>NC_000003.12:184955574-186205574 GCF_000001405.40 Homo sapiens
GTTCCCCGGGCCCAGCTATTGTCTCTTTATCTCTTTGTCTTGTGTCTTTATTTATTACAATCTCTTGTCTCTGCACACAGGGAGAACACCTGCTAAGCCCCGTAGGACTGGACCCTACACGTTTTCCTCTGTTTGAAGGCAGTCCAATGTACTGTCTACATTCATTTCAGTTCAGTTCAATATATATTTACATCAGATTACTGAGCACTATTTATTATGTCTTAATGATGGGTAAACAATTATGAATGCAATACCATGGACTTTACAATGTGGTTGGGGACACACATACTTAAACATGATTTTCAAGTTGTGGGTGAGAACTAAGGTGGTGGTATACATAGGGAATGGCCAGTCACTGAACAAACTTCTGTATTAAAGGCAGTTATAAGATACAAAAAAAAAAAAGAACACTCTTTCTTTGGAATTTATAGCCAATTTGAGGAGATACTGAATTAGCCCATCAGCAAGTATTGAAAGTTCCAAGCAGCAGAATTTTTTTAGTTTATCGTTTACCCACCTCTGGTATCACAAAGCTCTTAAATTAGGGAAAATGCCCTGTGTCTAAATACAGTCTCTTTTTCTTTGACCCAAGCTTCTTATTAGTAAAAGTAGAAGCACTACTTACCATCACTTATGAATAATCACAAAATCCAAATTGTTCTTTCTGGAGTCCAGAGAGTCCCACCCTGTGGCTATTGATGTACTGTACATGGTTACAAGTGTGCCTGCAGACTGTCTCAGCTCTTGGGACAACCAGAGTCCCTTGTGAGCAATCTTACTTCACTACAGTGGACCAAACAAATATCTTATTTTCTGTGTGCCACAATATGAGAAAACCTGGAAACTACTTCTTTAGACCATGTGCTTTAACCTTTCTTCAGAACTGGGCTAGTTTTCCAAGCAATCATTGTTGTATCTTATTAACCGTATTCCAGTTATTTATATAATAATGAGCTTTAGTTGAGGAATTCCGAAGAGAAGATAGGACTCTCAGAAGGAACTAAGTTCTTTTGAAGCTAGAGAGAGGATGATTCTTAGGTCTCCAATGAACAGTTGATTTCCTAAGCAGCTACTTTCGGCCATCAGTAGTTGAGTGCTTGAGTGGCCAGTATGATGCAGTTAATACTCTACTTCCAAAACTTTTGTGTAGGCATTGTGAATAGCGGGCTATGTGAGTAGCTGGTGTACTAGGCAAATGAACCCATAAATATTGTGTATTTTAGTATTACTCCTTTATTTATTATAACAATAACCAAAAAAATTAGTCCTCACTATGTGCAAGACATTGGTTAGCTTCAAAAATTTACTACTGAGAAGATACCTGGTACCTACCCCTCACAGAATTTATAGTGTTTTAGAGAAGATAGATAATTAAAGAAGTCATTGCAATGTGATATGATTGGTGCTATGAAGAATATAAAGAAGAAACACTTACTGAGATTGGAAGATGGTTATATATAGTTACTTAGAGATCAAAGTATTAGGACTAAATTGGGTGGCTCTTGTTTCTTTTAGAATAAAACACAACTTTTGGTATGATTTAGAAGAGTTTCAACTGAATGTTACTTCCTTAATTATTCAACATAACCTGAGTAATATTACAACTTACAATGCCTCTTATGTAATGTACAGTTTGCTCAAGTAACCTAAATAACATTGAGACTTTCAATTCATATTTTTATCTGACCAGCAGGTAGTCCTAGTTTTAATGTAATGTGCTTTTTACTGGTAGCTTTTAATTATAGATGTGATTAAATAATGCTACAATTGAGTGTTCTCTTTATCTTTTATGTTTTTAGGGAAGGTATTCATGTAAATCAAGAATTACTGCAAATATCTCCTTGTATCACAGAGCAGTTCATTGAGCTGTTGTGTCAGTTCAACCCAACCCAAGTTATAGAGACTCTGCAAGTCCTTGAGTGCTACCGTCTGGAAGAAACTATTCAGGTGAGACGAACAATGTAAAAGAGACAAGAGTAAACTCTTCTTAACATTCTCCATTTGACAGATGATCAAAGACAAGGGGAAAAAATATATAATTTCTTTTTTAAACCTTATAAATTCTTAGTTGAGACATACTCCTGAAAACAAAAGTCAGATTAACAAAAGAAAAACAGAGGTTTATTGATATGTGCTATACCCATCATGTAGGAGAGACCTCAGTTCAAAAGTATCTTTCTCAAGGCAGTGGCTTAGGGGCTTTGCTTAAACTGTATTTTAACAAAGAGCCTTAAATCTTACATAGTGACAAGACAGGAGAGAGCAGTTCCAGCCTAGTAAAAGGTGGAAACATGTATGGGAAGATAGTCAGCTGTGTTCCCAGATTCCTCCCGTGCCTGCTGGTGCCTTCTCCGGGCCAATAAGCAAGTGCTATCTCCAGTAAAGAATGTATGTCCTGCTATCAGGCAGATAGAGGCGGGAGCAGAGGATTCCCCTGCATTTTCATTGTCTTTAACTTAACAATCCTCAATATTTGGGGGAAACATATTTTGGTTTTGTTCAGTGCCCCCTTTGAAACTTTACTTTTAGAAAGTTTCACATATTAAACGCCGGGTGGGTAACTGTGGAGAGATTTGGGTTAGTGGTTTTGACGTAATAGATTGGCAGAGGGGAGAAAATCATAGATTGGAACAAGTGGAAAGGAACAAATTCGGGTACATTGTCCCTTATTGAAACAATCTCTTGGTTGTGAAAATGGGTCAGTTTAGTTAAATAGTTGCATCTCATTTTAGGAGGTGGTGGTGTTGTAAGTGTGTTTCCGACAAAGGTATAGGCACATAGGCATTTAATAAAAGACATTTCTATAGAAACAAAAAGGAAACAAAAGTTAATGTTTGGAGCAGTCTCTAAGCTTGTCTCTCAGTCTGGAGGGGAGCCAGCTGAGAATATTTCAAGATTTGTGTTTAAAGTATCTATAGTTGGGGTGGAAGTAGGAAATGGCAATCGGACAGATTTTCCTGGATTGCCGTTTGAATGAGGTGTTCCAGTGAACTTTCTGTCCATAAATAAGTTGTGGTGATTCCTCCAAAGTTAATATCAAGTTGTCTAGCTTTAGTGTGCAGAGCTTCAGGAAAAGCAGTTTTAATTTCAGTGATTCCAAGTCAGAAAAATGGGAGAAAATGTTCAAATACTAGTTTGGAGAGTTGGTCAGATATTGGAGGAAACTAAAAATTCAGATTTAGTCAAATTGCAAGTAAATAATAAAATCTCAAAAACCGTGAGTTAGAATCTCATAATGTTTACTGTAGTTTTTTTTTCTGAAATAGTTTTTTCTCCAGTTCCCCCATTTTTACCAAAAATAATCAGAGTAAGTTCAATTGACTTGTAAAATAAGTTTAGTGTCATATTTGGCCTGATTATTTATATAAGTACTGCAAGAGTAGTGATTGGCCATTTAGGCTTTTTAAAAATCTCCTCTGCTGAAACTTACAAGAAATCTCAGAGTAGACCTTTAAAAGTCTCTCGTCTTCAGGCTGGGAAACGAAGCCATGGGCTTGCCATCATCAGATTTTACCTGTAGTACCTGGGTATACTCTTTTCTTGAGGCCCCCAAATATTCTGAAGTTCCTGGGCTTCTCAGGAAGTGACATTCTTTACTTACTGCCAGGCTAGGAACCCTGTAAGCACACCATCTTGACAAGGTACCAGGCCAGTTTTTCCAAGGCCTTTATTGCCTCCTTAAAGTTAAGCTTAGTTTCTTAAAGGAGTCTGGTTATATCTAAAAATAATGACATCCCAGTCAAAGCCTTGGTAATATAACCCATGTTTCCAATTTTTCTGCTACAAACAGAGCAAATTCTTACTGAACTCATGAAAATAACTATATTGCCATAGAATATGAATATTCAGTTTCTGAATTTGGGAAGGATCAGGTATAGAAAAAAGTAAATGTTTTAATTTTGCCACAAAAATATACTTTACCAAATTATTGTAATGCTATGAATAGCCACCGCCCCCCACCACCACCCCAGAAAAAAAATGTTTTCTTAACTCTGGAAAGCAACGTATAAAAAGTATCAGCAGTGTTTCAAACAAGTCATAAAAAATTTTTTCAGTCCAGTGTAATTATTCTTATTTTTCTTAATGTCAGGTTAGCAATTTTATGAGGCCAGGTTTGTTTGCTTTTTCCATTGGGGTTTGGGAAATTTTTACCCAATCCAGTGATAATATGGTGTCACAGTTGTCAGAAACCTGTATTCAAGAGTATTTGTTGCACTCTTTTTCTTTTTTCTTTTTTTTCCCTTCTATTCTTTTATTTTTATTTTTTTAATTTTTTTATTATACTTTAAGTTCTAGTATACATGTGCACAACGTGCAGGTTTGTTACATATGTATACATGTGCCATGTTGGTGTGCTGCACCCATCAACTCGTCATTTACATTAGGTATATCTCCTAATGCTATCCCTCCCCACTCCCCCCACCCCACAACAGACCCCGGTGTGTGATGTTCCCCTTCCTGTGTCCAAGTGTTCTCATTATTCGATTCCCACCTATGAATAAGAACATGCGGTGTTTGGTTTTTTGTCCTTGCGATAGTTTGCTGAGAATGATGGTTTCCAGCTTCATCCATGTCCCTACAAAGGACATGAACTCATCCTTTATTATGGCTGCATTGTATTCCATGGTGTATATGTGCCACATTTTCTTAATCCAGTCTATCATTGTTGGACATTTGGGTTGGTTCCAAGTCTTTGCTATTGTGAATAGTGTTGCACTCTTTTTCATGACCTCCTTGAAGATGCAACACTTTAGAATTTGCAAGGAGATTTCAGAAAAAAAGCGTCAAAATAAAGTAACTGTGGACAAAATGACTTAAAATGGCTGTGATTAAAGGCATAGTTGTCAAGGATATTTCGTTATTTTCTGTGGCCTACAACAGTTTAACATAATAACCCAAAATATGACTGATAACATATACCAAGACATAACCAGATTTCTAGGAATCTCATAGAATTTTGGAACACATATTAATAACACTATATACAAATTCAACTCAAAGAAACATGATTTCTTATGTCACAGTGTTTCCCATATAATTTAGCACATCAGATAAGCTGGTGTATTCTCTCTTTTTTGTATGCTTCAGGGACCCTCTGCAACATCCCAATATTAGGTTGAGGTTAAAAAGACTCAATTTTAGAATCTGAACTTTGATTTTGAGAAGCCTGTCAAACATGTCAAAGGTTTAAAAGATTGGATCAGAATAGGATCACAGTTCACTGTGAAATAATGGTAATTCGTAAGTCAAAGTCATAATTAAAAGGGAGACTCACATATGAAGTTACCTGTGTAAGTTTATACCTACTAAGTGGTAGCCCCTGAGATTGAACCCACATAGTCTGACTCTGTAGTGCATGCTCTTAATTGCTGGGATAAACTGCCTTTCCATTTATTTTAGTAAAGTCAGCTTTATAGAAATTGTTATCGATCAAGCATGATAGGAATTCTAACCAACTCAATAAGCATAGAAAAAGGAACATAGTAAAAATATTGAAAGGAGACCAAACTCTTGTTTGCAGACACAGATGATTAGTCTTGTTGTGCCATAAAACTTAATAGACTAAATAGCAGTTGAGTAAGTTTAGCACATTCATTGCCTTCATTCTCTTCCCTTATTTTCTCTTGTTTCTAAATGAAAATGTACAGACACACACGTTATTTTCTATAACAGATTAGTATGTTTCCCATTTAACATTTATTTTTCAGCTGTCATGTATCGCTTTTCCTTTGCTGTCAACACTCCTGAAACAGTTGCCTGTATTTTCTGCATCTGCCTCCTGAATTGCCCACACATACTTTTAAAAATGTTTAATTATGAAATATTTCAAATTTACAGAAATGTGCTGAATATCAATTATGTATATACCCACCAACCAAATTTTATAGTTAACATTTTGCCGTACTGGCCTTAGTTCTTTGTTATCTTATTGTTTTTGTTTGTTTATATTAAAAGTAGAGCACCCATTATCTGTCTTATTCCCCCCTCTCCCCTGAGGTCTCCACCATCCTAAACTGGTGTTTATCCTTCTGATCTATGTTTTGAATTTTTTCTATATGTGTATGTATCTATAAAATACATGCTAGTTTTATATGTTTTTAAAATTTCTATTAATATCATACAGTAGATATTTTATTATAAGTTGCCTTTTTTTTTTTTTTACCAATTTTTTTGTTTTTGTTTTTGTTTTTTTTGTTTTTGTTCTTTTTTTAGACAGAGTCTCTCTCTGTCACCCAGGCTGGAGTGCAGTGGCATGATCTCGGCTCACTGCAACCTCCACCTCCCAGATTCAAGTGATTCTCCTACCTCAGCCTCCCAAGTTGCTGAAATTATAGGTGCACACCACCGTGCTAATTTTTGTATTTTTAGTAGAGATGGGGTTTCACCATGTTGCCCAGGCTGGTCTTGAACTGCTGACCTCAAGAGATCCGCCCACCTTGGCCTCCCAAAGTTCTGGGATTACTGGCGTGAGCCAGTGCACCCGGCCACTTTTACTAAATTTTTAAAACATTTTTATACATGTAGATCTACTTCATTCATTTAATGATCTTACGGTAATCTATCAAATGAATGTGCCAATTTGTTTATTTCCCTGTTGGTAAACATTTAGATTGTTTCCAATCTTTTGCTGTTATAAACAGTGTTACAGTGTACATCCTTGTATATATCTTCTTGTGTGCCCATATGAGGGTTCTCTGAATAATATACTTGCAAATGGAATTGTTTAGACAACCAAGTAGTGTAGTTCTACTGATTGCCAAGTTGATTTCCAGATTGTTTCTATTCTCATCAGCAGTGTCTGATATTTGCTGTTTTTCACATCCTTGCTGATACCTAGTATTTTTAGTCTTCTTAATTTTTGCCATGGTGGGTATTAGTGATTACTCATGACATTAAACATCTTTCCATATGTTTGATGACCATTGGAATTTTCTTTTCTCTGAATTATTTATTCATGTCATTTGCCCATTTTTTCTGTTGAGTTTCTGTGTTTCTCTTATTGAGTTCAAGAAGTTTTTTCTGATTTCCCAGTCTCTAATCCTTTGCTAATTTTATGTGTTGGAGGTACTTTCTTCCAATTTATTATGGCACATCATTTAACTTGGCTTTTAGTGACTTCTGTTTTAGTTTACCATTCTTTAAGGCTTAAGTGTGTGTGTGTGTGTGTGTGTGTGTGTGTGTGTGTGTGTGTCTTATTTCCTTTCCTATTTTAATGGAATAAAGGACATTCTCTTTTATATATAAATTTTATAGTTCAGCTTCTTACATTTAGGCTTTTAATCCATCTGGAGTTAATTTTTGCAAGCTGATCAAAAGAAGGATTTTTATCTTCCACATGATGGCCAGTGGTCCATGTGGCATTTTATTATCCATTCCTCACTGATTTTTAATGCCATACTGCCATATACTAAACTCCCAAATATACATGACTCTGTGGGTTCCATTCTCTTCCTTTGGTTGTCTTTCCCTATATCCATACCACATATTTTAATTAATACAGCTTTTCAATAGATTTATTATTTGGAAAAAGAATCCTCCCTCCTTATTCTTTTTCTTTAAAATGCTTTGGCTATTTTTAGTGTCCTACATCTCCTAGTATTCCACATGAATTTGGAGATCACATTCTCAAGTTTCTTTAAAAGATACAAACTCTCTGGAATTTTGATTTATGAATACATTGAATTTATAGACTAATTCAGAGAGAACTGACATCTCTGTAGTGTTGATTCTTCTCTTTCAGGAAAATGTATGCCTTTTAAACTGCCTTTTCTGCTCTTTGGTGAGGTTTTATAGCTTTTATATAAGGTTCCTGCACATATTAAATTTGTTCATAGTTACTTTATAGTTTTTGTTAATATTGTACAAGGAGATTTCTCAAGATGACCTTTCTATATTGATTGCTGCTGCTGTTTTAAAATGTTACTGATTTTTGTACATTGTTTTCTATGGAGCAACCAGGAAGAATTCTCTTAAAATTCAATTTCTAGATTTTTATGACAATAAGAAGAATGGCAGTTTTATTTTAATTCCAATCTTGTAGTTTTTTCTTTCTTATTGGATGTCTAGGATCTCTAAGGTATTGGCGAATAGAAGCAGTGACAGTATGACTTCTAACCTTGTTCCTGATTTAAAAGGGAACATATCTAATATTTTACATTAAATATGGTATTTATCATAGGATTTTGGTAGATAATTTTTATTAAGAAAATGTTATCCCCCGTTTGAATAAGAGTGTTTTGTTTTTGTCATGATTCGGTGCTGTATTTTGCCAAATGCTTTTCCTGCATTTATTGAGACTATCATGTTTTTTTCCTTTGTTCTGTTAAACTGTTAATGTGTTATTTGTTCTAATAAACATTTTTTCTAACCTGTTAATCTTTTCAAAAAAGCTACAGTGGAGTTTGTGAAATCTCTCTTTGCTGTCATTTCTGTACTTTTTTCCTTTTTTCTCCCTAGCCTAACTGATACTTCTTTTTTTACTAATTAGAGATTTTGTTTATTAATTTTTATTAATATTTCACAAGTTGATTTGTAATGTTTTCATTGTCATTTTCAATTTTTTAATAATTATACTTGATCAAGTTCTAGTTTGTATTGTTAGTATGTATGTATATAAGTTAGCTTTTCTCCAGTGTGTATACCTAATTCAGGTGTGTAACATTTTTTTAAAATAAATAAATGAAAAAAATGAGTGAATTTGGTCCAGTTAGAACTCCCAAATGATCTACTATATGACTAGAAAGTCAGCTATTTGCATATTGTACTGTAAAATATCATACTAATAAGGTATAAATTCATTATTTATCATATGAGTTTTTTCATCCTCAATGGGATCTTCCCACTCCACAAATAAGATTGGTGAATAAAAATATTTATCTTTTTTATTTCCTAGATTACTCAGAAGTATCAACTTCATGAAGTCACCGCTTATCTATTGGAAAAGAAAGGAGATATTCATGGTGCCTTCCTAATAATGTTAGAGGTAACACTTTACTATGTTTCTTTCATCATATTTCTGTCTATTCCTCTATTCATTCATGAATCCATCTTAATTATGTTTCAAAGCCAGTTGCAGACCGTAATATATTTTACCCCTGAATATTTTTATCATGCATAGCATTAACTAGAGTTTAATATTTCTTTGTGGTACTTTTTTAAAAGGTAAAATGTACAACAGTAAAAAAAAGTCATAAATGTACTATTTGATGAGTTTTTGACAAGTATTTTTATATATATACCACAATCTGTTTGCCCATTCCTCCTTCAGGGGACACCTGGGCTGCTTTACCTTTTGGTTGTTGTGAACAGTGCTGCTGTGAACATGGGTGTACAAACGCCTTTGAGTTCTTGCTTTTATTTCTTTGGGATATATACCCAGAAGTAGAATTGTTGGATCAAATAGCAATTCTATTTTTAATTTTTTGAGGAATTGCCCTACTGTTTTCCATAGCAGCTATGCCACTTTACATCGCTACCAGCAACACTCAGGGGTTCCAGTTTCTCCGCATTCTTGCTAACACTTTCTGTTTTCTTGATAGTAGCCATCCTGATGGGTGAAGTGACGTAGCAGTTTTGTTTTGTTGTGTTTTTTAATATTGTCGTGTGGCTAGGAATAGATTAGGGATATCATATTTATATTTTAAAATGTTCCATATTGGCTTCTCGTTTCTTTCTAGCCATATGATTCTAAAATAAGCCAGGAAGAATCATCCACAGAGGCTTTGTGTAGGCTCTTAATCTCTTTTAATCTGTAAATTACTCCTATACCTCTTTCTTTTTCTTGCAATTTATTTGTTGACAATACCATGAACCTAGTATTAAGGAATAAATAAGAGTATTTCTGACATTGATGAGAGGAGAAACAGGAGATCTCTGTGGGGCATGAGGCCATCATTCATAAAGGTTTAGGAATACAAAGCAAAGAAGTATGGATGACCAAGAGAGTGCCAGCAGCTTCACTAGGGCTCCGCTGTGTAATATATAGGCAGGTCAGGCGAGAAACAACGGCTAGGTCCAGATTTGGACAGATTTTGTTGGACACGCTAAAGAATTGTAGCTAGTCTTCTTGTCACACAGGATCAAATAAAGGTTTTTAAGCAAGAAACGGATTTGATGTTTGTTTCATAAAGACTACGCTGGTGACTGTTGGGGGATGGAAGGCAGGATACAGAGAAGAGGGAGGTAAAACAAAGCAGACAATACTTGGGAGGCCATTGCAATGGTACAGGTATGAGTCTATGAGAGCTTGAACTGGGTGTGTCAGTGGCAATGGAGAGAAGAGGGATAGATTTGAGAAGTTATTGATCATTTGCATATGGTATGAGGTAACTGAGAGGAAGTAGTTGATGATTTTAGCTTATAAGCTTTTTACTCATAACCCAGTATATTACACCCCTTTTACTCACAACCCAGTATATTAGTCTCTTCTGTGTTGCTCTAGAGGAATACTTGAGGCTGGGTAATTTTTAAGGAAAAGAAGTTTATTTGGCTCACAGTTCTGCAGGCTGTGTTAGCATCTAGCATCTGCTTCTGGTGAGGACCTCAGGAAGCCAGGGTAAAGGAGAGCTGACGTGTCACATGGCATGAGAGGGAGCAAGAGTGGGGTTGGGGGAGGAGTGCCATGCTCTTTTAAACATCCAGCTCTCATGTAAACTGATAGAGGGAGACGTCACTCATTACCACAGAGGGGCGCACCAAGCCATTCGTGACAGATCCACTCCCATGACCCAGACACCTTTCACTGAGTCCCACCTTCCAATATTGGGAATCACATTTCAACATGAGATTTGGAGGAATCAAATATCCAAACTATATCACCCAATATGAATTGGATTCCCTTATCCAAAGTGACTGTGGTGGGATGACAGAAGCAGAGGTGGGCAAAATGAGTGCTACTTGATCTTTGGGTCCCTTTTCATACTGCTAGCTGTACTTTCTATAAACAGAAGAGTTTACTTCTGACTGACACTAAAGGACTGTTCTTAATAACCTTGTAGTTTTGAGGGGTTTACCTTTAAAATATGTTAATTCAAGTATTGGGTGGGTAGAACTATAAAGTGTTCCTTTTTAACTCCTATGTTCTTTTTATCTCCTAGAGACTACAAAGCAAACTTCAAGAGGTAACACATCAAGGTGAAAGTAAGTTCTTGAAAATAATTACAACATTTTTCATCCTTGGACCCCATGTTTTAAAAGATGTTTAATAAATTGCATTTATTATGTAATAATTACACTTGCATATATGCATAATTACTGTTTATTCATTTTAACATGGATCCAAATTTTAGCTAATTTTCAAGAGTTCACAACAGGAAATCATAGAAACCATTGTGGCTTTGTGATGTTAATTTTCGGTGGAGTTAAATATACAGAAAATTATGCACTGTTTGTTGGTTATCTTTTTTTTTTTTTGACAGGCTTTCGCTCTGTTGCCCAGGATGGAGTGCAGTGGCACAATCTTGGCTCACTGCAACCTCCATCTTCCAGGCTTAAGCAGTCCTTCTGCCTCACCCTCCCAAGTAGCTGGGACTACAGGCGTATGCCATCACATTGGCTAATTTCTGTATTTTTTGTAGAGATGGGGTTTCACCTGTCACCCAGGCTGGTCTCGAACTCTTGGCTGAAGTGATCTGCACACCTCAGCCTCCAAAGGTGGTGAGATTGTAGACATAAGCCACCACGCTAGGCTGGTTATCTTTTTGTTTATACTTTTGCTATAACAAAAGTATGGTTTAGTTATGTTTAAATGAGGTATATAACTAACATCCTAAAAATTAATGTGCCAAACAACAGCAAATCAGAGCTTCTAATTAGTAGGACATTGAACATAGCCAATGTTTCCAAACCGAATTTATACAGTTTTAACCCAAAGCAGTAAAAGTTGACAATTTAGTATCTTGAGTGGTTTTGTCCTCAGCAAATACAAAATTTTCATCATATTCCTTGATATTTCAAAAAAAATTATTTTAATAAATTGTGGTGGCCAGGCATGGTGGCTCACACCTGTAATCCCAGCACTTTAGGAGGCCGAGGCAGGTGGATCACCTGAGGTCAGGAGTTCGAGATCAGCCTGGCCAACATAGTGAACCCCGTCTCTACTAAAAATACAAAAATTAGTCGGGTGTGGTGGCACACACCTGTAGTCCCAGCTACTTGGGAGGCTGAGGCAGGACAATTGCTTGAACCTGGGAGGCGGAGGTTGCAATGAGCGGAGATTGCACCACTGCGGTCCAGCCTGGGTGTCGCAACAGAGCAAAACTCCATCTCAAAAAAAAAAAAAAAATTAAATTATGGGTAAAATATACCCTAACATAAAATTTACCATTTTAACTATTTTTGAGTATACAGTTCAGTAGCATTAAGTATATTCACGTAATTATATAATCATTACCCCCATCCACCTCCAAATTTTTTAATCTCCCAAACTGAAAATCTGTACCTATAAAGCAACAGCTCCCCTATTCCCCTCTCCTCCCAGCCCCTGGCAAATACCGTCTTACTTTCTTTTTTCACCATTCTTTTTCTGAATTTGATTACTCAAGTATCTCATATGAATGAAATTATATAGTGTTTGTCGTTTTGTGACTTGCTTATTTAACTTACCATAAGGTTCATAAATGTTGTAGCATGTGTCAGAATTTTCTTCCTTTTTAAGGCTGAATAAATGCCATTGTATGTATAGACCACATTTCATTTATTCATTCATCCTTCAATGGACACTTGGGCCACTTCCACTTTTTGTCTATTATGACTAATGCCTCTATGAGCATGAATGTACAGTGTCTCTTCAAGAGCTGGCTCTCAATTCTTTTGGGTATATAACCACAAGTGGGATTGCTGGATCAAGCATTAATTCTGTTAATTTTTTGAGGAATGGCCATACTGTTTTCCCTAGTTGCTGCTTCATTTTACATTCCCACCAACAGTACACAAGGGTTCCAATTTCTCCACATCCTTTCCGACATTTATATTCTCTTTTTTTTAATAGTAGCTATCCATATGTGTGTGAGGTAGTATCTAATTATGGATTTGATTTGCATTTCTCTAATGATTAGTGATGATTTTCCTGAGTATTTTGGCTATTTATCTACCTTATTTGGAGAAATGTCTATTCAAGTCCTTTACCCATTTTTTAATTGGGTTGTTTGTTTTCATATTCCTTGACATTTTTAAAACAGCCCTCCTGAAGATCAGGGAATCACTTGGTGGGTGATTTTTAGATTATCCTCTTTAACACACGTTTCTTAGAGACTCCTTGGTCCACGCATTTCACTAACATACCATTTCCCTAATTCTCTGTAGATTACTTACCTATATTTTTGTATTAAGGTCCTAGATGATAGGGTCTATGTTGTTTTATGATCATCAGGTATTACAGTAAATCTTTTTGGAACATCAGTGAACATTTGATTGACTTTGTTATATTGATAGTTCAACTGGACACTTAATTACCATTTTTGTACTATCAGTATGTGTTTAGTCAATTTGGTTATGTTTGTTACATTTTGTGGCAATTTTAAAATTTTAGTGTTATAAGAATAACTTTTTGTTTTTTTCTGGGGGGACGGCGTCTCGCTCTGTTGCCCAGGCTGGAGTGCAGTGGCGCAATCTTGGCTCACTGCAACCTCTGCCTCCCAGGTGCAAGCGATTCTCCTGCCTCAGCCTCCCGAGTAGCTGGGATTATAGGTGCGTGCCACCACACCCGGCTAATTTTTGTATTTTTAGTAGAGACGGGGTTTTGCCGTTTTGGTCAGACTGGTCTTGAACTCCTGACCTCATGATCTGCCTGCCTCGGCCTCCCAAAGTGCTGGGATTACAGGTATGAGCCACTGTACCCAGCCCCACCCCCCCCCCTTTTTTTTTTTTTTTTTTTTTGAGATAGTCTTGCTCTGTTGCCCAGGCTGGAATGCAGTGGCGTGATCTCAGCTCATTACAACCTCCGCCTCCCGGGTTCAAGCGATCCTCCTGCCTCAGCTCCTTGGGTAGCTGGGACTATAGGCATGTGCCACCACTCCCAGCTAATCTTTGTATTTTTAGTTGAGATGGGGTTTCACCATGTTGGCCAGGCTGGTCTCGAACTCCTGACCTCAGGTGATCCACCCGCCTCGGCCTCCCAAAGTGTTGGGATTACCATCGTGAGCCACCACACCCAGCCAAAAATAACTTTTCAAGACAATACATGAAAGACAGAAAAAAATTAAGAAGAGCATTCCCCCAAAATCACTACAATCATTTGCAGGTGGTATGTTTGCAAAGGCCAGTGTTTTGAATTCCAGTGAAAATAAATTTTCCAGAAATAGTCTCATGCCTGCCATCTACTTTCTTACTTTTTTTTTTTTTTTTTTTTTTTTTTGAGACGGAGTCTCACTCCGTTGCCCAGGCTGGAGTGCAGTGGCGCTGTCTCAGCTCACTGCAACCTCTGCCTCCCAGGTTCAAGTAATTCTTCCTGCCTCAGCCTCCCGAGTGGCTGGTGTTACAGGCACCAGCCACCACACCCAGCTAATTTTTGTATTTTTAGTAGAGTTGGGGTTCCACCATCTTGGCCAGGCTGGTCTCAAACTCCTGACCTCAGGGTGATCCACCCACTTCGGCCTCCCAAAGTGCTGGGATTACAGGCATGAGCCACCACGACCGGCCCCATCTACTTTCCTATTCAATTTTGATAGTGTGCTTAAGTATTTGGGAGGATTTGCTAATTGTGCTTTGTTCCTATGGGCTATACACAGACTACTAAAACACAGATTCCCCTACCCACTGCACAAAGAACGTTAGTCTCCTGAAGGAGACAGATAAGTAAATAAAACCTTGTAGTACCAGTAGAATGGTGTGTCATAAAAGGTACACTGAGAGTGACTAAGGTGTGTGGAAAATTACAGAACTATTTGTAACCCATAAACCAGTGAGTTTTGTGGAAAACCTTTGAAGAAAGACTTGAAGGATAAATAGGAGTTTGATAGAAGCAGGAGAAGAACCTTTTAGGCTGAGGAAAACATGAACATGGAAGTGCCTGACTAGTAATCAGCGAGTAAAAAAGAATAGGGCAACACCAGAGCTTGGAGGGTGAGATGAGCCCAAGTCTTTGCTCTGTTTACTTAGTGTCAGATCCTTACTTACATTCTATTTTTCAGAATTAGGAGTCCTTGGTGGTTTTTATGGAAGGGACTGATCTGTTTGAACTTGTGCTTAAGAGAACCCTAGTGACAGTATATAAGAGGATGAGGGAGGCAAGATTGGGATGCCAAAAGTTCAACTAAGAGACTATTGCAGTAGCATAGACGAGGTGATGAAAAGCTCCACCAGGGTAAAAGTTGTGGTCATATGCAAGCACAGAAGTAGAATCAACAAATATTCGCAAGTTATCTGAATGTGTGGGGTGAAGGAGAGGGAAGCACCAAAGATGAAGATTTATAAACTGGTTGACTTAAAGATTATGATTCCATTAACTTGGTTTGTAAATGGAGGAGGAGGAGCAGATTTGAAATGAGAAAAATAAGTTGGGTTTTGCACATATAAAGTTGAAAGTGCTTGCAGGACATCCATGTGGAAATAAATGTCTTAGGTTCATTAGAAAATTCAACCTGTAGATTTTGAATGGAATAAAGATTGGAGATGTGTGTTTGAAAGTTATGAACAAAGATATGAGAGTTGAAACAAGAATGGCTGAAATCATTGAGAAAATGAAGAGAGACCTAAAATAGCATCTTGGGGGAAATATCTACATTTAAGAAATAGGCAGAAGAAGAGATAGTATACCAAGAAAGGTGAATGATAATCTCTCTAGTAACTAATCCTTAGACAGATGATTGGGGATTTTCCATATTTCCATAGCATATTGAAATGCTAAGTGTGATGTGCTTTATCTGTCCTACGAATGTAAAACATTTCTGTGGGAAACTCTTATTTCACGGAATAATCTGTTTTTTAATCTATAAAACATTAGCATCAGGTTTTATTAATTATTATATACTAGAAAATGAAGGTGATGCAAAGAAAAAGAAGTTTAACTTTTCACAGAGGCTCTGAGATTATCAGCAACATATCCTTAAATGATGTTTACACTTTTTCTAAATCTAGATACCAAAGAGGATCCCTCATTGAAGGATGTTGAAGATACTATGGTGGAGACCATTGCTCTTTGCCAGAGAAATTCACATAATTTGAACCAGCAGCAACGTGAGGTAGGAGAATGACTGTTTAGGTATTTAAAAGCCTGTACTTGGCCAGACATGGTGGCCCACGTCTGTAATCCCAGCACTTTGGGAGGCCGAGACGGACAGATCACCTGAGGTCAGGAGTTTGAGACCAGCCTGACCAACATGGAGAAATCCCATCTTTACTAAAAATACAAAAAATTAGCCGGGCGTGGTGGCACATGCCTGTAATCCCAGCTACTCAGAAGGCTGAGGTAGGAGAATCGCTTGAACCCAGGAGGCGGAGGTTGCGTTGAGCTGAGATCGCACCATTGCACTCCAGCCCTGGGCAACAAGAGTGAAACTCCATCTCAAAAAAAAAAAAAAGCCTGTACTTGTCTGAAACTAGGAATCAGTTCTGTTTCCACTGCCCTCTCAGCCACCCGGGTTTAATTCAAGTGGATTTTAATCACTTCTTAGTGTTCCCAGGAGTAGGAGACTCCCGAAGTTACTATAAAGAGTGTGTGGCTTCTTTGTTCTCACCAAAGGCTTTATATTCATGGTTTGGCTGTGCTGCAAAACTTAAGGTGCATGAATGCTAGATGTGCCTGTTCTCTTTGGACTGAGATTTTGTGTATGCCATGTAGTTGCACCAGAGATAGGTCATCATTTATCATCGTCTCTATTCCCTGTGGTGAAAGTAGGCATGAAGAACTGGAGGAAAGCCCTCAAGGGCTACAGAGAAAGCTGAAGAAAGGTTAAAGAAGCCTATGGTGTACTAATTCTCAACCTTGGTTGCACACTAGAGTCACCTGGGGAGCTTTGAACAATTCCAGTACTCAGGCTGCACCCCAGATCAATTAAATTAAAGTCTCTGGGGATGAAACCCAGCCACCACCATGTTTTAAAGCTCCCTTCATGATTCCAATGTGCAGCCAAGGTTGGAACCACTGCTATCACAGATCCCAGATGGCACAAAAGAAGAAAACAAAACTGAAGGAGGTATCGTTGAGCAGCAGGTGCAAGGTGGGAGTTACAGCAGTGAAGCAGAAACTAAGGGGGCGAGATGTGATTTGATAGTTAAATTCTGCAATAGTTTTAAGAAGTAAAGTTGTATCATGATATGGCTTAACTCTTCGCCTGCCCTTCCAGGGCTCAGGCCTCTGACTTGACACTGGCCTCTTTCTAATGCCTGGGTTTTTGAAATGGGGAACAGGTTAATTATATATCTATATTTAGCCATACATGTTACAATGAAAACAATAAATCATGGCATATTTTCTGTTCTTCTGAGATGAGTAAATTTCTCCTTTAAGTTTTTGTCCAGAATTTTTCAAGGTCATAAATTATGAAACGTCTTTAGAATGTAAATTGTGTATAACAAGCCTAGTTACATAAATGTGATTGCTTTTCTTTATTAAAAGAAACTGTCTGTGAAATGATACATACTCATCATTTTTAAAAATCATGAAATATAGAAAGTTATGCAGAAGAATGGGTTTTTTTAAATTAAAATATATTCATCCTGTCACTCAGAAATAACCATCATTATCATTTGGTGAACATAACTTTAGATATTTTTTGTCTGCCTAGGTTGATATAATTTTAGTAAAATTGCATTAAATAATGCTTGCTTTTAAAAATATAGTACTCAAAAAATGTATGTATATTACTCAGCTTCCCATAGGAAACTTAAGTAAAACTAAAGAATGTTCTTAATTGATGCATAATAATTATACATATTCGTGGGGTTAATGTGATATTTTGATACATGCATACAATGTGTAATGATCAAATCGGTTACTTAGGATATCTGTCACCTCAAACATTTATCATTTCTTTGTGTTGGGAATATTTTGAGTCTTCTAGCGGTTTTGAAATATGCAATAAATTATTGTTTACTATAATCACCCTACTGTTTTGTTGAACATTAGAACTTATTAAAATTCTATCTAATTGTATGCTTGTACCCATTGACAAATCTCTCCTCATACCCCCACCCATCCTTACCAGTTTCTGGTAACCATTCTACTCTATTCCTCCATGAGGTCAACTTTTTTAGCTCCCCACATGTAATTCAGAACATGCGATATTTGTCTTTCTGTGCATGGCTTATTTCACATAACATTATGACCTCCCCTTCCATCCTTGTTGCTGCAAGTGTCAGGATTTCATCCTTTTTTATGGCCAAATACCATTCTATTGTATATATTTACTACATTTTCTTTATCCATGCATCTGTTGATTGACACTTAGGTTGATTCCATATTTTGGCTATTGTGAATAAGTGCCACAGTAAACAGGGGTGCAAGTGTCCCTTTGATATACTGATTACAATATATTTCCTTTAGATAAATACCCAGTAGTAGGATTGCTGAATTATATTGTAGTTCTGTTTTTAGTTTCTTCAGGAACCCCCATACTGTTTTCCAAAATGGCTGTACTAATTTACATGCTCACCAACCATGTACAAGGCTTTCCTTTTCTCCACATCCTCAGCAAGACTCATCTCTGATCTTTTCTATCATAGCTGTTCTAAGAAGTGTGATGTAATGGCTCATGATGACTTTGATTTACACTTTCTTGATGGTTACCGACGTTGGAAGATTTTTTTCATGAGCCTGTTGGCCATTTGTATGGCTGACATCTTCTTTTGAGAAATGTCTATTCATATGCTTTGCCCACTTTTTAATTGGATTATTTAGTTCTTTTTTGCTATTGAGTTGAGTTCATTATATATTCTAAATATTAGTCCCTTGTCAGATGACTAGTTTGCAAATATTATCTCTCATTGTACATGTTGTCTCTTCACTCTTTGGATCATTTCCTTGCTGTGCAGAAGCTTTATAGTTTAACATAATGCTACTTGTCTATTTTTTTGTTTTCGTTACCTGTGATTTTGAAGTGTTAGCTGTAAAATTTTTGTCTAGACCAATGTCCTGAAGTATTTCCCGTATATTTTCTTCCAGTAGTTGTATGCATGTGGGCTTTACATTTAAGTCTTTAATCTATGCTGAGTTAGTTTTGTATATTGTGAGATATAAGAGTCTAGTTTCATTCTTTGCCATATGGATATCCAGTTTACCCAACACCATTTACTGAAGAGGGTGTCTTTTCCCTAATGTATATTATTGACTCCTTTGTGAAAAATCAGTCAGCTACAAATATGTGGATTTATTTCTGGGTTCTCTGTTCTATTTCGTTGGTCTATGTGTCTGTTTTCATACCAGTACTGTGCTGTTTTGGTTATTACAGCTTTGTAATATATTTTGACATCAGGTAGTATGATGCCTATAGATGTATCCTTTTTGTTCAGGATTGCTTTTGCCATTCGGGATTTTTTGTAGTTCCATATGAATTTTAAGATTGTGTTTTCTATTTCTGTGAAAAATGTTACTGGTATTTTGATAGGGATTGCATTGAATCTACACATTGCTTTGGGTAGTATTGTCATTTTAATATTCTTCTGATCCATGAGCATGGGATGTCTTTTTATTTGTGTATATTCAGTTTCTTTCATCAGAGTTTTGTAGTTTTCCATATAAAGGTCTTTCACCTCCTTGGTTAAATGTATTCCTAGGTATTTTGTTTTATTGTTTGTAGCTCTTGTAAATGAGATTGCTTTCTTGACTTCTTTTTCAGATAGTTTGTTATTGGTATGTAGAAATGCTACTGATTGTTGAATGTTGATTTTTGAATCCAGCAACTTCACTGAATTCGTTTATCAGTTCTAACAGTTTCTTGGTGGAGTCTTTAGGTTTTCATATCTATGAGATAATGTCATTTTCAAATAAGGACAGTTTGATTTCCTTTTTTCCAATTTGGATGCCTTTTATTTCTTCCTCTTGCCTTATTGCTCTAGCTAGGATTTCCAGTACTATGTTGAATAACAGTGGTAAAAGTGGGCATCATTGTCTTCTTCAAGTTCATAGAAAAAAGGCTTTCAGCTTTTTCCCTTTTGGTATGATGTTAGCTGTGGGTTTTGTTATATATGGCCTTTATTATGTTAAGGTGTGTTCTTTCTCTGCCTAATTTATTGAGATTTGTATCATGAAGAGATGTTGAATTTTGTCAAATGCTTTTTCTGAATTGATTGAGATGATCATGTGGTTTTTGTTCTTCATTCTGTTGATGTGATGTATCACATTTATTTATTGACATGTTGAATCCTTGCATTTCTAGGATAAGTCACACTTAATCATGGCGTATTACAGTCAACCCTTGAACAACACAAGGCATGGGGTGCCAACCCCCTTGCAGTTGAAAATTTGCATATGCCTTTGTCCTCCTTCCTCATTCCCCCTCTTGTATTCATCCATATCTATTGTTCCCATCATTACGTCCATGTATACCCAATGTTTAGCTCCCATTGTAATTATGTGTATATGTTTATAATTATTATACATTTCCATTTTTATGATATGTATGATGCCATGCCAATAATGAAATTCCCATGGACTCATACTTGCTTCCTACTCTCCTCTTCACATACCTACTAATTTTAATTAATCACAGTGTTTTACCTAATGAAGGTTTATAACACATTCTTTTCTGTGTCTATAATTTCCATAGTTGTTTAACTTTTATTTAGGTAGATCATACCAGTCTTTTTGTTACAATTTTTTTATTCCTAGATTTTTATTTTTATTCATCTTTTGATTGGCAGCCTGTATTTGGACTTTTTTTTTTGTTTTTTCATTTAACTTGCTCTTTCTTCCCCCCAACTTTTATTTTAGAATCAGACAGTACATGACTTTTTGTTGTGTCTCTGCCAGGTTTTGGTATCAGAATAATGCTGGCCTTTGTTACCTAGATATATTGCATGGTGGTGAGGTTTGGAGTATGAATGAATAATCTGTCTCCCAGGTGGTAAGCATAGTACCCGATAGGTAGTTTTTATTCAACTCTTATCCCCCTCCTTCCTTCTTATATTCCCCAGTGTCTATTGTTCTCATTTTTATGACCATATGCCCAATGATTAGCTCTCACTTATAAATGAGAACACGTGGTATTTGGTTTTCAGTTTCTGCGTTAGTTTGCTTAGGATAATGGCCTCCAGCTCCATTTATGTTGCTGCAAAGGACATGATTTCATTCTTTTTATGGCTGCATAGTATTCCATGGTGTATATGTAACACATTTTCTTTATCCAGTCCACTGTTGATGGGCACTTTCTTGAGTCCATGTCTTTGCTATTGTGATAGTGCTGCAGTCAACATATGGTACATGTATCTTTTTGATAGAATGATTTCTTTTCCTTTGGGTATATTCCAAATGGTGGGATTGCTGGGTCAAATGGTAGTTCAACTCTCGGTTCTTTTGAGAAATCTCCAAACTGCTTTCCACAGTAGTTGAACTAATTTACATTCCTACCAATAGTATATGTAAGTGTTCCCTTTCCTCCGCAGCGTTGTGAATGTCCGCTATTTTTTGACTTTTTAACAAAAGCCATTGTCACTGGTGTGAGATGGTATCTTATTGATTTGCATTTCTCTGATGATTAGTGATGCGTAGCATTTTTTTTCATATGTTTATTGGCCACTTGCGTGTCTTCTTTTAAGAAGTGTCTGTTAATGTCCTTTACCCACTTTGTAATGGAGTTATTTGTTTTTTGCTTGTTGATGTAAGTTCCTTATAGATTCTAGATATTAGACATTTGTCAGATGCATAGTTTGTGAATATTTTCTCTCATTCTCTAGGTTGTGTGTTTACTCCATTGATAGTTTCTCTTGCTGTGCAGAAGCTCTTTAGTTTAATTAGGTCTCATTTTTCAGTTGTTTTTGTTGCAGTTTCTTTTGAGGACTTAGCCATAAATTCTTTACCAGGGCTGATATTAAGAATAATATTTCCTAGGTATTCTTCTAAGAGTTTTATACTCTGAGGTCTTACATTTAAGTCTAATCCATCTTAAGTTGATCTTTGTATATGGTGATACATAGTTCCCTAGTTTCATTCTTCTGCATATGGATACCCAGCTATCCTAGCACCCTTTCTTGAATAGGGAGTCTTTTTCTCATTGCTTATCTTTTTTTTTTTTTTTTTGTCAACTTTTTCAAAGCTCAGATGGTTGTGGGTGTGGGTCAGCTTTTGGATATGTTGCTGGATTTGGTTTGCTAGTATTTTGTTGAGGACCTTTGCATGTATGTTCATCAGGAATATTAGCCTGATGTTTTCTTTTTTCTTTTTTTTTTTTTTTTATTGTGTCTCTGCCAGGTTTTGGTATCACAGTGATGCTGGCCTCATAGAATAAGTCAGGGAGGAGTCTCTCCTCCGTAATTTTTTTGGAAGAGTTTCAGTAGAATTGGTGCCAGGTTTTTTTTATATGCCTGGTAGAATTTGGCTGTGAATCCATCTGGTCCTGGCCTTTTTCTCATTGGTAGGCTTTTTATTACTGCTTCAATTTCAGAACTTGTTATATTGATCTGTTCAGGGTTTCAGTTTCTTTCTGGTTCCATCTTGGAAGGTTGTATGTTTCCAGGAATTTATTCATTTCTTCTAGGTTTTCTAGTTTGTGTGCATAGAGGTGTTTATAATAGTCTCTGAGGGCTATTTTTTATATTTCTGGGGGTCAGTGTTAATGTCCCCTTGTCATTTCTGACTGCGTTTATTTGGATCTTCTCTCCTTTTCCCTCCTTCCGTCATTCCTTCCATCCTTCTGTCCGTCCATCCGTCCTCCCTCCCTCCCTCCTTCTCTTCTTCCCTCTTTCCTTCCTTCTTTTTTTGTTTTTGAGGCAGGGTCTTGCTCTGTCACCCTGGCTGGAGAGCAGTGGTATGATCGACCTCCCAGGCTCAAGCAATCCTCCCACCTCAGTTTCCCAAATAGAGTAGCTGGGACTATAGGCACACACCACCACACCCTGCTAACTTTTGTGTTTTTGTAGAAACAGGGTCTCCCCAGGTTGCTCAGGCTTGTCTCGAACTCCTGGACTCAAGCAATCTCCCCACCTCAGCCTCCCAAAGCTGGGATTACAATTGTGAGCCATCGCACCTGGCCTCTCTTTTTCTTACTAGTTAGTGGTCTAGAAATCTTATTTATTCTTTCAAAGAATTATCTTTTGGTTTCATTAGTCTTTTATCTGTTTTTTCTTGTCTCAATTGTATTCAGTTCAACTCTGATTTTGGTTGTTTCTTCTCTAGCTTTGGGGTTGGTTGGCTCTTGTTTTTCTAGTTCCTCTAAGTGTGATGTTAGATTGTTAATTTGAGATCTTTCTAACTTTTCGATGTGGGCATTTAGCACTATAAACTTACCTCTTAACACTGCTTTAGCTGTGTCCCAGAGATTCTGGTATGCTGTATCTTTGTTTTCATTGGTTTCAAAGAATTTCTTGATTTCTGCATTAATTTCATTGTTTTTACCCAAAAGTCATCCAGTAGGGTTGTTTAATTTTCATTTAATTGCATGGTTTTGAGAGATCTTCTTAGTACTGATTTCTGTTTTTTTAATGTTGTGGTCTGGGAATGTGGTTGGTATGATTTTCATTTTTTTAAATTTGTTGAGTATTGTTTTATAGCCAGTCATGTGGTTGATTTTAGAGTATGTGCCAGGTGGAGATGGGAAGAATGCATATTCTGTTATTATTGGGTGGAATGTTCTGCAGATGTCACTTAGATCCATTTGGTCAGGTGTCACATTCAGGTCCTGAGTATCTTTGCTAGTTTTCTGCCTCGATAATCTGTCTGATACTGTTAGTGGAGTATTGAAGTCTCCCACTATTATTGTGTGATTATCTAAGTCTCGTCATAGGTTTCTAAGAACTTGTATTATATATCTGGTGCCCCATTGTTGGGTGCATATGTATTAGGATACTTAAGTCTTCTTGTTGAATTGAGCCCTTTATCATTATTTAATACCTTTATTTGTCTTTTTTGTTCATTGTTGTTTTAAAGTCTCTTTTGTCTGAAATTAGAATAGCAACCCCTGCTCTTTTTTATTTTTTTGTTTGCTTGGTAGATTTTTCTCCATCCATTTTCTTTGAGTCTATGGGTATCATTGCGTGTAAGATGGATCTCTTGGAAGACAGCATACTATTGAGTCTTGCTTCTTTATCCAGCTTACCACTCTGTGCCTTTTAAGGGCAGCATTTAGCCTGTTTATGTTCAAGGATACTATTGTTATGTGCAGATTTGATCCTGTCATCATGTGTTTAGTTGGTTGTTGTGCAGACTTCATTGTAGTTGCTTTATGGCGTCAGTGGTCTATGTACTTAAGTGTGTTTTTTGTGGTGGCCAGTAATAGTCTTTTGTTTCCATGTTTCGCTTGAGGACCTCTTGTAAGACATGTCTGGTGGTAACGAATTTCCTTAGCATTCATTGTCTGAAAATGATTTTATTTCTCCTTTGCTTATGAGGTTTAGTTTGTTTGGATATGAAGTTTTGGGTTGGAATTTTTTTCTGTAAGAATGCTGAGTATAAGCCCCCAATCCCTTCTGGTTTGTGTGGTTTCTGCAGAAAAGTCCACTGTTTGCCCAATGGGGTTCCCTTTGTAGGTGACCTGCCCCTTCTTTCTAGCGGCCTTTAGTTTTTTTTTTCATGTTGACCTTGGAGATCTGATGACCATGTGTCTCGGTAATGGTCATCTTGTATAATATCTCACAAGGGTTCTCTGCATTTCCTGAGTTTAAATGTCAGCTTCTCAAGGTCAAGAACCTAGCAAGGTTAGGGAAATTTTTGTGGACAGTATCCTCAAATATGTTTTCCAGGTTGCTTGTCCTCTCTCCCTCTCTTTCAGGAATGCCAAAGGTTTGGTGTCTTTACATAATCTCATATTTCCTGGAGGTTTTGTTCATTTTTTTTCTTTTTTTCTTTGTTTTTGCCTTTATTTTTTATTTGAAGAACTGGTCTTCATTTTTTATTTGAAGAACTGGTCTTTAACCTCTGAGATTCTTTCTTCAGCTTGATCTACTCTGCTGTTAATTCTCCCAATTGTATTACATGATTCTTGCAGTGAGTTTTTCAGCTCTAACAGATCAGTTTGGTTCTTTCTTAAAATGGCTATTTCATCTTTCAGCTCTTGTATCATTTTATTAGATTCCTAAGATTCATTGGATTTGGATTCAACTTTCTCCAGAATCTCAAACATCTTCATTCCTATCCAGATTCTGAATTCTGTATCTGTCATTTCAGCATTTCAGCATGCTTAAGATCCATTGCTGGGGAACTAGTGGGGTTGTTTGCTGTTAAGAAGAAACTCTGGCTTTTTGAGTTTCCAGAGTTCTTTCTCATCCGTATAAGCTGGTGTATCTTTAATATTTGAAGTTGCTGTACTTTGGATGGCATTTTTTGCTTTTGTATTCTTTGATGCCTTTGAAGGTTTGACTGTGGTATAATGTGGGGTCAGTCAACTGTCTTCATTTCCGGAAGATTTCAGGGGGCCAAGGCTCAGCTCAGCACTACTGAGCTGCTTGTTCTAACCCTGAGTGGCTGAGACCAGGCCTATGGCTTTGTGCTCTGGCCCCTCAGGCTTATGTACTTGCTGCATTGGAGGAGCTGAAATGTTTCTGGTCAGCTGGTAGCAATGCTCCAGTGGGGGCTGCCAGCTAAAGCACTTTGTTGAGGCAGTGGCTGCAGAGTCCAGAGTCCATCCTTGTGTGTGTGTGCCAGCAGCAACAGCGGCATGACAGGTGCACATGCTTGTGCCAGCATGGACAGCAGTGGTGTGGGGTGTGCTGCACACCAGCAGAGGTGGGGTGGCAGCGTCTTCATGGGAGCAGGGCAGCAGTGGGTTCTTTTTTTTTTTTTTTTTTTTTTGAGACCGAGTCTTGCTCTTCTTGCCCAGGCTGCAGTGCAATGGCGTGATCTCGGCTCACTGCAACCTCCGCCTCCCAGGTACAAGCGATTCTCCTGCCTCAGCCTCCTGAGTAGCTGGGATTACAGGCACCTGCCACCACGCCTGGCTAATTTTTTTGTATTTTTAGTAGAGACGGGGTTTCACCATGTTGCCCAGGCTGGTCTTGAGTTCCTGACCTCAGGTGGTCTGCCCGCCTCGGCCTCCCAAAGTGCTGGGATTACAGGCGTGAGCCACCATGCCTGGCCATTCATTAATAAATATTTTTCCTAAGGTTTAGGAAGAACACAGAATTTAGAGTCAGGTAATTGACTGGCTGTGTGATCTTTGAAAAATTACTTAACTTCAGTGAGCCTCAATTTCATATCTCTAGTGAAGATAATACCTACTGTATAAGGTTATTATGAGATTGAAATGCAAAAATGTAAATGTAAAGCATTTAATAGTGATTAACATAATATAAATAAATGATAGTTTTTTTTTTAATCTCTTGACATGGTTGATCATGTTAACTGATACAGTTTTAACTTCTATTTCCTGGTCCGTGATGACTTAGGAAATACAAGATAATGCTTGATGTAGAAAAAACTTTGGATAACCTTTACTCATTTTTCTTGCTTGACATAGCTAAAGGAAATTGGGTGGGGGACAGCTAGTGGGGGTGCTTATTTCTTTATGCAGCAATAGTGTTATTTTAAACTTTGTCAGTGATAAATTTTTAATAGAGTAGATAAGAATCTAGCAGGAAGCTCTTTCCTGGCTTCTTTGAACCTGCCCTCCCCTGAGACACATAAGATTGCAGTTCCGAGGCCTAGACTTACTTAACAGTGGCCTCCTTACGTTTCCCAGGGCTTCATGATAAAGATGCCTGTTCTAGCTGTGGTTTCTGCTTTGTATTGTCTTTTTTTTTTTTTGCCCCAAATATTTCCATTTTTATTTTTTCTAATGTTTACCAACAAATGTATGTGAGAAGTACGTTTCAACCTGTAAAACATCATGCTGATGTTAGTTATTCTTTTGTTTTTCATTGTTTTCTTTGACCACTTTTCTTTTTCTTTGATTTTCTCTGACATTATAGGCACTTTGGTTTCCGTTATTGGAGGCAATGATGGCCCCTCAGAAGCTGTCCAGTTCAGCCATTCCTCATCTACACTCTGAAGGTAAGTTCTTCAGAATTCAAGTGACTGAGTCCACCTGTATCATCAGTCCAATATTTGTCTGCAGAAACTATCAGTATAATATCTTTTTCCAATAGCATATTCTTATGATTTTTCCTTAATGAAACCATATAGTATGGTTGATCTCATCTTTCATGTTTCTTTCTGATGTTCCACTCATATAATTTATCTTAAGTAATTGTAGTCTTTGTAACTTGTCAACAGTTAATTTTAAAATATCAAAGAGGCCTTGGTTAGCTAAGTTTCTAAGAAGCTATATAAATGCACTGTTTTTCCACAGACTTATAGGAAAAACTGAAAACTCTTATTTTAAACTAACCTTAATGTTAATATTTTGTTATAACAGCTCTGAAGTCTTTGACCATGCAAGTTTTAAATAGCATGGCAGCATTTATTGCCCTTCCATCAATCTTGCAAAGAATCTTACAGGTGAGTTAAAAGGGGTGAATATTAAATATTGATTTCAACTAACATTTTAGTTATATATAAATAACAGTGAATTGGGCTAATATTTAAATGGATCTCAAGCATAATGCAGCTAATTTTTGGCAATAGCTAAATATCTAAATATCTAACTTCCGACCCTCATTCTTGAATCTTTTCTGTCAGTTTTTTGGTGTGACTTTGCCTGACATAAGCTTGTGACCTTCAGTTAGGGCGTGCGGCCTTCAGATATTCCCTGTTGCCTTGGGATTCAGATATACAAGTTTCCTATTGGTTTGCTAACTGGGAGGGAGTTATCAGCTGATTATAATTTTTAGATTCCAAAAAGATAATCTAAAAATTAATACAGGAATTTCCTAAGCATTGGTTGTTATTTAGGCTTTCTAACTCATCCTAAAATTATTTTTGTCTTGAATACTCATCCTTGACTCTAAATTCTAGCTGGCTTTGTGTCCAAAGCTTTTGTAGGAAGCATTATTTTGGTTTGCTTCTTTCAACAAAAAAGCCTGAACCTTCTCGGCTTCATCAAAAGAGAACACTCAAAATACTCCAAGATATATTTTTAGAAAAAAACCTGTGAGCATTCTTGGGGAAACAACAGGAATTATACTTAGAATCCATTTTGTCTATCCTCACTTTATTCAGTATAGGCATACATGTGCATGCACCCCGCCCCCCTCCCACACACATACAAAGCAAACCGTAATATGATGCCATTAGTCTTTATAATTTTCAAATGATTTTTATTCAATGAAGAATGTTCCTGTCAGCTCTTTTAAGACTCACCAAGCTTGGCCGGGCGTGGTGGCTCACGCCTGTAATCCCAGCACTTTGGGAAGCCGAGGCGGGCGGATCATGAGGTCAGGAGATCGAGACCATCCTGGATAACACGGTGAAACCCCGTCTCTACTAAAAATACAAAAAAATAGCCGGGCATGGTGGCAGGCGCCTGTAGTCCCAGTTACTTGGGAGGCTGAGGCAGGAGAATGGCGTGAACCCGGGAGGCAGAGTTTGCAGTGAGCCGAGATCGAGCCACTGCACTCCGGCCTGGGCAACAGAGCGAGACTCCGTCTCAAAAAAAAAAACTCTACTTCCCATCTGATATTAAGCTTCTGGGGCTTTTCTGATAAAGATGACTACATCCTGTAGTCTTTGTCATTACATGGTATACTATCATTTAGAATACTTTTTTTTTTTTTTTTTGAGACAGTTTCACTCTTGTTGCCCAGGCTGGAGTGCAATGGTGTGATCTTGGCTCACCGCAACCTCCGCCTCCTGGGTTCAAGTGATTCTCTTGCCTCAGCCTCCCGAGTAGCTGGGATTAGAGGCATGTGCCACCACGCCCAGCTGATTTTGTATTTTTAGTAGAGACCGGGTTTCTCCATGTTGGTCAGGCTGGTCTCAAACTCCTGACCTCAGGTGATCCGCCCGCCTCAGCCTCCCAAAGTGCTCGGATTACAGGCATGAGCCACAGCGCCCGGCCAGAACACATTTTTACATGTATTATTTCATTTGATCTTAGCAATTATCATGTGTTGAATAATTCTTTGATATAGACTGCTTCACATATCCATTTTAAAGCTCATTACTTATGAGGTTTCTAATCATGTATAAAGTAATATCTCCATAAGGGCAGGAATACTTTTCCAAGTAAGTTATAAGAAATGAAATCATAAAGCCAAATGGGTTCTCTCTGTGCTATACATTTTGCTTTATATTGAGCTTTAACCACACATTATGATATGTAAATTATAACAAAAACATGTTTTTCTCTTGGCAAAAACATGATTTTTAAAATTTTTTATATTTCAAGACTTTGGAATCTAGAAGTCTCTTGATATTTGAAAATCTTCACTTTATTTTGAGTTATACTGGCATTCATTATAATTTTTTCTTATCATTTTCTATTTTCAATGGTTGTTAACTCCCACTAATCAGGAAGGTATGCTATTTCTTAAATTCCTCATTTGCATGTTTGTGATTACTGTAATTATGCTACCTTATATATGTACAGAGATTTTTATTTTTCAAGGTGCTTTCACAGATATCATTTCATTTGAAGCCCACAACAATCCCTTGAGGTAGGCAGGGCTACTATAAACATTTCTGCTGAAAAAAGAAGAAACTGAAGTATAGAGAAGTTGAGTTCTTAGCCTATCATTAGCAGCAGAACCTGGACCACCCCCTAAGTCTCTCACTTCCTAATTCACGTTCTTTTTTATTATGTCATGTGAGCTTTTTTTATTTGTTTATGTCCCTGGTCTTTTGAGTTCATTATTAATTAAATATATTAATTGTATGTTATGCTGTTTAGATGAAAGGCATAGTTCTGAACCCATAAGAGCTCTTATTTAAGAGACAAAAAATGTGCTGATACAACTATTCATAGGGCTCTATTCAAGTAATAGTGGCCACCTTTAGGATTATCTGCTCTGAATCCATATAGGATAATTGCCATGCCTACATTTCTATACTTAATCTGTGTAAGAGCAGAAGGAGCTGTGGGAAAGTGTGACCCTGCCTCCTGGGTCCAGCTGATTGACTCGGGGTGAGCAAATGGCCTAAACAAGGCCAATCAGTGTGCTTTCCAGGACATTTTGGAACTGAACTTGGAAAAGATCTATAAGTCTCTCGTTAAGTCTCTGGATTACATCAGGTACAAATTTCAGGAACGGACAGTTCCTGTTTTTCCATTATATGGACTGGAAGAGTGAAAAAGCATAATCTGTAGAGAGAAGGAGACGAATGTAGTAGACACTAAGAAGAGACACACAAATGGATACAATGCATAAAGAGGATTCAAGACATAGAGACGAGGAGAGGAGACCATGTGGGGAGAAAAAGCTGATGCACATGAGTCTCTCATTGTGACTCTTAAGACTTACCAGCATTCCTCTTCTTAGATCTGTGAAATACCCTAGCATCTTTACAATAATTAACTTTTTTGAGTAAGTTAGATTGAGTGGTATTTATGGCTATATATGACCAAAGGAGTACCAATAAAAGTATATACCTGAAACAGAGTAGGAAATTTGGAAAGATTTCCTGGAAGAGGAGATGTCTGAGCTGATTCTTAAAAGAGTCTAAGGAAATCAAGGAAAGAAAGGAGGTAGGATTATTCTATATACACAAAGACTTTGAGGTGAAAGCATGGTACTTTTGGAAAGTTACAAGTTTTTTAAGTGTGCTCAGAACATAGGATAAGAATAAAGAAAAATTACAGAGCTGAAATTTGAGAGATAGGCAGGGACTGTGTCTTTAATTGCTTTATAATTCATGATAAGGAGTTTGGATTTTATTCTAAAATCAGTTGTCATCAAGATTTTTAGCAGAGGAATGACTCAGACACAAGGGGAGGGGAGTAAAACACAGGGCTGAAAATGAGGATTTGGGGAAAGTCTGCTGATGGTATTCCCCGTGCTCCTCTTCCCCCTTCCAGCAGCCATCAGACGCACTCACTTCTCATGAAGGAGACAGAGGTTCATTTTCTTGAGACACTGAATGATCTCAGAGGAATAAACCCTAAACAGATTGGATGCTTCAGGTTTTCCTCAAGAAAAAGGCTGGCTAGCTGTCCTGTCACTCTCCATGGAGCTGCATCAGTCAGCAAGCCTCAGTTACACAACCAGGCCTTTCATTGAGGTTTAGTATTTCTATTATTAAGTACTAGAGCAGTATTAGATTTACAGAGAAATTAAACAGAAAATACAGAGAATTCCCTTTTACCCCTTCTCCCTCCCACACTCAGTTTTGCCTACGGTTAACATTTTTGTATTAGTGTGGTATATTTGTTACAATTGGTGAATTAATATTGATATATTATAATTATTAACTAAAGTCCATAGTTTACATTAGCAATCACCCTTTGTGTTGTACAGTTGTATGGGTTTTGACAAATGCATAATGTCCTATATCCACCATTACCATATCATACACTGCTCTAAAAGGCCCCTGTGCTCCACCTATTCATCCTCCTCCCTATGCTAATCCCCTGGCAACCACTAATTTTTTTTCTTTTATTTGAGACAGAGTCTCACTCTGTCACCCAGGCTGGAGTACATTGGCGTGATCTCTGCTCACTGCAACGTCCACCTCCCAGGTTCAAGAGATTCTCATGCGTCAGCCTCCCAAATGGCTGGGATTACAGGCATACACCACCGTGCCCAGCTAATTTTTGTATTTTTAATAGAGATGGGGTCTTGCCATGTTGACCAGGCTGGTCTTGAACTCCTGGCTTCAAGTGATCTGCCCACCTCTGCCTCCCAAAGTGCTGAGATTACAGGTGCGAGTCACCGTGCCCACACTGATTTTTTTTTTTTAACTGTCCCTATAGTTTTACCTCTTCCAGAATGTCATATAGTTGGAATCATAGAGTGCGTAGTCTTTTCATATTGGCTTTTTTCACTTAGCAATATGCACTTAAAGTTCTTCCATTTCTTTTGGGGGCTTGATAGTTCATTTCTTTTTATCTCTGTATATTCCATTGTATGGATGTTCCACAGTTTTGTCTATCCACATACCTATCAAAGAACATCTTGGTTGCCTTCCAGTTCTGAAAATTTTCAGTAAAACAGCTATGAACATTCATATGCAGGCTTTTTGTGTGGACTTAAGTTTTAGACTCATTTGGGTAAATACCTAGGAATGTGATTGCTGGATTATATAAGACTATGCTTACTTTTGTAAGAAACTGCCAAACTCTGCTCCAAAATGTCTATACCATTTTACATTTCCGCCAGCGCTGAATGAAAGTTCCTGTTGCTCCATATCTTAGCAGCATGTGGTATTGTCAGTGTTTTGGATTTTAGACATTCTAGTAGACGTGTAGTAGTCTCATCATTGTTTTAATTTGTAGTTCTCTTACAACATGTGATATTGAGCTTTTACGTGCTTTTTGAAGTGTTTGTTTTCTTGTTGTTGGGTTTTAAGGATTCTTTGTATATTTTGGATAAGGTTCTTTATCACATGCGTGTTTTTGCAAATATTTTCTCCCACTCTGTGGCTGGTCTTTTTATTCTCTTAACAGTGTGTTTCACACAGCAGAAGTGTTTGCTTTTAATGAAGTCTAGTTTATTGACTTTTTCTTCCATGGAATATGCTTTTGATGTTGTATGTAAAAACTCATCACCAAACTCAAGGTTACCCAGATTTTTCTCATTTGTTTTTTCCTAAAAGTTTTGTATTTTTGCATTTTACACTTAGAGCTATGATCCATTTTGTGTTAATTTTGGGGGAAAATATATGGTCAGTGTTGATTCATTTTTCTGCATGTGAATATACACAGTTGGAACTAGTTCCAACACTGCTTGTTGAAAGGACTGTCCCTTTCTCCATTGAATTGCCTTTGCTTAGTTTACCATATTCATATGGGTCTATTTCTGGGTTTTCTGTTCTTTTACAATGATCTATTTTCTATTCCTTCACCAATACCAACACTGTCTTGATTAGTTTTATAGTAGGTCTTAAAGTCAGGGAGTGACAATCATCCAACTTTGCTCTTCTTCATTATTGTGTTGGCCATTCCTTGTCTTTTGCCTCTCTGCTTTAAACTTCAGAAACGGTTTGTTGATATCTACAAAGTAACTTGCTGGAATTTTGATTAGGAATACATTGAACTTATAGATCAAATGAAGAACTAACATTATAACAATATCAAATCTTTCTGTTCATGAACATGAAATATTTCTCCATGTATTTAGATCTTCTTTGCTTTCCCTCATTAGAGTGTTACAGTTTTCTTCATACAAACTGTGTATATTTTATTAGACATATCTAAATATTTCTCTTAGGTACTAATGTGAATAGTATCTTTTTAATTTTAAATTCTAACTGTTGGTTGCTGGCATATTGGAAACCAATTGACTTTGTATAATAACCTTGTATCCTGTAACTTTGCTATAATCACTTAATTGTTTCAGGGTTTTTTAGACAATCATGTCATCTGCAAACAAAGACAGTTTTATTTCTTCCTTCCCAATCTGTATATCTTTTGTTTCCTTTTCTTGTCTTATTGCTGTAACTAGAACTTCCAGTACAGTGTTGAATAGGAGTGGTGAGAGGGGTTATCTTTGCCTTATTTTCTGTCTTAGAAGAAAGGCAGTTTCTCACCATTAAGTATGATGTTAGCTGCAAGGTTCTTATAGATACTGTTTATCAAGTTTAGGAAGTGTCCCTTCCTTCCTTGTTTGCTCACAGTTTGTCTATCATGAGTGGGCGTTGGATTTTATCAAGTGCATTTTCTGCATCTGCTAATATGATCATATGATTTTTCTTATTTAGCCTGTTGATGTGGTGGATTACAGTAATTGATTTTTCTTGTCTTTTTTTTTTCCTTTTTTGTGGAGAATGGGGTCTCACCGTGTTGCCCAAGCAGGTCTCACCCTGGGCTCAAGCCATCCTCCCGCCTCTGCCTCCCTAAGTGCTGGGATTACAGGCATGAACCACCACACCCAGCCCATTAATTGATTTTTAAATGTTGAACCAGCCTTGCATACCTGGGATAAATCCCACTTGGTTGTTATGTATAATTCTTTTTATACATTAGTGGATTCAATTTGCTAATATTTTGTTGAGGATTTTTGCATCTCTGTTCATATAGTTTCCTTTCTTGTAATATCTGTGTCTGGTTTTGGTATTAGGGTGATGCTGGCCTCAGAGAATGAGTTAAGAAGTGTTCCCTCAGCCGGGATGTGGTGGCTCACACCTATAATCCCAGCACTTTGGGAGGCCGAGGCGGGCAGATCACGAGGTCAGGAGATCGAGACCATCCTGGCTAACACGGTGAAAACCTGTCTCTACTAAAAATACAAAAAAATTAGCCAGGCATGGTGGCAGGCACCTGTAGTCCCAGCTACTCGGGAGGCTGAGGCAGGAGAATGGTGTGAACCTGGGAGGCAGAGCTTGCAGCGAGCCGAGACCACGCCACTGCACTCCAGCCTGGGCGACAGAGCAAGACTGTCTACAAAAAAAAAGAAAAAAGAAAAGTGTTCCCTCTGCTTCTGTTTTCTGGAATAGATTGTAGACAGTTTGTATAGTTTCTTCCTTAACTGTGTGGTAGAATTCCTCATTATTTTCCTCAGCAGTCCCTGTATTTAATCCACGTTAAATCCTCTCTACTCTGTCTCCTAGAATATTTTAGGAGTTAAGTTTTTTCTCCCTTGCCTTTCCACCCTCACTGCAGCCCCAATCACACCTGTAAATATAAACTCTTTTTGAGCCCTGCCTTCATATTAGCTTACCCCCGAGGCTGTGAGTTTTGTAAAAGCAGAGATCGTGTCTCCCTTGTTCACTATGTTACCTACAACACCCAGTGCAGTGCCTGAAACATAGTATATGCCCATTAAATATTAGTTGACTCCCTCACCTAATGTCCTTCTATAGTTCTCACCAGTTTACAAATCACTTTAGTGTTCATTATCTTCTCTGATCTCTAACTGTGCAGATTGAGCTGGGGATGTAGCAATACCTCATGTATCTCATGAGAAAAGTGCCACTCAGAAAGATCAAATAATTTGTCTTAGTTTATTCAGTTTTGAAATGGGAACCACTAGAATTAATCCAGGTCTGCTAACTTCAAGTTTTAGGGCTTTTCTTCTGTATCTAACACTAATCAAGGCGTTTCTCATACCCACCTCACTGTATCAGATCCCCACTGAAAAAAGTAGGGAGCAGCAGTTACTTAGATGCACAATTGCTCAGATGCAAATGAAAAAATTAGTTTTTCCAAAAGAAGTGGTCACATGATAAGAGGTTCTCACAGATCTTCTTGATCTTCACGTGTTTATTCAGACTGATGCCTGGGACCCAAATTACACCGTTTTTTTTTTTTTCCATGAATATTAGGTGATAAAAGAACATTTTAAAGGACCATATTTTTGTTATATACATTCTATCTTTGCTGTATGGCTGAAGTAACTTTTAGCTTCTGAGAAGCCGTTTATTACTTTCTCACTGAGGAAAGGCAAACAAATTATTTATAGACTCTCCTGTTCAGGGCATCATTCATATTTTAAAGCAGTGCTCAATTAATAAAGATTTTTATTTTAAACACCCACATACATGATACAATAGGTACCAGAAAGCAATAGGAAAAAAACATGGTCATCACATCTTTTCTAGTGTGTGTCTTGAAAAACAAATTTACCTGGGTACCCAAGTATGCTCTTCCTTCATAGTTTGCAAACAAACAACTTAAGAGAAACCTCAGCATTTATTCATTGCTGAAGAATCTAGCTGACATCTTTGGAAAATAATTTGAAGAGCTAGTGGGTTGGAGCATGCTGTGCTAGAAGCTTTGAGCTCCCTTTTGCATTCTATAATTTATATGTTGTCCCAGCATGAGGTCATTTTCTTGATTTTGCTTTTAAATTATGTATATTACAGTGAGATGTACTGATACAAATATAGAAATGACCTATAGAGATTTCCTTTTCCCAGAATTTAACCTTTTAAGACCTCTTTGTTCTCCAAACCACCCTTGTCGAAAACACATGCCAGAGCTCTGTTGTCTTATTGGATCCACATATTATAGTAAATATTATAATAGATTTTTCTAATAAGATATTGTACCATCTGTTGATATTTGACAAACGTATACTTATTAAGAACTTGACCAAAAGTATAATTAAGCATTAACAAGGGTCTATTTTTATGCAAAGAAAATAAAAAGAAAAAAATGTGCAGTGGGTATATGGCTTTGAGTTGTTTTTCTCTGAAGGACTAGTCTGAAATATCTGTATCTTGCCTTTTGGAAATGATTTCCACATATTTGACAGATATCTTTAGCTTAGTGATATGATCTCTAGCTGTGAAGTAGAAATTTTTCCTGTTAAGCTTAAGTGATGTGTTCAAGCCCAAACTTGTTAATTTGATAATTACTACACAAATACATAGTTATTTTGTGCCTTGGATTTCTTCAGCATAACCCTAGCAGTTGAAGAGTCCAGAGAAACCTCTGGCAGACAGTCTCATGCTGCTCTAGACAGACTCAAAGCACTGAAAACCAATCTTAGTTAGAAACTGCACAACCTATTCTGCAAGAGCCATCACTAGAACCCAGAAGAGAAAAGCAAATCCTGAGACAATTCTTATACAGGTTTTTCCTGCTTCCATAGCCTTTTTTCCTTCTGAACTCACAGTAACTCTTAACAGTACCAAGAGTTTAATAACCCTTACTCCCTAAGAAATAGCCAGACATGTTTCTCGTGTTTTCCAGCAATCATTAGTTTATCATTTACTTACCTATGTTAGAAACCCATATTTTCAAGCAAAAAGTAATTTATTACTTAATTTATTAGTTTTTGTATCCAGACTTGGGAGACCAGTATAGTGTGTTTATTAAAAGCGTGATTTCTGAAGTACCTAGATTCAAATCCCATCTTATCTGCTTGATAGTTTTGTGACTTAGAGAAGTTTTTGTAACCTCTCTAAGCCTCAGTTTCTTTACTCATAAAACCTGTTGAAGGAACTTAGTAATATGTTAAACATAAACTGCTTAGTACTGTACTTGGCATATGCTACTCACTTAAAGTAGCAGCTACTTTTATCATAACTGTGTAGTTGGATTCTCCTATTTGGCATGGAAAAGAGTCATTTATGTCATATATAACTTGATATTAGAGAAAAGTAATAGACTTGACTCATTTATTCACAGTTTTAAAATTATAATTATTAGTCTAGCCAAAGGTCAGTGAAGTGAGCACATACATATGCTGATGGGGATAAAAATCCTAAAATAGGTAGAGCAATTTGGCAGTATATATTGATAGCCATGAAAATGCCCTTTGAGTCTATAGTTTTCTGTCTAGAAATCTCTAAAGAAAGAATCAGAGATTCCAATTGAGATTTGCAGCCACTAGCATTTGATAATGGTGGCTGGAGTTTGGGAAAGGGGAAAAGTGAAGTGTTCAAAGCAGAAAATGAATAAAACATGATATTTTCACATGATTTATATTCTGTACCTATTAAGAAATACTTGTAATGTGTCACAAGAGTAGAGAAAAAAAAAGAAATATTTGCTGGTATGGAAAAGTGCTCACAATATACCATTGAATTAAAAAAAGATATAAAAATATTTTGTAAAATACTCAAATTTTATACACTAAAAAATACATCCCTCTTTCTCTTCCTCTTCTCACCTCTCCCAGAAACAAGACTAGAGAAATATACATCAAAATATCAACAGTGTTTACCTCTAGTTGGATTTCAGTTTTTGGTGTGGTTTTTTGTTTTTTGTTTTGTTTTTTGTTTTTTGGGTTTTTTTTTTGTACACTTCAGTGTTTCCAAAATGCACATAATAAACAAGTTACTTGGCATACCTCATATGAAATGCAGTGGAGAGAACATTGGGTATCTAGGTATCTTTTGTTTATCAGTAGTGACCTTATTGAAAAAAACTTCAAAAAACTGAGAGCTGTTTTCTCAGAACCTGTTTGTCTCCAAAACTGATGCAATTGAGTTGGTTAGGGGCAGGAAGTGGCTAAATGGGATCACAGGAGGAGTTGTTGGACAGATTCTGGGTATTCCTGAGTACACTGGTTTTAATGTAACATATATACGAGCTCAAAGAGGGAGAGTTGCTGTTTTATATGAAGGAGAGGAAGCTTCTTGCAGAAACAAAATAAAAGTAAAGTTTAATTAGATTTGTAAGGATTGTTAAGAAAGGGGCTTGGATAATTTAAATTTTGTTTTTCAAAAATATTTGAGATGGTCAGAGGAAGACTATGGTACATTTCCGGTGGAAAGTTCATGGAAGAATAAATATTTTGTGACTGTAGAAAAATACTTAAAAGCATTTGGCTTTTTCAGATAACTTACATTTTAAAGTAATTTTAAAATACAGAATTGTAACAGAATTGTAATTTTTTCCGATTAGGATCCAGTTTATGGAAAAGGAAAACTTGGAGAAATCCAGGGACTTATCTTGGGAATGTTAGATACCTTTAACTATGAACAAGTAAGTAAGCTACTTGTTACATCTAAGTCTGTCCTAAGGTAGAAAAATGCTATTTTTTTTAATTTTGTACCTATACTTAAAAAAAAATTACCATCTATTTACTGGCAGTTAGGTAGACTGAGGTGTATGTGTGTGTATTTCTTTTAGTTTTTCTCTCGCCAGGCATGGTAACTCATACCTGTAACGCCAGCACTTTGGAAGACTGAGACAGGAGGATTGCCAGAGGCCAGGAGTTTGAGACCAGTCCAGGCAACATAGCAAGACTCTGTCTCTACAAAAAATAAAAAAAAATTAGCTGGGCATGGTGGCATGTGCCTATAATTGTAACTCCTCAGGACGATCAATTGAGCCCAGGAGTTGGAGGCTGCAGTGAGCTATGATTGTGCCACTGCACTCTCCAGGTGACAGAGCAAGACCCTTCTCTGAAAAAAAAAAAAAAAATTCTCTTGACCTTAATTTGTGTACACACACACACATTTCAGAATGTAGAAATGCATCTAATTCAAATTTAGTTTATTTTAATTCATTGGCAATGAAACAAATATCTTTTTTCAAAATGAAAGTGTGAGAAACTTTCTGGAAAAATAATTTAATACAAAGCTATATACCACATGAAAAGGAAGGATCAACATGAATATAGAAAATTGTAAAATAAAATTAAATGAGTATTATTTTAAACATTCTGAAACAGATAGTTGTCACTAACCATTGTATTAGTTTGTTTTTATGCTGCTGATAAAGACATACCCAAGACTGGGCAGTTTACAAAAGAAAGAGGTTTATTGGACTTACAGTTCCAGGTGGCTGGGGAGCCCTCACAATCATGGCGGAAGGTGAAAGGCATGTCTCACATGGCAGCAGATAAGAGAAGAGAGCTTGTGCAGGGAAACTCCCCCTTATAATACCGTCTGCTCTTGTGAAACTTATTCACTATCACGAGAACAACACAGGAAAGACCTGCCCCCATGATTCAGTTACCTCCCACTGGGTCCCTCCCACCACACGTGGTAATTCAAGATGAGATTTGGGTGGGGACACAGCCAAACCGTATCACCATAAATGGTCATTAGTCTTCCCTTAACTCAAAATTGTCTTTAGCTGTAAGTCTCAGTAAGAGCCAGCTTGGTGTACGGGCTTTTTTCTTAGCGTACTGCAGAGTAACCCATGAAGCCACCTAGGAAAAGTACCATTTAGGTCTGTTGGAGACAATGTCTGCTTTTTTTTAAGAATCCGAGAGAAGAAAAGGAAAATCTGGGTGACAGCTTTTCTTAGAATGTTGTAAGAATTGCAGTTTGGTTAAGCGTAGCCCAGTGAAGCTTGATAACCCCTGCAGTCACAGATTCCAGGTTAGCAGAGGTATAGTTGTGTGCAAGGCAGAAAATGTTTGCCAATTTTGGAACTATGGAAGAGGAGAAAAAGATAATACTGATTGGAAAGAAGTAGAATAGACCATTAGAACCAAAAGTATTGCATTACAGGCAAAGTTAAAGAGTTAAGCTGTATAACAAGGAGGGCAGGCAGTACCTAGCTCTATCTTCCCCTTCGGGACTGAGAGAAAAGAACCCAAATACATAGCCAGATGATATATATGAATGTTAAGAATGAGATACAGTACAAAAACAATACTATATAAATACATAGAGCCTTAAAATGACTTAATGTGATAGCTGTTAAAATGTCTTTATGTGACTTAATGATAGATGTCATGGTCTTGAGTAGATGCAAATGACTTCTAAGTGCTGATCAGGAAAATGTGATCTCTCTGCCCAAGGAAGATGAAAATAGAGTAATGGCCATTAGCTTTACTAGTGAAAAGATATTTGAAACATTACCACGAATGCAGTTTCAGTAAAAAATCTGGGATTCAGACTTAGCTGTATTCTTTATTACAACACTCTGAGCCATTCAGAGAGCAGTTATTATATAAATGTAATAAATATATTTGGGCTTATCTAGTCATTTGAAAGCCATCAATACTGAATGAAGCTGCAGAATGGCAGAGCTCACATTTCTCAATAGAAACTAATGACAGATTTGAGAATCTTTGTAATGTATACACTCACCATTACTCTGCACATTGAGGTTAACTGCTTGAATTTGGGAGGTTTTGATGTTTTTTTGTTTCAACAATGTTATCCCTTTATAGTGTGTTTCAATTTTAGCTGTTGGTAGTTGAAAACTAAACAAGTGCTATTCACCATTCATCTCCTCTATCTCTTTCATCTTATAACCTTTTGTTTGTTTGTTTTTTGTTTTGGTGTTTCATAGACCCTGCTGGAAACAACAACCAGCCTTCTAAACCAAGATCTCCATTGGTCATTGTGTAACCTGAGAGCTTCGGTCACCAGAGGACTGAATCCCAAACAAGATTACTGCTCTATATGTTTGCAGCAGTACAAGAGACGCCAAGAAATGGCTGATGAAATAATTGTCTTTAGGTAAGAAAGGGAAGGAAATGTTACATGTATGGTACATGTACATCTGTGGCATTACCAGGCAAGAATCCACATGGATACACGGGTAGTCATTCTAGCAGTGAACGTGATAGGCAAGTTCCTGCCCTCACAGACCTTACATTCTGCATTGGGGTGGAGGTTAGGGTGCCCAGGAAAGACATAAATACAGAGGAATAAGAGCTATGGAGAAAAATAAAACACAGGACAAATAGATAGAAGGATGATGAGTTCAGGACAAGTGCTGTTGAATGAGGGAAAGCATATCTGAGGACATGACCTTTGAGCAGAACGAGAGAGGGAGGAGCAAAGGTGCTGAGAGGTGTTTGGATTCTGAGTATCCTTTAAAGGTAGGGATAACTTGCTGGTGTATTAGATGTGGAGTATAAGAGAAAAATGAATCTTTGGTCTGAGCAATTGGGTAAACATGGTACCGTTGTCTAAGATGAGGAAGAACAGGTACAAGGAACTGGGGAAATCAAGAGTTTTGTCTTGCACGTGTTAGGTTTGAAATGTACTGTTAGACATCAGGTAGGGATGCCAGCTAGACAGTTATTCAAGTCAGAAATCTGGAGATGTGTTGAGACTGGAAAATTTTAATTTAGAAGTTGTCAGCATATGATATTTAAGCTACATTGCAAAGAGAGAGGAACCCTAGTGCAGAGTGAAGGTGTTGGTCTCAGGAGCAAAGACAGCTCATCTAGAATGTATGGATAGAGGTAACATGATATGGCCGTGGATCCAAACTTCCTGACTTCAAGTCTTGACTCTACTACATGCCAGCTGTGAGACCTTGGACAAGTTATTTAACCTCTTTATATCTTAGTTTCCTCATCTGTAAATAGGATAGTAGGGTTTTGTGAGGATTGAATGAGATGATTTATATAAGGCACTTGTAACAGTGCCTGGCATGAGTAAGCACTATCTGAGTGTTACATCTGCAGGAAGATTGGTAGACTTGATGGTTGGAAGGGGAAGTAGTTCTCTTCACACAAAGAGCCCATTCAGGCAAGAAATATTTATTGAGCACCTGCTGTATGCAAGCTGCTATTCAAGGGGATAGGATACAGGATGAACAAAACAAAGGATTTGCCCTCATGGAGTTTACATTGTAGTGGCAGGGATAGACCATAAGCCAACAAGTGAAATGCCAGATACTGATAACTACCATGGGGGAAAAAATGTTAAAGGAGATACAGAGTGTTTGGTGGGGGGTGCAGATATTTTATATAGGTTGGTCAGGGAAAGGCTCACTGTTAAGGTGACTTATGAACAGACAACTTAAAAATTAATTAATAGAAAAATAATAGTTACATGAATAAAAAACAAGCTATGCTATAGAGGAAAAGGAATGTTGGGAGCTACTAATTTATAGAGTAGTCCAGGAAAGCCTTCTTGTTTAAGTGACGTTTGAGGGGATCTAAAGGAAGTGGCCATGCAACGTCAGAAGAGAGTACACCAGGCAGAGGAGCCAAGTGCAGAGACCATGAGGCGGGAGAGCCTTGGCATTCTTGAGGAGTAGTGAGTGAGGAGGCTAGTGGCACCTGAGCAGCCAAGGAAGGGGACAGTGAAAGAGACTTCAGAGGAGCAGAGGCCAAATCATGTAGGAGCTGGCCCAAGTCTAACTCATTTTTATAATGAAAGTGAGACTTTTACTCTGAGATGCGAAGCCACTGGATGGTTTTGAGGACTGGGGCGGTGACATGATCTGACCTATGTCTTAAGGATTACTCTGACTGCTGTGTTAAGAAAGGACTAGAGAGATCAAGGGGGAAAGCAGATGGACCACTTAGGCTGTTGTAGTAGCCCATGTGAGAGATGGTCTAGGTAATAGTCATGAAGTAAGAAGTGGTAGGATTCTGGATATATTTAGAAGGTAGTGGTATTTTAAAGCTATGGAACCTGGAAGTAATCTCTAAAGGAGCAAAGGTAGCTACAACAACAGAGTATAGAAGAGGAAGTTTATATATATATATATATATATATATATATATATATATATATATATATATATATATATATAGCGAGAGAGAGAGAGAGAAGGGAAGAAAAAAGAAAAAGAGTATAAAGACTATAGAAAAGAAAAGGTTTGATTTCTGGAATGTCCGACATTTTAGATTAGAGAAATGAAGATAAATCAGTGTAGATGGCTGAGAATTATTCTCAGTACTCAACTTCTGGGAGGCTGATTTGGTAATTTAGTGTAATCAATAGGGAATTTCTTTATAAGAATAGCGTAAGGATTTACTACAGCAATGACATTTTTGTAAATGTTTAATCAAATCACAACCCTTGCCTTGAATTTGGTGAGCAGACCACTCATGTTGTTATCAAGCTACTTAAATAATTATGATTTTTTCCAGTTGCTTTTTTTTTTCTTTTTGAGATGGAGTCTCATTCTGTCTCCTAGGCTGGAGTGCAGTGGAGCAATCTCAGCTCACTGTAACCTCTGCCTCCCAGGTTCAAGCGATTCTCATGCCTCAGCCTCCTGAGTATCTGGGACTACAGGTGTGTGCCACCACACCTGGCTAATTTTTTGGTTTTTGGTTTTTTTTTTTGAGACAGAGTTTTGCTCTTGTTGCCCAGGCTGGAGTGCAGTGGCACGATCTTGGCTCACTGCAACCTCCGCCTCCCGGGTTGAAGCAATTCTTCTGCCTCAGCCTCCCAAGTAGCTGGGATTACAGGTACCTGCCACCACGTCCAGCTAATTTTTTGTATTTTTAGTAGAGACGGGGTTTCACGATGTTGGCCAGGCTGATCTCAAACTCCTAACCTCAGCTGATCTGCCCACCTCGGCCTCCCAAAGTGCTGGGATTACAGGCGTGAGCCACCACGCCCAGCCCCCAGTTGCCTTTTTTTCAGATTATCTAAAAATACTATCCGGATTTCATAGTTTGAGAAATGAACAGAAGTTCAACTCATCCTCTAGGTAGTTTTTAGTCAGAGAACTGTGATTTGTTCGTACTCACAACATAAGTATACAAATATATGTATGAATGTGGATTTTTAAAAAGAGAGGACAGCAGCAAGTACATTCCCTTTCTTGTTTCTTACCCTGTACAGCCATCAGTGCATTTCTACTTGTTAGAGATTTTTATTGCTTCTAAGTACACTTACAAGCTTATATTTATGGATTTTGTGATAATAAAAAGTACAAATTGGTTGCCTTCGTTTTGCAGCTGTGGCCATTTGTATCACTCATTCTGCCTACAAAACAAAGAATGCACTGTGGAATTTGAGGGCCAAACAAGATGGACATGCTACAAATGCAGTTCAAGTAACAAAGTAGGAAAACTCAGTGAAAATTCATCTGAAATTAAAAAGGGAAGGATAACCCCATCACAGGTAAGACTTGTTTTCGTGGCAAAATGGAAATGGTCTTTTCTTACCAATGTCATTTGGGCCTGGTCTCATTTCCTTCGGTTCCATAGGTCTCAACAAATTTACCTGGTGGGTATTGGGTACATGAAATGTTCTTTTCAGTCCTATTTAGTGTTCGAAGAGCCTCTCCTCTCTACTCAGTATGGAAAAACATGAATTTGAGAGCAACAGATGACATTTTCTGCCTTTAAACGGCTTAAGATCCAGTTGGACAGATGAGGTGTACACACATGAGCCTGCTTTTAAGACCTTTTGATAGAGTAACAGCTTAGCAAGTACAGCTGAGTACTTGCAGGTACCAATGAGTACCTATATGATAAGAGTGCAGAATTATGACTTTTAAGTAGGGCTGATGATGGACAAGGTGCATACACATATGCTCTTTCACTGCCTTTGGAGTCTGACTACTGGACTAGATGATAATTTTATGTATTTTACAGCCTTTTTTTAAAGCAGACAGTGGAGCAGAGTTTGAACTCTACCGCTTGATAGTTTTCAGGAGAGCAGAGCTTGACAACATGAGGGGTTCAATGTGGAGAAGTTACTGGGACTGGGACTTGATCATTGTGCTCTACTCGGCTATACTTCCTCTTTGAGGTAGTATCATATTTTTGGCTTCCTGTTCCTTCCTCTGTGCTACCCTATCCTATAGTTGGCCTTCACATTCACATCACATAGTGAAAAGTTGGGCTTGTTACTTTTCTCTTTTCGTTTCTTTTTTTTTTTTTTGAGATGCAGTCTCGCTCTGTTGCCCAGGCTGGAGTGCAGTGGTGCGATCTCAGCTCACTGCAAGCTCCGTCTCCTGGGTTCACGCCATTCTGCCTCAGCCTCCCGAGTAGCTGGGACTATAGGTGCATGCCACCATGCCCTGCTAATTTTTTGTATTTTTAGTAGAGTTGAGGTTTCGTCGTGTTAGCCAGGATGGTCTCGATCTCCTGACCTCGTGATCTGCCCGCCTCGGCCTCCCAAAGTGCTGGGATTACAGGCGTGAGCCACCGCACCCGGCCTCTCTTTTTGTTTCATCAGCCATCAGCATTGTATTAGAAGCAGAGCCTGGGAAAACCTCCTGACTAACTTCTCTCCAGATAACAATGTAGAACTTCTACTCTCCAGTGGTAGCCTTTCCAATTATACCTTCCCCAAGTTTGTATTGAACAGTGTGATAGGCACTGTGCCAGGTGCCTGGGGATACAATGGTAGACAAGGCAAACATGGTCTTGTCTTTCAGAGTATACAGTCAACAAACTTATAAAAGGATTTTTAACAGAGTACTCTCAAGTTTTTTCTGACTCCAATTCAGTTCAGTTCTGATACTAGCTAGAGTTAGAGACTCCATGGTTTAAGGGTTCAGTCCCACACGAACAGTCCTCACTTTAGATGCCAGTCACAAACAAAGTACTCAGGCTACCTACTTTTGTCTGACTTGGCTGCAAATTCAGTGGTCCCCATGACCCCCTCTGAGGTTCCATAATTCACTAGGATGATTCACAGAACTCAGGAAACACTTTATTTACATTTACCAATTTATTATAAAGGATGCGACTGAGGAAGAGCCAAATGGAAGAGGTGCATAGGGCAAGGTTGGGGAGGGGGATGAGGAGTGGTAGAGATTCCATGCCCTTTCTGGGCCTACCACCTTCCTAGCACATCAATGTCTACACCAACCCATAAGCTCCTCAACCCCACCATTTACAGGTTTTTTTTGGAGGTTTCGTTATGTAGTCATGCCTGAAAATTATTGGTCATTTATGATTGAGCTCAATCTCCAGCCCCTCTCCCCTCTGCACAGGTTGGGAGATGGGGCTGAAAGTTCCAAACCTCTAACCATGGCTTGGTCTTTCTGGCACCTAGCCCTCATGCTGAAGCTATCCAGGGGTCTCCAGCCAGCAGTCATCTTATTCTCATGCAAAAGACACTCTCATCACTCAGGAGATTCCAAGGGTTTTAGGAGCTGTGTGCCAGGAACCTAAGACAAAGGCCAAATATATGTATTTTTATTATACCACAAGTACTTACAGATGAACTATGCTGTAAGTACAGATAATGAGTAGATATAAAATAGACATGAGGGATCATGGAAGGCCTGCTAGAAGTGCCCTGTTAGCTTCCCTTGAAGGGAAAAGAAAAGGAGTAAGCTAGACGAGTTTAAGTGCAACAAACCCAGAACTAGAAGGTAAGTAGAATGAAATTAAGAGGGTCAGAAAGAGAGTGAAATGAGGTGAGGTTCATTAGGCAAGCAAGGACCAAGTTAAGTACTCATGTGTGCCAATACTTATGGCATTATATTTTTTCATTGGTAAGTGTAATGTTAACTGTAGGCTTTTAGTCTGTAACCTTTATATCATGTTTAGGGAATTCCTTTTTATTCCAAGTTTTCTTGAGAAATTTTTCATGAATTGGTGTAAAATTTTGAAAGCCATTTACACTACATTGGTTGCCCTCTTCCTATGTTCCCCACACCTCTTGCAGTGAAGAAAGGTAATCTGTTCACTGAATTTCTTCCTACCTTCTCGAGCATCAAGAAAGGTTCGGAAACCATTTAATTTTATTTTTAAATTTTTTATTTCCATAGTTTTTGAGGAACAGGTGGTTTTTGATTACTTGGAAAAGTTATTTAGTGGTGATTTCTGAGATTTTGGTGCACCCATCACCCAAGCAGTGTACCCTATGCCCAGTGTGTACTCTTTTATCCCTTACTTTGCTCCAGTCCTTCCCCCCTCCCTGAGTCCCCAAAGTCCATTATTTCATTCTTATGCTTTTGCATTCCATAGTTAAGCTCCCACTGATAAATGAGAACATAAGATGCTTGGTTTTCCATTCCTGAGTTACTTCACTTAGAATAATGGTCTCCATCTCCATCCAGATTGTGCAAATGCCATTATTTTGTTTCTTTTTATGGCTGAGTAGTATTCCATGGTGTATGTATACCACATTTCTTTATGCACTCCTTGGTTGGTGGACATTTAGGTTGGTTCCACATCTTGCAGTTGCAAATTGTGCTGCTATAAACATGCATGTACAAGTGTCTTTTTCATATAATGACTTATTTTCCTTTGGGTAGATACCAAGTAATGGAATTGCTGCATCCAATGGTAGTTCTACTTTTAGTTCTTTAAGGAACCTCCATACTGTTTTCCATAATAGTTGTACTAGTTTACATTCCCACTAGCAGTGTAAAAGTGTTGCCTTTCTGCCACATCCATGCCAACATCTAATATTTTTTTATTTTTATTTTTATTTTTATTTTTATTTTTTCTCATTTTTTTTTTTTTTTAATTGATCATTCTTGGGTGTTTCTCGCAGAGGGGGATTTGGCAGGGTCATAGGACAATAGTGGAGGGAAGGTCAGCAGATAAACAAGTGAACAAAGGTCTCTGGTTTTCCTAGGCAGAGGACCCTGCGGCCTTCCGCAGTGTTTGTGTCCCTGGGTACTTGAGATTAGGGATTGGTGATGACTCTTAACGAGCATGCTGCCTTCAAGCATCTGTTTAACAAAGCACATCTTGCACCGCCCTTAATCCATTTAACCCTGAGTGGACACAGCACATGTTTCAGAGAGCACAGGGTTGGGGGTAAGGTCATAGATCAACAGGATCCCAAGGCAGAAGAATTTTTCTTAGTACAGAACAAAATGAAAAGTCTCCCATGTCTACTTCTTTCTACACAGACACAGCAACCATCCGATTTCTCAATCTTTTCCCCACCTTTCCCCCTTTTCTATTCCACAAAACCGCCATTGTCATCATGGCCCGTTCTCAATGAGCTGTTGGGTACACCTCCCAGACGGTGTGGTGGCCGGGCAGAGTGGCTCCTCACTTCCCAGACGGGGTGGCTGCTGGGCGGAGGGGCTCCTCACTTCTCAGACGGGGCGGCTGCCAGGCGGAGGGGCTCCTCACTTCTCAGACGGGGCGGCTGCCGGGCGGAGGGTCTCCTCACTTCTCAGACGGGGCGGCCGGGCAGAGACGCTCCTCACCTCCCAGATGGGGTCGCGGCCAGGCAGAGGCGCTCCTCACCTCCCAGACGGGGTGGCGGGGCAGAGGCGCTCCCCACATCTCAGACGATGGGCGGCCGGGCAGAGACGCTCCTCACTTCCTAGATGGGATGGCGGCCGGGCAGAGACGCTCCTCACTTTCCAGACTGGGCAGCCAGGCAGAGATGCTCCCCACCTCCCAGATGGGGTGGCGGCCAGGCAGAGGCTGCAATCTCGGCACCCCGGGAGGCCAAGGCAGGCGGCCGGGAGGTGGAGGCTGCAGCGAGCCGAGACCACGCCACTGCACTCCAGCCTGGGCACCATTGAGCAGTGAGTGAACGAGACTCCGTCTGCAATCCCGGCACCCCGGGAGGCCGAGGCTGGCGGATCACTCGTGGTTAGGAGCTGGAGACCAGCCCGGCCAACACAGCAAAACCCCGTCTCCACCAAAAAAATACGAAAACCAGTCAGGCGTGGCGGCGCGCGCCCGCAATCGCAGGCACTCGGCAGGCTGAGGCAGGAGAACCAGGCAGGGAGGCTGCAGCGAGCCGAGATGGCAGCAGCACAGTCCAGCCTCGGCTCGGCCTCAGAGGGAGACCGTGGAAAGAGAGGGAGAGGGAGACCGTGGGGAGAGGGAGACCGCGGGGAGAGGGAGAGGGAGAGCTCTTTTTTATTTTTTAATTAGGGCCATTCTTGCAGGAGTAAAGTGGTGTCTTATTGCGGTTTCAATTTGCATTTCTCTGATAGTTTAGTGATGTTGAGCATTTTTTCATACATTTGGCCGTTTGTATGTCTTCTTTTGAGAATTGTCTATTTGCATCCTTTGCCCACTTTTTGATGGGGTTGTTTTTTTCTTGCTGATTTGTTTGAGTTCCTTGTAGATTCTGGTTGTTAGTCCTTTGTTAGATCCATAATTTGTGAATATTTTCTCCCACTCTATGGGCTGTCTGTTTACTCTGCTGATTATTTCTTTTGCTGTGCAGAACCTTTTTAGTTTAATTAGGTTCCATTTATTTATTTGGTTTTTTTTGTTTTGTTTTTTATTTATTTATTTATTTATTTTTGCATTTGCTTTTGGGTTCTTGATCATGAGGTCTTTGCCTAAGCCAATGTCTATACAAGGGTTTTTATGGATTCAGGGCTTAGATTTAAGTCTTTGATGCATCTTGAGTTGACTTTGTATACAGTGAGAGTTGAGGATCCAGTTTCATTCTTCTACATGTGGCTTGCCAATTATCCCAAGCACCATTTGTTGAATAGGGTGTCCTTTCCCCACTTTGTGTTTTTGTATGCTTTGTCAAAGATCAGTTAGCTGTAAGTATTTGGCTTTATACCTGGTTTCTCTGCTCTGTTCCATTGGTCTACATTCCTATTTTTATACCAGTACCATGTTGTATTGGTAACCATACCGTTGTAGTATAGCTTGAAGTTGGGTAATGTGATGCCTCCAGATTTGTTCTTTTTGCTTAGTATTGCTTTGGCTATGTGGGCTCTCTTTTGGTTCCATATGAATTTTAGGATGTTTTTTCTAGTTCCATGAAGAATGATGATGGTATTTTGATGGGAATTGCATTGAATCTGTAGATTGCTTTTGGCAGTATGGTCATTTTCACAATATTGATTCTACCCATCCATGAGCAAAGGATGTATTTCCATTTGTTTGTGTCATCTGTGATTTCTTTCAGCAGTGTTTTGTAGTTTTCCTTGTAGAGGTCTTTCAACTCCTTGGTTGGGTATATTCCTAAGTATTTTATTTATTTTATTTATTTATTTATTTATTTATTTATTCTTGCAGCTATTGTAAAAGGGATTGAGTTCTTGATTCTCAGCTTGGTCATAGTTGGTGTATAGCAGTGCTGCTGATTTGGGTATGTTAATTTTTTATCCTAAATCTTTATTGAATTCCTTTGTCAGATCTAGGAGCTTATTGGATGGGTCTTTAGGGTTTTTAAGGTACACAATCATGTCATTGGCGAACAGTGATGGTTTGACTTCCTTTTTACCGATTGGGTGTCCTTTATTTCTTTCTCTTGTCTGATTGCTGTGGCCAGGACTTCCAGTACTATGTTGAATAAATGAAAGTGGGCATCCTTGTCTTGTTGCAGTTCTCAGGGGAAACCATTTTAAAATGGGATCTACACATCAGCAAAAGTTTGTTTCTGGGGCTATCCCATTCTGCAGGACAGGAGAGATGACCCAACATTTTCATTAACAGGAAACTTCAGTAAGATCAAATCTAGACACTTTATTGTAATTGTATGGAAGACAGAATGAGAACTATTTTGTTTTTTCTTAAATTTTCCTCTAGCTCTCTGTGTCCTTTGATTTTCTTGCATAAGATATTGTAAAAAGATCTAGTGGGTTAGGTAATATAAGAAGGAAGAGGATATGAAATTTATCAAATACATGTGTTAGATGTTTTTATGTTAAGTTAGTCTTTACATCAAGTTGTGAGGGTGATATAATCCTTATTTTACAGCTGTAGGAACTATCTGTAGCTCAGAGAGTGAGGGCCAATATTTGACCTCAAGTTTGTAAGACCATCATCACCCTGAATTATCCTACCACCAACCTGTTCTATTTTTATTCTGGCTTTATTGAAACCTGGTAAAGCTGATTTTTCAAATACATCCATACCATATTGGCAGTCCTAATTAAGATTTCTCACCATTGTGTGAACCATTCACATTTCCAGTTATAATAAAATTTAAAATGAAAATACTAATTCTACTGTGATCGTTTCTATTAAATTTTGTTATATGAAAGTTTTACTTTGCCCCCTTAATTTCCTTTAAAAATCCGTCATCCCTGGTTAAGTTCCTACACAGTGCATGGAGAGCAGCACAGGAGGGCCCAGTGACTCAGACATCAAGCTGAAACAGCCAGGCAGCTTCCGCCTGTTGCTGTCTACACCTAGAAGATGGTGAATGCATTGGAATCCCCTCACTGCCTTTGTAATGCAGTCCTTCTGTCAAATGCAGTCCTTTTGTTTCATCTCTTTCCAAGACTTGAGATAATTAACTTTTACTTCTTCAGTTTCTGGCTCCAACTCTACAGGATGCAATAGTTACCCTCAAAACTATGGTCATGGCAGATAAAGTCTTTCTTCCTGCCACTTCTGTCTCACTGCTTTTTTCATAACTGGTCAATATATACAACCAATAATTCAGACGTAATAGTTGCCTGCCAACAAGGTTACATAGATGTGTTGGGAGTTATTCCCCAGAAAGCCTGCTTTCTCTGGAATAAGCACTTTTAGTCTTCAAAAAAAGGAGAAATGACCCAAATTACTTTCTTTCCTTATCTCCCCCTCTTCCTCCTTCCCACAGGCTTACTGAAAATCAGATCTATAGAATAGGCCTTGTAACTCTATCTGATTCTCTTTCTGATTTCTCTACATATTACCCACAGGAGAAACTAATTTCAGCTGAAGTACTCAACATTCTAGTATATTTTCTCAAGAACATTACTCACTTACATTAATACAATCAAATAATTTAAATTTCACCTTTGATTATTCCTATATTAAATTCATAGTAGCAAATAACAATCTTCTTTGGCATTGATTAGCATGAGAAGAAATTAGCTTGCTATTAATTGTTTAAAAAATAATATTTGTTAGTCAACAGGTAACTTGATATAAATTCAAAGAAAAATATCTAAGATTTGCTAGATTTCAGTTAACAGGGCTTGGCGTTCTTGAGAGTAGGTAATAAGCTAACACATTGTTATGTACCAGAATATTCAAGTTGTTATTCCTTTTAAAACTTCAAACCCAAGAGCATTCTTAGACACTCAGGGAGTTTTATATGGTATTGTTCAAAACCAACTGAGTTTTTCCCCACTACTTGGAATTGGTTTTATTTCTTGGTGTTTAGTGTTCTCTAGGAAAACGTTTTGTCTTTTGGGGTAAATGTACAAATAATGCTAGGAGGAAGTATGAACAACTTCCAAGTAATTATTCAGTAAATGATATTTATGTTCACTAGCCATAATTTTCTATTAACCATTGCACATTGCTTATTTATTTTGAATTCCCACTACACTTGGAGATTCAGTTTACATGCCATTTAATGAAATAGGAACAGTGATATTAATGCCTGTTTTCATTTGTCCATTTAAAAAGAATATTAGCTCTCTGATATAAATAGGTCATATCAATACTATATTACTATAATTAAATATATATTACTATAATTAAACCAAATACTAAAAAATGAGATTTCAGTGTTCAGCAGTAGTGCCATTTTTCAAAAGAGTATATTCAACATTAAACTTATAAATTAAATGAAGATTAATATGTCTCAGAAGTACATAGAGACGATTGATCATCCTAATATAAATGCAGCATTTTGAGGAGACTTTTGCCCATTTTCCAATAATCTTGTTATTATACTGTAGTACTAAGTGATTCATTACTTCAGCCAATATTTAATGTTAAGGGATTCATTACTTCAGCCAGTATTTAATGTATACCTGCATTGAGCCAAACACTATTCTTGGTATGACGATACATTGGTGAACAAAAAAATAACCATAGTTCCCACTATCATGTATCTTGCCATCTAGTAAGGGAGCTAGACATAAATAATTAGGTAAACAAGCATTATATCAAATATATAGCTTCAAATTGTGACAGGTACATAATTGGCATAAAGGGAAAGAATAGAATAGTATAAGGGAGAATAACATGAGGGAAACGTACGTTAGGTGGTTAGGGAATCTTTATATGCAGAGGTAATATTTAAGCCAAGACCTGAAGGCTAAGGCGGTACCAGCCATGTGAAAAACATTTTAGGCAAGAAATTTCAGGCAAGAGAGAACAGCAAGCACAAAGGATCTGAGGAGACAAATGACTTGTTCAAGGAACTGAAAAAAGATCAGCAGCTGGAACCATAGTGCCTAAAAGGGAAAATGGCCAGGAATGAGGTTGAAGAGGTAGGTAGACAGGGCCTGGTTAGCCTTAAAGACCCTGGTAAACAGGTAAACAAGCATTATATCAAATATATAGTTTCAAATTGTGATAGGTACTTAATTGACATAAAGGGAAAGAATAAGGGAGAGTAACATGAGGGAAACCTACTTTAGATTAGGAGACAAATGTCTTGTTCGGTCAAGAGTTTGGTTTTTATTCTTAGGAAACATTGAATGGTGATTGCAGCTGTAGAAAATGGATAGCCAGATCTGTATTACCAGCCCAGTTCTCACTTATTTTCCAGAGCTGTATAGCAGTCAGACTTTTGAAGTTCTGTAAATTCGTACATTTCCCTTTGATGCAGAAAAATCTTCATACAGACAAAGAGAACTAAGGATGAAAGTAATACCAAGACATTGTTTTTAGTATTTTATAGAACTAAGGTTTTGATGGAAATATGAGATAAGGACATAAGAAATTCTGTTGTCCAATAAAATGTGAAAAAAATGCAATTTTACCAGTGATCAAAGAAATGCAAGCTAAATCAACTATACAATACCATTTTTTTTACTTATTAAGCTGGCAAATATTTAAAAATACATAATTAAACTGAGACACATTAAAAATACATATGCATTTACATTGATAAGGATGTGAGGAGACAGATACTTTTATGCACTACTAGTGGGAATGCATATTTGTATAAGTCCACAAGCCCTTGTCTAAGTCACTTTGGCCAGATATGTTTCAGAATTCAGAATTTTTTGGATTTTATAAATGTAATATGAAGACTTTCACTTCAGGACAAGATGCATTTGGAGTTTTTTGCGGGGGGTAGGGAAGGGGCAAAATATATAAAATAATGGTTCATAAGACATTGGACACCAGGCAGTGAAAGATAGTGACCCCTGAAAGATAAGAAACAAATGACATAAACCCTAAGATTTCTACCAAATTACTCCCTGGAGAAAGTTTTCACGGCATGACTCAGAGAGGGAGAACGAAGGCAGAGCTTAGTCTCTCCGGGTCAAGGGGACAGGGCTCAGAGTCCAGGAAAGACAAGGTGGCTAGAGTTTGCAGGGTGGAGTATTAGGTGAGAGCCATACAGAGGGCTCCATAGATCTGCAGAAGGTAACTTTTGAGTATTCAGTTGAGTACTTACCCACTTATTTACCCACTGTGTGAGGAAACTACTTCAGGTCCAAAAAAAAAAAAAAAAAAAAAGGTGCCACCCAAAAGGATTAGATTGAACAATGTCCCAGACTCACAAAGAGCCAGAAATAATGCTTGCTCCCACCAGCCAGCCTGGAAATCTTCATAAATCACAAGGTAGCATTGAGAGTACTAAGTAAGTTCTTAGCCTCAGTAGTGGGGAAAAAAATTAACTTTAAACTAACTGCTGCTTTGATCTCACCTAACAAAGCTTAAAAGCAAAAACCTAAAAAGATAAAACTATTTGCAAGTATTTTAACCATATCGCAGAACAGAGTTTAGCAATGTATTAAAGAATTATAAAAATATCCAATACCCAACAAGATAGAATCCACAATGTCTAGTATTTGATCAAAAATTACTAGGCATGCAAAGAAGCAGGAAAATACAAGCCATGATAATGAGGAAAAGAAAACAACCCATTGAAACTAACACAGAAATGACCCAGATAATAAAATTAGTAGATAAGGACATTCAAAGTTATAATTGTATTCCATATGTTCAAGAAGCTAGAAGAACAATTGAATACGTCAAATGGAAATATGGAAGTTACAAAGAACCAGTAGAACATCTAGAGATTAAAACTACAATGTCTGAGATGAAGAATATACTAGATAAAATTAATAGCAGGATGGGCATTGGAGAAGAAATGATTAGTGAACTTAACAATATAGCAATAAAAACTATCCCAAATCAAACACAGAAAGAAGACTAAACAGAAACAGGGCTTGGTACAGTGGCTCATGCCTGTAATCCCAGCACTTTGGGAGGCCAAGGCAGGAGGATCACTTGAGCCCAAAAGTTTTAGACCAGTTGGGACAACATGATGAGACCCTGTCTCTACCGAAATTTTTAAAAAATTAGCCAAGCGGGTGGCACATGCCTGTGGTCCCAGCTGAGGAGCTGAGGCAAGAAGGTCACTTGAGCCCAGAAGGTCAAGGCTGCAGTGAGCTGTGATTGTTCCATGGGACTCCAGCCTGGGCACCAAAGCGAGACCCTATCTCAAAAAAACAAAAAAGAAAAAGAAATGAATAGATCATTGGTGAACTATGGAACAACTTCAAGTGGCCAAATATACATCAAATTGGAATCCTAAAAAAAAGTAGGGACACAGAGTACAAAAAAAAAAAAACTTTAAAGAGACATAATAGAGTTCTAATTCCAGTAACAGCAGAGCAGCCTATAGTAGATGACCTTTTTGCTAATAATTATAAGCCCTAGGCAAAATATGAAAAAACATTGTTTAGAGAGCAACTGGAAGCAGGCAGAAACTATAGGGAATGCAAACCTTGAAAGAAGGGAAGCAAACTAGACGAGCTCTACATTTAACCAGCTTTTCTAGGGCACCTCTTGGCTTGCCATGGAGTATTGGAGAAAAGAGCTTGAATACCAAGTATCATTCTTACTGGGATGAAGAAACAGAGGTCAAAGTACAAGACTACCAAAGCAGCTCTAAGTTGAGGGAGAAAATCTCAGAAAGAAGCATGCCACAGAAGAGGGAGCCCCAAGTTCTCTTTGCAGTTTTCCAAATTGTGTACAGACAGACAGTGCTTCCAGAAAGCAGCATCAGGTACTAAAGAACTAAGCAGAGATTTCAGCAGCTGCCTGGTGCTGAGTTTTGAATGTAAATGTTGCTATGTTACAGGGATTGATAAATACCTCAAATTTTGTGTTGAAACTGCAGAAGAGCTATGGTTGAGGACTAAGGGATTTCCCAGGACTAAGGGCAAAAGCACAGTAAATCCTAACAAAGCCAGAGCCCAAACTATCATAGGATCAGTAGGAGGAAGAAGGAAAGTGTAAACTATAATCAAGAGAAAAAGCATCAGTAGAAGCAGACCTATGAATGACCCAGATGCTGGAATTGGCAGTTAAGGACTTTAAAATAGAAATTACAAATATGTTAAAGTATTTCGTGGAAAAGATTAACAGAATGATTGAACACATGGGGAAACGTCAGCACAGAAATAGAATCTCTGAAGTAAAACCAAGTGTAAATTGCAGAGCTAAAAAACATATCTAAAGTGAAAATTTTATTAGATGTCAACAGCATTTTTAACACTGAAAAAAATTAGTAAATTTGAATATAGTTCAATAGAAATGATAATTGTAACTGAAGCACAGAGGCAAAAATAATTGAAGAAAGTACAAAAACTCTTGGTGACCTGTGAAACAATATCTAGAAGTCTATCATATATACAAATTATAGCTATATCTATATTTTATAGATATATATTAATGTATAAATTAGATATTTATAAATTATAGATATATAATGTACATATATCTATAATTTATATATTATATAATTATATTTATAATTTATATATGGATATAATGTACATATATCTATAATTTTTATATATGATAAACATAAATATAATATACAACATATATAGAATATATATATAATTGGATTTCTGGAACATAAGGAGCAAGAGAATGGGAGCTGGGGACATTGGACCTAATAATATCTGAAATTTTCCCAAATTTCATAGCAAACATCAACCCATAGAGTCAAAAACTCAGCAGACCTCTAGCAGAATAAATATAAAGAAAACCATACCCAAACACATAATAGTCGTAGTCAAACTGTTGAAACCAAAGATGATGAAGAAATCTTACAAGGAGCCAAAGACAACAATAAGAATGATGGCTGATTTCTCATTTAAAAAAAAAAAGAGGCCAGAAGACAATAAGCTGGCATTTAAAATGCTAAAAAGTAAGTTAATATGGTGCACGTATTGTATGTGACATTCCTTGCCAAGACCAGCTAAGTCATGGAGACCCTAACCCAGTGGCACTAGAGGAATTAGACACACACACAGAAATATAGCGTGTGGAGTTGGAAATCAGGGGTCTCACAGCCTTCAGAGCTGAGATCCTCAAACAGAGATTTACCCACATATTTACTGACAGCAAGCCAGTGATAAGTATTGTTTCTATAGATTATAGATTAGCTAAAAGCATTTCCTACGGGAAATAACTAAAAGCATTTCCTACAGGAAATAAAGGGATGGGCTGAAATAAAGGGATGGGTCTGGCTCCTTACTTGCAGCAGGAACATGTCCTTAAGACACAGATCACTCATGCTATTGTTTGGGGTTTAAGAACACCTTAAGCGTTTTCCACCCTGGGTAGGCCAGATGTTCCTTGCCCTCATTCTGGTAAATCCACAACCTTCCAGTGTGGGCGTCATGGCCATCATGAGCATGTCACAGTGCTGCAGAGATTTCGTTTATGGCCAGTTTGGGGGCCAGTTTATGGCCAGATTTGGGGGGCCTCTTCCCAACATGTCCTCCTTCTTTGTTTTGCAAAGTGATAAAAGCAAAGGCAGCTTTGCATGGTGAGCTACTTCTCTTAAGAGTCAGGATCCACATCTGCAGACTATACAAAGACAACACAGATTAAAAGCACAAACATCATTGAAATCACAGACCTTCCAAGTGTTTTTATCCATTTTAATGGGTTACTAGCTGCTAATTTGTCTGCAGCTCCTTCAAGCACTCCAGTTCCTGGCATTAAGGTCAGGTGTGTCTGGGATACTTTAAATATTTGTTCTTTAATTTTGCAATAGCCGAAGACAAGTTTGTAGAGTGTCCTTCTAGATGCTTTTTTATTCTTTCCTAAATTTTGATCTTATTAAGAGCTATTCATAGTTTCCACAAATCCTTATGTTTAGCTCCTACAACGGGCCATATCATTTGAGGTTGAGGTGCCACTATACCGCCATGGTTCCAGATAATAGGAACTCTTACCGTACTTCTTACCATTTCTACCATCTGACCATTTTGTTCAGACCAGCTGAACACAGTGTGGCCATGGCACACAGACAGATGTGCAATTTAAGCTAAACATCCCCTTAGGGGACCAGTCAATAATGATTCCATGGGAATCGTTGTGCAGCACCTCTGCCTTTTCTGCAATGCAATCTTCCCAAACAAGTACATTCATTTTTTCTAACTGGGACCAGTCCTGTTTACAAATAGGTTTTTGAGGGCAGTATCTCTCACTTATAGGAATAGCTTTATTATGGTAAATCCTGAGATCAGAAAGCATGTGTAACTGTGTCATAGAGTGATTACATACAGGCATTATTGCCAGCCAAAATGGATAAATATGCCCAATAAGTATAATTGTTCTCTGTGTCAGCCCTTGTTGAAGGAATACTCACGGCAATGGTAATCACCACTATCATAGCTACCATTAAGTTACTCATTGTGACTGGTTGTCTTGCTTTCCTCAGGTTTTCTTCCACCATCTGTGACAGCTTCTTGATCTGTCCCTAAGTAGGTGGCTGTGTTCGACGGGTGTTGCTCATGACAGTTGGGGTCCTCCTCAGCATCAGTCTCGACATGGCTGCAACCAGGGGGTCCTCAGGTTCCTCCCAGAGTCTCTTCCTCGGCATCTGGCTCATGATAAGGTTTCAGGTGTCTTGATGGTATCCAAATCGGCTGTTGATTCGGTCCTGGAGAAACGCAAGCATAACCTTTATCCCAAGTTATTATTTTACCTATTTGCCAAGTTTTTGCTATCAGATCTCTCCACCAAACCAGTTATTCTGCTTCTGTCTTTGCAGCTGGTTTCTGTAGATGCTGTTCAGCTGCTGATAGCATCTGGCCTTTAGACAGGCTCAAAAAATTTAAAGTTAGTAATGCTAGATTCAGTTGCATATGAGGTGTCCCATAGTCCCTGTTTCTCCCCCCTTTTTTGTTTTTGTAACTGCTGTTTTAGGGAGAGATTCATTCTTTCCACTATGGTTTGTCCTTGAAAATTACATGGGATGCCAGTAATGTGTTTAATATTCCATGTAGAGAAAAATGTAGCTAGAGCTTGGCTAGTATAGCCTGGGGCATTATCTGTTTTAATAGAAGCTGGAATGCCCATCACCGCAAAACACTGGAAAAGGTGATCTTTAACACAGGCAGAAGACTCTCCTGATTGGCATGTAGCCCAGACAAAGTGAGAAAAGGTGTCCACACATACATGTACATAAGCTAGTCTCCCAAACGAGGGAACATGTATGACATCCATTAGCCAAAGAGAATTAGGTTCCAGTCCTCGAGGATTAACTCCTCTTTTACTGTAAAAGATGAGGAATGCACCATTTGGCAAGTTGGGCATCGCTGGATAATAGCTTTAGCTTGTTTCCAGGTAATGCTGTATCTGCGTTTGAGACCAGAGGCGTTAACATGGGTTAAATTGTGAAAGTGTCTAGCATTAGATACTAGGTGATCAGCCATTTGATTCCCTGCAGTTAATGGTCCTGGAAGAAAGAGGTGTATGAGCCCTAATGTGAGTGATATAAAAAGGGTGCATTCTAATTCTAACTGCTGTTTGCAATTGGGTAAATAAAGTCATCAGTTGTTCATCTATATGAAATCGTAACTGAGCATTTTCAATTAACTGTGTGGAATGAACCACGTATGAAGAATCAGAAATCACATTAACAGGCATATCAAAAGCAGTCAATACCTCAATTACAGCTACAAGCTCCACCTTTTGAGGTGAAGTATAGGGTGTCTGAAAAACTTTACCTGTTGATCCAGAATAAGAAGCTTTACCATTACTAGACCCATCTGTAAAAACATTCTCAGCACCTTCAATTGGTTTAAATGTAGTTATTTTAGGGAGAATCCAATTAGTTAATTTCAAAAATTGAAAGTTTTGTTTTAGGAAAAGAGTTATCGAGAATACCCACAAAGTCAGCTAAATGGGTTTGCCAAGTAAGACCATTTATAAAAGCTTGCTGTATTTCTGCTTTCCTGAGAGGGACAGTAATTTTTCCAGGATCATATCCATGTAATTTAACAATCCGAGTTCTCCCATTTCCTATCATAGTAGCAATTTGATCCAAATAAGGAGTTAGTCCGTGAATTAGTATGTGGAAGAAAAAGCCATTCCACTAAGTCCTGCTCTTGGGCAATAACACCAGTGGGTGAATGCTGAGTTGGAAAAATTAGCAAATCTAGAGTCTTCTCTGGATCTATTCTATTTATTTGAGCTTTATGGTCTTGCTTTTTGATTAGCTGCAGCTCTGCCTCAGCGTCTTTTGTTAGTTGCCGAGGGCTAGTGAGACTAGGATCTCCTCTAAGGATAGAAAATAGATTACTCATGGCGTAGGTAGGAATGCCTAGAGCAGGTCATATCCAATTAATGTCCCCTAGTAATTTTTGAAAGCCATCTAATGTTTTCAGTTGATCCCTACGTATCGTTACTTTCTGTGGCACAATGTAGTGTCATTTACTAAGGCCCCTAAGTAGGATTAAGGAATAGTAGTCTGAATTCTGTCAGAAGCTATAGTTAAACCAGTGTGAGAAATCGAATTTTGCAAGTGATCATAACATTGGAGTAATATTTCTCGAATGGGGCAGCACAAAGTATATATCCATATAATGAATAATGTAACACTGTGAAAATTTTTTACGAGTGGGTTCAATTGCTTGTCCTACATACGTCTGGCAAATTGTTGGACTGTTTAACATGCCTTGTAGCAACACTTTCCAATGAAAACGCTTAGCAGGCTGCAGGTTGTTTACTGCAGGAATTGTAAATGCAAACTGTTCACAGTCCTGCTCAGCTAAGAGGATAGTAAAGAAATAGTCTTTTAAATCTATGACTATTAAAGGCCAATTTTTCAGAATCATAGCGGGAGAAGGCAATCCTGGCTGTAATGTCCCCATTGGTTGTATGACTGAATTAATGGCTCTTAAATCAGTTAACATTCTCCATTTCCCTGATTTTTTCTTAATTACAAAAACTGGAGAATTCCAAGGGGAAAATGTTGGAGCTATGTGTCCGTTTTCTAATTGTTCAGTAACTAATTTCTCTAAAGCCTCCAGTTTCTCTTTCTTAGCGGCCATTGTTCTATCCAAATTGGCTTATCTGTTAACCATTTTAAAGGTGTAGGTTCTGGAGGCTTAACAATGGCCACCATCAGAAATGATATCCTAAACTTTGGTAGGAACTTCGTCTTTCTGCTTGAAGCGGTTCCTTCAAACCTTGTAAATTTTTTCCTAGTCTCATACCAAGGACATACCCCATTTCATGCATCATATGTTGCCTTTGAGGGCTATATAATTGTTCTGGAATTAGAACTTGTGCTCCCCATTGTTGTAATAAATCTCTTCCCTATAAACTTATAGGTACAGAAGTTATAATTGGTTGAATAGTCCAGGTTGTCCATCGGGCCCTTCACAATGCAAAATATAACTACTTTGATAATACTTCAGGGGCTTTACCAACTCCAGCTATGTTAAATTGAGCAGGTTGAATTGGCCACGTGGACGGCCAGTGCTATAGAGAAATGATTGAAATGTCTGCTCCTGTATCTACCAAACCCTTAAATTTCTTTCCCTGAATAGTTATTTCACAGGTAGGATGTTTATCAGTAATCTGATTTACCCAATAAGCTGCTTTGTCTTGTTTATTTGTGCTTCCAAATCCTCCTGTTCGTTTAATTTCACCTTTCCCCATTTCCACATACGGCACAATCAGGAGCTGTGCCATACACTGTCCTGGCTCTGCTTTCCAGGGAACAGAAGTAGATGTAACAATTTGAATTTCCTCATTGTAATCTGAATCAATGACTCCTGTATGTGTTTGCACTCCTTTTAAATTTAAACTAGACCTTCCTAAAAGTAATCCTATCGTCCCCGCTGGCAAGGGTCCACAGAGCCCTGTTGGGACCTTTTGCGGGGGTTCCCAGGCAGAAGGCTCACAGCTTTTGTGCAGCGTAAATCTACTGTGGCACTACCGGCTGTGGCGGGGGACAGACATTGTACGGGGGTGAGGGAATGGCCTGAGCCGGAAAGGTCCCGGTTTGGAATGGGGCCCAGGACGGCCCTTCATGACGTTTCCCGAAATCAGGTTCCCATCTTTATCAAACTTAGAGTGACACTGATTAGCCCAGTGTTTTCCTTTTTTACATTTTGGACATATTTCAGGCTCAGCAGTTTTCATTTTTTCCCTCAACTGGTGGCCTGACTTGCTGATTTTTTCTACATTCTTTTTTAGTATGACCATGCTTCCCACAGTTAAAACAAGCTCCAGGAAATGGAGTATTTCCTTTATCCACTCTCAGTCCTGCCATTGCCTGTGCTAGCAGAGTAGCCTTATGCAGATTACCTCCAATACCGTCACAGGCCTTGATAGAATCAACTAAATGTGCTTTCCCTTTAACAGGTCGCAGAGCAGCCTGGCAATCGGGATTAGCATTGTCAAAAGCTAATAACTGCAACACTATTTCCTGAGCAGCCGGATCTGCAATCACCTTTTTAAGAGACTCCTGTAACCGAGCCATAAAATCTGCATACGGTTCTTTCAGTCCCTGCTTTACAGCACTAAAGGAAGGATATTGTTCTGCACCTGAAGTGATTTTTTCCCAAGCCCTAATTCACACTACTCTAAGCTGCTCTGTGGCATCATCCTGCATGACCACTTGGGCATCTAAACCAGCCCAGCTGCCAACCCCCAAAAGTTGGTCTGCAGTTACATTAATTTGCGGTTGGGCCTGGGCGTTGCAAGCAGCCTGAATGGAAGTTTCATCTGCCCACCAAGTTTTAAATTGTAAGAACTGAGCAGGAGTTAGACAAGCTCGAATAAGAGCGTCCCAGTCAGTAGGAATCATCTGACTGGAAACAGCAACCTTCTTTAACAGTCCCATTACAAGAGGAGAACCTGGTCCATATTGATTAATAGCTTGTTTAAATTCTTTGAGTAATTTAAAAGGAAACGGCTCAAATGTAGCTATAATATTTCCCTGTTAATCTGGGGGGTGTATTCTAACAGGGAACTGCCAAGCCTCTAAATCACCTTCTCTTCTAGCTTGCTGAATTCCTGCCTGAATAGAACTGAGAGTGGTCGCTCGAGGCGCTGCTCGAACAGTCACTGGGGCAACTACTTTTTGCCCATATGTCCTCTGGAAAAGAAAGATCTGGAGGATCAAGCCACTCTTTTTCTTCAAAATAATGAGGGGGTGTAGAAGGGTACGGATGAACCTTATCCTCCTTTGCTGCTTTAGCTTTAGCTGGCAAACAGACCTGCTCTGTTACCTCTTCTGTTACTTCGTTGTACTCTCCTTCCTCCTCATCATTAGAGTGAAAAGGTTCCAAGGTGGAACAAACCAGAGCCCACACTTGTCCCATTGTTACCCTGATGCTCCCAAGCTCCCCTTCTTACTCACCATGGGGATTGCTTAAGAGTACTCAGTGTCCTCCAGCTTAGTTCCACGTTCTCCAACCATCACTCCGGCGACCCTTCAACCCAGGTTTGAGCCCCCATGTTTGAGCACCACTTGCCGAGACCAGCTCGGTCAGGGAGACCCTAACCCAGCGGCACTAGAGGAATTAAAGACACACACACACACACACACAGAAATACAGTGTGTGGAGTGGAAAATCAGGAGTCTCAGCCTTCAGAGCTGAGAGCCTCTAACAGAGATTTACCTACATATTTATTGACAGCAAGCCAGTGATAAGCATTGTTTCTATAAATTATAGATTAACTAAAAGCATTTCTTACAGGAAATAAAGGGATGGGCCGAAATAAAGGGATGGGTCTGGCTAGTTATCTGCAACAGGAACATGTCCTTAAGGCACAGATCGCTCATGCTATTGTTTGGGGTTTAAGAACACCTTAAGTGGTTTTCCACCCTGGGTGGGCCAGGTGTTCCTTGCCCTCATTCTGGTAAACCCACAACCTTCCAGCGTGGGCGTCATGGCCATCACGAGCATGTCACAATGCTGTAGAGATTTTGTTTATGGCCAATTTTGGGGCCAGTTTGTGGCCAGATTTGGGTACCTGTTCCCAACAATTCCTGGTATGGACTAGTCTTTATTTCATAATTAAATGCTTTTGAGAGATAAGTGAAGACTATAAATAGCGTCACTTTGGTTCAGGCCAGGTTTTGCTGCCAGATGACTTTTGGTGTGAAAAATATTTTTTAAACAATCCTTTGGTTTCAGAGCTTTTTGGATTTCAGAATTATAGGAAAGGGAGTTGTGGCCCATCTTACTTACCTGAAGAAAAAGTAGTAATATGTATTTTTAAATGGTTACACGCTTTTAAGCAGGGACTTACAAGAATCTGTCCATCTGTCCAACAGAAATTATCAAGTTTGTGTGCCAAATATTATATATGAGGATACAACATCTTAAAAAATAATTTTTAAAAATTGAAAATAACCTAAATGTCCCAATAGCCCACAGTTGATTAAATTAGTTATGGTATGTCTAGGCAGTGAATGAACTGCTTTGTAGCCATGAAAAATCATATCATAGAAGAATATTGATATGTCGAAGTAAACATTCATAATGTGCAACATAGAAAGATCACAAAGCAGTGATTCCAAATTTTAATAGCAGTTGTTGCTGTGTGATTGGATTGTGCTTTTTATTTGCTTTGTTTGAGCTGTTATATTTCTTAAATTTCTGTCACTGAACATGTATTTCTTTTGTAATCAGTAAAATTAAGGCTTTTTTTTTTTTTTTGCATTTAAAAAGGCCTCACTCTGTTGCCTAGACTGGAGTACAGTGTTGTGATCATAGTTCACTGCATCCTGGACCTCCCGGGCTCAAGCAGTCCTCCCACCTCACCCTCCCAAGTAACTGAGACCTCAGGTGCACACCAGCACTCCAGGCTAATTTTTAAATTTTTTGTGGAAATGGGGTTTCGCCATGTTACCCAGACTGGTCTCAAATTCCTAGGCTCAAGCCAACCTCCTTTTGGCCTCCCAAATTGCTGGTATTACAGGTATAAGATACCATTCCTAGCCCTATTTTAACAACAACAACAAAAGCCAGCTGTGGTGGCTCACGCCTGTAATTCCAACATTTTGGGAGGCCAAGGTGGGTGGATTATCTGAGGTCAGGAGTTCGACACCAGCTGACCAACATGGTGAAACCCCGTCTCTACTAAAAATACAAAAATTAGCCGGGCATGGTGGGGTGCACCTGTAATCCCAGCTATTTGGGAGGCTGAAGCAGGAGAATCACTTGAACCCAGGAGTTGGAGGTTGCAGTGAGCTGAGATCGTGCCATTGCACTCCAGCTGGGGCAACCAGAGCAAGACTCCATCTCAAAAAAAACCAAAAAACAAGATGATAAAGAAGATATTCATATTGCTTTTAAACTTCAGCTCAGATTGCTTCATTAAGTCAGGAATCATTTTATTAACAAAGATCACAAAAAGTTCAACATTATTAAGGCCCTAGCTTCGTATATCATCCGTATCCCCAGATCTAGTGTCTGCATACCTGGATTTAAAATGTCTCTTTTAAGCTTCATTGCCTGGGGCATTTCCAGAAGGAATCCTGTTAAATGAAAAAATAAGGCCTTTCATGAGGGATGCTGGACCACTTCCATTGCCACTTCAAACATATTCTGACTTAATCTCTAGAGAACAGGCTTCTCATATAAATTGTCCACCACCACATCTAGTTCTTGGCTTGTTTTTAAAAGTCTGCAGATTCTTTCATGAGGTCACTTTTTTAAGCTTAAATATCTACTTTGCTTTGAAAATCTGTTTTCTCCCTTTTCAAAAAGAGCATACCAGAAGTTAAAATTGGATCATTTTTAGCAAGCTACATCATACATCTGGAGTGAATTCCAGCGTATTAATGTCATGGTATGTTACAGCAAAGACTGTCAAGTCTAATTTTTGCAGATCTGCTCAATCTGAAAGGACAGTCTGGACAGCTAGCAGTTTTGATTGTTGAGCTGAGATGTGTTTTCTAAAGTTATTCTTAAAATCAGAGAGGTTAAACAAAACCTGCAACGTGGTCCTACTTGAATAGCGATGGCGACAGTGATAGGAAATAGTATATTTCCTATAGTATATATCATCTGTACTGTAGTCTCTTATAATTAGGCAGAGTTGAAAGAGGCTTGAGATCTTGTAACTGTTTACCAGCACCTCATTCTAGTCAGATAGTATCGAGTATCCATTGAACTACTTATAGTAATAATTATATTTTGCCCTTGATATGGTTTGGCCATGTCCCCACACAAATCTCATCTTGAATTGTAGTTCCCATAATCTCCATGTGTCGGGAAAGGGACCTGGTGGGAGGTAATTGAATCATGGGGGCGGTTACCCTTATGCTGTTCTTGTGATAGTGAGTGAGCTCTCATGAGATCTGATGGTTTTATAAGGGGCTTTTCCCCTTTTGCTTGGCACTTCTCTCTCCTGCTGCCTTGTAAAGAAGGACGTATTTGCTTCCCCTTCACCATGATTTTAAGTTTCCTGAAGCCTTCCCAGCCATGTGGAACTGAGTCAATTAAACCTCTTTCCTATAAATTGCCCAGTCACAGGAATTTCTTAATAGCAGCATGAGAATGGACTAACCCCTGTAAATTAATAAATAGATATTCTGGTCTCTGTATATTTAATGTTTTTGCTAGAATTCACTGCTGAAACCCTGTCGGCTAGGAATTTTCATTGCAGAAGGATGTTTGATAACAAACTGAATTTATTTAATAGATATAAGGCTATTCATATTTTCTGTTTTGGGTCCATTTTTGTAAGTTCTGTTTTTAATGAATGTATCCTTTCATTCCTTTTCATTTAATTTGTCAAGCTTATTGGCATAAAATTATTCACAAAAGGTTCTTATCATCTTTTAAATACCTGTAAATGATGTTGCATGTTGTAATATATCCTCTTTCATTGCTGATACTGGTAATTTATAGTCTCCTTTTCTTGATCAAGCTCCATAGCAGATTATCAATTTTATTTATCTTTTCAAAGAGAACCAATGTTGACTCTGATAATTATCTTGGTTGTTTATTTTTATTTTTATTTCATTGATTTTTGCTGCTTATTATTTACTTCTTTCCTACTTAGTTTGGTTTTACTTTGATCTCTTTCTAGTTCCCTAAATTGGAAATTTGGATCCTTTATTTTAAACCTTTCTTATTTTCCAATATAACATATGGGCTGTAAATTCTTTAACCACTGTTTTAGTTATATACTTCAAATTTCTTTAAATGCTTTATTGAGGTATAATAACTGATATAAACTGGACATACATAAAGTGTACAAATTTGACATATGTATACACTCATGAATCTGTCACCACAATCAAGATAATGACTCTACCCATCACCACCAAAAATTTACTTAATCCCTCTCTCCTGTTCCCTGGCAACCACTGATTATCTTTACAAATTAATTAAACAGTAGATTAGTTTGGATTTTCTCGAATTTTAGATTAATGAAACTATAAAATAGATATACTTTTTTTTATCTGACTTCTTTCACTCAGCATAGTTATTTGCATGATTGCATCATGTATTTTTAAGCTATTAGGTACATAGATGTTTAGCATTGTTGTGTCTTCCTAATGAATTGACCCCTTTATTATTATGGGATGACCCTTTTTGGACCTGATAGTAGTCTTTGCTCTAAAATCTAGTGCTATTGGCTGGACGCAGCTCATGCCTGTAATCCCAACACTCTGGGAGGCCAAGACGGGCAGTCATCTGAGGTCAGGTGATCTCTACTAAATACAAAAAATTAGCCAGGCATGGTGGCGCATACCTGTAATCCCAGCTAATTGGGAGGCTGAGGCAGGAGAATCACTGAACCTGGGAGGCGGAGGTTGCAATGAGCCAAGATCGTGCCATTGCACTCCAGCCTGAGCAACAGAAGCGAAACTCTGTCTCAAAAAATAAATAAATAATTAAAAAAAAAATGTAGTGCTATCATGGCATATTGTCGCCATCCTTTTCCTTTTAACCTATTTGAGCCTTCATATTTAGATGGTGTTTCTTGTAGGCAGCATGTAGTCAGGTCTTTTTCATTTATCTAATCTAAAATCTCTGTATTTCAGCTCTTCAAATATTTAAATATATTTCTGTACTATTATCTTTTCTTCCTTGGACTAAACATCCTCTTATTATGGTTTGGCTGATACTTTTTCTAAATCCTTCACAATTATCAAACTCTTCTGTGCATGCTTTGCTTCAAAGGGATATTACATCACAGTAGAGATTTTGAGTTGCCTTCTGCAAGAAATGCTGATCATTGTTTATTACTTCATTTGCTTAACATCATCACCAAAGATCTATTATCTATTTAATCCCTCACCATTTGGTTAAAACCAATCTAGACCCACTTTTCTTACCCAAATCATATTTTTTTCTTGGTTCACTACTGATTTTTTGATCTCCAGAAAAATTTCAAGGGGACTTAACACAAAATCTATTAATCTATTAATTTCCTCTGGAAATGTCTGTTTTATCTTAGTTATACCAATTCTAGTTGAATTATTTTGAATGTGGGTCAGACAAAACTAGACTATAACTGAAAGGGTATTAAAATGTTTGCCTTTTTTTTCCAGGTAAAAATGTCTCCATCGTATCATCAGTCCAAAGGGGATCCCACTGCTAAAAAGGTGAGTTTGTTTTAAAGGCAAAAAACCAGTTCTTCCTTCTGTATGTTTATTCTCCTATGTGGAACAATATTCTCAACATGGCAATGATTTTTAATCATCTTAATGCTGTCAAGGGTTATTTCTGATTAGATGCTTTAATGACATGTCTCCAGGCCTCCTCTTTGGCTTCTCCAGAGAAACCAAGTTGGGTTTCGACATCAGTCTCCTAGCAACTATCAGTTTCTAGAATGTCCATCTTCCAGGCATGGTATCGTGGTATCAATGAGTGGTAGTAGGTGAAAGATATTCACAGGAAAGCTATATAGTTTATCTTAATAATGTGCTTTACTTCGACTGGGTGCAGAGGCTCATGCCTGTAATCCCAGCACTTTGGGAGGCTGAGGTGGATGGATCATCTGAGGTCAGGAGTTCAAGACCAGCCTGGCCAACATGATGAAACCCTGTCTCTACTAAAAATAGAAAATTAGCTCGGCGTGGTGGTGCATGCCTGTAATCCCAGCTACTCAGGAGGCTGAGGCAGGAGAATTGCTTGAACCCGGGAGGCGGAGGTTGCAGTGAGTCAAGATCGAGCCACTGCACTCCAGCCTGGGCAACAAGAGTGAAACTCCATCTCAAAAAAAGAAAAAGAAAAAGAAAAAATGTGCTTTACTTCTAGAGAGCTGTGCCTAAAAAAACTGGCCTGAGATAGTAACAGCACATAAGAAGGTCTTCAATAAATGCTGGCAGAAGAGAGCTCTCATGTGTGCTACTTCAGTTCCTGACTGTAAGCTTTGTGACCACAGATAGGGTATGACTGACGGTTTTACACCTTATCTGAGTGATGCATAGATGATGTCAAGAGAACCACTAAAATCCTTTTCCTTTATCCAGCTGTAAAAGTGCAGTTGAAACATGGTAAACAAATTGACATTTTTGCTTGTTTCTTTCATCATTTTTCTTTCTCTAATAGTCGAAGTGTTTCTTTCCCTTGCCCTTTTTTGCCATTTCAGCCAGCATCCATATCAGTGAAGGACTGTAGAACAAAAATAACCACCTGCTGGCTCTGTTGACTAACAGGAGGTTTTAGCTTCAAAGCAATGTTCCAAAAATGGGTCCCCCTCCTCTGACTTCAGAATCCCCTGAGACTTTTTCAGAAGAGAAGAGAATAAAAACAAAATATGTTGTCTGAAAAGACCTATAACATACTGCACATAAAAATCTCTTTCACTCTTGTCAAGGCAGTAGGGGCAGGCGAGACTGAGGCAATGACTGTTGATACTTAGAACCATCACACTGTAACGCAAAGAGCTGGGGGAGCCTGTCATTTTAGTCTCACTCAGTAAGTAGACGAGGAAATGGAAATCCAGAGGGATTCCAATTTTTTGTCTTAGCTCTCCAATGTTAGCTATGGAACACACTTCTAACATAGTGATGTCAAGCGTGTGCCTTGGATACCACCAGACTTGGGTTCGAAGATTTACTCTTCTGCTTATTTATCTGAGTGACCTTGTGTAAATTGGCCCCTCTGTTTCGTCTTATGTAAAATGGTGATGCTACTCTCAGAATTGTCCTGAAGATTAAATGAAATAGTCTACTGCTTAAGAGTATAATACTATGTTTGACATATAGTAAGTACTCAAGCTGTTGTTGACACTAGTATTAAAATGCAGGTCTCCCAGCTCCTAATCAGATGTCCTCTTACTTTATCATGCTGCTTGTATAATATTGTTCATTCAGCAAGTATAGTCTGCCCTTCACATTTGTGGGTTCTGCATCTGTGGATTCAACCAACCACAGATTGAAGATATATGGGGGAAAAATGATAAAAAAAATAATGATACAACAATAAAAAACAGTACAACTATTTACATTGTATTGGGTATTATAAGTAATCTAAAGATGATTTAAAATACATGGGAGGATGTGCACTGGTTATATGCAAATACCATGCATTTTAAAGGACTTGAGCATCCATGGATTTTGGCATCCACAGGAGGTCCTAGAGTAAATTCCCCACAGATATCGAGGGATGGCTGTATTTCTTTTTTTTTTTTTTTTTTTGAGATGGAGTTTCCCTCTGTTGCCCAGGCTGGAGTGCAGTCACATGATCTCAGCTCACTGTAACCTCTGCCTCCCGTGTTCAAGCGATTCTCCTGCCTCAGCCTCCTGAGTAGCTGGGATCACAGGGACGCACCACCACACCCAGCCAGTTTTTGTATTTTTAGTAGAGACAGGGTTTCACCATGTTGGTCAGCTGGTCTCGAACTCCTGACCTCATGATCCATCCGCCTTGGCCTCCCAAAGTGCTGGGATTACAGGCATGAGCCACTGTCTTTTTTTTTTTTTTTTTTTTTTTTTGAGACAGAGTCTCACTCTGTCGCCCAGGCTGGAGTGCAGTGGCACAATCTTGGCTCACTGCAACCTCCGCCTCCTGGGTTCAAGCGATTCTCTTGCCTTAGTCTCCTGAGTACCTGGGACTGCAGGTGCCCACCAGCACACCTGGCTAATTTTTTTGTATTTCCAGTAGAGACAGGATTTCACCATGTTGGCCATGATGGTCTCAATCTCCTGACTTCGTGATCCACCCAACTCAGCCTCCCAAAGTGCTGGGATTACAGGCGTGAGCCACCACGCCCAGCCAGCTATATTTCCTTACACTATTTACTGAGATAAACAGTGGACTAGAGAAAAGAAATACAATCCTGTTCTCAAAGACCTCAGCATTTATTGAGAAAAGTAGACGGGTAAACTGATAGTTACCGAACACCTTGACACATACCATGGAAGGTGCACAGGGTTCTGTGAAGGCGCCAAGGAAAGGCCCTATTTTGAGATGACTAAGCTAACTTAGTGCAGTTTTTATGTTCTTTTTTTTTTTTTTTTTTTTTTTTTGAGACGGAGTCTCGCTCTGTCGCCCAGGCTAGAGTGCAGCGGCACGATCTCGGCTCACTGCAAGCTTCGCCTCCCGGGTTCACGCCATTCTCCTGCCTCAGCCTCCCAAGTAGCTGGGACTACAGGTGCCCGCCACCACGCCCGGCTAATTTTTTGTATTTTTAGTAGAGACGGGGTTTCACTGTGTTAGCCAGGATGGTCTCGATCTCCTGACCTCGTGATCCGCCTGTCTCAGCCTCCCAAAGTGCTGGGATTACAGGCGTGAGCCACCGCACCCGGCTCTTACGTTCTTTATGGCAGAAACCTCCATGAAGAACTTTGAGGAATCGTTAGCTGCTCCCCTACAACACTGTTATCAGAGTGAGAGCAAATTTTGCCATGTATATAGGCATTTATTAAATAAATACTCATTTAGAAATAGGTTCTGCAACCTATTTTTCAAACTGAGTAATGTCCCAGCTCTTTGTCATTTTAGGTGTCTGACATCTGTCAGGGATGTGACATTACAGAAGCAGGGTTTTGTTACTCTTAGAATCGGCATCAGGCAAACAGAAGCTTCCTAAGCCAATGACTGGACACAAGTGGCCCGGGCAGCATTCCTTTGTGATCAGATGCAGACTTATTCCTGGTTTATGCAAAACTTGGGACTATCTCTAAAATATTTTATTCAATATACATATCTCAAATGCCTTTTACTTTATCAATGAGAGTCCATTTCCAATATTCACCATGGCGGTTAACAAGTCATTTCTTTCACCAATAAAAATATTTCCATTTTTTAGCTAATGAGGCAAGTCTTAGTGTTGGTGAACATCTGAATAGCTGAAGAGCTTTTTTTAGTGGCTGTCTTGCGGAGTTCGTGTTAGCTGGACTCTCCTGAAATATAGATTCTTAATTTGGGCCATTGACCATCCCTGAGTTGAAGCCCAAAACTACATAGCACATACTTATTATCATGCTGTTTATGTCGTCTCTAGTTACTTGAAAACATGTATCACAGTGGGTCAGTGGGCGGCCATCCCAGATTAGGGGTCAGGAAAGGCTTCCCAGCGAAGATAAAGCTTGACCTAGCCTTAAGAAACAAGGGAAATGGTAACCTAGGCAGATAGAAGTGAGTAACACATTGTCAGAAATGGGAATGGTTCTGCATGTCTTCAGTATAATGTGAAAGCATGGAGAAGTCTGGTAAAAGATAAACAGGGGTTCAGACCACAAAGAGCCCCAGTCTGTGAAGTTTGCTTTCTATCTTGAGGATAAGGTTTCCAGCAAAGGTAAGACTGAAAGCAGAAAGACCAATTGGAAGAGTAAGACACTTGTCCAGGTAAGAAAAAAGATCCTAACCCTAGGCTGTGTTAATGGAGTAAAGAGATTAAATAGATTCAAATATTAGCTATTTTTTCTCTCAGAAAACCCTGACACCCTCCTTAAGTCTGAGTAAGTGTCCTTCCTTCCCTGAGCTCACAGCGCTCTGAATTAGTCCCTACCAATACCTGGGTGGGTTGAGATTGCCTCTCTACTTAATGCTCATCTCCCATTAGACGATATGCCTCATGAGGGCAGAGCAGTAACCTCATCAGTCTTGTTTACAGTTGTATCCGTAAGTGTAGAACAAAGTAGTCACTCGGTCGTTGTTGAATGAATGAGAGATGCACGAAAGAGATTTCACAGGACTTCCTGGTGGTTTATGAGAAGTGAGGGGGAAAAGAAATTTCTGGCTCTGATGACTAGAGGAAAAATAAATGAAACATCATTGCTGTTTCAGGCTTGTCTCCCAGGCATGGTCAGTTCCTTATTGAATCACCAGTACTCCGAGTGAGATTTACCTGAAGATCAATGTGAAACTCAACACCTAATTATTACTTCCTTAGTTGGGTATATATTTTTGTGTGGATATGCTTGTATGCTCATGTACATCTATGTATATATTCTGGTTCTTATCCTTGAGCTACAGTCTCTCTTCCCAAAGTTGCATTGACAGATGGAAGCAGCAGTAGTGTCTGTTGAACAGAGTGACTGCCAAAGTGACATGTGTAGGAAACACAAAGGAAGCAGCAGTGTTCTTCATTTAGCCAAAAAGTCTCTGTTGACCGATAACTGAAGGAAGTGTTTGGTGACTCTGCTGTCAATATTGGCCCTGCCAAGAGCTGGATTCAAGTGCTAAGGAAACCAGAGTCATGTTCTGTAGGACTCAGCTAACTTCCTGGGGCTTCTTTTTAGGTATTTCATGTAGGAGTCACTCTTTAGAATGTCACTGTTCCACTCTGCCGCTGCATGTCAGAGTGTGCATCACATTCCACAACATGTATCTTTTTTTTTTTTTTTGAGACGGAGTCTCACTCTGTTGCCCGGCTTGGAGTGCAGTGGTGTGATCTCAGTTCACTGCAACCTCCGCCTCCCAGGTTCAAGCAGTTCTGCTGCTGCAGCCTCCCAAGTAGCTGGGACAAGCACACACCACCACACCCAGCTAATTTTTTTGTATTTTTAGGAGAGAAGGGGTTTCACCATGTTGGCCAGGCTGGTCTCAAACTCCTGACCTCAAGCGATCCTCCCACCTCAGCTTCCCAGAGTGCTGGGATTACAGGCGTGAGCTACCACGCCCTGCCCACAACACGTATCTTTTTACTAGCATTTTGCATTATAGATATTCTTTACAAAAGCTTTAAATTGGCAATATTTATTGTATATAAAATTGGTATGTATTTACTTTATTTAAAATTTCTTCTTAGTGGGCTCTAATTGATAATTTCAGTAACGAAGTTGGAAGATACACATGGTTCCCTAGGACCTTTACAGTGTTTGATCATGTATGACCAGAAATGTAAAAATCAGGAGTCATTGCCTTCAGATAAAAATCGACATAAAACCCATTGCAATGAACTCCCCAGGATAGATCCAAATGCAGGTGTTGACAACGTTTAAGGTACATCAGGAGAGTTAGTTGGGGGCAGCATCAGACACCACTCAGCTATGATGCATCTCTTCTTGACTACCAAAGAAACACCAACCAAGAATGTTCACAGAAAAGTTGGGTCTGTTACATTTATGATAACTAGAGAAAGCATTTTGTCTTGTGTCTTGATCTCAGGTACATGGTTACCTCTCTGAGCAACCCCTGGTTTTAGATCCGCTTTCTCTGCTGGTGTGTTTGCAGAAGCTGAGGGGCCAGGTGCTCTGGCTGAAGACTATCCTCAGGCTGGTGGTGCCACTGGAAGGTCCACAGCTGTTCTCCTCAAAGTAACTTCTTCCAGTTAGGGACAATGCACAGGGAATGAGAGAGTGGAAAGCCTTTCCAATAGTTCTGTGAGTCCATTCAGTAAATATTCCGCAAGCCTGTTAGGTGCCAGGGTTCAGAGGGACAAAGGACAGTGAAGAAATACAGTTCCTTCTCTCAGCACATTTACATGTTAATGGTGACTGAACTGGTGGATATCATAGCCAAGCCTCTCAGAAGTTGATTTTCAGTTTGTTAAGTATTCAGGTACGTTATAAGAATTTGGAGCTGATTTTTGGAGTTTTTTAAGAGACGATGTCTCACTGTGTTGCCAAGGCTGGAGTGCAGTGGCACAATCATAGCTTACTGCAGCCTCAGACTCCTGGGCTCAAGCGATTCTCCCACCTCAGCCTCCTGAGTAATTGGGATTATAGGCATGAGCCACCATGCCTGGCTGATTTTTTTTTTTGGTCATTGTTCCAGGTGTTCTTATGAAGTAAGGTTTTTATAACCAATTCTCAGTCTTGCTGCTCATGTCAGCAATATAGACAGCTATACTTGCTCATAATTTTTGTTGAATTACAGGTTGGCGTTTTTTTTTTTTTTTTTTTTTTTTTTTTAAGGGAAAAAGCCTCACAAAGCCACTGTTTCCATAACAACCAGAAAAGCTGGCCCCAGTGTCTCAGCTCGCTGGCCCTAAGAATGGCTGGTTGATAGTTTCACAAAAGTCAAGGGAAATGAAGAAAGCACTGAGATAGATGCAGCATTTTCTAGCCATCATTTGATGGAAGCTTAAATAAAATAAAGATACATTCACCTTTTGATGCCTCACCCTTAACTCTTTCCTGCAAAGATGCGAGTTCTCATAAACAACAAAATGATAGCCCTTGATCGATATAGATGCTTCTTTCTCTAGAGTATTTGTCTTAATAGGACTCCAAATATGACTTCATTGCCTCTACTGAACACCACCCCCAAAAAAGGAAACAGAGAACATGATTTGGTCTTTGTTTTTGCATCGGCAGAGTTGAAAACCTCAGCAAGACAGATGCCTTTTTATGGATGTGAAGAAGCTGGAGTCTAGTTGCCTTTAGACACCTGGAGGGCAATGATCTGGAGGACACTAACTGGAAGAAAGCATAGGCATCCTTAATTGTTGAGAGGACAGAACTGGTACCTGTGGGTAGCTACTATGTGAATGGAGATGTCAGCTTGGTATGAGAATTTCATAATGGTAGAACAAGGTATCTTGAGTGACACTACATTACCTACTACTAGAGGTGTTTGGTCGGTGACAGAATATCTATTGGTCAAACTCCTGCCTTTGGTCAGAGTTTGGACTAGTTGATTTTTAGATCCCTTGAAGCATTAAAATCTTATGAGTCTATAATTGTATTAAAAACAAGTTGCAGCCGGGCTCGATGGCTGACGCCTGTAATCCCAGCACTTTGGGAAGCCGAGACGGGCAGATCACTTGAGGTCAGGAGTTCGAGACCAGCCTGACCAACATGATGAAACCCTATCTCTACTAAAAATACAAAAATTAGCCAGGCGTGATGGTGGGCACCTGTAATCCAGTCTACTTGGGAGGCTGAGGCAGGAGAATTGCTTGAACCCGGGAGGCGGAGGTTGCAGTGAGCTGAGATTGCGCCATTGCACTCTAGCCTGGACAACAGAGCGAGATTTTGTCTTAAAAAAAAAACAAACAAGTTGCATGTTCACTGATGTAGTGAATGATTTTAGTTAAAACTAACTAAACAGCCTAAACTAATAGAATGTGTTGTCTTTCAAAGAAAAATCTGAATTTATGTAAAGAGAGACTTGATTCAGAAGAATCATTGCAATAGAGGTGAGAGGGCTATTGCAGTAAGGGGAACGCTCCAACCATAAGATCTGCAAGGGTCTCAGAGATCACACAGAAAGGAAATTTATTTCATAAGATGGGGTGGGTAAACAAAGCTAGAAAGAACCAGGTATGAAGGAGTGGGTGGAGGGAATGGACAGTTGATCAGAGATGCTTTTCCTTGTGGTCAGCCGATTCTCAGAAGCAACCCTTAAAGGAGAGATTCTGTACTCTGGGTCAGGCTGAGAATAGGTCAGAGTTCAGGGTCTTGGGGAAAGGAAAGAAGCTTAACCAAAATTTGGTTATCAGTTAATAAGCAGTTTGATTTTGTTAATAATTTTTGTAATTAATAGCCTTTTTTTTTTTCTTGAGACAAAGTCTCGCTCTGTCGCCCAGGCTGGAGTGCAGTGGCGCAATCTCGGCTTACTGCAAGCTCCGCCTCCCGGGTTCATGGCATTCTCCTGCCTCAGCCTCCCGAGTAGTTGGGACTACAGGTGTCCGCCACCAAGCCCAGCTAATTTTTTTTGTATTTTTAGTAGAGACGGGGTTTCACCGAGTTAGCCAGGATGATCTCAATCTCCTGACCTCGTGATCCGCCTGCCTGGGCCTCCCAAAGTGCTGGGATTACAGGCGTGAGCCACCCCGCCCGGCCCCTTTATTTTTTAAGAGTACCGTAGTTTTAGGTTTACAGAAAAGTGGAGCAGTAAGCACAGAGTTCCCATATGTTTGCTTTCCCTCCCCACCCCCACAGTTGCCCCTATTATTAACATCTTGCATCTATGGGATACACTTGTTCTAATTGATGAGGCAATATTAATACATTATTAACTAAAGTCCATGGTTTACATTAGGGTTCACTCTTTCTGTTGTATATTCTGTGAGTTCTGATAAATGTATAATGAAATGTATCCACCATTACACCGTCATACAGAATAGCTTCACTGCCCTCCAAATCCCTGTGCTCCACCTATTTATCCTGCCTTCTCCCCAAACTTTCGGTAACTACTAATCTTTTTACTATATCCATAGTTTTGCCTTTTCTAGAATGGCATGTAATCGCATAGTATATAGGCTTTCTAACTTGGCGTCTTTCACTTAGCAGTCAGCATTTAGGGTTCCTTGGTGTCTGCATGGCTTAATAGCTCTTTTCTTTTTATCATTGAGTGATATTCTCTTGTCTGCTTGGACTATAATTTGTTTATCCATTCACCTACTGCGGGACATCCTAGTTGCTTCTATGTTTTGACAATCGTGACTAAAGCTGCAGTAAATAGCCATGTGTAGGATTTTGCATGGGCATCTCAACTCATTTGTGTAAATACCTAGGACCATGATTGCTGGATTATATGGTAAGACTATCTTTACATTTTTTAAATTGCCAAACTATCTGCCAAAGTGGCTGTGCCATTTTACATTCCCAGCAGCAATGAATGAGAGTTCCTATTGCTCCACATCCTCACCAGCATTTGGTGTTGTGGTGGTGTCAGTGTTTTGAATTTTAGCCATTCTAATAGGTATGTAATGGTATCTCATTTTCTTAAATTCACAATTCCCTGATGATATAGGATGTTGAGTGTCTTTTGACTCATATGCTTATTTTCCATTTGTATATCTTTTTTCAAATTTCATTTTAGATACAGGGTGTTTATGTGCAGATTTGTTACATGGGAATATTGAGTGATGCTGAGGTTTAGTGTGTGAATCCTGTCACCCAGGTAGTGAGCATAGTACCCCCCACCCTCTAGTATTCCACAGTGTCTGTTGTTCCCGTATTTATCTCCATGTGTGCTCGATGTTTAGCTCTCACTTATAAGTGAGAACATGTGGTATTTTGTTTTCTGTTCCTGTGTAATTTGCTTAGGATTATGGCCACTAGCTCATCTGTGTTACTGCAAAGGATGTGATTTCTTTTTTATAGCTGTGTAGTAGTCCATGTGTACCAGATTTTCTTTATACAGTCTACCATTGATGGACATTTGGGTTGATTACACGTCCTTGCTATTGTGAGTAATAGCCATCCTGATGATGTGAGATGGTATTTCATTGTGGTTTTGATTTGCATTTCTCTGATGATTAGTGATGCTGAGCATTTTTTCATATGTTTATTGGCCACTTTTATGTCTTCTTTTGAGAAATGTCTGTTCATGACCTTTGCTCATTTTTTAATTCTGTTATTTGGTTTTTGCTTATTGTTTTAACTCCCTATAGAGTCTGGATATTAGGTCTTTGTTGGATGCATAGTTTGAGAATATCTCCTCCTGTTCTGTAGATTGTCTGTTTGCTTCGTTGATAGTTTTGTTGTTGTTGTTGTTGTTGTTGTTGTTGTTGTTCTGTGTGTATTGTTGCTTTTGTTTTTGTTTTTGCTTTTGCTTTTTTTTGCTGTGCAGATGCTCTTTAGTTTAATTAGGTCCCACTTGTTTATTTTTGCATTTGTTGCAATTGCTTTTGGAGACTTAGCAAAAAAATATTTGCCAAGGGTCAATGAATGAAACCAAGACTTGATTCTTTGGAAAAGTAAACTAGATTGATAAACCACTAGCTAGGTTAACAAAGAAAAAACAGAAGCTCCAAATAAATACAATCAGAAATGACAAAGATGACACCACAACCGATCCCACAGAAATAGAAAAGACTTTCCGAACATCAGGAACAACTCTATACACACAAATTAGAAATTCTAGAGGAAATGGATAAATTCCTGGAAACATACACAATCTCCTAAGATTGAATCCAGAATAGATTGTAACTCTGCATAAACCAATATCAAGCTCTAAAATGAATCAGTAATAAAAAAACCCACCAACCAAAAAAAGTACTAGACCAGATGGAGTCACAGCCAAATTCTATCGAATTATACTTCTTTCTACCAAAAGAAGAACTGATATCAATCCTACTGAAAGTATTCCAAAATATTGAGGAAGGACTCCTCCTCAACTCATTCCATGAAGCCAGCATCAACCTAATACCAAAATCTGGCAGAGACACGATGTAGAAAGAAAACTTCAGGCCAATATCCCTGATAAACATAGATGCAAAAATCCTCAACAAAATACCAGCAAACCGAATCCACCAGTACATCAAAAAGTTAACTCACCACAATCAGCTGGGCATTATTCCTGGTATACAAGATTGGTTCAATATATGCAAATGAATAAATGTGATTCAGCACATAAACAGAATCAAAAGCAAAAACAATATGATCATCTCTATATTTGCAGAAAAGTCTTTCAATGAAATCCAACATCCCTTCATGATAAAAACCCTCAACAGACTAGGCATCAAAGGAACATACCTCAAAATAATAAGAGCCATCTTTGACAAATGCACAGCTAACATCATACTGAACAGCCAAAAGCTCGAACCATTCCCTTTGAAAACTGGAACAAGACAAGGATGTCCACTCTCACCACTCCTATTCAACACTGTATTGGAAGTCCTAGCCAGAGCAGTCAGGCAAGAGAAAGAAATAAAAGGCATCCAAATAGGAAACAAAGTAGTCAAACTATCTTTCTTCATTGATAATATGATTCTATACCTAGAATATCCTAAAGACTCTGCCAGAGGCTCCTAGAACTGATAAATGACTTTAATACAGTTTCAGGATACAAAGTCAATGTACAAAAATCAGTAGCATTTCTATACACCAGCAGTGTTCAGGCTGAGAATGAAATCAAGAACAGATCCTCACTTTCTATAGCCATAAAACAAAACAAAACAAAATGAAATACCTAGGAAGATAGTTAACCAAGATATCTTCTACAAGGAGAACTGCAAAACATTGCTGAAAGAAATCGGAGATGACACAAATACATGGAAAAACAGTCCATGCTCATGGATTGGAAGAATCAAGATTGTAAAGATGGCCATGCTGCCCAAAGCAATTTACAGTCAGTGCTATTCCTATCAAACTACCGACATAATTCTTTACAGAATTAGAAAAAAACTATTCTAAAATTCATGTAGAACAAAAAAAGACCATGAATAGCCACAGCAATGCTAAGCAGAAAGAGCAAAGCTGGAGGCATCACATACCTGACTTCAAACTATACTATAAAGCCACAGTAACCAAAACAGCTTGGTACTGTTACAAAACAGACACATAGATCAATGGCACAGAATAGAAAACTCAGAAATAAAGCCTCAAACCTACAACCACCTGATCTTTGACAAGGCCAACAAAAACAAGCAATGGGGAAAGGACTCCCTATTTAATAAATGGTGCTGTATATCTTTTTGATGAAGTCTTTAATGATTAACAGTTTTTCAGTTTTTTTTTTTAGTGGTGGCCTAGGATTTACCATATGCATCCTAGATTTTCATATTCAGCTTTTGATTTAAAGTAGCTTAATACCATTTATATATATACTCCTATATAGTTTTATTCCCTTCCCCCACTTTTGTGGTATTGCACATACCACAAAATATATTTAGTACCTCTAGTAATATATAGTGCATATATAGTTATATTGTTATATATAGTGCATCTAGTAATGTTACAGATGCAACAATAGGTTGTTGTAATTTTTACTTTACCATCTGTAGTCATTTCCTTAGCTTAGTAAAAGCTTTGTTTTCACCCACCTCCTTTGTGCAAATATGTTACACATATATTACATTTCTACATATTATAAGCCCAACATTTTATTATACACATTTTATATGACTGCTTTTTAAAATAAGTTATTAAAAGAAAAAAGCAAATATGCATTTATACTGTATTTTATAATTTCTTACTTATCTTTTGCAGTTCCTTTTTTTTTTTTTAACATGGATTTAAATTACCCTCCATAGTCAGTTGCTTTCATGCCAAAGAAATTGCATTAGTAGTTCTTATAAGTCAGGTCTGCCTATCAACAAATTCTCTCAGTTTTTGTTTATCTGGGAAAGTTTTTATGTCACCTTCATTTTTGAAAGCTAGCTTTGCTGGATATAGAAATCTTAGTGGGCAGTTTTTTCTTCAAACATTTTGAATATGTGGCCTCCATTGTTTCTGCTGTTAGTTTTATTGGGGTTCTTTGTAAATTACTAGTCATTTTTCTCTTGCTGTTTTCAAGTTTTTCACATTGTTACTGACTTTTGGCATTACATTGTTATGTACTTTCAGATATATTATTATGATGTATCTGTTTGTGGATCTCTTTGTTTTCATCCTACTTAGAATTTGTTAAGCTTCCTGAATGTGTAGGTTATTGTTTTTCAATGAACGTAGGACATTTTTAGCCATAATGTATTAAAATATTTTCACTCTCCTTTCTCTCCTCTTCTGGTCTTCTCTTTGTGCATATATTGGGCTGATGATAACTCCACATTTCTCTGAGACTGTGTTCACTTTTCTTCATTCTTTTTTCTCTCTGTTGTTCAGCTTGCATGATCTCTATTGAACTGTCTTTAAGTCACCAATTCTTCTGCTGGCTCAAATCTCCTGTTAAGCCTGTCTTGTGAATTTGTTTCAGTTGTAGTTTTCAACTCCAGAATTTTCAATCATTCTTTTTTATAATTTGTATCTCTTTATTGATACTGTCTCTATTTGATGTTATATTGTCATCATACCTTCCTTTACTTTGTAAACCATGCTTTCCTTTAGTTCTGTGAGGATATTTACAGTGACTATTTTGAAATCTTTTTCTGTTAAATCTGACATCTGTTTACTCTTCCAGGAAGTTTGTTTCCTGCTTTTTTCCCTGGGGTTTGATCATACTTTCCTATTTCTTTGCATGCCTCATAACTTTTTAATGGAAACTGGACATTTTAGAAAAATATATTGTATACCCTATGTACTGGTCCCCCTACCCCCAGGGCTTGTTATTGGTGACTGGCTAGATGAATTTAGTAAAGTCTATTTTTCTCCACAATATTAAGCTTCTGATATTGTTTCTCAAGTAGGCGTAGCCTTGGGTATGTCTGCAGTCACCCTGGAATGACAGTGGTATTGGCTGGGCTCTGGTTTTGTTGTTGTTTGTTTGTTTTTCTCTGACCATACCACACTGTTAAGCTCTACAAATTGCCTGATGATTGCTCTATTGTTTCCACTAACGCCTTAGGACATAAATTGTTTATAAACTAATCCAGTCAAATTGCAGTTTCTTTTAAGTAATAGTTTCTGGGAGCTAGTTTTGATATTTCTTCTGACCTCACAAGGTCTCCTGCAGTTGTCTTTTTCCTCAGTTATCTTCTGCAAAGTAGCCAGCCTGTAGTCTAGGTTGTATTTTCATTAAATCCACAAGTCTCTTCCCAGTTGCATTTCACCACTAACTCCACTGTTCTTAAGAACACACTTAGGATTGAAATTCTCTATATTCAGTTGCAAGTGAAGTCAGTTCCTCTGGGAAAAGATTAGGAGTTATTTATTTTAGAACCTACTTCTTTCCCAAGGAAAAATCTCTGAGCTGGGGCTCTGGAGCTGAGGATAGGGACAATGGCAGGCTTTTCTCTGAATGTCATCCCCCAGTCTAGTTGTTGAATGCTGTTGGAAGCACGGAGGGGCAGCAGCCTCAGGTGAGAGCCTAAGCAGCCCCCTGGACTGCCTCTCCTGGACTCATAATCCAGGGCAAGGGTGATCAGAGACCGAAGATTTTCAGTGCACAGCCTCCAGGGTAGAGCTTCCATTCCATGAGTAGAGGCTTCCAGAAGAAGGGAACCCCCATTACCTCTTGACTGCGCTCAGCTAGGACTTAGCCCCAGCAACATGGATGGCAGGATGAAAAATACCAATGTCCTGCTCCTACTGGGAAGAAAGCCTTCCAACTGTGATCTTGGGATAAAGAGAGCCTGCTGTTCTTGGTTGCAGTAGTGTGGAGTTCTACCTTACTGAGTTCTGAAGGTGGGGAAGGGAGCAGTCAGTTCACAAACCATAGTCATCAAAATTTCATAGTGTAGGGAGGATAGTTTCTTCATTTGGTCTTTAAATACTTGGAGTTTTCGTTTTATAGTTTTCACCAGTTTTTATTTGGAGTTTATCTTAATCCACTTGTATTGCTATAAAGGAATACCCACGGCTGGGTAATTTATAAAGAAAAGAGGTTTATTTTGCTCATGGTTCTGCAGTCTGTACAAGCAGCACGTACCAGCATCTGCTTTCGGTGGGAGCCTCAGGCTGCCTCCACTCAAGGCAGAAGGCAAAGGGGAGCCAACATGTCCAGAGATCACGTTGTTACCAAGAAAAAGGGGCATTGCTAGCCTGATACGTTAGAAGCCAACGCTATGACACTGTGGGGTTTTTTTTTTGGAAAAGAAATGCTTTTTATTATAAATTGACTAACAGGGAGACAGGAGTCCAGCTCAAATCTGTCTCCCTATGCTGGCTTTAAGGCAGTAATTTTATTAGAAAAGGTTCAGGGGGTAGATTCTGGGATTAGCAGGTGATTAGTAGAAGAAAAGAGAAGGTCTGGAAAGTCCTCAGGGATGCATGTTTATCTCTGCATGCTACCTCATGGGTCTCATGTGCAAATTTGGGAAGAATTAGTATGAAACATGCAGTAGAAATTGGGCTGGCTGTGACATCAGCGAGCTCATTCTGCACAAACTCCAGTCAGCCATGTTGCTTCTAGCCAATTTCAACCTGTTTTTTAATCTCACAAGCAGAGGAAGTTTCAGCATTTTAGCAAATTGTTCCTTATCTGCTATCTTGCAAACTCAAGAATTTCTGTTAGTCGTAGATTGTTTTTAACTCTTTGGGCATTGTTTCAACATGGCAAGAGGAGCACCAGGAGAGGGAGGGGAGGGAAGTACCAGGCTCTTTTAAACAACCACCTCTCATGGGAACTAATAGAGTGACAAATCACTCACCTCCCACCCTCAGGGAAGGCACTAATCTATTCATGAGGGATCCACCTCCATAGCACAAACACCTCCATTAGGCCCCTCCAACATTGGAGCTCCAATCTCAACACGAGTGTTGGAGGGAACAACATCCACACTATAGCAGAGCTCCTCAGGCTGTTGTGCTAGAAGAAGCCTCTCTCCTCATCCATTTTAACAAGCAGTGTTCTGCCTCTGCTTGAAAACCACCTTCTTAAGGCAGGATATTCCATCTTTGGAAGCTCTAACTAAGATAATTCTTCCTTGTAGTAGGTGATGCCAATTGATCCTGGTCCTTCCCCTAAGACCTACCAAAAATAGCTTAATCCTTCTGTTAGAGAACAGACTTTCCAGTCCTTCATGTAGCTGAGGTCCTGAATCTCCAGCCCTTGGTGGTCTCTTGTCCAGGCAGAACATCCACAATCCATTTCCTCTATCTACTCCACCCTATCATACCACATCTCCTTGAGTATTACCATTGTACTTCAGGTGAGGTCATTTTAGAACAAAATGACATCATCATCTTCCTTACTCTACATTCTGTTTCTGTAAATGGAACCAAAGCACATAAACTTTTTTAGCAGCCATTTTGCATGGTTGATTCACAGCTAACATACTGATATCAAACTCCCGATTCTGTTCACATGTGCTATTCATGCACATACCCTTGGTTTCTGGAGCCAAGTGCAAGGCATTGCTTATATTGTTTCAGTTTCTGACCCTTGGGAATCATTTTTTTCCTCCCAAGGATAGGCCTCTTTTCCCTTTAAGCCATTGATAAAATATTTGTATATAAAAAAGCCAAGGTTGGCCAGGCGCGGTGGCTCATGCCTGTAATCCCAGCACTTTGGGAGGCCAAGGCGGGCAGAATACCTGAGGTCAGGAGTTCGAGACTAGCCTGGCCAACATGGTGAATCCCTGTCTCTACTGAAAAACACAAAAAATTAGCTGGGCATGGTGGTACGCATCTGTAATCCCAGCTATTCGGGAGGCTGAGGCAGGAGAATTGTTTGAACCTGGGAGGCGGAGGTTGCAGTGAGCTGAGGTCATGCCATTGCACTCCAGCCTGGGCAACAAGAGCGAAACTCCATCTCAAAGGAAAAAAAAAAAAGCCAAGGATAGAGCCTTACAGCTCATCATCAGAGACTTAGCTAACATCATTTATTAGCTCCCATGCTAATGCAACTGAGAGCTAATGGCTGTGGGTTTTGCGCTTGTTAATATGACACTTCAGCTTGAGTAGTTGTCTGTTCCCACTCAGATTGTCATATGTGTGTCTTATTATGGGGCTGTGTGTGAGACCATCTCGGTGCCAGTAGTTCTCTATACTATCCTATGCCCTCTATGGAAGGGAACTCCCTCAGCAAAACAGGAGTTGCCTCACGGCTACCGTCTTCTTGGATGTTGAGATTATTGATCGAGTTACAAATAGGCCTTTCCCCTCCAACATGTTTCCTGATGAAGCTTTTAGGCACTTCCCAAAATACATGGCAGTTATCTTCTTTCTCTTCAGTATGTGTGACAGAGCCACTAGCAGCCTGTTACTGTGCATTAAAAGAACTCAGTAGGCCGTTCTTAATTGTGCTGTGCTGAATTATCACCCGTTTGTAAAGGTCATGGAATTTGAACAGAGCTTCGCAGATTGTGCTGCTCTAATGTGTGTGGTGTTTTCTGATGGCTGACATTCTGTCACTGCAGAGCGTAGCCTTCTGCCTGGACCTCTGTCTCAAATCAATTGTGCCAGCCCTGAAAGCTCCCACTTCTTCATACAGTATCAAACATTGGATTGGGCATGTTTGGGAAACAGTGGGACTCTCCATTGGCTAAAGCAGAAGGGAAGGAGGAGGAGATGAATGTGAAATATGGGCAGGTGCTTGGTGCAGTCTGCTGGGGCTGACAAGTCACAGCCTTGGGACTTTTATGTTTTGTTGTTTTCTACAAATATCCTAGGTGTGTTCTAGTTAGAATTTACATTTCTTCCATCCTAATATTGAAATTTTGCTCCCCGGTTTTCCATGAAATATCAACTGATGGTGGGTATTATTCCAGACATCATAACACCTCCTTAAAAGAGAGCCCCTACTCTGTGTTGTTGAGCATCTGGATTGTGTTGTCTTCCTTTAGAGACTTTTGAGGTTTTTTTCTGGCAAGCTATTACTATTAAATCAGCCACGTATTTTTGAGGCTTATTTTGAAGTTCTGCTAGGGCAGATCCCCGGAGTATCCCTTTCCCTAGTACATGCCCTGTAACAATAAATCTTTCTGGATTTTTTTAAGATCTTCCTGTACTGACAAAAGGAAAACGTAATTATGGAATGGCCACAGTATGCCACGTGGCAAGACTCCAGGTTTGCACAGGAGAGTGGCCCCTGGAAGGGGGTCAGTCTCACTGTCATCCATCAGTGTCCCCGTTTGTAATGGTCCTGCTCTCTGTCCTGGCATCTCAGGATAATGATGACTCAGGAAAATACCTCCGTTACATTGTGGGTGGCAGCATCCGGCAGTGATTTTTTAATGTTTGGGAATTTGAGCTTCCCCTGCCTGTGAAGTAGATACACTGAGATGGCCACCCCTTTCCAACCCTGTCAAGAAAACAGGAAGCCTCTCATGAATTTGACCAAGGAGCTACATTCGTTCTCTAAAAATTCAAACTGTATTCTACATTTTTTAATCCATTTTTAAAAAAATATATAATGAGATGATCAGCTTTTGTCACCACAGATTTTCCCCCAAGCTGTTGCCTTTCAAAGCAGGTTGGGCAAGGAATACCAATCCTGTGTGGGAACAGTATGTGGGTTTCAAAGACTTTAAACCAATTGGGGGACATTTTCTTTTGTGAGGGAGCAAAAACAGGTGACCAACACCAAACAGAAGATACTTAGGTTCCCTCATCTAATGACACAGCCTTCACCTAGTGCTAACCTTATGATGGCACCACACAGGATCCCGGTAGGCACTCGGGCAGATGTAGCATCAGCCCCTACAGACACAGACCAGGCAACCCAGGGTGTCCGCGAGCAGCCCATGAAACCGTATACATTCAGAGCACCTTATGTTTGTCACTAACATGTCATAGTGGGCTTTAGGGTTAGACCTGTTATCAAGAGTTACCCTGTCTCTTACAAGCTGTATTTTAATATGTCTAAACTTCAGTTTCCTCACAGGTAAATTAGAGAAAATAATTTCTCCTTCATTGGGCTAATGTATACATTAAACACAAACGCAGCTAGCAGAAGGCCAGAGACTAATGGACAACAGGAAATGAGCTTTCTCCATTTCCCTTCCCAGCCCTTCCCTCACAAGAAAGAGCCTTGTAAGGTAGGCTGTGCAGAGATTTCCCTGTTTGTAGTTGAGACAACTGATATGAGGGATATCAACACAACTAATTAGTGTCAGAGCCAAGTTCAGACTTTTTTCTGTGATGGCAGAAGGCATTCGTGAACGCCTAGTGTGTACCCAAAACTGTCATGACATTGTATGTGAAATGTCTCACTGCAGAATGAAGCTTAGTTCTTAACACTGGGCTTTGGTCTAGGCTTCCAAAGTCATTTTTAAGCAGAACACTAGTAGCTATATTTATTTCCATTAGCTGCTCTCTCGTTCTCTCTCATGGGTCTTTTGTTTATACTTTATAGAATGATGGGATGAGTTTTGAAATTAAAGCAGAATCATGAAGGATCCCCAGAAGGAGGGCAGGTGTCCGTCAGTTTCACAGGAGCTTGATTAGGCAAATTGACCCAGGCAAGTCCTACACTGCTCCTCACACAACCTTTTGGGTCCCTTGAAAGTGACTTTCGGCTGGGCACAGTGGCTCACACCTATAATCCCAGCACTTTGGAAGGCCGAGGCAGGCGGATCACCAGAGGTCAGGAGTTCAAGACCAGCCTGACTAATATGATGAAACCCCGTCTCTACTAAAAATACAAAAATTAGCTGGGCATGGTGGCATGCATCTGTAATCCCAGCTACTTGGGAGGCTGAGACAGGAGAATCACTTGAACCCAGGAGGCAGAGGTTGCAGTGAGCTGATATCGTGCCACTGCACTCCAGCCTGGGCAACAAGAGTGAAACTCCGTCTCAAAAAAAGAAAGAAAGTGACTTTCGTCAGGCTTCTTCCAGACTGCTGCCGAGAGAATGGCAGACGAAAGGCATCTCTGGAACTGGACTGTCCCAATTCAGATCTGGGCTCCACCACCAACCAGAGTGACCTTGGCATATCACTGAATCCCAGGACCTGAGTTTCTTCACCTGTAAAATAACAATAAGAAAAGTACCTACCTCGTAGGGTTTTTGAGATCATTAAATGAGATGATCCATGCTAAGTACCTGTAACAGTGACTGGCACATGGTTATTACACGATCGATAAAGTGAGCCGCTGCAGCAGGGGAGGGAGGGTTGTCGCATCTGAGAAAACGTAAACCAGTGTTTTTCCCCTGTGCTGTGAACGGTCACCATGTTGTTTCTTTTTAATTGTGGTATCGAAGGGCTTGGGTTTTTAAGGTTATTTTTCACTGAGCCTTTCAGTCTGTCTCTGTGGCCTCAAGCACTCGCCTCCCTTAGAACTGCTCATTCTAGGGTCATGACTACTACTCTAAATGAATCTCCTGCAGAGACTTTCTGCCACATTTTCCCCTCCTCTCTCTAGGCAGCTTAGCAACTTGTCTGCCTGTTGTAGTATTTCATTACCTAATTCATTATTAGCTGGGACCTACTGAGAGTTTTGAGGCATTGGAGAATGAGGGTCTATGAAGAGTCAGGTTCAATCTGAGAGCAAACTGTGTTGTGGATGGGAATTTAGAAAAGGTATTTCCTGGTTGCAGAGGGGAAGGAGGTGTGTGGCTTTTCCTTTATCTCTGAAGCCAAACTTTGATTTAGGCAAAACTTTTAACTATTAAGGACCTCCAGTGTGAAACAGCTTAGGTGGTGGCAAAAGACTGGCTGAGGCTATAAGAGATACAAGGAAAGATTTGAAAGTGAGGTGGAGGGCAGGCAGGGAGAAAAGGTGGAAATATGCTTCTCAGTCCACTCGTCCTACTCCATCTCCACCTTCATTGCCACCAGTGTCAATACAAAGTGGCCCGTGTCTCTCGCAAACTAGGTTTGATCTTCTCATGTGTTAGTGTAGAAAGATAATTAGGAAAGGAAGTGTTAGGGTTTTGATTTCAGGATCTTAGTAATTGTAGAGAGTAAGAAACGAACAAGCCGAGCTCAGGCTTCTGTGACTGTCCGTGTCTTCAAGTATGATTTGGAAGGCTTCGTGTCCAGTATCCCTAGGAGTAGTACCATCCCTGTTCTTGAGAACTTGCCCTGTAGGGTGGCAGTGGATCATGGTTGTTTTCCTATATCAGAGCTTGATATGTTTGTTAAGAGGTCTGTGACCGGGCACGGTGACTCATGCCTGTAATCCCAGCACTTTGGGAGGCCGAGGCAGGTGGACCACCTGAGGTCAGGAATTCAAGACCAGCCTGACCAACATGGTGAAACCCCATCTCTACTAAAAACACAAAAACTAGCCGAGCATGGTGGTACATGCCTATAATCTCTCCTACTCAGCTGAGGTAGTAGAATTGCTTGAACCTGGGACGCTGAGGTTTCAGTGAGCTGAGATCACGCCACTGCACTCCAGCCTGGGTGACAGAGCAAGACTCCGTCTAAAAAAAAAAAAAAAAAAAAGAGGTCTGTGGATCCTGAAAGCCCTGATTTGTTTTCTTCCTTCCAGCGGATGTAGTTACTGCTCCCACTTCCACATCTGTGAGTCACTGAGCTTTGCAATGTGCTGGCACCCCATGTTAGCCCAACACCCCTCTCCCTGGGGCTCTCAGAGATCATCAGGACCTCGTTTTCCACAGGATTTCCTTTAATGCTGAGTACTACAAGGTCATTTCCAGGGTTGCCACTGTTTCTTCCTCTCGTATTCACTACAGTTTAATTTTTAGCTCTTAACACTGGACTTTGTTACATGGGAAGAAAGAAATTTGCTCTAACAGACAGCAGCAAATGCATTTTTCCTTCTCTTCCAGTTGGAAAATCACTCCTAACCAGTTTTATCCTTGGGGAGGTTTAGTGGTCTGAGAATACTTTTATGTTTTTGGAGTGAACAGAGATTATGTTCATATTTGGTTGCTTCCCCTTTATTTTTTGTCTGACCTTAATTTGGCATCTGTAGACGGAAACTGTTACTTATCTTCAGGGCTGCCATGTATCTTTGTGACATTGCCCCTAATTTGCTTCTGAATATGCAGTAAAAGATAAAAGCCATGATTAGGCTCAGTAAACATTACTGTTTTTCTTGAAACTTTCATGCCCTAAATGCCTGTTAATCTCATGGTGCCCACCTCTTCCCTGGATGGTGGAGTGTGGCCTGAGGTGGCATTGCCCTTTGATCAATTGGAACAAAGACTCAGAGGAGAGATGTGACCTCCTCAGGTTATACAGGGAGCTGGTAACAGGATTGGAGCCCATGTTTCCTGATTTCATCCCATTGTTCTTTCTAGGGGGACACTTCTCTCTGGGAGTATAAACAACACAATCGCAGTAATTACTGCCATTGATTGAACATCAAATAGATGCCAAGCCCATACATTATGTCTAATTTTCATAACAATTCTGCAAAGTAGAGTTTTACAGATAAAGAAACTGAGACTGAGAGAAGCTAAATTCCTTGCCCAGAGCCACTCACCTAGTCTTGGGCAGAGTCCAGATTGAGCCCAAGTGTGTCAGAGCCCTGCCCTGTGTTCTTACTGCATGGCGAGGGTTGGTCACAACGCCAGTGATAAATAGTAAGAAATCAGAAATCTGCATGCCGGCCCTCCCATCCCTTCATTTGATCAGCAGATGATGACTCTGTGGCTGCTCTGTGCAAGCACAGTACTGGGCACTGGTGAGCAAGACAGAGGGAGCTGACCTTAGCAGCTCTCATTTCCATAAAGTTTTCCCTCTCACACTCGGCATACCCTCTCCTGCACATCCCCCAACCTCCTTCATTACCCAGTTTTGCCTGTGCACGTTGCTCTGATGTCCCCTTCCTTTCTGTTTCTGTAGCCACATCAGGACGAGGGCCACATGATGTTGCTTCTTGGAGACTGGCTCTGTGCGCAGTACCTGCGGGCCTTCCTGTGCTCTCTAGTTAGTAGCGCTCAGTGAGAACTTGCAGAGTCCCGTGCATCTGCTACGTGTTCTGTGTGCATTACCTTCTTGAATCTTCATAGCCACTTTATGTGATGTAGCTATAGTCATTATCCCCATGTGAGCAAAAACAAACAAACAAGCAAAAAGTACCCAACTCGGAGAACTTGCCTAAGATTATGCTGCTAGTAATTGCTAAAGCCAGGGTTTGGGCTTAGGCTGATGAACTCTGCAGTGCAGGCTCTTACCCACCAACCTGTGCAGTGCAGACGCTTGGGACAGGTTCATGATATAGGGCAAAGAAAAACGTCCTTTTACCAATCTTATACATAAACAAAAACACTTCTGAAATCAACTTTTAACTATGGGTATCTCTGAATTGTAAGAAAAGCTAGCGTATACTGAGCCCTCGCCTGGTACTAGGCAGGCGACACTTTAAATATATATCTCATTTAATTTTTGGTAATCTCAAAAGGTAAGCATTACCCCTTCCTTCCCACAGGTGAGGCAATTGAGGCTTAGAGAAGTGAGGTGACTTGCCTAAAGTTACATAGCAGGTTACTGTCAGAACTAGTATCCAGATTCTCCTCTGACTCCAAAGCTTATGGCCGCCTCCCCCAGGATCCCATTTCTTCTCTCTGCATATGAGCTGGATCAGGTCCACTGAGAGAAGAACCGCAGTTTGGCAGGTCCCACCACAATAACAGGTGGAACAAAACATGGCTGCTGTAAGAGCAGGCTAGACCGGCCCTTTTCCCAAAAGCAGCAGACGAATCTTGCAACCCCATAGGTGGCGACCAGCTTTATAATGAGACAGGGATGAGATTTTTAAATGACAGTGCGTCTCCTGTTACCATGACAGAGAAAAGCGGTATCTTTGCTGGCCGTATGAAGTGATGGACATGGGAATGCAAGGCTGGAAGGAACTAACTAGCTCTGCATAATGGTGCCAAAGAGGGATCAAGAAACCTGAAAGGAACCTATACATACGGGACATTTGGAGACTCCATTGGGAAAAGGGTCCACAGACAGGTCAACCTGCAGCCACACCAAGGAGGGATCTTAGGGGACGTGCCGATTTCTAACTCATGTTCAGTATATATCTCACTAATAGCTGGTAGCATGGATTGTTTTCAGGAGAATGAAGGAAGCACCATGTTATGCTTCAGCATCGTGTAGAGCAAGTTGAGAGGCTGCCTAGCCACGTGATGTTGTTAATCGTATCGGTTTTTATTTTTCAGGGAACCTCAGAACCTGTTCTGGATCCACAGCAAATCCAAGCATTTGATCAGCTTTGCCGTCTCTACCGAGGAAGCTCCAGGGTAATGTTTGCGTGGTTGTTTATATTTTTATTTCCCTATTTATAGTTTACTGCTTTAGACAGGCAGTGTCTTGGAACCTCCCTCTAGCCTCCTTCTAGCCTGGAAGGTGCCCTGGCATCCCTGTTATGGCTACATGGACAACAGACCCTGGCCCCAAGGAGCACTCAGAGCTTGGCAAAGAGAGCAAAGGAAGTAGAAAGCTGTCTGTCCCCTACGTACCATGAGCTGTGAGGACACAGAAGGGCCTCTGTGTTTGACCTCCCTCCAGAGAGAGCAGGCCAGAAGGTTGATCCCAGGAGGGCTTTGCTTAGGATATGGATAGGTGCCCAATCTGTCCGAAGCCCTAGACCCTCCTGGGCATCTGCACTGGTTGAATTAGTTTTGGCCATGAAAGACAAATGCAAAGTAGTAGTGGTTTAAGCAAGAGAGAAGTGTAAATGCAGCCAGCCAGGGCACATCCACGTACCTCCCTTCAGCTTTCTTCTGTCCTGTTGCTCTGCCTTCCTTAGCACATGACTTAAACTCGTATGGTTCAACATGGTTGCTTCCACTTACCTCCACTGTCTAGAATTTAGACCCATGACCATACCTCACTGCAATGGAGACTGGGAAAATTGATTTTTATTCCAAAAGACCTTGGGCTACAATTCTTGGTCTAATCTAACTGTGGAAGAAGAGTACAGACTGGAGGGCTTCTATCAGTCACTGCCACCACATCAGACCGGGTGTCCCCCAGGCACTTTGGACATGTACTCATCGCTTTCTCGACCTGTTCTTCATGCCTGGTGCCTGCCTCAGGAATGATACCTCTGTCATCCAACCACCTAGAGCAGAGACCTGGCAGCACTAGGCTCACTCCTCACCTTCCTGCCACCTGACTGGGGACATCCTGTGGGATCTTGTCTACTAATCCCTCTTTTACCACTACCCCGGGTGGGGCCTCCTTATCACTCACGGAGGCCACTGCAGGTCTTCTGATTGGCTAGAAACCCTTCTGTCCCCTCTCCATGCTGCTGCCTGGCTACCCTTTCTAAAACCAAGTATGTCATGTTACTCCCTTGCTTATAACACATTCTGGATCTCCACCACCTAAAGAATGAGTCCAAACCCTACCATCTTCTTCACTCCCCAAATCACACCTCAATTCTAGGTGGTCCCATTTGTTCCTGAGCTTGTCTCGAGCTTGTGCAAACTGCTGTGTCCTCTGCTTCTCTACCTGGGCCCCCTTCACGCACTCCCCTTTCTTAGGCAGAACCTACTAGGTTACTTGGCAGCCGGAGGAAAGAGTGGTGCTCCTTCTTTGAGAGTTGGTGTGGGCAGAGGTTGTTATTCCAGGAAGTTTCTCTAGGGGTCTCCTGGATGCAGTCCAGCAGCTTTATTGAACTGGCCTCACCCCCATCCCTTTCCAGCCTCAGCTAAGCTCTGCCCCAGGAGTTGGGTTTCTGGGCCTTCCAAGGAGGTTCTTCTGCTTCAAACTGTTGAGCCCTTATTTAAGGCTCATTGATTTCCGGATCACAAAGTTACCAAAGTGGAACACAAAAATATCTGTTTTCCTGGGAAATAATTTTTTTTTTTTTTTTTTGCAATTGATCTTCCCACCTCACAGTGTCAGGATGTGAAAGCATTGAGTTGAGCGTCTGTGGCTCATTCTGTTCAAGGCATCGTACATAACAGTCATTGCAGAGAACGTCGCAGGCTGATGGGCAACTGAGAGGGTTACGGAAGAAGGAAGTGGCACGAAGTGGACTCTTGGCCCCTGGAGTAGTGCTTGAGTCAGAGTTACTGAGTTGTGAATGAGACCATACATGTGTCTCTGGGCCAGGACCTGGACCACTTTTGATAAATTGACACTTAGAACTTAGGGGCCTTCAGATGTCTTCCCAGTTACCACAGCCACTGGTACTGAGTTTTCCACAGAAGTGACACATGGACACGTGAGCTTGTGCCACCATTGCCTGTGTGAGGGAAAAACCCTTTGCCAGAGGTCGGAGGGCACCTCGAAGACATGGTGCCTGGCGGGTGAATCCCACACCGCCACTCACTGCTGGTGACCGAGGGCAAGTCACTGTGTTGTGAAGGATGAGAAATAACACACATGTCAAGGATCTAGCAAAGTGCCTGTCATGGAAAGACACTTGATACAGTCACCAGAGGTTGTTAGACATCCCCTCGGACTCCTGGAGTGTTTGGTAGACACAGACAGGGCTGCCCTGAGGAGTCTGATGGCCCCCTCGTCTCAGCTGTACACTCCCCATGGACCAGGCTTTCACTGGCCTCCATGTGAGCCTACACAGGGTCCCTTAGAGTGTTGGTAGTGGACACAGTGGCCCATCCCACAGGTCCCAACTACTGTTATTAGGGACCATTTTGACCTGGGCTCTGAGTTCTCCTTCACATTAGCTCTGTGGGGTGGAAGTTAACTCACAATGTTCTGGGAAGCAACAGGCAAAGACCCTAATCAGGCAGGAAGTCTAAGGACCTTGGGTGTAGAATTCGTCTCTCCTCTGACCATCAAGGGCACCTCAAGAGCCAGGCTGCCAGCTCCCTACTTTCGCAGAAAGCCTCTTTAGGTGAAAGGGATGGTCCCCCTGAGTGGCAGAGCACTGGCTTCCCAACAGGCCGACATTAGCATCTCCTCCTACCCTTCTGTCCTCCTTGGCAGGTCTTCCAGAATTGAGCCACTGACAGAACGAGGGTACTGCTAGTGTCATTGGTGGGAATAAGGAAGCTGGGAGCAAAGAGGACTCACTTGAAGGAGAAGGTAGAATCCAGGGGTTCCACTCTGGAACCCCTGAGTTTGAGTTGGCAGCTGGGTGTCTGTTTGAGGCCTTCCAGGTTACAGAAGAGAGGTCAGAGCCAGTGGTCATAATTAGTCATTCACCCCGAGGAGAGTGCACCAAGATGGAGAGGTTGGAACAAGCAGAGCTGAGAACAGAGCTCCTCAGCCCAGGGCGCGTCCACAGGGAGAGAAGGGTGGCAGCAGGGCCATCCACAGCAGCTGGAGGAGCCCTCAGCACAGGGCCAGCCCAGGGTGGGAGAGCTCTCCAGTGCCAGAGAGAGCACAGTTTGAGTGCCCTTGGGAGCAAACCAGTCCAGTCTCATTATTGAATGAGGAAATTTAGACCCTAAAAAATGAAGTGAACTTGCCCAAAGTCACACTGCTCGTTTGTGATATATGGACCTAAGATTCAAACCCTGCATGTTACTACTCCTGCAACACAGCACTGTCTCTCATGTATCTGAAGCAGTGGATTCAGGAGCCTCTCTTCCCTCTGCTCCCCACAAACCTTAGCTGATGTGTGTCCTTCCTTTGCAGCTGGCTCTCCTCACGGAACTCTCCCAGAATCGCAGCAGCGAGAGCTATAGGCCATTCAGTGGCTCGCAGAGTGCTCCTGCTTTCAACAGCATCTTCCAGAATGAGAACTTCCAGCTGCAGCTCATTCCTCCACCTGTGACTGAGGATTGATGACTCCATGGAGCCTGGCCCAGGAGAACCAGAGATGATCCCGAGGCAGCTGGGGAGAGGCCCCGCCTCTGGTGGGCTTGGCCTCCACCACCTCCCACGCTTCTGAGAAGAGGTTCCAAATTGGGCTTCTGTGCCCAGAGCGTCCACAGCACCATTCCCAGTGTAGACTCCCAGTCTTCTCCACATTGCTGTCATGGCGTCAGTTCACCAGACTCATTGATTTTGTTTTGCTTGTTAAGCAAAGGAATGTCACATACCTCTGTCCAGCTTTTTAGGAAATACATTTCGCCTATTGCGACTTTTTCCATTTACCCTGAAGCCTAGAAAGTAGGTGGAACTCACACAAATGGCATTCCAGAGTCTGCCATACTCCGTCTCCTCCAGCTGCTGGATAATACAGAGGAACTTCAACTTCTACAGGGAACAGTGGTTGGCCAGGCTGCAGTATAACTGAAGCATGCCTTGGAGAGAGCAGACACTGTGGGGGCCAGGGCCATCTCCCTTTAATGTGTTCATGTTAAAACCTATTTGAGTGTAAGACTTGCCCTTTCTAACAATAAATGCTCCGTGTTTAAGTTCTGCAGGTCTCCTGGCTGGCTGGCTCTCAGTCTGTCAAGTCATGGAGGACATTTCGAGCCCTGTTGTCACAATTTTATTAGCTCAAAGTCAGGAATCCTGCCTGTGACAACCCTCCTTAATTCAGATAAGCAGCTCCATTGTCAGCTGTATTCAGAGCAGCCCAGCCACCCATATGCTCCCGTGACAGGCGCTGGGCTGCCAAAGAGAATAGTACTCAGTTTTTGGCCATGGGACTTCGTATATCATTGAACCAACTGCCACAGGAGGTCGCCACACCCAGACACCTAGGTTTCCACCTTACATACTCAGATGATCCTTTTCTCAGTGCAATGGAATCGTCAGGCTCTCATGGACTGATACTAACCAAACCCACAGGAAATAGATACATAAACTAGGTAGAAATTTTTTTTTTTTTGAGACAGAGTTTCACTCTTGCTGCTCAGGCTGGAGTGCAGTGGTGCTGTCTTGGCTCACTGCAAGCTCCGTCTCCCAGGTTCAAGTGATTCTCTTGCCTCAGCTTCCCGAGTAGCTGGGATTACCGGCACCCACCACCACGCCCGGCTAATTTTTTAATTTTTGGTAGAGATGGGGTTTCACCATGTTGGCCAGGCTGGTCTCGAATTCCTGATCTCAGGTGATCCGCCTGCCTTGGCCTCCTAAAGTGCTGGGATTACAGGCATGAGCCACCACACCTGGCCAATAGAAATTTTTAACTCTTAAATAGAAAATAGATCTTGTTTCTGCCATGTACTACGTATAATCAACAAATCAGTTAACCTCTCTAAGCCTCTGTTTCTTTATAAACAGAACTGTTATGAAGAGGAAATAATACATGTAAACATTTGCTATGTGCCATTGAGGCACATGGCAAATACCCCAGAAATGCTAGCTTAGCTTTTATTATATAACTTCTCCCAAGACCTGGGCTACAAGGGTACTGCTTCCTGATGAAGGTGTCAGGAGATAAAATTGAGGGAAGTGGTTGAACCATTAAGTCATCATTGCTTGGATGCCTGCCGCAGCTATATGACAGTCTCAACCCCAGCTGACAGATGAGAAAGCTGAGGCTCAGAGGTGATAAGTAATTTCACCAAGGTAACCTACCAAAGAGGTAGCAGAGCAGGTGGAATTCAGAGTTGTGATTCCAGAGCCAGTGATGCTACCTGCCCCAAGTTATGTATCAAAAGGTTTCTCATTGAGCCTAAAATAAGGCCAAAGGAACTTGATGTTCTCAAAGCAAAACTCAATTATTCCTTTTCTTCTTTTATAGTGTAAAGAACTAAGGCAAAGGAGTATTCAATATAAAAAAGCAAATTGTGACATCAAAAACATGAAATGTATGTGGGAAGGGTGAAGTAAAAGCAGAACTTTATGCAATCAAAATAAAGTTGTAATAAGTTTAAAATAGCCTGTTATAACTAAGATGTTGGCCGGGCACAGTGGCTCACGCTTGTAATCTCAGCACTTTGGGAGGCCGAGGCAGGCAGATCATGAGGTCAGGAGTTCAAGACCAGCCTGGCCAACATGGTGAAACCCTGTCTCTACTAAAAATACAAAAATTAGCTGGGAATGGTGGTGCGTGCCTGTAATCCCAGCTACTTGGGAGACTGTGGCAGGAGCATCGCTTGAACTGGGACCTGGGAGGTGGAGGCTGCAGTGAGCCGAGATGGTGCCACTGCACTCCAGCCTGGGGTACAGAGCGAGACTCCATTTCAAAAAAATAAGTAAGATGATTTATGTAAGCCTGATGGTAACCACAAAGCAAGAAATTATAGTAGGTAGATAAAAAGCAAGGAATAAAAAGTATACCACTAGAGAAAATCATCTAATCAGAAAGAAAGCAAGAGAGGAGGAAAGGAACAAAGGATCTACAAAACAATGAACAAAATTGCAGTGGTAGGTCCTTACCTATCAATAATTACCTTGAATGTGAATAGATCAGATTTGCCAATCAAAAGACAGAGTGGCTGATTGGATTAAAAATAAGATCTAACTATATGCTGCCTAAAAGAGACTCACTTCACCTTTAAGGACACACGTAGCTTGAAAATGAAAGATGGAAAAAGATATTCTGTGCAAAGGAAACCAAAAGAGAGCAGGAGTACCTGTACTTCAATAAAATAGACTTTAAGTCAAAAAGTGTCAAGTGAGACAAAGTTATATAATAATAAAGGGGTGGATTCATCTAGAACATAAAACAGTTGTAAATATATATGCACCCAACATCAGAGCACCCAAGTCTATAAAGCAAATATTAATAGAGCTGAAGAGAGAAATAAACTGAAATACAATAATAGGGGACTTCAACAATGATTTTCCAGACAGAGAATCAATAGAGAAACACTGGATTTGAATTACACATTAGACCAAATGGACCTAACAAACATACACAGAACATTCCATTCAACAGCATGAGAATACACGTTTTTCTCAAGTGCACATTGAACATTCTCCTGGATAGACCATATTTAAGCCACAAAACAAGTCTTAACAAATTTAAGATTGAAAATCATAACAGTATCTTTTCTGACCACAATAGTATGAAACTAGAAATCAGTAATAGGAATTTTAAGGAATTCACAAATCTGTGGAAATTAAACAACATGTTCCTAAAGAACATGGGTCAAAGAAGAAATACAAAAATTTTTAAATATCTGGAGACAAATGAAGATGGAAATATCCCATAAAAATATCATTTATGGTATGTGGCAAAAGCAGTTTTAAGAGGAAAGTGTATAGCAATGAAGTCCTACATCAAGAAAGAAGAAAAACTCCAAATAACCTATTGGCATAACAACCTAAAGAACTATAAAAAGAACAGACTAAGCCTAGAGTTAGTAAGAGGAAGAAAATAATAAAGATCAAAGCAGAAATAAATGAAATAGAGACTAGCACTAGAAAAATAATTTTAAAAAATCAATGAAATTAAGAGGGTTTTGTTTGTCTGAGACAGGCTCTTGCTTTGTCACCCAGGCTGGAGTGCAGTGGCACAATCACTGCTCACTGCAGCCTCACCCTTCTGGGCTCAAGTGATCCTCCCTCAGCCTCCCGAGTAGCTAGAACTACAGGGGCACGCCACCATGCCCAGCTACTGTTTTTTGTTTGTTTGTTTGGTAGAGGCAGAGTCTCACTATGTTGCCCAGGCTGGTCTCAAAAAACTCCTGGCTCAAGCAATCCTCCCACCTCAGCCTCCCAAAGTGTTGAGATTACAGGTATGAACCACTGTGCCTGGCCAAAAGTTGGTTTTTTGGAAGGATAAACAAAATCAATAAACCTCTAACTAGACTAAGAAAAGAAGAAGACTCAAAATCAGAAATGAAAGATAAGACATTACAACTGTAAAAAGGATCATAAGAGACGACTGTGGACAAGCACATACACGAACAAATTGGATAGCCTAGGTAAAATAGATAAATTCCAAGACACATATACCACCTACCAAGACTAAATCATGAAGAAATAGAAAACCCAAACAGAACAATAACAAATAATTAGATTGTATCAGTAATTTAAAAGTCTCCCAACAAAGGGAAGTCCAGAACCAAATGGCTTCTCCACGGAGTTCTACGTACCATTTATAAAATAATTAGTACCAATTCTTCTCAAACTATTCCAAAAAATTGAAGTAGAGGGAACTCTTCCTAACTCATTTTACAAAGCCAGCCTAACCCTGACACCAAAAACAGCAAGGACACTATACAAAGAAGAAAATTATAGGCCAATATCCCTTATGAACATAGCTGCAAAAATCCTCAACAAAATACTAGGTAAGTAAGCTGGGCATGGTGGCTCATGCCTGTAATCCCAGCACTTTGGGAGGCCAATGCAGGTGGATTGCCTGAGGTCAGGAGATAAAGACCAGCCTGGCCAATGTGGTGAAACCCTGTCTCTACTAAAAGTACAAAAATTAGCTGGGCATGGTGGTGCATGCCTGTAGTCCCAGCTACTTGGGAGGCTGAAGCAGGAGAATCGCTTGAACCCGGGAAGTGGAAGTTACAGTGAGCCAAGACTGTGCCACTGCACTCCAGCCTGGGTGACAGAGTAAGACTGTCTCAAAAAACAAAACAAAACAAAACAAAAAACTAGTTAACTAAATCCAACAATACATCAAAAAGATTATAAAGATAATACACCATGATCAAGTGGGATGTATCACAAGAATACAAGGATGGCTCAACATATGCCAATCAATATACATGATACATGACATCAATAGCATGAAAGACAAAAACTATATGATCATCTCAATACCTGCAGAAAAATCATTTGATAAAATTCAATATCCTTTCATGATAAAAAAAAAAAACTCTCAATAAGTTAGGTATAGAAAGAAAGTACCTCAACACAATTAAGGACGTGTATGGCAGACTCACAGCTAACATCATACTGAACGAGGAAAGACTGAAAGGTTTTCCTCCAAGAAATGGAACAAGACAGGGATGCCTACTCTTACTACTCTTATTCAACATAGTATGGAAGTCCTAGCCAGAGCAGTCAGGCAAGAGAAAAAAGGAAGTCAAATTGTCACTCTTTGCAGACAACATGATCTTAGAAAAACCTAAAGACTCTTATCAAAAAACTCATAGAACTGATAAATGAATTCAGTAAAGTTGCAGGATACAAAATCAACATGCAAAAATCAGTAGTGTTTCTCTAATAACACTAGCTGAATAACCAATAACAAACTAGCTGAAAAATAAATCAAGACAATCCCATTTACAACAGCTACAAAAAATAAAAACAATCTAGGAATAAATTTAACCAAGGAGGTGACGGGTCTGTACAACGAAAACTAGAAAACACTGATTAAAGAAATTGGAGGTCAGGTGCAGTGGCTCTTGTCTGTAATCCCAGCACTTTGGGAGGCCAAGGTGGGAGGATCACTTGAGCTCACAAGTTTCAGACCAGCCTGGGCAAATGGTGAAACCTCATCTCTGCCAAAAATACAAAAATTAGCCAGGTATGGTGGCACACCCCTGTTTTCCCAGCTAAAAGGGAGGCAGAGGTGGGAGGATGGCTTAAGCCCAGGAGGTGGAGATTGCAGTGAGCTGAGATGGCACCACTGCACTCCAGCCTGCATAATAGAACCAGACCTTGTATTGGGAAAAAGAAAGAAAGAGAAAAGAAGTTGGAGAAGACACAAACAGACATCTCATGATCATAGACTGGAAGAATTAACATTTCTAAAATGTCCATATTACCCAAAGCAATGTACAGATTCAATGCAGGCCCTATCAAAATACCAATGTCATTCGTCATTGAAATAGAAAAAAAAATCTTAATATGTGTATGGGACACAAAAGACCCTGAACAGCCAAAGCAATTCTAAGCAAAAAGAACAAAGTTGGAGGCTCACACTACCAGACTTCAGAATATACTACAAAGTTATAGTAACCAAACAGCATGGCACCAGCATAAGAATATACATAGACAGAATAGAGAACCTAGAAATCAATCCATGTATGTGATTTTTGACAAAGCCAACTGATTTTTGACAAAGACACCACATACACTTATTGGGAAAAGGACACCCTCTTCAGTAAATGATGCTGAGAAAACTGGATAGTCATAGGTAGAAGAAAGAAACTAGACCCCACCTCTCACTCTATACAAAAATCAACTCAAAATGGATCAAAGACCTAAATGTAAGATCCAAAACTATAAAGCTACTGGAAGAAAACATAGGAGAAACACTTCAGGACATTGATCTGAGAACAGATTTTATGACTAAGTCCTCAAAAGCACAGGCAATAAAAGCAAAAATAAATAGGATTATTTCAAACTAAAAAGCTTCTGCACAGCAAAGGAAATAATCAACAGAGTGAAAAGACAGCCTACAGAATGGAAGAAAATATTTGCCAACTGTTCATCCAACAGGAGTTGAATATCTATATCCAGAATATATAGGCAAGGCGTGGTGGCTCACGCCTGTAATCCCAGCACTTTGGGAGGCTGAGGTGGGTGGATCACTTGAGTCCAGGATTTTGAGACCAATATGGTGAAATGCTGTCTCTACAAAAAAAATACAAAAAGTTTGCCAGGCATTGTGGTGTGTCCCTGCAATCCCAGCTATTCAGAAGGCTGAGGTGGGCAGATCACCTGAGTCTAGGAGGTTGAGGCTGCAGTGGGCCGTGATCATGCCACTGCACTCCAGCCTGGGTGACACAGTGAGGCCCTGCATCCAAAAAAAAAAAAAAGAAAGAAAAAATGAAAAGAATATACAAGAAACATGTCAACAGAAAAAAAATTTTGTAATGAGCAAATAATATGAACAGGGATTTCTCAAAAGAAGACATATATAGCCACAGATAGATGATGAAATGCTCAATATCACTAATCATCAGGGAAATGCAAATCAAAACCACAGTGTGGTATCATCTCACTCCAGGATGACTATGATCAAAAAGACAAAAAATATCAAATGCTGGCAAGGAAAGATGTGGAGAAAAGGGAACTCTTATACACTGTCGGGAATGTAAACTAGCACAGCCACTATGGAGAACAGTATAGAGGTTCCTCAAAAAAACTACAAATAGAACTATCATATGATCCTGCAATCCCACAACGTGGCATTTATCCAAAGGAAAGGAAATCAGTATATTGAAGAGACATCTGCACCCTGATGTTTATTGCAGCATTATTAGCAATAGCCAAGATATGAAATCAACCTTAGGTGTCCAATGACAGATGAATGGTTAAAGAAAATGTGGTATATATGCACAATGGAATATTAGCCGTGAAAAAGAATGAAATCCTGTGATTTACAGCAACACAGATGGATGGAGCTAGAAGACATTATGTTAAGTGAAATAAGGCAGGAACAGAATGTTTAACACCACATGTTCTCACTCATATGTGGAAGCTAAAAAAGTTGATCTCATAGAAGTAAAAAGTAGAACAGAAGATACCAGAGACTGGGAAGGGTAGGGAGAAGAGGGGAATAGGGAGAGATTTTTTAAAGGATACAAAATAAATAGCAGGAGGAAAAAGTTCTAGTGTTCAGCACCACTGTAGGATGACTATAGTTAATAATGTAGTCTCAAATAGCTATAAGAAGGAAATTGGATATTCCCAAAACAAAGAAATGATAAATGTTTGAGATGATGGTTATGCTAATTACCCTGATCAGATCATTGCACATTATATGTATTGAAACATTACTATGTACCTGATATGGTTTAGCTCTGTTTCTCCACCCAAATCTCATTGAATTGTAATCCCCAGTGTTGGGAGAAGGGCCTGGTGGGAGGTGACTGGATCATGGGCATGGATTCCCCCCTTGCTGTTGTGATAGTTCTCACAAGACCTGGTTGTTTAAAAGTGTGTAGCACTTCCCTCTTCACACTCTCTCCTGCCGCCATGTGAGGAAGTTGCTTGCTTCCCCTTTGCCCTTCTGCCATGATCGTAAGTTTCCTGAGGCTTCCCAGCCATGCTTCCTGTAAAGCCTGCAGAACTGTGAGTCAGTTAAACTTCTTTTTTTCATAAAGTACCCAGTCTCAGGTAGTTCTTTATAGCAGTGTGAGAACAGACTAATACAGAAAATTGGTACCAGAGAAGTGGGGCATGCTATAAAGATACCTGAAAATGTGGAAGGAACTTTGGAATTAGATAACAGACAGAGGTTGGAACGGTTTGGAGGGCTCAGAAGAAGGCAGGAAGATGAGGGAAAGTTTGGAACTTCTAGAGACTTGTTGAATGGTTTTGACCAAAATGCTGATAGTGATATGGACAATGAAATGCAGGCTGAGATGGTCTCAGATGGAGATGAGGAACTTATTGGGAACTGGAGCAAAGGTCACCTCAAAGGTCACTTGCTGTGCTTTAGCAAAGAGACTGGCAGCATTGTGTCCCTAACCTAGGGATCTGTGGAACTCTGAACTTGAGAGAGATGATTTAGGGTATCTGGCAGAAGAAATTTCTAAACAGCATAGTGTTCAAGATGTGGCCTGGGTACTTCTAAATGCCTATGCTCATTTGCATAACCAAAGAGAACTTATATTTAAAAGGGAAGCAGGGCATAAAGTTTGGAAAATTTGCAGCCTGACCATGTGGTGGAAAAGAAAAACCCATTTTCTGGAGAGAAATTCAGGTCAGCTGCAGAAATTTTCATAAGTAAAGAGGAACTGAATGTTAATAGCCAAGACAATAGGGAAAATGTATCTAGGGCATTTCAGAGACCTTCACAGCAGCCCCTCCCAACACAGGCCTGGAGGTCTAGGAGGGAAAAATGGTTTCCTGGGCCAGGCCCAGGGCCCCCTGCTCTGTGCAGCCTCAGGACATGGCGCCCTGCATTCCAGCTGCTCCAGCCATGGCTAAAAGGGGCCAAGATACGGCTTGGGCTGTTGCTTCAGAGGGTGCAAGCCCCAAGCCTTGGCTTCTTGCATGTGGTGTTGAGCCTGTGAGGCTTAGGAACCTCCACCTAGATTTCAGAGGATGTCTGGAAACACCTGGATGTCCAGGCAGAAGTCTGTTGCAGGGTTTAGGCCCTCATGGAGAACCTCTACTAGGGTGGTACAGAGGGGAAATATGGCGTTGGAGCCCCCACACAGAGTCCCCACTGGGGTACTGACTACTGGAGCTGTGAGAAGAAGGCCACCATCCTCCAGACCCCAGAATGATAGATCCACCAACAGCTCACACCATCTGGAAAAGCCACAGGTACTCAATACCAGCCCACAAAAGCAGCCACAGGGATGGAGCTGCCCAAGGCCATGAGAGCCTGCCCCTTGCATCAGTGTGTCTTGGATGTGAGACATGGAGTCGAAGGAGATTGTTTTGGAGCTTTAAGATTTAATGACTGCCTGTTGGGTTTTGGGCTTTCATGGGGCCTGTAGTCCCTTTGTTTTGGCCAATTTCTCCCTTTTGATGGGAGCATTTACCTAATGTCTGCACTCCCCTTGTATCTTGGAAGTAACTAACTTGTTTTTTATTTTAAAGGATCATAGGCAGAAGGGACTTGCCTTGTCTCAAATGAGACTTTGGACTTGGACTTTTGAGTTAATGCTGGAATGAGTTAAGACTTTGGGGGACTGTTGAGAGCATGATCGGTTTCAAAATGTGAGAAGGACATGAGATTTGGGAGGGGACAGGGGCAGAATGATATGGTTTGGTTCTGTGTCCCCACTCAAAACTCATGTTGAATTGTAATCCTCAGTGTTGGGGGAGGGACCTGGCAGGAGGTAATTGGATCATGGGGGCAGATTTCCCTCTTGCTGCTCTTGTGATAGTGAGTGAGTTCTTACAAGATGTGTTTAAGTGTGTATCATTTCCCCCTTTGATCTTTCTCTCCTGCAACCACGTGAAGAAGTTGCCTGCTTCCCCTTAGCCCTTCCGCCATGATTTTAAGTTTCTTGAGGCCTCACAGCCTGTGGAACTGTGAGCCAATTAAACCTCTTTTCTTCATAAATTACCCAGTCTCAGGTAGTTCTTTATAGCAGTTTGAGAAGGGACTAATACAGTACTCCATCAATATGTATAATTACATGTCAATTGAATTTTTTTTTTAAAAAAAGATATTACAACTTTCATATGGGTTGTGCATCTGCTAGTGCTCTTTTCTCTCTCTCTCTGTCCCTCTCTCTCTGCCTCCCCCATCTCCCTCTCCACCCCCCTCCCCCTCTCCCCATCCTTTCCCCTCTCTCCTTCCCTCCCTCCCCTTCTTAACTCACCCAGGAGGAAGCCAGTTGCCATTTTGTGAGCAGCCCAATGTACAGGCCCATAAGGGAAAAACTGAAGCTTCTTGCCAACAACCACAAGTAAGCTGGGAGGCAGATCCTGCAGTCTCAATCAGACATCCAAGTGACTGGTGCCCCAGTTAACAGCTTGACTGGAATCTCATGAGAGAGGTTCTGAGCCAGAATCACTCAGCTAAGATGTTCCCAAATTCCTGAATTCTGAAAACTGTATGAGATAATACATGTTTATTGTTATTTTAAGCAACAAAGTTTGGGAGTAATTTGTTATGTAGCAATAAATAATACTGTTTGCTTCCTAGGGGGAAAAAATAAAAAAACAAAGCTCTAGGCATCATACTACCTGATTTGAAAACTAACTACAAAGCTATAACAAATCAGTATGGTACTGGCACAAAAGCAGACATAGACCAATGGAACAGGACAGAGAGCCCAGAAATAAATCCACACATTTACAGTCAATTGATTTTCCACAAAAATGCCAAGAACACACAGTGGGGAAATGATAATATCTTCAATAAATGGTGCTGGAAAAACTGAATATCCACATGCAGAAGAATAAAATTGGACCTTCATCTCACACCACATACAAAAATCAACCAAAGTGGATTCAAATTTTAAATGTAAGACCTGAAACTATAAAACTACCAGAAGAGGCCAGGTGCAGTGGCTCACACCTGTAATCCCAGCTCTTTTGAAGGCCGAGGCAAATAGATTACTTGAGTCCAGGAGTTTGAGACCATCCTGGGCAAAATGGTGAAACCCTGTCTCTACAAGTAATACAAAAAAATTTATCCGGGTGTGGTAGTGTGCACCTATAGTCCCAGCTACTAGGGAGGCCGCGATGGGAGGATCACTTGAGCCTGAGAGATTGAGGCTGCAGTGAGCCATGATCACGCCATTGCACTCCAGCCTGGGTGACAGAGTGAGAACCTGTCTCAAAAAACAAACACCTGTCAAAAGAAAACACAGGGGAAAAACTCCATGACATTGGTCTGAGCAAACATGTTTTGAATATGATCCTAAAAGCATTGGCAACAAAGGCAAAAATACAAACACAAATGAGATTACATCAAACTAAAAAGTTTCAGTGCAGTAAAGGAAACAACAGCGTGGAGAGACAGCCTATGGGATGGGGGGAATTATTTGCAAACCATACACCTGATAAGGGGCTCATACCCAAAATATCTAAGGAACTCCGTAGCAAGAAAATAACTCGGTTTTTAAAATGTGCAAAGGACCTGACTAAAGATTTCTCAGAAAAGACATACAAATGGCCAGCAGGTGTATGGAAAAAATGCTCAACATCACTAATCAGAGAAATGCACATCAAAACCGCAATGAGATACCACCTCACACCTGTCAGAATGCCTGTTATCAAGAAGATAAGAGAATAAGTGTTGGTGAGGATACAAAAAAAAAAGGGAACTCCTGTACACTGTTGATAGGAGTGTAAATCAGTATGGGCATTATGGAAAACAGTATGGAGCTTCCTTGAAAAATTAAAAATAGAGCTACCATATGATCCAGCAATCTCACAACGGGGAATATATCCAAAGGAAATGAAATCAATATGTCACAGAGCTGTCTGCATTCCCATGTTCACTGCAGCAGCATTCTTAATACCAAAGAAAAGGAGTCAGCCTCGGTGACCACCAACAAATGAATGGATGAGGAAAATGCAGTCTATATCCACGAAGGAATACCACTCAGCCTTTAAAAAGAAGCAAATCACACTTTGGGAGGCCGAGGTGGGTGGATCACGAGGTCAGGAGATCGAGACCATCCTGGCTAACACAGTGAAACCCCGTCTCTACTAAAAATACAAAAAAATTAGCTGGGCGTGGTGGCGGGCGCCTATAGTCCCAGCTGCTGGGGAGGCTGAGGCAGGAGAATGGCGTGAACCCAGGAGATGGAGCTTGCGGTGAGCTGAGCTCGCACCACTGCACTCCAGGCTGGGCAATAGAGCCAGACTCCATCTCAAAACAAATAAATAAATAAATAGAAGAAACAGCAGCAAATCCTGTCATTTGTGACATCATGGATGAAGCTGGAGGACATTATGTTAAGTGAAATAAGCTAGCCAAAGAAAGATAAATGCTGCATGATGTCACATATAGGGAACGTAAAAACGTCAAACTCAGAAACAAAGAGTGAAATGGTGGTTACTGGAGGCTGGGAGGTTGGGGAGCTGTTGGTCAAAGGACACAAAATTTCATTTAGGAGGAATAAGTTGAGATCTATCATGTATCTTGGTGATTACAGTTAATAATATATTGTATATTTGAAAATTGCAAATGGAGTAGATTTTGTTTTTACCATAAAAATATAAGTATATGAGGTAATACATTTAAATAGCCTCATGTAGCCATCCCACAATGTATACATATATCAAAACATCATGATGTGCGCCATAATATGTCAAATTGTACTTGTCAATTTAAAAAATAAATCAAGGCAGTTTATGGGATTATCAGGACCTCTGTTCAAACCAGGACCAGCACACACCAACAAATTATTCTTCCTCAGCCCCTTTCCTATTTTATCAGTCCCCAAGAGTTCCTTTAGTTGTCATTCAAGTCACAGCACAATTGAGTAAATTGCAGCATCTTTACATTCAGGTCATGCCTCCCTAAGCATATGCTTTGGATTGGGTTTGAAGAGCCCTCTCGTCTCATCTAATGGTAGATGAGACACAGGCTTGAGAGCTGGGCAGTGCTAGGCCCTGGGGATGTGGCAGGCCTGAGCTGAGCCCCAGTTCTTGCCATCAGGAAGCCTGACCCTGTCCCATCTTGTGGCACTTAGCGCACGTTCTACTAGCAGGTCCCTGGGAGCAAAGTCTCTTATCTGGAAATATCTTTAGACTCAGCAATAGCACCTGGTTCTGCTGATATTGACTTGGGAGCTTGGAGGATCACAGAGCAGGCTAGGAGCCAGGCCCAGGATATGAAAACAAGCAGCTGCACCTGCCTTGCTCCAGCCCCAGGGGGCTCCAGCTGTGTTTTCAGGTCACATGCCCACCACTTGGCTATGATGGGTGATAAGGAGGATCTGGGAAGACCCTTCCTATTACCATTTGGGGAAGGCAGGTAACTGGTCTGAACATTCTCCTGCCATCCTGCCCCCTGCGATGAGGAGATGATCCCTGGATAAGGGCACTGACGGGAGAGGGGAGGGCATTTGAGTTGTCCAAAAAACAGCAGTGTCCATCATAGCTTTGTTTCTCCTTTGTACCTGGTGATATGGTTTGGCTCTGTGTCCCCACCCAAATCTCATCTCAAATTGTAATCCCCAGTGTTAGAGGAGGGGCCTGGTGGGAGGTGATTGGATCCTGGTGGTGGAGCTCTGGTGAATGGGTTAACACCATCCCTTCGCCACTGCCCCCCCCAACCCAACGGCCCCAGGCTCCCTTGGTACTGTATAGGGAGTGAGTTCTCACAAGACCTGGTTGTTTAAAAGTGTGTAGCACTGGCTGGGCGCAGTGGCTCATGCCTGTAATCCCAGCACTTTGGGAGGCTGTGGCAGGCGGATCACCTGAGGTCAGGAGTTCAAGACCAGCCCTGGTGAAACCCCGTCTCTCCTAAAAATACAAAAATTAGCTGGGCGTGGTCGCGGGCACCTGTCATCCCAGCTGCTTGGGAGGCTGAGGCACAAGAATCACATGAACCCAGGAGACAGAGGTTGCAGTGAGCTGAGGTGGCACCGCTGCACTACAGCTTGGTGACAGAGGGAGAATCTGTCTCAAAAAAAAAAAAAAAAAATTAGCTGTGCACGGTACTGTGCACCTATATAGTCCCAGCTACCCAGGAGGCTGAAGCAGGAGGATCACTTGAACCCAGGAGGGGGAGGTTACAGTGGGCCATGATGGTGCCACTGCATTCCAGCCTGGGCAACAGAGTGAGACTCCATCTCCAAAAAAAAAAAAAAAAAAGTGTGTGGCCCCTCCCCACCTCTCTCTTCCTCCCATTCCAGCCATGTGAAGTGCTGGCTCCGCCTTCATCCTCCACCTTGATTGTAAGTTTCCTGAGGCATCCCCAGAAGCTGAGTAAATGGCGTCATGCTTTCTGCACAGCCTGCAGAATCATGAGCCAATTAAACTTCTTTTCTTTATAAATACCCAGCCTCAGGTATTTTATAGCAGTGCGAGAATGGACCAGTACACCTGACAGAATCTGAATGTGTAACCACCCAGTGGATTCTTCCTGCCCTCTTCCCAGAGAGAGCTGATTTATCAAGACAGGGGAATTGCAATAAAGAGTTTAATTCACCCAGAGCCGGCTGAACAGGAGATTGGAGTTTTATTATTACTCAAATCAGTCTCCCTGAGCATCTGAAGGCTAGGGTTTGTCTAAAGTAGACTGTGGGAAGGGGTGGGGATAGGTAGCCAACGGGTGCTTGCTGATGACTGGTTGGGGATGCTATCATAGGGGTATGGGAAATGGTCCTCCACGCTGAGTCGAGTGGCTTGCTAATCTGGACGAGGCCACACAAGAGGCTGTGGGTCCACGTGGGACCATTTGTTGTCAGGCATGCAAAAAACCCAAAAAGATATATCTAAAGGCCAATCTTAGGCTCTACAATTGTGATGTTACCTGCAGGAGTAACTGGGGAAGTTGCCCATCTGGTGGCCTCTGGAATAACGGCTGGCAATGGTCTATATCAACACCTTAGCAGACAGAATTCAGGCTCCTCTATCCTCCTAGCCTGGTGGTCTCTCATTAGCTAACGAGAGACCAAGTTGACTGTACAAAGGCAGTTGAGTATTGGGGAAAGGCTATTATTTAAACTAAAGTAAACATCTTCCAAAGTTAGCTTGGCCTAAGCACGGGAATAATTAAGGGTAGCTTGAAGGCCAAAGACAAAGTGAGGGTTGGCAGGCGAGATCTTCTACACTGCCGGAATTTTCTCACTGTTAACAAGTTTTGCAAAGGTGGTTTCAAATGGATGCGTCTATATCACACCTGAAGATAGTTACAGTCAATTTCCAGCTTCACGGAATTCTCCCCTGCGCCTTTTTCTTCCCTTTGAGCCTCCAGGATTGCTCAATCGTTCCCTTGGGCAAGACACTGGGCTGGCTGCGGTGAACACAAAAGGGAGCCGTACACAGCCCTGCCCTCAGGCACCTGCCGGCTGGGGAAGGACACGTTCAGCAGGAAACGCTCCCATAGCTCTTTAAGCATTTGTTTCTATTGTTATACTTTAGTTCTTAAAAAAGATGGCCTAGAGGTTCTTTGCTTTCAGGTTATACATTTGTTCAGGTGGGATGTATTGTCCCAACCTACCTCTATGTGACTTTGTTCATTTATTTTGGGCACTTTTAGAAGAGAATCTGGGCTTCGACCTTTGTGAAGATTCACTCTTACCAGGTGCTATTTGTCATAGCCTCTGTTTTCCATTCTGCTTTTTTCACATTTTATTATCCAAAGGGAGGTTTTTTGGTTTGGTTTTTTGAGACGAAGTCTCACTCTACTGCCCAGGCTGGAGCGCAAGGCTCACTGCAACCTCCACCTCCTGGGTTCAAGCAATTCTCCTGCCTCAGCCTCTCGAGTAGCTGGGATCACAGGTGCCCACCAGCACACCCGGCTAATTTTGTATTTTTAGTATTTTCACCATGTTGGTCAGGCTAGTCTCAAACTCCTTACCTCAGGTGATCCACCTGCCTCGGCCTCCCAAAGTGCTGGGATTACAGGCATGAGCTACTGCGCCCGGTCAGGTTTTTTTTTTTATATATGAAAACTCTGAAGTCCTCTTACTAGGAGCATTACCTTCCTCCTGATGGTATAAACGAGCACAGGTTTTCATGTTGCTATGGTTTGAATGTGTCTCCTCCAGAATTCAGGTGTTGAAACTTAATAGCCAATGTGTTAAGAGGTGGGGGCTTTAAGCGGTGATTAGAGTGTGAGGGCACCTCCCTCGTGAATGGTAATAAGGCCCTCATAAAAGAGGCTGCACATAGTATTCAGCTGGCTTGCCTGCAGCCAGCTGGCCCCCCGTTCCGGAAGATGCTGCAATCAGGCGCCATCCTGGAAGCAGAGAGCAACCCTCACCAGACAACTGAACCTGCTGGCACCTGGATCATGGACTTCCCAGCTTCCAGAACTGTGAGAAATTGAGTTTCTGTTCTTTATAAATCACCTAGTCTCAGATATATATTCTTGAGAGTCTTGCTCTGTTGCCCAGGCTGGAGTGCAGTGGTGCGATCTCAGCTCACTGCAACCTCCGCCTCCTGGGTTCAAGCGATTCTCCTGCCTCAGCCTCCTAAGTAGCTGGGATTACCGGTGTCCGCCGCCACGCCTGGCTAATTTTTGTATTTTTAGTAGAAACAGGGTTTTGTTGTGTTCGTCAGGCTGGTCTCAAACTCCTGACCTCAGGTGATCTGCCCGCCACAGCCTCCCAAAGTGCTGGGATTACAGGCGTGAGCCACTGCGCCCGGCCAGTCTCAGGTATTTTGTTATAGCAGCACAAAAACAGACTAAGACATGTTTTTATAGATATCTGCACATGTTTCTCAAGTTTGGGGTTTATTGAAGGGCCTGATGGGCGGTGTACGTCCAAGTTCCTGGTCTCCGTGACGTGGGCTAACTGTCCTAACATTAATCAAGAACTGAGCCAGGGAGGGTGAGTGGAGGTGGGGAAAGGGCCTCGGAGGGCTTTTCTGGCAGGAGGGGTGCCAGGCTGTGTGGTTCCTTCAGGACTTGGGGCCGCTGGCAGAGTTTCTGGCTTATGTGGCTCTCGGTCCAGGGGCATGTGGCAGGGACGGTGGGTGGGGTGGCATCTGGACACCACAACTGGCCCAGGCTTCTGCCCCACCTGGAACCCGTGTGTGCCAGCTTCTGGGTGTGTGTGCAGGCTCTGTTCAACTTGCTGGGCTTCCAGGCAGGGCCCGGGGCGAGGTTTCTGAACCAGCAGGGTTGAGAATCACTGTGGTTATCAGTCCAGCTCGGTTACACACCCCACCCGGCCTATCTGTGTGTAAATGGCCTAGACACCCTTTTTACAAGCTGTAATGAAGGATAATAGCAGCCACCAGCTGCAAACACCACTATGCACAGCCACTTTATTCTCCCCCAGTCACCTGGGAGGGTAGCTGCTATTATCTCCATTTTCCTCAGAAGGAATTGGCTTCAGAGACCTGCCAGCTAACGAGTTGTATTTGGAGCTTGGGGTGTGCGACTTCCAATTTACCTGGAATGAACAGTAAAAGCCTTACCGGGAAAGCATGTATTCCCGCAGAATGGCTGTGTGTAAGGGTGTTTAAAAGCTCCTGCCTAGTTCCCAGGGAGCAGCTCCCCACGCTCGCTCAGTGCCCGCTCAGAGGTGTGGCTGCGCAGGGGCCATCCAAGGGCAGCAGGAATCCACAACCCGCTTTCCCTGAAACGAGGCCCGCAGAACTTGTGAGAGAGGCCCGCTAGAGTGCACTGCCAGGGACCAGTTTGTAACCTGTGCTGTGTGTGTGGGAAGTCAGAGGCGCTGAGAAGGGCCTGCAGGTGGGAAAGGGCTGATTCTGCCAGACGAGGGTGCCCTGCAGGGGGTGCTGGTTGTCTAGGAGGACGCCCACCGTGGAGGGCTTCTCCTGGGCCACGTGTCTCGCGTGCCCTCTTGCAGCTGCTTTCCCAGCCCCTGAAGTGTGTGACGTACTAAAAGAAGCTGACCCCTGGGGTTATGCAGGTGCGGTCACATTCCCAGAGTGAGGACCGGGGAATCCTGGAAAAAATGACCAGCCTGTCTCCTACTCTGTTTAAAAAAAAAAAAATGTGTGTTGGGGAGGCCGGTGCTCCCCGCTGCGGGCTGCAGTGAGGATCTGCAGCCACTCTGTTGAATTCAGGCCCACAGTCAGAGCCTGTCGGTCAGTGGTTATTTCCTGAGTGCCAAGTATATGCCAGGCGCTGTCCTTTGCAATGGGGACAAGCAGGGAGTAGGTCAGACATGGTCTCCCCTCTGGAGGGGACAGAGGTGACACCCTGCCCACACAACACAGCCTGAGACATTGTGACGTGGAGGGTGTGCCGGCTGAGGGCACGGGAGGGACCTGAACCTGTGCAAAACTTTTCCTATTTTTAAAATTTGGACTCCTCCATCTTGCTTCTGATCTAATCTTTCATTTCTTTACCCAGCAAAGGAATAGAAAGAAAACAAAGTTCTCTGCAAGTCACCATTCCGCAGAAATCAGAGCAGATCCCTGCAGAAGTTGAGCAGCAGCTTAGAATGTTGGAGTCAGTGAATTCTAGCATCCAGGTGACCTCAGAGTTCACGGTGCCCCCTTCTCCCACCCAAACACAGGCACCAGACTTGGCCCCAGGGGCTGGGAAGGAGTGGGAGGGAGGCTCTGGGGTGAGTGTTCCAGGAAGCAGAGGACAGGAAGCATTCTGTGTCCAGCAGAGAGCTCTGCAGCCACCAGGGGCAGCTACGTTCTCAAGTGCTGTGTGCTCAGGGAAGAGTCTGCCCAGAGTAGAGATGGGCCCTGCTCAGCATCTGGCCGGGCATACAGAAGGCGAGGCTGAATTGGCAGGGCTGACACGGTGGGTCAGTGCGGGGACGACTCAATCAGCAGGGGAAGGGCTTCATGGAGTAGGCGGCACTGTCCTCCCCGCTGAGAAGGTAGACAGGGAAGGAGAGGCGACAGCCTGAGCTGAGCCCATCAGTGGGGAGTCACCTGCAGATGACAGGCCCATCCTGTACCCAGTCAGTTCTGACTTTACGGAACCCTTGTCATGGCGCTAACGTTGCTCTAATTCACGATTGTCCTGCTTTATTCTACGGAGCTCTGCAGGAGACATGTTTGTGGGAGAGGGTGGAGCAACTCGGCCTTCACACCCTAGCCAGTGGCGTGAAGGAGGCGGTGCTTGGAGGGACCCCTGGTGCCCCTGCATCTGCGCCTTCCTCCTGCCATCAGGGGGATGGAAACTCGCCCAGCTCTCCAGGAGGGGCAGTGTGGCCCACTGGGAAGAGCGAGGCACAGCCCCATCATGGCCCCTGTGTGAGCCGAACAAGGCACTGGGCCTCTGAAAAATACAGAACATAAAAGTGATGTTTCATCTGCAGCAAAGGTCCCAGCAACGTGTGGGAAAATGCTTTACAAAGGTCACATGTTACTTGTGGAAGAGGAAAGCCCACAGGGGCCTCATCAATGAACACTGCAGTGAATAAATCATTCAGAGCTTTGGGAATCCTTCTAGAAGCAGTGTATTTCCACTCAGCTCTGCTTGCTGAAAGTGTTTTTCCAAAGATGCAGCTCCAGAATCAGATGTCCGTGACTTGCCCAGAGCTGCAGGAAAGGCTTCCTGCGGTGCCATCTTCTGGCCAGGCGGGGCGGACTCCAGGCCCCCGGGGTGGGGGTCTGAGCTCCCAATGGGTGGCCCCAGCTGATCAGAGGCTCCATCCCAGGGGCCTCCTCTCTCAGGGCCATCCATGGCCATCTTTCTGCCACCAGTCTCCTCACACCACATCCTGGGTCCTCTCTAAAGCTTTCCCCAAGGAAAACGGCAGTTTGACACCTGTCCACCTGCTCCAGGGACACACCACACCTATGCCGAGGAAGCGAGTTTTCCCATCTCCACTCCTCCTGAGGGCAGGACTGTGTCTGGCTCACTCCTGTGTCATCCCTGGCACAGTCAATAGTTACCGAGTGCCAAGTATATGCCAGGCGCTTGGTGAGACAGAGTGCGTGTTGCTGTCCTTTAAGTCACTATCGAGTAAACTTATGAACAGAGCGTTCACAAACCATACGTGTACCACTAGCTTAACTCGCAATGTGAACACACCGGTGTCACCAGCACCCAGAGGTCCCCTGGATTCCTCCATCGCACCACACCCCTCATGTGAACCACGACCCTGATTACTAGTGTAGATCGTTGCGCCTGTCTGGAATTTGGTACCAATTGAGTTGTATATCAAGCCCCCCTTGGGAAATGGCTTCTTTCACTCAACGGTATGTCTGTGTGACTTATCCGTGTTATTCATCCTCATGGCTGAAGAGCATCCCACTGATTGGCTACACCATAGTTCATCCGTTCCATTGTTAGTGAGAATTCAGGTTGTTTCCAGTACTGGCCTGTTAATATTTTTGTTTCTGTCTTTTGGTGGCCGTAGGTGTCCATTTCTCGTGCTCAAGCGTGGCCGCTGGGTCTAAGAACTCATCTTGGGAATTGGCCTCGGGTCAGTTGTTGTTTTTTTTTTTTTTTTTTTTTTTTTGAGACGGAGTCTTGCTCTGTCCCCCAGGCTGGAGTGCAATGGCATGATCTCGGCTCACCACAACCTCCACCTCCCGGCTTCAAGCAATTCTTCTGCTTCAGCCTCCTGAGTAGCTGGGACTACAGGCGCCCGCCACCACGCCCAGTTAATTTTTGTGTTTTTAGTAGAGATGGGGTTTCATTATGTTGGCCAGGCTGGTCTCAACCTCCTGACCTTGCGATCCACCCACCTCAGCCTCCCAAAGTGCTGGGATTACAGACACGAGCCACCGCGCCCACCAGCTTGGCTCTTTAAGCAGCAGCTGCTCCGGTCTCCCTCCCTCCTACCTCCATTGGGATTGGGACCTTTGATACCAATTGCTTCCCTCAACTATTGCATGTCCTCAGTAGCATCCACTTTGGACTCGCCTCCCAGACCAGTCTACTTCAGGCGACTGTGTAGATCCTGACTGTCTGATTACCCGGCCACGACCCTCTCATATCTGCCTCAACCAGGACTCTGTGCAGTAAACAAAGGACTACATTTTCAGCCCTCATGTTTAGAAACTGCCTGTGTGAATTGCAATGCGAAAATTCACAGAGCAAATATAGGCACACCCATTTATCTGCAGAAGGACCTGGAAAAGCCATCCTGGTCCATGAGCATCACCACTCCAAGCAGTCGGACAGGACTCCGACTTAGGAATGATTTTTGCAGGGTCAGGGGGTAAATGTCATTAGTACCTTGTTGAATGCATACATGCCTGATGAATGAACAAGCCTCTACGGCTTCGGGGGCAACAGGATAGGCAAGATGGGACATGCTAGACATGTACTCGCATGCGCTCACATACTCAGTCTTTTCCTGAGCTTGACCCTAAGTGCAGGGCCTGTCATCTGCCTTCTGCCCCAGCTAGGGGTGTGGTTGGCTCTAGAGCCTGGCAGGGTCTGCTGTTGAGCTGCTAGGTGGGGCTGGGTTGGGTCCAGCCTAACTGGCCGGGTGCTCTGAGGGGACCTCAGCTTCACATTGAGGTTTTTGTTTTTTTTCTTTGAGACAGGATCTCACTGTGTCACATACACTAGAGTGTAATGGCACAATCATGGCTCACTGCAACCTCCACCTCCCAAGCTGAAGAGATCCTTCCACCTCGGCCTCCCAAGTAGCTGGGACTACGGGTGTGGACACTCGGCTAGTTTATTTTTTATTTTTTGCAGAGACGGAGGTCTCACTTTGTTGCCCAGGCTTAGTCTCAAACTCCCAGGCAAAAGCGATCCTCCTACCTCAGCCTCCCAAAGTGCTGGGATTACGGGTGTGAGCCACCACGCTGGGCTCACATTGAAGCACTTATGAGAGAAGCTGTAGTCCCCCATTCCAGACATCTGTTCCCTCAGATCCCTGTGCTTTGCCTATCTCAAAGGTCAGCATTGGGTCCTAGTAGTCTTGGGGTCCACATCCCAGCCCCTAGCAAACTTGGGCCTGATGGTTTGCCCAACCCAGCCTCTTCTTTTTTTTTTTTTTTTTTTGAAAAGACGGAGTCTCACTGTTGCCCAGGCTGGAGTGCAGTGGCATGATCTCAGCTTACTGCAACCTCTGCTTCCCATGTTCAAGCGATTCTCCTGCCTCATCCTCCTGAATAGCTGGGACTACATGTGCACGCCACCATGCCTGGCTAATTTTTGTATTTTTAGTAGAGGTACTGTTTCACCATGTTGGCCAGCATGGTCTCAATCTCCTGACCTCGTGATCCACCCACCTCAGCCTCCCAAAGTGCTGGGATTACAGGCGTGAGCCACCGTGCCCAGCCCAGCCTCTTCTCTCTAGATGAATGAGTCGGCCCATCCTCCTCCAGCATGCCCATAGCCCCCACCCCCACACCACCCCTGCCTCATCTCCACATGAGATGAGGTTTCCAGGTAACTGCCTCCCTTTATACTCACCGCTGCTGGCCTCTCCGTGACCCCATCAGTCCCTCTCTAAGTGGCATAATGTGGGCCCAGGTGACTCCCTGATTGACTCAGAAGGCACTGGATAGCTCTAGCAATTCACTGCCTGTGACCCTTGGAAATGATGATGGGGACAGCAAAAATCCCTTTGGGATAGGACTGACCTCTTTGGACCCCCAGTGATGTGAAAGGACCTCAGTGAATTCTAGCTGGACTGGCTGATCTTCCACTGGCCTCTTGGTGACTCGTCAGAGATCTCCACTGTGTGCCCCATGTTCATCCAGATATTTGGTTTCCCGAGGTATCTTCATTTGGTTTCCCCGGGAACCCCAAATATCTGACGTGCTTCCCACATACTCAGTGCAGCCTCTGAATTAGGCTGGAATTGCCTCATTATTCCAGGTTCTCAGGGAAAACACGCTCTGGGAATCCCCTGTTCAGCTCACACCTGGCCCACGGTGAACCTCCCCTCCTGGTACTGTGTGGCCTTCCCACTTTTCCCGAGAGCTCCGGAGTCCTGTCCGACCGCTTGGAGTGGTGATGCTCATAGACCAGGATGGCTTTTCCAGGTCCTTCTGCAGATAAATGGGTGTGCCTATATTTGCTCTGTGAATTTTGGCATTGCAACTCACACAGGCAGCTTCTAAACATGAGGGCTGAAATGTACTCTTGTTTACTGCACACAGTCCTGGTTGAGGCAGGTATGAGACACTCGTGGCCAGGTAATCAGACAGTCAGGATCTACACAGTCGCCTGAAGTAGACTGGCCCGAGAGGCAAGTCCAAAGCGGATGCTACTGAGGACATGCAATAGTTGAGGGAAGCAATTGGTATCAAAGGTCCCAATCCCAATGGAGGTAGGAGGGAGGGAGACAGGAGCAGCTGCTGCTGAAAGAGCCGACCTGGTGGGCGCGGTAGCTCACGTCTGTAATCCCAGCACTTTGGGAGGCTGAGGTGGGTGGATCACAAGGTCAGGAGGTCGAGACCAGCCTGGCCAACATAATGAAACCCCGTCTCTACTAAAAACACAAAAATTAACTGGGCGTGGTGGCGGGCGCCTGTAGTCCCAGCTACTCAGGAGGCTGAAGCAGAAGAATCGCTTGAAGCCGGGAGGTGGAGGTTGTGGTGAGCTGAGATTGTGCCACTGCACTCCAGCCTGGGCAACAGAGCAAGACTCCATCTCAAAAAATAAAAATAAAAATAAAAAAAAAGGCCGACCCGAGGCCAATTCCCAGGATGAGTTCTCAGACCCAGCGGCCACGCTTGAGCACGAGGTCATGCCTGTTCTCCGGACAGACTCAGATCCAGGTCAAGCCAGGCTGGCGCACAGAGTGATGTGGCACCAAGGGCAACCTCGGGCGATACCTGAGGGCTGAGCTGTAGTTCCCTCGAGGCAAGGGATGCCCTCGTGGCCTCAGCTGTGGGGCGAAGAGAAAATGGGCTGCAAAGCAGGGCAGGGTTTTGTTGCAGCGGCTCAACAAGTGGTAAAGCAGCAAGGCTGGCTTTGGAATCAGAAGTCTGGGGCTCTGACCTTGCCACTTCCTGCCGTGTGACCTTTAGAGTTAACTCTTGGCTGCTTCGCAAGAAACTCGCCAATATCCCTGCCCTGTCCACCACACAGAGTTGATGGGTCTAGCAGATAAGCTGCCATCTGGGAAGATGCTACGTAAACTGCAGGTCCCTGTTCAGACATTGTGGTGTTCTGCTGATCCACGATGCCTTGTATTTTGTCATCATCTTTGTCCTGGGAGGAATCACTGGGGTTTGACAACAGGTGACCAGCTAGGTGTCATACAGGGCCAGGATGGTCCCCCCGGATCCCAAGCTTTCTCATCTCCTATCTCGAGTCACACACAACTTCAGGCTGGGGACTGGGGAAGACAGGAAGAAATGAAGCCTCACCCCTTTCTCCAACCCACCTGGCCCATGAACTCTCCAGCCACGAAAGGGGTCACTCCTCCGTGGAGGCCCATTAGTTTCATGACGCACACTCCCAGCCCAGCTGCTAGTCTCTTCCAGCAGGTGCATGAGCAGGTTTGGCCACGGCCTCAACCCACTTTCAGGCACAGATCCAGCAAAATCAGACTCCATGTGTACTCACTGTCCTAGGAGTTGACATCGTCAAAATAACTTACTGGGTCGTTTCTGATTGTAAAAGTAATTGTATCTTCATTTCAGAAAAGTAGAAAATTTAAAACAAACACTATTAATCTTGGCACATTCCTTTTGCCTTTTTATTTCCATCAATTTCCCGTATCTCCCTGATTCCTGAAGAATTCCATCTGACCTCTAACTGCCCCTTCCTGACCCTACCGCAGGGAGGCTGAGTCCAGAGATCCTTCTTACTCCCTTCATTCAGCATAGAACTAGGGTGGGACAGTAAGGGTTAAGGGCATTACCAATTCCCAGTGACTGAATTGTAATGAGGATGAGATGCTAAATTAAAGTTTATTGCAGAATAAAAGTGTGTGCAGTCAGCATTTGTAAGAGGCTACAATGAGATGCCTTCTAGGACTTGGCAATACAATTAGGTAGAGAGTTAAAACAGTAGAGTGCACACGCAGATGAGATGCGCTGTCTGCAGGAATCACTTTAAAAGATCAGTTAGCTTTAGGAAAGGCAGAGCTAGTCTTGAATGCTAGTCAAGAGGTGATTAAACATGGAAGAAGCAATGGCCTCATCAGAGCATAGAGATATTTGCAGAGACATGGTATAGGGTGCGGGGTGGGGGGGCACTGTATGGAGGACAGAGAAGGGGACAAAGAGGGAAGCCTGTCAGTGTTTCTCCTCCACTGTGTTGGGACCAGGTGCACTGAGGTAGACGAGGCACTAGTCTGTGGGAAGGTATCTGCTGGGTTAGGGGGATGGAGTAATGCAGACAATGGGCCAAGAGTGCGGACTCTAGAGCCAAAGTGACCGGGTTCAAACCCTGACTGCCACTCATGTACGAGCTGTGCCACACTGGGTAAAGATGTGGACTTCTTGAGCTCTTTTCCTGATCTGTGAAATGGGGCTGCTTTAATCTCCCTCACAGGGTTGCTGTGGAGATTATGCATAGAAAGCTTAAGGTAGCCATTGAACTATAATTAATATTAACAAGGATTTTATTACTGATAATGACTTTATTTAGCAGTTCCTAGGAAGGTTGTTCAATAGACTCCAACCCTTGAAGCTGTTCTTTTCTGAGTATGGACTTGCCGCGCTGAGGCCTGGCCCCTGAGTCTTGGTGACCAAGCGACCCCCCCAAGCTCTGCCGGGCAGCAGCCTCCCTCGATGCCTGATCTTCAGTTAGAACTGCAGCCAACACTGCCCCACATGACACGTGTAAGCCGAACAGAAAGGCTGTAACTGCGTGTGAAATAAATGCTATTTGGTGGTGGTGGGGGGGGGGTATCAAGTTTTATTTGCTATAAACCCAATGTAGCCAGAGTTCTGGGAGTTATCATGAGTGGTGACTCTGAGTAGATACTGCGGACAGTACAGTTTATCTGCACCTCATTGAGGTCTTGTAAAGGTTTAATGGGGTAATGGCCATACGCTATTTCCTAGCACGTAGGAAAGACCTGATATATAAATGTTTCACACTTTGCAAACGTGAGTTTTGGTTTTGGGGTTGGGTACACTCCAAAACAGCAGATTTGTTCTGGTATAAAAGAAAAAAAAAATCACGTTTATTTTACAAGGCAGTTATTTTCCTAAAGTGTTACATATCAAGGAAAGTTGAGCTGTCTGTAGGAAAACAATATAATTTTAGGAAATTACAGAAGAGTCAACATTGTGCTTAAAACTTTAAAATAGTTTTTAAAAATAGCAGAGTAAGTGAATATTGCCAGGTATGAACAGCCTTAAAAAGTGAGGTGGACACAACGATATAGAAGCTCAATATTAAAGCCGCTAGTGATAAGTCGCTTTGAGAAGTGTTCAGGCTACTAAGAGAACACTGCTTCAACCTTAATCGAAAAAAGAAGTCATAGCACTAACTGAAACATGGCCTTTTCCTAGAACAGCTAACTCTCAGTTATCTACAGTAATGAAAAAGAGCAGTGACAATTTTTAAATGGTGAATAATTCCAAAATTAATGTTGAGAAGTGCCCTATTTCTGTGTTGATGTGAGAGACACTGATATCCGGGAACTTACAGCACTGACCACGTGTGTGGAACTCCCACTGGCTTCCCCCTTCTTCCCTCCTCCTCAGTGGGAGAGGACAAAATCGTACTACTGAAAAGCCTAAAATATAACTGGCCTCCTCAGTTCTGGTTCACACCTCCTCTGGAGAAGGGGACAGAAGAGAAAACTGTTAAAACTTTGTTTTCCTCATGTAAAAAAGCCAGAACGTGACCATAAAATTTTGCAAACAAGATGTGGGAATATTAAGAGCTGACTGTAGAAATATTTTAACTTGTGCTTTTTCTCCTGCCCAGTAGTATCTGTACCACTAAACTTAGATCTATGGACAGCTTTATAAATTATCCAGGTGCACCTATTACCCAAGTCAAGAATTAAATTAGCATAAAAGGGGTTTGTTATCGGTCCCAAAATACTTGTGATGGTTCAAATAGACCAAGAAGTGGAGGATTAGAAGTAAAGCCGGCCGGGCGTGGTGGTTCACGCCTGCAATCCCAGCACTTTGGGAAGCCGAGGAGGGTGGATCACGAGGTCATGAGATCAAGACCATCCTGGCTAACACGGTGAAACCCCGTTTCTACTAAAAATACAAAAAATTAGCGAGGCATGGTGGCGGGCACCTATAGTCCCAGCTACTCAGGAGGCTGAGGCAGGAGAATGGCATGAACCTGGGAGGCAGAGCTGGCAGTGAGCCGAGATCGCGCCACTGCACTCCAGCCTGGGTGAAGGAGCGAGACTCTGTCTCAAAAAAAAAAAAAAAAAAAAAAAAGTAAAGCCACCACTCCCAAGATAGAATCAAATCCAAAAAGTATTTCAGGAAAGCAACTACGTTGTTTTGTTCTGCTCTTGGTGCTTTTGTTTTTGTTTTATTTTGTATTGTATGACCTTGAATTACAAGTCTTCCCCTCCCAGGAAAGGACTGTTCTTCAGGGCTGTCCTCAGATTCTTATTTCATATCTTAAAAATGACATAGTAAAAAAGACCTAGATGTGATAGTAAACCCTTATTTTTTAATATACCAAACAGTTGTAACCACAAAAGCACTGTAATCATCATTTCTTGGAAAAGTTATAAGCATATTTGAAACTTGAAACTTCTAAAATCTTGGTTAGAGAAGAAAACTAAATTCTACATTTAGTGGAATTAAGCTTCTACCTAATAGCTTTTATACCAACTTTCCAAAAGTAGGAGTGGTACCAGGTTTCCATGTAAACCCAAGAAAGCAGTTTATCCATCCACACAGCCCAACCCTTGCTCCAATGAGCATATTACTGGGTCCAAAGTATACAGCTTTCATATCTGTCAGTCAGTGTGCAAGTGTTAACCACTTCATGTGACTGAGTTCAATGTTATAGTGCATGTTGCAGTCTAAACATTTTCTAAAGTGTCTGTAAGTACACAAATTAGCAACATAGTATCAGCGTTACAGAGAATTCCTTCACATAATATAGAACAGGCCTAGAATTTAAAGTGAAACTACAATCTGTTTCAGTTGGTTTTGGAATGCAAGCATAAAGAAACAATTCCAGTTCAATAACATATTTCAGAGTGTTATCAACAGTGCTAGGACAAAAATAAATCTTGTGCTTATTTAGAAAAGGTCATTTTGAGATCCAGGAGTGTCTGATGCTTAGAATCCAATGGAATGTCTCTAATTCTATATAGTAGATAGTAGCAAGTGAAGCTTAGCGAGTTTTTAATTATAAAGAGATTGTGCAAATACATAAGGTGATTATCAACTATTATTAAATCCAAAAATTCCATTAAAATTGTGTCTAATCAGAATGGCAGTTCAGGAGTCTAAAAAAACAGGAACCTAGACAGAAGTCTTAGATGGTACTGAGAGACGGCCCAAGCCTGCCACTGAGCCAGCTGCAGAAATGTGGCCCCGTGACCACGTATATCCATGGCTTTAGAAATCTGGTTGACTCCATTGGCTTAGTGGTGGGAATGTGGGCCTGTACGGAACATTGACAGGAACGGTGTAGAGGAGAAAGCCCCTTTATACGCCCATCTGGAGAACGGGCTCACCCACAGGGTGAATCTAGACAGGGCCCTGGTGTTGCTGTTACAAACCTGAGTGCGTGATGCATGACTGCACTGCTGTGGCCTGACACACGGCTTGCAGGCATTTGGCTTCCACACCTGCCTTCAGTGAGCCACTCATGCACGGGAGGCACCGAGAACCTCGGGCAGGGTTCATCAGATGTCCCTGTGCCACCTGAGCCATGCCCTGGCAGGGGGAAGCTCCTCATGCTCACACCTGCCTCCAACTGCCCTCTCCTGGGCCTTTCCTAGAGCTCCTCTGACCCCCTTCTCGGTTTGTCTTGTTGAATCTTTAAATTTCAGTAAGTGGAGACTTTATGCCGCATTCTCATTTAGCATAGAAAGTTTTAACTCATACTGTTTGCAAAGGAAAATGTATACTCTGCCTTCTAAACCATATAGATGTCTTGGCCATCTAAACCTAAAAAAAAGTTCTATCTAGTAAACGACTTAAATTATACATACAACTGGGAAAGCAAATTCTTCCTTGAGTAGTTTGTGAATGATGCCAAATGGAGGCTTCAGGGGAGAACACAACTTTTTCTTACAAATCCGGCCGGGCGTGGTGGCTCATGCTTGTAATCCCAGCACTTGGGGAGGCCGAGGTGGGTGGATCACAAGGTCAGATCGAGACCATCCTGGCTAACATGGTGAAAGCCCGTCTCTACTAAAAATACAAAAAATTAGCCAGGTGTGGTGGCACGTGCCCATAGTCCCAGCTACTCAGGAGGCTGAGGCAGGAGAATCGCTTGACCCCAGGAGGCAGAGGTTGTAGAGAGCCAAGATCACGCCGCTGCACTCCAGCCTGGGCAGCAAGAGGGAAACTCCATCTCAAAAAAAAAAAAATTAATGTGACGTAGAGATGTACCATAATGGTGCCAGAGCACAAGGGAATCTCAGAGCACAATGGCCTGAGAGTGCGCTTCTGGATAGTTAGGATGGAAGTACTGTTCTGTCTCCAACTCTGATGTTCTCATTAGGCCATACTTAAAATTTCCAGGATTTGAAACTATGCCTCATGGATAGAAGGTTTGGAGAAATAGCAGTTAACTGACTCACAAGAATACCTGGTATAAATGGAGAGTAGAAGTAGAATTCTGAAGAGAGCTAAATAAGAAAGAATTAGTCACTATTTTGTGCATGTGAGGGGAGAGAACACATACAACAGACAGACTGTGTGGGAAAGTGAATGGCTATTACACTGGATATTTTCTCCTGACTTAGCAGCAAACTATTTCAACTGCTTTTGCAGCTGCATAAAAATCCATGCATCACACTGAATTCTAATCCATTCCTCACTTAAACCATACGAATGCTTCATACAACCAAATGAAGCAGAATTAATCAAACCTATTAGATTCAGTCCTAATCCCTAAAGGGCTTCTGTCTGTAGCATTTCCATGCTAACTAAAACTATTAATTTATTTTTTTTCCTTAAGATGTCAGATGTGGCTGCCACCTAAATGTGATACCTATATAACTTCCTAAGAGTTTTTCCCAGACTTGAAGAACAATTAAAAGCAGAAAAATGTTGGGGAACCCACCAAGAAGCCAGCTCAAATGCTGAAACACATTCCCCAGCTAGCCCCAGCCAAGTAAACCTCATCCTTCCCCTGGGTTCCCAGAGCTTTTTGGGTGCCATGAGTTGAATGTGTCATATATAGGACTGTGGGCCCCTTCATGGTGGGAATCAGGTCTTATTCATGCTGTGTCCCCACAGCCCCCTGCAGGGGACAGGTGCTCAGCTAAGGCTGGATTGAGCATGAGACAGATGAGGTCATCTCTTCTCATGTGAATGTTTAGCTCAGCCCCAGTCACGGAGCCTTGTACAGACACTGGCCACAAACCATGGGCTGAGCTGGCCTCCAGTGACCTCCCAGAAGTAAGCCGAGGCAGCTCTGATCCAGACCCAGTGCAGGTGTGGGGAGAAGGGGAAGGGAAGAAACGGCATCTACCAGTGCACACTCAGTAGGGAGTGCTACTTGCGTAGGACAAGCAGGACAGGACGGGAGTGCCTGTGAACATGCCAAAGGGAATGGCAAGAGTCTCTGTGAAGGACTGGCTACCGAGAAAACACCGGCTCCTTCCCTTTCGGTACCTCCTCAATCTGATCCAAGATTCTCTGCGACCATCACTTCACCGCCTTCAAATCTCCCAGTGAAATTAAGGCGGGGTCACAATTCATGACACCAGATGCTACATAGAAAGTAAGTCAGGATACAAAAGAAAACTGTTTATAATAAAAAGAATGTCTTAGTTGTAAGACGGAGAGAAGCTAATCAGCATACCACTGAACTGCTACGGTTGTTGGTTGGAGCGGGGCGGGGTGGGTAGAAAATATCAACAGCATTGGAAAAAAGGATCCACCAGACAAAGGTACAAAAGCTCGGCGTGGGTCCGAGGCTGTGGCTTCCTGTCTGGACTCTCACACAGTCGTTTCTATCGTTTCAATCACTTCCAGGTCAGACTGCGAGGGGGAGAGAAGGGTGCACTCATCCGGTTCCCAGCTGCTCTCTGGACTGTAATCTTCCTCTGAACTCAGTTCTGCTCCTTCTTCTGTGTCCTCGTCACACGATTCCACATAGTGAGCCCCAATCGCATTGATCCCAGAGTCCTCAGAACTTGAGGGAGAAGAGCAGTGATCTATTTTTGGTGTATTGCTCTCTTTTGAAATTAAGGCATCGTGTGCAGAGACCTCCTCAGGGCTCATTCTGTGGGAATGTGGTGCCGGCTGCTTCTGCACATAACACATCTTCCCATTAATACATTTAACCTGATAGTTGTCAATAAAAAGGTCTGAAATCATACAGTACCTCGGTGAGTCAGGGGGAAGGGGAGGCTGGAAGACAGATGCAAATTTCAAAAAGTGTTCGGTGAGCGAGACTGAGATCTGAATGGTGTTTGTGGGTTCCCGAGGCCTGGCAGGAATCTCAGTGCTTGGAAGCTGTTCCACAGGGGTCATAGGCTGATACATGTATTTGCCTGTGAAGACACAAAAAGACACTTGAAATCTATATTACACAAACTATATTAACATGGCCATAATGGTTTCTGAGGACTCAATGTCTTTAAAAATATTTCAGTAACACCTCAAAAGAAACTAGTAATAAAATCATTCAACATTGGTATAGTCAATGAAAAAGTCAGCATGGTATATAATAATTTTCATCTAAAAGACTCAATCGACTTTCTAAATCTCAATTTATATTTGTGTCTTTCTGATATCTCTGAAGTAGGTGGATAGACACTATAATCCTTATTTTACAGACAACTTTAAGTAATTTACTCATTATACTAGAACAAAAAAGGTCCACAATATAGCATGGTAAAAAATACAAGTTGTACAGCCGGGCGCAGTGGTTCACGCCTGTAATGTGCAGATCACTTTAGGTCAGGAGTTCCAGACTAGCCTGGCCAACGTGGCAAAACCCTGTCTCTACTAAAAACACAAAACGTAGCTGGGCATGGTGGCACACGCCTGTAATCCCAGTTACTCGGGAGGCTGAGGCACGAGAATCCCTTGATCCAGAAGCGGAGGTTGCAGTGAGCCGAGATCGTGCCACTGCACTCCAGCCTGGGCGACAGAGTGAGACCCTGTCTCAAAAAAAAAAACAACCAAGTTGTAAAACAGTATAATGTACTGTAAAATTATAATTCCATGTTTATCTCTAATAATGTTTGTGTTAATGTATATATTTTTCCAGTTTTTAAATGTATGTAAGTTTATCATCAGAATTATGGGAGATTTTCACTTTCCAGGTGTCTATGTTCTAATTATAAGATACATACACCTACATATTTATTTAATAGGTAGTGGCCCACTGGATTGTCCCGGCCACCCTCAATGACTGGGGTAAAGTTTAGGGTGGGAAATGGTTTCTCTGAGGACCAAAGCTCATCAGTGGCCTAATCAGGAGGTGTCTCCCCCGCACCCCTCCCCGACACCAATTCCACTGGCACTAAGCGACCTAAGCCAAGCAGAAGCAAAGGGCAAACACACAGAGGGATGCAGAGGACACCCTGCTGGATGTTTCTAGGAAGCCCACAAGCTTATCTCCAAGCCTTCCTCTCTGCTCTGAGCCCTCAACTGTTTCCCACATAGTTGACATGGAAGTAAAACCTAAATGGATTTGGTCCTCATCCCATTTTTCATTCAACATCTAGCAAAGCCTCCCACACGCTAAGGAAATAGGGCTGAAAATATCCAATCTGTAAGTCTAAAGTGATTTCAAAACAAAAAGCTAAAGCAGGGATGGGGGCTCCTAAAAATCCCAGAGACAAGTAGCCACAATTGTGGGCATCATTTTGAATTTTTCCTAATTTAGCCAATTTATCGGTTCATGTTGTATCTTCTGCACATTGTTGACAGGGCTTTTAACCTTAGCACTACCTGCATTTTGGACCAGATAATTCTTCATCGTGGTGGGGAGGGGTGCTGTCTATCCTAGGCAGCATCCTCGGCCTCTCCCCACTAGATGCCAGTAGCAGCTCCTTCTCAAATGAGACAAATTCCCCAACGGGTGAAATCACCCTGATTAAGAACCAGTGATTTATGGTATCTTCATGAGCATCTTTTTGCAGGCGAATTACTCATGTGTATGGTACTTGCTCCTGTTTATTTCTTTGTCAGACTGGAAATCCTAGGACAGGAATCACATTTGTAAGGAAAACTAGCTTAGGTTTTATAATGTTAATGATGCCACAGGAGAGTAGCAATTTCAGATTAGAAATGAAGTAGTAAAGAGGCCACAAATCATGCAACATCAGTAATCTCTTAAGATCAATCAAGCCTGCTTATATTTTTTGTTTTTTGACTCCTGCACAAAAAAGCCACTCAGGTACCACAATTTCTTTATAACCAAATTACTCTAAAAAGACCTTCATTTTCATCCTGGGGTACCATATGAAAAAAGTACATTTAAAGTCGTTAAGCCTCTGGGTTCCCAGGGTGCTTCCAAGCCTGGACGTACCTCATGCAAACCCCGCAGTCTGATAAAAACGCATTGAGAAGAACCCAGTCACACCTGCCTGGGGGAACTATGTTTAAAATATACCAGGCGTCTTCATTTCTCCAGCTCTTTAAAAGGTAATTACTACTTGTCAGGCAGAGTTAAAATCAGGTCAGATGTAAGAGGTGGTATGGTAGGACCTCTGCCCCTAAGCACTGTGGACACTATCGGCTGAAGGGCTAAAGAAGGCTGACCTTTAAGCCTCCCTCCAGACCCTCCAGCCCCAGGATTAGAGCAATGTATGGGCACGGGATAGAGAACGGACTTAGAGAACCTGGGGAACTACTCTTCTGTCCACAGAGTGGTAAATAAAACGCGGAATGAAGGTTTCGTCTTTTTCATTCTTGGCTGGTAGTTACTGAGCTCAGGAGGCTGTGGAAGGCAGGCAGTCAAGATGTGCTTGTTGTATATGCTGATTAGGTTCATCCTGCCCTAAGTAACCTGTGGTTTAGTTATCCACTGTCACAGCCACAGGAGGATCCTCGTAGTTGATTCATGCCTTCCAGAACCATCCTCAGATCCAGAGGGAACAAGGCTTTATTTGTCCAAAGATAGAGGGAAAAGGTGAAGCCCGGCTTTGGGACTTTCCTCACTCCATCTCTTTTTTTTTCCTTCCCCTCCTTTATGCTTCTTCATAATTTCTTTGCTTTCTTTCCTCTTGGTTCTACTCTTTCTCTGGTCCCCACTCATCCAAAGCTCTGTTTTTCTTTCTTGAAAGTGTAGTGCTGTGGACTGAATGTTTGTATCCCCACGAACTTCATGTTGAAACCCTAATCCCCAGTGTGATGGTATTTGGGGGTGAGGCCTTGGAGGAGTACTTAGGTTTAGATGAGGTTTAGAAGGTGGAGGCTCTAATCATTGGTTTAGTGCCCTATGAGAAGAGGAAGAGACCAGATCCCTTTCTCCTCTATGTGAGGGTACAGCATCTGCAAACCAGGATGAGCGTCCTCATCAGACACTGACTTCTGCCTCACTCTTAGAATTCTCAGCTTCTAGACTGTGAGAAATACACGTTTGTTGTTTAAGCCACCCAGTCTGTGGTATTTTATTATAGCAGCCCAAACTGACCAGGACATGTAGTAAGAGAGAAATGCAGCTGGGTGAGGAAGATGTGAACCAGATTCCACTTCTTTCTACAAGGTACGTCTATTAAATGTGTTTACTCAGAGCGAGGGTGAGAGCCTATTATCTGGTGATATGGGGATGCAAAGAAAGAGAGGAGGAAAATAGTAAAGATGGCCACATAAAAAAACAACCTTTAGTAATCACCTTTGAAATATCAATCATTACATAATACTATATTGTTTATAAACACAGAAATAATTAAACTCAAAGATATAGTTTTATAGGGCTGTGAAGGGTTAGTGCTTTGCTCCAGTCCCTGATAACTTATATCCCTGGGGTATCCTAGGCCGAGAATCCATGTTCACATAGCTCCGAGGCACTGCAAGATCCTGAATTATCAGATTCAATTATGTTTACTATGAGAATAAAATGAACACACTTCTTCAACAGCAAGGATTGAAACGGGTTTCTGGCGATTTAGCCAAGAAATTCAATAACCACTATATTCTCTGAACAATCGTAATTAAGGGTTTACTGTGTTAAAGAATAAATGGATGAGAACTTTTAAAACCTAAAGCTCTAAAAGGAAAAGATACTCAGAGTGAGGGCTCAGAGAAAAAGAGAGCAAAAGGAGCATCAGTTTGATCCAGCAATTCCACTTTTGGGTACACACCCAAAAGAATGGAAAGCAGAGTCTCAGGGATATTTGAATATCCATGTTCACAGCAGCATCACTGGCAATATGCAAAAGCTGGAAGCAACACAAGTGTCCATGATGGATGAACAGATAAACAAGAGGTCATATACACGTAAAATATATTAGCCTTTAAAAGGAAGGAAATCCTGACCCATGCTACAACTAGATGAACCTTGAGGACACTATGCTAAGGGAAATAAGCCTGTCACAGTAAGACAAATACTCTGATTCCACTTGCTTGATGTATCTAAAGTAGTCAACTCATAGAAACCGAAAGCAAGAGTGGTGTTTGCCAGGGACTGGGCATACGGGGGGATGGGGAGTTGTTGTTTAATGGGTAGAGTTTGAGTTTTACAAGATGAAAAGAGATGTGGAGATGGATGGTAGTGATGGTTGCACAATATAAATGGACTTAACACCACTGAACTGTACACTTAAAAATGGTTAAGATGGTAATTATGTATATTTTACCAAAATTTACCAAGAAAATGAGTGGCCTGAGGTAAACTGCATGCATAGTTCAGTTCTTTGACTTTATGTATTTTAAATTAGTTTTATACATTTTTTTTTTTTTTTTGAGATGGAGTCTCTCTCTGCTGCGCAGGCTGGAGGGCAATAGCACGATCTTGGCTCGCCGCAACCTCCGCCTCCTGGGTTCATGCGATTCTCCTGCCTCAGCCTCCCGAGTAGCTGGGATTACAGGCATGCGCCACCATGCCCAGCTAATTTTGTATTTTTGTTAGGGACGGAGTTTCTTCACATTAGTCAGGCTGGTCTCAAACTCCCGACCTCAGGTGATCCACCCGCCTCGGCCTCCCAAAGTGCTGGGATTACAGGTGTGAGCCACTGTGCCCGGCTATACTTTTAAATTAGTATAATTCACTGTATTAACAGACTACAGGGAAAAAACCCATATGATCTGGAATATTTAAAGAATTCTTGCCACTCCATAATGAGAAAACAACCCAATTTTCTTAAAAAGGGGTGTGGCTACATAAGAGTAAGACTGAGGTATCTTTACAGTGATGGAAATGTTCTGTATCTTGCCTGTATTCATGTCAACACCTTGGTTGTGACACTGTACTACTGTTTTGCAACTTAATTGCCATTGGGGGGAACTAGGCAAAGGGCACATGACGGCTCTGTATTTCTTAAAATTTTATATAAATCTATGATTTTTTTTCAAAATGTATAATCTAAAACAACAGGGAAATAATCACCATAGATGTGATGACACACCCTTTTTTGGTGTATTGTATTAGGAGGTACATGCTGTTGATAAACTTCGTTACAGGTGATGTTTATTAACTTTGTGGTGCCTGTCTAGGTTTCTTCATTATAAAGTTACTATTTTTCTCTTTGTAAGATATTTTAGGACTGTGCAAATATCCTGTTTGTCACCATACTTTCACCAATTTTAGCATGGATAGGTGGCTCTTGTCTGCAACAAATATTACTGTGGTGTTTGCCAAACTGATTTTTTTTAAACCACACACCATGATTCTTCAGATTTTCTATTTACGTCATTCCTTCTACATTTATTAATTGGAATTCTATGTGTGAAATTGAAGATACTGGGATGAAATCACATCTTGTCAGACCCAAACAAACTTAAGCCAGCAGAGCCTGAAGAGGGGAGGGTTTGTGCTATGTCTGAGATAAAGACTTGTCTCAAGGACTTTCTAAAATAACTCTAAGAGATTCTTTCTTTAGGACTGCAGCAATTCGGATAAGATGCCCACGAAAGAACACCTGCCCAGTAACGGCATCTCCACTGATAAACTGAGGCCAACTTGCGTTATAATTCCCAAATAAATTCAACATATTTGGAGACTTTTTTCCTCATTTTTTTTTTCTTGGTTGACACAAGCACCAAAAGCTGCTCCTTCTCCCTCATTTATTTATTTATTTATTCAATTATTTATATAAGCATGGACCCACAGATATTTATTCTGTGTATTGCTACCTGTTACTATCATTTATTTTGTTACTTATATTGTTCCAGATTTAGCTCGGGACCTGTGTCCTTTCAACTATTCCCATCCTTGACTGAAGACTTCTTTACTTTCTGGCAGTAGAAGACATTACTCGTTTATTTGTACTTTATCTGCAGCCATTTCTCCAAGGAGCCCTAGTTCCTTTTATTAAGAACTTACACACATTCTTCAGATTGTTGTTAAAATACTCCTGTGAAGTGGAATCTTAGTTTGCTAATGACTCATTCAAACCACTCTCAGAGCTCATCCATAGGAAAGTGAAGATAATACCTTATTATAGTATCCAGTACCCATTTTAAAAATAATATAAAAATATCACAAACTCATTAACTTATCTTTAATCTTTTTAAAGGGAGCTGAAATCACTTTCTCAATAATGGAAGTGATCATACAACATGACTAACACAAAAACCAACTGTGACCAGAAAATGAAAAATAAAATTTTTTGAGGGTGGAGGTACATGAATCAATACTGTCAGTTGTTTTTCAAAGGCCAATCAAACCACAAATAAGTAACTTCCACTATTAAAGTTTTGATTCATAATATTTATGATGTTTTCCTTCTTTGCTGTTTGGCAATAATATGCCTTTTCACAATGCCTCAATGAAACACTAACAAAGATTTATATTCTCATCCTGGCTCTTTGGTTGAAAAAAGAAACAAAGAGTTATTACATTCTCAAACTCTTATAACAAGATAGGAGTCAATTCTTAGACTCAGCCTTGAGACAACCCTGTATTCTTTCCTCAGGAAGATACCCATTACTTAATGAGGTTTAGATCATGCTCTATTAGTTACCCTGTCATTCTCTGCCCTTAACTTCAGCTAACATTGCAATTTGCAGCACTGTATAATTACATAGCAGATATAATTCCTTGAAGATGTTTCTTTCTCTTGGTTGTAGAGCACAAAGGGAATGAAAAAGAAAAAATAAACCCAAACAAATATAGAAAATAAAATAAATGTATAAGCCCTGCTAAGCTACTGTGTGTACCTTGCTCAACTATTTGATCAGTTGTACGCTTTGATTCTTAAAAAGCTCCTTTGGGGGGAAAATGAGCTTTTTGCTTTTGCAGATAGTTTTATGGTTGTTAAATGTGTGTCCTCCTTGACACAAGAAGTATACTGCTCTCAGGGAATGCAAAGTAATTTAAATATTTGTGCAAGCAAAATATAATTAGAAAGGTAAATCTACTGAAAAAAAATGAGTGGCCTGAGGTAAATTGCATGCACAGTTCAGTTCTTTGACTTTATATTTTGAATTATAATTATGTTTATTTTATTCCCAAGGGCATTCATTATTTTGAAAGTAATGCTAAATATTCTAATTTAGAAATTTCTGGAAGGTTCATTTTTCACTGAATAGCATATCACAAACCAAAAGCAAATGAACTTAGTATTTATTATAGCCAATATTTTTTGTGGCCTGGCCCTTCATTCTGCCCCACTGGCAGTCAATACACCAATATTTTTGTACTTTGAGCTGTGAGGACGCTAAAGTTTGCATATTTCCCAACAAGCTGAAATTCTCAATCAGAAATATATGCAAGATCCTAGTTCCTTCATTTTAAAATTGCATGTATAACTTCTTTAGTGTGGCGGAACATATTGTAAAGCAAATCTAGTGAGACAGACCACCAGACGCATGGCTTATTTACTCAGCTAGCAAATCCTTATTGCATATCTACCATGTTTATGCTACTAAGTCAGATGCTATGGGGAAATAAGATGAAGTAGAGTATGTAGTCATGCTTCTATAGGAGCTTTCAGATAGATACAGAAGATAAGTAAAACAAGAGTTGAATAAGACTATAGGCATATATGCAAGGGCGTTCACCAGGCAGTGGAACAGGATTCCAAGTTTCATTGAAGGATTTTTATATGGATATTAGAAGACAGAGACCGGTATTGTAGCAAGCAGAATGGCTCCAATGTATCAGCTCTGCATTTGGGGTTAGACAGTCGATCAAAAGGGCAAAGGAGGATAAAGTTTCTGAGGAAGACTGAGGCTGGATGGGGCTTGGAATGCTAAGCCAAGGGGTTCAGATTTGGGTAGCAGTGGTGAATGGCTACAGATTACTGAGGAAGCAAGTAATGACAAAAGGAGGGCTCTAAGAGAATGTGGTCTGGTAAATGTGTGCTGATGGACTGGAAAGAGAAGAGATGGGAGTTAAGAGGCTGCTACAGATTTTTAAGCATGAGGTTCTAAGTCCCATGGCTTAGAAGAGGAGGAGACACATCTTGTGAAGGTGGCAGAGCCCAGGGGAGTTAGGACAAAGACTGTAGAGTCAGACACACCTGGATATGAATCCCAGCTCTGCTGCTTGGAGCCATTTTACTTTTTTTTTTTTGGAGGCAGAGTCTTGCTCTGTTGTGCAGGCTGGAGTGCAGTGGTGCAGTCTTGGCTCACTGCAACCTCCGCCTCCCAGGTTCAAGCAATTCTCCTGCCTCAGCGTCTCAAGTAGCTGGGATTACAGGCACTTGCCACCACACCCAGCTATATATGTATTATATTATATATATATATATAATATATATACACACATACACACACACACATACATATATATATATATATATATATATATATATATATATATATATATATATATATTTTTTTTTTTTTTTAGTAGAGACAGGGTTTCACTATGTTGGCCAGGCTGGTCTTGAACTCCTGACCTCAGGTGATCCACCTGCCTCGGCCTCCCAAAGTGCTGGGATTACAGGCATGAGCCACTGTGCCCGGCCTGTTGGACATTTTTGAAATTGTTTATCTCATATTTTCAGTTTCCTCTAGTAAAAGTGATTAATGATATCTACTTCAGAAGGTGGTTGAATGGTTAAACATGAAAATGCTTTCAAAGCAGTAACTCAGTATCTGGTGCACTGTAAACATTCTGTTATTCTTGCTGCTTACAGAAGGCAAGGGCTGCCTGGAGGTGTCTCCAAGCCACTCTAGAGCTTTTCTTGGCTGCATTTGGCCATCCCTGCCCAAGCCCAGGGCCCTCCCATTCCTGAGTTTCTGGTACCCAGCTTCCTGATTCAGTTGCTTCCATAAACTCCTCTCTGTCCAGATCTCTGCCACCTACCTCACCTCCCCCCAAACCCTAGAGTTTGCTTTCACTCTGTTTTTCAAACTAATATTTATTGAGCCTCAATTATATGCCAGGCACTGAGCTAGGTTCATGGGGTAAAAACAGCAGGCAAAACAGACAACCCTGTCCTCATGGAGCTTACACTCTAGGACAGTATGCATACTTCAAATCTCACATGAAAAGATATAAATGATTAAAACCAATAAAAGTGATAGGCAAAAAGTGGTAAGAAAGTAAAGTCAGTGATTAGAAATTATATATTTGGGGCCAGGCACGGTGGCTCATACCTGTAATCCCAGCACTTTGGGAGGCCTAGGTGGGCGGATCACGAGGTCAGGAGATCGAGACCATCCTGGCCAACATGGTGAAACCCCGTCTGTGCTAAAAATACAAAAATTAGTTGGGTGCGGTGGCACATGCCTGTAATCCCAGCTACTTGGGAAGCTGAGACAGGATAATCGCTTGAACCCGTAAGGTGGAGGTTGCAGTGAGCCAAGATCGTGCTACTGCACTCTAGCCTGGCGACAAAGCAAGACTCCATCTCAAAAAAAAAAAAAAAAAGAAAGGGACAATGTATAGTGCAGGTTGAGTATCCCTTATCTGAAATGCCTGGGATCTGAAGTGTTTCAGGTTTCCCAAAGCACTAAACTGACTTCAGCAATCAAGCCACCAACCCCCTCCCAGTATCATGCTGATATCTGGATTTCAGTCAAGTAAGAGAGAATGGAGGTGGTGGAACAAAGTACCACCAAGCAACCTGTACAGGGCAGGAGCCCTTTACCAACAGATGTCTACAAGCTACACTGCTCCAGGCCACACTCTGACACCCTCAAGTATGGGCAGCTTAACCCTGAGACCAGCCTTAAAAATAACATTTCTGTAAGTGCCATAAATCTAAAATAGAGAAGCTGTTTGCCATACTTAGGAATTCACAACAGCCAATCTGAAAATTAGAGATAATGAAGGCTCTACACTTTTTAACCACATTTAGTCCTACCTGAAGCCAAATCTGGTTTAAGGGACAGATATATGCAACAAATTATTGTGTATTTTAACAAGCAACCACCAGTGAACAACTAGGGGGAAAGAGAAGTGTAGAATGCATCCCCCTTACAATCCAGTTTGGGTCACATAAACATCCACGGACACCACAAGAGGAAATATAAGTATTAAGCTGTGGGTATAGATGATACATGGTGTAGAAGTTAGAGAAAAGTGAGGGCTGGAAGGGCTAGAAAAGGCTCCACAGAAAACATGGAATGTAAATTTAAAAAGAGCGAGGACCTGAACAAAAGAAAGTAAAGTGATATGCCTTGTGCAACAATAATGGGGGGCGGGGGGACGTATGGGATGCCTGAGGGATGGTGAGGTGACTGGCCTGAATGGAGCTCTCCTATGACCTGAGACCAGTCTCTTTACCTAGATACAGTCATCCCTCAGGATCCTCAGGGGATTGGTTCGAGGACCACCCCACCCCAACAGAAATCAAAATCCAGATACTCAAGTCTCATATAAACGGCATGGTATTTTGCATATAACCTATGCACATCCTTCTGTATATTTTAAATCCTCTCTAGATTATAGTACCTAATACAAAGTAAATGGTTTGTAATGAGTTATACCCTGGGGTTTTTTTTTTTTTTTTTTTTTTTGAGATGGAGTCACTTTGTTACCCAGGCTGGAGTACAATGGCATGATCTGGGCTCACTGCAACCTCCACCTCCTGGGTTCAAGCGATTCTCCCACTTCAGCCTCCTGAGTAGCTGGGATTACAGGCATGAGCCACCACACCTGGCTAGTTTTTATATTTTTGTAGAGACTGAGTTTCACCAGGTTGGCCAGGATGGTCTCAAAATCCTGACCTCAAGTGATCTGCCCACCTTGTCCTCCCAAAGTGCTGTGATTACAGGCGTGAGCCGCTGCGCCCGGCCTATTTGTATTTTTTATTGTTGTATTGTTATTTCTTAGTTCTTTTCCCAGGTATTTTTAATTAATGATTGGTTGAATCCCCGGATGCAGAGCCGGTGGATATGAAGAGCCCACTATAACGTGGTAAGAGCAAAACCCTTCCCTTGCCAAGGGAGACGGGATACAGTAAGAGCTATTCTGCTGAATAAACCAGCACGATGGAGCCCTTGAACCTACAGACACGGCTAATTCCAGTTGAGAGAGGCTCCTTTTACGGCCAGAGTTTTTAGAAACTTCTGGTAGATTAAAAAAAAAAAAAATCTCCTAGGCTTCCAGTTCCTATTAGGTGGCCAAATAAGGGTTTCATATAGCGAGTATGTCTGCCTGTTTCCATGTAAGTTGGAAAGTCATACTTATCCACCTGGAGCTATTCTGCAGAGCTAGCTGAATACAGTTATTGGTTAGAAAAGAGAGCTGAGGGAGCCTTCTCACAAGGAGAGGTCACTGGGGGTGAGATGAAGCATGAAAACCATATGCTCAGAAAAAGGACGGCTGCTGACAGGGCACACACAGACTCAGCCCGTCTGTATTAAGTGTCTGCACTCTGCAGTGTAGGAAAACAGTGCAGAGAAGTGTGATGCGGGGAAAGAGGCATAAATAGGGGAGTGGCTGACTGCAGAAGCTACTGTTGTTACAAGGAGAGAAAAACTGCATGGGTACCACTGCTTTTCAAATCTAAAGATGGTTCTTAATGTCTTTCATTTTCATTACCATTATTATCTTTGATATTTTAATAACAAGGCTTGACCTTATGGACATTTTATGAGACCATCTCAGCCTCCTGTCCTTCTCTGCAAAAATCACTAGTGCGTGGGTTGAGTTACTAGACTGACCAACAGATTTCTAAAATTGCAGTCTGAAAAAATCCATTTTGAGAACAATGAAATCCCTATCGGGGGAGGGGCAGCAAAGTAGAGCCTGGAACACGATGATTCTCGTGTAGTTTCCTGCCATTGCTCTAGCACACAGCTGTAGAGTTCTACAGATACCAAACAAGTTATTAGCAGCCATTAAGTCAATGGACAGATACTGCTAACAGAGTAAGCTAAGGGAACCAGTAAAAGACATCTGTCACATTTATTTATTGATAAGGGGATGAAAAGTTCAGAAAATTACAAGAAAAGGGTGCTAACAAGTCAGCCTGATTTAAGAAAAAGAAGATCTTGAAGCATCTGTGCTCAGCACAGGAACTCAGAGACTCAACATGTTTACTGGTTTTTTAAAAGATTAACTTAGTTAAAACTTTTGTAGGGGAACGTGTCTGTATATTATTCAAGAACCTCATTTTCAATATAAAACAAGCCAATATAGCATTCTGAAACTTTTTTTTTTTTTTTTTTTTGAGACGGAGTCTTGCTCTGTCACCAGGCTGGAGTGCAGTGGCACGATCTCGGCTCACTGCAACCTCCACCTCCTGGGTTCAAGCAATTCCCCTACCTCAGCCTCTCGAATAGCTGCGACTATAGGTGCGTGCCACCACTCTTGGCTAATTTTTTGCATTTTAGTAGAGACGGGGTTTCACCATGTTGGCCAGGATGGTCTCGATCTCCTGACCTCATGATCCTCCTGCCTCGGCCTCCCAAAGTGCTGGGATTACAGGCGTGAACCACCGCGCCTGGCCAAAACTTCATTTTTTAATAACCATAATAAACACATTCAAGTATCAATGAGCTATTATTAACATATACATGAATTATAGTTCCCAATGTAATCAAAGAAAATATACTTCTGTTTTTTTCTTTAATAATTACCTCTCATTTCTCCTGAAACTGTAGTTAAACCAGCCAATTTCAAAATTGGTGCCACTGAGGAAATCCAAAGCATTAGGGGAAGTAATGAGTTTAATATTTACAGGTAACTAGTGTGTCTACTTCATTGTCTGTCTAACTACTCCTGAATGGGGACAAGAAAACTAAGATGATGGTACCAAAATTCAACTTGAAGCTTTGTTCCTGAACCACCTCTTCCTTACAATAGTTGGGTTGTAAAATCTATAAAGGGAGTCATTCCACAGTAAGCATTAAACAGTAAAGAGAAAAAAGGGGTCCAGAGTACAATAAGACTATGAATGTGCTAGCTGTCAATTCACTGCCACTGAGCTCCAAATTTTGCCTTCCATATATGCTCTGCCGTAATGGACAGAATTGCTTTACAGTGAACGTGATGACACTTTCTTGGTGGAGGGTGCGGAGGACTCTGCAGGAGGAAGGGGCTCTGCCGCTGCTGGCTGCTGACAGTGTGAAGGGTCTGCGGGAGGTCTGCTCCAGCCATGCACCCAGAACGTGTGGTTCCTTGGCTCACTTACAGTCTTGGCTTGGCCTAGTGATAACCTCCCCATGCCCTCTCCACAAGGCAACCAATATTCTGAAGACCTCCTGCCCACACTAAGCTTCTGCTCCCTCTACACAGCCACACCATTAGTTGCTGATTGCCTGTGCCCACCTGCACTGCAGAGGGCCGCTTCCTGCTTGCCAAGCAACTGCAGACCAGTACAACCTGGGGAAGCAGTGCGTTTCTCTGCTGTCCTTTGGGCTGAACCCCCAGCCTTGGTGAAAGGACCTCCTTCCCACTTTGTCTTTCCTTGGGTATTCTCCCAAGGCCCTGGGGGACTGCATAGAATTTCCTTAATTTCTCAGAGTTTAATAATACTCTATATTAAACTTCCTCCCCATTTAATCCACTGTGTGGTTTCCATCTCTTGTTTGGTCTTAAATTGATTCAATGACCAAGGTATGGGATTTCTTACAGTAGTAATTTTGATTGTCTACTGAGAAAATAACATTAAGAAGTAGTTTATATATTTGGAACCTATACTAATAAGATAATAAATGTCATATATTAAAATGCTACTAATTCTTTAGATGTTTATAACTGGACATATTAACAAGTTTAATATTAACGGAGGAAGACTTTAGAAGAATGTATACTAAAACCTATTTTTTAAAGAACATTGTCTTTGTTACTTGAATATTCTATCTCAATAATATCAAAAATAACTAAGTGAAGCCAAGAGAGCTTACTGAATATCCTTGATTATTCGCCCCCAAAGGAATGGCATATAAAACTACTGAGTTAAAAGTGCTTTTCCTGAAAGAACAAGCTTAGGAAAAGAACTGTGAATCCAGTCTTCATAATAGATGAACACATGTTAATCTTAATTCCAGAGTGAAAAACTTTAGCAGCTAGGTGACAGTAACATTCAGTAGCCTTATGAATGAGAGCAGAGCATCATGGCTGGCCAAGGATAATACAGCTCTTTTCCCAGGAACCTGGAATAAGCCCTTGAAGAGAAAAGAGACAGGGAGGAAGCACCCCTGCCTATAACGCATGTGGAACACAGAAGGCAGAAACAACCACGTGAGAAAAGAAATGCTGATTCACATGTGACGTTCTAGACAAAACTGGAGCAGTATGTAAAACCTAAGACATTCGGCACTGGGTTGGGTGCTGTGGAGCTTTATACCTATTTGTCCACGTTATGTGTGTAGAAACTTACAATTACAGCAGATAACTTTATGGTTTTAGCCTGATAATATCAATGAGATTGGGTAATATGACAATGTAGGTTTTCAAGACCAAATAAGATTTCCATGCATGATGGGGTTTTTAAGATTATCACTTGACAATATAATGGATAAAAGGTACCACCAGCACAAACATAACCCTTGCAGAGAGACAAAGCCATAAGCCTGCAGGGGAAAGGCTGTGGCTAAAAAACACTGCCAGAGACGCCAGCCCCACAGCAAGGATGAAGCCTGTCCAGGTACAGCTGTTCTGGATATGCCTAGGCTAAAACTATCCTGGGAATTATCCATGCAGATGGCTGGCTCAAAGAGGTCCCCAGCTGTTCTTAACCTATACTAATAGATAATAAATGCTATGTATTAAAATGCTACTAATCCCCAATTGGGGAATACATTTAATGTTGCTAATAAAAACCAAATAGAATTTCTGTGAATCCTTTACAGACTATGAGCCTAAAATGCCAGATGAGATCTCATGGATGGTTTCAAAGACATTAATTAGGATTTCATTACTTTGGTCTGGAATACAAGCAGGGCACATTTCAAACAAGTAGGTCCTAGAGCCTATTGATTAATGCTAATAACTCAGAAAATCTATAGTTTTCCCATAAAATCTCAAAGGATTACAAAATGTGATGAAGGCAGAAAGCATCTCCCTTTACAGTTGATATTTTTATGAATCCACAGAGAAAAAAATGTATTCATATATCATACTGTCTGAGAACTAATTTCAAAACTACTCATTTTACTGTGTGGTAGATGTGATGGTTAATTTTATATGTCAACTTTGAGGGTGCTTTGAATGAGATTAACATTTAAATCAGTGAAGTCTGAGTAAGCCAACTGCCCTTCATAATGTGGGTGGGCCCCATCCAAACAGTTGAAGGCCTGAATAGAACAGAAATACCAGCTTCCCAAGCAAGAGAAAAATCTCCAGTGATTTCCCGTGGGCGTCATCCACACTGTCAGCTCTCCAGGGTCTCCGGCCTGTCTGCTGGCCCACACTGCAGATTTGGACTTACCAGTCTCTATAATCACGTGAGCCAATTCCTTACGATCAGCCAATACCCATCTATCTCTGTTTCTCTGGAAAACACTAATATAGTGGAACTCATTTTACCTGCAGTGGTAAGATATAGCCATAACACTATAATCCAATATGACCAATTTTAATTTTAAGACATGGGGAGAGTGTAAGCAACATGGAAAACATAATTCAGGATATCATCCGGGAGAACTTTCCCAAGTTAGCTATAGAGGCCAACATTCAAATTCAGGAAATGCAGAGAACCCCAGTAAGCTACTTCACAAGAGGATCATCCCCAACACACACAATCAGCAGATTCTCCAAAGTTGAAAGAAAAAATGTTAAAGGCAGCTAGACAGAAAGGTCAGGTCACTTACAAAGGGAAGTCCATCAGACTAACTGTGGACTTCTCAGCAGAAACTCTACAAGCCAGAAGAGACTGGGGGCCAATATTTAACATTCTTAAAGAAAAATTCCAACACAGAATTTCATATCCAGGCAAACTAAGCTTCATAAGTGAAGGAGAAATAAGATCCTTTTCAGACAAGCAAATGCTGAGATAATTCATTACCACCAGATCTGCCTTACAAGAGCTCCTGAAGGAAGGAGTAAATATGGAAAGACCATTGCCAGCCACTACAAAAACACACTGAAGGACACAGACCAGTGACACTATAAAGTAACCACATAAACAAGTCTAAAATAACCAGCTAACAGCATGATAGCAGGATCAGATCCACACATGTCAATACTAACCTTGAATGTAAACGGGCTACATGCCCCAATTAAAGGGCACAGAGTGGCAAGCTGGATAAGAACCAAGACCCATTATTATGCTGTCTTCAAGAGACCCATCTCACATGCAATGACACCTACAGGCTCAAAATAAAGGCATGGAGAAAAATCTACCAAGCAAATGGAAAACAGAAAAAGCAGGGGATGCAACCCTAATTTCACATAAAACACCCTTTCAACCAACACAGATTTTTAAAAAGGGCATTACATAATGGTAAAGGATTCAATTTAGCAAGAAGACGTAACTATCCTAAATGTATATGCACCCAACACAGGAGCACCCAGATTCACAAAGCAAGTTCTTAGAGACCTAAAGAGACTGAGACTTCCACACAAGAATAGTGAGAGACTTCAACACCCCACCAACAGTATTAGATCACCGAGGCAAAAAATTAAAAAAGATACTCAGGACCTGAACTCAGTAGTGGATCAAATGGACCTGATAGACATCTACATTACCTCTCCACCCCAAAACAGAATATACAGTTTTCTCATTGCCACATGAAACATACTCTAAAATCAATCACATAATCGGACATAAAACACACTCAGCAAATGCAAAATAACTGAAATCAAAACAACCACACTCTCGGACCACAGAGCAATCAAACTGGAAATCAAAACTAAGAAATTCTGTCAAAACCATACAATTATATGGAAGTTGAATAACCTGCTCCTGAGTGAATTTTGGGTAAATAATGAAATTTAGGCAGAAAAAGAAATTCTTTGAAACCAATGAAAACAAAGATACAACATACCAGAATCCCTGGGACACAGCTAAGACAGTGTTAAGAGGGAAATGTATAGCACTAAATACCCATATCAAAAACTTAGATCTCAATTTAAAAACCTAACATCACAACTAAATGAACTAGAAAACCAAGAGCAAGCCAATCCCAAAGCTAGCAGAAGACAAGAAACAACCAAAATCAGAGCTGAACTAAAACAGCTTTAGACATGAAAAACCATCCAAAACCTCAATGGGTCCTGGAGTTGGTTTTTTGAAAAAAAAAAATTAACAAAATAGATCACTACCTAGACTAATAAAGAAGAGAGTAGATCCAAATAAACACAATTAGAAATGGCAAAGGGCATATTACAAATGAACTCACAGAAATACAAATAACCATCAGAGAATATTATGAACACCTCTACACACATAAACTAGAAAACCTGTAAAAAATGGATAAATTCCTGGACACATCCTCCCGAGACTGAGCCAGGAAGAAATGGAATTGCTGAATAGACTAGTAACAAGCTCTGAAATTTAATCGGTAATAAATAGCCCACCAATTAAAAAAAGCCCAGGACCAGAGGGATTCACAGGCAAATTCTATCAGATATATAAAGATGAGCTGGTACCATTCCTACTGAAACTATTCCAATAAATTAAGGAAGAAGGACTCCTCCCTAACTTATTCTATGAGGCCAGCATCATCCTGATACCAAAACCTGGCAGACACAACAAAAAAAGAAAACTTCAGGCCAATATCCTTGATGAACATCAATGCAAAAATCCTCAACAAAATACTCGCAAACCAAATCCAACAGGACATCAAAATGCTTATCCACCACGATCAAGTAGGCTTTGTCCCTGGAATGCAAGTTTGGATCAACATACACACACAAATCAAAAAATATGATTCATCACATAACTAAAGACAACCACACAATTATCTCAATAGATGCACGCATTCATCCATTCTTGCACTACTATAGAGAACTACCTGAGACTGGGTAATTTACAGAGAAAAGAGGTTTAATTGGCTCATGGTTTTGCAGAATGAACAGGCGTCTGCTTCTGGGGAGGTCTCAGGAAACTTACAATCATGGTGGAAGGTGAATGGGAAGCAGGTACATTTTCACATGGCTGGCAGGAGAGAAAGTGATGGAGGAGGTGCTATACACCTTCAAACAGCCAGATCTGGTAAGAACTCTGTCAACGAGACAACACTAGGGGGATGGTGCTAAACCATTAGAAACCAGCCCCATGATCCAATCACCTCCCACCAAGCCCCATCTCCAACATGGGGATTACAATTCTACATGAGATTTGGGTGGGGGCACAGCCAAACCATATCAATGCAGAAAAAGGCTTTCAATAAAGTTCAACATTCCTTCATGTTAAAAACTCTCAATTAACTAGGTATTGAAGGAAAATACCTCAAAATAATAAGAACCATCTATGACAAACCCACAGCGATCATCATACTGAATGGGTAAAAGGTAAGGCATTCTTAATGAAAACCAACACAAGACAAGGATGCCCTCTCTTACCACTCCTATTCAACATAGAATTGAAAGTCCAGGCAGATCAGGCAAGAGAAAGAATGAAAGGGCATCCATACAGGAAGAGAGGAAATCAAACTATCCCTGTTTGCAGACAACACGATCCTATATCTAGAAAACCCCACAGTCTCGGCCCAAAAGCTCCTTCAGCTAATAAACAACTTCAGCAAAGTCTCAGGATACAAATTCAATGTACAGAAATGATTAGCATTCCTATATACCAAAAACAGGCCAACAGCCAAATCAGAAACACAATCCCATTCACAATTGACACAAAAAATTAACCAGGAATATAGCTAACCAGGGAGGTGAAAGATCTCTCCAAGGAGAACTACAAAATACTGCTCAAAGAAATCAGAGATGACACAAACAAATGGGAAAACATTCCATGCTTGTTATTAGAAAGAATCAGTTTCATTAAAATGGCCATACTGCCCAAAGCAATTTATAGATTCAATGCTATTCCTATCAAACTACAAATGACATTCTTCACAGAACTAGAAAATCTATTTTAAAATGCACTGGAACCAAAAACGAGCCCGAATAGACAAGGCAATGCTAAGCAAAAAGAACAAAGCTGGAGGCATCATGCTACCTGATTTCAAACTCTACTACAGGGTTATAGTAACCAAAACAGCAAGACACTGGTACAAAAACGGACACACAGACCAATGAAACAGAATAGAGCCCCAAAATAAGGCCACACACCTGCAACTATCTAATCTTCTACAAAGTTGATAAAAACAAGCAATGGGGAAAGGAATCCTTATTCAATAAATGATGCTTAGATAACTGGCTACCCATATGCAGAAGACTGAATAAACCCCTTCTTTACACCATATACAAAAATTAACTCAAGATAGATAAAAGACTTAAATGTAAAACCCAAAACTATAAAAACCCTGGAAGACGGCCAGGCATGGCAGTGGCTCATGCCTGTAATCCCAGCACTTTGGGAGGCTGAGGTGAGTGGATCACCTGAGGTCAGGGGTTCGAGACCAGCCTGGCCAACATGGTGAAACCCCATCTCTACTAAAAATACAAAAATTAGCCAGGCGTGGTGGCACCTGCCTGTAATCCCAGCTACTCAGGAGGCTGAGGCAAGAGAATCATTTGAATCTGGGAGGCGGAGGTTGCAGTGAACAGAGATTGTGCCACTGCATACCAGCCTGGGCCACAGAGTGAGGCTCTGTCTCAAACAAACCCTGGAAGACAACCTAGGCAATACCATTCTGGACATAGGAACGGGCAAAGATTTCATGACAAAGACACGAAAAGCAATTGCAACAAAAGCAAAAATAGACAAACGGGATTAATTAGAAAGCTTCTACACAGCAAAAGAAACTATCAACGGAGTAAACAGACCACATACAGCATGGGAGAAGATTTTTGCAAACTATACATCTGACGAAGGTCTAATATCCATCATCGAGAAGAAACTTAAATTTACAAGAAAAAAAAAACCATTAAAAAGTGGGCAAAAAACATGAACAGACACTTTTCAAAAGAAGTCATACACGCAGCCAACAAGCATATGAAAAAAAGCTCAACATCACTGATCATTACAGAAATGCAAATCAAAACCACAATGAGATACCATCTCACACTGAGGGAGAAGAAAAGGAAAAATCATTTAGGTAAACAGTTAAGACTGGTCCTCGGAGAAGCAGCCTGCCTGAAAAATCATGGCTACAGGCAAAAATAGAGCAGCCTGGGGAAAACTCAGGCTGCACCTGCAGAGATAAGCAGGTAAGATCCAACACAGAAGCCTTTTGTTCTTTGTGTGATTAGTGGGCTCCCAGGAAAAAGGCTCCTGTCCCTTTCAGGCATATACATGGTGGGCTCTGTGGGAACCTGCACAGGGAGGAGGGGGACTTACCTAAAAGAAACCCACAGTTATACAAACAAGAGAAAGGGTGCTTTGTGCATGCCTAGAGACATACGCACAACTACACAGATAAGGGAGAGTTATGCAGACAGCTTTTCAGATAAGAGAAGTTACTCAAACAGCTACAGAGATGACAGGAGTTTCTTATAAAAGCTTTTGAGTTCAACTGTAAAACGGCAATCCACTCTGGCTCCCCCCTCCGCTGTGGACAGCTTTCTTCTTTTGCTTATTAAACTTTCCCTCCAACCTCATCCTTTGTGTCCATGCTCCTTAATTCTCTTGGTTGTGAGATGATGAGCTTGGGTAACACCTTAAGACAACAAGACCAGTAACCCTGACCTGTTTCAACACCAGTCAGAATGGCTATTATTAAAAAGTCAAAGAATAACAGGTGTTGGAGAGGTTGCAGAGAAAAAGGAATGCTTATACACTGTTGGTGGGAGTGTAAATTAGTTCAATCATTGTGGAAAACTGTGTGGCAATTCCTCAAAGACCTAAAAACAGAACTGCCATTTGACCCAGCAATCCCATTACTAGGTAAATACCCAAAGGAATATAAAATCATTCTATCATAAAGACACATGCATGCATATGTTCACTGCAGCACTGTTCACAGTAGCAACAACATGGAATCAACCCAAATGCCCATCAATGATAGACTGGATAAAGAAAAAGTGGTACACATACACCATGGAAAACTATGCAGCCATAAAAAAGAATGAGATCAAGTCCTTTGCAGAGAGATGGATGGAGCTGGAGGCCATTATCCTTAGCAAACTAATGCAGAAACAGAAAACCAAATACCGCATGTTCTTAGTGGAAGTGAAATGATGAGAACACATGGACACATAGAGGGGAACAACACACACTGCATACCAGAAGGTGGAGGGTAGGAGGAGGGAAAGGATCATGAAAAATAACTAATAGGTACTAGGTTTAATACCTGGGTGATGAAATAATTGGTACAACGAACTCCTATGGCATAAATTTACCTTTATAACAAACCTGCACACATACCCCTGAACTTAAAAAATAAATATCCAGCAACTAACAAGGTAAAATTCACAATGCTGACAACCAATTAAAGATTACCAGACATATCAAATAAGGAGAAAATACAACTAATAATGTAGAAAGTATCAATTAAAATCTACCCAGAACTGACACAAATGTTAAAATTAGCAAATATACTAAAACAATGACTACAACTGTATTCTATATGTTCAATAGGTTAAGTAGATGTTAGGACAACTGGATATCCACATGTGTTGGGAGCAGGCCCCCCAAAATCTGGCCATAAACTGGCCCCAAAACTGGCCATACACAAAATCTCTGCAGCACTGTGACATGTTCATGATGGTCATAACACCCATGCTGGAAGGTTGTGGGTTCACGGGAATGAGGGCAAGGAACACCTGGCCCACTCAGGGTGGAAAACCGCTTAAAGCCATTCTTAAGCCACAAACAATAGCATGAGCGATCTGTGCCTTAAGGACATGCTCCTGCTGCAGTTAACTAGCCCAACCTATTCCTTTCATTCGGCCCATCCCTTCATTTCCCATAAGGGATACTTTCAGTTAAGTTAATATCTACAGAAACAATGCTAATGGCTGGCTTGCTGTTAATAAATATGTGGGTAAATGTCTGTTTGGGGCTCTCAGCTCTGCAGGCTGTGAGACCCCTGATTTCCCACTTCACACCTCTATATTTCTCTGTGTGTTTTTAATTCCTCTAGTGCCGCTGGGTTAGGGTCTCCCCAACCGAGCTGGTCTCGGCAAATGGCATCCATCGTGGGGGCTCGAATCCAGGTTGAAGGGTCGCTGGAGCGATGGTTGGAGAATGTGGAACTAGCTGGAGGACACCAGAGTACTCTTAAAGCAATCCCTGTGGTGAGTAAGAAGGGGAGCTTGGAAGCGTCAGGGTAACAATGGGATAAGTGTGGGGTGTGGTTTGTTCCACCTTGGAACTTTTTCACACTGATGATGAGGAGGAAGGAGAGTATAGCAAAGTAACAGAAGAGGTTACAGAGCATATTTATTTACCAGCTAAAGTGGCAAAGGAAGGAGAGGTTCATCCCTATCCTTCTGCACCCCCTCATTATTATTTTGAAGAAAAAGACCCTCCATATCTTTCTTTTCCAGAGGACACTGGGTGAAAAGTAGTTGCCCCAGTGATTGTTCGAGCAGCGCCTCGAGCAACCGCTCTAAGTTTTATTCAGGCAGGAATTCAGCAAGCTAGATGAGAGAGTGATTTAGAGGCTTGGCAGTTCCCTGTTAGAATACACCCCCCAGATCAACAGGGAAATATTATAGCTACATTTGAGCCTTTTCCTTTTAAATTCAGGAAAGCACATTTAGTTGATTACATCAAGGCCTGTGATGGTATTGGAGGTAATCTGCATAAGGCTACTCTGCTAGCACAGGCAATGGCAGGACTGAGAGTGGATAAAGGAAATACTCCATTTCCTGGAGCTTCTTTTAACTGTGGGAAGCACGGTCATACTAAAAAAGAATGTGGAAAAAATCAGCAAGTCAGGCCGCCAGTTGAGGGAAAAAAAGAAAACTGCTGAGCCTGAAATATGTCCAAAATGTAAAAAAGGAAAACACTGGGCTAATCAGTGTCACTCTAAGTTTGATAAAGATGGGAACCTGATTTTGGGAAACACCATGAGGGCCCGTCCCAGGCCCCATTCTAAACCGGGGCCTTTCCAGCTCAGGCCATTCCCTCACCCCTGTACAATGTCTGTCCCCCGCCACAGCCGGTAGTGCCGCAGTAGATCTATGCTACACAAAAGCTGTGAGCCTTCTGCCTGGGGAACCCCCCGCAAAAAGTTCCAACAGGGCTCTGTGGACCCTTGCCAGCAGGGACGATAGGATTACTTTTAGGAAGGTCTAGTTTAAATTTAAAAGGAGTGCAAACACATACAGGAGTCATTGACTCAGATTACAATGAGGAAATTCAAATTGTTACATCTACTTCTGTTCCCTGGAAAGCAGAGCCAGGACAGTGTATAGCACAGCTCCTGATTGTGCCGTATGTGGACATGGGGAAAAGTGAAATTAAACAAACAGGAGGATTTGGAAGCACAAATAAACAAGACAAAGCAGCTTATTGGGTAAATCAAATTACTAATAAACACCCTACCTGTGAAATAACTATTCAGGGAAAGAAATTTAAAGGTTTGGTAGATACAGGAGCGGACATTTCAATCATTTCTCTATAGCACTGGCCGTCCACGTGGCCAATTCAACCTACTCAATTTAACATAGCTGGAGTTGGTAAAGCCCCTGAAGTATATCAAAGTAGTTATATCTTGCATTGTGAAGGGCCCGATGGACAACCTGGGACTATTCAACCAATTATAACTTCCGTACCTATAAATCTATGGGGGAGAGATTTATTACAACAATGGGGAGCACAAGTTCTAATTCCAGAACAATTATATAGCCCTCAAAGGCAACATATGATGCGTGAAATGGGGTATGTCCCTGGTATGGGACTAGAAAAAAATTTGCAAGGTTTGAAAGAACCACTTCAAGTGGAAAAACAAAGTTCCTGACAAAGATTAGGAAATAATTTTTGATGGTGGCCATTGTTAAGCCTCCAGAACCTACACCTTTAAAATGGTTAACAGATAAGCCAATTTGGATAGAACAATGGCCACTAAGTAAAGAGAAACTGGGGGCTTTAGAGAAATTAGTTACTGAACAATTAGAAAATGGGCACATAGCTCCAACATTTTCCCCTTGGAATTCTCCAGTTTTCCTAACTAAGAAAAAATCAAGTAAATGGAGAATGTTAACTGACTTAAGAGCCATCAATTCAGTTATACAACCTATGTGAGCATTACAGCCAGGATTGCCTTCTCCTGCTGTAATTCCAAAAAATTGGCCTTTAATAGTCATAGACTCTAGATTTGCTAATTTTTTCAACTCAGCATTCACCTACAGGTGTTATTGTCCAAGAACAGGACTTAGTAAGAGTGGCTTTTTCTTCCACATACTAATTCACGGACTCTAACTCCTTATTTAGATCAAATCGCTACTATGATAGGGATTCGGAGAACTCAGATTGTTAAATTACATAGATATGATCCTAGAAAAATTATTGTCCCTCTCACGAAGGCACAAATACAGCAAGCTTCTATAAATAGTCTTACTTGGCAAACCCATTTAGCTGACTTTGTAAGTATTCTTGATAATCATTTTCTTAAAACTGTTTCAGTTTTTGAAATTAACTAATTAGATTCTCCCTAAAATAACTAAATTTAAACCAATTGAAGGTGCTGAAAATGTTACAGATAGGTCTAGCAATGGTAAAGCTTCTTATTCTGGCTCAAAAAGTAAAGTTTTCCAGATGTCCTATACTTCAGATCAAAAAGCAGAGCTTGTAGCTGTAATTGAGGTATTGACTGCTTTTGATATGCCTATTAATGTGATTTCTGATTCTTCATACGTGGTTCATGCCACATAGTTAATTGAAAATGCTCAGTTACAATTTCATACAAGTGATGAACAACTGATGACTTTATTTACCCAATTGCAAACAGCAGTTAGAATTAGAATGCACCCTTTTTACATCACTCACATTAGGGCTCATACACCTCTTTCTTCCAGGACCTTTGACTGAAGGGAATCAAATGGCCAATCGCCTAGTTGCTAAGGCAATATTTAATGCTAGACACTTTCACAATTTAACCCATGTTAATGCCTCTAGTCTCAAACACAGATACAGCATTACCTGGAAAGAAGCTAAAGCTATTATCCAGTGATGCCCAACTTGCCAAATGGTACATTCCTCATCTTTTAAAGGAGGAGTTAATCCTCGAGGACTGGAACCTAACTCTCTTTGGCAAATGGATGTCACACATGTTCCCTCGTTTGGGAGACTAGCTTATGTACATGTATGTGTGGACACCTTTTCTCACTTTGTCTGGGCTACATGCCAATCAGGAGAGTCTTCTGCCTGTGTTAAACGTCACCTTTTCCAGTGTTTTGCGGTGATGGGCATTCCAGCTTCTATTAAAACAGACAATGCCCCAGGTTATACTAGCCAAGCTCTAGCTACATTTTTCTCTATGTGGAATATTAAACACATTACTGGCATCCCATACAATTCTCAAGGACAAGCCATAGTGGAAAGAATGAATATCTCCCTAAAACAGCAGTTGCAAAAGCAGAAAGGGGGAGACAGAGAATATGGAACCCCACAGATGCAACTGAATCTGGCATTATTAACTTTAAATTTTTTGAGCCTGCCCAAAGGCCAGATGTTATCAGCAGCTGAACAGCAACTACAGAAACCAGCTGCAAAGACAGAAGCAAAACAATTGGTTTGGTGGAGAGATCCGATAACAAAAAGTTAGGACATAGATAAAATAATAACTTGGGGTAGAGGTTATGCTTGCGTTTCTCCAGGTCAAAATCAACAGCTGATTTGGATACCATCAAGACACCTGAAACTTTATCATGAGCCAGATGCCGAGGAAGAGATTCTGGGAGGATCCCAAGGACCCCCCGGTTGCAGCCATGTCGAGGCTGATGCTGAGGAGGACCCCAACTGACACAAGCAACACCCGTCGAACACAGCCACTCATCTGGGGACAGATCAAAAAGCTGTCACAGATGGCAGAAGAAAACCGGAGGAAAGGGGGACAGTCAGTCACAATGAATAATTTAATGGTAGCTATGATAGTGGTTATCACCACTGCCGTGAGTATTCCTTCAACAAGGGCTGACACAGAGAACAATTATACTTATTGGGCATATTTATCCATTTTGGCTGGCAATAATGCCTGGATGTAATCACTCTATGACACAGTTACACACGCTTTCTGATCTCAGTATTTACCATAATAAATCTGCTCCTATAATTGAGGCATACCACCCTCAAAAACCTATTTGTAAACAAAATTGAACCTGGCCAGAAATAATGAACGTACTTGTTTAGGAAGATTGCACTGCAGAACAGACAGAGGTGCTACACAACGATTCCTATGGAATCATTATTAATTGGTCCCCTAAGGAGATGTTTAGCTTAAATTGCACCTGTCAGTCTGCATGCCACGGCCACACTATGTTCAGCTGGTCTGAACAAAACGGTCGGATGGCAGAAATGATAAAAAGTATGACAAGAGTTCCTATTATCTGGAACCATGGTGGTATAGTGGCACCTCAACCTCATATGATATGGCCCGCTGTAGGAGCTAAACACAAAGATTTGTGGAAACTATTAATAGCTCTTAATAAGATCAAAATTTGGTAAAGAATAAAAAAGCATCTAGAAAGACACTCTACAAACTTGTCTTTGGCTATTGCAAAATTAAAGAACAAATATTTAAAGTATCCCAGGCACACCTGACCTTAATGCCAGGAACTGGAGTGCTTGAAGGAGCTGCAGACAAATTAGCAGCTAGTAACCTGTTAAAATGGATAAAAACACTTGGAAGCTCTGTGATTTCAATGACGATTGTGCTTTTAATCTGTGTTGTTTGTCTTTGTATAGTCTGCAGATGTGGATCCTGACTCCTGCGAGAAGTAGCTCACCATGACAAAGCTGCCCTTGCTTTTATTGATTTGCAAATCGAATAAGGGGGACGTGTTAGGAGCAGGCCCCCCCTCAAAATCTGGCCATAAACTGGCCCCAAAACTGGCCATAAACAAAATCTCTGCAGCACTGTGACATGTTTGTGATGGCCATAACGCCCATGCTGGAAGGTTGTGGGTTTATGGGAATTAGGGCAAGGAACACCTGGCCCACCCAGGGCGGAAAACCGCTTAAAGCCATTCTTAAGCCACAAACAATAGCATGAGCGATCTGTGCCTTAAGGACATGCTCCTGCTGCAGTTAACTAGCCCAACCTATTCCTTTCATTCGGCCCATCCCTTCATTTCCCATAAGGGATACTTTTAGTTAATTTAATATCTATAGAAACAATGCGAATGGCTGGCTTGCTGTTAATAAATATGTGTGTAAATCTCTGTTCGGGCTCTCAGCTCTGCAGGCTGTGAGACCCCTGATTTCCCACTTCACACCTCTATATTTCTGTGTGTGTGTCTTTAATTCCTCTAGCGCTGCCGGGTTAGGGTCTCCCTGACTGAGCTGTTCTTGGCACACATGCAAAAGAAAGAAAATTAGATCCCTGTCTCACACTAAGTACAAAAAGCAACTCACAATGCATCATGGAACTAAACATAAGAGCTAAAACTATAAATTTTTAGAAGAATACATAGGAATAAATCTTTATGATCTTGAATTAGAGAATGTTTTGTTAAAGCATAAGCAATGAAAGAAAAAGTAAATTTGATTTCATCAAAATAAAAAATCATTGTGCTTCAAAAGATACCATCAAGAAAGTGAAAAAAGACAACCCACAGAAAGAGAGAAAATATTTGCCAGTCATATATATGGCAAAAGATTTATATCAGAATATATAAAGAACTCTTAGAATTCAATAAGAAGACAATCTAATTTTAAAATGATCAAAAGGATTTGAATAGATATGTCTTTAAAGATGGTCAATAAGCAAATGAAAAAATGCTCAACACATCATTAGCCATTAGATAAATGCAAAACAAAACCGCAATGAGCTACCATTTCACCCCCATTAGGATGACTTCAATAAAAAAGACAATAAAAACGGTTGGCAAGACTGTGGAGAACTGGAACTCTGATAGTGGGGATGTAAAATGGTATACAGCTGCTTGGGAAAACTATTTTGAAAAACAATTTGGAAGAGTTGATAGAGGACCCCAGGATCTCTGGCCACACTGATTGGTGAAGGTGCAAGTCCAGTCAGTAAGGACTAGGAGAGGGTTCTCTTCTATCTAATATGTAGACATCAACACAGAGAGTAAAGGAAACAGAATCAGGCAATGATGTTTTAAAGGAACAAGATAAATACCAGAAACTGACCCTAATGAAATGTAATTATATTATTTGCCTGACAAAGAATTCAAAATACTGAACAGAAATGCTAACTGAAGTCAAGAGAACAATGCATAAATGAAGTAAGCATTTAAACAAAGAGATAGAAAATACTTTTAAAACACCAAACAGAAATCATGGGGCTGGGCCAGGCGTGGTGGCTCATGCCTGTAATCCCAGCACTTTGGGAGGCTGAGGCAGGTGGATCACCGGAGGTCAGGAGTTCGAGATCAGCCTGACCAACATGGGGAAATCCTGTCTCTACTTAAAATACAAAAAAATAAGCCAGGTGTGGTGGGCGCCTGTAATCCCAGCTACTTGGGAAGCTGAGGCAGGAGAATCGCTTGAACCTGGGAGGCGGAGGGTGCAGTGAGCCAAGATCACACCACTGCATTCCAGCCTGAGCTATAGAGCGAGATTCTGTATCAAAAAAAATAAATAGAAGTCACTCGTGGCCCATTTTCTGACTATATTCTGACTGTAACAAGAAACTGGTTGAGTGACTGGTCATTTGCCACCTGGTTCTCATTTTCCTATTCCCCAGCAAGCATAATTTCACTAGTTTTGCTTTCTCCCATCCATTTAGACTTGAAACACTCTGCTTCTATTGCCAAATAATTCCACGATTTTCAAATTTCACTAGAAAATTTATTTAAGCCAAGTTTTTCAACAAATCATATCAGCATTCCTTGATAGGCTAAAAATTACACTTATGCTGTTTGCACAACCTATATTCATTTATTTTTACCATTAAAAAATTATGAAATATCTTTCTCACACAAAGGTATATAAGTTATTTTTGTACTCTATGTACTTCATGTACCCACCATCTAGTTAAAAGATAAAACTATCAATATAGTTGAAGTCTCTGCATATTCATACCCAATCTAATTCTCCTCCCTCCTCCTACCCTATCACAGTAAGAGGTAACCTCTATTTTGAACTTTTACCTAATGTATTTTTCACTATATCCCTGGACTTTGCATGTCTAAACTAATTAATATTTTCTTTTTTTGAATATTACATGCCACCAAACTCTCAGTATACAATAAATAATAACCAATAATGCAAGTTCAGTAAAAGTTCTCATGACATTATTTCAAACTTGAGTCACTGAACATGAGTTAAATTTTTAACATTTTTATTCCAAAATAATAATTGCCATTTGACATGCACATAAATCCCATAGAGATTTGCAATGAAAATAAAGTAGGACCATCTAATGTTTGCCTTCAAATAGAAGTTTTTATCTATACTAAAGAAAAGATCTACAATATGTAGAAAGTTAATGGCAATGTAGGGCCAGGCATGGTGGCTCAAGCCTGTAATCTCAGCACTTTGGGAGGCTGAGGCGGGCAGATCATGAGGTCAGGAGATCAAGACCTGGCTAACACAGTGAAACCCCATCTCTACTAAAAAATACAAAAAAGAAAAAAAGAAAGTTAATGGCAATGTAAAATAAAACAGATGAGACTTGTAAAGAACTAACTGTGCCATACCTTTTCTGGATAGAATTCTAAGAATAGAGGCTGAAGGAAACAAGACTGCTTAAAGAGCATTTTCCTTTTCTTCGAACATGGCTGAAAGTAAGTGTCTGGATTCCTGCCTCACCTGAGGTTTATTCAGGAAGAAAAAGTCAGGAAAACTTATCCGGTCATAAAATAATGAACAAGCATAGAAGGACCTATAAATAACTAACACTAGTAAAAGCATTTCTTGAAATAATCCTATTCATTAGTCTTAGGGCTTCTATTATAACTAATTGCTAGATAGTGCCAAAAGTAAAATTCCAGTTGTGATATATATGAAAAAAAGACACAGTGGGCTATTAATGCCAGAATATAAAATAGTAAATAAGCCAACCAAAATTTATTATATACTTCTTAAGTGCCAGAGACAGAGCTATGTGGAACAGGGAAGGGGGAGGTACATGGCTTAGTACCTGGAATATAATAGGTCCTGTCCTTAGAGTCAGAATCTGTAACAATTTAAATTAACAACTTAAATGTCAAAGAATACTTTCTAAGTTGATTGCTCTAAGAAAATAACCAAATGGGCCGGGCGTGGTGGCTCACGCCTGTAAACCTAGCACTTTGGGAGGCCGAGGTGGGTGGATCACCTGAGGTCGGGAGTTTCAGAACAGCCTGACCAACATGAAGAAACCCTGTCTCTACTAAAAACACAAAATTAGCCGGCCATGGTGGCACATGCCTGTAATCCCAGTTACTTGGGAGGCTGAGGCAGGAGAATTGCTTGAACCTAGGAGGCACAGGTTGTGGTGAGCCGAGATCACGCCATTGCACTCCAGTCTGGGCAACAAGAGCAAAACTCCGCCCCCACCCCCCAAAAAAAGAAAATAACCAAATGAACACAAAAATAACTGAAATACCATAAATGGTAACTTTGTTTTGTTATATGTTGAGAAATATTCAGAAATATTCAGATTAAATTAAAAGGAGTCAAGTAATTATTCAGATATGTGAACATATCCACACTTGGAAATATCCAAGAATTAACAGCATTTTTCCAGATAGTCTCTATCATGTAAATATGTTTTTAGAGTCCACATCTTCAGTAAATTAATGAAACTAAGAAGCCCAGCTCAAGGTATTATAATTTAAATAGCAGTAGAATCTTGATTTTAATGATTAAAGATTCCCCATCAGAAACCTATCCTAAAATGTTTCCATTAAAAGGAATGAATGTAAATGAAAGCACCTATCATCATTCTTGCTAGACAGTGGATTCTTACTAAAAATTAAAACAACAATTAACCCTAAGGAGCAATAAAGCTCATTCTTTATATTTGAAACCATAGAAGCATAGGGTTTTACTGACTGAAAAAACCTTGGAAATGCTCTAGTCTAATTCTTTAATTTTAAAAAAGAAGGAAAATGAGGCCGAATGACTTAATAAGCTAACACCAGAATCAGATTAAAATCCAGATCTCCAGACGTAAGACTATTGCTTTTGCAAATTCTTTTGTTGAACTAAAATTATGGGGAAAAAAAGGGAACTCACTTTGTTTTCAATAAGAAGCCCTAAACTCTGAGGCAGAAGGCCAGATTCTTACTCTAACTTTCACTAATTACAGCCTCAGGCAATTCACTCAAACGCTCTGGTTTAATTTTTTATAAAATGAGAAGGTTAGAATAGATCAGTGATTCTCAATCTTGGGTGTGCAGCAGAATCCTCTAAGGGGTATTTTACAAAATAATAAATGCTCAGGTCCTACTTCCTCCCACCTAAGATTTTATTTTACACGGTCTGGGATGGTACTCTGGCATATATTTTTTTAAAAGCTTCTCAAGTGACTCCAATGTACAACCAAGACTGAGAGCCAATACACTAAATAATCTTTAAGGTCCCTTTTATAATCTAAAATTCTAATTAATTTTCCCCTGTTTTGGCTGTAGTCATTTGGCTACTGGTTAACTGATGGACAGATTAGACACAATAAAAGTACACAAACCCAGAAAAAAAATAAACTGATATTCCCCCTGTAGACTTTACAGTAGATTCTACATCATAATCTGTCAGCATTTATTGGGACCCATTATGGAGAAGGCTTCCTCTCCTTCCCTGATGTATCCTTCCATATGGAGAGAGCTCAAGTGGCATAAAACTCTTGGCCCCTCTCTATGCCTTTCCTCCCTATGGTCAAGGAGAGAGAGAATAGCTTCTTGGCTGGCAAATTTGGAAAAAAACAAAACTACATATGCTTGGCTCAGCACCCTCCTTTTGCCTCTTGGGAGTGAGCCAACCAAAGGTAATGCAAGTTCTGACCTAGTTCTCTAAAGACAGTGTCTTAATCACTTTAGGCTGCTATAACAAAGCCCCATAGCCTGTATGGCTTATAAACAAAAGAGATCTATTGTTTATAAGATCAGGTTGCTGGCATGGTTGGATGCTAGTGAGGGCCATCTTCTGGACTGCAGATCATTGACTTCTCATTGTGACCTCACACGGCAAAAAGAGCGCTAAAGAGATCCCTGGAGTCACTTTCATAACGGCACTAATCCCATTCATGAGGACTCCACCCTCGTGAACTATTACCTCCCAAAGGTCTCACCGCTCCTAAAACCATCACATTGGGGATTAGGATTTCAATATATGAATTTGGACGGTGGGGGACCAAACATTCAGTCCCTTGCAGATGGTCTCTGCAACGGAGCTTGTCCCAGTCCAGTGCTGCTATGCCTAGGTGGATAAGTCTTCTGAGGTGCAGAATTTGGAAGCCCATATGCTAGCAAATACAAGCTACATCCTCTAATTCAGTGTTTAGTAGACAGACGGTAATATTTTGGCTTGCAGATGAATATTCTTATTTTATTTCTCAACTGGCCCACAACTCAGCAAAGGAAGAATGCTATTTATTGGTACCCCTCAGGGATCTCAACACCACCTACTCTGTATTAGATAATGGCACATGGAATACGAAGATGATGTGTTTAACGTCATTTGGCAATGTTTAGAATGAATGAGTGAACGAAAAAACAAATATTATAGTACAGATAGAATGTCATATCTACTCAAGGACTATATATTAACCAAAGGTAGTCTTATCAATCTTGCCTTAATTCAGGGTTTCTGTTATTATTTACGTTTTAGGCTGGACAATTCTTGTGAAGAGCTATCCTCTACATTCTAGGATGTTCAGCAGCATCCCTGACCTCTTGCTCACTAGAAATGAGTAGGCAACTCTCCAGTTGTGACAACCAAAAATGTTTCCAGGCATTACCAAATGTCCCCTGGGTGGCAAAATTATCCACTGTTGAGAACCACTGCCTTAATTTGTTGTGTCAGTACAGCAAAGCAAAGGTATGTATCTATTGAAAAATGACCTGTTGAAAAGCAAACACAGAATCATAGACTATGATAGAAAGGTCTTTAGAGGTCAGTTAGTCTAACCCTCTACATTTTTTTTTTTTTTTGAGACGGAGTCTTGCTCAGTGGCCCAGGCTGGAGTGCAGTGGCGCAATCTCGGCTCACTGCAAGCTCCGCCTTAGGGGTTCACGCCATTCTCCTGCCTCAGCCTCCCAAGTAGCTGGGACTACAGGTGCCCACCACCATGCCCGGCTAATTTTTTTTGTATTTTTAAGTAGAGATGGGGTTTCACCATGTTAGCCAGGATGGTCTCGATCTCTGGACCTCGTGATCCGCCCGCCTCAGCCTCCCAAAGTGCTGGGATTACAGGCGTGAGCCACCGCGCCCGGCCTGACCCTCTACATTTTCAAGTGAGAAACCACATTTATGGAAAATCAACATTTATTACCAATTATTTATTTAAACAGAACCTCTATCTTACTTTTAAAATCAGCAACCTTGTCAATAAAAATGCAAATAGCACAATCTAGGAATTTCCCAATTGTTTTTTTTCTACTGAAAACATCAGTTAGTATTATTTATTTCTGGGTAAGTGCCATATCACTTTAAAATATGTAAAATATATTTCCTCCAATTCAGTTATTGTAAGATCTGTGAGAAATCTTTAGAAGCCATGCCCATCACTTAGGGTAAAAACCCTGGTTCTCACCATTTGTGTACCACACACATACACACACACACACACACACACACACACACACAGAAAGAGAGAGAGAGAGAGAGAGAGAGAAAAGCCACTGATATGGCAGAACTGAAGGAACAAAAATATGGTATTAAAATTTAAAAACACAGAACCTATCATGTATTACTTAGCAAAGAAACAAGTAGATACAGCCTTGCCTTCCACAGTAATCTTTCTCAAGAAGATCCTTCTAAAACACAAATCTGATTATGTTTCTCCCAGCTTGGCTTCAAATCCTCAAATGGTTCACAATATCGATCACCTTCAAGATAAAAGGCAATTTTCCTAGAAAGGTATACAAGGCTTTCCATGATCTTGTTCCTGCCTACTTCTCCAGCTTGTCTTTTCCTTCTCCCACATGTGCGCTACGTTCTAGCTAGACTGAACTCATTGAAGATCTTGAAAGATACCCAAGAACCTACATTTTCTAACAGTAAAAGTGAAATCAGTACAATTTTGTATAATCTTTGTTTATGGACCCATCCTTCAGTTGTCAGGTTTAGTGTTACTTCCTCAGGGAATACTGCCCCAATCCCCACTCTATTACACATTCTCACAGCACCCTGGACTTCTCCTTCACTGCATTTATCACAACTATAGTTTTTACAATTTTTTGTGATTATTGTATTATTCTCTTCATATGCCTAAAAAGGCAGGAGTGTGTCTAGTTCTATGTTCTAATATGTCCCCAAGGCAGTATTACATTGTATATGTCTGGCATATAATAGATGCTCAACAAATGTTTGTTGAATAAATGAATAAATGAATGTTCTTTCATATCTGCAAGTCTTACTGGAGATGGGACATGATGGTTCTTTCCTTCTTTAGCCAATTCCTGTTTTCCTTTAAGCTCGGGCATCCTCCGTTCTAGAAGTCTTCCTGATGCCCTAAGTCTTAGATACTCTGCTTCTGTGCTGACAAACCATCCTGGATATATTTTTATACGGCATATATACTTGACTATAGTTTTTACTTTACTTATCTGTCTCTTCCACTAGACTATGGGCTCCTTAATGACAAGGGCTGTGTCTTTCATCTTTATATACCTTGTTGGTAGCACAGTGCTTAATACAGAGGGGGTACTCAGTAAATGCCTGAACACATATGAATATACACATATTGCACTTTGTAACACAGCCTCACTACTTTATAGTGAAAACATTATAAAGATAAAACTTGACATAAAGCCCTAACATTTAAATTACACTAAAATTTTTTCAGAAAAGACAATAACCTAAAAAAAATTGCATACTTTTTTTAAACTACTATTTTCCTTGTCATGCTTCCAGGGTTAAATTTAAAACAAGTATCAGAACACTAAATAAAAATTTTAAAACAATTTAGATTCATGTATGACTTCTAGGAAAACAGAAAAGTTGAATATTGTACTCTACGCAAGTTAAGTCATTTTAAAATAATATGATCTCAAGAACCACTCTACCGTGTTACTCTACTACTGAAAAGACACTTAAACTTAAAAACTCCCCCTGCAAATTACTTTGTCCCTTTACAGACGATGGTAATGATGTCTGTAAATTTCTCCTGGATTCCCATATTGAAAGAGAGGAGTTGGTTGCTAAGGCAACTTCCATTTTCTTAATACATGATCTATCCCTTCAGAGTTTTGAAACATTTAAATGTTTTTCCAATGAGTCTTTAGTGGGCATAATTAAAACAATATCAGGATGGAAGCTTATGTTATTTGTTTGCTTCCATCACAGCTCACAAATGACTACACATTTGCCCACATTTTAGTACTATGAGGTTGCCTCTCCTAAACCAAGAACATACCAAGTTTTCAAGAAACAAATTAATGACCAATAAAGGGTACAAACTTGCAGTTTTAAGATGAGTATGTTCTGGGGACTTAAAGTACAGCACGGTGACTATAGTTAATAATAATATGTTATATATGGCACTTGAAATTTGTGCTAAGAGAAGCCGGGCGCGGTGGTTCACGCCTGTAATCCCGGCATTTTGGGAGGCTGATGTGGGCAGATCACGAAGTCAGGAGATCAAGACCATCCTGGCCAACATGGTGAAACCCCGTCTCTACTAAAAATACAGCCATTTTAACAGAGCTTAAAGTTAGTCACCTAATGTTAAATTTAAATAGTATACTATATCTCATTACATATGTAAATGTGAAAATGAACTGAAAAGGCATGTCTAAATAATAAAGCTTATGTTGGTCTTTCAGTTAATCTCCGAATTTTTCAGAAAAGTACATCACTAATCTATTTTCAGTTTAATGTTTCCTCATTTTACCTGCATCTTAGGGAATTTGGGGTGCTTTTAAAAAAATGAAAAAGGGCTGGGTGCGGTGGCTCACGCCTGTAATCCCAGCACTTTGGGAGGACAAGGTGGGAGGATCATGAGGTCAAGAGATCGAGACCATCCTGGCCAACATAGTGAAACCCCATCTCTACTAAAAATACAAAAATTAGCTGGGCGTGGTGGTGCATGCCTGTAGTTCCAGCTACTCGAGGTTGAGGCAGGAGGATCGCTTGAATGTGGGAGGTAGAGGTTGCAGTGAGCTGAGATCGTGACACTGCACTCCAGCCTGGGCAACAGAGCTAGACTCTGTCTCAAAAAAAAAAAAAAAAAGAAAAAGAAAAAAGTGTCTTACAAAGATCATATACTTGGTCATATAATAATAACAGCACTACAAATCACTTAAGATATGTATATGACTGCTAATGGGTAAAGGGTAACTTCGCAAGTATAAATACATTTCTGTCTAACGGTGAAAATGTACAAGCATGTAAGACTATGTAAGTCCTAGAAAGAAGCAAATTTTGAAAATTATTCATTTGGTCATTCAACAAATATGTACTATCTGCCAGACACTGTACTACTGAATGCTAGCCATTCAATAAAGAACAAGACGGACAAGATTCCTTTACCTTCATAATGTTGGCATTCTAGGAGGGGAAAGTAGACAGTATAGTAAACAAATAGATATGCAGGGCAAATAAAGAAAGATGAAAATAAGCAGAGTAAACAGACAACCTACAGAGTTGGAGGAAATCTTCACAATCTATACACCCAACAAAGGACTAATACCCAGAATCTACAAGGAATTCAAATAAATTAGCAAGGAAAAAAACAATCCCATCAAAAAGTGGGCTAAGGACATGAATAGACAATTCTCAAAAGCAGATATACAAATGGGCAACAAACATGGAAAAATGTTCAACCTCACTAATGATCAGGGAAATGCAAATCAAAACCACAATGCAATACCACCTCACTCCGGCATGAACGGTCATAATCCAAAACTAAAAAAAAAAAAAAAAAAGATGTTGGCATGGATGCGGTGAAAAGGGAACACTTCTACACTGCTGGTGGGAATGTAAACTAGTACAACCACTATGGAAAACAGTATGGAGATTCCTTAAAGAACTAAAAGTAGAACTATCATTTGATCCAGCAATCCCACTACTGGGTATATACCCAGAAGAAAAGAAGTCATTATACAAAAAATATACTTGAACACACGTTTATAGCAGCACCATTCACAATCGCAAAAATATGGAACCAGCCCAAATGCCCATCAATCAACAAGTGGATAAAGAAAATGTGGTATATATGTATACGATGGAATACTGGTCAGCATAAAAAGGAATGAAGTAATGGCATCCACAGCAACCTGGATAGGACTGAAGACTATTATTCTAAGTAAAGTAACTCAGGAATGGAAAACCAAACATCATACGTTCTCACTCATAAATGGAGCTAAGCTATGAGGATGCAAAGGGGTAAGAATGATACAATGGACATTGGGGACTTGAGGGGAAAGGGTGGGAAGGGGATGTGGGATAAAAGACTACAAACTGGATTCAGTGTATACTGCTCGGGTGACGGGTTCACCAAAATCTCACAAATTACCAAATTACCACCTGTTCCCCAAAATCTATGGAAATTAAAAAAAAAAAAAAAAGAAGCATGATTCTGTTAGAAAGAACAGGGAGAGCCTACTCTAGATAGCATAGCCAGGAAAGGTTTCTGTGAAGAGGTAATGTTTAAGAAGAGACATGACAAGAGGACTATTTATTATAGCATGAGAGGCTGAAAGGGGGAGGATGGCAGATGCCACAGGGTATGAGAACACTCAACGCAGAGACAATAGCAAGAACAATGGTCTTGAGCAAGAATTTCACTAGTTCTACAAACTGAATTAAGGTTAATCTGATGGGAGAAGAGTAGAGGAGAGAGAGTGTAATGAGACATGTGAAGTTGGAGAAGTAGTAAGGCTAGGTCAGACAGGACAATCAAAGAAAGCCATGATGTCAGACTGTATAAAAAAGCAAGGCCCAATGATAGGCTATCTACAAGAAACCCTCTTTGAAAATAAAGAAATAAATTGGTTAAAAGCAAGAGCATGGCCGGGCATGGTGGCTCACGCCTGTAATCCCAGCGCTTTGGGAGGCCAAGGCAGGCAGACCACGAGGTCAGCAGATCAAGACCATCCTGGCTAACACAGTGAAACCCCATCTCTACTAAAAATACAAAAAATTAGCCAGGCATGGTGGTGGGTGCCTGTAGTCCCAGTTACTAGGGAAGCGGAGGCAGGAGAATGGCGTGAACGCAGGAGGCGGAGCTTGCAGTGAACCGAGATCGTGCCACTGCCCTCCAGCCTGGGTGACAGAGCGAGACTCCGTCTCAAAAAAAAAAAAAAAAAAGCAAGAGTATAAAGGAAATATACTATGCAAACATTAATCAAAAGAAAGCTAGAGTGACTATATAAATATCAAAGTAGATGATTCCAGAACCAGTAATATTACCAAGGATAAAGAAAGACATTACATAATGGTAAAGGGTCAACTGACCAAGAACATATATAAGCCTAAATATGTATAAACCTAACAATAGAGTCTCAGAATACCATTGGCCCTCCATATCCGTGGGTTCTGTACCTGTGGATTCAACTGGGTTTGGATCACAATCTCAAAAGACAACCCCAAATGCCATAATCCCAAATGTTGAAATCTTAAAAGATCAAAATCCCTAAAGTCGAAAGCCCCGAGTGTCTAAAATCCTGTAAATCACCATCCGAGGATAGTTGCATCACGGAAAGTGGAACTATTACCTTGTTATTGTCTTTATTTGGAAATTAAGTATGGTTTAAGGAGATGCATATGGGTGCCAAGGTGATGACAGATGGGCTTATGGACTTCCCATTAGGGATCAACTTGATTGGATTAAGCAATACCTAGAAACATGATAAAGCATTATTTTAGGTATGTCTATGAGGGTGTTTCCAGAAGAGGTTAGTGTGTGAGTCTGAGTAGACTAGGCAGGAAGATCTGACCTCAATGTCGGCAAGCATCATCCAACTGGCTGAGGGCCAGGAAAGAACAAATACAAAAGGCAATTGGTCTCTGAGAGCTGAGAAAGGCTTTTCTTCCGCTCCTTGGACATCAAAAAATTGACTCCATGGGCCAGGCGCAGTGGCTCATGCCTGTAATCCCAGTACTTTGGGAGGCCGACGCAGGTGGATCACCTGAGGCCAGGAGTTCAAGACCAGTCTGGCCAACATGGTGAAATCTCATCTCTACTAAAAAAAAAAAGAAAAAGAAAAAGAAATACAAAAATTAGCCAGGCATGGTGGCACACACCTGTAGTCCCAACTACTCAGGAGGCTAAGGCAGGAGAATCGCTTGAACCTGGGAGGACAGAGGTTGCAGTGAGCCAAGATCGCGCCACTGCACTCCAGCCTGGGTGACAGACCGAGACTCCATCTCAAAAAAAAAAAAAAAAAAAAAATTCACTCTGTGAAACTGCATTATCACAATGTTGACTGTGTGTGTAAGCATAAAAATGCTGAAACTTAACAAATAAAAAAAGTCCTTTTTTTACATTTGCATTTGTGAAAGATAAATTTCTTGAGATCTCGGCTCTTTGAAAGAGGACATATGTAGTGGTGACCCATCGTGGTTTTTGATATATCTCATCAAAACACTTAGATTGAACATCATGATATTTTGGGTGACTACAGTTACAAAGCTGGGTACACACAATTACCAACTATAGTGCCTTTATACATTTCACTTTTTGATATATTTTTCTTTCCTTTTTTTTTTTTTTAAGAGATGAGGTCTCACTACGTTGTCAAGACTGGACTTGAACTCCTAGGCTCAAGCGATCCTCCCCCTTCAGCCTCCCAAGCAGCTGGGATTATAGGGACACACCATGGTCCCCATCTTTATGACCTATTTCTTTATGAATATGGTTTGTCTGCTCATAATTGTGATACATATGTGACTGTTGTTACTATACCTGAATATTTATGATTACAAAAATATATATTATTGCCTATTTTATTGTGTAAACTGGCCTATGAAGTATTCTGTCATGTTTTTACATGTTTCTCAAATAAATCCCACTTCTAAATGTAAACAAATGTCCTTTGAAGAATTTTAAATTATTTTTTCCAGAATTATATTTTCAGGATTTTGATCTTTCAGAATTTCAACATTCAGGATTACACTGTCTGGAATTTTGTCTGTCAGAATTATGACAGGCTCCTGATTCAACAACTGTAGACTGAAAATATTCGGGGAAAAACTGGATAGTTTTGTCTTTACTGAACATGTATAGACTTTTTTCTTGTCGTTATTCTCTAAACAATAAAATATAACAACTGTTTCCATAGCATTTACATTGTATTAGGTATTATAAATAATCTAGAGATTTAAAGTATACAAGAGAATGTGCATAGGTTACAAGCAAATACTACACCCTTTTATATAAGGAACTTGAGTATCCACAGATTTTGGTATCCACGGGGGGATCCTGAAATCAATCCCCCATAGGTACCAAGGAATGACTGTACATGAAGAAAAAGCAAATCTTTCCAAATTGATACACAAATTCAATGCAAGTGCAGTCCAAATAGAGAAGCTGATTCTAAAATGCATATGGAGACAAAGGAATTAGAATGGCTAAAACAATTTTGAAAATGAACAGTGAAGTTGGAAGACTCGCACTGCCTGATTTCAAGACTTCCAATACAGCTATGGTAATTAGGACAATGTGGCACTGGTGAAAGGATAGACACAAATTTGTAAATAACAAACTTTTGTAAATAAAGGAGTCCTAGAAATGAAGGAGTCAGAGACGTAAACATGAAACTTACACTATAAAATTTCGAGAAGAACATATAGGAGAAAATCTTTGTGACCTTGGATGAGGCAAGTCATTCTTAAACAGAACACGAAAAGCATAAACCGTTAAAAAAAAATGTTAAATTGAGCATCATTACAATGTAAAACTCCTCACTAGACAGTGTAAGAAAATGAAAATCCACAGACTGGGAGAAAATATTTGCAAACATATGTCTGACAAAGGTCTGATATCCAGTATATAGAAAGAGTTAAAAAAAATTAAAAAGTTTTTTTAAAAAAGTGAGCAAACAATTTGAACAGATATTTCACCAAAGATTATACAGATGGCAAACCAGCACATGAAAAGATGTCCAACATCATTACGTTAGAGAAGTCCCATTAAAACTACAATGAAATACTATAACACATATATTTAAATTGATACTTTTTTTTAAGCGCTGACATTGTCGAGTGCTGGCAAGGATGTAGAGCAACTGGTATATTCATTCATTGTTGGTGGGAATGCAAAATAAAACCACCACTTTGAAAAACAGTTTGGCCGGGCGCAGTGGCTCACGCCTGCAATCCCAGCACTTTGGGAGGCTGAGGTGGGTGGATCACCTGAGGTCGGGAGTTCGAGACCAGCTTGACCAACATGGAGAAAACCTGTCTCTACTAAAAACACAAAATTAGCCGGGTGTGGTGGAGCATGCCTGTAATCCCAGCTACTTGGGAGGCTTGAGGCAGGAGAATCGCTTGAACCCGGAAGGCAGAGGTTGCGGTGAGCTGACACCATGCCATTGCACTCCAGCCTGGGCAACAAGAGTGAAACTCCATCTCCAAAAACAACAACAACAACAACAACAACAACAACAACAACAACAACAACAAAAACCAGTTTGGTAGTTTTTTAGAAAATTAAACATAAACTTTTGTGACCTAGTAGTCCCCATTCCTAGGCATTTACTCAAGAGAAATGAAGACATACATTCTCACAAAAAATGCATGCAAATATTTATAGCAGCCTTATTCTTAACAGACAAAATAGAAACAATCCAAATATCCACCAGCTGATGAATGTTAAACAAATTGTGGTACATCCAATGGAATGCTAAACTGCAAAAGAAAAGAATCAACTACTGATATACTCGACAGCAGGGATGAATCTCGAGATCCTTATGTTAAGTGGACAAAGCTACATGCTACACGATTCCATTTATATAACATCCTGGAATATTATAAAAAGTATAATAAAAAGGTTGCATATCATATGATTCCATGTATAAAACATTCTGAAAAACACAAAACTCTAGGGCATAAAAACAGGTTAGCAGTTACCAGGGATGGGGGTGAGATGGGAATACATGACTGACTATAAAGTTGAAAGAAATTTCTTGGATGATAGGAATATTCTGCACTTTGATGATATGATAGTTACACAATTATATATGTTTGTTAAAATGCACAGAACTGTACAAATAAAAATGTGTGAATTGTACTGTATGTAAGTTATAATTAATAAGCCTGACTTTTTAAAAAAGAAAAGGATCATGGCAAGTACAACAGGATGTCGATGAAAAAATGAAGGTAAAAATGATAAATCGCTAACAATTCTATAATGTTCAACTTTTCTAAGCAGTTTTTTATATATAATTTCAAGCCTGCTCTTTAACTTAATTGGTCTCTTGAATTTAACAAGTATCAAACGATATAGTGTCTAAGTTCAGGCTGCCAATGTCTTTGTATAGCTAACAACTTATGACAGCTGAAAGCTCTAGGCCTATTTCCTAGGTAAAATAGCCTAGAGAAGTTGTTGCAAGATGATAGAAAAGGATGTCAGTCACAGACTGAAGGATCTGACTTCTCAGACAAGTGAAATTCAGGGATATATGACAAAACAGATATAGAACAGCATCATTACTGTCAGTACAGAGTCCCAAATAACTTCCCTGGGTGCCTCTAGATACAAGCAGCCAGGAAGAAATACGTGAGAAATAATATAAAAAACAGAAAGTTACAATGCATACTGAGGAAACTCAAAATGGACTTCCGACTTCCACGTTTTAATTCGTCTTATCATAAACCCAAGAAATAGATATTATCTTCATTTACATTAATGACATGGGTTTCTTTGCTTTAAGTGAAACAATCATGGGGAAAAAATAGGACTGACTCCATTGCTGGGTCCTAGTGCAAAACGAAAATGCTGGCCCCTTGTTCAAAACTTACAGAGCACATGGCCCTTCTAAGAGTGGGACCTCTCCAATCGCACAGTTGTATGGCCACAAAACAAGCCCTGGAGAGATGGTACAGCCCACTGACAAATTTTAAACATGCAAGAAATCACTTGTCCATTCCCTTACTGCAATGATAATCACGTGATAAAAATATTATTCAAAATCTTCACATTAAAATCCCCAAAGGAGATTCTATAGCTTTTTAAAAATCCACTTTACTGTCTCAGCAAAGATCTCCAGTTAATCTGTTTTCCATCTTTTCTATTGATATTCCCCAATTCCCTTATCTCATATCCAGGAAAATCTGAAAATGTCGTTCCACTGCCTCCTGTAAGAGGTCCCTTTTATATGCCTGAATATCATTTTGGGCTGTCTATCTAGAACCATAGGATGAAAAAGTAAAAGTAAAAAAAACTAATTCATTTTGACAGAACTAAAATAAGCTAACAGCTGGGAAGATATTAATCAGTTTAAAGACTGGGCCTAAAAATGAGATAAATAAGGTGTTACTGAAAAACTAAATGTTGTTGCAGAACTGTAAACTTTTTATAATTTTATCTCAACTTTTAAGAAAAAGTCTAATTTCTAACTCCCTGAGAAGATATATGGTATAGATTAGCTTGAAGAAAGGAACTAAGACCTAGACATTCATTCTTTTTTTAAATTATTATTATTTTTTGAGATGGAGTCTCATTCTTGTCACCCAGGATGGAGTGCAGTGGCGCGATCTCGGTTCACTGCAACCTCTGCTTCTGGGGTTCAAGCGATTCTCTTGCCTTGGCCTCCTAAGTAGCTGGGATTACAGGCACATGCCACCACGCCCAGCTAATTTTTGCATTTTTATTAGAGATGAGGTTTCCCCATGTTGGCTAGGCTGGTCTCGAACTCCTGACCTCAGGTGATCCATCCGCCTCAGCCTCTCAAAGTGCTGGGATTACAGGCGTGAGCCACCATGACCGGCCACTATTTGTTTTTTTAATGTCCGAGTAAACCGACTCCCTCAAAAAGAGCAAATCCATATAATCAACATGTGAACAATCTAGAGTAGATACAACAGCTTTAAAAAATTGAGACGTTGAAAAACAACTTTTATGAGTTAAGGTTACAGGATGATTTGGCCCAGGAGATTTTCCCCTCAAGAACAGCTTCAATTTTTTCATTAGTGTGGATTCACTAAAACAAACACAAAGTTAAGCATAAACCTCTTATGCTTATAGTTCTTATACAACTGCAAAGCAGAAACTAATTTTCAAATTAAATACGCAAGCAGCAAAGCCAATAATCATCAAATGGGCAACATTAATTTAGTATGACAAATAATGCTGATTTTTAGACAGTTAACTGCTGCTTGAAACCTGACAATGGTCCTCACTGCTACAGCATAGATTCTTTAAGGATGGTATCAGCCCTGAAGACTTTAGTGAGTGCTTTTGTAACATAACAAAACCACCAGGTAAAAAGTGAAAATCGGCCAGGTGTGGTGGCTCATGCCTGTAATCCCAGCACTTTGGGAGGCGAGGCGGGTGGATCACCTGAGGTCAGGAGTTCGAGGCCAGTCTGGCCAACATGGTGAAACGCCGCCTCTACTTAAAATATAAAAATTAGCCGGGCATGGTGGCACACGCCTGTAATCCCAACTGCTTGGGAGGCTGAGGCAGGAGAATCGCCTGAACCCCAGAAGCAGAGGTTGCAGTGAGCCGATATCGCACCACTGCACTCCGGCCTGGCTACAGAGCGAGACTGTTTCGGAAAAAAAAAAAAAACAACAAAACCCACTAATGAAATCAGAGAAGTTTTTGAGTTTTCTAACTCCTTTTCTGAAAATAAATGGATTTGTATCTGATTAACCTTGAAGGCTACTTAGTCCAGAAAAACATAACTTTGTTTTATGATAATGTTGACAATTTCTTCAGTTTCCTCATTTTATGTAAAACAGATAAACAGATGCCTGATTGAAGTAGAATGGGGGACCCAGCACAGGTCACTTTCACTGTGAATTTCCTTCTATCAAACGCGCTTCTGTGAAACTCTGTCTTCGCATAATTTGAAAAACTATGAAACAGACGATCTCAAGGTGCTTTCTTTCTTAAGTTCTAGAGAACTTAGAGGTAATTTCTATCACAGCATGAATGTATGGATTTAATCAAGTGATTAATATCTGAGTTTAATCATTAATAACAAATATTCCTTGAGTGCCCAGCATGTTGATAATTTTAAAAATTCAATTATCTATTTCTCTTTAAAAGCTCCTATGAACATAAATTTTAAATTATTATTTTTTTCTGTGAGTCAAAGACAAATACTATTAAATACATTAGACATGACTTTTTAAAATTACAGTTTTTATTTTAGATACAGGGTACATATGTGCAGGATGGTAACATGGGTATACTGCACCCAGGTAGTGAGCACAGTACCCAACAGGTAGTTTTGCAATCCTGGCCCCCCTCCGTCTGCCCTCTAAAAGTCCACAGTGTCTATTGTTCCCATGTTCATGTCCATGTGTTTGCATTGTTTAGCTCCCACTTACAAGTGAGAACATGCGCTATTTGGTTTTCTAGTTTTTGCATTCATTCACTTAGGATAATGGCCTCCAGCTACATGCATGTTGCTGAAGAAAACATAATTTTGTTCTTTTTTATGGCTGCACACAATTCCATGTGGGTATGTACCACATTTTCCTTATTCACTCCACCACTGATGGGCACACGTAGGTTGATTCTATGTCTTTGCTATCGTGAATAGTGCTGTGGTGATCACACGAGTGCATATGTCTTTTTTCCTTTGGGTATATACCCAATGGTGGGACTGCTGGGTCAAATGGTAGTACTATTTTTAGTTCCTTGAGAAATCTCCAAGCTGCTTTCCACAGTGACTGAACTAATTTACATTCCCACTAACAGTGCAGAAGCATTCCCTTTTCTCTGCAGCCTCACCAACATCTGTTGTTTCTTGACTTTTTAATAGAAGGCAATGTTAAACTTGTCCCATTACCAAAATATTTATATTCAAACAAAAGAAAATTATAACATGCTTATTCATTTTGAATTAAGAGCAGATTGTAACACAGCATCCAAAAAGTAAAGCCTATATTACAATAAACAGACTAAAGCATAAGTAATATTTTCACTATGGTTAAATAATCAAAGGTAATCACTGACATTTTGGCTTAGAGATATTCTCAAAATAAGCAACTAAAATAACAACCAGGCTTCTGTTCCAGTGTATCTCTTGTAATATAATCCTTTAAATTAAGGTGAAATAGTATTACTTCTTTCTATTTTTCCTGTTTCCTTTTCTTCCTAGAAAATTATTCCATGTTTTGTCAATTATTCACAAATTCATCCTATAAAAATATTTTACTAAAGTTTGGGCTAAAAATAAATATATTGGCCGGATGCAGTGGCTCATGCCTGTAATCCCAGCACTTTGGGAGGCCGAGGCGGGCGGATCACAAGGTCAGGAGTTCGAGACCATCCTGGCTAACACAGTGAAACCCTGTCTCTACTAAAAATACAAAAACAAAATTAGCCAGGTGTGGTGGTGGGCGCCTGTAGTCCCAGATACTCAGGAGGCTGAGGCAGGAGAATGGCATGAACCCGGGAGGCAGAGCGTGCAGTGAGCCGAGATCGCACCATTGCTCTCCAGCCTGGGCTATAAACTATTCTTCATATAATTTTTATTAGTATGACCCACATACCATAAAATTTATCCTTTAAAAGTATATACTCAGTGGGTTTAGTATATTCACAAAGTTGTACAAATACCACTACCATCTACTTTCATAACTTTATCACTGCCCCAAAAAGAAACCTCTTGGCCACAGCAGTCAATCCCTATTCTCCCCTTCCCTGGTCCATCGCAACCCCTCATCTACTTTCTGTCTCTACAAATTTGCTTATTCTGGCCATTTCATATAAGTGGAATCATACGATATGTTACTTTCTGTGTTTGGCTTCTTTCCTTTAACATGTTTTCAAGGTCCATCCATGTTACTGAATGTGTCTGTATTTCATTCTGTTCCTTTGCATTGCCAAATAATAGTCCATCTGTGTATTTTCCATACCTTGTTTATCCATTCATCAATTAATGGACTTTTGGGTTCTTTCTACTTTTTGGCTATTATGATTAATGCTGCTATAAACATTTGTATACAAGTTTTTTTATGGACATATGTTTCATTTATTTTGGGTTATCTAGGAGTAGAATGGCTAAGTCATATGGTAACCCTATGTTTAACATTTTGAGTAACTGCCAAACTGTTTTCCAACGTGGTTACACCATTTTATATTCCCACCAACAATGCATGAGGGTTCTAATCTGTCCACATCCTCACCAACACTTATCTTTCTTTGTGATTACTGCCATGCCAGCTGGTGTGAAGTGGTATTCATTACGGCTTTAAAATGTAATTCTTAAATGGTGCAGTCTAAAAATAGTAAACAATTAAAAGAATATCCACCTTAGCCAAATCAAACTAATTTTACAGAAGCTGTTGTAATTTAACCTGTACATTAACTGTCAGAACTCTATGACTAGGTGATCATTTCTGCAGTGTTTTGAATGGAGGTGCTTACCACTCAACAAAAAGTAACCAAGTGGTAATATCTTGTTATAATAGAGTTTGCCTGAAGTCTGATATCCGGTTAAACAGAGTATTAATATATTTATTGTCTCTTATTTTACTGAATTCATATGTACATGTATTTATATTCCATGTTGTTCAAAACAAACTTTGAAACAACTTTTTAAAAAGGGACATACAATATAGCAGGATTTTTGTAACAGACTTTTTTCTGACCAAATGGTATACCAGGCAACCTGAATAATCCTTCTGCAACTGAGAAATGCTAGAAAAAAATTGTAATATTCCTCACTACATTGATGAACTGACAAAAATAAGGAATATTCAGGCAGAAACCCAAGTAAAAGTAGAAATTCAGAAAAGCAAGTGGAAAATTGAGCATAATGTTTACTTTGAGGATATTTGCTGGGATAGGTAAACTTTGGCTTTTTGGTTTCTGTAACCTTTTAGAAGGTCAAGGTTCATGAAATAAAGCTTAAGGCTTCCTACAGATATTGTAAAAAGAAACTCTCCAAAAAGTTATCATCAGTGTAAGAGTAAATTACAAATAAACCAACTCCTACAGGGGTTTTACATAGCTTAAACTCAGGACACATGAGGAAAGAGGGGAGGAAAAATTGTAACTCACAAGCAAAAGCTGTCCTTCCACAGATTCCAGCCAAACTTCAGACTTCCAGGCTGGTCCAGGTATGTCAAGCTATTTGTTTAGTCTAAAGCAATCCTGTAGTAATAGTGTCCCTAGGCATCTGGAGAAAACAAAAGCAAATCCGATCTGAAGGAATTCCATGGGATAACATTCCACGGGATAAACTGGAGCTCACAGTTAAAAATTTGTGAAACATAAAAATGAGCAAGGCATTTAGTAAAATCCAGTGAATCAGATCTGCAGAGATTCAAATATTGGAACTATCAGAAACAGAACATAAAACAAGTATGTTTCTTGTGTTCACAGAAATAAAAGAAAGTGAAGATATGAGTAAAAACAAGTAACTATTAAAAATGAGGAAGTCTTTTTCAAAATGACTATTTGAAAAGAATCAAATAGAAGATCTGTAAAATACCAAAAAAAAAAAAAGATTAAAAACTCAATGCATTAAATATTGCCTTCTGGACAATTTCTTCAGATATGCCTTCCACTTTAGTTTGTTCAGATCTGTGAACAAAGCAGAAAGCATATCCGAAGAAATTCTCCAGAAGGCAGTATAGAGTGACAAAGAGATTCAATATGAAACAGACAATATAAAATAAAGGTTAAAAAATGAATGACAAAGTGAAAACGTATAATACATATCTAATCAAAGTTCCAGAAGAAGAAGACAATGAGAATGGGGAAAGGACAGTATTTGAAGAGCAGGTGGTCAGGTATTTTCTAAAATTGATGAAGGACATCAATGCACAGATTGAAGAAGCTAAATTAATTCTAAACAGGATACATCAAAAGAATTCCAATACAGACACACAGAGAAATGTAGAACACCAAAAACAAAGATACTATCTTAAAGGCAGCTAGAGAAAAAAGAGACAGATAACTTTCAAAGGAATGGCAAAAGAGACAGATATCTTTCAAAGGAATGACAACTGACAGCTGACTTCTTCACAGCAACAAAGAAATCCAGAAGATGGTGGTATGATCTTCAATATACTGGAAGTCTATCATACTGTCACAGTCAGTGAAAATATCTTTAAAGAACAGTTAAAAACAAAAATATGCTCAACTTCATTCATAATACGAGAAATGTAAAATTAAAACCACTGAGATACCATTTCTCACTTATAATCATTGGCAAAAACTCAAAAGCTTGACAATACACTCTGTTGGTGAAGCTATGAGAAAACAGGCATTCTTACATGTTGCTGGTGGGAGGGCAAATGGTACAACCCATATGAAACAGAATTTGGCAATATCTAATAAAACTACAGATGTATTTATTATTTGGTCCAGCAATCCCACTTCTAGGACTTTAAAGATGTACCTCCCCAAATATATCTTGACAACAGATGCACAAGTTACTCAATGAAACATTATTTGTAAAAGTAAAATATGAGAAACAAACAAAATGCTCAGCAGTAAGAAATTGGTTAAAAAACCTATTACACAGGCCAGGCATGGTGGCTCATGCCTATAATCCCAGCACTTTGGGAGGCCGAGGCAGGCGGATCACCTGAGGTCAGGAGTTTGAGACCAGCCTGGCCATCACAGCAAAACCCTGTCTCTACCAAAAACACAAAAAAATTAGCCAGGCATGGTGCACACCTGAATCATAGCTACTTGGGAGGCTGAGAGAGGAGAATCCCTTGAACCCTGGGGTAGAGGTTGCATGCAGTGAGCCCAGATCACACTACTGCACTGCAGCCTGGGTGACAGAGTGAGACTTGTCTCAAAACAAAAACAAAAACAAAACACATCTATTACACATATATGCAACAAAGTAGCATGCAAGCATGAAGAAATGAGAAAGAAGCCACCTGTAATCCTAGCACTTTGGGAGGCTGAGGTGGGCAGATCACTTGAGCTCAGGAGTTCAAGACCATTCTGGGCAACATGGTGAAATCCCATCCATACAAAAAACAGAAAAATTAGCTGGGCTTGGTGGTGCATGCCTATAGTCCCAGCTACTCAGGAGGCTGAGGTGGGAGGATGGCTTGAGCCCAGGAGTTCAAGGCTGCAGTGAGCTATGATTGTGCCACTGCACACTCCAGCCTGGGTGATACAGTGAGACTCTGTCTCAAAAAGAAAAAGAAAAAAAATACATCATATATATATAGAGGAGATGGATTCAAATGCAGTAGAAGATATTGGGATACAAATGAAACTTTTTTAGTATTCTTTTTTACATAGGTTGACTTTTTATTCTGGTGACAGTAACACCAAATAGTTTGACTTTTGAACCATGAAAACTTTTACCTATTCAAAAATTAAAGTCAAATAAAAAAGATGGAGACTAATATTTCCAGGAAAATGGAATAGATACTTTTCCCTATTCCTCCCCACTAAGTATAGCTAAATACCTTAGACATTACATATAAAACAAACAGAAAAAGACTGAAAGGTGGGGAGAAGAAGCCTGACCAACTAGGAACCTCGGGGCCCAAGCAACCACACGGTAGTGAGTTCCCTGGTATTTTCTTGTGTATCTTTTTCTCCTCCTATTTGCCAGACTTGGGGCTAAAAAAGTTGTCAATCAGGAAACATAAATGGCAGCAGACAAAAGAAGCCCTAAAAAATGCCTGCTCTCTCTAGCCAATGGACCAGGGAAGGAGCAACCTAAAATGACAAAAAAAACTTTCAGAGAATAACTGCTCTACTCCAGCCAAACATCAGAGAAAAAATTGTGTACTTTACCCCAGCCAGTAAAGGCTGACAGCTGGGGCCAAAGATGAACTTCCACCCTTGAAAGGCTCTAAAAAGGTACCTCAATACTCTAGCCAGGAAGTGTCAGAGGCCTTGCAGAAATCAGGACTCAGTGGTACTGAGGCCCCCCATGGTGGTATCAGTGGAGGCCTAAGGGAGAGCAAAAACTCCCACTCCCACCCAGAGATACCAACGAGCCTCATCTCCAGGGTGTCCGTGGAGGACAAGTGTGGAATCTGGACTTCTAGCTCCATCTGGCAATAATGAGGATGCAGCCCCTTCCCCTGCCAGAATGGTATCCCAAAAAAGCCAGCAAAAACAGAAGGATCTTATTTAATTAAGATTCAGAGTCTCTTCATATAATGGAAAAATGTTCAGATTTTAATTGAAAATCATTTGTCATAACAACAAACCAGGGAGAACTCAAACTAAATGAAAAATAACAATCAACAGATGCCAATACTGAGATACAGAGATGTTAGACTGATTTGACAATAAATTTAAAGCAACCATGAAAAAAAAAATGCTTCAGTGAGCAACTGCAAACACACTTCAAGCAAATGAAACTGTAGAAAGCCTCAGAAAAGAAATAATCTTGGCAAAGACAAGAAGTATAAAGAACCAGGCCAGGCGCAGTGGCTCATGCCTGTAATCCCAGCATTTTGGGAGGCTGAGGCAGGCAGAAAACCTGAGGCCAGGAGTTCAAGCCCAGCCTGGTCAACATGATGAAACCCTGTCTCTACTAAAAAATAATAATACAAAAATTAGCCAGAGACTGGGAAAGATGTGGGGAGGGGATGAATAGAAGTTGGTTAATGGGTACAAACATACATTAGACAAAAGGGATAATTTCTGATGTTCGATAGCAGAGTAGCGTAACTATAGTTAACAGCAATGTATTGCACATTTCAAAATAATTAAAACGGAGAACTTGAAATGCTCCCAACATATAGAAGTGATAAATACTCAAAGTGATGAATACCCAAAATGCCCTAACTTGATCACACAGTCTATGCATGTAACAAAATATCACATGTATCCCATAAATATATACAAATATGGTGTCAATAAAAAATTAAATCGAATTTTTAAAGAGATACACAAAGAAGACATTCAAAAATATTAGAGATAATTCAAAATGGAATTCAAAAAAATGTTCAAATAAATCACATGAAGGCAGGAAAAAGAAAAGAAAAATAAAAAACAAGAAAAAAATAAAATATAAAATGGCAGACATAATCTATAACTCATCAATAATCACATAAAACATAAATGGTCTAAAAACATTAATTAAAAGAGATTGACAGAATGGCTTGCAATTCAGGACAAAAATATGTTGTGTACAAGAAACTTCCTACAAATTTAACAGTATAGTGAGGTTGAAAATAAAAGGAAGGAAAAGATACATCATGGGAACATTAACCAAAAGAAAGCAGTTATGGCTATATTAATATCAACTAAAGTCAACTTCACAGAAAAGAAAATTACCAGATACAGAGAGGGACATCAGATAATGAAAAAAAGGGTCAGTGTAACAAGATATCAGCAATCCCAAATGTGTATGCATCAGACAAAAGAACTACAAATATCTGGCCAGGCATGGTGGCTCACGCCTGTAATCTCAGCACTTTGAGAGGCCAAGGCAGGTGGATCACCTGAGGTCAGGAGTTGGAGACCAGCCTGGCCAAAATGGAGAAACCCTGTCTCTACTAAAAACACAAAAATTAGGCCAGGCGCGGTGGCTCACGCCTCAATCCCAGCACTTTGGTAGGCCAAGGCGGGTGGATCACAAGGTCAGGAGATCGAGACCATCCTGGCTAACACAGTGAAACCCTCTCTACTAAAAATAAAAAAATTAGCTGGGCCCACAGTGGTGGCGGGCACCTGCAGTCCCAGCTACTCGGGAGGCTGAGGCAGGAGAATGGCGTGAACCCGGGAGGCGGAGCTTGCAGTGAGCCGAGATCGCGCCACAGCACTCCAGCCTGGGCGACAGAGCGAAGACTCTGTCTCAAAAACAAAACAAAACAAAACAAAAAAACCCACAAAAATTAGCCGGGTATGGTGGTGCACGCCTGTAATCCTGGCTACTCAGGAACGAGGCAGGAGAATCGCCTGAACCCAGGAGGTGGAGGTCGCAGTGAGCCGAGATTGCGCCACTGCACTCCAGCCTGGGTGACAGAGCAAGACTGTCTCAAAACAACAACAACAACAACAACAACAACAACAACAACAACAAACTACAAATATCTGTGGGTAAACTAACAGACTTGAAAAGACGAACCCACAATTTACGTAAACCCCTCTGATATGGTTTGGTTGTGTCCCCACCTAAATCTCATCTTGAATTCCCACGTTTTGTAGGAGGGACCTGGTGGAAGGTAACTGAATGTCTTTCCCGTGCTGTTCTCGTGGTAGTGAATAAGTCTCACAACATCTGATGGTTATAAAAAGGGGAGTTTCCCTGCACAAGCGCTCCTCTCGTTGTCCACCGCCATCCACGTAAGATGTGACTTGTGGCTCCTTGCCTTCTGCCATGATTGTGAGGCTTCCCAGCCACATGGAACTGTACATCCCATTAAACCTCTTTCTTTTGTAAATTGCCCAGTCTCAGGTGTGTCTTTATCAGCTGCGTGAAAACGAACTAATACACCCTCTTTCAACAATTGACAGAACATATAGACAGAAAATAAGCAAGGATATAGAAGAACTCAACAACAAAATCAATAAACAGGATCTAAAAGACATTTATAGAGCACTTCATCCAACAACAGCAGCATACCCATTCTTTCCAGGTGTCCATGACACTTGACCCATATCCTGGGCCATAAAACAAACCTCAACAATTTCAAAAGAATTAAAATCATACAAAGTAGAATCAAGCGAGAAACCAGTTAATAAAAAGTTAGAAAAATCTCCAAACACTTGGGATAATCTATGGTCAGAAAGGAAGTTTCGAGGGAAATCAAAAGTTACATGGAACTGAAAGAAAATTAAAATAAAACACATAAAAATTTATGATACACAGCTAAAGCAGTGCTGAAAGGAATTTTTACAGTAACAAATGCATATATTAGAAAGAATAAAAGCCTCAAATCAGTAATCTAAGCTCCCACCATCAAGAAGCTAGAAAAAGCACAAAATAAACCCAAAGTGAGCAGAAAGAAGAGCGTAATAAAGATGAGAGCAGAAATCAAAGACACATTAAACAGAAAAACTGACAGAAAGAAAATCAATGAAACAAAGAGCTGCCTCTTTTAAAAGGTCAATGAAGCTAACAAACCTCTAACAAGACAGACAAAGAATAAAGACAAACAGCACAAATTACCAGTATCAGGAATGAAGCAGAGGATGTCATACATACCATGGAGACAACAAAAGTATAGTAAGGAACTACTATTAACAACTCTACAAGCATAAATTTGACAACTCAGAATGAAATAAACCAATTCCTGAAAAAATGCCAATGATCTACATTCATTCCTTGATAATAATTTGAATAGCCCTATAATAACAAGAAAATTGAATTAGTAATTTTTAAACTCAAAAACAACAACAACAAGAAAAAGAAACCTCCAGGCCCAGATGGTTTTACTAGAGCATTCTACCAAATGTTTAAAGAAAATTTAATACCAGTTCTGCACATTTTCATCGAGAAAATAGAAGGGGAAAAACTTTCTAATTCATTGTATGAAGTTACAATTACCAGACACCAAAACCAGACAGACAGTAATAATAAAAAAAAAAACTATAAGCAACACCTGTCATAAAGACATAAAAATATTTAACAAACTATTAGCCAATAGAAATCAACAATATACTAAAATAATTACACCTTAATCAAGTGGGGCTTATTCCATGGATGCAAGGCTGGTTCAATACTTGAAAATAAATCAATATAATCTACCACATGAACAGGTTAATGAGGAAAAATTACATGATCCTATTAATTGATTTTAAAAAAGCATCTGACAAAACTTAATACCCATTCAAGATTTTTTTTAAAACCTCTCAGAAAATAGGAATAGAGGAGGAACTTCCTCAACTTGATAAAGAACATCTACAAAAAATCTACTGCTAACATTATACTTAAAGGTGAAAGATTTGGCTGGGCGCAGTGGCTCACACCTGTAATCCCAACACTCTGAGAGGCCAAGGTGGGAGGACTGCTTGAGCCCAGAAGTTTGAGACCAGCCTGGGCAAAATAGTGAGACCATGTGTCTACAAAAAAAGTTTTTTAATTAGCTGGACATGGTGGCATACACCTGTAGTTCCAGCTACTTGAGTGGCTGAGGCAGGAGGATCATTTGAGCCCAGGAGGTAGAGGCTGCAGTGACCTATGATCACACCACTGCACTCTAGCCTGGGCGACAGTGAGACCCTGTCTCAAAAAAGGAGAGGGAGAGGGAGCAGGAGGGGGAGCGGGAGGAGGAAGGAGGAGGAGGAAGGAGGAGCAGAAAGGAGGAGAAGGGGAGAGGGGGGAGGAGGAGAAGAGGAAGAAGGGGCAAGAAAGAAGACAATGACGACGAGAGAAAAAGTGGGAAAAAATCAGTCTACCCAGCCAGGCTTGGTGGCTCACGCCTGTAATCCCAGCACTTTGGGAGGCCAAGGTGGGCAGATCACCAGAGGTCAGGAGTTCGAGACCAGCCTGGCCAACATGGTGAAACCCCATCTCTACTAAAAATACGAAAATGAGCCAGGTGTGGTGGTGCACGCCTGTAATCCCAGCTACTCAGGAGGCTGAGACAGGAGAATTGCTTGAACCCAGGAGGCAGAGGTTGCAGTCAGCCGAGATCATACCACTGCACTCCAGCCTGGGTGACGGAGCAAGACTGTCTCAAAAAAAAAAAAAAAATTCAGTCTACCCAACTAAAGACTTCTTATACAGCTATAGTAGGCAAGATTGTATGGTACTGGCAGAAGAAGAGACATGAAGACCAGAGGGACAAAATAGAAAACCCAGAAATAGACCCACACAATATGATTTTTGACAAGGGTACAACAGCAACTCAATGGTGGAATGATAATCTTTCAACAAATGGTGCTGGAGCAACTGGACATCCATAGGCAAAGAAGTGAATTGTGATCTAAGCCACACCTTATAAAAAATTACTCATAATGGATCATGGAATTAAATACGAAACTTAAAACTATAAAAATTTTAGAAAAAAAATAAAAATATTTGAAATCTCAAGCTTGGCAAAGAGTTCTTAAAAGCATCAAAAAGCACAATCCATAAAAGGAAAAACTGATAAACTGGACTCCATCAAAATTTAAAATTTTGTATCTCAAAAGACTCTGTTAACTCACCAAATTATACACAGTCATCCCTCAATATACACATTGGATTGGTCCAGAGCCCCCACCTGAACATACTCAAGTCCCACAGTTGGCCCTCGGTATTCATGGGTTTCACACCCTGGGAATACTATATTTCCAATCCACATTTGGTTGTAAAACCCAGTCATACGTGGACTCATGCAGTTCAAACCCATGTTGTTCAAGGGTCAACTATAAACTAATCATGCAGTTTTTTGGCATATAAATAAAGGTGGGGGAAGCCTCTGCTAAGAGGATGAAAAGATAAACTACAGAGAAAATATCTGCAAACCACTAGACAAAAGTCTAGTATCTACAATAAAGAACTCTCAAAACTCAGTTTAAAAAATCCAATTAGAAAAGGAGAAAAGACATGGATAGACATTTCACTAAAGAGGATATATAAATGGCAAATAAGCACGTGAACATTAGCCATTAGGTGAATGCAAATTAAAACCAAAATCAGTCATCAATACACACCTGTTGTGGGCTGCATGTTTGTCCCCCAAAATTCATACGTTGAAATCCTAATCCTTAATGTGAGGGTCTTAGGAAGTGGGGCCTTTGGGAAGTAATAATAGGTCTTGAGGGTAGAGCCCTCATGAATGGGATTAGGGCCCTTATAAAAAAGACGCCAGGGCCAGGCGGTGGCTCACGCCTGGAATCCCAGCACTTTGGGAAGCCCAGGCGGATGGATCACTTGAGTCCAGGAGTTTGAGACCAGCCTGGCCATCATGGTGAAACCCCGTCTCTACTAAAAAAAAAAAAAAAAAAGAAAAATACAAAAATTAGCCAGGCATGGTGACCTACACCTGTAATCCCAGCTACTTGGGAGGCTGAGGCAGGAGAATCGCTTGAACCCAGGAGGCAGAGGCTGCAGTGACCCGAGATCGTGCCACTGCACTCCAGCCTGGGCAACAGAGTGAGACCCTTGTCACCAAAAAAAAAAAAGAAAAAAAAAGAAAAAGACCCCAGAAAGTGCTCTATCCCTCTTTCCACCAAGCGAGGATATGATGAGAAATCAGCAATCTAAAACCCAGAAGACAACCCTTCCCAGAACCCAAAGATGCTGGCACCCTTATCTCAGTCTTCCAGCTTCTAGAACTGCAAGAAACAAACTTCTATTGTTTATAAGCCACCCAGTCTCTGGTACTTTGTTATAGCAGCCTGAACTCACTAAGACAAAAGCTATCAGAATGCCTAAAATAAAGACAGTGACAACACCAAATGCTGGTGAGCATGTGGTAAAGAGGCTAGGCCAGTCATACATTGCTAGTGGGAATGTAAAATGGAATAGACCCTCTGGAAAACAGTTTGGCAGTTTCTTAAAAAAAAAAACGAAACATGTAACTACCATACAGCCTAGCACTTGCACTCTTGAACATTTATACCAGAGAAATGAAGACTATGTTCAAGTAGAAAACTGTATAAAAATGTTTACAGCAGATTTATTTATAATAACTAAAAACTGAAAATAGATGTCCTTCAATAGGTGAAAAGTTAAACTGTGGTACATGTATACCATGGAATACTACTCAGCAATAAAAAGGAACAAACTACTGATATATCCAACAAACTGGATGGATCTCCAGAGAGTTATGCTGAATGAAAAAAGCCAATCACAAAAGGTTATGTACTCTATGTTTCCACTAACATTCTGGGAATAAAATTATAGAAATGAAGAATAGGTTAGTGAGTATTATGATATATCAGAAACCAGGGTTTTACTGACAAGGGAGGTACAAGTATGCAGTGGGGAAATGCAAAGGAAACACACACACACACACACACACACACACACACACATTTCCTAAATTTGTCCACTGAAAAGTCCTAAATGCAATAATCTCTTAATAAAAATAAGCAGACTCAAAACCCAGATAATGGTTTCCATACCATTTCTCATGAAAAGGAACTCGGTTTCCTTAGAAAAATGATTTCTGATCTGGGGCAGGGAAATCATTAGGTAAGCCTGGGACATCTTGTGCCAGAAAACTGGGAAATGCTCAAATAAATGTTGAGATATATGAAAAAGACATAGAAGCCAGCTTGCAGGCATTCTCACTGGCCAAATTTAAAGACAATCTGAACATCAAAAATAATTATAATACTTGATTATAACACACTGAAAAAAAAAGAATCAATTTGGCTGGGCACAGTGGCTCATGCCTGTAATCCCTGCACTTTGGGAGGCCAAGGCAGGCATCGCTTGAGCTCACACGTTTGAGATCAGCCTGGACAACACAGTGAAACCCCCCTCTCTACAAAAATAAAAAAATGAGCCAGGCATGGTGGCATGCTTCTGTGGCCCCAGCCACTTGGAGGCTGAGGTGGAAGGACTGCTTGACCCTAGGAAGGTTGCACTGCACTCCAGCCTGGGTGACACAGCGAAACCCTGCTCAAAAACAAAGAATCAATTTGTCTACAGTAACATGAGGAAGATGGGGTACAGTTAGAGAACCTCTTCATTATAAAAGATGTCATCAAATGGTAGAAGGAATGACAAAATTTGAACATCGCTGTTTTGCAACCACCAGCGTAGTAAGTGATGCACGCAAGGATCTTCAGCCAATACTAAAATCACTGGGTTAAAGTTTGTTAGGGAACAGACTATTCACTCAGCATCAAAGTATCACCCCACAGATCACTCATTAAAAACCAAAGGGAAAAAAAGCAAAAGGCATCTTTATAATGGAAAGATGTGGCAGTTACCACCTTAGCCTTGGCAGAACAAGACACATGATGTGTTTTCTCATGTGATGCTGTGAGAAGGGCACAATATCACTCATGTAATAATGTGACAAAAATGTTTAATCTAAATCTAATCACGATGAAACAATTAGGCAAATTCAGAATATAGGACATTCTCCAAACAGTTAACTTGGACTCTTCAAAAAATTCAAGTCATCAAAAAAAAAGTGTGATTGCTTTAGAGTGATTAAAAGTGGCTAAAGTTACCTAACAATAAAATGCGATATATGAATCTTGATTGACCCCTGGATTTTTTATAAAGTCATTTTCTTTACCATTAAGAAAACTATGGTAGACTGAATTACTGTTAATTATCTTAGGTGTGAGTACAGTATTGTGGTTACATAGAAAAATGTCCTCATTCTTGAGACAGGCATACTGATATATTTCTCTTTTTTTGGCATACCGATATATTTTGGTATGAAGTGTCATGATGTCTGCAACTTTCTTCTAAATGTATTGGGGGGAAAGGCGAGACAAGAGGAAGAGAGTGTGTAGTCAGAAAAAGGGAAAGATAAAGCAAATGAGTCCAACAGATAAAATTTTCCATGAAATACCAAATTGTTATATTCTTAGTGCTTTTATTTCACTAAACATCCATTAAAATGAGATAGAGATATACAGAAGTACATCTGTATTACACCAAAACACCCAGTTTTAAATGGACAAACAAGCACTAGAGAGGTTAAAGAATTTGTCCTACTTGGGAAGGCATTGTACAGATACAGCTGGGGGGGTGTTTGTATTATACATTGTTGGCACTCCAGATATTACACATTTTTGGCAGTATGCTTACAAAATACTCTTAAAATATCAGAAAATTGAAGTATAAGAGAAAAGCAAAGGAAAAATCCTGTGAATTTGAGTAAAATAACTTGGAAGGGCTGCAATTAAGTTTACTGGCCCAGCATTCTAGCAACCAGGACTCCTCTATTAACTAGCATTCTTGCCATTTTTCAGTACACACTGATGAGACTTCTAAAGCACCAAAGTTGAATATGTTCAGTTTCACTTTAACATAGGATGAGCTCTATAATACTTGAATCCTTTGAAACTTGTTAACCCATGTGTGATATATATGATAGCTCTCTATTATTTGGTATATTTGATTAACCAGAGCTGTCCATTGCTTAACAATGGAGGAAAACAGGATGAAGCTGGGGAGTAAGAATTGGAGCAAAATGTAAGATTCTATGGTAAACACACACACACACACACACACACACACACTCAACACATAGGAACTATTACAAAATAGAACTTTCCACAATGAGAATAATAAAAAAAATCCAAGTGTAATATTCAAAACATGTATTTTTATTCTTTGTTGTTTTTCAGTGTTTAATTGAACAAATCAGTACGGTCACAGGGTAGATTCCAGATTAACCAGGACATTTGAGGAAGGGGGAAAACAATTGCCGACTTTGACAATCACAACACCAAGAAGCTGGTACTATTATCCCCATATTAACAACATGAAAACTGAAAGACGGGTTAAGTAACTTCCCCAAACCATGTAACTATTAAGTAGGGAGAGCTCATTCAAACACGAAGTCTGACTCCAGTGCCTGCCATCAGGACATCTACATTACCTAGTATTTCCACTGCTTTTTGCTTTTTTTGGAGGAGGGGCTGATCCTTCCCTTTACTGAATACTTGCACTAAGTACTTTGCTTGCAATATATTGTTTATTTATTTATTTATTTTTGAGACAGAGTCTCAATCTGCCACCCAGGCTGGAGTGCAGTGGCACAATCTCGACTCACTGCAACCTCCACCTCCCAGGTTCAAGCAATTCTTGTGCCTCAGCCTCCCAAGTAGCTGGGATTACAGGCATGTACCACCATGCCCAGCTAATTTTTGTATTTTCAGTAGAGACTGGGTTTTGCCATGTTGGCCAGGCTGGTCTTGAACTCCTGACCTCAGGTGATCCGCCTGCCTTGGCTCTCAAAGTGCTGGGATTACAGGCATGAGCCACCACGCCCAGCCACAATATGTCATTTAATCTTCACAACAACTCTGTGAGGTAGGATTTCTTTAAGAGATGGGGGTCTTGCAATGTTGCTCCTGGGCCAAAGTGGTCCTGAGTAACTGGGACTATAGGCACCCACCATGGCGCTTGGATGAAACAGAATTGTTATTCCTAGTTTTCAGAAGAGTACAGTGAAGCAACAGGAGGTTTAGTAATCTACCCAAAGTCACCCTGCAAACAATAAGACTCACAGTTCAAACACAGGTGCTCTTTGCTGGACTATACTCTGCCTTCCACATTCTATGTGTATACGATTCCCTATTTTTTAAGAAAACAAATCTTCTACTAGACAACTTCTGGTTGCCGAAGGCCTGTGTTCCTATACTGATTTGGAATTAATAACACAATTTCCCTAGAAACATTCTTTCCTGTAATTAATGAGATCTATAACATGAAAGAACAAATTCGGATGAAGTGAGGATTTTGTAATGTGGGAAATTATAGAAAGGCCCTCAAAAGCCATGTGGTTTAAATCTCTAAGTTCAACAGGCTTGGAAGCCAGTAATAATTAATGGTGTGTATACAATTCTAAAAACGGCTTGTGCCAGTCAGAGATTAGCTGAGGATAAGACATGACTGAAGCTTCGTATCATACAAATAATAAAAACTGCCTAGTCTTTTTTGCCTCTTATTTTAATTTTATTTCATTCAAATACATTATTGTTTTTGAAAGCATGGTTTTATAGAGTTCACAACCATTCCAAAAATATTCATACTGCATATAATTGCCCTTCTCTTAAACTCAGAAAGCATTCTCAACATGCTATTTCCAAAAGGAATTTAAAACAGCTGAAATCATCCTCACTATACCTTCAGTGGAACCAAGAAACCGACAGCCCTGGTTGCCAGCTGGTTTGTAAGATTTTGATATACATTTGCCACAGGCAGCTAGGGGTACTACGCGTGACCTTGGGCAAATTTCCTAATCTTAAAAATGAAGATAGTAACAGTACCTACTTCACAAGATTGTTGTGACGTTTAAATGAGCAAACACATACGAAAAGATTACAAAAAGTTATGTGCCTGCACATAGCCATGATGTGTGTTATTTGTTATTGTTGAAGTTTACGTGCATCCATCATTGAAGCACCAGCTACACAGAAAGACACCTATCAGCGTTCTCTATCTCTGGAAGAACCTATCAGCATTCTCTATCTCTGGAAGAACCTATCAGCTTTCTCTATCTCTGGAAGAACCTATCAGCTTTCTCTATCTCTGGAAGAACCTATCAGCTTTCTCTGTCTCTCGAAGAACCTATCAGCTTTCTCTGTCTCTGGAAGAACCTATCAGCTTTCTCTATCTCTGGAAGAACCTATCAGCTTTCTCTATCTCTGGAAGAACCTATCAGCGTTCTCTATCTCTGGAAGAGCTTTGAGGAAACTCACTCAGAACTTCACCTCACAGCTCTCCTCTTAAAATCTGTATCCTCTTCCTTCAATCACTAGACAAAGTTACAACTCTCATTTTTTTTTTTTTTTTTTTTTTTTTTTTGAGAGGGAGTTTCGCTCTTGTTGCCCAGGCTGGAGTGCAATGGCGCGATCTTGGCTCGCTGCAACCTCTGCCTCCCGAGTTCAAGCGATTCTCCTGCCTCAGCCTCCCGAGGAGCTGGGATTACAGGAATGTGCCACCACACCCAGCTAGTTTTTGTATTTTTAGTAGAGACGGGGTTTCTCCATGTTGGCCAGGCTGGTCTCGAACTCCTGACCTCAGGTGATCCACCCGCCTCAGCCTCCCAAAGTGCTGGGATTACAGGCGTGAGCCACCATGCCCGGCAGAACCCTCATTCTTAGAAAAAAACTTTAGTTGACTTTTCCAACCAAACTACCACTCCTTATTTTTGTTGTTGTTGCTAGTTTTCATTTATCAAACTTCTTAAACACGTTTTTTGTAGCTATTGTTATTGATATGAATCAGAAGTCCTTTAGGAAAACCAGGTGGCATTTTCCCGTGGAAGTCAGAACCTGATTTTGTGAGTTTTCCTAGAGTTGTATAGAAGCACAAAAACAGAATAGAACAACACAAAATCACAATGCTAATTTACTAACGAAAAGAAGTATATTTGCCCCAAAGTCCTGACAGTTGAACCCTCTAATCAACTCCTTCTCTCCCTACAGAAAATCTATAAACAGGAAGCCAAATGTGTAACCAAACATTTGCTGCGATAGCGCAGCCATAAGGACCAGAGATATTAAACTCTCTAGACAGCATAACATCTTCTCTGAACAGTCTTGAAAAGCACTCCCAAATTCTGGTTCTCCAACTCCCATTTGTCTCTATTTCTATGCTGCCCATCTACCTTTTGCTGTGACAGTCTTTCTTTAGATATGCTAATACCACCTATTAGACTACATCAAGTCCCACTCTTCCTGCTTTCAACCTGAAACAGAATCTTTTAAGATTTCTTCTACAGAAAACTGAGCTTATGTGATATTCTTAAGCCAACTCTGAGTTTGGCTGGTAGCACCTACATCATACCACATCCACCCACTCAGCCCCACCTGTCACCTTCTAATTACTTTCTCTTCCTTAACCCTTAACTTGAATGTCACTTCCTATCACATACAGTGACCTCTTTACAGTTCTCATTCTTCCGGATTTAACTACTGCAATTGATACAACTTGCCACCCATTTCTTAAAAACTTTCCCCATCATTGGCTTTAATGGAACTGAGCTCTGTTGGTTCTGCTCACTAATTTTAAATTGCTCTACAGTGCAATGATGGTTAAGAGTCCGGGTGTAGAATCGAACAGAGCTAGATCCGAATCCAGGCTCTACTCCTTACTATGTGCCCGTGGAAAAGCTCTAAGCCTTCTTCCTCAACTGTGAAATGGACATAATTACATAATTGGCTATTAAGTGCTCAGCATAATAAGCTTATTCTGGTACAAAGTAATCACTCAGTAAATATTAACAATTGTCTGTGTCCTAATTCTTAGCTCCTAACGCTCTGTTCTCTTTTGCCTTCAAGAGCCTCCAACAGCTTTGACTAATGCTTCAATTAAGTATATTCCTGAAGTCACTGTTGCAAGACTAAACCTTTCACCCTCTTCTCCATAATAATGAAAATCACTCTTTGTGTATTTTACCAATATCTAATAATTAGCCTGCTGAAAACTGGTTTCATCTTCATACTCTTTCTTGAAACACTAATTTCCCCTGGCTTCTGCAATACCATATTTTCCAGATTTTTCTTCTCTAGCCATCTCTTCTTAGACTCCTCTGCCAGCTTATCCTCTTGTACCCAGACTCTGATGTCCTAAAAGAAAACACTCTGGTGTTGTAAAGGGAAAGCTTAATGGTTTTCTTTACTTCTCACGCTACAGTCTCTCCCTTGGTGCTCACGCTTCATCACAGCTACAACTGCAACCTATAAGTAAGTAAATTACTTACATATTATTTCTAGCCCAGACCTCTCCTCTGAGTTCTACATCCCTGTATCTAATTGCCTACCGACATCACCATGTGAGGACAAAGGCAGCTTAAATCCTACAGATCCAAAACTAGATTCATGACCTTCCTCCCAATCCTAGTTACTCAGTATTTCGTTGTTAGTGAATGGCACCACCATCCACAGCTGCATAAAGCAGAATTCTAGAAGTTAACCTTAATAATCTTCCCCTCCCTTCCCGACCAAATTTAATTAACCCTATAGATTTCACCTCAAATATCTCTCAAATACACTCTTATCTCCACCTCCACCAATCTAATTTCTTATTCTAAGTATTCTAAGTAGCCACAAAATTCTACTTTACAATACCTACATATGATTTCTTTCCCATCCCTCCTCTCTCGCGAAGCCATGTATTTCTTTCTCTCTCAAAACGCCTCTTGAAAACCTTCACTCGTTAATTCAAGCCAATATCACTCCTTACTGGGAAAAATTAAGTTACACATTCAGATTCATGGTTTATTCAGCTTAATAATCTATTTTTGACAGTGATACCAACAGAACATATGATGCTTTCCTCCCAGGCAACATCCTCAAAAATGCGCCATTACCCAAATACACATTTCCTTTAATAATGCACCAAGCACTGAATCTGTGAATGTATATGTGCTTTATGTCTTTTATGGACATGTACATATTTTTAAGCTTTTTCTATTTTATAAGTCTATATATTTCACAAGATTAAAATCAACCACATAAAACTGAACTTCCTTGTTTTGAATCTACCTTTTTCAAGCATCAGGATAATCCTCTCATTTTAGTATTCTCAGATTTGGCAAACAAACTGATAGTTTTCTCACTTCTATCATTTGTGATTTTAAAAGAATTACAAAAGTAAATACAGTATGGGCTGGGCATGGTGGCTCATGCCTGTAATCCCAGCAATTTGGGAAGCCAAGGCAAGCGGATCACCTGAGGTCAGGAGTTCGAGACCAGCCTGGTCAACATGGTGAAATCCCGTCTCTACTAAAAATATAAAATTAGCCAGGCGTGGTGGTGCATGCCTGTAATTCCAGCTACTTGGGAGGCTGAGGCAGGAGAATCACTTGAACCCGGGAGGTGGAGGTTGCAGTGAGCAGACATCGCGCCACTACACTCCAGCCCGGGCAACAAGAGTGAAACTCTGTCTCCCAAAAAAAAAAAAAAAAAACAGTAAATACAGTATGATTGTGTCCTTAGACTCTGCATATAGGGTCCATAATGGTCCATATGGGGTCCAGTGTGGTCCAGCTGTATTCATATTTTTATTCTGAGTTTCCAAAATAATGTCTCATAAAGAGAAGGTGTTCAATATATGTTCAACAGAATTAAAGGAATTCTGCTTAGGACTGATACTGTAAACTCCATGAATACCAAAAAGAAAGGAGAACTTCTCAAACATGTTAACTCTGCTTATTTTGGGCTAAAAAGCATAGAGAGAATTAATTCCCAGGATAACTGAGGAGATTGTAACAGAGCACCTAGCTGCTTTAAATGAAGTCAAGCTTTTAGTGAATGGGATCACTGAGCTGCTGCCAGTGGAGGAAGTGTGGAGAACCGGAGGACTGCCAAAGACTGGAAAAGAACAAATAACTGTAGTCCTGATTTTTTAAAAAACAGAAACAACTGCCAACGACAGTCCAGTATACTTGACGTCAATCCTTTTCTAAATTCAGATTATTTATTTTAAAACAGTTTCTAACCATTTAGAAAAGAAAATGGTAACCATTTGTGGAATCAACCTGAGTTTTACCAGATTAACCTAATTTCTTGTTTTTTTTTAAAAAAAGAGTGTATGTACAGATAGGTCACAGATCAAAAAGAGGCAGTAAAAACAGTGTGTTGGTAGGATTTCAATAAGGTATTTGACCAGGTTTTCATTACACCCATATACAAGATAAATATAAGATGGATAACAGTGCAACTAGGTGGCTAGGTAATTGTTTGAACAATCATAACTAACAAGTGCTCATTAATGAATTGCTATCAACCTGAAGGGCAGTTCTACCCGCAAGCTTCAGGACTCTATCTGTGGCTTTCTCTTGTTCAACAATTTTATCAGTAACTTTTATGAACATGTACTGTACTACTGTTGGTATCCAGTATGTGGATGACATGAACCTAGGACAAACAGCTTATAAATATATTAAGAAAGAGCCAGGATCTAAAAACACACACACACAAAATTAGGCTCATTCTAATGAAATGAAATTTAATAGGAAAAGATATCTAAGGGATCAGTACCTGTGTCCAAAAATATAAGTGTGAGATGGGCAAACAGTGGCTTGTCACATATGTTAAAAAAAAACAAAACAGCTCAATGGCTTTGATGGCAAGCTTAGTTCAATCTGACAGCAGCAAGCTCAGTATGTGATGAAGATATCAGAAAAGCTAATGTGATGCTAGCTGCAGCAATAGCAGTATCTCGAACATGGGAGGTAGTGGTCTTGTTCAACTCTAGACTGATCAGACCACAACTGGAATATTGTCTACCTTTCTAGGGGCCACAGTCTTCAAAGGATCAAAACCACCTTGGCACATGTTCAGAAGAGAACAACCAAGATGCTTAGGAGCCTGAATACTATTCCATAAAAGGAAAGGCAGAAGGGACTGGAAATGTATAAATAGGACAAAGAAATGCCTTAAGAGAAAGATGATCACTAGCTTCATTCAGTCATTCAATGAACATTATTGTTAAACCTATTTCAGGAAAGACATTGTGAGAATGGCCAGGGATACAGAGAGAAGACAGTCCATATGTGCAAGACATTCATATGTATATTCAGCAATGTATATATGAAGAGTTGAAACAGCCATGATCTAAAAAAGGATTCAATTGTTCTATATGATTTCATAAGGCAGAAATAGGAGCAGAAGAAAGAAGTTAGAAAGTAACTGATTTCAGCTCCATATAAGGAAGAGTATTTTAAGAGTCAAGGCTAATGAAGGGAGAAGCTGTCTGAGAAAACTGCAAGGTTCCCATCAGTAACGGTGTACTTAGAGAAGACACTGTCAAAATAAGACAGACAGTAACCTGGACTATCTTGAACATTCCTCACATTTTACACAACGATTCTATACTTTCCCACGAAATGAATGAAAGTCCAGATTCTACTTGTGCACTTCAGCATCCCAGGTTTCCTAGAGTTGCTACTTCCAACTCGGTACCCTGTCCCACCGTGAAGCAATGCTTTATACTAACAAAAGAGAACAGATCTGAGCACAACAGGAATAATGAGAAATAGGAAGAAACTGGCCCATAAGCAAATGGAACACCAGAAATCAATACTGTTCTATGTGCCTGGAATTTGTAAAGAAAATGATCCTCTATCCTTGAATTCATAAATTCGATTTAAAATATTCATTTATGTTCGATTAATGTAAATAAGGATTTGTTATGTACTGCATTCCTGGTTGTCAGCTATTTTTTTCTCAACAAAGAAAAATTCATTTTAACTTAAGATCACTTGGAAAATGTCCTAAATAAGCACTCCAAAACCCTCTATTACAAATATATGTGGAAACTAACTTTAGAATATATTTCTTAAAATGAATGATTCATCGGATATAGTCCAAATACTATTAGCTAATCAAATTGTGAAATTCTAATTAAATGGCTACTTAAGTTTAATCTATTTAAAAATCACAGGCAGGAGGCTAAACACAGAGAAAGGGTTTAGACCATTTGGTTCTAGCTTTTATAAATTGGTTTAAGACTATTAAGCTTACTTTCACTCATTTTATTTTGTAATTTTATAAGTCTCATTTATTTGGCTCTAAATTCTACATCTGGGTATTTAAGGAGCTCGACCTTCCAAACTGTTAATATTAACTTCTTGGAAGCAATCCCTCCCACATTAGCGCTTTTTCTCAATTTGGGTACAATCAAGGGGGAAACAATTGGATATCCAAGGGCTCCTTCTTTTAAATAGCAGCCCAGGAAGACAAAAGTGAGAAAGAAAAAGAGGAGCATCTTTAACCAGCAACCTTGAAAAAAGGCATCCCCAACAGCTGTCGCCAACTCAGCTGGCTCGCTCCCATTTCTCAAAACACCGCCTGGACGCCTTGGTCAAAAAAAGAAAAAGAAAAGAAAAAAAACCAGATTCCCGCTTCCCTGGGACAGGGAGCTCCCTTTTGTAGAAGTAGCTAAAGAAAGCGAGGCGCCCCACGGGATTTCATCTCGTCGTCAAGGCAGCGCCAACCCCAGCCGTCCGGCGCAAGGAAAGCTCCGGCGGGCCCGGAGCCCACGGCGGCCCCAGCCTCCGGCAGAGCAGCCCCGGCAGAGCCCGGAGCCCCGCGGCCGCAGAGTTCCGGCAGCGACCCCGGACGGCCCGGCGGGCGTCCCCCGGACCGCGGCGGAAGGCGGGAAGACGCGGCTCGACTTACAGTGACACCATCCTAGGTGACAGCACCAGTGCAGCTTGAAGCACTTGCCATGGCTGTGCGTGGCACAGATAGACAGCCCGTCGCACGGCTGGAAGTCGGGTCTGCGGGCGGCGCAACTCCGCGCCAGGGCCTGAGCCTCATCTAGTTTCTCGCTCTTCCAACCCCGCTCCGACGCCGGCGAGGCCGCCGCACTCATTTCCTCTCCCTCCGCGCGGAGCCGACACCGGGAGCCCGGGAGAAGCGACGTCTGGGTGGGCAGGAAGCCGAGCCGGCTGCGGACGCGGGAGGGCGCGGCACGGGCCGGGAGTCACGCCAGCACGCGGCGGCGGCGGGAGCGCGGCGGTCCCAGGCTCGAGGAGGAGCCGCCCCGGGCGCTGCGACCGGGTCCGGGCTGGCAGCCTCCCTCCCTCCGGCGCGGCGCGCGCCGCGCCCCACGCGCACACGCACGCGCACAGGCGCGCGCCGGTCGGCCCCGCGCGACGTTCCTCAGCGAGCCCGGCCTTCTCACACACACGCCGCTGGGGAGCTTGGCCGTCGGCGTCCCCGCCGGTCACAGCGAGGTCCTCCTCACATACTCACTCCTTCCTCGGAGAAAGACCCCGACGGAGGGCCGTGGTGAACACACACTCCTCGGCCGCTTTGTACTCACATGCACGCCAGCCTACATATGCACTTCCCCCCGAGTGACACTGGCCACCGAGAACTGACACACGCGTCCACACGCTCCACGGAGGGCTGCGCACACCTGGCCCACGCCCACCCGAACCTCCTAGTGGCCCGGGCCGGGTGCATCGCGTAGCGAGGATCTCACACACACAGCCTGTCCCCACAGGCGTCTCACATCTCCCTCGTACACACCTCCCCGTGTCTGGGCATGGAGCCCCTGGGAGGCGCGCACACGCTCGTGCACACGCGCGCACTCCCCCCACCCAGGGCGGGCCTCCTGCCCCAGCGCGGCCACAGGGCGCGTCAGGGGCCAGCACCGCCAACCCCTGCCCGCCTCGCCCCAAACCCCAGGCCAGTGCGCCCGGGCCTTCCCGCGCCCGCCCCAACCTTCGCCGGGACCGCAGCCCCTCCCCCTTCTCCTCCCACCCCCGCCTCCGTTGAGCGGGAAAGCAACAAAGCTGGGTGCATTGATGTGTGTGTGTGTCTGCGTATGTGTAGTTTGGTGTGCATGGGATGTGTGTGTTGCGTGCGTGTGTATGATTATTTGGAGTATGTATGGTGGGTATGCGTGTGTGGTTGTGTGTGGTTAGGTGTGTTCATGGTACATGGTGGGTGGTATGCGTGATGCAAGTGACTGGTGAGGTGTGTGTATACGTGTGTATGTGAAATGAATGTTATAACTGAGGTGGAGTGTGGGTGGTGTGTGTGTGGTTGAGTGTGTGTGGCGTGCAGAATATGTATATGTGTGTAGTTGGACGTGCATGTGCTTGTGCACGTGTTGTGGGGGTGGGTATGCTTAGTAATACAGAGTGGTGTGTGTATGGTATATGTGTGGCAGTGCAGTGCGTGTATCTGGCATGTCGAGTGTGCACATGGCATATACGGATCAAATCGGGTGTGTGTGGTACATAGGAGTGGGTGGGCACACAAACAGGACTCATGTATGCGGAGGACTCTGCCTTTCTGTGTTAGCGCCTGCTCTGGCCAGCAGGTGTGACTGACCCTGTGGTGGCTGCGGCTTCCCCACACAGTTGGCTCGCACTCTTCCCTCCTGGGGACAAGTTGCTCCAAATAGATTTTCCATGCCAGGCTCTGCTGCTGAGAACCGACCCCAGGCTGGATTCACTGAAGAGGAAACAAACCATTTGCTCCCATGGTGCACTGCTGGGAATTAGTGTTTCCCTGCAACAAGGCCAGAACCCAGCCTTGAACACAGAAGAGGAGGGGACACCCCCTCCTTATTTGCCAAACGCACAGAAGAATGCTTGTTCAAGGAACAAGGCTTTCAGCACAAACACTGTGTGGGAACATGTTTATGCCCAGGTCCACTTTCTCCTTTATGCCTTTCCTGCTTTGCACTGACAAGAGACTCATCATGGTTTTGAAACAACCAAATTCATCCTCAAGCTTGAAAATCCTTGCTGCCATAAGCAATCTTTCATAATTTTCCCTTTTATGTAACCTTGGCTTGAGAAGGGAAATGTAATTTGCATATATCTGACTCTGGTGAAATCTTCATTTATTAGGGATTGGGGAGAGACTCAATTTGGCAGCAAAAGTATTTTCCAGAAAGGTCTGAATCAAAATCACAAACTCTAGTTCCCCCATTAACCTAACATTGAAACAGTTGCAAACATGAAGAATCATCTCATCAGCTTCCACCCCAACTGCTCCCCGCCTCAAAAAAATCCTAAAGGAATACATCTCTGACACAAAATCTATGCACCCCTGCTGTTAACTTCACAGTCTGACCTACCTCAGAATAACGGAAGTAAAAGGCAGAGAAATCTTAATCAAAGAAATCCATACTCCATTATTACTGCAGCAAGCCAACCAACAATTTTTCAAAGGGGACTTTCCATCTGTTCTACCCTATTTTTCTCTTTCTCCAACCTATAACTCACTCTAATACTGCCCCTATCATAGAAGGCCTTATGACGGCATCCTCTCTGTATTTCAGTAACTAATACTTGTATGGGATCCTTCCCCTGACTTTTACCCCAGGGTGAACCATGTGGTAAGATTCCACAATATATGAAATAAACCATCTCAGCTAGTAAAAAATGAGCATGAGAAAGCATGCAATATAGCACTTTAGCTAGGAGGCAAGATGAATTATCCAAACACCTTATTTTAGGTTAGACACGTGATTTGAAGTTGAGAAGCCTTTACATTTTCTGTACCATGAAACTCATTCCATCACCTTGCCCTAAAGACGTTATTGATTTCTACTGTCTGGTGTGGAGCGGGAGGAGGTAATTGCTGTGACCTCTCAAATATATACACACAGCTTTCAGGATGTGTTGTTGGGATACGATTTTTAAATTTTTTATTATGAAACTTTCCAAAATATACAAACATAGAGAGATGAAGATAACCCCCCATGTACCCATGTACCCATCACCCAGTTTCAACGATTATGAACTCATTTAGAAAACCTTGTTTCATCTACAGCGCCACCCACTCCAGGCCCCCAACCTGTCCACTGGATCATTTTTAAGCCAATCTCAAACATCAAATCGTTTCATCCATTAATATTTTGGTGTATATCTCTAAAGGAAATTTTAAAATCTCTAACCATAATTATTGCATAATAGCATACAATTTGATCATAAATATGAACTTGTCCTGTAGCTGCTGACCACCTCTCCAGCTCCCCTTTAAGAATGCTACTCCCTGCCAGGCACAGTGGCTCATGCCTGTAATCCCAACACTTTGGGAGGCCAAGGCGGATGGATCACCTGAGGTCAGGAGTTCGAGACCAGCCTGGACAACATGGTGAAACCCCATCTCTACTAAAAATACAAAAATTAGCTGGGCATGGTGGTGCGCACCTGTAATCCTGGCTACTCAGGAGGCTGAGGCAGGAGAATCACTTAAACCCGGGAGGTGGAGGTTGCAGTGAGTCGAGATCGCACTGCTACACTCCACCCTGGGCCACAGAGTGAGACTCCATCTCAAAAAAAAAGGAATGCTACTCCCTGCCAGGCACAGTGGTTCATGCCTGTAATCCCAACACTTTGGGAGACCAAGGCGGGCAGATCGCCTGAGGTCAGGATTTCAAGACCAGCCAATATGGCGAAAACCCATCTCTACTAAAAATACAAAAATTACCCGGGTGTGGTAGCGCGCACCTGTAATCCCAGCTACTCAGGAGGCTGAAGCAGGAGAACCACTTGAACCCGGGAGGCAGAGGTTGCAGTGAGCTGAGATTGCACCACTGCACTGCCTGGATGACAGAGTAAAGCTCCGTCTCAAAAAAATAATAATAAAATAAAATAAAATAAAAAAGAATACTACTCCCTCTGCCTGGAATTTTCCTCTGTCCCTGACTCTTAATCCCCCATCTACCTCTTCAGATTAAGTGCCATTTTCTCTGACTAGTCCAGACTGAGCTATACACGCTGTCCATTCAGGTCACTTATCCCAATTGTAAACAAAAATTAAAGAAGGAATTCTTCAATTAATATCTTTCCCTGTGTCCCTTCCCCGACACAAACTGTACGCTCTTTGAGGACAGGAACATTTCCATCTTGTTTTCAATATTTAGGGCAGAGAATAAATAATTGTTGAAATAGTGAAAATAATTTCATCTCCGGTTCTAAAGGGCTGGAAAAGATTCATCTTTGGTAAATTGTTTGCAAGTATGTATAAATAATTCATATAATTACTGTTCTTATAACTGTACCCTTGGATAGTCACCTCCCACACTGACTCTGAGCTTAGCTGTGTGTATTAGTTATCTATTGCTCTGTAACAAATCACTCCCAAATTAAAAGAACACACAGTTTCTGTGAGTCAGGAACCCAGATGTAACTGCAGTAGGTCCTTGGCTTCTAAGTCTCTCACAAAGCTGCAGTGAAAATATGGGCCAAGGCTGCTTTCCCATCTAAAGGTTCAACCAGGGAAGAGTCTGCTTCCAAGCTCACTCACTCACTGTATGTTAGCAAGATTCAGTTCCGTAGGAACTGTTGTTTTTCACCGGTTGTTAGGATCTCCATGGACCTCTCCATAGGACAGTTCAGACGTGGCAGCTTGCTTTATCAGAACAAGTATGTCTTTAAGAAGAGTCAGAGAGAGCACCACAATCCTTTATAACCTATTCTCAGGAGTGATATTCCATCAATTTTGTCATATTCTACTCATTAGAAGCAAGTTGCTAGGTCCAGCTCCATGCAAGGGGAGAAGATTATATGACGGCAGGAATGCCAGAAGGCAAGAATCACTGAGAGCCATTTCAGAAGCTGCCTGCTACACCATGTGACTTGCTTTAGCCAATGAAAGAGTAGCGAGAATGGTAAAGATTTGCAAACAGCATTCTTATTGGGATTTGCCCTTTCCTTCTGTGTTGGAACCCTGAGACCACCATGTGTACAAGTCTGAGCAAGGCTGCTAAAGGATAAAATGCTTTGTGAAGGAGAATGAGGTGCTCCAGTTGGCGAGCAGCTGATCCCCAGCCAATGGTCTGTCAACCACTAGAACTATGAATGGGGCTATGGCAGATCATGTAGACCCACCAGCTGGTCACAGAAGCATGAGAGTCCAACAGAGATCTGCTGAGCCAGTCCAGACCAGGACAACCACCATGATCAACCACAGAATCATAAGCTCCATAAAATGGCCGTTATTTTAGGCTGCTAGGTTCTGGGTGGTTTCTTACACAGCAAAAGTTAACTGATACATCCACCAATCCTTTCATGTTGTAGACAAAATAATTGAGGATTCAAGAGGCTAAGTGACTCCATGTCATGGTGCAGCAGGCATGGTAGGAAAACAGCATCAAAACAATGCAAATAGTTCAAGTCTAAGCTCCGGCATTTTCTGGCTGGGAGACCTTGGCAAATCCCTTATGCTTTCTAGGCTTCAGTTTCTCTATCAACAAAAAAGAGCCCAGAACTTTCTCTAGAACATCTTTTAGTGTTCAAAGTTAAGACTTGTCCACTTGGCTATAGAGCTGGGATTAGAATTATTTTGGTTCAGCTGTCATTTGTGAATAGTCAAATACTCCCCCACTATTCTGTTGCATATATTGGTCTAACACTAATATGAGTTATATATGTGCACACCAACCATTTGGAACAGTTTGATAAATCGAGTCATTACAATTCAGTTACTTTTTGGTTGCTTGATTGAACTAAGCAACTAATTCCACCATGGTTATAAATAACCTGCTAGTAATTGGTCAATTTGTCATATTAAAGCAATTAGAATGATGAAGTGGATGGAGAAGCTTCCAAATGAGGTGAAACTAAATTAAGAGTCTTCTGTTGGGAGGGAGGATGCCTCTTCAGTGTTGCTGACGGCAGAATTCAGACCCTCATCATCCCCTCAAATGGAAAGAAAAGAGCAGCAGCTTTGGAATCAGACAGAGTGGAATCAAAGCTTAGGTCGACAACCTCCTAGTTGGGTGATTTGGGGCAAGTTATTTAGCCTCATCTCTTAAATGAGAATTGTAATTCCTACCTCATACACTTGCTGTGAACATTAAATACAATAACTTATTTGAAGGGCCAAACCCTGTGTCTAGCACATTGCAGATGCTCAATAAATATGAGTCCATCTCTTCCCAGCACCTTCAAATGCCTCCATGTCCACAGACTCTCCTTGCTCCAATCCTTCCTTCATGAGGCTGAGAAGAGATCTCCCTAAAACATAAATCTGATCACATTATGCCTGGGCTTAAAATCCTTTGATGCGTCTCGTTGCCTACTTGAAAAAATGAAGGTCCTTTGTAGGATATAAAAAGCCCTCCCAACTTCCCCACCTCTTCTTCCCTACGCCTCCGTATCTGGAAACTCCCTGGATTATTGTCTTGTTTCTGGATATGTAATATCCTCTCCTGCCTGCCTCAGTGCCTTCTCTCATCCTATTCTTTTTGCCTTGAATTGCCCGGCCACCCACTTTTACACGTGTGGAATCCTGCCTTTCCTGCAAGTTCTGGCTCAAATGCTTCTTGAAGCCTTTTCTTAATTCACTTTCTCCTCCATACTTCAGGACTCTGCACCTACTACTTCGTGCCTCAAGTAGTGAGGCAGGGGTGCACAGACGATACTCAACAAATAGTTTTGAATGGATGCATTGAAAGATTTATGACTGAAAATTCACAAATAGGATGGAATTTGTTTTTCAAATTCCTGTCTTGCAAACCTTAGACCCTAAGCATGAGGAGATTCCTTTGAAGTCTTTGAAATTAAGAAGAAGCCTAACTTAAACAACTGGCTTGTAATCTTACTGAATATCTTACCTCTATAGGTGACCCAGGCTGAAATAACCACAAATTCAAAGTGGTATTTTATTTATTTATTTATTTATTTATTTATTTATTTAATTTTTTGAGACAGAGTCTCGCTCTGTTGCCCAGGCTGGAGTGCAGTGGCACAATCTTGGCTCACTGCAACCTCTGTCTCCTGGGTTCAAACGATTCTCCTGCCTCAGCCTCCTGAGTAGCTGGGATTACAGGTGCCCGCCACCATGTCTGTCTAATTTTTGTATTTTTAGTAGAGACGGGGTTTCTCTGTTTTGGCCAGGCTGGTCTCAAACTCTTAACCTCGTGCTCCACCACCTTGGCCTCCCAAAGTGCTGGGATTACAGGCATGAGCCACCACACCTGGCCAAAGCGGCATTTTATACATTGCATGAATGACAGACCCATAGTGGAGAAATATTCATGGTTTCCCCTCTAACCTTTTGATATTGCATCACGAAGGCCAGCTTTCCCACAAAACATATCATTGTGCCACCATCAAAGGCAAAATAGAAAGCCACCCAACGCTAAGCCAGTCCAAAATTGCATTTCTTATATTTTTTAAGTGGTGGATTGTGGATCACCTTAATATGAATTTTTAAAATTTGCCATTATCTCCCTCAGCTGCTCTTTGAAAGGAACACAGCAGTTTTGTATCAATTTGTTTTATCAACTGGAGAAGTATTTTTATCTATGAAAATGTTTAGTGGAAAAATGAACCTCCAGAGTAGGTTTTGAACATAGAAGGGGAAGGCAAAAAGGCCAGTCTTTAACCTCCCAACGATCTGGCCCCTGGTGGGCCTTGGTAAACGCTCTCAGTGTTCGTGCTCATCGGGACCAATAAGCAGAGAGCTTCTCTTAAGTGATGTGATGTGACAGTAGTAGGTGTAGGATCAGGTCGATTTTGTGCTCCACACAACACAACCCAGTTTTTTACTCTTCAACAGTCCGCACCTACTTCGGGAAGCAATGGATCTCTCGTCATTTTGAAACAAGAACACTCTTGCTCCTTTTAATGGTAGGATAACATACACATTCTACCATTTTCATTTTTTAAAAAATATTTTCTCTTGATGATTAGCAATTAAAATAGTTCAGGTTTATCTCATTTCAGGAAGCAGCTAGAGGCTGAAATGACAGTGGAGAACAATCTGGAATACAATGACTGACTCATGGATTATAAATGAGGCAGCTGAGGTTCCATGTGCAAACTGTGAAGATGCGTGGCTGCGGTCAGCCCTCCAAGCACACCCAGGGCCCCGTGCGCTCAGAGAGCATCTTGCTCACAATGCTGGGCTCATTCATCCACTCCACAAATAGCTAGTGAGTGTTTTCTATGTGCCAGGCCCTAGGCTGGATGCTAGAGAAAATTTCGAGGGAAGACATAAACCAACCATAGGAATATAAAAGGTAACTGCTTTGATTAAGGGGTTTAAACAAAGCACTATAGGAGAATGAGGGAGAAACATGTCTGCCTGGAGCCATTTAAAAACATTTCCTAGGAAGGATGCGTCGGCACTGGTGACGCAGACAAGCTGGGGTGGGGTATAATGAAAGAAAGGCAAGAAAGGCAAAGGCTGCTGTGTGGATCTGTCTTGCCTGAAAGTCATGTGGGAGCAGTCAAACAAGAGGCGGAACTGGTAGGCAGGGGCCAGATCACGAAAAGCCTGGTAGAGTTTAGACCGAGTCCTCTAAACCCATAGTTTTTGTATATCTTTCAGCTGGGCGCACTTTGTTCAATTAAAAAACTCATCAGAAATCATAAATGAAACATCTGTAAAGTCCAGCTGCTCCAGCTGAGGCTGTTGCGTGTTGCTGGGGTAAGGCTGGAACCCCGTTTGTTTGTAATCCCCACAACACCAGAGCAAAACCACTGGGCAACCTCTAAGATGGCTCCCGCTACTTCCTTGTGTTAATTCGCTCCCCTGGAGTATGGACTGGACTTAACAATCGTAAAAGTAGTGATGGGAGTTGTTTCCAAAATTAGTTGACAAGGAAAGTGACTTCTGTTGTGTTGGTCTCTCTCTTTCTCAGGGACTTCACTCTAGGGGAAGCCAGGAGCCATGTTGTGGGTGGCCCTAGGGAAAGGCCCACATGGCAAGGACCTGACACCTCTGGCCAACAGCCGGTGAGGAGCCAAACCCTGACAACAACCATGTGAGTGAGCTTAGAAGCAAATCCTTCCAGTAGAACCTGAGATGAAACCACAGTCCTGGCCAACACCTCGACTGCAGCCTTGTAAGAGACCTGGCCAGCGCAGCTGCACCTATACTCCTGACACACAGAAATTGTAAGATCATAAATATTTCTTGTTTTAACTTGTTAAGTTGTGGAGCAATTTGTTCTGCCACAATAAATAACGAGTACAGGACCCACTGAGGAATGCTGAGCCCAGAGTGACCGGATCAAATGGGCATTTTGAATGCTGACTCAGGAAAGACCCAGGAGGATACATTGAATGGAACAAGACCAGAGATAAGGCAACTGCTAGTCCAAGAGGGAGACGAAGAGGGTTGAATGATGGGGGTAGGAAGGAGGGGAGAGGAATGGTAGATATCCTGGGAAGGTAAAATCAGTAAGTCTTGGGATTGTTTCTGGGGAGGGGAGGAGTTTCAAGGACAATGCCAGTCATTAGCTAGGGAACAAGGACAGAGGAACATATTTGGAGGGAAAGAAAAAAATGTTCCATTTGGGATGTGTGGAGATCATAGTGGCTGTGAGTCACTCATATGAAGCATGCAAATAGTCAATACGCAGTTCAAAGCAGTCTGAAAGAAGAGACTGCGTAAGAAGTTGCCCTTATACATTCAGGTTGCTTCACTCACAGAGGCTGCAAACTCCAATGCCTCTGTGCCAAGAAAATAACATCAAGGAGTGAAGGGTCCTGGGTGAAGGGTCCTGCATTCAGGAGCTGCAGGGACCGTGTTGAATTGCACAGTGCCTGCCTTCCTTAGGGGTACCAAAGCCACACATGTTTGAAACTCTGCTGTCTGCGACGCTCATTTCAGTTTCAAGAGAAGCTGGCTTGAGTGGCACTCCTTAGGGAAGTGTCAAGCAGAATGAAAAGGACAAGAGCTTTGGAGTCAGACAGCACTGAGTTCTAATCTTGCCTCTGCCACGTGCTAACTGGTATCCCTGGGGGAGTTAATTATGCTCTCTGAGCCAGCGTTTCTTTGGCTGTGTAAGAGACTAATAACACCAGTTTTAGGAAGGTTGTTGTGATTAAATGAGATACTGCTTGTTAAATATCAAGTACAGTTCCCGGCACCAAAGAGGTGCTTGAGAAGTGGTAGCTGACATTCTGATAGTGATGCAATAATGGCCGTCATCTCCACTGAAGGAGGCGAGACTCCAGCACACAGCGAATGTCCTCGCCATTCTATTCAAAGAGAAGAGTCATCCTGGAACAGCCGTGCTGGAACTCTCAGAACTCAGTGTGCTTGAGGGGTATGTGGATCTGTCTTTTGGTTGTGGGTACTTTAAGTGATGAGAAGTTTAATGTCAGGAGGCACATGGCGCAACAGGAGACTCCAAGAACAAAAGTCACAGTACATCCAGGACTCCAGGAAGTGGGGCTGGATCCAAGGCAGCCTGAACTGGCAGCAGCAGAAGTTAATGCGGCTTCACTGGTATGCTCCAGAATATGTGATTTTGCTGTTACCCACGTGTAGGTATCCCATATCACCAACACCGCTATTCTTCCTATTTTGTCTTTTGTCTACCTTGTAGCTTCTATTTACACATAGTATCAGTCTGTTTCCTTCTACTCTGACTTCCTCTAATCCCAACTCCATCTTGTTCTTTTCCATTATAAATCTTTTCTAATTCAGCTCTCGATATGACCTGCATTTTCCTCTTCCCTCCCAGATTAAATTCCCGAGAGTTAGAATTTGTTTCAACCACTATCTCAGCAGTCATCCACAGCTGAAGGAAGAGAAGGCACATCATGCGATGTAAATAAAGGCCACCTAAACTGCTCCTTTAGCAGGAGCTATGAGAGGACAATTTCCCATAGAAGGGACTGGGTGAGGAGGCCCTATGATTGACATGCCTCGGATAGTGCATATGTGTGTGTCCAGTGGAGGCCAGGAGGCTGGGAGTGGTAAGGCACATCAGAAATATGATACTCTTGGGCCGGGCATGGTGGTTCACTCCTGTAATTCCAGCACTTTGGGAGGCCAAGGCAGGCAGATCACCTGAGGTCGGGAGTTCAAGACCTGACCAACATGGAGAAACCCTGTCTCTGCTAAAAATACAAAATTAGCCAGGCGTGGTAGTGCATGCCTGTAATCCCAGCTACTCGGGAGACTGAGGCGCGTGGCTGTAATCCCAGCTACTCAGGAGGCTGAGGCAGGAGAATAGTTTGAACCTGGGAGGCAGATGTTGTGGTGAGCTGAGATCGCATCATTGCACTCCAGCCTGGGCAACAAGATCGAAACTCCATCTCAAAAAAAGAAAAAGAAAAAAAGAAAAGAAATATGATACATTTATTTATTTATTTATATTGAGATGGAGTCTTGCTCTGTTGCCCAGGCTGGAGTGCAGTGGCACAATCTTGACTTCAGCTTCCCAGGTTCAAGCGATTCTCCTGCCTCAGCCTTCTGAGTAGCTGGGATTACAGGCGCAGGTCACCATGCCTGGCTAATTCTTTTGTAATTTTGGTAGAGACGGGGATTCACCATATTGGCCGGGCTGGTCTCGAACTCCTGACCTCAGGTGATCTGCCCATCTCGGCCTCCCAAAGTGCTGGGACTACAGGTGTGAGCCACCGTACCCGGCCTTATTTTAAATGTCAGTATGAAATTGTTGCAGGAAGATGACATGTAACCAGTACAAAACCAGAAGCTTCCTCCAAAAGTCCCTCTCCCTTTTCCTGATATTCAGGTACAAAGGACCATCAAAGCAATTAGCTTCAACCGTAATGTCAATGATGTCAATGGTGCTAGGTTCTTTACATAGCTATCTGGAAAATGAACCCCTTTCCTGCCCTGGCTTCAAAGCACAAGGATAAGCCTTGCTCTCTTTCTCTGCTACTCACACCTACTCGGCCTGGGTGTATACCTGTGTAGGATTTGGGTGCACTATTGTTACCCTAGTTCAGAACAAAGCTAGTTCACCTGGGGTGAAATGAGGGTGGAACCAAGGCTTCTTCTCCCTCCCTTGCAGCTGGCTTCCCCCAGGGAGCTGCTATCGGGGAGAGTTTCATCTCTGCTTCCTGGAGGGAGAGAGCTGAGCCCCAGTGACAGCTGTTGTGATTTCCAGGAGGCACAGGGCTGGGGACTCCCCTCCCTCCTCACTTCTCCAGTGGGTATCCAAATGCATATGTTCCTTCCTGAAGCTCAAGGTGTAAATAGCTGTGAAACTGACGGAGAGATTTGTGGATTCATAGAGTAACATGACTGGTTAAGTAAAATGTCCCTTTTATTATTCAGGAAAGTGGAATCACAGAAAGGTGATAAGGTTACCTGCTCAAGGTCGTAAAACCACTCGTCCCACAATCTGTTCCTGGTGGAGAATGAAAGAGTCCATATTTAGTGATTCCAAAGCCACACTGCTCTGCTTTCTCCCTTAGTGGTATGAAGGGAAATTGGCTGATGCTTGTACACATTTTCAATCTTGATGACTCCTTTTCACTCCCTGCCCATTGTTGGTCATTAGGGTGATATTTTGAGCCTGTGCTATTATAGGCAAGGACCCAGCAACACCCTAGCCCTGCTTGCCACACCCTTCTCCCCTTCCCATTAGACCCCCAGGAAGCTAAGCATAATAAATGATCGTAGATTGTGAAACAGGTACTTTTTTTTTTTTTTTTTTGGAGACGGAGTCTCACTCTGTCACCCAGGCTGGAGTGAAGTGGCACAATCTTGGCTCACTGCAACCTCTGCCTCCCGGGTTCAAGTGATTCTCTTGCCTCAACCTCCCAAGTAGCTGGGATTACAGGCATGCACCACCACGCCCAGCTAATTTTTTTTTTTTTTTTTTTTGTATTTTTAGTAGAGACGGGGGTCTCACCATGTTGGCTAGCCTGGTCTTGAACTCCTGACTTCAGGTGATCCGCCCACCTTGGCCTCCCAAAGTGCTGGGATTATAGGAGTGAGCCACCACGCCTGGAAGAAACAGGTGCTTCTTTATTAAGAAGGTCCGAGCACCTGTACCTCAATGTAGAGCTCACTGGTGAAAGAGGTAGGGGCCTCCTACCTCTCGGGATCTTCCTGCTCTCTGACCATATGCAAAGAGGAGGAGGTCTAAGAAACAGGGGAACTGTGTGGCCAGGATTGCATAGCAGGCCTTGGCTTATTTGCTCACCTAAATGCATGTTAGGGGGAAAGTAGAAGAGAGAAGAAATGAGCTAGGCCTGATCCACCTAGAAATGATATACGAAGCACAAGAAAGAAGCATATAGGGCCAAGCGCAATAGCTCACAACTGCAACCCAAGCATTTTGGGAGGCTGAGGCGGGAGTATTGCTTGAGTCCAAGAGTTTGAGACCAGCCTGGGCAACATAGTGAGACCCCATCTCTACAAAAAAAATTTTTTTAAACAGCCGGATGTGGAGGTGCATGCTGGTGGCCCCAGATACTCAGGAGGCTGAGGTGGGAGGATCGCTTGAGCCCAGGAGGTCAAGGCTGCAGTGAGCTGTGATCGCATCATGACGCTTCACTCAGCCTGGGTGACAGAGCGAGATCCTGTCTCAAAAACAAAAACCAAATCCATAAAAGGGAAGCATATAGGTTCACACCCTTTAGTAAATGCATCTTTTGGTAAATGTGTTATTTCCCTAGCGCTGCATAACAAATCACTCTAAAACTCAATGGCTTACAACAATAATCATTTATTATCTCTTGCAGTTTCTGTGGGTTAGGAATTCACACAAGACAGAGCAAAGATGGCTTTTCTCTGCCCCACCATGTCTGGAGTCTCAGCTGGAAGACTCAGAGGCTGGGAACTGGACCTGCCTGAGGAAGCAGTCACTCACACGTCTGGTGGCTGGCTGTTGCTTGGCACACTAACACATGGGCCCTCTGTGTGGCTTCCTCAGAATACAGGAAGGGTCCTGAGAGAGAGCCAAGTGGAAGTTATATTGACTTTTAGGGCCGAGCCTCAAAAGTCAGGCAGCATGACAGGCCAGGCGCGGTTGCTGATGCCTCTAATCCCAGCACTTTGGGAGGCCCAAGCTGGCGGATCACCTGAGATCAGGAGCTCGAGAGCAGCCTGACGAACATGGAGAAACCCTGTCTCTACTAAAAATACAAAAAATTAGCCAGACATGGTGGCGCATGCCTGTAATCCCAGCTACTCAGGAGGCAGAATCGCTTGAACCTGGGAGGCGGAAGTTGCAGTGAGCCGAGATCGCGCCATTGCACTCCAGCCTGGGCAACAAGAGCGAAACTCCCTCTCAAGAGAAAAAAGTCAGGCAGCATGACTACATTGGATTCGTTGAGGCAGTTACTAAGGTCAGCCTAGGTTTGGAGGGAGACCCCACCTCACAACAGAGACGTGTTCGCATCACATAAGAACAGCATGAGAGATGAGATGATTTTGGAAAATACCATCTGCCATATAGCCCAGTCGATGTGTTGGACTCTGACCATTCAGATTAGAAACTTCTTATTTATTTATTATTTGTTTATTTTTCCTCAAGACGGAGTCTTGCTGTCCCCAGGCTGGAGTGAAATGGTGCGATCTCAGCTCACTGCAACCTCCGCCTCCCAGGTTCAAGCAATTCTCCTGCCTCAGCCTCCCGAGTAGCTGGCATTACAGGTGCCTGCCACCATGACCAGCTAATTTTTTGTATTTTTAGTAGAGATGGGGTTTCACCATGTTGGCCAGGCTGGTCTCGAACTCCTGACCTCAGGTGATCCACCCTCCTTGGCCTCCCAAAGTGCTGGGATTACAGGGGTGAGTCAACGTGCCTGGCGCAGAAACTTCTTCCTCACTGAGGAGGTAGGAAGGACTGGGCCCTGAGGTACACGTGGCCAGGAAGAGTGCCTAAAATTTTATTTCTCATACCACCCCTACCTTTTTTTTTTTTTACAGTTATTCATTTAGAGACTCCTTTCTACTCCACTCTTTTTAACTTCCTTTCCTTCCTTGACCCATGACAAAAATTCAAACTGTTTTTTTTCTGTTTTGTTTCTGGGGGGAGACAGGGTCTCAGTTTGTTGCCGAGGCTGAGTGCAGTGGCACGATCAGAGCTCACTGTAGCCTCAACCTCCTGGACTTAAGTGATCCTCCCGCCTCAGCCTCCCCGAACAGCTGGGAGCACAGGCGAGAGCTACCGCACCCGGTTAATTTTTTAATTTTTTGTGGAGACAGGGTCTCACTATGTTTCCCAGGCTAGTTTCAAACTCGTGGATTCAAGCAGTCCTCCTGCCTTGGCCTCCCAAAGTGCTGGGATTACAGGCATGAGCCACCGTGCCTGGCCTGCAAACTCTCTGGTTTTGGTATTGAAATAGGACTAGGTTGATGGGTAAGAAGGTGCGTATGTGGATCCTCTAGAAAGACCCCTACCCAATCAACCATCTTCCAAAACAAAATAAAACAAAACTACAATCTAACATTTCATTTTACTATGCCATAAAAATCTGCATGAAAGTTAAATTTGTCTTAAAACTGCATCAAATGCTAAATTCAAATAAAATAGAAGTGCTATCTTATGAATCATGTATTACCTTAGTGGAAATTCATCTGGGTTTGAAATGGGGGAAAGGGTGACTGGCGATGGAGTTGAGAGGCTATTAAGGGACAAGGTAGAGGTGAAGAGAAGAGCAGAAACAGCGGAAGCTATAATCACCCGGAACACCGCCTGTGTTATAGTTGACCAAGAGCTGGTCTTTGTAAGCAGTTTCCATGCTTTTCCAGGTGTAAACCCACAGTATCAGCTTGGGGGTCACAGACCGTTTTGCACCCCTCACTCAGAGACCAACCGCCAAAGCCAAGCCTTCTCTTTCATGCTGCTGCTCACTAGAAATGCCCCTTTCTTCTGAGTCCTCCTACAGATAATTCATATTTTCTAATTAATAACAATGACAACTAATATACTAACATTTGTTAACAGCCTACTATGTGCCAAGTACTATGTTAAAAGCTCACTTTATCTCACATAATTTTTATAAAAATAATCTATGAGGCAGATCCTGGTAACTACCCCTACTTCACACATGAGGATGCTGGAGGCACAGAGAGGTTAAGGAACTTGTCCAAGGCAGCATAGCTAGTAAGGCCTGAAGCTGGGATTTGAACCCAAGCAGCCTGACCCTGGTACCCATGCCTTTAACCATTGCATTATTGTATACTTATTGTGTTAAAAGAGCATCCTAAATACTTTTTTCAAAAATTATTTATTTATTTATTTTATTATTATTATTTTTTTGAGACGGAGTCTTGCTCTGTCACCAGGCTGGCGTGCAGTGGTGAGATCTCAGTTCTCTGCAGCCTCCAACTCCCTGGTTCAAACGATTCTCCTGCCTCAGCCTCCCGAGTAACTGGGATTACAGGCGTCCACCACCATGCCCAGCTAATTTTTCTATTCTTAGTAGAGACGGGATTTCACCATGTTGGCCAGGATGGTCTCGATCTCCTGACCTTGTGATCCACCTGCCTCGGCCTTCCAAAGTGCTGGGATTACAGGCTTGAGCCACCGCGCCCGGCCAATACTTTTATTAATTTAAAAAAACGGTAAACATGATGAACTTAAAGTCCACTTAAAATATTTAGTGGGATAAAAGTGGTTAGTCTAAAGTAGGAAAAATAAAACAAGATTATATGTAAATAAAATGAGGAACAAAACCAGACTAGTATATTGAAACAGTAAAAAGTAATTTTTCTACAAAAGACTATTGTCTCCGTCAAAACAAAAAGAAAGAATACATGTTAATAAGATGTAAATAACACAAAGTAGACTTGGCATTTAAAAGAATATTATTTCTATATATGTATATATAAGTAAATTTTGATACCCAAATATGTACTTGCTGATAAAAATATAAAGCACTGTGACAGATGAAATAACCAGAAAAGAAATACAAGAAATTACACCCCAAAAGATGCCTGGTCCTTATGGGTTTACAAAAATTTTGTAAACTTTCAAAGAACAAAAAAAATTCCTGTTATACAAACTTTAAATGTATGTGAGTGCTTATGTGTGTTGTACGTTACCCAGCTCATTTCGTGAAGAGAAAATGATTCATTTCAAAATCTGAATAGGAAACTGAAATCAAATCTTATTTATGAACATTAATATTAAGATTTCAACTTGGTAGAAAAAGAGAAAAATTATTAAACACAAGTTGATTTAACTTATAGCAAGGTTTATTTGGAGTACATTATACTTTATTCTAAAGACACAAAACTGGTACACAGAAGAAACGATAACATAACATATCACATTGACAGGAAAAACAAATATATGTATACATATAATAATTATCCAAAGAGATTTTTTTTTTTGAGATGGAGTCTTGCTCTGTTGCCCAGGCTGGAGTGCAGTGGCGTGATCTCGGCTAACTGCAACCTCTGCCTCTGGAGTTCAAGTGATTCTCCTGCCTCAGGCTTCTGAGTTGCTGGGATTACAGGCACACGCCACTACGCCTGGCTAATTTTTGTACTTTTAGTAGAGATGGGGTTTCGCCACGTTGGCCAGGGTGGTCTCGAACTCCTGACCTCAAGCGATCCGCCTGCCTCAGCCTCCCAAAGTGCTAGGATTACAGGTGTGAGCCACCGCACCTGGCCATCTGAAGAGATTTTAATAAGGTATTTGCTATAATTCTCATTCTCTTCTTGATGAAATTCTAAAAAATCAGGTGTTAGTAATTTCGGGATTGTTTTTTGTCTTATGGGATTTACTTCAGTAATGCACCAGAAATGCAGCTTGCCTGGTCTGCCTTGTTCAAGCCCATTTTTCTTATATGACAATATATCCTTTACTCCCAGAGAAGGAATAATCTGTTTTGCAGATGACATGACTACAAACCTAGAAATCTAAGGAAATCAACTGAAAATTACTGAAAGTAATGAGCTCAGTTGCAGGACTAACCTTAATACCTCTAAAACATTTGTATGTACATACATGTGTGTATGTGCGTGTATCTATTATATATTCTATGTACGTATACTGTTTTATGTATATATGCCAATATGAAACTGATATCTAATAAGGAAATACAAAAAATAAATTTTATTGTTGCTAGTACAACCAAAACAGATTAAACACATGGGGTTGATTTAACTTATAGTAAGGTTTGTTCAGAGAAATTACAGAGGACGTTGTTAATAAATCAAGTTCCATATCTGATTAGAAAAGTGAATAAAATAGTATTTCCTAGGCAACATGTAGATTTACCAATTAAAGCCTCGGCAGGTTAACTTCAAGTGTCTAACAAAATAAGAGGGCAATTCAGCTGGATAATAGCAAGAAGAATGCCAAAGAATACTTATTTTAGAGGATGTAATGATTATTGATTCACACTATTGTATATTTTTGGCTGTACTAAATTTTAATATATGTTACAAAGTCATCATTATAAAAGCAGTGGAGCATTAAATTAAAAATAGAATAAGTTACTGAATCTGAAATAAACAGATTTAACACATTAATTCAAACGCTAAGAGCTTAATATATGACAAAACAGAAGGAGTACAGTATGGAAAAGAATCATGACAAAATGCTATTGGTATAAAGAAGCATTTACATATATATTTATACATATATGTGTATGTGTGTATATATATAGATAGAGAGAGAGAGAGAGAGTGCAATTAAGAACAGTATTTTGGACTCAGATAGTCTTTGGCAAGTTCCTTAAAATTTCTGTCTCCTTTTCCTTAGTGGTAAAATGGGACCCATAATACGTATCTTGAGGGTACTTTTGCAGAATAACTCAGTTATTGTACATAAAGCACTTAGCATAATGCCAGGAACATAGTAAACAGTTATTATCATGAGTCAGAGTGTTAAATATAAACTAGAACCAACTGGTTAAATGCTCTAGAAACACAAACAGGAAAACATGTTCCCAGTGGAAGAAGGGAAACAAATTTCTGATTATGGAAGCATGCAGGGCAGTATCATAGACAAGATGGATGTTCAAAATGTTAAAAAAAGAAGAAGAAAAAACTTATAAACAAAACATATTATTGAGAGTAAACACAAATTGTTGAGCTCCTAAATGAAGTAGTTTTGGAAACAGCAGTGCCAGGCCAGTGGAGATGGGCTAAGTTTCAGGATGGCCTGAAATCTCCCTATTTGTCAAACAGCCCTCCCAGAGCTGTGCCTGAGAAGGAAAGTTCATGGACCTTTCATGTGACCCCAAAGGCAATCAATCCCAGTGAAAGTGGTCCTCCTTCCCATTCTATCATCCTCTTGGGCTAGGTCTGTCGAGAGCCCTGTGGCCCCTCCTTCTCCAGCTTGGGATGCAGAGGCGCTTCATCTGGGCTGGATGGACTTGTGGTTCTCACTGGTCACCCAAGAGCTGTGCCATCACCCTCTGCTCCCAGGGCTGCTCCTCTGGCACATTTCCAGCCAGTCCAGCTGCCCCTTTAGCTTGCCCCATGGTCCAATGTCTCTTTACTCCTTTACATTAGCTGATGAATGTTCATTGCCTCACTGTTTTTTCGTTCTACTAATCTGGAATTTCATGTCATTCCCACAGCCCCAGCCCAGTCAATACACTCAATGCAATATCGTAATTCATATCCCTAAACCCCACTTTTCCTTTCTTCATCTGGATAATTACTTTATCCTGTATGACTCAAGTCACTCCAGGAGGCTTTCCTTGACACATCCTAGCTGAGCTCAGAGTCCCTCTTGTAAGAATCATGGCAGCCGGTACACCTTGATTAGACTGTAAATTCCTTGTGTGCCAGCGACAGTCAGAGCTCTTAGGCATCTTTGTTCCAAGCACAGTGCCTGCCCCACGGGAGTCCTAAGAAAGATTTGTGCCATTTGCTGCTGTCTCTCCCACTGCTGGGCACTAGCTTTGACTCCACTGTCTGTCCTACTGAAACTGCACGTACTAGTTTGGGCAGTGGTTCCCCAACCTGACTGTACATTGACACTTCCTGAGGAGTGCATAAAAATACCAGTTCCCTGGGCCAAGTCAGTCAGAATCTCCGGGGTAGTATTTTTTCAGAACTCCCCAGATTGTTCTTCTGTGCATCCAGAGTTGAGAACCACCAGTTTAGGACATTATTCAGAGCCCAACTAAGAGATTTTAATTCTGAGTCTGACTAGGGCACATGGGAAGCGCACCCCTGCTGACATGGTTGGTTGCTACGCAGAGCCTAGGGGAGTCAGGAAGCATCCCAGCTCCCTCTCAGTGCCCCTCTCTCCACACCCCCACCCCCATGAGGCTGAATACTTAGTGCAATCACTTTCACTTCTCCTTGGAGGGTAGCTGTTTAAACCCTTTTTCTGGGAACTGGCTCTGAACCTGCCTCAGCAATTCACATGCACTCCCATCATTGGCTCTAATCAGAGGGGCGGGGCACTTTACCTGTCATTATAGTACCTCGTTTCTCAGATATTCCCTTTAAGTGGAAGCATAGCACAGCAGTAATTCGGCGGATCCAATGAGAACCTGACAGGTATATAATTTTAGGGGCCCTTTTTAAGGAAAAGAGTACAAGATTACAAATCACAAAATTGCCAGGGCCTTCCTGAAGTCTTGGAAAGAGCCCCTGCCAAGAGCTGTAAGCTTTGCTAGCTTCGGAGTAAATCTGCTTCTGAGAATAATGGCTGCCATTTATTGTGTCAATATGTATCCGAGACTTTTTATATATAGCTGTGCTTACAACAAACAAGCAAGGATGTATTATCCTCCTTTTACAAACAAGGAAACTCAGGCAGGGAAAAAATTCGTTGTTTATTTCAGGTCGCATATGTGAGACTAGAATTCAAACTCATTTCTGACTGGCTTGTGAACTCAAAATCTTTCCACCACACTAACAAATTCCAGCATCTACAAAGGTTATGCACGCCGGGGACCCAGAAGAAGCAAGCAAATCCATATATATACTGAGTATTCTACGTAGACTGAAAAATTAATGTGACTTGCATATGTGTGGGCCACTTTTTACATTATGTAGGTGCCGCTGTAATTAATCAAGTCATTTGAAAGCACGTGTTACTCAATAGCTTCAATTATAGTGTCTTTTCTCAATCAACAGATACAAAAGGTACAACCCCCCCTTTTTTTTTTTTGAGACGGAATCTCGCTCTTGTTGCCCCGGGTGGAGTGCAATGGCACGATCTTGGCTCACTGTAACCTCCACTACCCGGGTTCAAGTGATTCTCCTGCCTCAGCCTCCTGAGTAGCTGGGATTACAGGTGCACACCACCATCTGGAGCTAATTCTTGTATTTTTAGTAGAGACGGGGTTTCACCATGTTGGCCAGGCTGCTCTAAAACTCATGACCTCAGGTGATCTGCCTGCCTCGGCCTCCCAAAGTGCTGGGATTTCAGGCGTGAGCCACCACACCCGGCCTAAAGGTACAACTCTTATATGAGCATCTGCAAAACTTGGTTGTGTTAAAAAGGAAGCATGGTGCTGGAAAGTATCGGAAGCTCACTGTATTAATGGTGAAGTGGTACAGCTCATGTTCCCTGAGCCTGTCGTGGTCAGGCTCTTTCCACAGGGCTCCAAATTCTCAAACAGTGGTCTCTAAAATGGGGGATTACAAGACAATCTATTGGAGTCAAGGAAGAAAATATCAGAAATTATATTTATATTTATTTTTAACATTGCCTTTTAAAATGTCCGTATATGTTTGTGTTTCATGAGGTATATACTAATGTTATTACAGTAGCATATGTGTGTGATTTATAAATAAGTACAAATTGCATAGCATAATAATTAGTAGCATAGACTCTAGAGCCAGATTGCCCACGTTAAAATCTTGGGTTTATCACCCAGAGACGGGTTGATAGGTGCAGCAAACCACCATGGCACATGTATACCTATGTAACAAACCTGCATGTTCAGCACATGTATCCCACAACTTACAGTAAAAAAAAAACCAAAAAACAAAAAAACAGCTGGGCACAGTGGTGCATGCCTGTAATCCCAGCACTTTGGGAGGCCGAGGCAGGCAGATCACGAGGTCAAGAGATCGAGACCACCCTGGCCAACACGGTGAAACCCCCATCTCTAAAAATACAAAAATTAGCTGGGCATGGTGGCGCACACCTATAGTCCCAGCTGCTCAGGAGGCTGAGGCAGGAGAATCACTTTAACCCAGGAGGCGGAGGTTGCAGTGAGCCGAGATTGCGCCACTGCACTCCAGCCTGGCAACAGAGCAAGACTCCGTCTCAAAACAAAAACAAAATCAAAAACAAAACAAAAAACAAATAAACAAACAAAAAACTTGGGTTTATCTCTGTGTGTCCTTGGAAAAGTAATCTTTCTGTGCTTCAGTTTCCTCATCTGTAAAACGGTGATAATAATACTGGAATGCCTACTGCATAGGGGTATTGTGAGAATTAAATGAGTTAATACAAGCAGAATATTTAGAATGCTGCTCTGCAATATTAGGGGTGGTGTATGTTTTTTCAATGATAAATACAGTGATCCACAGATGATGAACTTGATGGGTGGACAGAGAGAGTGTGCTGTCCTGTTCTGATTTTAGGAAAACAAAAGAAAAAAGGACAATTATTATTATGCATATACACATATTTTAAGGTATATTAAAGATGCATTTTGTGTCTGTCTCTTTCTCTCGTCTGTCTCTCTTTAACCCAAAAACGGTGTGGTTTTACACATTTGGCAATTATGGCTCCAAATATTCTACTAACTAGAGGCACAAAAACAAACAGCTCTGGGGCATCAGAGCAAGACCACTCCCCAAATTGCCCCTTTCGCTTAAGCCAGCCTCTAGCCTTGGAATCTGGCTAGCACTGCCAGGTTGCCTAAGTCCACAAGCAGTAAAAGAGGGCCCTAGTATGCTGGGGTTATTTATCTTGGTGTTGTCCTCTGGCCCAGCCCTGCCCAGGAACAGGAGACAGACGGCCACACAGAGCCTTGCCTCTGATAACTGGGGGGTGGAGAGGTTGAGAAACAACGCTTCACTCAGCAACTTCCTGCTCCCTCCGAGGAAGAAGAAAGGGGTGTCTGTGCTAGAGCCACTCCCTTGCCAGCAGCCCAGCAGAACAGCTGCTGATCCTCTGCATCCCCACGTCCCGGCGGAGGCCCTGGGAAGTGGGAACATCAGCTGGAGAGAAAAGGAGAAAGCAGTACATTGAGTGTTGCTTAGGCCGCCTGCTTCGCTTTCTTCTCTCGCTCTCCCCAGAGACAATCTCGTGGCCTGTGTTTCCCCGCAGGCAGGCCCCAGCGCCCTCAAGCCCAGATGTCTGCTGTCCACGCTCTTCTGACTTCCGGAAAGCTAACATCTCAGATTCCCTCTCCCTGAAGGACCTTTGGGAAGTCCCAACCCCCACCCCAGGCTCTTCACTCCCCCCGGGTCTGCTTCTCATTCTCTCAGATAGATTTATAACTTATGTAAATAAATGTACATGATTAGCCAAGTGATTATGTAAATGGCGCCTTCCTTTTCTCGTCCCAATTCTGGTGACAATAATGATTAAAAGATGGAAAATAGAGTCAACATGTAAAAGGTAAAGAAGCTGGAATTTAATCTGAAAAAGCAAGTGTAATGCCTATTTCACGGCAAGGTTCCATTTGCACAAAGGATAAAATAAAAGAGGTCACTGACTCTCAAATTTCCATGAAAGCTCTAAAACGGTAGCAAATCAGGTAAAATCTGACTACCTATATTCACTGATTTTCTCATTAAAATTAGTGGCTCTTAGGAAATGGCCAGGTAGACTAATTGCTATACTGTATGAATGGCTCGTACTATGATTACAGTGATATACAGTATATAGCATACACTCAAAAAAATCCCTGAATTTACTAATAGACAAAATATCTGTGTAGAAAGAGCCACAAATCCAACTGTTAAATTATTATTTTTAAAATTCTTGCCCATATTTTAAAGAATTAATAAAGCTAGCTTTTCAGGAACCATGTAAGAATAAGCAATTGGATTTTAAAAATTGAAATGGTATTATTATGCTCACTCTTGTAGGCTGAACAAGAGCTACAAAAAATTGTGTACATCTTACATAATATTTTAACTCTGGGAAGCCAAGTACATAATGATCATGAAAATCTACTAATTTCAAATGCTGCTGCAGCTGAAATTCTATCTCCAATTTCCACCGACTCACATTGCCTATTATTTATGAAACTGACCCGCATCCCACCCATGCACAAGTTCCAGGAGCCTACAGAACATTTTGTCTAAAGTAATAAAAACAATATTAGAGAACCGCTATTGAACATAGAAATTATATTCTATTACTTAGTTAATAGTTGACCCCGAACTCAGAATTTTTAAGAAAACTTCTCAACAGCACCATCTGGTGGGCAGTGCAGCAAAAACACAAAACAAAACACAGCAAGACGAAACCCACACTCCATACTTTGAGTTCTTGGAAGTGATTATCAATTGCGCTTCATTAAGTTTGTTTTATTTTCCAACGTAGAGTCTACATTATGAGATGTTTCCGAGGGCCAGTTGGGTAACTGACAATTTAGTGGTATGGCCAAGACGTTTTCTGTAACAGTTCATATTTCAAATACTCATACATTCTAATAACAAATATTCTTGAGTTTTATATTCTTTGTTATGTAATATTATTGTCTCGAAAAAGTGGATTTGTAAATTGTACAATGAAATGTAATTTGATTTTTAATTCCTTTAAATTTTTTTTTTTGAGGCAGAATCCAGGCTGGAGTGCAGAGGCATGATCTTGGCTCATGGCAACCTCCACCTCCTGGGTTCAAGCAATTCTCCTGCCTCAGCCTCCTGAGTAGCTGGGACTATGAGATTTTTTTTTAATGTAAGTCACAAATCATCAAACTTTTTTTGGATCATTTGTTCTATAATTAGGGGTGGGTAGACAAGGCGAAAGTTAGGTTACCAATGGAAATTTGGCTTTTACATTTCTTACGTTAAGCTGTGCCAGGTAGTTTTGAGGCAGATGATGGATGAGCAATCTTTCTACGGCCTTCCTTCAGTGTTCTAACATAGCCTGGGCTAATCTCCAGCATGCAGAACACAAGGTGGGATCTTTTAGAATGGCTAGTCTAAGACAAGGTATAAACTAAGATTTTTATTTCTTCAACAAATATATTGAGCATCTCCGATGTCCAGGCACTGGTCTAGGTTCCAGACACAACAACAAACAAAACACCAAAAATGACTGCTTGTAAGGAGTTGATATTTTAGAGGGGGAAGCATAGAAAGTATTGTCAGACAGTAACTGTGCTATGAAGAAAATGCAAGATCAAGGAGACAGGGAATATTGGGGAAGGGAATGGTTGCTGTTGATACGGAATCATCAGAGAAAGCCCTTCTAACAAGGTGACTTCAAAGCAGAAGGAAAGAAGTGAGGCAGAAATCTGTGCAATAGCTGAGGGAAGTGAGTTTCAGGTAGACAGAATAGGAGGTGCAAAGGCCCTGGGGTGGGAGTTTGCTTGGCATGTTCAGAAAATACCAAGGAAGCCACGTTGGCTTGGACAGAGAATGAGCAAAACATTCAGAAGGTGAGGTCAGGGAGCTAATGGGGTTAGATCATGTAGGGTCTTGTAGCATTGTAAAGGCTGGTTTTTACTCTAAATAAGATAGAAAACCACGGACTATTTTGAATACAAGAGCTATTCTGGCTGTTGTGTTGATATGGTTGTAGTAAAACAAGGGCTGAAGCAGGGAGTCCAGTTAAGACACCATTGCCTCAGAGGAGAGGCAATAATAGGTTGGACCCAGTGATAGCAGAGAAGGCAGTGATAAATAGTTGTATTCTGAATATATTTGCTGGTAGAGCCACCGAGATTTACTGATGGATTAGATGCGGAGAGTGAGATAAAGAGAAGAGCTGAGGATGACACTAAGGTGTATGTCCTGAGCAAATGGCAGAATGGAGCTATCACTTACGGAGAATGGGGCAGATTTACAGAAGTCTGTTTTGGGGGAGGACTGGAAGGGGGATGGAGAATATCAGGAGCTCAATTTGAACATGTTAAGTCTTAGATATCCACTAGACATCCTAACATAAATGTCAAATAGACAAACAAGGGAGAGGTCTAGGCTGAAGGTACGAATTTAGGAGTTCTCTGTGTACAGATGATATTGAAAACCACGAAACTAAATGAGATCACTGAGACAGCAGGTATGGAGCATGAAAAAAAGAGATTCAAGGCCTGGGCCCTGGGCTCTCCACTATTTAGAGGTGGGGGAGATAGACAACCAGTAATGGAAACTGAGCAGGAGACCAACGAGGTGGAAGAAATAAAGAGGCTGGTGAAGTCCTGGAATCAGGCAAAGCAAGCTTTGTAAGGAAGAGGGAATGATCGATGAGCTAAGTGAGATGAAAACCAGGAATTGATCACTGGATTCAGCAATAAAAGTGTCACTGGTTGGCCATGCGCGGTGGCTCACTCCTGTAATCCCAGCACTTTGGGAGGCCGAGGCAGGTGGATCACGAGATTAGGAGTTCAAGATCAGCCTGGCCAAGATGGTGAAACCCCATCTCTACTAAAAATTAGCTGGGCATGGTGGTGAGTGCCTGTAATCCCAGCACTTTGGGAGGCCGAGGCGGGTGGATCACGTGGTTAGGAGTTCAAGATCAACCCGGCCAAGATGGTGAAACCCAGTCTTTACTAAAAATTAGCCAGGCATGGTGGTGAGCGCCTGTAATCCCAGCTACTTGGGAGGCTGAGGCAGAGAACTGCTTGAACCCGGGAGGCAGAGGTTGCAGTGAGCCAAGATTGTGCCACTGCACTCCAGCCTGGGTGACAGAGCAAGACTCTGTCTAAAAAATAATAAAAAAAAAAGTGTCACTGGTGGACTTGACAAAGGCAGTATTGGTAGAGTGGTGGTGATCAAAACCTGACTGGAGTAGGTTTAAGGAAGAATGAGAGGAAAAGATAGGAAACAATGAGAAAAATCAGTAGAGAAGTTTTGCTGTGAAGAAGAAGCAAGCTGGTAGCTGGAAGGGGAAATGGGATCAAATTTTTTTAATAGAAAAAGGATTTTTAAACAAGATTTTATTTAAGATGGAAGAAAGTACAACTTTATGTACTGATTAGAAAGAAGCTGTAGAGAGAGGGAAGTTGATGAAGCAGAAGAAAGGGGAGAGAATTGCTGGGACCAGGTATTTGAGTAGGTGAAGGGAGATGGTATCTAGAATATAGCAGAGGAGCTGATTTTTAATAGATGGGCAGATAGTTTATTTACAGAAACAAGAGGGAAGGCAGAATATGTGAGCACAGATGCAGGGAGGTGGGTAGATGTGTTGGTGGGCACTTGAGGAAGCTCTCCTGATTGTTTCTATTTTCTCAGTGAAAGAAGCAAGGACATCAGCTGAGAAGGAGGATGGAGAAGGAGGTGACAGAATCTGGAAGAATAGGAGGTACGAAAGAATCATCTAGAGGAATGGGGGAATGAATGGTCTAAAGAAATGTGGTAGCATGGCCTCCTTAAGGTTAAGGAGCATACATTTTTTAGTGAGTACATTCTTCTCTGAATTCCAGTATTAACATTCTACATCATTCATTTGGCACTTGACACTCGTTACATTCAATTATCGATTAACTGTTCTTGAGAGTTCTATCTCCCTCTTTTTCCTGATTATACCTCACTTGTTAGGGCCTCAACTAACATGCCATAAGGAATCATTTAAAACCACATAACTGAGGGCTTCAGAAAATGTGAGAACATACGTGTGGCCCCTTGCTGCTGTGACTGTGCAGGGCGAGCCATCTAATTCTCCAGGGCAGTGTTATCAAGTCCATGGGGTTAATCTACATCAAACCACATCCTCCTGCCTGTCCTCTGTCTCTAGTAAAGGTGCTATTTTGGCCCCCATAGTTACTTTTTGTTTTATTTTTCAATGTATTCAAAAGGTGGCTGATGCAGTCATTTATTAGAGACCCTCTTGAAGACCCCAAGGAGATACAGAAGTGTTCAATACACATTTGAGACTAGAGGACATGCTAATGCAAATGTTGAGTTTGAGAGGACTCAGGAGAAGGATTTGGAGAGTTGAGAAAGATCAGACATCAGATTAGATGCCATACAATGAAAAGAGTCCACGGCCACACAGGGATGAGTGTCCAGGTGAGGAGGGATGCTGGGAGTTGCAGGTTTCTTGAGCAAATTACAAAAACAGGAGCTGAAAGTATAATGAGAGTGATTAGAGCAATAGTGAAGGTCTACAAGGCAGAGCTCTTTGATGCTGTGCCGCGCCGACCAGATTCCCCCAGCTGCTGCGAGTACTGGCCGTAAGGACCTGAATTGATCCCAGGATACTGATCTTGGCTGATGGTATGTCCAAGGCTATGCCTTCCTCCCTAGGGGCAACCCACAGCCAAAAGCAAGTCAAGGTTGGGGTACAAAGGTCCATCCCCCTTGCCTTAATTTAGGATCTCTGAAGGACTATCCAAGCCCCTGACCTCCCCATGGGTCCACTGAAGCCCCTGTTACATCTGTATCAACCCATCCTTCTGCTCAATCCTGTTTCCTTCACTCCCTTACAGCTGTTGTTGCCAAGAGCATTCACCAGTAGACCTGCATGGAAATCTCTGCTTCGGGTCTCCTTCCCATTCTATGGCAATTTTAACAGAAGAGGTCCTAAGAGGCAAACCGTTAAAATGGAATTTTGGAACTGGATCATCAACCAGCCACCTGGCAATGAGGACATCATCCCTCGTAGTAAGTGGAGTACTGATACCACCTGGCGTGCTGTGGCTGCAAAAGTTAAAACTTTTACCCGTGCAGAAGTTGTGATGGGATATCGGTAGGAAGTAATGAAAGCAATATCTCAGGCATTTGAGAGGCCTATCGAAAATTGTGATTATATGGAGTCAGATAGTGGTTGCTGGAGGCTATTGCTGCACTGCAGAAATATAATAAAAGATGTGAAGGTGATTAATTACCAATGTAAGATGATCTGTGAACATCACGGGACTTCCTTGGCAGCATATGAAGAAGCTCATCTCCTGTAGTCACAGGGGAGAAAAAGCAGAGGATCAGGCCAGGGACTTCATTATAAGGAAAGTGGAGTTCTGCAAAAGGCTGAATTTTCATGGTAAGTCCACTATGATAAGGTTAGGGCTTTGATTAGGAAGAAGTGGGACCCTGTGACTTGGGATGGGGACATCGGGTCAATGAATCTGAAAATCTCAAATTCTGAGATTCCCCTAAATGCTCTGGGCCTGCAGAAGTGACCTGCCTTTCCCTGCTAAACACTAGTGCTCCTCACTTGCTTGAAGATAAGAGGCTTCTGTCCTATAAGACAACACATGCCCAGCTCAGAAAATGCCCCTAGAACAATAATTAGAGTTAAGTCACGAAATAACTCATCCAGGGAGGTGTTGAGATCACTAGGGGAGAAAAGGGATCATACCCTTAAGGTGCTGTAGGACGTAGCCAACACCTATCAGCAGAAGCGAGGAGAGCATGTGTGGGACTAGACCTGAGGTTGCTAGATCAAGTGAGTGGCAGAACATAAACTTTGGTAGGTAGAGTTTATCCACATGGAAACACTCTTCAAGACACAAGATTCAACGCCTAGGCACTCTAGGAGACGTTGTTAATATGCTGCTAGGTTAACCATTGAATCTGCTATGGCAGATGGTTGAGGAAGAGATCCAAAGTCTCAGAGAAGTAGCTTGAGGTAAGGATATGTGGGCAATGGTAAACAGCTTGGATGATTGGTCAAGTCCTAGAAGGAGGAATATTGGAAGTCAGGGGACAGTGAGAACTAGGGAACTTAGAGATGGATGACCTGTGGGAGTGGGTGTGAAATGTGAAAAGCAGTGTATCACATATTAATGACCTCCAGAGAACACCTACTACAGAAGGTGAATTAAGCAACCAAGTAGACAGAGCGGCCAGGCTAGCTGACATCAGCTAGTCACGATCACTGCCCACCTTAGCACTGGCATGACTGGCCCATGAACAGAGTAGGCATGGTTGTAGGGATGGAGGCCATGCATGAACCCAACAGAAGGGGCTCCCACTCACCAAGGCTGATCTAGTTGCTGAATGTACAATTCACTAGCCAGAGACTAGTAAATGCTGCACCCCGGGGGCTGGTACTCAAGGATACCAATCAACCACTTGGCGGTAAGTAGGCTACATCAGAACTCTTCTACTCTGGGAGGATCAGTGATCCATCTTGGCTGGAATTGACGTATATTCCAGATATCGGTTTTTCTTTTCTGACTACAGGGTTTCAGCACCATTCTCCAAGGACTTAGAATCTGAATCAGTGGTACAAGACCTCACATAATATTGCATCAGGGAAAAGGACATACTTTGGAACAAAAGGACAAAAGAGGTATAGAAGTGGATGGACGACTATGGGATCCTCTAGTCCAATCACATATTGTACTACATAGAAGCCGCTAGCCTTCCTATTAGAGCAATGGGATATATCTTTGCAGGTACTGTTGAGGTGCCAGTTTTGAAATGATGCCCCGTGAAATGGGGTATCACTCTCCAGGATATAGTTCATACTCTAAATCAATAATCACATATGGTGCTATGTTACCAATAGATAGAATACAGGGTTATAGACACCAAATAGTGGAAGTAGAAGTGGCCCCCTTGGGGAATTTTATTTCCCGCAAAAGCAACTAACACTCTTTATCTAGAAGTCCTGGTTCCTAGAGGGGAAATACTTCCACCAGAGATAGAGTAAGAATCTGTTAAGCTATGACTGCCCCCCAGTCACTTCTGGCTCTTTGTAACCATCCTGGCATGGGTAATTGACCCTGCTCATCAGAAGAAGGTAAGATTACAGATAAAACATAGGCAAGGCTGTAGAGAAAACTAGAGTAACATAATTAACAAGCTTGATCTAATAGTAGAATTCCATATTCATGAAATAGAGAATGAAAATTCTAGCACACATAGAATATTTATGAAAACTGATGGCAGGTGAGATCAAAAGAAGTCTATTAAACAAATACTGAAGAGTTGATGGCTTGTAAGTTGACTATTGCTAAGCATTTTTTTTTATTTTTTTTGAGATGGAGTCTCATTTGGCGGCCCAGGCTAGAGGGCAGCAGCGCGGTCTTGTTTCAGGCAACCTCCACCTCCCTGGTTCAAGCAATTCTCCTGCCTCAGCCTCCCAAGTAGTTGGCATTACAGATGCACACTACCATGCCTAGCTAATGTTTTGTATTTTCAGTAGAGACAGGGTTTTGCCATGTTTGCCAGGCTGGTCTCAAACTCCTGACCTCAGTTGATCCACCCGCCTTGGCCTCCCAAAGTGCTGGGATTACAGGCATGAGCCACCAGGTCCGGCCTGCCAAGCATTTTTAATCATGCACCTTCACTGTTGTAGGTTAGGTTTCCTGGGAAGCAGACTCTGAGACTGAGATTCATGTGCAAAATTATCAGTTATAACCCAAACCTTGGCATCATGCAATATTCCCATGTAACAAACCTGCATGTGTACCCCCAATCTAAAATCAAAGTTGAAATTATAAATAAATAAACAAATAAACAAAAAAACCCCAAAATGTTTAGGGAGTGATCTCAGAATTAACACCATTGAAAGAGAGGAGAGAGAAGCAGGAATGAGCAGAGGAAGAAGTTGAGGAGCATTGCAGGATGAAGGAAGACCCCATTCCAATCAATGTGACCCACCAGGAGGAAGACCCCATTCCAATCAATGTGACCCACCAGGAGGAAGACCCCATTCCAATCAATGTGACCCACCAGGAGGAAGACCCCATTCCAATCAATGTGACCCACCAGGAGGAAGACCCCATTCCAATCAATGTGACCCACCAGGAGGAAGACCCCATTCCAATCAATGTGACCCACCAGGAGGAAGACCCCATTCCAATCAATGTGACCCACCAGGAGGAAGACCTCATTCCAATCAACGTGACCCACCAGGAGCTCTAGACTATGTCAGCCCTGCAGAGCTGGGGTAAGGGGACGCCTGAACGGAGCAAATTACCTTTGGAAGAAGGTGTGACCTTGAGCAAGGCAGTCCCTAAAGAAGGCCATCTTCTGGCAGCACTTCTGGAAGCTGGGAGAATTAATCAATCTTTCATTCCTGAAAGAGGATCTGGGTAGCACACCACAGAAAATTTTAGTATATATATCTAATATGCAGAATGCTTATTGACTTACAAATCATATACTTTTCCTATTATATTGATATACATGTACATTATACAACACAAAAAAGAAATTTATAAGTGATTAGATATTGATTAAATAATGTATTAAAACACGTTACTAATATGTGATGGTTTCATATTATTATTAGCTAATATCAGACAGTATACTTTTAGGGCAAACTTCACTATTTATGGCAGGTACATAAATACTTCTTTTTTAAAAAAATTATTTATTATTATTATTTTTGAGACGGAGTTTTTCTCTTGTTGCCCAGGCTGGAGGGCAGCGACGCGATCTCAGCTCACTGTAACTTCTGCCTCCTGGGTTCAAGTGATTCTCCTGCCTCAGCCTCCCGAGTAGCTGGGATTACAGGCGCGTGCCACCATGCCAGTTAATTTTTGTATTTTTAGTAGAGACGGGGTTTCACCATGTTGGTCAGGCTGGTCTTGAACTCCTGATCTCAGGTGATCCACCTGCTTCAGCCTCCCAAAGTGCTGGGATTACAGGCGTGAGCCACCACACCCGGCCATCGATCAAAATTTCTAATAATCTTCTTGATAATTTCCATTTTTTTTGGCCAACTTCTTGCGAGATTTGACTAACTCATTCTACCTTGTAATGCAGCTGACTAAAAGCTGACACCAGAACTGCCAGCTTTGCCATTTTCTCGTTGCTCACCTTTGCTTGCTTTGTTTTATCTTCAATTGTGCTTTCTTTGAAGGAATCCTTTTTTTTATAATTTTATTTTTTAATTAACAAATAATAGCTATACATATTCATGGGGCTTATGGCGATGTTTTGATACATACACTGTATACTGTTCAGATCAGGCTAATTAGCATATCCATCAGTTCAAACATTTATCATTTCTCTGAGTCTAGAAAATTCAATATTCTCCTTCCAGCTATTTGAAACTATATAATATATTATTGTGAACTGTATCATCCTACAGCGGTATAGAACACTGGAACTTATTCCTCCAATCTAGGTGTAATTTTGTATCCTTTAACAGACCTCTCCCTCTCCCTCCTTTCCCCTTACCCTTCCCTGCCTCTGGTATCCTCTGTTCCACTTTTTTCACTTCTATGAGATCTGCTTTTTTTAGCTTCCCCATATGAGTGAGAACATGTGGTATTTAGCTTTCTGTTCTTGGCTTATTTCACTCAGCATAACATCTTCCAGTGCCATCCATGTTGCCACGAATAACAGGGTTTATTCTTTTTTACGGCTGAACAATATTCCATTGTGTATGTGTACCCCATTTTCTTTATCCATTCATAAGTAAATTTTTTAAGAGGGCCTCCCTTCAAGGAATTTTTTGTGACGGTTAGTTTAGTTAAATTAAATAATTTAGTCTGACTATCCACTTACCCCATTACATAGAATCTACAATATTTCTCAATACGCTGAAAGCAAATGAAAGTGGGAGGATACCACTGTCGGCCTCTGCATTTTGGATGTCTCCTGCTTTGCTCAGGACACCTCACAGCTGTCTGAGATGCAGCCTGTTGAGGGCAACAGTGAACATCAGCACACAAAATATTAATCAAGATTAAGTTCTTATTTTGTAGGCAAAAATAAGTAGCAATGGTAGTTCTAGTATCTTCTGCCTGCACCTCTGTGGAACATTTTTCATGCTCTTTTGGGTAGCGGCACCCCATTTTGGAGATCTCTGATCTAGTGAGCAGAAAGTTTATGTACCCCAGATTTAGTACTTTTAGTCAGTGCTGAGAGATGCTGCTTTTCCAAGTTTTCTTCTTTTCCCTTATGCTATTGTTAATCACTTCTCCTTCTGTTAATACATATTTTCTTCATGAATGTTTTTTATTTCTAATTAAGTAATAGTCAAGCTGAGGTTCAAGTAGGCCTGTGAGACTATTTCCTACCAAATGTTTATTTACAGCCCTATTCTCAGGTTCTTAGTGGGCATCTCCGTCTGCCCACAACAATTATATGTGAAACATATACAAATTTCTGAGTAATTAAACATCAAGTTGAAAAACACATCGGACTGGCAAAAACATTTTTTTAAAAAACAAATTTTATTTAATGAGACTAGATTCTTAACACTACCTGTGTGGCCAAGCCTGGTGGGTCATGCCTGTAATCCCAGCACTTTGGGAGGCCGAGGCGGGTGGATCACCTGAGGTCAGGAGTTCGAGACCAGCCTGGCCAACATGGTGAAACCCCGTCTCTACTAAAAATAGAAAAAATAGCTGGGTGTGGTGGCACATGCCTGTAATCCCAGCTGCTTGGGAGGCTGAGGCAGGAGAAGTGCTTGGACCCAGGAGGCAAAGGTTGCAGTGAACCGAGATCGTGCCATTATGCTCCAGCCTGGGCGACAAGAGTGAAACTCTGTCCCAAAATAAATAAATCAGTAAAACTACTTGTGTATCAGAATTGCCTATAGCACTGAGAAAACAAACAAACAAACAAAAAACAAAGAACCCCAAACCGTACTAATTCTTGGATCCCACTTGCATTCATTCAGATTTTAGGGTCAGTTATGAGTAAAGACTTAAAAATAACACGAAATTCTCCATGATACGAGTTGATTGCTCTCTCACATAAATGACTGCTGGAGGTAGGGTGGCAATGCTGCTCCATGAGCTCCTCAGGGACCCAGGCTCTTTACTGCTCTTCATTCCTGCTCTTCATTCCAGGGCCTGGCCTCTGTCTTCATGGTCTAGTCTAGTGGCTGCAACTCTGGCCATCACATCTGTGTTCCAGGCAGGAAGATGGAGGAAGAGACAAAAATGAAATGGGCAAAGGCTGTACATCATCTGACTGTGAAGGCCAGTTCCCAGAAGCTGTCATGTGACAATCCCTCTGACATCCCATTGTCTAGAAGTTAGTCACATATCCACAATTCCATATAAGAGAAGCTGACAAATACGTTGTGTATTCTGGGCAACTATATGTTTAGCTAACAATTGGGACATTTATCCCTACATAAGAAGAGAAACTTTGGGGGACAGCCAACGGTCAATTTCCAAATCAACAACACTCTAGGCCTTGGCCAGCTTTGGAAATCCATGTGCATTTAGGATCTGGTTGGAGAAGGTTTTGCCCTAAGCTCATGCTAGGGATATCACACTATGGCTAGAATTAGCAACTGTTTGTGTGTCGTCTTAGAGAATGTGGAATTGCCCTAATCTCATGCTAGGGATATCACACTATGGCTAGAATTAGCAACTGTTTGTGTGTCGTCTTAGAGAATGTGGAATAGCCTAAGTACAGTGAAAATGTGCGCATGAGCGACTGCATTAGCTCTGCTCAGGTCATCTTATGAGATGCTTTCAGGCACTCATTCTGCCAGGCTACTTTCAGTTTGGGTGCAAAAGAAGAAATAAATATTTCAATTGAAATGTGCAGGGGGACCAGGTGCAGTAGCTCATGCCTGTAATCTGAGCACTTTGGGAGGCTGAGACAGGAGGATCACTTGAGCCCAGAAATTTGAGATTAGCCTGGGCAACATAGTATCTATAAAAAATAAAAAATAAATTAAATGCCCTGGTATTCTTTGGACAAGAGTTTAAAGTTCTGTTCATCTCTCTCATATTCCTCTTTCTCAGGGTGCTAGGAAAAAAATATTAAAAAGAACAAACAAAATGCAATCATTTTGTCCCATTTTGTCCCAAATTTGGTCCCATTGGTGATCCAGTCTAAACAGAGGTTTTCTCAGCCACTTTTGTCAACTATTATTTAGAAAGATACAGCAATAACCAGAAGAGTTTTTGGCTTGAAACTGCCACACAGAGTGTCCTGGAAACAAAACTAGGCATTATACAATTCCTGGGGATGTCATTCATATCTTTTCTATGTGGATGACAACCCCTTGGTACACAGTATGAATGGTGTCCGCTGGAGTTGTGAATGCTGCTGTCCTGCCTGGAAGCAGTGTAACTTGTCTGTTAATCTCAAAATACGTATAAGCTGGTAAGATAAGCAGATGGCACTGACAGTCCCAAGAATAGTCAAGAACTATTCTGTTCTTGCAGAAAGCTGCTTTTAAACATAGTCCAGAGAACTTGATTTAATCTTATCAATGGCTACCAAAAAGGTTCAGATAATCTAGTGAGGCTGCAATATTTCTGATTTCTAGGTATCTGTTTTAAAGACAAATCTAAGACCTTGAAATTTTAGGTTCCTACAGTGCAGTAGAGTGTGATTTGCATAAAGAATTCTGTAACATCATTAATCAGGGGAATTTAGGATTCCTCACTTTAATTGCTCTCATGCACACCTGTTCCTGCTGAAAGTAAATAGAGAGCAACTGCAGCTGCATGGTGGCTTTACTGATTTAAGTACTATCATTAAGAGCATCTTTCAAGCTGGGAGTCTTACAGCTTCAAGGGTGTTTCCAATATATAATTCCCATCAGAGTCAATGATCATTAGAACATATTTTTTAAAACAAAATCCAAAGTTTTTTTTTTAAGTTTTAAAATTATTAACAAAATCAGCCATTTAAGCAAGTATATGTTCAAGGACAGGAGAGGATATCCTGAAAATTTCATCATATTAACTACTATTATATGTGGGACCCAGCAAATTCGAATTAGTTTGGCTTCATTTGATGTAAAATAAGAAGGAATGAACTCATATTTTCTTCTTCCTGTTTTCTTTCTCATTTTTTTTCTTGAGATGGAGTCTTTCTCTGTCACCCAGGCTGGAATGTAGTGGCACAATCTTGGCTCACTGCAACCTCTGCCTCCCGGGTTTAAGGGATTCTCCTTCGTCAGCCTCCCGAGAAGCTGGGACTAACAGGCATGCGCCCCACGCCTGGCTAATTTTTGTATTTTTAGTAGGGACGGGGTTTCACCATGTTGGCCAGGCTGGTCTCAAACTCCTGACCCCAAGTGATCTGCCTACCTTGGCCTCCCAAAGTGCTGGGATTACAGGCATGAGCCACCTTGCCAGGCTGCTCTTGCCATTTTCTATTGGTCCTTAACCTTTACTGGGTCATGATACTTTTTTTTTTTTTTTTTTTTTTTTGAGACAGAGTCTCACTCTGTTGCCCAGGCTGGAGTACAGTGGCATGATCTCGGCTCACTGCAACCTCTGCCTCCCAGGTTCAAGTGATTCTCCTGCCTCAGCCTCCTAAGTAGCTGGGACTACAGGTGCTTCTACCACACCCGGCTAATTTTGTGTATTTTTAGTAGAGGTGGGGCTTCACCGTTTTAGCCAGGATGGTCTCGATCTCCTGACCTCATGATCCACCTGCCTTGGCCTCCCAAAGTGCTGGGATTACAGGCGTGAGTCACTGCGCCTGGTCGGGTCATGATACTTTTTAGAATATGATGTGAGATATGGTACCTTTTCCAAGAAATGTACTCAGATACATGTACACAAACTTTATCATAACATTTCAGGGGTTATTGACTCATAAAACCTATTCATAGACCCTCTAGTTTCAAAATCTCAATCTAGGCCAAGCGTGGTGGCTCACGCCTGTAATCCCAGCACTTTGGGAGGCCGAGGCAGGTGGATCATGACGTCAGGAGATTGAGATCATCCTGGCTAACATGGTGAAACCCTGTCTCTACTGAAACATACAAAAAATTAGGCAGGCGTGGTGGCGGGCACCTGTAGTCCCAGCTACTCAGGAGGCTGAGGCAGGAGAATGGTGTGAACCTGGGAGGCAGAGCTTTCAGCGTGCTGAGATAGCGCCACTGCACTCCAGCCTGGGCGACAGAGCAAGACTCCAGTCAGAAAAAAACAAAAACAAAAACAAAAAAACAAAAAAAACCCCCTTAATCTAGAGGCCACTGTAGGGTGAAAATAAGTTGTAAGAACTCAAAATTAATTCCAGGTTTGAAGAAAAAGTTAGTGGGTTTTTTTTAACACTGATTTGAAAGCAAGTCACTTTGGAGACAAAATTACTACTTTCAGGAATCATTTTTATTGATGTCTTTAATTTCACAAACCAAATTATATAAAATTAAGTAGTACACATTTCAAACATAATAATTGTGCTCTGTACAATTCAAGGCACACTTGGATTTTTTGTTGGTTTTTTGTTTGCTTTTTAACAACGGAAAACTTATACTCCATTCAAGATTTTTCCATCAGAACTTTAATCATTTTATTTGGGTTCACAGGTGAAAATATTGTGAAAGTTCATTTACACCACAATGAAGGATAACATCTTCAGCCCCATTTATTTACTAACAACTTTATTGAGATATAATTCACATACCATATAATTCACCCACTTAAAATATACAACTCAATGGTTTTTAATATATTGTTATGTGACCATTACCACAATAAGTTTAGACCATTTTCATGAACCATAAAGAAATCCTGTACCCATTAGATGAATCCTGTACTCCCCATTCATCACCCCCAATTCTAGCCTTAGGCAACCACTAATGTACGGAAAGTATTTTTTGTAGAGACAGGGTTTTGCTATGTTGCCCAGGCTGGTCTCAAATTTCTGGCCTCAAACAATCCTCCTGCCTCAGCCTCCCAAAGTGCTGGGATTACAGGTGTGAGCCACTGTGCCTGGCCCTTTATTTCTTTTTATGGCTGAATAATATAGTCCATTGTATGGATATACCAGATTTGGTTTATCTATTCATTAGTTCATAGACATTTGGGTTGTATTCAGCTTTTGGCCATTATGAATAATTCTGCTATAAATATTTGTGTACAAGTTTTTGTATTGACCAGCCCCTTAATTTTTAACTACACAAGGCAAAAAGTAAAAAGAGAAGAACTCTTACAACAAAATCATACAAAATATGTTTTGCAACAATTTTAGATTTTTCAAGATTCAACCATTTCCATATGTAACATCACAGAGGCTTGTCATGACAGGAAAACTGGTGTCATTACTCTATCACAGAATTGGGAAATCCTAGAAGGTTAGATGTTCTCTAAGACCCTTCTTACACTAAGTTAACGACTTACTACTTTCTATTATTTCTCCATAAACAGAAGAGGAAAGACCAGAAGAGGAAAGGCTTGCCACACTAACCTAAGTTCCCTGTGCTGGTTTGAAGTACTCAGTTCCCTTACCAATTTCCAACTGTCTTTTTCCTACAACTTTAATGTTTGTTGAGTGTATGTATGATTCATAAGATTTCTGATCAATACTATGTGTGTGACATTGAAAGGAGTCAAAATGAATGTATGACTTAGCTGCATTTATCATTTATTAATTGATGACACATTTATCCAATGATAAAAGCATTTGAGAATCTCAACTTATGCCTGAGCCTCTTTCATTAGCTATTATGGTATTATATTCACACAAGTTCATGCATTGAATTTATCTGATAAGGACAGATTCAGAGGCATAGGAAGCACATTCCTAAAGATTTGACCATTAGAGTCGTTACACAGAAGATTCTAATGATTATTTATTTTGCTTTGTATTTCAGAACAATCTTACTTTGGATTTTTGATTTAATTTCACTGAAATTCAGTCAGCATTACCTGATGCTAGCATGTGAGGCATAATCTGGAAGACTGAATCACAATTTACTGCTAGGGGAGCCTGCCAAGCTTTGCCATTCTTTCAGGGGAGGGTTTCCCTGAGAAGCCAGTTTTTTTAGATAGTCACTTGGCTCCAGTTGGGGAATATCAGGGTTCTGCCTGTAATATTTCTGCAATTTCTCTAGAACTGTGGGCAACCCAACTGTGGAAGCATAGAACATGGGCCCGCCCTTGTGCCTTGGCCATCCATATCCATGTAAATAGACAACATCAATGTGCTCTGGGCTAGCAGCTATCCCTTCTCCCAAGATACGGAATGCTTCATTGATAAGTGAATATAAGCAGCGTTCAAGGATCTCATCCTGGCTAATGGTACGTGGTTCAATGTGATGGGTTTTTCTATACCGTGATAGGAATTTGGAAAGCCAGGGATCAGGTTTGTGAATCCTACCCAATGGCTTGTCATATTGATACCAACCCTTACCTGTCTTCTGGCCAAATCGTCCTAATTCACAGAGCACATCAGGAATTGGGCAGTACCTCCTATTACCCCTTTTTCGGGCAGGAGTTCCTGGAAGCAATGTAGGTCCAGTAAGACCTTGCCCCTTTCTAGATTTCCAGCCCACATCCAACCCAGCAAGATCAGACACTCTAAAAGGTCCCATTTTAAAACCAAACTCTTCCAGCACCTGATCTACCTCCTCTGGTTTGCTGCCTTCTTCTAACAAGAAATATGCCTGATTGTAGTAAGGATTCAACATTCGATTCCCCACAAATCCAAAACAGTTGCCTACAACGACTCCAATCTTTTTAATCTTTTTTGATAAGTTCATAACAGTGGCAATGGTAGTGGGGGAAGAGTATTGGCTGGGAATAACCTCTAACAACTTCATGACATGAGCTGGCGAAAAGAAGTGGGTGCCAATGACCAAGTGAGGACGATCAGTGGAAGAAGCAATCTCATCAACATCCAGGGCTGAAGTATTAGTGCACAAAAATGCTTCTGGTTTGCACACAGCTGAGAGTTCAGCAAAGACCTGCTTCTTCAGGCTCATTTCCTCAAATACTGCTTCAATGACTAAATCTACACCACCAAGCTCCTTCACAGATGAAGTTAACCTGGGTTTTGGTCCTGACCAAGGGTGGCCGCTCTGTTGCATTTTGGAGGCTTCTTTTTCCAAGACAGAGGTTATCATCTTGTTTGCAGTTGCTAGCTGGTTTTTGTCCGAGTCTACAGCAATCACAGGAATCCTGGCCCTTGCAAAAGAAATGACAATGCCTCGGCCCATTGTTCCCAAGCCTGCAGATAAAAATCAAAGGAGAAAAAGAATGATTCAGTGGTATTGGGAACTGATAAATTATTCACTGGATGGAAGGCTTATGTGACAATGTGGCATTTAAAGAGATTGAGTCAAGAAACACAAATGGATTGAGTACTAGTTAAGACTCTGCACTCTCTTAAGTGTTTCAGAGGATATAAAAATTAGTCAGATTCACACACACAAATAGAAGCTATACAAACTAATAAATGAGTCCAACGAGATTGTAGGTACACAATTGATATACAAAAATCAAGTATATTTCTATATATTAGAAATAAACAATCTGAATATAAAATTAAAAGAAACAATTCTACTTACAATAGCATCAAAAAGAATAATACACAGGAAGAAATTTAACAAAGAATAGGAGGATTTGTACACTAAAAAGTACAAAACATTGTTAATAGAAATTAAGTAAGACCAAATAAATGGAAAAACATTAAATGTTTTTGTATCAGACAACTTAATATTGTTAAGGTGGTAATACTACCCAAATTGATGTGAAGAACCAACACAATTCCTATAAAAATCCCAGCTGGTTTTTTGCAGAATCAATAAGCTGATCCTAAAATTCACATAGAAATGCAAGAAATCCAGAAGAGCCAAAACAATACTGAAAAAGAACAAAGTTGGAGGATTCACTCTTCCCAATTTCAAATTGTATGACAAAACTATTCAAGGTTGGGTGAGGTGGCTCGTGCCTGTAATCCCAGCACTTTGGGAGGCCAAGGTGAGAGGATCACTTGGAACCAGGAGTTTGAGACCAGCCCAGGCAACACAGTGAGACTCCAACTCTATAAAAAATTAAAAATTAGCCAGGGGGCCAGGTGCAATGGCTCACACTTGTAATCCCAGCACTCTGGGAGGCCGAGGTGGGCAGATCACCTGAGGTCAGGATTTCAAGACCAGCCTGACCAACATGGAGAAAACCCGTCTCTACTAAAAATACAAAATCAGCTGGGTGTGGTGGTGCATGCCTGTAATCCCCACTACTTGGGAGGCTGAGGCAGGAGAATCACTTGAACCCAGGTGGCAGAGGTTGCAGTGAGCCAAGATCGCACCATTGCACTCCAGCCTGGGCAACAAGATTGAAACTCTGTAACAACAACAACAACAACAACAACAACAACAACAACAAAAATTAGCCAGGCATGATGGTGCATGCCTATAGTCACAGCTATTTGGGAAGCTGAAGCAGGAGGATATCTTGAGCCCAGGAGTTTGAGGATTGCAGTGAGCTATGATCACACTACTGCACTCCAGCCTATGTGACAGAGTGAGACCCTGTCTCAAAAAAAAAAAAAAAAAAAAAAAAAAAAGAAGCCTATAGTATTTAAGACAGTGTAAGATAGTGGTCATTGCAAAAGGATAGACATATAGATTAGCAGAATAGAACTGATAGCCAAAAGCAAACCCACACAATTATGGCCAATTGATTTTTAACAAGAGTGCCAAGAACATTCAACAGAGAAAGTATAGTCTTTTCAACAAATGATGCTGGGACAACTGGATATCCACATGCAAAAGAATGAAGTTGGACCCTTACCTCACACCATATACAAAACTAACTCAAAATGGATCATAGGCCTAAATGTAAGAGCTAAAACTATAAAATTCTTAGAAGCAGATCTTAGGAGTAAGTCTGATGGATGGATACATCTTTGTGATCTTGAATTAGGCAATGGTTTCTAAGACATGACACCCAAAGCACAAGCAACACATGGGTAATAATCACATGAAAAAGTGTTCAACATCAATAGTCATTAAGGGAATGCAAATCAAAACCACAGTGAGATAATGCTTCAAACCCACTAGGATTGCAATAATGAAAAAGACAGACAATAACAAATTTTGGTGAGGATTTGGAGAAATTAGAACTCTGATACATTGCTGGCAAATTTTTTAAATGGTACAGTTGCTGCAAAAAACAGTTTAGCAGTTACTCAAAATGTTAAACATGGAGTTACTTTATGATCCAGCAATTCCACTGATATCTAAATCTCCAAGAGAACTGAAAATACATGTCCACATAAAGCTTGTACATGAATGTTCAGTAGCAGCATTATTCAAAATAGCCAAATGCAGCCATAAAAAAGAATAAAATCACACACTTGCAACAACATAGATGCAGCTGGAGGCCATTATCCTAAGCAAATTAACACAGAAACAGAAAACCAAATACTGCATGCTCTCACTTATAAGTGTGAGCTGAACACTGGGTACACATGGCCCCAAAGATGGGAACAATAAACACTGGGGATTCCAAAAGGGGGAGTGAGGGAAGACGGAAGAGTTGAAAACCTACCTATCGGGTACTGTGTTCACTACTTGAGTGAACATTAGAAGCCCAAACCTTGGCATTACGCAATACATACACCCATGTAACAAACCTGCACACGTACCCCCTGAATCTAAAATAAAATTAAAAAAATAATTTCAGAAACCCTGAGCTAAGGCTGGATCCAGAAAATTGTGTATATTACCTGTACACAGAATGTATACACATCTTTCTTATCTCCTCCTTAAGAGAAATAGATCAGTGGCTATCAGTACTTGTTAATTAAACTAGGGGGCATTATATCTTCAACAGAATCAACTGTCTTCCACAGAAATGGAATATTCCAAAATCTGAGATACGATGAGACATTTTAAAATGAAATCTATTAATTTAGTGTAGTTCTCCTGCTTTGTGATTTTCCTGTATCAATGTCACTTGGCATTTTTTAAAGCTTTAAAATATTTTCCTGTAAATTTTGCATTTATACAATAAAAATAAATTTCATTTTCTCACGTTAAAAAATTAGCCAAAAAATAGAAGCAATTTGAATGTTCATCAACTGGTGTATAGATACACAAAATGGAGAATATTATTCGGCCATAAAAAGGAATAAAATACGAGGCGGGTAGATCACCTGAGGTCAGGAGTTCAAGACCAGCCTGACCAACATGGTGAAGCCCCATCTCTACTAAAAATACAAAAATTAGCTGGACGTGGTGGTGCACACCTGTAATCCCAGCTACTTGGGAGGCTGAGGCAGGAGAATCGTTTGAACCTGGGAGATGGAGGTTGCACTGATCCGAAATCACGCCGTTGCACTCCAGCCCGGGCAACAAGAGCAAAATTCTGTCTCGAAAAAAAAGAATAAAATAATGATACATACTATAACATGAATGAATCTTGAAAGCATTATGCTAAGTTAAAGAAGCCAGGGCCGGACACGGTGGCTCATGCCTGTAATCCCAGCACTTTGGGAGGCCAGTGCGCAAGGATCATTTGAGCTCAGGAGTTCAAGACCAGCCTGGCCAACACGGCAAAATCCTGTTTCTACCAGAAATGCAAAAATTAGCCAGGTGTGGTGGCATGTGCCTATGGTCCCAGCTCCTCAGGAGGCTGAGGTGGGAGGATTGCTTGGGCTCAGGAGGCAGTGGTTGCAATGAGTTGAGATTGTGCCACTGCACTCCAGCCTGGGTGACAGAGTGAGACTCCATCTTGAAGAAAAAAAAAAAAAAGCCAGACACAAAAGGCTACATATTGTATGGTTCCATTTATATGAAATGTCCAGAATAGGCAAATCCACAGAGACAGAAAATAGATTCGTGGTTGCCAAGGGCTGGAGGGAAGGGTGATGGAGAGTGACTGTTGATGGGTAGAGGATTTCTTTGGGGAGTGATGAGAATGTTCTAAAATTGATGTGACAATGGTTGCATAAACTCTGTCAATATCTAACAACCATTGAATTGTATTCTTTTTTGGTGATATGCTTACTATGCATTTTCTGATTTTTAAAAATTGTGGCAAAATACACATAAGGTTTCCCATCATAGCCATTTCTAAGTGCACAGTTCAGTGGCATTAAATGCATTCACAAGGTGTGCAACCATCATCAGAACTCTTTCGAATTGCAAAGCTGAAACTCTGCACCTACTAAATGATAACTCCCCATTTTCCCTCTCCCCAACCCTGGCCAACCATTCTATTTTCTATATCTGTGCATTTGACTACTCCAGGTACCTCATGTAAGTGGAATTATGCAGTATTTGATCTTTTATGATTGGCTTATTTCACTTAGCAGTATGTCCTCATGGTTCACCCATGTTGTAACATGTGTCAGAATTTTCTTCCTTTTTAAGGCTGAATAATATTCCATTGTATGTATATACCAAATTTTATTTACCCATTCATCCTTCAATGGATACTTGGGTTGCTTGTACTGTTAGGCGATTGTGAGTAATGCTATTATGAACATGAGTGTAAAAATATCTATTTGAGTCCCTGCTTTCAATTCTTTTTTTGTTTGTTTGTTTGAGATGGAGTCTCTCTCTGTCACCCAGACTGGAGTGCAGTGGCGTGATCTCGGAACACTGCAACCTCTGCCTCCTGGGTTCAAGCGATTCTCCTGCCTCAGCCTCCCAAGTAGCAGGGATTACAGGTGTGCACCACCACGTCCAGCTAATTTTTGTATTTTTAGTAGAGATGGGATTTCACCATGTTGGTCAGGCTGGTCTCGAATTCCTGACCTCAAGTAATCCACCTGCCTTGGCCTCCCAAAGTGCTGGGATTACAGGCGTGAGCCACTGTGCCTGGCCCCTGCTTTCAATTCTTTGGGGTAAATATCCAGAAGTGGAATTGCTGGATTATATGGCAATTTTTACCTTTTTGACAAACTGTCATGCTGTTGTCCATAGAAGCTGCAACATTTTATTATTTATTTATTTGTTTATTTTTTGAGATGGAGTCTTGCTCTGTCACCCAGACTGGAGTGCAGTGGTGTGATCTCAGCTCACTGTAACCTCCGCCTCCCGAGTTCAAGCGATTCTCGTGCCTCAGCCTCCGGAGTAGCTGGGATTACAGGCACCTGCCACCATGCCTGGCTAATTTTTTTGTATTTTTAGTAGAGACAGGGTTTCATCATGTTGGCCAGGCTGGTCTCGAACTCCTGACCTCAGGTGATCCACCCACCTTGGCCCTACAAAGTGCTGCGATTACAGGGGTGAGCCACTGTGCTCAGCCGCAGCTGTACCATTTTACATTGAATCGCTTTTAAAGGGTGAATTTTGGCCAGGCACAGTGGCTCATGCCTGTAATCCCAGCACTTTGAGAAGCTGAGGCAGGTGGATCACTTGAGGCCAGGAGTTTGAGACCAGCCTGGCCAACATGGCAAAACCCCATCTCTACTAAAAGTACAAAAATTAGCCGGGCATAGTGGCACATGCCTATAGTACCAGCTACTCAGGAGGCTGAGGCACAAAGAATTGCTTGAAACTGGAAGATGGAGGCTGCAGTGAGCTAAGATTGTGCCACTGCACTCCAGCCTGGGCAACACAGCAAGACCCTGTCTTCAAAAAAAAAAAATTTAAAAAAAGATACATACATAAATAAAAAGGTGAATTTTATATGTGAGTTACATTTCAATTAAACTGTTATTAAAAAAAAACATGAAGAGCATCAACCTTCAGGGAGCTTCTGATTTAGCGGTGGAAAGAGGAATTCACAATATCCATTCCATATGGTAAAGTAAATGATGTGAAAAGTTCAAATTTCTTTGATTCAAAGGGAAAAAATTACATTCAGTTGGATGAATCAAAAAAAGCTTCAAGACAAAGACATTTGAAATGGACCTTAAAGGAAGATTAGACTGTAATAGGTAAAACTGAGGAAGTTGAACCATCCAGGTCGAGGAAGGGAAAAACATAGGGAGAAATATTTTAAGCAAAGGCAAGAAAAAAATGGAAAATGAAGAAAAATTATTTGATGAAAAATGTTGTTTGTTCCCAACACCAATTCATTTTCCTGCCGGCACACAGAAGACTGTACTTTCTAGATCCCTTGCATCCTGTTAGGGCCTGTGAGTAACTGTGGTCAATGAAATACGATGGTGGTGATTGGGGGAAATGTGGGTTCTTGGATTGGCTCCTAAAATCTCCCACAAGATCCTCCATTGCCACCCAGATGTAGAGAATGCAGAGAATGACTCTGAGGCCTTGCAGGAGGCCTAAAGTAGGTGATGGGGTAAACTGTGGCCTGTAGGCCAAACCCCGCCCACTGCCGATTTTTGCACTGCCTGCAGGCAAAAACATGTTTTTACATTTTTAAATAAAAAATTTTAAAAGTACCATTTTGTGGCACATGAAAAATTATATCGTATTCAAAATTCAGTGTTCATAAATAAAATTTTATTGGAACACAAGGTTAATTTGTTTCCATATTGTCTATGGCTGGGTTTTTGTTTTGTTTTGTATTTTGTTTGTTTTTAGAGATACAGTCTTGCTCTGTTGCCCAGGATGGAGTACAGTGGTGGCATCATGGCTTTCTGCAGCCTCTATGCCCTGGGCTCAAGTGACCTTCCTGCCTCGGCCCCCCTAGTGGCTGCAACTGAGGCATGTGCCACCATGCCCGGCTCTATGGCTGTTTTTGTGCACAACGGTAGACGTGGGTAGTTGCAACAGAGACTGTATGGCCCACAAAGCTTAAATATTTACCATCCGGAACTTTACAGAAAAAGTTTGCTGACCCTTATCATGGAGAATGGCAGAGCCACTAGTGGGAAAAAACCCTGGTCCTAGAATGACCTTATGGAATAAGCATTAAATAAACACTTATTGTGTTAAGCTACTGAGATTGCTGGGTTACCTGTTACAGTGGCAGATGATGTGTTGCCTAACCAGCCCACTGTGGATGAAAACAGCTTTGTGAAAGCCACTTATATATTACTCCTCTATACTTTGTATTTACTAGCATGGAGGATTGGTTTTGAAGATAGGATGTATCAGTCATCAGAAATCACTGATTTAGTCTCTCTAGAACATATTTAGTTAATTTTCCAAGTGTATTAAATTACTCAATACTATATAATAAATATATTAAATTATTAAGAACACAGTTTTCCAAATTTATTAACCCCCTGCACTTCTCTCAAGAACAAGAAGGTTGAACAGCTCTCACTTCTATAGCAACTTGTATCCTAAACTTTAGCTTTGATAAAACTTTTCTACATTAAAAGGTAGAATGTGGGGTTTGAAACTCTGGCCTCCTAGCTATTGGTTTCAAGCTTCATATAGTTCTCTAATTTTGCCTCACAGATGCATATAGACAGGGGCAAGGAGTCCTGCTCCCCTGCCAAATTACTGCTTTTGACTGCCATGGAATTGAATTTGATCAGGAACCTCTTCTACTCAGAGAAGTAAATACCAAATAAGGATGTTTTAAATGTTAGTTTTGCAGTTTCTGATCAACTACATTCCCCTGTCCTGACAGGCCTGGGAGCCTGGGTGTGGTGTGAGAACGTGAACTTGCAGGGTTACTAATCAGAACTGCGTCTCCTGCGGGGCTGAGAAGCCTGGGCCTGGGCTCATGGAAACAAGCCAAAAATTGAGATCATCAGGGTTAGGATTTTGCGGGGAGCACAATGGAAGGGCAATGAATCATGGAGTTTGGAGACTTTGGCCCGAGAGTGGCTGAAATGATAACTCTTAAAATTAAAGCTGAATAGAGAAGAAAATAAAGATAAGGGGAGCTGATCAAGTAATGGATGTAGTTGAAATAACCCATTAAGAAAGATACAAGGAAAGATATGAGGTGGTGGTGGTAGTGAAGAGAGGGGTTTCAGATTTTGGAAGTGGAGAAATATTCAGGGTAACGACAAGACCTGTGGAGAAGCGAGTGTGGAATGTGGAAGTGAGGTGAGGTGAATGTCCCTGAGTCTGAGGAGGCAAAAAACCCAGATGCTACAAGGAGGGAATGATTGTCCATAGAGACGATGAGGACAACCAGGATGGCAGCAGGGTTTGGGCCAAAGTGGGTAACTGTGAGCCAGGTACTAAAGTGTTCAGCAAATGGAAGGCAGCCATGACAGTAATGAAAAGGGATAGAACGACAAGACCACAGTGCAGGACCACAAAGGACAGTGTCCCATAAAGCGCAATGGTCTGAGAAGTGACCCAGCTGTCCATGGAGTGTGGGAGAAGCGGCAGCATTCCCTGGAGAGGGCAGCAGATGCAGGTCCTCAGGGTAAGCCGGGTTTCAGTCAGGAGGCAGAGGAGTGTCATGGAGTCTGTCAGAGGACACGAGGGAGCGGTGGAAGGTTGCATCACGAAGATGAAACGCATGGCAGTGTAGCAATACACATGAAGAGGGCAGAAACGTCCAGATCCTCTTACTTGATTTCTATCTACGTGTCTTTTATATATTTAGTACGCCCTTTCCAATATTTTTCAAAACAATGTGGATATCATTTTAAAAAAATACTTCAAACTTTTACACATTATATGCCAGAAACAAACCTGAAGGCTTTTAAAGAAAGGTTCACAACAAAATCGGGAAATCCTCTCAAACAGTGGTTGACAAACACAATACTGATACACTTACCAGCTTGCTATTATTTGCATTAATTATTCTTGACTTGAAGGAATTGAAGGAGAAAGAGGTTAAGTGCACAACAACTAGAAATAAATATTGGTATTGCTGAAATATTTAATAGTACAAAAAGAGGAACAATCATAGTTCTTTGTCACTCTACTTATCCATCTTCTTAAAAAATCACAAGTGAGGCTGGGCACAAAGGCTCACGCCTGTAACTCCAGCACTTTGGGAGGCCAAGGTGGGCGGATCACCTGAGGTCAGAGGTTCAAGACCAGCCTGGACAACATAGTGAAACCCTGTCTCTACTAAAAATACAAAAATCAGCCAGGCTTGGTGGCGCAGCACCTGTAATCCCAGCTACTTGGGAGGCTGAAGCACGAGAATTGCTGGAACCTGGGAGGCGGAGGTTGTGGTGAGCTGAGATTGCGCCACTGCACTCCAGCCTGGGTGACAGAGCGAAACTCCATATCAAAAAAAAAAAAAAAAAAATCCCAAGCGAATCAAGGGTAGACCTCAACAGAGTCAGAGCTGAAAGGAGCACAATGTATTTATATTAGAGACAGATTCTTTGATACCAAAGTTGAATTGAGAGAACAAACAGACTGAGAAAATGTGGAGTGAGATCTTTGCCTCCAAGTTGGGTTGGTGCTACAGCAGGGGTCGCCAACCTCTGGCTGTGGACCGGTACCAGTCCGTGACCTGTTAGCACAGCAGGAGGTAAGCAACAGGCTAGGGAGCATTTCAGCCTTGACCTCCGCCTCCTGTCGGATCAGTGGTGGTATTAGACTCTCACAGGAGCGCGAACCCTATTGTGAACTGCGCATGTGAGGGATCTAGGTTGCATGCTCCTTCTGAGAATTTAATGCCTGATGATCTGAGGTAGAACAGTTTCATCCCAAAACCATCATCCCCCAATCCGTGAAAAATTGTATTCCGTGAAACTGGTCCCTGGTGCCAAAAGGTTGGAGACCACTGTGCTAGACAGCTGGGCAAGGGTTAAGAAAGTTGATGCTTTTACACAAAAAGGCAAATATCATATGTTCTCACTCATATGTGGGAGCTTAAAATGTAGATCTCATAATGATACAGGGTAGATTGGTGGTTGCCAAAGGCCAGGAAGGGGAGGGGGGGATGGGAGATGAAGGGAAAAAAAAGGATATAAATATATTTATTACTACTGAACTGTATACTTACAAATCGTAAAGATGGTTAAAAAAAAAGAAAAAAGAAAGAAAAATCAGAATAAGGGCTATAGACTAAATAATAGTTCTTTATATTAATTGCCCTGTTTTTTAAAATAAATTATACTGTGGTCATGTATGAGAATATTAATTTTAGGAAATACACATAAGTCTGTAACTTTTTCTTAGGGTTCAGAAAAGAGAGAGGGAAATAAAACAAATATAGTAAAACGTTAACATTTGGAGGATCTGGATAAAAAGTATATGAGAATTTTTTGTACTATTATAACTTTCCTGCATGTCTTTAATTATGATTAAAAAAACTTAAATATAAGAAAAAAAGAAAAGAAAGAAAGTTGATGCTTTTAGTAAACTATGGACCCTCTCCCCAGAAGATTGTACCTAAGCTGGTGCAAAGAATGCTTCACTTACCATCTCAAGGGATTTAAAATCCACCAAAGACCGTTCTTGAGCCGAGACTAAGAGCAAGTGAAGCTTAGGAAAGTGGCCCAGAGAAGCCAATCAGGGAGCTAGCATCTGAGGAAGGAAGATATTTTGTTTGGGAAAATTCCAGAGGGAAAAAAAGTAAGGAAGCCATGGTTTCAGGGTTAAGATGGATTTGAGGATAGTGGTTTTGAACAGGTGAAGTGAATGGATCGGGGGACGGAAAGACAGAGACTTGATTGCAAATACCCAGCTATGAGAGTGACAGGCCACACCTTGAAATGTGGTACAAATCATCATCATCAGGAAATCCAGGAATGAGAGATTCATACAGGGAAGAGGTAGCATAGAATAAAAAATGCTAGGCCAGGAATGGTGGCTCACACCTGTAATCTCAGAAATTTGGGACGCTAAGGCAGGTGGATCACTTGAGGCCAGGAGTTCGAGACCAGCCTGACCAACATGGCGAAGCCCTGTCTCTACTAAAAATACAAAAATTATCTGGGCATGGTGGCAGTAGTCACAGCTACTCAGGAGGCTGAGGAAAGAGAATCACTTGAACCTGGGAGGTGGAGGTTGCAGTGAACCGAGATTGAGCCACTCCACTCCTGCCTGGGTGACAGAACAAGACTCTGTCTCAAAAAAAAAAAAAAAAAAAAAAAAAAGAATAAAACATTCCCAGTCTGGAGTCAGACCTAGGGTCAGACTTTCACCCTACTCGTGTTTAGCTCACCATTGAGAAGGCTGGCGTCTCTAGGCCTCTCATGTTAAAGAAGAGAGCTCATGGGGTGGTGTGAGAATTAGCTTAGCTAACACAAGTAATGTGTCTTACGTGAAACCTAGCATCCGGTAGCCCTAAGCAAATGGTAGCACATTACATGAGCAGATTTGGAGGATTCCATTCATTACCCCATGGTCTTACCAACAACACCAACTGAGGAGACAGGCCGCGCTGATGCTGTTTTCCACGATGCTCCGGAGGGAGTTGACCACTTATTTGCTTTCCTTTCAGCGAAGAAAGCATATTGCAGGGCTCTAGCCTGCCCTGATTGCAAAAGATATAGAAACAGCTCCTCCTCCTTCTTGATGCCCACTTCATAGGGATACTGCACAGCAGCCTGGACTGCACGGACACAAGCCTCCTGTGCAAGACACCCAGGGTGCTGCCTCCGCATCTTCAAGAGGGCCTCACTAAAAATGCTGTCCATGTTGGGCAAGCTCTGAATTGGCTTGTTGCAGAGTCTACGGGATTCTAGAGGTTGATCTGAAAGGAATAAGAAGGATCAGAGCTTTGGAAATGTTACTTGTACAAAGGGAATGTGAATATATAGTAATAACAATAACCTGTTCAAATTCAAAGCACAAACTAAAAGCTATTCATTAAGACATTTAATGTACACTAAACATATGTACACTAACATCTCTGATATCTTTGCAACACAGTCCTACAAGATAGAATTTAGTAGACTCAAAGCAATTTTAGGTTACCTAGTTTAGGCATAAAAGTTGTATTTTCTTTTTAATCCAAGACCAAGACAATTTTATAATAGATTAATGATTAATTAATTAAATTAATCAATAGATTAATATTTAATCTGTAATTAATATTAATATATTAAATATTAATGAGTCTAAGGAAAACGGTTCTGAGTTAATATTTTATTTATTAATTTTTAAAAATTATTTCAGCTTTTATTTTAGATTGAGGGCATACATGTGCAGGTTTGTTACATGGGTATATCACACGATGCTGAGGCTTGGGATATGAATAATCCTGCCACCCCAGTAGTGAGCATAGTACCCAGAAGTTGGTTTTTCAACCTTTGCCATCCTCCCTCCCTTCCCCTGTAGTAGAGACTCTAGTGTCTATTATTGAGTGAATATTTTAGATTCAAAATAACCTTAACTCCGTTCCTAATAGTAACAAAAACTTTAAAATACCTAGAAAAGGAGACAGCGTGGTATTGATGCAAGGATAGGTATATATATCAATGGAAGAGAATCGAGAGTTCACAAATAAACTCTTACAATTATAGCCAATGATTTTCAACATAGGTGTCCAAACAATTCAATGGAAGAAAGGAGAGTCTCTTTTTTTCACATTCAGAATTTTTATTTTAAAACAAAGAATCGGAGCAACATTAACAACAGAAAATCCATATGGAAATATTCACAATCTGCTCAGTGAGAAATGGGAAAACAACTTTCCTGCCTTACTGCCAACCTACTGTTTGAGGAGCCAGAAGTTGACGTGAGGTTGGAAGGTCACCTTTTCCAGCTAAATCCCACTGAATAGGTGTGTGCATTTTTATTCAAAGTCTCCGCAACCAGAGGGAACAGAACTGAGAACAAAAATACTGTTATTGGCAAGGGTTTGGCTAAAGGGTCTGGCTAAAGGGTCTGAGATGTGCAAGCACCAAGAAGGGATAGGGAGATTGAGCAACACATGAAAAGAGGGGCTGTAGGAACAAGCACCGAGAAAGTAAGTCAACTATAACCTACTTCCACCCAGAGCAAAGTGACTGTGCACATAAATCCACACTCTCAAGTGTGGGCTACACTGCACGCTGACTCATACGATCTCAAACGTGGTTTATTGGAAAGATTCTAGTCCCCTAAGGGCACTCAGCGAAGGACCACAGTGACATGGTAACAGATGCACACAAGCATACTGTGACCCTAAAGCAACAACACACTTTAGATAATAATCGTTCAGAAAAAAATCCTCAAAAGGAGAATCTTTCAACAAATCGTAGTGGGATAATTGGATATCCACATGCCAAAAACAATAAAAAAAAAAAAAAATTTAGGTCCTTACCTAGCACCATATATAAAAATCAACTGAAAACAGATCACAAATCTAAATTGAAGAACTAATACTATAAAAATTCCTAGAAGAAAATATAAAAAAATTTTCAGGACCTTGGGGTTAGGCAAAGTATTCTTAGATACAACACCAAAAGCATGACATACAAAAGAAACAAGAAATCAGACTTCATAAAAATTAAAGACTTTTGTTCTTCAAAGGATATCAATAAGAAAATGAAATGACAGCCAGGTGCAGTGGCTCACGCCTGTAATCCTAGCACTTTGGGAGGCCGAGGCGGGTGGATTGTCTGAGCTCAGGAGTTCGAGACCAGCCTGGGCAACATGGTGAAACCCCATCTCTACTAAAATACAAAAAATTAGCTGGACATGGTGGTGTGCACCTGTAATCCCAGCTACTCGGGAAGCTGAGGCAGGAAAATTGCTAGAACCTGAGAGGTGGAGGTTGCAGTGAGCCGAGATCATGCCATTGCACTCCAGCCAGGGTGACAGAGCGAGACTCTGTCTCCAAAAAAAACAGAAAAAAAAAAATGAAATGACAAGCCATAAACTAGAAGAAAATACTTGTGTGGTAGTCAGAATAACACCCCCCCCACCAAATGTTCATGTCTTAATTCCTAGAATCTGTGAATGTATAACCTCACATGGTAAAGAGATGTATAGGTGAGAGTAAGATTAAAGACCTTGGCTGGGCACAGTAGCCCACGCCTGTAATTCCAGTACTCTGGGAGGCCGAGGTGGGCAGATTGCTTTGAGCTCAGGAGGTTGAGACCAACCTGGGCAACGTGGTGAAACTCTGTCTCTACCAAAAATACAAAAAATTAGCCGGGCATGGTGGCGCACCCCTGTGGTCCCAGCTACTCTGGAGGCTGAAGTGGGAGAATCGTTTGAGCCTGAGAGGTTGCAGTGAGTGAGCCAAGGTCGTGCCACTGCACTGCAGCCTGGGTGACAGAGTGAGACCCCATTTCAAAAAAAAAAAAAAATTAGACATTGAGATGGGGATATTACCCTGTGTTATCTGATTGAGTGCAATCTAATCATATGAGTCCTTAAAAGCAGAGAATCTTTCCTGACTGTGGTGAGGGGGATTCAACAAGGAAGAAGGGTTAGAGAAATGCAACATGCAAAGGACTCGACCTGTTGGCACTGATGTAGCTTTGAATATGAGGAAAGGAGACCAAGAACTAAAGAATGCAGTGTTCTCTAGAAGCTGGGATTGACCTTTAAGGTTTACAAGGTCGCAAGTTTGCAAGCAAGAACATGGGGACTCTGATCCCACAATGCAAAGTACTGAGTTCTGCCAACAACCCAAATAAGCAGGAAACAGTTTCTCCCCTAGAGCCTCCAGAAAAGAGTGCACCAGCTGACACCTGGATTTTAGCCCAGGGAGACCTCTACAATACTTCTAGTCTACACAACTGTAAGAAAATAATTTCGGATGATTTAAACTGCTAAGCTTGTGGTAATTTTTTAGCACAGCAATAGAAAATATAATTGGCACATCAAATATCAAATAAAGAACTTGTTTCCAGAATATGTAACAAACTCTTATGACTCAATAATTAGGTAAACAATGTAATTTCTTAAACGGGCAAAAACTTGAGCAGTTATTTCATCAAGGAGCATATGTGAATGGCTAATATGCACACAAAAAGATGCTCGACATCATTAGTCATTAAGGAAATGCAAATTAAAACCGCAACAAATGTGGTAGACAGACTCTAAGTAATGGGCTGTCATTTCTAGATTAGGTTACAAAAAGACTCTGGCTTCAGTCTTGCTCATACTTTCTTGCCCTCTCAAATTGGTCACTCTGATGGAAGCCAGCTGCCCTGTTGTGAGCCACCCTATGGTGAAGCCCACGTGGCAAAGAACTGAGGGAGGCTTTCAGCCCACAGTCAGTGAGGAACTGAGGCCCTCAGTACAACAGCCCATACGGAACTGAATCCTACCAACAACCGCTTGAGTGAGTTTGAAAGCAGATTCTCCCCCTGACCCCTAATCAACCTGAGATGACTACAGCCACAGACAACACCTTGATTGTAGCTTTGTTTGAAATCTGAAAGCCAGAGGACCTAGGACACTTGGATTCTGGACCCACAGAAATTGTGGAATAAATGTTTGATTTTAAGCCACTAAGTTTTGGGGTCATTTGTTATGCAGTTAGACTTACTAGAATGACTATAATAAAAAGCCATCACTACTGAATGTTGGTGATGATGTAGAGAAACCAGAAGCCTCATACGTTGCTTCTGAGAGTGTAAAACAGCACATTGCTTTGGAAAACAGTTTAGTTGTTTCTTAAAAAGATAAACATAAACTGATTGTTCAACCCAGCAATTTCACTCCCAGGAATCTACACAAGAGAAATGAAAGCATATGCCATAAAGAAAACTTGTCTACAAATATTCATGGCAGCATTATTTATAATAGCAAAATCTGGAAACAATCCAAACATCCATCAGCTGTTGAATGACTAAAGAAATTTGATAGAGCCATGCAATAGAATATTATTCAGCAATAAAAAGGATCAAACTGTTGATACATGCTACAATACAGATACAGATGAGCCTCAGAAACATTATGCTAACTAAAAGAAGCCAGATGCAAAACATTACATATTGTATGATGCCATTTAGATCCAAGGTCCAAAAAATGCAAATCTATAGAGACAGAAAGATCAGTGGTTGCCTAGGGCTGGGGATGTGAGTAGGAGTTAGTGTTAATGGGCATGAAGAAACTTTTTGTGGGAGTGGACAAGTCTTAAAATTGATTTATGGGGATGGCTGCACAATCTATAAGGCAAATCACGCCTCATTAAAACTGTTAAAGTGTATCTAGAAATGAATTTATCAAGAAAGGTACAAGACCTTTCAGAAGATAACTATACCATTTTATTGAAGAACATAAAATAAGACCTTAATAAAAACAGAAAAGCACCATGCTTCTGGATATAAATATTTAATAGCATAAAAATATATTTTCCATATGTATTATATATGAAATTTTAATAAGAATCCTTATGGTACTATTTTAAAAAATAACTTTACAGAATGATTCCAAAGTTTTCATAAAATAATAAATTCATAACAACTTACAGTTACCAAAACTTCAGCTATACCAGAAGTTGTTTTCTATAATGTACTGGCATCTCTTAAAAAATAAAACCATTTTATCAAAAATGTACATCTTAGTTATTTAGACAGAAAGCCTACCAGGGCTTATACCAGAGCAGTTTCACCATAAAAAGACATATGAACATAAGCGCATCTGGCATTGAGCCCCTCTGGCATTGGTGTGTTAGGCGTGTCCAAGGGAACGTGAGTAAGGTTTGGATGTAATCATGTGCACATGGTAATATAGATATATTGTATAATCTCAGCCTCCTTTTTAAATCAAAGAGACAAGAATATTTTCTTAATGCTTGATTAGTAAGTAGTGTTGGAAAGAATGAGTTTCTGAATTAATGATTTCCCATATGATGTTAAAGAATAGGATTCAGGAATGGAGAGAAGACAGTGGTTATAGGCATGTGGTCCCTCTCACCCTACTACTTTGAAAAAACATGAACCGTATCCAATAGGCCCACCAATTACTTGCTCAATTACCCAAAGAGTTAGCCCAATCCTCAATTTAAGGGAAAGCAAACTCAGCAGAGAAGAATGGGGACTCCCCCAGGGTCTACAGATGATTTAATGTGCCGGTGACCTAAAAGGAAGACAAGAATGGACAATGGGGAGAGGAAGGAGAGAACAAGAGCATGGAGGCACAAGCGGAGGAGGAAGGCAGGCTGGGCTGCCGGTGCAATCTATGCCATGTAACAGGGCATAGACAGCGCTGGGATATCTTAGAGTTGGATCTCTGTCTTGTGATACTACCTCTGTTCCCAGCATTCCTGGGGGTGCTTCTCAACATCATAGCACACATCAGATTTATTTGAAGAGTTTACGAAGTTCAGATGCCCACATCATACCTCAAAATTAACTGCTGAATTTTTTAAGAGTAGCCATGCCCAGGCCTCACCATAGATTCAGTTAAGAATCTTTGCCGGGCACAGTGTAATCCCAGCACTTTGGGAGGCCGAGGCAGGTGGATCATGAGGTCAGCAGTTCAGGACCAGCCCAGCCAAGATAGTGAAACCCCGTCTCTACTAAAAATACAAAAATTAGCCAGGCGTGGTGGGTGCCTGTAGTCTCAGCTACTACTCGGGAGGCTGAGGAAGGAGAATCGCTTTGAATCTGGGCGGCAGAGGTTGCAGTGAGCCGAGATTGTGCCACTGCACTCCAGCCTGGGCGACAGAGTGAGACTCTGTCTCAAAAAAAAAAAAAAAAAGGGAATATTTAAAGGTGGGGCCTAGTAAGACTATTCTTGAAAAGTTCAGAAGCTGATTTTAAGGTATAGCCTCTGGGAGCTCCAAGAGCAGAGAGTGTTGTCCGCCACTGAATCAAGGACAGCTGCAGTTCCTGGCAATTTCATTTTAGGCCAGAGATTGAAAAGAAAAGATGGGAAAAAAAGAGAGGAGAGAACAAAACTGAAATGAAAAGAAAGCCTGCTTAATGGTGTGCAGTAATTAGTTCTGATCAGCATAATCCTATTATCCCGGGGACACTGAAAACCTCGCAGACTGCATATGGGCATTTTGGGAGCTATCCAAGGCACTTGTCTAGACCAGTCCTAGGGCCAAACTAAGCATACCCACTGGAAAATTTTGGATCCGGGCACAATCATAGATGGTTTTTCCCTGCTCAATTTCCTATCTCTTTCTTGCTACAGCTATAACTAAGGATGCTGTTATCTTACAACTTCAGTTATAAGATATTCAGAATTTCCCCTTTGGGTGTATAAGTACAGTTGTTTTCAAAGTGTATTTCTTGTATACTTGGTAGTTTTCAAGTCACTCAGCAGTACCTATACAATAAGAGAGGCAAGTGTCAGTATGTCAGCATCAGCATTGGCTGCCCAGGGAAATGGGGAGGAAAGGAAGTAATCAGTGATTCAAATATACTATTAATTGAATTCTTTCCTTGACCCATTCACATTTTTTCTTAGTTCTATGAGGTATTCTATGACATTTTTGATAAAAAAGATAAGTGAGTCACGTTTCTGAAGGAACAAAAGGAGGTGATTATTTTCCCTTCTTCTTCTGCTGTAATGGCAGGAAAAGATTTTCTCTGCCTAGGCTAAAGAGAGACTCAACATGCGGTTCACGGAAATCGTGAACACAGACATCAAGGAATCTGTCTCTCTCTCTCTCTCTAACCCTGATAAACAGAAAGCTGTGTCCATCATAAAAGCTTTGCAAAGGACAGACAGAATAACTGCACATTAACAGGCTTCAAGAAGGTGACCCACAGAACTTGTCTAGCAGGTAAAAAGGAAGCTCAATTTAGACATGTGCGTAGGCCTCCTATGTAAGGCAGGTCACTCTGCTCTTTTGAAACATGTTCATATAAATGTTCACAGCGGGTAAAAATAAATTACAAAGTGAAGAAGATAAAATGAAGAGAAAGACAAATAAAACCACTAAGGTTTTTTAAAAGCCACAACTCCAAAAGAACAAATAGACCAAGGTCTTTAGGCAGAATTAGAATTGTTAAAAGTGGCTAACACAGCCCAGCACAGCCACAGGAACAGGACCAGGGTTCATTACAGAAAGGAAAACGGAGCATTAGGTTCCAGAGTTGACACTCCCAGCTGGATAATTCCCTGTGCCCATTCCAGCTGGGGAAGGTAGAGAGAGAGAGAGCCTTTAGTCTCTTGGTCTTTGAATAACAGCACACACATTCAGCATCATGCCAGAAACATGCACATGAGAACAGGAGTTCTTAGTTCAGAAACAGGCAGGCTGCTAGCCACATGCATGTGCAAATATATAGCATTTTATAGGATGCTCCCCTCCCTAGTTTAGCCAATGCAATCTGGTTTGGCCAAGTAATTCTGCATTGCACTGCTAAATCCATTGCACTGCAGTAGTCTGGGAGGCTTCATAGAATACGAACATTAAAATGCATAAAGCTAATGAACTTCCACAGTCAACTCACCAGGATACAGTGTTAAGTTTGTAGAGAAATGTGCCGCTAAGTCCCAAATTGCGTTTTAGGTATGTTAACCTTCTACACTCCCTTCCCACTCGTAATTGGTTCCAAAAGTGCTGATTGGAACCTTGACCATTGGAAATTCCCTTTTCTCCCTCCTTTCCTATAAGAAGTAGAAACTAAATAAATGTTCTTCATCTTCTTCTTTCGTTGTTGTTGTTGTTTTAAAGCAAACATTTGAGCAGTGGGAGTGAGAATAGGCTGAATAATTGGAATATGGTTACAAATGGGAAAAGGGAATACAAAAATTCAACATGTATTTTTTTAAGACAGAGACAGACTTTGCATACCACAAAAGTCACCACTTTAAAGTGTATAGTTCAGTGTTTTTCAGAATATTCACAAGGTTGTGCAACCATATGTGTATGCATTTTAACCATGCCTTTCATAACTGATTTACAAAAATATCTTTAAGACTATAGCAGCTGGGTGCGGTAGCTCACGCCTGTAATCCCAGCACTTTGGGAGGCAGAGGCAGGTGGATCACTTGGGGTCAGGAGTTCGAGACCAGACTGGTCAACATGGTGAAACCCCGTCTCTACTAAAAACACAAAAATTAGCCGGGTGTGCTGCCTTGTGCCTGTAATCCCAGTTACTTGGGAGGCTGAGGCAGGAGAATTGCTTGAACCCAGGAGGCGGAGGTTGCAGCGAGCCAAGATTGCACCATTGTACTCCAGCCTGGGTGAAGAAGCAAGACTCTGTCTCAAAAAAAAAAAAAAAAAAAAAAAAAAAGACTATAGGTAGTGTTTGCGTGTCAGGTGTAAAAAAAATCAAAACTAGCAAAAATTATCTCCTTTCTTACCCTTGTTCTCTGTATATCAATGGTTCTCAAAGTGTGGTCCCCAGAACACAGCATCAACATCACCTAAGCATGTTTGTTAGAGATACAAATTCTTGGGCCCCACCCCAGATTTAATGAATCAGAAAGTAATGAGTGGGGCCCTGCTAACCGTGCTTTAACAAGCCCACCAAAAAGCAATTTTGATGCACAGTGAAGTTTGAGGACCATGGCTCTAGATCAAGACAATTGCTCTAGCTTTCCATAACTATAGATTTCTAATAAATGCATATATATTTAATGTAATTAACATATTGAATTTTTGTGGAAACTTTCCTTCAAGTTAATCCATCAATTTTGTTCTGCTAAATGACCACACACTAACCACTGTATTTAAAACAAAGAGGCTGGGTGCGGTGGCTCACGGCTGTAATCCCAGCACTTTGGGAGGTAGAGGCGGGTGGATCACCTGAGGTCAGGAGTTCAAGACCAGCCTGGCCAACATGGTGAAACTCCATCTCTAATAAAACTACAAAAATTAGCTGAGTGTGGTGATGCATGCCTGTAATCCCAGCTACTCCAGAGGCTGAAGCAGGAGAATCAATTGAACCTGAGAAGAGGAGATTGCAGTGAGCCGAGGTCATGTCATTGCACTCCAGCCTGAGCAACAAGAGCGAAACTCCGTCTCAAAAAAAAAAAAAAGAAAAAAAGAAAGAGAAAAAAGAGGAAAGTGGGGAAGCACAAAAAGAAAAGATAGGCACAATACCTCAAATGAAAATGAAAGGCAAATAAATAGGCCTCCTTAAATTATAAATTTGGTAAGAGAATAAATGGCAAATGTTGACAAGATTCTGAGTTAATCCTTGGTTGATCTGTCTTTTTCTCTACCTTGATCTCCAGCGTTTGTCTATTACAAAGCAGCACCAAGAAATCATAGGATTTCAAACAGTGGAACTCATTTAAAAAAGAAAAAACAGTAAAAGTCCTAGGGTTTCCATGGGATTCTAATCATTAAACCCCAAAACACACATTACACCCCAAAACCTTGCTTGAGTTGTTGCAAGGACAAATAACTAAGCACCCAACCACTGTAGCCTGTGAGGTCTCAGAACATGATTTGAAACCAGCTAATTTTGTTGAACCCTTTCTTTTACCAATACATAAAACAAAGCCCCAAAGATGATTTGTTAAGGTCCCGTAGCTAAAGCTGAGACCTCTGTCTCTCCTGACCTCCAGTCCTGAGCCCATTTCTCTAACAGACTGCGTCCTTTCCACACTGGCCTCCCAAAGTCATCCATTTTTTTGGGGGAGGGGGTAAATTTAATGACTTAGATATTAGGAAAAGATAAATTTTTTTTCAAATCAAGAGTCTAGATTACCTACCACCCAAGTACAACCACTACTGAAAATTTGTTACATCGCCTTATAGTTTTTTCCTTATGCAGGTACATATAAGAACACACGCACACACTTGTAAAATTTTCTACCTGGCTGTTTTCTTCTTAATACTATATGTAAGCAATTTTCCAAGTTCTTCAACTTTCTTTAAAAATGGAAGTTGTAATAGCTGAATGGAGTCAGTTCATTGAGATTATCGTTTTTACATAATTAATTTCCCAGAACTAAATATTTGAGTTGTTTCCAATATTTTATGATAATCTAAAAGCTTTAGTGAGTATTACTGTATACAAATCTTTGTGTATTTATGTGATTATTTCTCTATGGTAAATTCCTAAGAATAGAAAAACTAAGTGAAAAGGTATGAGTAATTTTAAGCCTCTATAAGTGATTGTCCAGCTGCCTTCTAGACAGGATGTATTACAAGCATTCTAATGAGAGCTTATTTAAACTCAGTCTCACCGTATTTGTTCCATCTGTTCTGATCTGCTTGGCAAAAATTAGTGTCTTTTAAATCACTGATTTTTTTATTAATAAATTTTAAAAAGCATTTAAGAGTCAAGCATACACTTATTACAACCCAGCAATACTATTCTCAGGTATTTACCCAAGAAAAAGGAAAAACTATGTCTACAAAGACTTGTGTAGGCCCAAAGTGGAAACAAACTAAATGTCCATCAACTGATAATGGATAAACAAATTGTGGTTTACCCACAATGTGGAATACAAGTCAATAAAAAGGAACAAAATATTAATGCATGCAACAATAGGAATGGCTCTCAAAAACATTATACAAAATAAAGCCAGCCACAGAAGACTATATACTACTGCATGATTTCATCCATATGAGATTCTAAAAAAACCATAAAAGTATGACAGAAAGTAGGTCACTGGTTGCCTGCGGCCAAGGGGAAGAAAAAAGGATTTATGGGAAAGGGGTATGAGAATACTTTTTAGGGTGATAGAACTATATTTTGATTGTGGCCATGGTTATACAACTGTAAACAACTACCAAAATTCACCAAACTCCCCCTTAAAATGCATGAATTTTATCTGTAGAAATTACACCTCAATACAGCTGGAAAAAATAAAAACAAAACCAAAAATAATTTAGAAATGTTTGAGAAAACTAACTTATCCTAAGCTGGAGAATAAAACAAAACAAAAGCAAAAATCACTTAAGAAATTTTGGAGAAAAACTAACATTTTCATTTTTGCTTATTTCCTTTCCATTTGTATCTGTATTCATACATACTCCAGATAATGATCATTACTCTATACACGATTATATACTGTATAATTGCAAATACATGTACATTTATATTCTACACATTTTTATATCACAATTTTACATTTTTCTATATAGTTTTCATGATTATAATTTAAAATAGTAACACATAATTGTCTAAAGCCCTGAAGTGTTAAAAGGTGAATTACAGGTTTAAAGCAAATGGTGCCTCAATATTTGGATGCCACCAAGTGGACAAACTGTATAATGTCGTTGAGATGAAACACTATTTTGTAAGTTTTATAAAGTAAAAATGCTTAATTTAATGTTTACAATTAATTTTAAATTGTGAATAAATTAAAGTTATAACCAGACCATTTTAGAAATGTAGCTAAGGTTGAGACCTGGATCCAGGTCTCCTAGATCATGAACCTCAACTATTTCTTGAAGTAACTTAATTCTCAAATCAGAATCTAGGGAAATCACTTAAGGAAAAGAACTTCCTGTTGAAATTGAGACCTTTACAAACTAAAACTACAGATGTGAATGACAGACACGGGTCTACCTTTAGCAAACCAAAGAATCATTTCGGGACCTCCAAATGCAAATAGCCTTTGCTGTGTGTCTGTCAAGTGACTTCTAACAAAACAATAAGCCCCCTCGGGAAGCACAATGATGAAAACACAGTGAAGGTTGCCTGAAAGGCCGAGAAAAATAGTAGGAAATTTATTTCTATTTGGGCAAGGACTTGCTGATTCTCTTTAGGGGTCTCCATTATTTTCTCCCCATCGTTCCTCCCCTCTCCAGTTCAAGCTTTTACTTTCACATTGAAACAGTAACTGGCTAGAGCCACAAAAAAGAAAGATTATTTCAGGAAAGTGTTTGGTCTCTGCCAAGGTCAACAAAAGAATGACTCCTTCAAAAGAATGCCTTTGAATGACACTGGGCCATTGCCTGCCACCAAGCGGGAGACCAGCACTCTGTTCTGCCTGTAACGCAATACTCTTCCCAATTATTTTTTTCTGGCTATTTTTACCCTCTCCATCTTGCTCATTTAAAGATGACAACATCCATAGACTGAAAAGAAACTGTGAAACAAACAAAAAAACCTCTGTGAGTGCCACTGAAAGAACTCTGAAAGGAACATCCCGAGTCCATAAAGTAAGAAACCACTGAGAGAAGGACATAACTCAGTTTGCGGAGACAGAAGTTCTCAAGGCCCACAGTTTTACTGCGGTAAATTATAGAGCCTGTGATATGGTTTAGATGTGTGTCCGCTCCAAATCTCATGTTGAAATGTGGTCCCCAGTGTTTGAGGTGGGAGCCTGGTGGGAGGTTACTGGGTCATGGGAGCTGATCCCTCAGGAACGGTTTAGTACCATCCCCTTGGTGATAAGAGAGCTTTCACTTAGTTGATGAGAGATCAGCTTGTTTAGAAGAGTTTGGGGCCAGGCGCGGTGGCTCATGCCTGTAATCCCAGCACTTTGGGAGGTCGAGGCAGGCAGATCACGAGGTCAGGAGTTCGAGATGAGCCTGGCAAACATAGTGAAACCCCGTCTCTACTAAAAATACAATAATTAGCGGGGCATGGTGGGCGGACGCCTGTATTCCCAGCTACTTGGGCTGCTGAGGCAAGAGAATCACTTGAACCCAGGAGGCAGAGGTTGTGGTGAGCCAAGATCGCGCCACTGCACTCCAGCCTGGGCAACAGAGCGGGACTCTGTCTCAGAAAAAAAAAAAAAAAAAAAGAGTTTGGGACCTCCACACTTCTCTCTTGCTCTCTTGCCATATGACGTGCCTATTCCTGCTTCACGTTCAACCACGGGTAAAAGCTCTGAGACCTCACCAGAAGCTGAGCACATGCTGGTACCATGCTTGTACAACCTGCGGAACTGTAAGCCAATTAAATCTTTTTTTCTTTATAAATTACCCAGCCTCAGGATTTTCTTTTTTTTTTTTTTCTCGAGACGGAGTCTCGTTCTGTCGCCCAGGATGGAGTGCAGTGGCGCGATCTCGGCTCACTGCAAGCTCCGCCTCCCGGGTTCACGCCATTCTCCTGCCTCAGCCTCCCGAGTAGCTGGGATTACAGGCGCCCGCCACCACGCCCGGCTAATTTTTTGTATTTTTTAGTAGACACGGGGTTTCACCGTGTTAGCCAGGATGGTCTCGATCTCCTGACCTCGTGATCCGCCCACCTCGGACTCCCAGAGTGCTGGGATTACAGGCGTGAGCCACTGCGCCCGGCCAGGAGTTTCTTATTTAAATGAACATGTATCCTGTTTACAGTCTTTGGCTATTTTTATTATTATCTTCTTACCTGAAACTCTCTGAGCAAATCTGATTGCTTCTTCAACCGGGTCTGAGTTTACAACTTTATCTAGAATGCCCAGCTTGAGTGCTTCATCTGCTAAAATACGTCTTCCTGAAATAAACAACAACAACAATAACAACAAATCAAAGAGCGATGTAAGATTAAAGCAAAAGCATTACTCTCTCTAGTAGGAAAGGCTGTCTGTCTGGATATAAATATCTATTATTGAATAAAATAAGTAAGAACCACACTCACTGAAAGAATAGAAAGATCACCACTGAGGTAACCAGGAAACTTGGATTCAAGCTCCAGCTCTAGTTTCCACTATTTGTGTGACCATGAAGAACTGCACCAGGACCACAATTTCCTCATTGGCAAATGGCAATAATTATGCTTATCTCAGTAATTCTGAGTATTAAGTGAGAATAACAGATTCTCTTTATATTCTATAAATCTCTATAGAAGTACTTTATGAACTACAGATCTCTATAGAAATGTGAGATGTTTAGTTTTTTATAATAATAATAGAAGTAGCAGCAGCAGAGTAATATATAGTATCTACCTTATCCCTAGCACACCCCATTGGCTGTGGATGGTTAAAAAAAAAAAAGGACCGGGCACGGTGGCTCACGCCTGTAATCCCAGCACTTTGGGAGGCCAAGGCGGGTGGATCACCTGAGGTCAGGAGTTCGAGACCAGCCTGGCCAACATGGTGAAACCCTGTCTCTACTACAAATACAAAAATTAACTGGGCATGGTAGTGGGCACCTGTAATCCCAGCTACTCAGGAGGCTGAGGCAGGAGAATCGCTTGAACCCAGGAGGTGGAGATTACAGTGGGCTGAGATCACACCACTGCACTCCAGCCTGGGCAAAAGAGATAGACTCCATCTCCAAAAACAAAGAAAAAGAGAGAGAGAGAAAATTTAAAAAAAAGATAGTCCCCAGACATAAATATAGTTAACTCAATGAGAAAAAAATTAAGTTGACATTCTATAAGGTATAATTAAAATTACCTAGGACAAATGGGATGGATTTCTGCCAGTTTTTGGCTACCCAGCATCTCAGCTCCTCCCTTAGTTTGTGGAATTGCTATTGTGTGAGCTTTGAAGCCCTGCCTTCTACTACAGAAGCTGAAAAGGACACAGATGATTAGACAATTGACAATTTGACTGTGGCAGCTGGAGTGTGGCCCATGACCCCAGTTAGTGAACTGAGTGCTCTGTTGAGGGTTTTTAGCTTGGAGTTAGTGACACTAAGCAGCAGCGACAGGTTAAATCTCATTTCACAGGTGCCAATATCTAGTGTCTGGCAGTGGTGGTGCTGGTATACTTAGCATCCAATCATGCCATTGGCATCCTCCAGTACAGAATGTCAGCAATAGGAGATATAGAAGTTTGATGAGGGTTTGCACCGTTCCTAAATTTGCCTTGACAGTTCTTCACCAGTTGTAAATATGCAATTTGATCTGCATATTCTGAGGTAAGAGGTAGGGGACATCAGCATCCCCTACCCCAGGGTCAGAAGGAAGAAGACAGTGACACATCGCTTGCTTTCTTGCCAGTACCATCTTGCCTTCTGAAAAGCAACCATCAAATCCATCTTGGTGGCAACAGTCCCACAGTCTTCACTGCACTTACAGTGTTGGTGGATGCCATCGGAGACAAACCCTCCATTCCTGGTTCTTATTATTGCTTCAGAGAACTACAAATGAGTTTTCTTGATTGGATAGAAAGTTCAGTGATTTTTTTTTGGTAGGTCTCTCTTTGAAAAGCAGTATTTGGGCAGTTTTCTGGAAGTATCTCTGAAAACAGGCTTTCAGATCTCCTTCTGGAGTAAGGAGTAGGGTAAGAGGTACATAAATGGTTTCTGTACATAAGTATCCTGTGTATAAAATCACTTTGGTAAGGAGAGAGTGAATCAGCCTACCCAGGTTAAGGGAACCAAGCAAACACAAAATGGGACATGGAAACCTGGATATTATTATAAAAGGATTTTGAGGTCAACTAAGCAGGGAGAATGTGAGCTACTCCCAGATAGACTAAAAATTTCTCTAGCTGTAATGATTTCTTCTGGCTTGGATTTCACAAAATTGGAAGAGTACCACTACTATTCTAACAGAGTCAATGGGATTCCAAGTACAGTCATATGCCATATAATAACATTTCTGTCAACAACACATATATGATGGTGGTCCCATATGATTACGATATCATATATTTACTGTACCTTTTCTATGTTAGATGTGTTTAGATACATAAATACTTTCCATTGTGTTACAAATGCCTACAGTATTCAGTACAGTAACATGCTGCACAGGTTTGTAGCCTAGGAACAAGAGGCCATACCATATAGCCTAGGTGTGTAATAGGCTATACCATCTAGGTTTGTGTAAGTAAACCATGATGGTCACATAACAACAAACTCGCCTAATGATTTCTCAGAATATATCTCGTTGTTCAATGATGCATAGCTGGACTTTTATCCTGTATCAAAGAACTAAGGATCTAAAGACATGGCTCTGTATATCCAATCCAGATTCTTAGGCTGTAATTTAAAATTGTTTTTTCTTATGACATCGTAAGTGTAGATGACAACCACTGTCCAATGGGCTCTAATAAGAACCCTGTGTGCCCTAAGGGAACTGAGGTTGAGAGTTTCTTCTCCAACCTGAGTAATCTCAATTTTTTCCAATTTTCTTGATAGCTTCTTTTCTAACCTTTACAATTTTTTTCCACATGGAACTCTTTCCAAATGTCATATTCAAGTTTTCCTAAAATTGTGCAGACTACTTAAAAAGACAGGTGTATAATTCTAATGTTAGCTTTCTTCTAATTCACTATGACCTTTTCTATGCAAATCAAAACCCCATCATATTCTTACTGTTTTTACCTCTTTTCTGCATGTTAAAAATAGTGATGTTTCTTTAAGCAGTGCTTTGGGAAAAGGCCAATCCTAGTTCATTTTATTTCTTTTTGTCAAAGCCAGTTTTCCTGATTTCTTCCAATAATCTTGGTTTCAGGCAATACTGCAAATAGGGCAACAAAATTATTCAATATTCCCCCATATACTTTAAGTATCTGTAAACCCTCAAATTTACAGACTCATTTTACACTATTATGATTTCCTCCTATATTTTAGGCTTCTTTGCTTCCTATTTTGTCTTTTGCACAATAAATTGTCTCATGTGCTTTGAATCCTGTAGTATGTTGGATCCTAAGCATCCTTTTATGAATTTGACATTACATACTTAAAATAGTTCACATTCTTTAAACTGTATTTATTATACCATTATAAATTAAAACTATCTAACTTGATTTATTGAAGGAAATAAATGTCATATTTCTGGTCTAACTCTCCTTTTATACACTACAGATTTATAAAATCATCCCCCCATTTAAAGGAAAAATCCATTTTTAATGCATATAGCCTCATGATATTTTTTTTTCTTTTTTTTTTTTTTTGAGATGGAGTCTCACTGTCACCCAGGCTGGAGTGCAGTGGCGCAATCTCGGCTCACTGCAACCTCTGCTTCCTGGGTTCAAGCGATTTTCCTGCCTCAGTCTCTCGAGTAGTTGGTACTACAGGCCCATGCCACCACCCCCGGCTACTTTTTTGTATTTTTAGTGGAGATGAGGTTTCACCATGTTGACCAGGCTGGTATCAAATTCCTGACCTTAGGTGATCCACCTGCCTTGGACTCTGAAAGTGCTGGGATTACAGGCATGAGCCACCGTGCCCGGCCCGCCTCACATTATTTTCTAATTTGGCTAATGTATACACAATTTTATATCATGGTTTCTATACGGATTTCTACTAGCAGTTATCAAACGGGTCTTAGGACCCCTTTGCACTCTTAAAAATTATGGAGAACTCCAAAAAGCTTGTGTTTATGTAGGTTATATATATCAATATTTACTGTATTAGAAATTAAAACTGCAAGCTTTTGTCTGGGTGTAGAAATCACAAGGCCGGATGTGGTGGCTCACACCTGTAATCCCAGCACTTTGGGAGGCCAAGGCAGGAGGATCACCTGAGGTCAGGAGTTTGAGACCAGCCTGGCCAACATGGTGCCCCCCGCCCCCTGTTTCTACTAAAAATACAAACATTGGCTGGGTGTGCCACGAGCCTGTGGACCCAGCTACTTGGGAGGCTGAAGCAGGATAACTACTTGAACCTGGGAGGCGGAGGCTGCAGTGAGCCGAGATCGTGCCACTGCACTCCAGCCTGGGTGACAGTGGGAGATACCATCTCAGAAAAATAAAAATAAAAAAAGAAAAATCACTGCAAGCTTTAAAAATGTTTCTTTATTAGTTCATTTTAAAATAATAAACTCACTGCATGTTAGCATAATGTTTTTATGCAAAATAATTATATAAAAAATTTAAAAATTAGGGAGAAGAGTGCAATTGTTTTATATTTTTGCAAATTTATTTACTGTCTGATTTAACAGAAGACAGCTGCATTCTCATTCTCCTATTGCTTCTGCATTCAATCTGTTGTGATATCACAAGGCATATTACAGTCTCTGGAAAATTCCACTACACATTTGTGAGAAAGGCAAGTAATGTCTTATTATTACGAAAATAGATCTGATCTCAAGGACTCTGTAAAGGTCTTAGGCCACACCCGAGAGTCCCTGGACCACACTTTAAGAACCCTGAGATTTAGATCATCATTCTTCATAAATATTACATAGCATCCTAGCATGTGAATATTCCACAGCATTTACTTGTGGCTGGTATAATTTTAGTTCCTTTGAAAGTAACCTTTCGTTTTATTTGTTTTTATCCTGGGGAAGCTTGCAGGATTCTATTTTCTGGAAGTTTAAAATCTTTACCAAGACACATCAAAGAATTATCTCCTCATCAGTTTTTCCAGGAAAATGGCATGCTTGTTAAAGTACAATCTCTGATGCTATTTAATGTCTGAAGAATTTCTTCTATTTTTTCTTTTGGTTATTGCTTTCATTTTTTTTGCCTTGTGCTTTGGGAGCACGTATTATTCAAAGCAGAGACCTCTGTTATGTATCTTCCATGTCTGCTATCTTCATTTACATTTTATTTATCTTTTTGTTAAATTCTTCTGAATTCTTTAGATGTGTCTCTTTTTATCCTCTATGTTGTTGATTCTGTAATCTATCCTACCACATCTTTTTATTGCTTCAAAAAGAAATTATTTTGGCTAAGGTTTTGATTTTAAATACGGTGTTCTTATTTAACAAAATATTTTCTTTTCTAGTTTAGAATAATGTGAGTTTTCTAAAATTTTTTGTTTTCTTTAATGTTTCAGCAGACTGACGTTTATGTTTCTTTTTTTTTAAGTCATAAAATATTTTCATAGGTTTTAGAGTTGCAGTTGTTTTAGTTTTAAGAATTTTTGTGTGTCTTTCTTTTGGTCATAGAACAATATTTGCTGATATTAATTATTTCTGCCTGAGAGCCTTGAGGTGCTAGTACTAAAAAATGTATAGCGAAAACCCACCTGGACCTACAGCTAAAAGGCAGGCAGGATAAAGATGTTACTCCCAATTCCTCTTTCCCCCCATAGTATTCTGGGTAGTAAGAGGTATCCCACCAAAGTCTAGAGCTCAAAGCCTGTCCTGTGAATGAGTATAGAGAAACTCATCAGGGCTGGGGCCAAGCTTTATGAGAATACAGCAGAGCTTTCTATGCTTTTCTGTGAACAAAGGGGACAGCACCTAGAAAATAAAACAGAAAGAGGAGCAGGACACTGTAGTCCTGTCAGTTGATTGGACAGAGAACATCAGCGAACGAACTGCAATATGATCAGGCATATCCTTTGTGGTTACTGCTAAAGATTCGTTCATTTTCAGACGGCATTCTAAGGAAATTGTGGAGAAGGTTGCTGTTGTAATCACTCTACTTTCCAGAATTACCTGTCTTATGGATTTCAGAAGATCAGAAAGGGTTAGCCACCTAAATCTATTTACTTATTAATTTCCTATGGGAACAGTGCCTACAAAGTTGGCACTTTTTTTCCTCATTCACATCAGTAGGGAATCTTCAACTTTCACAATTTAACTAATCTTTTTCTTTAACACCCTTTCTTAGAAAAAAAAAAATTTCGGCCGGGCGCAGTGGCTCACACCTGTAATCCCAGCACTTTGGGAGGCCGAGGCGGGTGGCTCACTTGAGGTCGGCGGTTTGAGACCAGCCTGGTCAACATGGTGAAACCTTGTCTCTACTAAAAATACAAAAAATTAGCCGGGTGTGGTGGCACGTGCCTGTAATCCCAGCTACTGGAGAGGCTGAAGCAGGAGAATCACTTGAACCCGGGAGGTGGAGGTTGTGGTGAGCTGAGATCGTGCCACTGTACTCCAGTCTGGGAGACAGAATGAGACCCTGTCACCAAAAAAAAAAAAAAAAAAAAAAAGAAAGAAAAAAATATTTTCCAAACCAAAGCAGGATTCTGAATATCGTGATTACTAATAGCTTTTGTATTAGTAGTGTATTACTGCTGTAACAAATTACCACAAACTCAGAGGCTTAAAACACACATTTACTATCTTATAGTTTAAGATGTCAAAAGTCTAAAACAGGTCAGCAGAAGGTGTTCCTTCTGGATGCTGTAAGAAAGAATGTTTTCCTTGTCTTTTCCACTTCTAGAAGCTGCTTACATTACTTGGCTTGTGACCTCTCCTGCCATCTTCAAAGCCAGCACATAGTGTCTTCTCTCTTCTCTGACCTTCTGCTTCCCTCTTATAAGGACTCTTGTGATAAAATGGGCTGAGCTAGATAGTCCAGGGTAATCTCCCTCTCAAGATCTTTAATGTAATCACACGTACAAAGGTTATTTTGAATGTAACATAATATATTCACAGGTTCTGGGAATTAGGACGTGGACATCTTTGGGGGCCAGATACCGTTTATGAAATGTGGTCTGTTTAACAGGCACTATATCAGAAGCATGTCATGTTATTTCATTATTCCTTAAAACAACCATGTGGTTGTTTACTGATGAGAAAACAGAGGCTTAGAGGAGTTCAGAAGACCTCTCTCTCCTAAACCCCAGGCCTGTCTATCCAATTGTCTATTTGACATCTCCACTTGGATGTGTAACAGGCCTCTCAAACTTAACATGTCCCAAATGAAGCTCTTGTGATACTTCCATAAAACCTGCTCTATCAGCAGAAATCCCAGTCTTAGTGATGGCACCATCCTTCCAGCTACTCACTCTGGCCATTAGATCATCCTTGACTCTCCTCTTTCTCTCACATCTCGTATCTGCTCTGTCACAAAATCCTGTTGGCTCTACTTTCAAAATATCTCCAGAATCTGACCATATCTTATGATTTACATTGCCACTACTCAGATCCAAGCCCCCATCATCTCTCCCTTGGATTATGATAGCAGCCCTCAGTCTTCCTGTTTTTGTCCTTGTCTCCAATTAGTATATTTTCAACAGCCAGAGTGATTGTTTGAAAAACCTAAGTGAGAGCATGTTACTCCTCTGCTTGAAACACTCCAATGCCTTTCTTCCTCATTCACAAGAAAAGCCAAAGTTCTTTCTATAACCTTCCAAGCCCAAAAAGATATGACTTCATCCTCTTACTACTTTTCCCCTGACTCATTTCATTCCAGTTACATTGACCTTCTTGCTGTTCTTTGAACATTCCAAGCATGTCCCTGCCTCAGGTCTTTGTACTTGCTATTTTCTGTATGTGGGATTTCTTCCTCCAGATATTGGCATAACAAGCTTCCTTACCTTCTTCAGGTCTTTACTCAGATGTCATTTTGTAGAGAAACCTTTTCTAGCTACCCTACCTGAAATATTAATTCACCTCCCATTCCTAACATTTTATATCTCTCCCTTTCTGTTTTGTGTTTTCTTAGCACTTATCTCCACCTGTCTATATCTATCTATCTATCTAAATTATATAATAGGTAGGCATATGTGTGTGCATACAGTTGTGGTGGCTAGTCTCCAAAGTGACCCCCAGCAAGTCTAACCACTTGGTATTCAAGCTTCTTCCCATACTGAATAGAGAAGACCTGCATAGCCAATAGGAGAGTTTAGAAAAGATGGCATGTGACTCTAACGGTAGGTCATAAAAGACACTGTGGTGTCTTTCTGGAGGAAGCGAGCTGTCACACTGTGTGAATACTCAGGAAGCTCTATGGAGAGGTCCCCGTACATAGGAAAGGAAGCCTCCTGCCAAGGTCAGCACCATCTAGTCATCCATGTGACTGGGTCATCTTGAAAGTAGATCCTCCAGGCCGGGCACAGTGGCTCACGCCTGTAATCCCAGCACTTTGGGAGGCTGAGGCAGGTGGATCACCTGTGGTCAGGAGTTCAAGACCAGCCTGGCCAACATGGTGAAACCCTGTCTCTACTAATAATACAAAAATTAGCCGGGCATGGTGGCGCATTTCTGTAATCCCAGTTACTCAGGAGGCTGAGGCAGGAGAATCACTTGAACCCAGGAGATGGAAGTTACAGTGAGCCAAGATTGTGCCACTGCACTCCAGCCTGGGTGACAAGAGTGAAACTCCATCTCCAAAAAAAAAAAAAAAAAGAAAGAAAGAAAGAAAGTAGATCCTCCAGATGACTACAGCCCTAGTCACAGTGTCTTGACTCCGATCTCATGACAAACCCTGAGCTATATCCCAAGTAAGCTGCTCCCAAATTCCTAACACAGAAACTAGGAAAAAACTGTAAATTAAACCATGACTTACAATGAATCTGAGAGTCATCTCACTTTGAAAGCTGTGGGGAAAAGGACATTTTTGAATTAATGAAATATGACAATGATGATTATTGTTGTGATTATTGTTCTGTTCTTCATACAATCTCCATGAAGGCAGAAATTTTTGTTGGTTCATTTCACTGCTATAGGCCTAATGCCTAGAAAAGGGCCCAGCATATGAGAGAAAATTAATAATTGCTGGATGAATAAATAAAAATTAAGTTGCACAAGGCATATTATTTATATGTGGTAGAGTTGGGATTCAAAGCCAGGTCTTTGATTCTAAAGCTTGTGCTCTTTTTATGGCCTGTTCTTCAGCATATAGTCTAATACCAAGATCTTCATCTCACTTTTCTTCAATTTTCCTCTTTTACTAAAAAAGACAGATCTTTGGGTATAATAATATATACCTGGCTGGGCGCAGCAGCTCACGCCTGTAATCCCAGCACTTTGGGGGGCCAAGGCAGGCGGATCACCTGAGGTTGGTAGTTCCAGACCAGCCTGACCAACATGGAGAAACCCCGACTCTACTAAAAATACAAAATTAGCTGGGCGTGGTGGTGCATGCCTGTAATCCCAGCTACTTGGGAGGCTGAGGCAGGAGAATTGCGTGAACTCAGGAGGCAGAGGTTGCGGTGAGCTGAGATCGCAGCATTGCATCCCCGTCTGGGCAACAAGAGTGAAACTCGGTCTCAAAAAAAAATAGGTCAGGCCCAGTGGCTCACACCTGTAATCCCAGCACTTTGGGAGGCCGAGGCAGGCAGATCACCTGAGGTGAGGAGTTCGAGACAAGCCTGACCAACATGGAGAAACCCTGTCTCTACTAAAAATACAAAAATTAGCCAGGTGTGGAGGTGCATGCCTGTAATCCCAGCTACTTGGGAGGCTGAGGCAGGAGAATCGCTTGAACCTGGGAGGCGGAGGTTGTGGTGAGTTGAGATCGCGCCATTGCACTCCAGCCTGGGCAACTAGAGCAAAACTCCATCTCAAGAAAGAAATTATTAATAAATAATAATAATATATATCTAACAATTATGGAGTGATCACCATGTGTGGGGCTGTCCTAAGGACATTGTACGCAGTAACTTATCCGATTTTCGCCACATCACCCTATAGTAGGTGCTATTCCTAGCTACATTTATAAAGAAAATAAGGCACAAAAAAGTAAGATGACTGACCTAAATTCTTATTATTAGTTATATCTGTTTGAAGTGTATTGTTGCATATGTTCTTTCTTCTAAATTGACCTCAACTGAAAGTCTCTTTAATGTCTTACAAACAAATATATGGTAAACCTGAGGCAGGAGAATCACTTGAACCCAGGAGGCGGAGGTTGCACTGAGCAGAGATCACTCCACTGCATTCCAGCCTGGCGATAGAGTGAGACTCCGTCTCAAAAAAAAAAAAAAAAAAAAAAAAATATATATATATATATATATATGGAGAGAGAGAGAGAGAGAGAGAGAAAGAGAGTAAATCCAGGGTCTCTAAATGTGGTCTAGTGTTGTAGTGTTCACATTCTCTATTGAGAAAGAACAACTTATAAAGCACCGGGCTGGCCGGATGTGGTGGCTCACACCTGTAATCCCAGCACTTTTGGGAGGCCAAGGCAGGTGGATCACCTGAGGTAGGGAGTTTGAGACCAGCCTGACAAACATGGAGAAACCCCGTCTCTACTAAAAGTACAAAATTAGCTGGGCATGGTAGCACATGCCTGTAATCCCAGCTACTTGGGAGGCTGAGGCAGGAGAATCACTTGAACCCGGGAGGTGGAGGTTGCCGTGAGCCGAGATCATGCCACTGCACTCCAGCCTGGGCTACAAGAGCGAAACTCCGTCTCAAAAAAAAGAAAATAAAAAGAACAACTTGCATTTCTAGCTGATATCTTAATACTTGCCAGTGAAAAATTTAGTCATTTTCATATTAAAATTTGAAAACATACCTTGAAAATTATGGTTTTCTCATTTATATTACAATTTTTTTTTAGATGAGTCTCGCTCTGTTGCCCAGGCTGGAGTGCAGTGGCGTAGTCTCAGCTCACCGCAACCTCCGCTTCCTGGGTTCAAGCGATTCTCCTGCCTCAGTCTCCCGAGTAGCTGGGATTACAGGTGCCTGCCACCATGCCCAGGTAATTTTTTTGTATTTTAATAGAGATGGGGTTTCACCATGCTGGTTTCCAACTCCTGACCTCAAGTGATCTGCCCATCTCGGCCTCCCAAAGTGCTGGGATTACAGGCATGAGCCACTGCGTGCGGCCTATATTACAATTTCTAAATTAGTTCTGAATATAATGCAGTCTATGTGAACACCAGTGTTGATGAATAGTCACTTGAACTGAAATAAAATCCTAAATTTGATTCGCTCTTTGCATGCACTTTCATTTAAAAGGCTCTCACATTTGATCTTCACGATAACGTTTGAGAAGCTCAGAAAGGTAGTTCTCCATATTACAGATCAGAAAATCGAGAGGCCAAGAAGTTCAAGAATCCTTTTATGGTTACATAGGGAGTAGGTGGTCAAGCCAGAATTTTTCTAAATCCTAGTCCAATTCTTCACACTAATCTAGACAGTTGTTGCCAAGGTCTATACTGACCTGAGGTAATTAAGTCAAGTGCAGCAGGAACTCCAGTGAGTCTGGGGAGAAGCTGGGTTCCTCTTGCACCAGGGAGAAGTCCCAGTGTAACTTCTGGTAAGCCAACTTGAGCCTATCAAAGATTGAAGGCATAAAGGCCATTAGCATGAGATGGTATGTTCAGAGTTAAGGCAAGCGTTTCCCTGGATTTCCTGTATTCTCAAAAGCATGGTGTCACTGAATTCAGCAAGATTTCTACAGGGCAAATTAGTGCACATCCTTTTCTTTAATTAACAGCATAAACAGAGCTGTGCTGTCCCTAACTCTTCATGTTGAAACACATTTTTAGCTTCTTACACATTTATTCTCTGACTGTAATATGACCTGTCTCAGCCAACAAAAATAATTTTCTCTGGAAACAACTTTCTGGAGTCCTGCAAGAATCAGGAAACACAAGAAAGTGAAAAGACAACCCACAGAATGGGAGAGAATATACATATCTTACAAATTATATATCTGATATAGGATTTCTATCTAGAATATATAAAGAACTTTACAAATCAATAATAAAAGACAAGCAACCTGTTAAAAATGGGCAAACGATCTGGATAGACATTCCTCCAAAGAAGAGATACAAATGGCCAGTAAGCACTTGAAAAGATGCTCAACATCATTAGCCATCAGAGGAATACAAATCAAAACCACAAGGTAACACTTTATACCCACTAAGATGGCTATTTAAAAAACGACAGACAATAACAGGTGTTGGAGAGGATATGGAGAATACAGAATCCTCATACATTGCTAGTGGGAATATAAAACAGAGTAGACACTTTGGAAAACAATCTGGCAGCTTCTTAAATGTTAAACATAGAGTTACCATATGACCCATCAAATCCATTCCTGGGTATATACCCAAGAGAAATGAAAACATATGCCCACAAAAATCCTGTATACAGATTTTCATGGCACCATGGTTCATAAAAGCCAAAAAAGTAGAAGCAACCCAAATGTCCATCAATGATTAGTGGATAAATGAAAGGTAGTACATCCATACAATGGAATATTATTCAGCAAAATCAATAAAGAACTGATTCATGCTACAACGTGGATGAACATTGAAAACATGCTAAACAAAAAAAGCCAGTCACAGGAGACCACATATCATATGATTCTGTTTATATGAAATATCCAGAATAGGCAAAACATGCTAAACAAAAAAAGCCAGTCACAGGAGACCACATATCGTATGATTCTGTTTATATGAAATATCCAGAATAGGCAAAACATGATAAACAAAAAAAGCCAGTCACAGGAGACCACATATCATATGATTCTGTTTATATGAAATATCCAGAATAGGCAAAACATGATAAACAAAAAAAGCCAGTCACAGGAGACCACATATCATATGATTCTGTTTATATGAAATATCCAGAATAGGCAAAACATGATAAACAAAAAAAGCCAGTCACAGGAGACCACATATCGTATGATTCTGTTTATATGAAATATCCAGAATAGGCAAAACATGATAAACAAAAAAAGCCAGTCACAGGAGACCACATATCATATGATTCTGTTTATATGAAATATCCAGAATAGGCAAAACATGATAAACAAAAAAAGCCAGTCACAGGAGACCACATATCATATGATTCTGTTTATATGAAATATCCAGAATAGGCAAAACATGATAAACAAAAAAAGCCAGTCACAGGAGACCACATATCATATGATTCTGTTTATATGAAATATCCAGAATAGGCAAAACATGATAAACAAAAAAAGCCAGTCACAGGAGACCACATATCATATGATTCTGTTTATATGAAATATCCAGAATAGGCAAAACATGATAAACAAAAAAAGCCAGTCACAGGAGACCACATATCATATGATTCTGTTTATATGAAATATCCAGAATAGGCAAAACATGATAAACAAAAAAAGCCAGTCACAGGAGACCACATATCATATGATTCTGTTTATATGAAATATCCAGAATAGGCAAAACATGATAAACAAAAAAAGCCAGTCACAGGAGACCACATATCATATGATTCTGTTTATATGAAATATCCAGAATAGGCAAAACATGATAAACAAAAAAAGCCAGTCACAGGAGACCACATATCATATGATTCTGTTTATATGAAATATCCAGAATAGGCAAAACATGATAAACAAAAAAAGCCAGTCACAGGAGACCACATATCGTATGATTCTGTTTATATGAAATATCCAGAATAGGCAAAACATGCTAAACAAAAAAAGCCAGTCACAGGAGACCACATATTGTATGATTCTGTTTATATGAAATATCCAGAATAGGCAAATCTATAGAGACAGAAAGTAGATTAGTAGGTGCTTAGGATAGCAGAAGGTGATGGAGGATTACTGCTACAGGATACAAGGTTTCTTTTTGGGGTGATAAAATGTTCTAAAATTTACTGTGATAATGGTTGCACAACTCTGAGAATATACTCATATACCATTGAATTGCACACTTTAAATGAATGAATTGTATGGTATTTAAATTACATCTCCAAAAGGCTATTTTTTTTTTTTAAAGTCAGACAGTAATCTCAGTCCAGACAAGAAGGGGAGCTTGAGTCCTTTATTTTATTGCCTTTCTTGGCCCATTCCATTTAAAAGTGGCTGAGGATCTGTTAGCCATTTACAGGTATAAGGGTGAGAGGAGGGTACTTAAATGCGGACTGCCATTTACCCAGATCGTGATTCTAGCAGTTCCAAAATACCTCACATATGTGAGGCCTGTCTTACATGAGGTTTTCCTAACAGTCAATCACCATTCTTTCCATCACTGCCCATCTCTACCTCTTTACTTATTGCTAGTAACTCAGATCTGCACTCAGGGTACAGGTTGTGGTAAGAGGGACACAGAAAAGGAGCACTTAGGACATATATGTGTATTTATTTGTAAGCATTTATAAAAATTAAAACACCATTGGGAAATGGTTAAATAAATTCTGGTATAGCCATATGATTGAATATTATGCCGCCACTTATAATGATTTTTTTTCTTTTTTTTGAGACAGAGTTTAGCTCTTGTTGCCCAGGCTGGAGTGCAATGGTGCGATCTCGGCTCACTGCAACCTCCGTCTCCTGGGTTCAAGTGATTCTCCTGCCTCAGCCTCCCAAGTAGCTGGGATTACAGGCATGTGCTACCACGCCCAGCTAATTTTGTATTTTTAGTAGAGGCGGGATTTCTCCATGTTGGTCAGGCTGGTCTTGAACTCCTGACCTCAGGTGATCCGCCTGCCTTGGCCTCCCAAAGTGCTGGGATTACAGGCGTGAGCCACTGTTCTTGGCCTATAATGATATTTTTAAAGAATATTTACCAGAAGAGTAACATGATTTCTCCTCAGCCACAGAGGCCAGAAGGCATGAAATAACATACACAAAGTGCCAAAAGAAAACAACTGTCAATCAAGAATTCTATATCCAACAAAACTATCTTTTGAAAATGAAGGCAAAATTAACACATTTCCAGATAAAGAAAAACTGATTTTGTTGTTAGTATATTTGCCCTATAAGAAATACTTCAGGCTGTAATGAAAAGGCACTAGACAGTAACTTGAATTCACATGAAGAAATAAAGAACACTGATAAAGAGTAACTTCATGGGTAAATATAAAAGACAGTAATAATGTATTTTTCATTTGTAATTCCTCTTTTTCTTATCTGATTTAGGACCACTATGTAAAGCAACAATGATAAATCTATGTTAAGCAGTACATAATGTATGAAGATATAACTTGTGACAATAATAGCATAAAGGGGCAAGTAATGGAGGCTACAGAGGAGCAAATTTTTTGTATATTATTAAAATTCAGTCAGTATTAATCTGAACTACATTGTCATAAATTAAGATGTTAATTGTAATCACCAAGTTAACCACCATTAAGAAAATAACTAAAAATATATATAGTAAAAGAAACAGCAAGAAAGTTACAAGGGTATACTTTTACATTTAACACAAATGAAAGCAGTAATGGAGGAATTGAACAAAAAAACCAAAAAGCATAGAAAACAAATAGCAAAATGGCAGATGTTCTTCCTTATCAGTAATTACATTAAATATAAGTGTATTAAGTTCTCTAATTAAAAGACAGAGATTGGCAGAATAAAGAATATTTAATTATGGGTTAAATATTATAGTATAAAAATAGAGTATAAACTAAATACAAAAAAAGCCCAAATGTGGTTTTTTTTGTTGTTGTTTGTTTTGAGATGGAGACCCGCTCTGTCACCAGGCTGGAGTGCAGTGGCACGATCTCAGCTTACTGCAACCTCCACCTTCCAGGTTCAAGTGATTCTCCTGCCTCAGCCTCCCGAGTAGCTGGGATTACAGGCGCCTGCCAGCATGCCCAGCTAATTTTTGTATTTTTAGTAGAGACGGGGTTTCATCATGTTGGCCAGGATGGTCTCGATCTCCTGACTTTGTGATCTGCCTGCCTCGGCCTCCCAAAGTGCTGGGATTACAGGCATGAGCCACCATGCCCAGCCAATGTACTTTTTTTTAAAGGACATTTTTCAAAGGAAAAAGAATCTGTAAGAAAAAATTACATACAAAAAAAGACTAGAATGAAATAGAATGTTAATAGTGGTTATTTCTGAACTGTGAGTTTATGATGATTTTAGTTTACATCTGTATACTTTCTTATGTTCTCTAGTTTAGTAGAATGAATATTATTTTCATCATTAGAAAAATATATTAATTACAAAAATGCCACCATTATATATACTGTGATACACAGTGGTATCACAGACCTCATCTGACATGTCTAACAGCCTAAATTAAACCTATTTCCAGAAATTTCCCCATATTTACTAGTTTTGTGCTATTTTCCAATAGAAATTTGTCTTATTAGGTACTGATAATTATAAGGGACCATGAAACAGAAATCTTTGAGTTATCAAAGAAGTATTTAAATGTATACTTAGAAGTGACAGCCAACATATTTAATACTCATACTGCATGAGCACTGCATCAGTGAAACCTGATATGGGTCATAGTACTGGAGGTAGAGTCTCGGGGCTCTCTATTGACTCAGGAGTTCCCCTGTAGCTGATGGATCAGAGAGAGGCCCTAGGGCTAAGGTTAAGGGAAACAAGATCATAGAGAGGCCCTAGGGCTAAGGTTAAGGGAAACAAGGAGTTCCCCTGTAGCTGATGGATCAGAGAGAGGCCCTAGGGCTAAGGTTAAGGGAAACAAGATCATAGAGAGGCCCTAGGGCTAAGGTTAAGGGAAACAAGGAGTTCCCCTGTAGTTGATGGATCATAGAGAGGCCCTAGGGCTAAGGTTAAGGGAAACAAGGGAAACTAGGGCTCAGAGTAGCAGGTGTTTACTTACCAGAATGGAAGTGAAGTATTTGAACATTTTAACAATTAGTACCACTGTACTGGCACGTAACAGCTGAAGTCGTTAACCAGTAAGCTAACCATTCAAAATTATCACCTCTGGGCCGGGTGCAGTGGCTCATGCCTGTAATCCCAGCACTTTGGGAAGCCAAGGTGGGTGGTCACCTGAGGTCAGGAGTTTGAGACCAGCCTGGCCAACATGGTGAAACCCCGTCTCTACTAAAAATACAAAAATTTGCTGGGCATGGTAGCATGCCTGTAGTCCCAGCTTCTTGGGAGGCTGAGGAAGGAGAATTGCTTGAACTCGGGAGGTGGAGGTTGCAGTGAGCCGAGATCACACCACTGCACTCCAGCCTGGAAGACAGAGTGAGACTCCATCTCAAAAAAACAAATAAATAAAATAATCACCGCTGATACTTATGACTACATTTAGAGTTTGCCCTAAAGAAAAGCCCCACACACCAGCCACTATATAGAGCCTTGGTTGTTACCTCTGCGTGGGCAATCCTATAGTGACAGCCCAGGGCCAGCTCTAGTCCCCCTCCGAAAGCCATGCCTTGGATTGCTGCCACCACGGGCTTCTCATTTCTCTGTATTTCATCTACTACATGTCCCAGTGTAAGGCCAAATGTCCTAGGAGCACTGAAGCCACGAATATCAGCACCTAAGGGCACAAAGACAAGGAGAAAACAGAGTTGAGAAATACATGGGCATTGTTATATAACAGTAAGTTACCTGATACTCTTTAAAAAATTAATTTGTTTTATTTATTTCTTAATTTTTTTTAGAGTTCCTGATGACTAAAGTCTCAGACCTCTTTGGGCCCTTACACTTCATCCTTGGCTGAAAACAAGTATATTGGAGAATGTAGAATGCTATGAGAGAAAATCCTTGAATCTTTACCAGGAATTCTGTAATTTTCTAAAATCTATCTTTCCATATAATAAGTAGTAAGTCTATATTTAAAAAAATTAAAAATCTCAGAAAAGGGGAATAGGGACTCTCCTCCAAAGATCATTATTCTGAGATTGAGTCAGCCCCTCTCATTTTTGTATGTGTGATACTGTTAATCAAGTCTATTCACAGCAACTTAGCTCCATATCTTTGTTAAGGGCATGAGTCATCACAATATAAAATATCAGGGTAACATGTATACATATTTATGAGTTATATGTTAATCAAGCAGCTTAGAATTATGTTTTTGTAATAGATTTTTATCTTCAATAAAAATAATATTTATTGCTTTTCCTGATTATAAAAATAACATGTATTATGGAAAATTTGAAAACCACGCAAAATTAAAAAGAACATGAAGATCACCCTAAATATCACTATATAGCCATAATTTAATATTTTGAGGAGTTCTTAGTTTTTTTCCACATGTGTGAGCGAGCATTACAACCTGAGCTCTGCCTTCTGTCAGATCAGTAGCGGCATTAGATTCTCACAGGAGCGTGAACCCTATTGTGAACTGCACAAGTGAGGGATCTAGGTTGCGCTCTCCTTATGAGAATCTAATGCCTGATGATCTGAGGTGGAACAGTTTCATCCCAAAACAATCCCTGCCCCCCCACCCTCCCAGGCCTGCACCCCCACCCACTACCCCTGTCCATGGAAAAACTGTCTTCCATGAAACCAGTCCCTGGTACCAAAAAGGTTGAGGACAGCTGATTTAGAGCATACCATAAAATCATTTTTATATTTTCCTGTTTTCATATAACATTATACATAGTAAGCTTTTTCCTACAGCATTATCTATTCTTTGAAAACACTAAGCTTGGTACAAGTTTTAAAAATTAATTATTTTATATCTAGCCTATTCATCTTTTTTTCCCTTTTTGCTACCTGTTCCTCATCTAGCATCAATCCAGGAGTTAAGCTTTTTTCTCACCAATTCATTATATTTCACTCTCTAGTCCAGTGTTTTGTTTCGTGTTTTCAATTCCTTTTGGTTCTAGAGAAACAAGATCAATTTCAATCCAAGTCTCAAGCCTATCATTCCTGTAGCTTTAGATTGAGATAGTTTTTTAGATAATAACAGAAATGAACAATTATTGGATAAATGCATCAAGCACTGTGCTAAGCAGTTTCATATACTGTGTCATTTAATTTTCATAACACCTAAGTTAAGCAGCATAACAATTCCCATTTTACAGGTAAGGAAGTTAATGCTTTGAGACAAGTGACTACTTCAGACATATGACTAATAACTGGTAGAATAGGGATTTAAACTTAGGCAATTTGACTACAAACCCCACATTCTTAAAAGCTATACTATATTCTTCTACTTACAGCATAAGGTTAGTATGATTATTATCCCAGTTTCTGAAAAACCAAAGCACAAACAGTGTAGTGATTTCACTTTTTAATTATTTCCAGCACATCAAAATCTAATTAATATTGGGATATTGATTTTTATACCCAGCAAAACTGCTAAATTTTCTTATTAATTCTAACAATTTTTTAATAGATTATTTTGATTTTTCTACAAACATTATTGTATCTTCTGAATAATGAAGTTTTGTTTCTTCTTTTTCATTCCTTATATCTTTTGTTTCTTTTACTAGCTTTACTGGTTTATCAAGAACCTTGAATACAATGTCAAAAGAAATAGTGAGAGCAGTCAGCTTTGTCTTGTTCCTTTCTCATAAGGAAAGCTTTCAATTCGCCATTTTGTTTGTTTCCTGTAGATTTTTCAAAATGGATACCTTTTGCCTGATTAAGGCATTTTCTTTTTGTACCTCATTTACTAAGAATGTTTCTTCTTAATGCACGTCAAATGTTATAGAATGCTTTTTCTACATCTCGACATAATCATATAATTTTTCTTTTTAATCTTTTAATGGGATGAATTTCATTAATCTAGTGTTCAACCAATCTGATATTCCTAGGACAAAAGTGATATATTATGCTTTTTATATGTTGTTAGATTCAGCTTCACAGTACACTAAGATTATTTAAAATTATTTTTATAGATTCGGGGGGTACATGTACAGGTTTGTTACACAGATATATTGCATAATGGTGAAGTCTGGGTTTTTGGTGTGCCTATCACCCAAACGGTGAACATTGTACCACTTGGTAACTTTTCAACCCTCACCCCAACCTCCTTGCCCTTTTGAAGGTCCCTATGTCTATTACTTCCCTCTGTATGTCCATGTGTTCCCATTGTTTAGCTCCCCCTTTTTTTCCCTGACAATTATTCCTTCATAATAGCTCCCACTTATAAGTGAGAATATGCGGTATTTGATTTTCTATTTCTGAGTTATTTTACTTAGGATAATGGCCTAAGGAAAGACGTAATTTCATTCTTTTTTATGGTTGTGTAGTATACTATGGTTTTCTTTATCTAATCAACCATTGATAGACCCTTAGGTTGATTCCATGACTTTGCTATCATTAACAGTGCTGTGATAAACATATGAGTACAGGTATCTTTTGATATAATAATATATTTTCCTTTGGACGGATCCCCAGTAGTTGGATTGCTGGGTCAAATGATAGCTCTGTTTTTAATTCTTTGAGAAATCTCCATACTGTTTTTCCATAAAGGTTGTACTAATTTCCATTCCAAATAACAGTGTATAAGCATTCCCTTTTCTCTGCATCCTTGCCAACATATTGTTGTTTTACTTTTTAATAATAGTCACTCTAAGTGGTGTGAGATATCTCATTGCAGTTTTGATTTACATTTCTCTGATGATTAGTGATGTTGAGAATTTTTTCATATGTTTATTGGCCACTTGTATGTCTCCTTTTGGCAAATGTATATGTCCTATGTGTACTTCAAAAAAAATTTTTAAGTATATATAACCAAAAGACAATGTCCACTTTTTAATGGAGTTAATTGGTTTTTCCTTGTTGAGTTGTTTGAGTTCCTTATAGATTCCAGATATTAGTCCTTTGTCGGATGCACAGTTTGCAAATATTTTCTCCCATTCTGTAGGTTGTCTGTTTACTCTGCTGATTATTTCTTTTGCTGTGCAGAAGCTCTTAATTAAGTCCCATTCATCTATTTTTGTTTTTGTTGCATTTGAGGTCTTAGTCAAAAGTTATTTGCCTAGGCCAACGTCCAAAAGAGATTTCCTAAATATTCATCCAGGAATTTTTATGATTTTAGATCTTACACATAAGTCTTTAATCCATCCTCAATTAATTTTTGTATATGGTGAAAGATAGGGGTCCAGCTTCATTCTTCTGCATATGGCTCTCCAATTTTCCCAGCACCATTTATTGAACAGCATATCCTTTCCCATTGCATATTTTTGTTGACTTTATTGAAGATCAGTTGGTGTAGGTATGCGGTTTTATTTCTGGGTTCTCTATTCTGTTCCACTGGTCTATGTGTCTATTTTTGTATCAGTACCATGCTGGTTTGGTTACCATAGCCTTATAATATAATATGAAGTCAGGTAATGTGTTGCCCCCAGCTTTGTTCTTTTTCTTAGGATTGCTTTGGCTATTTGAGCTCTTTTTTGTTTCCATATTAATTTTAGGATTGTTTTTTCTAATTCCATGAAAAATGACATTGGTAATTTGATAGGAATTGCATTGAATCTGTATATTGTTTTGGGCAGTATGTCCATTTTAACAATATTGATTCTTTCAATGCATGAGCATGGATGTTTTTCCATTTGTCTGTGTCATCTATCATTTATTTCATCAGTGTTTTGTAGTACCCCTTGTAGAGATCTTTCACCTCATTGGTTAAATGTATTCCTAGGTATTTTATTTTTTTGTGGCTATTGTAAATGGGACTGAGTTTTTGATTTGGTTCTCAGCTTGAACGTTATTGGTGTATAGAATGCTACTGATTTTTGTACATTCATTTTGTATCCTGAAACTTACTGAAGTCATTTATCAAGTGTAAGAGTCTTTTGGAAGAGTCGTTAGGATTTTCTAAGTATAAGACCATGTTATCAATGAACACAGGAAATCTGACTTCCTCTTTTCCAATTTGGATGCCTTTTATTTCTTTCTGTTGCCTGATTGCTCTGGCTAGGACTTCCAGTACTATGTTGACTAGGAGTGGTGAGAGTGGGCATCCTTGTCTTGTTCCAGTTTTCAGGAGTAATGTTTTCACCTGTTCCTCATTCAGTATGATGTTGGCTGTGGTTTTGTTGTATATAGCTTTTATTATTTTGAGGTATTTTTTGATGTCTAGTTTGTTGAGGGGTTTTATCATGAAGGGATGTTGGATTTTACCAAATGCTTTTTCTGCATCTATTGAGGTGATCATGGATTTTGTTTTTTAATTCTGTTTATCTGGTGAATCACAGTTACTGAAGCATCCTAGAAACCCTGCAATAAAGCCCATCTAATATTGATGTAATATCTTTTTGAAGTGCTATTGGATTTAGTTTGACAGTATTTTGCTGATGATTTTAGCATTTATGTTCATCAGTTATATTGGCCTTTAGTTTTTGTTTTTTTTTTTTCTTGTGTCCTTGCCTGATTTTGGTATCAAGGTGGTACTGCTTTCATAGAATGATTTAGGGAGGAATCTTTCCTCCTTGATTTTTCAGAATAGTTTCAGGAAGATTGGTACCAGCTCTTCTTTGCACATCTGGTAAAATTTGGCTGTGAATCTATCTGGTCTTGGGTTTTTTTTGGTCAAAAAATTTTTTATTACTGATTCAATCTCATAACTCAGTATTGGTCTGTTCAGGATTTCTATTTCTTCCTGATTCAGTCTTGGGAGGTTGTATGTTTACAGGAATTTATCCATTTTTTTTTTTAGGTATTCTAGTTTATGCATGTAGAGATGTGCACAGTAGTCTCTGAGCATCTTTTGTCTTTTTGTGGAATCAGCTGTACTGTCACCTTTATAATTTCTAATTGTGTTTATTTGAAACTTCTCTCTTTTTGATTAGTTTAGCTAGCAGTATATAAATTTTTCTCTTTTCAAAGAACCAACTTTTCATCTCATTTATCCTTTGTATCTTCTTATACTATATTACGAACTTATATTTGTAATATTTTCATAAGTATATTTCTTTTTTCTGTTTTTATTTTTATTTTTCCATAGGTTATTGGGGTACAGGTGGTGTTTGGTTACATAAGTAACTTCTTTAGTGGTGATCTGTGAGATTTTGGTGCACCCATCACCCAAGCAGTATATACTGCACTGTATTTGTAGTCTTTTATCCCTTGCCCCACTCCCACCCTTCCCCCCCAAATCCCCAAAGTCCATTGTATCATTCTTATGCCTTTGCATCCTCATAGCTTAGCTCCCACATATCAGTGAGAACGTACAATATTTGGTTTTCCATTCCTGAGTTACTTTACTTAGAATAATAGTCTCCAATCTCATCCAGATTGCTGCGAATGCTGTTAATTCATTCCTTTTTATGGCTGAGTAGTATTCCATCGTATAAAAATACCACAGTTTGTTTATCCACTCGTTGATTGATGGGCATTTGGGTTGGTTCCACAATTTTGCAACTGCAAATTGTGTTGCTGTAAATGTGTGTGCAAGTATCTTTTTCGTATGACTTTTTTCCTCTGCATAGATACCAAGTAGTAGGATTGCTGGATCAAATGGTAGTTCTACTTTTAGCTCTTTAAGGAATCTCCACACTGTTTTCCATAGTAGTTGTACTAGTTTACATTCCCACCAGCAATGTACAAGTGTTTCCTTTTCATCGCATCCACATCAACATCTACTGTTTTTTGATTTTTTGATTATGACCATTCTTGCGGGAGTAAGGTGGTATCGCATTGTGGTTTTGATTTGCATTTCCCTGATCATTAGTGATGTTGAGCATTTTTTCATATGCTTGTTGGCCAATTGTGTATATTCTTTTGAGAATTGTCTATTCATGTCCTTAGCCCACTTTTTAATGGGATTTTTTTTTCTTGTTGATATGTTTGAGTTTGTTGTAGAGTCTGGGTATTAGTCCTTTGTTAGATGTATAGATGGTGAAGATTTTCCCCCACTCTGTGGGTTGTCTGTTTACTCTGCTGACTGTTCCTTTTGCTGTGCAAAAGCTCTTTAGTTTAATTAACTCCCAACTATTTATCTTTGTTTTTATTGCATTTGCTTTTGGGTTCTTGGTCATGAAATGCTTGCCTAAGCCAATGTCTAGAAGGGTTTTTCCAATGTTGTCTTCTAGAATTTTTATAGTTTCAGGTTTTATATTTAAGTCCTTGATCCATCTTGAGTTATTTTTGTATAAAGTGAGAGATGAGGATCCAATTTCATTCTCCTACATGTGGCTAACCAATTATCCCAGCTGTGTCCAAGCAGAGAATCAAATCAATAACTCATCCCCTTTTAAAATAGCTGCAAAAAAATAAAATAAACTATTTAGGAAGCAAAAGATCTCTACAAGGAAAACAACAAAACACTGCTGAAAGAAACCTTAGATGATGTTAACAAATGGAAACACATCCCATGCTCATGGATGGGTAGAATCAATATTGTGAAAATGACCACGCTGCCAAAAGCAATCTACAAATTCAATGCAACCCCCATCAAAATACCACCATTATTCTTCACAGAATTAGAAAAAGAATTCTAAAATTCATATGGAACCAAAAAAAGAGCCTGCATAGCCAAAGCAAGACTAAGCAAAAAGAACAAATCTGGAGGCATCACACTACCTGATTTCAAACTATACTATAAGGCCATAGTCACCAAAACAGCATGGTACTAGTATAAAAATAGGCACATAGACCAATGGAACAGAAGAGAGAACCCAAAAAATAAACCCAAATACCTACAGCCAACTGATCTTTGACAAAGCAAACAAAAACAAAGTGGGGAAAGGACACTCTTTTCAACTTTCACTGGAGTCATGTACCTAAAAGGATTATGGCTGCCTCTGCCGAGTCATGCAGGTTGTAAGGAAAGTGGGGGAAAGCTGGCAGACTCAGGCCTCACCCAGCTCCCACACAATCCAAAGGGCTGGTCTCACTCCCCATCTAACAGCACTGAGTCTGTTTCCAGGCAGTGGGCAAGCAGGGCTAAGAACTTGCCCCAGGCTACCCACCTCCCAGCTGCATAAGGGCTTTAGTTCTTCCCCTGCCTGTGAAGTCTGCACTCCAGATTCCCACCCTCCCCCGAGTTCTGGCCAGGAGGCTTCTAGACTGGTTCAAATTGTTACAAAGTTCAGCTGCAGACTTTCGTCTCCCTGTGGTGTTTTCCCCATGCCTCTGGCCACCCTCTCGAAGGATCTCTGTGATGCTAGGCAGGAATGGCCTGCCTGGGGACCCAGCAAGCTCCCAGGGCCTTTCCTGCTGCTTCCTCCACCCATGTATTTCACATGGCTCTCTAAATTGACTCATCTCCAGGTAAGGTCAGAATCTTCTCCCACAAACTAGACCTCCAGTTTCCCCAGTGGGGGTGTGTGTTCCAGAATGGAGGATCTCCCTCTCCCATTTCCGCAGTTTGGGCACTCACAGTATTTGGGATGTCTCCTGTGTCCTGCAGGAGCAGTCTGCTTCCTTCAGAGGGTCTGTGGGTCCTCTTGGGATTCCTGATTTATTCCAGTAGTCATTCTGGAGCTAAAATTCACGACATGAGCCTCTGCATGCTGCTCTGTCCATCCAAGTCAGAGCTGCAATCTAGTCTGTGTCCCGTCCACCATGATGATCCTTAATCCTCATTATTATTTTTTTGTCTTAATCTCATTTAGTTCTGCTCAGATCTTTGTTATTTCTTTTCTTCTGCTAGCTCTGGGTTTGGTTTTTTTCTTGTTTTTCTAGTTCCTTGAGGTGCAACATTAGGTTGTGACTTTAAGATCTTTCTATATTTTAAAAAAATTTCTGCCTTGATTTCCTCATTTACCTAATGAACATTCAGGAGCAAGTTGTTTAGTTCCCATGTATTTGTAGAGTTTTGAGAGTTCCTCTTGCTACTGATTTCTACTTTTATTCCACTATAATATGAAACGATACTTGATATGATTTAGATTTTTTTGAATTTGTTGAGATTTGATTTATGGCCAAGCATATGATTTATTTTGGAGAACGTTCCATGCACAGAATGTCCCATGCACAAATAGAAAAATGTGTATTTTGCGGTTATTGCATAGAATGTTCTATAAGTGTGTCTATTAGGTCCATTTGGTCTAAAGTCTAGTTTAAGTCCATAGTTTCTTTGTTGATTTTCTGCCTTAATCATCTGTCTAGTGCTGTCAGCGGGGTTTTGAAGTCCTCCCTTATTATTGTATAGCTGTCTATCTCTTTTATTAGGTTGAGTAGTATTTGTTTTATAAATCTGAGTTGTCCATTTTGGGATGCATATATATTTAAGACAGCTATATCTTCTCCTTGTATTGAACCCTTTATTATTATATAATACATTCTTTGTCTTTTTACTGTTGTTGATTTAAAATCTGCTTTATCTGATGTAAATATAGCTACTACTGCTCATTTTTGTTTTGTGTTTGCACAGTGTATCTTTTTCCACTCCATTGAGTTTGTGGGTGTTTTTACCAAAGGGTGTCACTTGTGGGCAGAAAACGATCAGGTTTTGTTTTTTAATCCAATTTGCCTGTCTATATGTTTAAGTGGAGGATTTAGGCCATTTATGTTCAGGGTTAATATTGATATATGAGGGTTTGTTTCCGTCATAATATTGTTACCTAGTTGCTTTGTTGTCTCAATTTACACTACGATTTTTATATCTACATTTATAAATGAAATTAGCCTGTAATTTTTCTTTTCCATACTGTCCTTGTCAGGTGTTAGTATCAAGGGTATGCTGCCTCAAAAAATGAGTTGGGAAGTGTACTGAGTTGAATAGTGTTTACCCAGAAGCTGTGAGTGTGACATTTGGAAAGAAGGTCTTCGCAGATGTTATCAAATTAAGATGAGGTCATGCTGAGTTAGGGTGGGCCTATAGAAGATCAGGAAAATTTAGACATGGAGGAAAGAAAGCCATGTGATTAAAGTGAGACTGGAGTGATGCATCCATAGGCCAAGGATTGCTAGAAACCATAAGAAGCTAGAAGAGGCAAGGAAGGATTCTTCCCTAAAGAAAACAGAAGAAGAATGACCCTGCTGATATCTTGATTACAAACTTCTATCCTCCAGAGCAATGAGAGAATAGATTTCTGTTGTTTTAAGCCACTTGGTTTGTGGCAATTTGTTATGGTGCTCTAAGAAACTAATAGAGAAAGTGGCCCCACTTTTTTGATTCTCTGAAATGTTTATGTAAAATTGGAATATTTTCCTTGACTTTACAGTAGACCTTGCCAGTGGAGTCTTCAGGGTCAAGTATTTACTTGGTGAGATTTCTGATTACTGATTGAATTTCTTTAATGATTACAGAACTATTTGGGTTTTCTATTTCTTCTTGAGTTAATTTTGAGAAGCTATTTTTTTTACATGTTCATAATATTTTCATTATCTTTCTTTTTTCACTGTTACAATAACTTTAATTTATCTTGTATTTTACAGAAGTCTATGAACGATTTTAAAAAAGCACCTCTTTACCCCATATCATGTTTCTCTGACAGTTGTTAAAGTAGTCTATACATATGTCAACAGCTTGAGCATCAGCATCTTGCAAGGATTTCACACCAACCAGCCACTAGCCAAAGAACTTGGCAGCTTTTTTATCTTGCTTTTAATACAATGGTATATCCACTCTGATGGCAAACTGGTTTAGCCACATATCCACAACACGCTTTGAAAAATCAGTGATTAGCAAATTAGTTAGCTTTGGCACAGGGCTGTGCTCGCTTGCCCATGACAGTCTGGAAGCCAGTTTTGATACTGGCAACAGAACATCTAGAATGACAAGTTTCACACTGTAGGAAATAAGAGTTGCATGTCCTTCTGCAGGATTGTGTCCAGTGATCAGCATGTGTGACAAGTGACATACTCCTTGATAAATCTTAAGACATTTTCTATCTGTTTTTGTTGGAATCTTCCTTTACAAGTTGGTTATTACCATCTATAGAACCACTTGTACCCAATTCAACCAACAAAAATGCAAGTGTGCTGACAATATAATAGTTTACAGATATCTGTAAAGTTGACAGAAGAAGTTTTCTTGGTTCCTACTCAGACGACCTGTGGAGGTTGCATAACGAATTTCTTTTTCTCCCCAGCAACCATATCTGGATTCTTTTCCCTCATGATGTTGAACACACAATTCAGCAGCTCCTCTTATGTGTAGTCTCCTTCTGAGCCTGCCCAAGCAGGGCCTGTCTGATTACTGAATGAGATACCATCATCTTTTTTGCTATCTTCATCTTCTAGAGCTTCATCTTTCTCTAGTAGTTCATCCTCATCTGGGAACTTGACATTCTTCTTTTTCTTCTTTTTATTCCAAGCATAATGTCAAGGTCATCCTCTGGTTCAGCTGGTTCTTGAACATCACTTTCAATCTTAAGATCCTTTACAACTTCTTCAGCTTCATCAATATCAAATATCTTTTTTGTTTTTTTTTCTTTTTCTTTTGATTAAAGAAGTTCAAGTCATCTAGATCATCAGAAGCATCGTTTTTCCTACTGTCCTCATTGTCAGCTTCCAAATCTTTGTCCTCAGTTGGCTCTGGCTCCAGACTTTTGTTTCTGAGGGCTGCGTTTCCTGTTTGAGTATCCCCTTCCTCATCTAACATAAAAGGCTTCTTCTTCTTCTTTTCTTCTTGCTCACAGTAGGATCAAAAATCATCTCATCTCCAGATATGGATGCGATTCCAGTGGGCTCCGCATGGATGGGAAGTCAGACAGGTCAGCCCCCAGGCCCCGTGGCAGCGCTGCTCCTGCTGATACCTCTCCCACCACCGCACTAGGCTCTTGCATCAGCCAAAGGGCCATTATCTTTCTTAAAGGCTACAGTATCTGCAATGATATCCCTTTCATCATTCTTTATATGCATTGCTTGGTGCCTTCTCTTCTCCTTCAATCTCTCCAGAGTTTGTCAATTGTATTAGTCTCAAAAAACTAACATTGTTGTTCCTCTTGATTCAAATGTTTTCTATTTCATTAATTTCTCCTCTTTATTATTTCCTTTCTTCTACTTGATTAGGGTGTATTTTACGGTTAGTTTGTCAGTTCCTTTACATAAATACTTAACTCATTATATTTCAGCCATTTTTCTTTTCTAATATATATTTTTAAAGCTATAAATTTTCTGATAAGTTTTACTTTAGCTGCATCCCTCAAGTTTTATATTATGTTTTCATTGCCATTCAGTTCCAAATTTTTTCTAAATTCCATTATTTCTGTTTTTACTCAGAGGATATTGGAAATTAACTTCCAAACATATGAGAATTACTAGTTATATTTTTGTTATTGATTTCTAGCTTAATTGCATTGTTGTCAGATAATGTATTCTTAATGAAATTTATTTAGATAAGATTTTATAATTCAGTATCTGGTCAATTTTTGTAAATGTTCCAGATGTATTTCAGAAGAATGTATATTCTCCCATTTTGGGGTGCATTGTTCTATGTAAATGTATTAAGTCAAGTTTCATAATCCCTAATACTTTTTTAGAAGAATAATTTTTTCTGCCTCCAAACTCTAATTACATTCTCTCATCTACCTTCTTTCTTACAAAGAAATATCAAGTTCTTTATCATTCTGAGCACTCTTCCCATGCATCATCGTCATCATCTTGGGTGACAAACCTTAAATTTCCAAACAGTGAGTAAGCCATTTAATAACTGGTTAAGGTTTGGGACATTATATTAATCTCTCCCAGGCTCAAAATCTCTTCTTACCTGTAAATGAGGATTGTAGGACTAACTGAGAATTAACATATAACATGTTTAAAAATACTATTATTTTTATTATTATTATTTAATAAATAACCTACATGGTACTGGCATATAACAGGCAAGATAAATGGTAATATTATAATGATTCACATTTTTATATTTATTTATTGCCATGATTCTAACATCTGTGTCTTTTCAGACTACCATTAACACATATTAAATTTCTCTGGCTACAGTAAGGTTGAATAGGCCCCCATATCCATGTGACTTTTGTCAAAGGGTATAATGTATGAATATTAAGGAAAAGACGCCATATATGCCATTGAATAAATCACCATTTCAGCATACTTTTGCCATATTTTGTCAATAATTTTGCATCTTCACACAATAACCCAATAAAGCAGTGCCATGGTCACTGAGATGGGTGACTATCGGAAGAAAAATGAATTCTATTATAAGACTCTGTGTGAATTAAACAATAACATTTATTGACCATCTTCTTTGTGTAGGTACTGTAGTAGAGGCTTTCAGATATGTTATCTCGCTTAATGTCACAAAAACCCCTTAAAATAGATATTATTGTTCCCACTTTATAGATAGAGAAATTGAGGTTCAGGAAGTTAAAGAGATTTGCCCAAGCCCACATATGGTGGAGATACATGCAATGCAGGTATATATCAGCAGGTGTATAACAGCCATCAAGTCTGGAACTAAATATACTCTAAAAGCCCAATCCACAATAAAAGAGACTAAGCCCTTCTCTGGGTCTCTCTTGTAATTCCTGTCCCTTTCTCCACAGTGTTACTCATTCTCACTCAAGTCTGCCATATCCATTACCTACACTAAGTTATTACCAACAAGCACAGCTAATGCAGTATTGGTCTCAGTCTGTGGCTGGATTCCAGAGATGGTGGGAGAGGGTTAGACTTGAGTTACCTGCAGAAAATTTGCCCTCTGCTCCACAAATCACAATGGCTTTTATTGTATGGTCTATTACAGCTTTCTGTAGTCCTTCTTTTATGTCACGGAGTAAAGTCGTACTAAAAGAAAACAAAATACATGAAGTAAATCAGTCAGAATTAAATTCCTACCATTCAGAGTGTTTTCCTTTCCTAAAAATGAAAAATTAAACACACACATAATGGATAAAAACTGTAGATACTTCTCAATAAAGCTTCCAACAAATAATATGTCTACTATGACTATTAAATTTCTTCTACAAATAATATATATGCCTATGATTAATTAAGCACTGACCAGATTAAATTAATCCACTTTTTAAAAATGTAATTTTCCTGCACTGTGCTTTCACTTTGACCGCTTAAAATTGACACCAACCAATTTAAAAATATTATTACATGTCTTCTATATATTGTACAAGGAGTTATCCAATACTTGTACATAATTTATCATGTAAGGCACACTAAGATATCTGAGTGCTGTAATAAAGGTACAAAGAAAAAGTGATGTTGAAGTTCAGAGAAGGGTGAAATTACTTTCAGTTTTTCATATTGTTAAAATATAAGAAAATTAAATGAGAAACAGTCTAGGAGCTGTGGCGGGGGCTGTGAGTTACCTCAAATATCCATTCCTCTCCATCGTCTTCATAGTATTAAAACACTTGGTTTTTACTTGAATATATGTGATATGGTTTGGCTCTTTTTTTTTTGAAATGGAGTCTTGCTCTGTCACCCAGGCTGGAGTGCAGTGGCGCGATCTGGGCTCACTGCAAGCTCTGCCTCCCGGGTTCACGCCATTCTCCTGACTCAGCCTCCTGAGTAGCTGGGACTACAGGCGCCCGCCACCACGTCCGGCTAATTTTTTGTATTTTTAGTAGAGACGGGGTTTCACCGTGTTAACCAGGATGTTCTCGATCTCTTGAGCTCGTGATCCACCCACCTCGGCCTCCCAAAGTGCTGGGATTACAGGTGTGAGCCACCGCGCCCAGCCTGGTTTGGCTCTTTATCCCCACCAAAACTTCATTTCAAACTGTGATCCCCACGTCAGGGAGGGACCTAGCGGGAGTTGATTGGATCATGCCAGTGGTTTCCCCCTGCTGCTGTTCTGTGAGGGAATTCTCAGGAGATCTAGTGGTTTATAAGTTGCAGTTTCCCCTGCACTCATGCCTCTCTCCTGCCACCTTGTGAAGAAGGTACTTGCTTCTCCTTTGCCTTCCACCATGATTGTAAGTTTCCCCAGGCTTCCCCAGCCATGTGGAACTGTGATCAATTAAGCCTCCTTCCTTTATAAATTACCCAGTCTCGGATATGTCTTTATAGCAGTGTGAAAATGGACTAACACAAAAATATGGTTGCCCAAAATAAAGACTATATTTTCCAGCCTGCTTTACAGTAAGGTCTGCACAAGGAACTAAGTTCTAGCCAATGGGATGGAAGCATATTTGGTATATGCAACTTTGGGGAAGAGTTCTTAAAGATTTGGGTATGCTTTTCCCTTTTTCTTTCCTCCCTATTCCTGGCACCAGTGATGGTTAGATCAGGAGCAGCCACCTTGGATCAGGAGGTAGAAGCTATGTATTGAGGATGGTAGAGCAAGAGATAGACAGAGAAAATAATTGAGGCCCCTGTTGATTGTGGAGCAGCTGTATCATTCCAGGGCACTGCTGTGAGAGAAATTAGCTTTTTATTGTCTAATTCACTATTATCTTCACTATTCTGTCAGTGACAGCCAAGCGTAATCTTAACTAAGATAAGATATAAAGGCAAGATAGTGGAAAGATAGGGCATGTAGCAGATTTTGCCAAGTTTTAATATATGAGGAAGTCATCTGCAGAAGAGATAGCTAAAACCAAGACTGAATGAGTCTACCAAAGGAAAAGAGAGCTGAGGGCAGATCCTCTGGATATATCTTCATTTAAGAAGTGGGACAAGCTCAGCAGAGTGATTCAGCAAGTGAGCTCAAAGTCACAAAGACCAAGAGAGAAAATTTGTGAAGAAGGAGGGGATTAATAAGTACCAAGCAATAAGAGAATCTAGGGCAAGTGGTGAGGAACTGCTTAAAAGGAAAAACCACAGAACCAGATTCCAATCAGTTTTGCCTTGGAATTCCAAGTATTCTGAGTAAAATCTCTGTTCTTTAGTACACAGGGTTAAAAATAAATTTTAAAACAAAACAAACAACAACAAACTTCTGTAAAGGCCATATTGTTAAGACCAACAACTATTAGTTAAAACCCCAAGAAATAAAAAGGATACTTGCCCTTATTTATAATGATTCCCTTACACCTAATTACTTTTCACCTCTTAACCTAGATGAAATCAGACAAAACCTCTTGGCTTCAGCTGGTTAATTAGAAGCCAAATCTGACCATGAAAAGCAAATTCAGAACCATTATATAACATCAAAAAGTCCAAAAGGCACACATTTCCTTCTGAATAAACAATGCTTACAAAACTAGCCAAAATTAGCTCAATCAGTGCCACTGAGGAGAAGAAACCAGCTTTTCCCATTTCAACCTATCTTCCTTTTTTATGTTCATAATTTTGCAAATATCAAAAACAGGAAAAAAATGAAAATAGCTATAACAGATACGCACTTTACTAGATTCAAGCTGACAGAGAGAGTCATAGCAATGTAAAGGCCGCAGAAGTTATGAAATTATTTTCTCCTGTTAATACTGTCAGGCATGAAGAAATAGAGTCTGGAGTAGAGACAGCATTTCATGACTACTGACCAAAACTCTTCAGCTTCTTTGACTATAGAAGGTCTTTCCTTTTTTTTTTAGACAGTTTTTTTTTTTAAACCAAAAGTCATCAAATCAAGTTTGTGGCTTGTGACCAGGATTTTTTCAAAGAAAAAGAAGAGATGAGAAAATAGACTATATCAAACAATATACCAAGTAAGGATAGGTTTTGTTTTAGGAAACTGCTTTCGGTTACGTGTTTGTATGTAAGTGTGTCTTGAATTGCTACGTAAAAACGTGAGCTTTCTTACTCTGTGGATTACAGTAAAGCAATCGTGTGAAAGCCATTGTTCTGGGAGACAGGCCTATTAATCAGGCATGTCCTATACTTATAAAGAGGGCTGGTGTTTATCTGAATGGAAGCAAACATGGCTGGCTAAACTAGCAATGAAGGATTTAAACTATTTGTTTTGGGGAAAAAATTTATATGTGTGTGTGTGTGTGTGTGTGTGTGTGTGTATTACACTCAAGTAAGAATCTCTCAATCAGCTAGGAGGAGACGACTTCCCATATAAAATTAGAAATAGGAAGGGGAAAAGGAAGAAAGGGAGGAAAGAAAAAGTGTAAGAAAAAAATTGAGGAATCTGTTAAACTTGAGGAACTCCTAGGATGTCCATTTCTACCTAAAAAAGTTCAGAAGACAGACAAAAAAGGGCAGAGAAGTACTTATTCCCAAGTGGAGAATATCTTCTTGATGAAACTGAAGTGGGTCCTGAGTAGCAGGGCCTGTTTTTGGGGCTTGAACAGGTCTTCTGACTAATAGGAATAACTAACATCTATTAAATGCCACTTCATAATTTCCAGCTGATTTAAACTTCACAACTTTATGAGGTAGGCCCTAACATTTCTCCTGCAAAGAGGATGGGGGTGGCACAGGTGGTTGCATGGGTGGGCAAGGAGAGCAGGTTAAATTCCAGAAATATTAAAAGCAATTGTCAGAGGCTGGGCACGTGGCTCATGCCTGTAATCCCAGCACTTTGGGAGGCCGAGGCAGGTGGATCACGAGGTCAGGAGATTGAGACCATCCTGGCCAACATGGTGAAACCCCGTCTCTACTAAAATACAAAAAATTAGCTGGGCGTGGTGGCACGCACCTGTAGTCCCAGCTACTCGGGAGGCTGAGGCAGGGGAATCACTTGAACCCGGGAGGCAGAGGTTGCAGTGAGCTGAGATCACGCCACTGCACTCCAGCCTGGCGACAGAGCAAGACTCCGTCTCAAAACAAGCAAATGAGCTTAAAAAAAAAAGAAAAAAAAAAAACAGTTGTCAGAAAATATTCCTAGTCATGGGTATTAGAGTATGGAACTTTTCCCCCTAAGGTCCTAATATCTAGCAATTCTAATCAGTATATAGACCAGTCCAAAATTGACATGTAATCATATTACTTACATTTTTCTTTGTCAAAACCAATATAACAGATATTTTGCTTTTTATTCTGGGAATGGCAAGTTAGTAGACATGTCATCCTTATGTGATTTTAGTCCTGCATTTTTTGACATTATTAAATGCAATAATTCATAATGAATTAATATTAATACTAATGATAAATCAAATCCAATGACAGTAGGATTTTTAAATTCTATTAAAATTAGCAGGTCTTCTCATTTCAGTCTCTTTGCTTCAGCAGCATGTTATAAGAATTTTGACCAAAGACCTTTCTCTCTATGCTTTATATATTCTTGATAAATTATAATTTCCACTAATCTTATTCCCTGTGGATAGGTAATTCTTTTTCAAGGCTGACATATAATTATTTTTTTAAGAGATGTAGAAGGACCAAACCAAATAATCATTACTTTTCAAAAAGGCAACATTGATCTCACTTTTTAATGTTTAAAGTGCACCACACAAGGCAAATACTCCCCAGTGAGAAAAAGAAGATAAGGTGCAATTTTTCAGAAAATGCTATTGCATAGGCTTAGTCTGATGTGAGTCTTCCTTGGAAGCACCAAAGTCCTGAGGTTTAAACAAATCAGGAGAAATAATTTTGCGTTTCCGGGCCAGGGCAAAATTCTGCTTTAATCACTGAGCTGGCATTAGTGGGACTTTTAACATTAAAAAAAAAAAAAAAAAAAGTCCCACTAATGCCAGTGATTGCCCTATTCCTAAAGCCTTTAGCCAAACATTGTAAGGACAGCCTGGACTCAAAGAAGGGGAGTGAGGCTGGATCAAAGTCCAACATCAAACTAAGTTAAGACCTTTGGATTAGAAAGTCGGCCTGCACACTGGGACCTGTTGTGGGGTGGGGGGAGGGGGGAGGGATAGCATTAGGAGATATACCTAATATTAAATGACGAGTTAATGGGTGCAGCACACCAACATGGCACATGTATACATATGTAACTAACCTGCACGTTGTGCACATGTACCCTAAAACTTAAAGTATAATTAAAAAAAAAAAAGAAAAATAAAAAGTCGGCCTGCAAAGCCAAAGTTGCAAGTAAGCAGGAGGGCTCCGCATGAAGGACAGGTCGAGGCCAACTCCCTAAGTGTTGATCTGTCTCAGCCTCAGCCTCAGTTTCCTTATCAGTAAAACGGGGACGAGAGTTCCCTGCGAAGATTAACCAAGCTAATCTAGGTTAAAAAAAAAAAAAAAGAAAAGAAAAAGAAAGAAAGAAAAGAAAAAAAAAGTTCCTGGCATGTACCAGTTGCTCAACTCTTGAGTGTCCTTCTCGGTTTAAACCGACGGGGGAGAGTCAAAGCCTCCGGAGCCAGAGGGCGGCTAAGGCCCGCACGGTCCCCGGGCTGGAGGCGACCGAGCCCGTTACCTGATCGCGTTGACCGGCGGGTTTCGGAGGCGGATTAGCGCCAAGGCGTTGTGCAGCCGCGTATACTCGGCCATGTTTCCTCTATCACCGAGGGCACCTCTGCCTCTCGCCGTCAGGCAAACCACTTTTCCGGGCGCGCCCGGCCTCCTCCAGAGGAGGGACGCCGGCTGGGCCAATGCGAGCCGGGGCGCCGCCTCCCGCCGCGCCTCTTCCCACCCAGCCCTCCTCTCCCGAGACCCCACCCGGCGCTCTACAGACGCTTGTCGCTTTCCCTTTATTAACTCCCATGCTGCTCCCACCAGAAGGTACAGCAAGGAGAATGATGGAAAACAGCTGTAATTGCCGGCAAGTCGAAGTTTGTAACCCCTTGGCCCATAGGGGCTGGCTACTGAGGACAAGTTCTGAGTTCGCTGAGACGGGCAAGCTGTCCTCATCGCGGTATTCATCTTCATGATCTTTCTGAACAGGGACAGATACCTGGGGCCCTCCCTGACAGTTATGTGATATTGATACACATCTGGAACACATAAAATACACATTGTTCATTTCACCTAAATGAGTAGGGTACTAATGAAACAGCCTTTGCAAAAATTCTAACAGTGAGAAAATTATGGCAGTCAAAGAGATCTGATTTAACCAACCCCATCTTGCCTTTAGCTGCCCTTAATTATTCCTGAGCTTAGGCCAAGTTAACTTTGGGAGACATTTGGTTTATAGTTTAAATGATAATAGCCCTTCCCCAAAACTCAACTGCCTTTGTAAAGCTAACCGAGAGACCACCAGGCTAGGAGGACAGAGGAGTGTGAATTCTCTCTGCTAAGGTGTAAACATAGACCATTGCCAGCCATTATTCCGGAAGCCACCAGATAGACAACTTCCCCATTTACTCCTGCAGGTAACATTACTATTGTAGAACCTAAGTTTGGCCTTTTGAGATATTTTTTCACGTTTGCCTGACACTGATGGCTCCACCTGGACCAGTCAACAGCTCCTGTGGCCCCACCCACAAGCAACTCAGTACAAGAGGATAGCTTCAACCCCTATGATTTCATCTCCAACCCAACCAGTCAGCATTTTCCATACCCTAGCCCCTGCCCACCAAACCACCTTTGAAAAACCCCTAACCTACTAGCCTTCGATGAGATTGATTTGAGTAATAACTCCATGTCCCATGTGGCGTGGCCAGCCTCACATCAATTAAACTCTTTCCTTACTGCAATGCTGTGGTCTTCCTGAATTGATTTTGTTTGTGCAGCAGGCAGGAAGAACCCATCCAGTGATTACTCTAACATCAACCAAATACTTATATAACATTGTTACTAGAGGAGGGTCTGGACTGCAAGTTGTCCAGGTTCTTGGCGTTTTGAACAAAGAATTGGACGAAACACACAAAGCAAGGGAAAAACAAAGCAACAGAAGCGAATATTTATTGAAAACGAAAAGACACTCCACACGGTGGGAGTGGGCCCAAGAAAGAGGCCCAAGGGACCTTGTTACAGAATTTTCTGGGGTTTCAATACCCTCTAGAGGTTTCCCATTGGTTACTGGGTGTACGCCCTATGTAAATGAAGAGGACGAAGTGAAGTTACGAAGTCATTTACTCAGTGTACACCCTATGTAAATGAAGAGAATATTTCCTGTCATAGCTGAAGTGTTTCCATTTGATTTAGTTCTAGAAAGTCTTTAGGTTCCCTGCCTTCAGGCCCTATACTCCTGCCTCAACATCTTTTTTTTTTTTTAATTTTTATTTTTTGAGACGGAGTCTGGCTCTGTCGACCAGGCTGGAATGCAGTGGCGCGATCTCAGCTCACTGCAAGTCCGCCTCCCGGGTTCACACCATTCTCCTGCCTCAGCCTCCCGAGTAGCTGGGACTACAAGCGCCCGCCACCACGCCTGGCTAATTCTTTGTATTTTTGGTAGAGATGGCGTTTCACCGTGTTAGCCAGGATGGTCTTGATCTCCTGACCCTGTGATCCACCCGCCTCGGCCTCCCAAAGTGCTGGGATTACAGGCGTGAGCCACCGCACCCAGCCCACAACATCATTTTTATTTGTCTTACAATCACATGCAACTAGCGAAACTGTTATGGGTGGACGGTGTCCAGGTTCTTGGCGTTTTGACCAAAGAATTGAAAATGCAAAACAAAGCAAGGAAAGAATGAAGTAGCAAAAGCAGAGATTTATTGAAAATGAAAGCACACTCCACAGGGTGGGAGCAGGCCTGAGCAAGTGGCTCAAGGGACCAGTTACAGAATTTTCTGGGATTTCAATACCCTCTAGAGGTTTGCATTGGTTACCTGGTGTATGCCCTATGTAAATGAAGGATGATGGTTGGGTGCAGTGGCTCACACCTGTAATCCCCGCACTTTGGGAGGCCATTGTGGGCAGATCACAAGGTCAGGAGTTTGAGACCAGCCTGATCAACATGGTGAAACCCTGTCTCTAATAAAAATACAAAAATTAGCCCGGCGTGGTGGCACATGCCTGTAATCCCAGCTACTCAGGAGGCTGAGGCAGGAGAATCACTTGAACCTGGGAGGTGGAGGTTGCAGTGAGCTGAGCTTGCACCACTGCACTCCAGCCTGGCAACAGGCGAGTCTCCATCTCAAAAAAAAAAAAATAAATAAATAAAATGACAATTTAAATGTTTAAATGGCCCATCAGGTAGCCAAATGTACCTGAAGCTTTGATTGTAAACCAAACATTGGTTATAAACTATTTTAGCAATTTATAAGTCAGCAAACCAGTATATATTTAATCTGGATCATTTTATCTTTTCCATGATGAGTCACGGAATGCAGAAACTTTAATAACAAAAGCTTTAAGGACTCAGGAAGAACAAGGTGGCCATCTTGGTTTTCCATGAGTCCATGCTTAACACTGGACTTATGTCCTCTTGAATACCAGTTGTTTCTCCAATTTAGGTGCATAGCACTGATAACTAATGGGTTTTCATAGCTGATTTGACTTAGACCATGGAGTTCAAATGACTTTAAATAGTGATAGTTAAAAACACTATTGACAAGGAGATTTGGTTATTTCTGTGGTCTACAATAACACAATAATTATGATTGATAGCATATACTCAGACATATTAGAATTTTAGAAATTCCATACAATTCTGGAACATATATTAATATCATTCACTAATATATAACCTGAAGATGATTAAACATTATTTTTTATTTTCACAATGCTTCCCATGTAACTAAACATATCAAATAATCCTGTTTACCTCTCTTTTGGATGGTTCACGGGCCTGCTGTAGCATCTCAAAGTTTGAGGTCAGAAAAGACAATTTTGAAGCTGCAATTTGATTTTGGGAAGCTTGTTAAATGTTTATAAAAATTAACATTCTCATGCCTTCTCATTATATTTTACCATTCATTCAACCAGTTTGCACAAAGAGGGGCCAGAAGTCCAACTGGTAAGAAATTCTTACCCTTTTGCCGGCATGTCAGCTTTCTTGAGTTCTCTCTCCATGAGCAGCCCTAGTGACCCTGCTCAACTGTATGCAAACAAACACATTGCTATGAATTAAGAATATTCACAAACAATTTACAAATTTTGAAGAAATTAGGCAGAGAGAGAGAAATATGACTCAAGTTCTATTTACAAAAGTATACTCAATATACTTAAAGTATCAGGAAGCCTAATATCCAAAAAGTTAGTTTAAGGTTAAAAAGCTTAGTGTGCTCCACCAATTCCTGTGAGCTCAACAAAGGTAGCCTAGGAATTCCAGATAAATGGAACAAATGATGACTTGGTAGAAATGCATAGAAAATAAAATAACTATTCACAGAACCAAATAAAAGCCTTCCACTAGAAACTAAAACAACAAACAAAAAAATGGTTTTCTATTTATGCGACCACAAGCAAAGCCTGGAGGAGAATAAACAGCAAACAAATGAAAATTAGAAGCAAAAACAAACAGGAACCCCACCCTAAATTTTTCCTACTCAATCTACCCTGGAGGCTACAGTGTTACTCAGGGCCCCCAAACACCCATATAATGAATATTTTATTCCTGATACACCATTCAATATCCTTAAGTCCACCAATATCATCATACATCCTGTACAATCAAGAAATTCACTCTAGGCACATGACCAATAAGTACTCCAGTGCCAGCACTATCCATGCAAAACAGTAAACGGTGTGAAGCAATGCATGCATGTATGTGAAATTTAGCTCCATACTTAACCAGCTTCATGCTTAAGTATATTAAAAAATATACTTATATTTCTTATTTTACTTTAGGCAAGACTAAGAGCTCTAACTATGAAATGTTAATTAGTCAAATTTCTCCAATTTTCTATCAGGTTTTAAGGAATATTTTATTATCTAAACTTTTTTTTTTCACATTTCTCTCCCCTACTTACTGGTTCCTTACTACATTGTTTCATAAATAACCTTTTCTTTTTTTTTTTTAATTATACTTTAAGTTCTAGGGTACATGTGCACAACGTGCAGGTTTGTTACATAGGTATACATGTGCCATGTTGGTTTGCTGCATCCATCAACGCGTCATTTACATTAGGTATTTCTCCTAATGCTATCCCTCCCCCAGGCCACCACCCACCGACAGGCCCTGTTGTGTGACGTTCCCCTCCCTGTGCCCATGTGTTCTCGTTGATCAACTCCCACCTATGAGTGAGAACTTGTGATAGTTTGCTCAGAATGATGGTTTCCAGCTTCATCCATGTCCCTGCAAAGGACATGAACTCATCCTTTCTTATGGCTGCATAGTATTCCATGGTGTATATGTGCCACATTTTCTTAATCCAGTCTATCATTGATGGACATGTGGGTTGGTTCCAAGTCTTTGCTATTGTGAATAGTGCTGCAATAAACATACGTGTGCATGTGTCTTTTTTATTATTATTATACTTTAAGTTCTAGGGTACATGTGCACAACGTGCAGGTTTGATACATAGGTATACATGTGCCATGTTGGTTTGCTGCACCCATCAACTCATCATTTACATTAGGTATTTCTCCTAACGCTATCCCTCCCCCAGCCCCCTACCACCTGACAGGCCCTGGGGTGTGATGTTCCCCGCCCTGTGTCCAAGTGTTCTCATTGTTCAATTCCCACCTATGAGTGCGAACATGAGGTGTTTGGTTTTCTGTCCTTGTGAGAGTTTGCTGAGAATGATTGTTTCCAGCTTCATCCATGTCCCTGCAAAGGACATGAACTCATCCTTTTTTATGGCTGCATAGTATGCCATGGTGTATATGTGCCACATTTTCTTAATCCAGTCTATCATTGATGGACATTTGGGTTGGTTCCAAGTCTCTGCTATTGTGAATAGTCCTGCAATAAACATACGTGTGCGTGTATCTTTATAGTAGCAAAATTTATAATCATTTGGGTATATACAGTAATAGGATTGCTGGGTAAAATGGTATATCTAGTTCTAGATTCTTGAGGAATCACCACACTGTCTTCCACAATGGTTGACCTAATTTACACTCCCACCAAAAGTGTAAAAGCATTCCTATTTCTCCATATCCTCTCCAGCATCTGTTGTTTCCTGACTTTTTAATGATCACCATTCTAACTGGTGTGAGATGGTATCTCATCGTGGTTTTGATTTGCATTTCTCTGATGACCAGTAATGATGAGCATTTTTTCATATGTCTGTTGGCTGCATAAATGTCTTCTTTTGAGAAGTGTCTGTTCCTATCCTTTGCCCACTTTTTGATGGGGTTGTTTTTTTCTTGTAAATTTGTTTATTTGTAGATTCTGGATATTAGCCCTTTGTCAGATGGGTAGATTGAAAAGATTTTCTCCCATTCTGTAGGTTGCCTGTTCACTCTGATGATAGTTTCTTTTGCTGTGCAGAAGCTCTTTAGTTTAATTAGATCCCATTTGTCTATTTTGGCTTTTGTTGCCATTGCTTTTGGTGTTTTAGTCATGAAGTCTTTGCCCATGCCTATGTCCTTAATGGTATTGCCTCAGTTTTCTTCTAGGGTTTTTATGGTGTTAGGTCTTACGTTTAAGTCTTTAATCCATCTTGAGTTAATTTTTGTATACCGTGTAAGGAAGGGATCCAGTTTCAGCTTTCTACATATGGCTAGCCAGTTTTCCCAGCATAATTTACTTACTAGGAGATCCTTTCCCCGTTGCTTGTTTTTGTCAGGTTTGTCAAAGATCAGATGGTTGCAGATGTGTGGTGTTATTTCTGAGGCCTCTGTTCTGTTCCATTGGTCTATATATCTGTTTTGGTACCAGTACCATGCTGTTTTGGTTACTGTAGCCTTGTAGTATAGTTTGAAGTCAGGTAGCGTGATGCCTCCAGCTTTGTTCTTTTTGCTTAGGATTGTCTTTTAGATAACTTCTGAATTAGACAAAATTATTCTTTTTCTCATAAACAACACAACTTTTTCAGGCACATTTTGTATACAGAATTATGTGTTAACTAGAATTCTTATCCTTAGTAACCTAAAACTTTAATGAAATCCTAAAAAGCAAGAAATCCTGAACTATCAGATATGGGCATTTTTAGATAAGAACAATTATACAATTATACATATTTCCCCATATCACAAACCTTTCTTAATTGGAAATGACCCAGATATTCAATGAACAACCCAAATAATTTTAAGATTTTAATTTACATAAAAAGTTTCCCTAAAACATTTATTCCATTCACTGCACTCAGTTCATTCCCCTTTTTGTTTTTTGTTTTTTTTTTTGAGACAGCGTCTCACTCTGTTGCCCAGGCTGGAGTGCAGTTGTATGGCCTTGGCTGACTGCTACCTCCACCTCCCAGGTTTGAGCAATTCTCCTGCCTCAGCCTCCTGAGTAGCTGGCATTACACGCGCCTAGCCATCGCGCCTGGCTAATTTTTGTATCTTTAGTAGAGACAAGGTTTCACTATGGCTGGTCTCAAACACCTGACCTCAAGTGATCTGCCCACCTAGGCCTCCTAAATTGCCGGGATTACAGGTGTGAGCCACTGTGCCTGGCTAATTCTTTTACTTTTTTAACAGTTTATCTAGATTACTTCTGTAAACTGAGGTATTAGACATTATCATTTAAAGTTAGTTGTTTCCTTGTTAACCATGTTTTCAATAGCCAGTGAACATCAGGTGCTCACCTAAACCTAAGTAAGAGCCTCAAAGTTAAATACATTGGTATTTTTACCAGTAACTCAGAAGATTTAGCAAATAATATTAAATTACTCTCATTTGTCAAAAAAAAAAAAAAAAAAAGGCACTCAAACCAAGATCATTTTGTTTTGGCTGGGTTATAGTTTTATAACCTTCTATGCCAAACACTGACATCTCAAAGTATCTAGCAAAGACAAACATAAAATCCAGACCAACATGTATGCTGACAGTTCTGAAGGCATACCTATTTTTATTTTATCAATAATTTTAAAACAAACTTGTTTAGTAAATTATACTTAAGTCACATGAATTTGAAATTGCTTAGATTTATTTACTTAATATATGAGTGCTCTTTTACTTATGTCAACTTGGTAGACATCATATAACAATAAGTGTACATACAAATAACCACATCTAGACATGTATACACACACACACACACACACAAAGATCCGATAGCTTGGAATGCTAGCCATGAGATAGCAATATAGGCTTGCCAGTTTTACTTTGTTTGCCCCAATAGGTAATACAATGCTGTGAACCAAAATTTCAGGTAAAGCAGTTTTCACGGCAGTTTGATATTTAAAGGCCAAACCTCCCCAGATTCCAAAGAACACTGGGGCCGAACAGCACCAAAGAGAACCTCACATACTAACCAGTCCTGACCCTGCTTAAAACAGCAGCCCAAAAGCCTGGATACATGCAACTCCATTCCACTTTTCCATTCAACAGCGAACTCCAGATTCCAAACAATATTGGGGCCAAACAGTATTGCAACTGCCAGAGAAAATTCTAAGCAGGGCTTAGTACTAGGCCTCAGAACCTCTGCCGAGGGTGTTTCCTTTGGAGAGGTTGAGGTCCAGAGGATCCCCCGGGGCACCCCCTTTGGGGTCCAATCTGAGTGTCAGACATCTCTGACTTTATGTGGGCACAGGTGCTGCTTTGCATGTTTTCCTTCCAGAGGCAATGCCCTACTCTGAGCTTTCCTTTGGTTCATGGGTATAATCCCCGACTTTTAGCATCCTTATAATTTGATAAGTCTGCGCTTTCCCATGCTTCCCATTCCACGAGAGTGATAGCCATGAACTGTAATGATAGAACTGGAGGCTGGGTGAGTTTCTCTTGTCCTCAGCTGAATAGGGTAAGGGAAAAATTTAGCATAAGACAAGAAGGGTTGGCCAGGTGCGGTGGCTCACGCCTGTAATCCCAGCACTTTGGGAAGCCGAGGCGGGTGGATCATGAGGTCAGGAGTTTGAAACCAGCCTGGCCAACGTGGTGAAACCCCATCTCTACTAAAAATACAAAAATTAGCCAGGCGTGGTGGAACACACTTGTAGTCCCAACTACTCAGGAGGCTGAGGCAGGAGAATCACTTTAACCTGGAAGGTGGAGTTTGCAGTGAGCCAAGATCACGCCACTGCACTCCAGCCTGAGTGACAGAACGAGAATTCGTCTCAAAAAAAAAAAAAAAAAAAAGAGGGTTTAAGTCACCTGAAACACATTCGAGTTCACCCTGCGTTGCACCACACATAGTTAGCTATAATTTAAAGGGAATTATTTATAATAGTCTTTTAAGATTGGTCCCCTATATTAAAACAAGATTTTCCTAAGGTATTGATTTGCTCTTACTGAAATTAGAAAAAATTTTACTTTCAATTTTATAATCTATTTCCTTTATTTATATTATTTATTTTTTTAGAGACAGAATCTCGCTGTGTTGCCCAGGCTGGAGTGCAGTGGCACAGTCTTGGCTCACTGCAGCCTCCGCCTCCCAGGTTCAAGCAATTCTCCTGCCTCAGCCTCCCAAAGTACTGGGATTACAGGCGTGAGCCACCACACCTGTAATTAAAATTAAAATTAAAAATTTTTAATTAAAAAAAATTTTATTTATTTATTTATTTTGAGATGGAGTCTCGCTCTTGTTGCCCAGGCTGGAGTGCAGTGGCATGATCTCAGCTCACTGCAACCTCCACCTCCCAGGTTCAAGCGATTCTCCTGCCTCAGCCTACCGAGTAACTGGGATTACAGGCATGCACCATCACGCCTGGCTAAATTTTGTACTTTTAGTAGAGACGAGGTTTTACCATGTTGGTCAGGCTGGTCTTAAACTCCTGGCCTCAAGTGATCCCCCCGCCTCAGACTGCTGAAGTGGGATTACAGGCGTGAGCCACTGTGCCTGGCCTATGTTTTTTTTTTTTTTTGGAAATGGAGTTTTGCTCTTGTTGCCCAGGCTGGAGTGCAATGGTGCGATCTCGACTCACCACAACCTCCACCTCCCAGGTTCAAGTGATTCTTCTGCCTCAGCCTCCCGAGTAGCTGGGATTACAGGCATACGCCACTACGCCCGGCTCATTTTGTATTTTTATTAAAGATGGGGTTTCTCCATGTTGGTCAGGCTGATCTCGAACTCTCGACCTCAGGTGATCTGCCTGCCTCGACCTCCCAAAGTGCTGGGATTACAGGTGTGAGCCACTGCGCCCAGCCTGCCTATTTCTTTTAAAAACTCAGAATCACATCTCAGAAGTTCAACTTTTGCCAAGTTTTGCTGCTCTCAGCTTTTTTTCTGCTTGAGAAGGCCTGAGATGATCTTTCCTTCAGCTTTTTTGCCAGCTCCTGTAACTTTCTTTCATTTCCTCTAATTCTAACTATTATGACCTGATGCTAAAATGTATTATCTTGAAGGTCTAGAAAAGCAATGTTTTCCTGTAGCATAACCTGATTCTGTACTTTTGGCTTTTCTTGATATGCCAAAATTTTCAATGTAATCAGAAAACTCTTCTTTTCTTTCTCTTTTTTCTTTTTTTTGAGACAGAGTCTCACTCTGTCGCCCAGGCTGGAGTGCAGTGGCGTGATCTTGGCTCACTGCAAGCTCTGCCTCCTGGGTTCATGCCATTCTCCTGTCTCAGCCTCCTGAGTAGCTGGGACTACAGGCGCCCGCCACCACGCCCAGCTAAGTTTTTGTATTTTTAGTAGAGACGGGTTTTCACCATGTTAGCCAGGATGGTCTCGATCTCCTGACCTTGTGATCCGCCAGCCTTGGCCTCCCAAAGTGCTGGGATTACAGGTGTGAGCCACCACATCCGTCAGAAAACTTTTCATACTATTCCTTAGAGTCATGTATTCCCCCTGCTATCCTCATAACCTTGAACACACTCTTTCTGTGTCTGATTAAATTCAAGCACTTTTATCAAGTTTGACTTCCAGGTTATCTAAATGGGCTTCCCATAAGTAGAAGCAGTCACGCTGCAATAGGTTTTTCTTTGTCTTTTTGGTAACCGGCTTAAGAAATAAGATTTTATCATTCCTATGCTGTCTTTATTAGGTTTTTGATTGCTAAAACAAACAAACAAAAAACAAAACAGGCCCAGCACAGTGGCTCATGCCTGTAATCCCAACACTTTGGGAGACCGAGGCGGGCAGATTACCTGAGGTTGGGAGTTCGAGACCAGCCTGACCAACATGGAGAAACCCTGTCTCTTACTAAAAATACAAAAGTAGCCGGGCATGGTGGTGCATGCCTGTAATCCCAGCTACTTGGGAGCTGAGGCAGGAGAATCGCTTGAACCTGGTGAGAGAGGACTAGCTGGATTTCCTAGGCTGACTAAGAATTCCTAAGCCTAGCTGGGGAAGGCGACCGCACTCACCGTTAAACACGGGGCTTGTAACTCAGCTCACACCTGACCAATTAGGTAGTAAAGAGGGCTCACTAAAATACAAATTAGGCTAAAAGCAGGAGGTAAAGAAATAGTCAAATCATGTATCGCCTGAGAGCACACAGGGAGGGACAATGATCGGGATATAAACCCCCAGCATTCGAGCCGGTAGGGGCAACCCCCTTTGGGTCCCCTCCCATTGTATGGGGGCTCTGTTTTCACTCTATTAAATCTTGCAACTGCACACTCTTCTGGTCCGTGTTTGTTCCGGCTCGAGCTGAGCTTTCTCTCGCCATCCACCACTGCTGAGTGCCGCCGTCGCAGACCCGCTGTTGACTCCCACCCCTCCGGATCCGGCAGGGTGTCGGCTGAGCTCCTGATCCACCCAGCAAGGCGCCCATTGCTGCTCCCGATCAGGCTAAAGTCATTGTTCCTGCATGGCTAAGTGCCCAGGTTCGTCCTAAATGAGCTGAACACTAGTTGCTGGGCTCCATGGTTCTCTTCCATGACCCATGGCTTCTAATAGAGCTATAACACTCACCGCATGGCCCAAGGTTCTATTCCTTGTTATCCATGAGGAAAAGAACCCCAAGTCAGAGAACAAAAGTCTTGCTGCCATCTTGGGAGTGGCCGCCACCATCTTGGGAGCAGCCGCCACCATCTTGGGAGTTCTAAGAACAAAGACTCACCCTGTAACACTGGGAGGCGGAGGTTGCGGTAAGCCAAGATCATGCCATTGCACTCAGGCCTGCGCAACAAAAGCGAAACTCCGTCTTAAAAAACAAAAAACCATCTGATATTTAAAAGGGTTACAGTTTTTACATCCATTTAACTTTCTGTATTGCCTTTGAGGTTTTTTAATTATCACTTATCACTCTTGGTTAAATGTATGACTTATTTTACAATAACCTGTGATTCTGTTTTAATCAAATGTTTTGAGCCTGTTTACATCTTAAACAAATGTCCTCAAAATCAACATCCTAAATTAAGTCTCTCAGTCTTATTACCGGGGCTTATTGAGGCTACAAAAATTAATCACTGCAAGGCTGTAGAATCTTTCTACAGCTTCTAGTCAGACCATGAACTCCAGTATCACCACCTTAAGCCTCATAATTACATATGCTGGAAGAAAACCAGTTAAAGGACTCCTTCTTGTCCCCTTAAAAGGGTCCTTATCAGGTGTTATTAATTAATCCTTGTGCTATGTTACAGGGCTTTGACTCCTGGGTACACATATCTCATCTGAAGAAGACATTGAGTCCTGCCAGTATCTCACACCAAACCCAAGTTAACCAAAGCCTTGTCTTTAGACCTGAGCAAAAGTGGCAAAGTAAACTGCTTTTTTTTTTTTTTTTTTTTTTGAGACGGAGTCTCCCTGGCTCTGTTGCCCAGGCTGGAGTGCAATGGCTCAATCTCGACTCACTGCAACCTCCGCCTCCCAGGTTCAAGCAATTCTCCTGCCTCAGCCTCCCAAGTAGCTGAGATTACAGGTGCTTGCCAGCACGCCCAGCTAATTTTTGCATTTTTAGTACAGATGGGGTTTCACCATGTTGGCCAGGCTGGTCTCGAACTCCTGACCTCAGGTGATCTGCCCACCTCAGCCTCACAAAGTGCTGGGATTATAGGCGTGAGCCACCTCGCCCAGCCATAAACTGCTTTTGTGAGACACAGGGACAGACCTGTATTCAAAACATTAAAATTCATTTCATTTAATAATTTTGCCTTTATCTGAAATTATATAATTTTTTCTATGCCTTGATACTAAATAATTTAAATGTTTGGCTACCTATGGGCTTCCTTTCCTATCATTCTTTAGAATTAGGCAAGGCCTATGACCTTTTGTTTAAAACGTTGCTAATTTTTAAATATTTTGTTTTACCTACAGAATTTAAAACTATTAAATCCCTCCAGGCGGCCCAGGGACTATCACATGAGATTGTTAGGGCTGGTCCTGAGGGATAAAATTAATTCAGACCCTCCTAATCGAGGCCAGGTGCACAGATGCCTATGCAGCTGAAAAAAAAAATGCTTGTGTCTTGTATAGCTAATTGCTAAAGCCAAGATTACAATAGATCAATGCATAGAATTTATAGAAAAGTCAATTTTATGACCTTTGTTTTTGGCTCGTAGGTTGCTTAAAAGGGGTTTTAAGGGTTGATGAATGCCTGTCCATCTCCATTCCCATCTGGCCTGTAATGTTTAATTGGCTATAAATCTTTTGACTCTAAGTCCCTTGCCACAGGGTTCCCACTGAAGGACATGATGGACCCGAGGCAGGTGGCAAGTCACCCCAGCATCAATATGGGACAAAATAAAACTTGGCTATTGATACTGCCTCTTTCATACCTTGACAAAAAAAGGAAATATATGAACAAAAATAAAATCCTAAGCCCCCCAACAGAATGAACACCCCTCTTGGCCAAAAAGAATAATAAAAAAAAAAAACCTGAAAAACTAGTTCAGCCCATGAAGGAAATGGGGGGTTGGACACACCTTGCTATACTCCCCCCACCACCCCTTGGAATTCAGGCACAACTGACCAGCCTTAATATTAAAATAGAGCTTATAAGACTGACAGATTCTTCATGGCAATAAAATATCAAATTATAAACAGAATCTAAGATTATGCCAAGGAAGGCTTAATTCTCCACCCCAAGGTAAACAGTCATATGTTACTTCCGTGTTTGTTCAATATACATGCATCAGGACCATTTTCATAAATATTCGTAGCTTCCCTGTTCAACCAGGAGACTTAGTCTTATTAAAAACTTGGAGACAAGGATTCCCCGAAGATCAATTTTAACCAAAATGGAAGGGCCCCTATCAGGTGTTGCTAAGCACTTCAACTGTTGTTAAATTTGAGGGAGTCACTAGCTGGGTATACTTGCCAAAGATTAAACCTGTTTCTTATAAGGCCCCACAGGCACCTGAGAAAGACACCGTGACCTACACTTGTGAACCCCTAGGACACCTAAAGCTGTTGTTTTGCAAATAAACACATAAGTAACAGCCTTAGTCCCTCCTACAGGTACTCAGCCTTCTTAACAACTCCTATCCCATACAGATTTGCACCCCCAATGGATATCTATGGCTATGTGGTCACCCGTTCAATCAGCCTATAAATAACTTGTGTTTCGTTTGGGATCATAAAACACATGGTTACCAGGATATTGATAATGTTTGGTTTCTGGATCAATGTACAATAGGACAAGCAGAGCCCCCTAACATACAATTATATGACATCACTCACCTGAGCGCTACGTGGGCAACTGGACTTATATTGGCTAGGGTTGGAGCTCGTTGGCCCCATGGGGCAACTTCTCATTAAAAGTGCCCTCCCAAGTCTTACTTGGTTTTTGCCCTTCCTAGGACCTTTGATGGCTATCTTGTTATTACTAATCTTTGGCTCTTGCTTGTTTAACATCTTGGTGAAATTTGTGTCATCTAGATTATAATAATCCCATATAAAGATGATGCTGGCACAAGGCTTCTAACCTGTCCTATCTTCTGAGTTGGGAAATAAAGACATCCTGCCTTTAGGCCTCTTAGATCAGGCATCCAGATATTTTTACTCCTCCTTTACTAGGCAGGGCTATGCTCATAAAATCAGCAGGAAGAAGTTACAGAAGAATGACTTTTGTCCTTCATCTCTCCTTAAGATTAAGGGTTCTCTGATAAGCAAAGGGAGGATTATGTTAGGGAAATAGAAGCATGGGAGACCCAGGGTAACACCATTTTAAAATCAACTCCATCTTAAAACTAGCAAGGCACATCCCTTGCCAGTGATGACCAGCAGTCATAAGATGTTTAAGGCTAAGGAAACAGCTTAATAATGCCTGCAAGGATCAGTTCCCAAAACAGTGGGTCACAAGACCCCACTGATAAAGACAGGAGACAGTAAACAACAGGTCACATGACCACACTGATAAGACAGGAGACCGTAAAGAAACCAGCCTAAACCAGCTAGAAGCAAGATGGCAAAAAAGCAACCTTCAGTACTCATTATATGCTAATTATAATGCATTCGCATACTAACAAACACTCCCACTAGTGTCATGATAGTTTACAAATGCCATGGCAACATCCAGAAGTTACCCTGTATGGTCTGGATGGGGGAGAAACCCCCAGTTCCAGGAGCTCCCAGAAAACTCATGAGTAATCCACCCCTTGCATAGCATATAATCAAATAGCTATAAAATAGCCAGCTAGCATCTCCCTCAATGCTACTCTGCATATGGGGTACCCTGCTCTGCTTATGGAGCAGCCACTCTTTTATTCCTTTACTTTTTAATAAACTTGTTTTCACTTTACTCTGTCGGCTTGCTCTTTTTTTATTATTTTTTTAAGACGGCATCTCCCTCTTTTGCCTAGGCTGGAGTGCAGTGGCGCCCTCTCGGCTTACTGCAACCTCTGCCTCCTGGGTTCAAGCAATTCTTCTGCCTCAGCCTCCCGAGTTGTTGGGGTTACAGGCACGCGCCACCATGCCTGGCTAATTTTTGTATTTTTAGTAGAGATGGGGTTTCGCCATGCTGGCCAGGCTGGTCTCGAACTCCTGACTTTCAGATGATGCACCCGCCTCAGCCTCCCAAAGTGTTGGGATTACAGGCATGAGCCACTGCTCCCAGCCTGTTGGCTTGCTCTTGAATTCTTTCTCGTGTGAAGCCAAGAACCCAATTGGCCTCGTGAGCTGAACCTAAATTTGGGGGTTTGCCTGCAACACTACTACTGTAACTGGGTCACTTGAGATTTTCAGCACCCCAGCATTTTTCAGTGACTGAAATAATGAGAATTCTGATCAGGACCTTGCTTGCTTGCTCATGTTAACCACTCGCTTTTTACCCAATATCCGTTTTTCCCACAATATAACTATAAACTTCTGATGTGCTGTTTCTTTGTCAAGTGGGAGGAGATAACTTCAGGGTCACAAAAGGTGTTTGCCGAAGGAATGAATGCATTGAAAGCTATTGCAACCAGCTGCTGACGCCCAGAACTCTGGTTGTTCAAGGTGTTATGTGGGACTGAAGAAACAGACTTTTCACCTTGATTCCCTAAAACTCTCCCTCCTTTATTCTCTAGCCACATAAAAATTCCCTGCTTTTTCTTTTTGTTAACATGGATTTGAGACATCTTGCTTTCCTACCTTGTTGCTTTGGCCAAATAGAACAAACCTTCCTCTATCTCCAAACTGCTATGTGTCAGTGTTTGGCATCAATTGCACATCGGGTACAAGAGCCTGAATTTGGGCTTCTACTAGAAAAGTACTGACTGCCTTGAAGCCCTGGTAACAGTAGCAGTTGAGACCCCATTCAATTCAGCAAGGACAACTGCCTCAATGGTCAATGACAATGTCTCGATGACAGCCAATCATAAACAGTCCTAAGCACATGCTTCCGTGTGTTGACAATCAACAACAGCCTCATCACAGCAATCACCTTCTTACAGGTGAGATATCAATCTCTAACACCTCTGCAAATTCGCTGATCCCTGAACTCCACTGTGCCCTAAAACTCTATGTAAGATCAACAGCTTGTTCTGCTTGGAGAGACTGTGCATAGCCAGCACAGTTTTCCCTTACTATAGCAAGCAATAAATTCAGTCATCTTGCTTCAGATATTGGTCTTTAGAGGAACAACCCTGCCAGGGTGTTCTAGCAACTTTGAACATCTCCACAAAGGCTAAGTAGGCAAGGCTTCACAGCTCTGAATAGCCTGAAATTCCTCCTGGAGCAAGGCGAGATAATGAGCATGGTGCGGAGCCACTTTGAGGCAGGCTCTCCTCTGTCTGGTAGGAGTCTGTCACAGGCCATTTCTCATTTATCCTCCTAGTTTCAACTGAATGCAGAACTTTCTGCCTTGTGCCCCCACCTAAGGGTTCGGCTGCAAGCTTCTGTGAAGATCTATAAAAATGCTTCGCAGTAGTTTAGGGTTGGCTCTTAACAGGGCAGGGACTAGGGTGAGGCAAGAAAGACACCTAGTGGACAAAACTGGGGGGCACAGTAACAGGGCTGTGCAATGCTGATCCTGCCCTGCTCCTCAGCAACAGAGCAACTCACCATTCCTGACATCTGTCATCTGGTTCCTCTGTTTGGTGTCATGCTGTGATACTAGGGATACAGGGAGCTGACACCATGCTGACTTTCTTTTCCAGTAAATACTAAACTGTCTAAATCCATCTGGGCTTCTTACTTGCTGAGTCTATGGAAGACAAGCCAATTTAGCAGCTGCTACCATGCTACTGCTTATAGACTGCTTGACCACTTGACAGTCTCCTTATCATTGTTATGATCTGATATATTCTTAAATTATCTCCTCATTTAATTTGTTTCAGTAATTGCTACTTAACAGGATGCTGGTCCTCTTGGCTAATGCACTTCCACACCATTTTCATGTTAGTGCTTTTGCTTGTTAAATGCGTTGGTTGGGCTTGTTGTCATTATGTCGCATTATATCCCTAATTCACAAAAGCAGATCAGTTCATCAGAAGTGGTTCATTAAAGCTTAAAACAAAGATAAAAGAATGGAAACACTATAATTTAGCATAATGCCCAGAAGGCAAACGGTGAGCTGGATTTCAATGCAAATGCCGAGCTTTTGCCTGCTAGAACATGCAAATCTATTGTCATAGGAAGAACAGAAATGGCTATCTAAACCCAGCTTTCCCTGCAATGGTGATCTATTAGCCCTGGAACCCAGGGTGCTGCATGTGAAATGTCATTCAATAGTGACACGAAGCCATCAAAACTGACTTCTCTGGTAAACCAATCAGGTTTTTCTGGAATAAACAAAATAATGCTTTCCAGTCTGGGTGATTAAAGACTGTTAAGGAAGCAAGAAATAAATTTGAGTCTGTTTGTTAACAAATTTTACCCTGCCCTAAATGGGCACTGGGTACAATCTTCCAGGGTGAAGTTGGCTGACATTCAAGGAAAAAAGCAACTCACATAAATGTTTGAAATGAGAAATAGGATGGCCAGGCGTGGTGGCTCACCCCTGTAATCCCAGCACTTTGGGATGCTGAGGCAGGCGGATCACCTGAGGTCAGGAGTTCGAGACCAGCCTGGCCAACATGGTGAAACCCTGTCTCTACTAAAAATACAAAATTAGCCGGGCGTGGTACCACACGCCTGTAGTCCCAGCTACTCGGGAGGCTGAGGCAGAATCGCTTGGACCCAGGAGGTGGTGGTTGCAGTGAGCCAAGATCGCGCCACTGCACTCCAGCCTGGGCAACAGAGTGAGACTCCATCTCAAAAAAAAAAAAAAAAAAAAAAAAGAGAGATAGGATGAAAATAACTTCTTCACAATACCAATGTGAAAGTTGTCAATCTCAAGATGGAGTCACTCATGTCAAACCCAAACAAAAAAAGAGTCAGGTTAGAAAGGGAAAGCCCTCCTGCACACATGCCTATGATAAGAACTATAACAAAGACTCTGAAAGTCTCTTATGCTCTTATGCACATATGCCTGTAACAAGAACTTTTGCCAAAGACTTTCTAACCTGCATCTTGCTTCATGAATCACAGGACAGCTAGCCAAATGCGCAAGAATGCTTGCCTGGTACACTGTCTCCACTAATGAACTGACATCATCTTCTGTGATAAGCCACTGTAACCAATGTTCTCTTTGTTTCAAAACAAATTATGTGTACTTCTTTTGCCTTTAAAAGTTTTCCCTTACCTCAACCTCCTCAAATATGCCCACAGTTTACTATGGCCCCAGTGTTCTGGATTGCAGTTCTTCTGCTTATTCCCAATTAAACTCAATATTTTTAGAGAGTCTCTCTGCTGGTTTCTTAGGTTGACACAAAGAATATCAGTAATGATGATTTATATAATTTCAAGTGGCTTGTTCAAGTGTCAAGTGTTGAGCCTTGGAGATATACATATATTCATTATATTAATGTTTAATAGAAGCCGTCAGGATTCCTAAAGAAAACCCAATTGTGGCAAAAATGACTCAATCGCGTGTTATCTTCATCAGGTGAAATTAGTCAGAGATCAATGATGTATTATTGAGCATATTTAAAGTTCACAGCCATATGCTGCAACCAAATCTGAGCTGAACACAGCCAAAAATTGATCTGAGAATGCATTCACTGCTATTTCTCATGTTTCAACTTCTCAGCTTTTCAGTGAGCCTGGCTTATCGCTTTAGGTCTGCAGGTAGTTTTTCATTACATATGTCATCTCTGTCAGCTTCTGAACTGAAAATCATACAAGAAATGTCGCTTTTCAACACCATAAGCACCTTTTATGACATCTCGGCATTCTCCAACATCCAATTTCATTTCGTGTTGAAAATGCAATTAGGCTATCGTTCGCAGGTCTCTCTCCCAATTTCCCACTGTATATCATTCTTTTCAGAGAATATTTCATTTGCCAATGATCATTCCTTTCAGCTTTTCTGACAAACTGACCCTAGTAAGAAAAAGGCTACATACATATATGTTGGAGATATGCCCCAGGTAACTTACGTTGTGTATTCTTTCTAATACAGGAATGCTTTACCACCATTCCTGGCAAAAGATAAAAGATTACTCATTCCCCTGAATGCTTCCAGTGATGGGGAGCACAGTACTCTTCATGGTAGAGTTCTGTTTACTTAAAAAAAAAATAGTCCCTATTCTATTCCCTGTGACCTTCCCCTACATGATTCTACTTTTGTTCTCAAGAATTATATATTAAATCTCTCTTTAATAGAATGGTCTTTCATCAAATATTTAAAGATACTAACAAGTCTGCCCTAAGCTGTTCCTCTTAGGGGCTTTCTCAGGGACTACCATGTCTCATATGGTAAGGTATTTCTAGCTGCTATGGTGGTTGTTCAGAATACTCTTTGAATTCGTCAATGACTCTTTTTTTAAAAAATTTTTTATTATACTTTAAGTTTTAGGGTACATGTGCACTACGTGCAGGTTTGTTACATATGTATACATGTGCCATGCTGGTGTGCTGCACCCATTAACTCGTCATTTAACATTAGGTAGATCTCCTAATGCGATCCCTCCCCGCTCCCCCACCCCACAACAGGCCCCAGTGTGTCATGTTCCCCTTCCTGTGTCCATGTGTTCTCATTGTTCAATTCCCACCTATGAGTGAGAACATGCGGTGTTTGGTTTTTTGTCCTTGCGATAGTTTGCTGAGAATGATGGTTTCCAGCTTCATCCATGTCCCTACAAAGGACATGAACTCATAATTTTTTATGGCTGCATAGTATTCCATGGTGTATATGTGCCACATTTTCTTAATCCAGTCTATCATTGTTGGACATTTGGGTTGGTTCCAAGTCTTTGCTAATGTGAATAGTGCCTCAATAAACATACGTGTGCATGTGTCTTTATAGCAGCATGTTTTATAATCCTTTGGTTATATACCCAGTAATGGGATGGCTGGGTCAAATGGTATTTCTAGATCTAGATCCCTGAGGAATCGCCACACTGACTTCCACAATGGTTGAACTAGTTTACAGTCCCACTAACAGTGTAAAAGTGTTCCTATTTCTCCAAATCCTCTCCAGCACCTGTTGTTTCCTGACTTCTTAATGATCACCATTCTAACTGGTGTGAGATGGTATCTCACTGTGGTTTTGATTTCCATTTCTCTGATGGCCAGTGATAATGAACATTTTTTCATGTGTCTTTTGGCTGCATAAATGTCTTCCTTTGAGAAGTGTCTGTTCATATCCTTCGCCGAGCATCCATTCCCTGTATTCTGTACCTCTCATCAATTGGGCCATATTCGTGTTTCCTTAACTCATGTTTGCTCTCTCTTTTAAAACTATAAAGACAGGGTTTTTCCCCCCTTTCAAACTTCCAGGAAAGTGTTTTTTTGTTTGTTTGTTTGTTTTTGAGACAGAGTCTCGCTCTGTTGCCCAGGCTGGAGTGCAGTGGCATGATCTTGGCTCACTGCAACCACTGCTTCCCAGGTTCAAGCAATTCTCATGCCTCAGCCTCCTGAGTAGCTGGGATTACAGGCATGCACCACCATGCCTGGCTAATTTTTGTATTTTTAGTAGAGGCGGGATTTTACCATGTTGGCCAGGCTGGTCTCAAACCCCTGACCTCAAGTGATCTGCCCACCTTGGCCTCCCAAAATGCTGGGATTACAGGCATGAGCCAACGCACCTGGTGTGTTGTTTTTTTTTTTTTCTTAAAAGGGATAATTAATTTTTTATTGAGGTATAACTCATATACCATACAATTCACCCTTTTATTTTATTTTTGAGACAGGGTCTTCTAGGCTCGAGTACAGTGATGCACACGGCTCACTGCAGCCTCAACCTTCTCGGCTCAAGTGATCCTCCCACCTCAGCCTCCTGAGCAGCTGGGACTACAGGTGTGTGCCACCACATCTGGCTAAATTGTGTATTTTTTTTGTAGAGACAGGGTTTTGCCATGTTGCCCAGGCTGGTGGCAAACAATTCACTCTTTTAAAGTATAAAACTGAGTGGTTTTTAGTATATTCACAAGGTCGTGCGACCATCACCACTCTCTAATTTCAGAACATTTTAATGACTTCAAAAAGAAATCCTTTATCCATTAACAGTCCCTTACCATTCCTCTTTCTCTCTATTCTTGGCAACCACCAATCTACTCTAATAGACACACTAACCTGTTTCTATGGGTTTGCCTTTTCTAGATTTTTCAAATACAGGGAATCACATGACATGTGGCCTTTGGTGTCTGGCTTCTTTCTCTTAGAATAATGTTTTCAAGTTTCATCCATGTTGTAGCATGTATCAATACTTCGTTTCTTTTTATGGCCGAATATTTCATTGCAAAAATAAACTGTATTTTGTTTATTCATTCACAAGTTGATAGATATCTGGGTTATTTCTACTTTTTGGCTACTAGTATATGAATATGTATATGAAATTTTTCATGAACTATTCATTTCATATACAAATTTTTGCATAAATTCTCTTGAGTATATATCTAGGAGTCGAATTGCTAGGTCATATGGTAACTCTGCTTAACTTACTGAGGAATTACCAAACTGCTTTCTTGCTTTCTTCATTTTTTTTTTTTTTTTTTTTTTTGAGATGGAGTCTCGCTCTGTTGTCCAGGCTGGAGTGTGGTGGTGCGATCTTGGGTCACTGCAAGCTCCGTCTCTCAGGTTCACGTGATTTTCCTGCATCAGCCTCCCAAGTACCTGGGATTATAGGTGCATGCCTCCATGCCTGGCTAATTTTTGTATTTTTTTTTTTTGTATTTTTAGTAGAGACAGGGTTTGATCATGTTAGCTAGGCTGGTCTTGAACTCCTGGCCTCAAGTAATCCGCCCACCTCAGCCTCCCCAAGTGCTGGGATTATAGGCATGAGGCACCATGCCCAGCCCCAAACTGCTTTCTAAAGTGGCTATGCCATTTGACATTCACACTAGCAATGCATGAGGTTTCCAATGTCTCCATAACCTTGCCAACACTTGTCAGTTTTTAAAAAATTACTAAAGTATTTGTTCTTAGATATATCTTTCTTTATTACCAAGCATGGTCTTCTCCCTTTTGTGAGAATACATATTTAGAATTTGTCTGGCTTATGGAAAGCACTCAATAAAAATATTCATATTGTTAGCCATTATTAGTGTTATGTACCTTTAAGAGGAATCAAATTGAGTTGCCTTTTCTCTAATATTACGTTTCCATCTGCTTTGAGTAGCAAATAGAATACACCTAATATATGATGCATTGTTGAGTTCAAGGCAAAACAGGTTGATATAACTCAAATGTTCCAGCAGTTGTTATTTCTTTCCAGGTTTCCCTAACAAAGTGCCTTGATTTTAAGCCTGGGGATTCAGCCATTGTGGAGCAGGTATGCCGCCCCTACATGGGGGATGAGGCTTCTGATGTTGACACTGGCCAGGGCCTTTGCAAACAAGCCAGGCCAAAAAGGTTCAACAGTTACAGCAGGTGCTTTAATGAGGGCATTGATCTTCTCTGTGATGGTCACCTCATCAGCATGCAGGGTGAGGGTCAAGTAGATGGAGTGGAGCTTGGAGATGAAGACAGAGGCCGTGGTGTGGGTAATGCAGGGCTGTCTCTGCCAGGCGCGGTGTTAGTCACTGAGTGAAGTGGGCCTCACCCCAATGCAGCTTTAATTTCTTCATGACAGAGCACCTTGGCGACAGATGAGAAAAGGGAGCAATTTCTTAAGACAACAATAAAGTTTGCCACATCAATGGATTCTTCCTTTCATGAAACACTCCTCTGTATCAGGCAATGCTGTTTGGTAGCATTTTATCCACAGGAGAATTTCTTTCAAAATTGGAGTCAATCCTCCCGAACCCTGCCGCTGCCTTGTCAACTAAGTTTATGTAATATTCCAAATCATTTGTTGTCATTTCAACAGTGTTCACATCTTCACCAGAAGTAGATTTCATCTCAAGAAACCACTTTCGTTGCTCATTCATAAGAAGCAACTCCTCATTCCCTCACATTTTATCATGAGATTGCAACAATTCAGTCCCATCTTAAGGCTCCACTTTTAATTCTAGTTCTCTTCCTATTTCTACCACATTTGCACTTTCTTCCTACACTGAAGTCTTGAACCCCTCAAGTTATCCATGTGGGTTGGAATCAACTTCTTCCAAACTTCCAAACTCTTATTAATGTTGATATTTTTACCTACTCAAGCATTATACATTAAATTTATCTTTAATAGAATGGTCTTTCATCAAATATTTAAAGATACTAACAAGTCTGCCCTAAGCTGTTCCTCTTAGGGGCTTTCTCAGGGACTATCATTTCTCATATGGTAAGGTATTTCTAGTTGCTATGTTGTTTGTTCAGAATACTCTTCAAATTTGTCAAATATTCTCATTAGTCACAAATGTTCTTAATGGCATCTAGAATGGTAAATCCTTTCCAGAAAGTTTTCAATTTACTTTGCCCAGATCCATCAGAGGAATCACTATCTATTGACAGCTATAGCTTATGACATGTATTTCTACTTCTTTTTTTTTTTGACAGAGTCTCGCTGTGTTGCCCAGGCTGGAGTGCAATGGCACGATCTCGGCTCACTGCAACCTGCACCTCCTGGGTTCAAGCAATTCTTCTGCCTCAGCCTCCCGAGTAGCTGGGATTACAGGCATGCGCCACCATGCCCAGCTAATTTTTGTATTTTTAGTAGAGATGGGGTTTCACCATGTTGGCCAGGCTGGTCTTGAATTCCTGACCTCAGGTGATCTGCCCACCTCGGTCTCCCAAAGTGCTGGGATTACAGGCATGAACCACCATACCTGGCTGAAATGTATTTCTTAAATAATGAGACTTGAGATTTGAAATTGCTCCTTGATCCATGGGCTGCAGAATGGAAGCTGTGTTAGCAGGCATGAAAATAACATTCATCTCCTTGTATACCTCCATCAGAGCTTTTGGATAACAGATGCATTGTCAATGAGCTGCCATATTTTGAAGGAATTTTTTTTTTTTTTTTTGAGACCGAGTTTCGCTCTGTCACCCAGGCTGGAGTGCAGTGGCGCAGTCTCGGCTCACTGCCAGCTCCGCCTCCCGGATTCACACCATTCTCCTGACTCAGCCTCCCGAGTAGCTGGGACCACAGGTGCCCGCTACCACACCTGGCTAATTTTTTTTGTATTTTTAGTAGAGACGGGTTTCACCGTGTTAGCCAGGATGGTCTCGATCTCCTGACCTCGTGATCCACCCGCCTTGGCCTCCCAAAGTGCTGGGATTACAGGCGTGAGCCACCGCGCCCGCCCGGAATTTTATTTTTTAAAGCAGCAGATCTCACCAGTGGGCTTAAGATATTCAGTAAATCATGCTGTAAACAGATGTGCTATCATCCAGGCTTTTTTGTTCCACTTATAAAGCACAGGCAGAGTAGATTTAACGTAATTCTTAAGGACCCTAGGATTTTCAGAATGGCAAATAAGCACTGGCTTCAAGTTAAAGTTACCAGTTGCATTAGACCCTAACGAGAATCAGCAGGTCCTTTGGAGCTTTGAAGCCAGACACTGACTTCTCCTCTTTAGCTATGAAAGTCCTAAATGGCATCTTCTTAAAATAGGAGGCTGTTTTATTGAAAATCTGTTGTTGTTTAATGTGGCCACCTTCATCAATAATCTTAGCTGGATCTTCTGGATAACTTGCTACAGCTTCTTCATCAGTACTTGCTGCTTGACCTTGCACTTTTATGTTATAGAGAAGGCTTCTTTCCTTAAACCTCATGAATTAACTTCTGCTGGCTTCCAACTTTTCTTCTGAAGCTTCTTCACCTCTCTTAGCCTTCACAGAATTGAAGAGAGTTAGGGCCTTGCTCTGGATTATGCTTTGGCTTAAGGGAATGTTGTGGCTGGTTTGATCTTCTATCCAGATCAATAGAACTTTCTCTATATCATCAATAAAGCTGTTTTGCTTTCTTATCATTCGTGTGTTCACTTAAGTAGCACTTTTAATTTCCTTCACATTTACAACTTGACTAACTATATGGCACAAGAGGCCTAATTTTTGGCCCATCTTGGCTATCTATATGTCTTCCTCACTAAGCTTTACCATTTCTAGCTTTTGGTTTAAAGTGAGAGACATGTGACTCTTCACTTCAACACTTAGAGGCCATTGTAGGATTATTAATTTGTCTAATTTCAATATTGTTTTGTTTCAGAATAGGGAGGCCCTAGGAGAGGGACAGAGATGGGGGAAAGTCCCATTGATGAAATAAAATATACACAATATTTATCAATTAAATTTGCTGTCTTAATGGCATGGTTGATGGTGACCCAAAACAATTACAATAGTAACACTAAAGATCACTGATCACAGATCACTGTAACAGACATAATAATAATGAAAAGTTTGAAATACTGCAAGAATTATCAAAACGTGACAGAGATATGCTGTTAGAAAAATGGCACTGACAGACTTACTCTACACAAAATTGCTATAAACCTTCAATTTGTTAAAAATGCAATATCTGAGCAGCACAAGAAAGTGGTGCACAATACAATGAGGTATGCCTGCACTGAACGTGTGTCCATCCCCTCAGGGTGTGTACAGTGTGTAGATATGAACACAAGCTGCTAGAGCGATTTTGCCATCTCAAGGAAAGCTGGCCGTAAGTGGAAGCAGATGCTACTGAAGGCAGAGCAAGACAGAAACAAATATGGGTCCTGGATGATATCGTCGAGTTGCTGAGGCAACCAACCCTGATGCCTGTCATAATACTCCAGTTATAGAAGTCAAGATATGCCCTTATTGTTTAAGCCAATTTGTGTTGCATTTTGTGGAAGATGCAAAGATACGCTGCCCAGATTCCCTTTCAAGGAAGCACTTGCTGCCCAGGTGCAGGGAATGCGGTTAGCAGGCAGCCCCCAGCTATTTTCTTCAGGGTCTGCTTCTGCTGCAGAAGGCCACCTTGCTTGAGATTACACCCTTTCTAGGGCAGACAGCATCTAGCATAAGGGGCTGGCTATTTTAGCCTGACAACGATACTCTTGATGGGCAATACTTACTCTAAAGCTCCCTCCCAGGATGGCTGAGGATTTGCTGGACCTGAATAGCAGTTCAACTACTTCCTCTGAACAATCCTGCTTCCACTCCATTCCTAACAAAAATCTTCTCATCTCCAATCTGGAATACTCAATCTGTGACAAGTTTTCTGTAACATCAGGCAAAAACATCCTGAGATTCAGTGGGCTAGTTTGAATTCAATCTTGTCTATAGAAAGAGAAATGCACTCATGATCTCTTATTTTTGACTTTGTGTTAAGGAAGATTTCCAGCATGCACAAAAAGAGAGACAAGAATATAATGAAACAACAATATCAATATATGACCAATAGTTATCATCTGATACCCTCGTGTATTATTTTAAAATAAGTCCTAGACATATTATTCCATCCAAAAATACCATAGTGCACCAATGTTTACTTTGAGATGCAATACAATGTCTTCTTCTCCGTTCTCCTCCTAATCCAACTCCTCTTTATGTTATCTCATCTTTTCTTCCTCTTTCCACCACCATAGCTTTAAAAAGAGGAACTGTTTTAATAGAAGGGGCAGGGGTGGCAGTAGTAAGGGATAGATGGCCCAGAACAAATACTGGAATCCTTTCATTCATTCAACATTCAACATTCATTCATTCAACATTCTAGAGAGTATCCTCTCTCAAAGTCTTGGGATACTCAATCATCACTAGTATAGGCAGTTGTTCAGATAGGTGGTACTGGACAATGACGTTTTTGTTTAGCCAGAAGGAAGCAAGGAAAAGAGTCCCTTAACACCTGCCATCTAGTGGTCACAGTGATAAGTAACATGCATGTTTTCTACTAAACAGATTAATACATGGTTTGTTCTATGGAACAAACAGGAAATTAAGGCCAGAGGGGTAAAGTGATTTAAGGTCATATGGCTAGTTAATAGCAGGGCTTGGCATAGAACCCAAACAAGTTGACTTTAAGACCTGCGTAAATTGTGATTGTTTGAAACGTAAATATGTCATTCAAATGATTTTAAATTTGATTAAAGTATCATCCTGTTTTGTATTTAGTTGTATTAAGTTATAGTATATTAGTATCAAAGGAGAAAAAGTGCCATTGGTTGAATGAGGGAACAAGATGGGCCTATGAGATAATATTAACATTGAATTATTTTCCATTACATGGTCCCACTACCAACATTTCCATAATAATAATAATAATAATGCCTATGCTAGCTCTGTCATATTCCTAAACAAAGGTTGAATAGTTATTAAGAGAAATTGCTTCCAATTAAACTAAATGCAATTATGCCACATCATTGACCGTACATTCAGAGTCTATGTTACCTTCTGGAGTTTGTTGGATCTGTTACTTATTCCTGTCCAGCCAGTTAAAATTGAAGGTAGAGCTCACAGGAGCTGATACTTTACTCTTTATTTCTGGGTAAATATAAGAAGTTTGCCAGGGGAACGGAAATACTGTGTTTCAAATGAATGCAATGGCCACACCAAACATTCAGATGTTCATCACAATTAGGCGGCATCTAGGTTACATTGCCCTTGTCTCTCCAGGACTGGGATTTTCCTAATCCTTTTCACTTGAGAGGGAAGGATTTAAAAGTGAATCTACCCTTACCTTATTAACATTTTGAGGCAGATTTTGGGAATGGGAGAGGTGGCAAGCATTTTGAGACTCTACTTTTGGTGCTAGCATTGAAACTCATTGTGTGACATTTAGACGCTTCTTTGGATCCAATTTTCCTTACCTGTAACAGCAAGAGGTTGACTAAGTGATTGCCTCTAAAAGTTCCTTTCAGTTCTGTCATTCTGCGAAATTTTTGGGCAAAGATAAATCTTCAGCTCAGCTGGTCCCTTCTGCTTTTTCCTGGGTTGACTTCCTTCCTCCCACTATCATTTATTGAGTATCTCCACGTTCTTGAGGGTAGGGCCTGGGTTTTATTCAACTTTCCCCCATTAACTAGCACAATAACTAAGCAGGTTATTTCCAGCAGGGTTAAAGTTGTTTTCTATATAAGATTCCAACTTTGTCTGGAGGGGCTCACAGTTCCGAAGAGGGTGCCAGGCATCATCAATTAATTAAAAGCCGAGTATCCATAAACATAAAAAAAAGTAGGGGGGACATAAAGGGTAGCAGGAAATCTGGTTCCAGTTGTCCTTAAGCACAGGTATGTTCCAACAGGGAATAAGAGTGCATAGTAGTGCAAAAAGTAATGGTTAACACTCATCGAATGCTTTCAATATGCCAGTGCTTTCCACGTATTATCTCAAGTAATACAATCGTCCTATTTTCTAGGTACTAGTATTATGTTTCACACTTGAAGTGGGCACAGAGAGGTTAAGTATCATGCCCAGGTAACACTGTTAGAAGTGAGAGGCAGCACTTGAAACCAGATAGCACAACCTCACTGCCTGCACTCTTAGCACTCCACTAGGTAGATAAATAAGAAAAATCATAGTAACAATCATGATTTCTCCAAGAGGCCAGGTGAATTTGACCAGTGATGAGTCCAAGCTACAGAAGGAGCAGAGGGAAGTGGCTGCCGAAAAGAAGGCTAAAGAAGTTTGCAAAAAGATAACATGCACTTTTCCAGGCTAGATACACAGGCGGAGAAGCAAACCGGCGAAATAAAATCCGACAAGCAAGATCTGGAGCGCATCAGGATGCCAGGTGAACTCAAAGACAGGTCGGAAGTGACGTCACTAGCCGAGTCGGGCGCTCAGCGGGACTGCGGGTCCGGTGGAATTCCGGCCGGACGTGGCGCACAGGAAGTTACGCACGGGAGGCGGTACCTGGTTGTGGAGGGTGACGCCATGGGTGGGGCGGAGCGTCTGGGATGCGCTGGGAGCCTAGGATCCCCGACAGGTAACCTGCGGGCGGATCTGAACGGGGGGCGAGGGTGGCAGCTGGAGTTGATGGCCTAGATCGCTCGGGGCCCTAAGCGCGGGTGGACACAGGTTAGGTAATGGACAGCATTAGGTGGCGGCTGAAGAAAAGGCTCCTTGGCATTAGACTCTCTGAGGGGTTGAGGATATGGAGAACTCTTGGGAACTTGGTCTTGGGGCCCGAAGTCGTCGAGGAAATACAGACAGGTTGAGTCTTCTAGGAATCAGACATGGCTGGGGGTCATGGGTTTCCGATCACTGGCGCTTATGTTGGAGAGACGGAGCCTGGGGCACTGAGATGAGTTGACCTAGGGTTCACCTACCCCGACCTGTTCTGCTAATAGGGGACAGGGACCTCGACTTTTTGTCTCTTAACTCGTAGCATAGTGCCTTGCGACAAGTAGGCATGCTTTAGATGTTGTCGAAGGAATGAATGAATGAATGAATGAATGAACCAACCAACCTGTTTCTGGCTTCCCGGCAGAACCTCTCCCAAATTTCAGTATTCTAACCTCTGAATGTAGAAATGACTCCAGTTTAGTTTGCTAACCAGGGGTTTATGAGGATGCTGGTGCAGGAGATACCCAGTACATTGTTGGTTTTTGTTAGTTTTGTTTTTTATGGTTATTGAAATTCAGAAATGTGTCTTAGTATTCTTATCCGGGTGGAGAGGATGAGTCATTTACTTTGGCTTCTTTCAGGTTCCTTTACTTTTCTGGGAAGAACTTGTAGGGAAATGATACCAGGGAGGAGTTGGACCGTTGTAAATAAACTGCTGTTGTAGCACTGACTGTTCTTAATGCTTTCTTTTAAGCAAAGTAAACTTACTTTCCTTTTTCTTTCTTTCTTTCTTTTTTTTTTTTTTTTTTTCTGAGACGGAGTCTCGCTCTGTCGCCAGGCTGAAGTACAGTGGCGATCTCGGCTCACTGCAACCTCCGACCCCCTGGTTCAAGTGATTCTCCTCCCTCAGCCTCCCGAGTAGCTGGGATTACAGGCACGCGCCACCACCCCCAGCTAATTTTTGTATTTTTAGTAGAGCCTCGGCCTCCCAAAGTGCTGGGATTACGGGCGTGAACCACTACGCGCGGCCACTTTCCTTTTTCTTAATGTTTTCTTCCTTATCTTATAAGTAAGTGTACTACTTACATTTGAGATGTGAGAATTTTAACTCACTAAAAATATGTTATAATTGAGAATATATCTTATATTTTCCATTATAAAAATGAAAATAGTAATTTATAAAAATCCAGAGATTACAGCTGGTGTTTATAAGTAAGGTTAACTCCTTCTGAACAGTTGTATTAATAGAGGGTCCCCAAAAGAAGATTAAACTGTTTCCTTTGTTGGAAGTACTTGCTTAGGTGTCTTAAATGTGATAAAGTGTGGGGCCGGGCACGGTGGCTCACACCTGTAATCCCAGCACTTTGCGAGGCCAAGGTGGGCGGATCACTTGAGGTCAGGAGTTCGAGACCAGCCTGGCCAACATGGTGAAACCCCATCTCTACTAAAAATATGGAAAAAATTAGCCGGGCGGGGCTCGAGCCTGTAATCCCAGCTACTTGGGAGCTGAGGCGCGAGAATCGCTTGAAGCCGGGAGGGGGAGGTTGCAGGAGCAGAGGTTGTGCCACTGCACTCCAGCCTGGGCGACAGAGTTAACTCCTCAGGAACTATAAATAAATAAATATAAAATATAAATAAATAAATAAAATTTAAAAAATAAAAATTAATTTTAAAAATGTGATAAAAAGTGGGCAGGGACCTAAAAAACAACTACTGTAACCAGATTGGTTTTGGTTGTCAAATGGAAAAAAAGTGCAGATGAGACTGTCGTCAGGCTATGTAATGAAATCTTGGCATGAATTACTACCTAGTCCAGTGAGGTGAATGTTGATGGGCTACATAATGAGATAGCAGCTCTGGTTTCAGAATCTTACTGTTAGATGGGGTATAGTGGGGTAGGAAACCCTGAATTTATGTCATACGGGTGTGTGTGTGTGTGTGTGTGTTTTACAAAGATGAAACTCGTAAGCATTTTTTAGATGTAAAAATCTAAGATGTTCTTAAAATAGGCTGAAAACTCCAAAAAGTTGACATGTAAATATATTATTGCACTATTTAAATTTTAAGTTTACATACCCTTAAACCTTGTGTTCCCGATTTCTGGAAAGTGCCCAGAATCATGCCCATTTGTGTATACTGTTACCGTGGTGCCACCCTTAGAATACATAAAATTATGGTACAAAGTCATGTTTTGAGATCCTGTAGATTTATGTTAATATTATTGTCTTACTTAAAAATGCAGTCTAATTTTGCTACCTCAGTCTCCTGTTCAGTGTCAATCTGCTGTTCAATGTGATGTCCACTAAATTTTGGACATCTAAATGTCTGTGTAGTATAACTTTTATTCATAATGAGTTGGTATCTCAGTGGTACCTTAGGTCTGTACATTGACATTCTTGAGGTTTTTAGTTTTGCAGAACACTGAAATCTATGGACTCTAAAATGGACTTCATTTAAAGAAACCCACGGACCATTAATGGACAAAAACATGAGTCAATATGTATTGTGGCATTCAAATCCTAGCACTCTGGGAGAGGTAAGTAGTTGACTGTGTTTTATGTTTGGTGAGATGGTAGACCAATCTTAAATTTGCCTAGGAAATTATAGGATTGTAATTGAAAAGTACAGTTCTTAATCTCTTTATGTTTTAATCAGGACCTTCCAAAGAGAGGTTTGTTTTGTATATATGAAGCAATTGTTCTTATTTTCCTGTAAAGTTGATAAGAAATTTAAGATTGGCAAGCTATATTTATATTGTTCCTGGAAGGCTACTGCTCTGCTTTCTTTTTTTAGGGGGGAGCTTCCTTTCAACACTTTACATCCGGGTAGAAATAATTTAATCTGTGGATCCCGTGTAGAAATGAGGCCTCAAATAGTCATTTAAATTATCTTGCATCCAAGTTTCGCTGTGTAATAGTATATGTATCAAATCTACTGATTAGTTTTATCTTGTGCCTCAGGTTTAAGCAAGAAAAGAGGCCAAAAAATGTCTTCGTTTCTTTATTCTGCCTTATTTATACTATTTTATTTTTTCTTTCTTCTTCTTTTAAAAAAAATTTGTTAGGTGGTTGATTCTCCAGGCCTTTTATCTTTCTGTCTCAAGGGGGCAAAATTTCTTTTCTCCCATTTTGCCTTTTTTAATTGATCAGTTTGTTCATTTTCAGAACCTAAACTTCTAACTTTATGATAATATTTGTCACCTTTTAATCACTAAACATTAAACTTACAGGTTTTTGCTGGTCTCCTTTGTAGATACACTGGTTTCTTGTTTAGAATTTGTTTAATTCTATAGCAGGCAGTACTTCTAGGAATTCATCTTTCAGATCTATTTGGCCTTACACACAGAAATTTGCATACAAAGATTTTTTTCACCATATTGTTTGAAATTAAAAAAAAAAAAAATCAACCTGCTAGAAATAGCCTGTGCTTCAACAGAGGTCTAGTTAAATGACTGCCTTTATACAGAGTAATACTTTGCAGCTCTTAGGATAAAGTAGGTGCAGAGATGCAGATATGGAAAAATCTCTAATATACCTTATTAACTGGGAAAACAATAAAAAGAACTTTACATATAGTATGTTTTCATTTGTGTTTATATAGAGCATACATTTATATACATACATACAAAACTTCTTCAAACCAGTGTAAGGAATTATTGACAGATTACCCTGGGGAATGAGACTAGAGGCCTAGAGTAGGAAGAAGAGACTTACATCTCACATTTTTTCCATATACTATTTCTGCTGGGTTGATTTTTTTTTTTTACTATGAGCATGTTTGTATTTTCATAATGCTAGGAAACAAACAGCAAGGCTTTAGGATAATTTAACAATTATGAGAGCCTTTTACTATTCCCTTATGACTTTCTGTTCTTATAATACTTGGACTATTTAGAAGAAGTAGGGTTACACAAATGAGTTAAGTTTTTTTCAGAGCTGCAATCTATTCCAGTCCATTGTAATATATTTTAAACCTTGACGTTAGATTGTTACTATTAAGATCTTAAGAATACTCAGTGCTTAGTCTTGCTGAATTCAGTATTCATTTACAGTATATTGCATGTTGCTGACCTGACCAGGTGATACCGTGGGTGTTACCTTTGTTTGCAAGCTAGGTTAGTATTGCAGTGGCATAGTTCTGAACTTCACAGTATTACTGAATAGGATGAACTTTGTTTTATTTGAATTGCTATTTAGGGACTTTTTAAACAACTCTTATTATTTTACTTTGTTCTTGATGTTTAGAACTGGCTTAAGGCATTTCGAAGAATAGCTTGTTCTGTTAGTAAAATCAGCAAACCAGAAAAATAATTTATATAATTGGCAATCTCATTTTGTATTACTTTGAATTGGCTGATTATCTGCCTTGGGAATGCAGCAGAAAATTCTGGTGACTTTTACTTCGATAATCATTTTTGTCTTCCCACACTTTTATTGTAGGATATTTGGAGTAGTAGTAATAGATAAGTAAAATTAATTATATGAAAATTTAAATAATAATCTTTATTTTTTAATAGAGATTTTATTAGAAACTTGCTTGAGAATAGGCTTTATAAGATACATACCTATATGATACCACTTATTGTGTGTCTGTTAAAATTAATAATGAAGGCTGCTAACTAGGGGTTGAGTCATGATTAGTAGAATAAAAGAAGTTATAGGCTCATGCCTGTAATCCTAGCACTTTGGGAGGCCGAGGCAGGCAAATCACCTGAGGTCGGGAGTTCGAGACCAGCCTGACAACCATGGAGAAACCCCATCTCAACTAAAAATACAAAAAATTAGCTGGGCATGGTGGCACATGCCTGTAATCCCAGCTACTTGGGAGGCTGAGGTAGGAGAATCATTTGAACTCGGGAGGCAGAGGTTGCTGTGAGCCAAGATCGCGCCATTGGACTCCATCCTGGGCAAACTTGGCAGAGTATTTTGCATATAGTCATTTCTGTTAAATGATGCTTTGTTTCCTAATGTCCTTGGGATTAATCACTATCATCATGAAGGGGAAATCAGTGAGTGGGATGCCTAGATTAAGACTCCTTATTCTTGCTAAGTGAATGGATAGCAATGAATTGAATCCAAGGACAGATTCTTTTCCTAAATCAAGAGGATAGAATATGGTAAAGGTGACATGGAAAGAAAGGAGATGAACCTGAATGTAAAAGTTACATGTAGAAAACACAGAAATGAGGAAAGCTGCTTCTGTATGTGTGTGTATATATGTGTGTACATAGATACATAGTATATTATACCTACATCTATGTATATTACATACATATATATGTTCCAGAAATATATATATTTATATAGAGAGAATATATATATTCCAGAAAAATATATATAATTTATATAGAGAGAATATATATATTCCAGAAATATATGTGTGTGTATATATATAGAGAGAGAAAAAGAGAATATGTGTGTGTGTGTTTGTGTGTATATATATATTCCAGAAAACCAGATAGGAAGTTATTGAGTTAGTCAATGAGAAAAAATAAATAAATAAATAAGTGCATTAAGGCCTTAGAGCTGGGCCTGTCATAGGCTAATTGATGATTTTGCGAGTAGCTTAAATAATTTTCGAAGTTTTAAGATTATTCACAGAGTCGAAATGACAGGAAGGCAGACCTAAGCCTAAGTGAGAAAATTAAAATGTAGCAACATAAATTATTATGTTAACCATATCTTTTGAGATTCTGTTTTGTGTTGTTTTGGGGAGGGCAGAAAGAAGAGAGAACTCAAAAATTTATTGCTGTTCAATTTGAATTGAACTAGAACATAAGTCTTTCCTAGCATTCCAATTGTTTATGATCAAGATTAACCAAGATTAAACAGATCACTTTAACCTGTAAAACATTAATACACAAAAACAGATTTGATTACCTTGCAGAACAGGAGAACTGTTTTTACTCAACGTTTTGATCCTATAAAAGGGTAATTGTGATGATCTAGATTGAGGGGACTGGGAATTTTTAGAAGACTTTGGAAGGGTTGGAGAAACTCCATAGGAAGTATGCTTGTTCTCTGTTATTTGAGGCCAAATTTCATTCAAAATAAGAGAAAGTATAGAACTATTAATAGTTAGCAGTGAAGCAGACTGTGTTGAGAGGCAGTGAACTCCTGGTAATTAGGGTTGCTTAAGCAGAATTTGAACATCAGGAACATTGTAGAGGGAATTTTTCATTGTATGGGAGAGTGTACTAGATTATTCCGGAGGCCTCTTTCAAATCCTAAAAACTTTTTTATAGTGTAATAAAGTGATTTATTGTCGATGGGTTTAATCTCTTATTCCTATATTTAAATACTGATAGCTAACATATCCACTGGTCACTTATCCACCAACCTTACCTCACCCATAACCAGGACATAAATTTTAAATTACTTGAACTTCAAATTATAAGACATAAAATTAACATGCTTTTCTCAGGTCCTTACTCAGTTTACTTTTATTTTAGACACAATTCTGATAGGCTTAATTAGCTGGCATCTAACTCCATGAGATATTAGAAGTAACAAACCATGAAGAGTCCAGGTGCTTCTATTAGAGGCAAAGAAAAAAAGAAAAAACCATAAAGCAGACCAGCTAATTTAAAATTGTAGCAACCTGAGTCCTTTTGATAAGATGAAAACAGCTCTATATTAATGGATATTCAATATGATAACCCTGACTGAACAGAAATAATTTATGTTTGGTATTTTCTATTGAAGAAAGGAAGAATACCTGAATTTTAGAAAGATCTCTTCAGTGTGTTTAATAACAAAAGACAGTCGGACAGATATTTTGGCATTTGGAGAGGCTGCGTTGTATAGTGGAAAGAGCGCAAACTCTAGAGTAATACAGACAGATTTGAATCTGGGCTCCAGTCTATTAATTAAGTTTTATTATTCATTTCAAGCCTCAATTTCCTCAACTGTAAAAAGGAATTTGCTGAAGGTTAATGTATATAAAGGCTTGCCTAAGTAAAAATAGCTATTATTATTATTTCATTATTACCATAAAGCTTACTTTATCTTGAATAACGTTTTTTTTGGCTATTCAAGTAGAGCAAGAACAAACTTATCTAATAGTTTTAGCGTAAGTTCAATATATATAATGCCAATAATGGTGATGGCATGCTTGAAAAAACTTTAAAAAAATTATACAAGTAATTCATATCCACTTTACAAAAATTAGGTTATAGAAAATATACCTAAGCAAAAAAAGGAGTAAAGTTGTCAGAATCCTTTATCACTATAATATTTTAGTGCGTGCTTCATTTTTAAACTGCTTTGACATTCCCACAGGGTGTCACTTCTGAGCAGTGACTGCTGAAATGGATTCTATATTACTCCTGTTGGGGAATTTACATTAGTCACTGTGCTTTCTAATCATAACATGAAGTGAAAGATTGTGACATGGCACAATGCTGATTAAGATAAAGCCCGGGTCCTGGTAAATTCTGTTGTATTGAAACCAATTTTGTAGAGTGGTGGGTGTTGCTTTCTGTTCTGGAGCCAGAGAGCCCAAGTTTGAATCCTGTCTCTACTATTTACCAGCTCGGTAATTACCTGAATTTCTTAATTTTTTTGTACTTCAGTTTCTTTATCTGTAAATAGGAGACATTAGTAGTATCTAATTCATGGACTGTTGTGAGGATTAAAGGAATTAATCTACATAAAGTGTCTAGAGCAGTGCCTGGCACAAAGTATAGATTCAGTAAATATTAGCTGCTATTATTATTAGTTTTTAGGCAGGTTTATACAAGCATATAAGATAAACAGAATGAGCACAAAATTAAGTCAGTGAGATTAAAAACCTCTTCTGAAAAAGAGAAGGGAGAGGTATGGAACAGAGGCTAGTATACCCTGAGGGACAGAGGCCTCTGATAATTATTTACTGTGCTGAAATTTCAGAGGGCTATAACCTGTCTTTTGTTGCATCATGCACATGTTTACAATATTTTTACTATGTTTTTCATTTGAACCTTGCAAAGGGATCTGAATTTTTCTATTTGAAGGCATTGTTTCTTTTTCTCCCTGTTTAAATATTACAATATTTTTGAACCATAATACTTCCACATCAGTTTATTTCCCTACCCCACAAAGTGAACATCATTTTATGCTATCTCTTCCAACAAGCATTTTGGCTATGCTTTCAGAGATCAAAAGCTCTTTAAGACAATTTGATATCATGGATAGAGATCAAAGACATACAATAAATTATCATCAAATCAGTGTATCTGACTACAGCCCCAGGGAGATTCTGTAAGAACTTTAAATTCTGTTGCAATTTTCAGTGAAGGGTATTAATCAAAGAGATAAGCCAATGAACATATTCAGCCATTTTGTCTACTGTACCTTTTCAAAAAAATTTTTTTCCTTTTCTTTGTTTTTGATTTTCTCCTTTTGTTCTTTCAGCATGGTATCTAGTAATCTGATTAATTACTGACCCAAAAGTAGTTTTTAATTTCCCTTAAAAAAATTATTAGACTTGTAGTAGAATTTTTTTGTGTTTTGTTTTGTTTTCAAGCATCAAGTACCACGTTTTTGAAGACCATGGCCTATCATCATTATGCATTCAAGATTTGAGTTTGAATAACCTCATCAAGACTTAGATCTTCTTCAGAAGCTTCAAGTCTCATCTGCATTAAAGCTCTCCATTGAACCCTCTCACAAAAGTACAAGCTTAAAGGGGCTAAAATCCATTAATACATTCCATTTTATATCCCTTCCTCTGACTTCTCTTCAATTTCCTTGGCCTCTAGGGTCCTTCATATTGCTTACGTTCCTTTAGACTAGAGCCAAGGAGACAGTGCTTTCCAAAAAAAAAAAAAAAAAAAATGTGTTCTGTGGCCATAAGTTTTCATTGATAGAGAAGCATAAATTTGGTGAATTTAGAATTAGGTCTTTTATCATATCCTATAAAAAGTTGAGTTAACAGGCTGGGCACGGTGGCTCATGCCTGTAATCCCAGCACTTTGGGAGGCCAAGGCAGCTGGATGCCCCAAGGTCAGGCATTTGAGACCAGCCTGGCCAACATGGCGAAACCCCATCTCTACTAAAAATACAAAAATTAGCCAGGCATGGTGGCAGGCGCCTGTAATCCCAGCTACTCGAGAGACTGAGGCAGGAGAATCACTTGAAACCAGGAGGCGGGGGCTGCAGTGAGCCAAGATCACGCCACTGCATTCCAGCCTGGGTGACAGAGCGAGACTCCGTCTAAAAAAAAAAAAAAAGTTGAATTAACAATAAGGAAATGAGGATGAAGCGGTAAAAATGTTTTGGGTTACATTATACTCTCAGAAGCTATGTGGTTTAGAGAAAAGGGCCCCCAACCACAAAAGTTAGTGGTTCTTATTCTGTCTGCTTCGTACTAGGTATATGGTAACTGAGAAAGTCACTTAACCTCTCTGAACCTTAACTTCGTCATCTATAAAGTGAATCTAACATTTTCCCCCCGGCCTACCTCACAGGGTTGTTGTGAGGATCAAATGAAATAATGTACATGAAAAGACATATATAAAATGTATAATACAGACAAAGGGTCCTGTTACACAGTTGGAAGTCATTCCCTCAGATTTTGGGCCTAGGAAGGTAGGTGATTTAAACTCACTGAAAGCATGTACCATGTCCAGGTTGGATACATGGCAACAAGGCTATGTTAAATTTTTTTTCTCTGAGTTGAGTCCCTAAAATACTATCATGGGCTAATTCTAAGAAGGAGCACGAATATATATTCCCCTAAAATTATAGCTTAGCATTGTCAATGCTTTAGAGCAGTTATGGGAGTTATAGATTATAACATATTAGTGATTTGTGAAACTTTTTTACTAAAATGTGACCCTCATTTTTCTTTACATGAAAGAACATAGAATATTTCACAATGCATCCCACGTGGTAAGAATAAAAAATTGTTTTAGTTATATGTACAAATGTGTGTGTGTGAACGTGTGTGTACTTGGTCATTAAATAAAATGTACTTTTTTTTTTCCTGTGAGTTGCACTTGCTGTTCTTTCTTTCTTTTCCTTTTCCTTTTTCTTTTTCTTTTTTTTGAGACAGAGTCTGGCTCTGTCACCCAGGCTGGAGTGTAGTGGCGCAATCTTGGTTCACTGCAACCTCTGCCTCCTGGGTTCAAGCGATTCTCCTGCCTCAGCCTCCCGAGTAGCTGGGACTACAGGCACTCGCCACTGCGCCTGGCTAATTTTTATATTTTTAGTAGAGATGGGGTTTCGCCATGTTGGCCAGGCTGGTCTCAAATTCCTGACCTCAGGTGATCTACCTGCCTCAGCCTCCCTGGGATTACAGGCGTGAGCCACCATGCCTGGCCTCTTTTTCTTTTTGAGACAGGGTCTCACTTTATCACCCAGGCTGGAGTGCAATGGCACAGGCTACAGCAGCGGCATGATCATGGCTCACTTCAGCCTTGACCCACCAGGCTCAAGTGGTCCTCTCACCTCAGCCTCCCCAGGTAGCTGGGACTACAGGCACATGCCACCACACCCAGCTAATTTTTGTATTTTTTGTAGAGATGGGGTTTCATCATGTTACCCAGGCTGGTCTTGAACTCCTGAGCTCAAGCGATCCACCCGCCTTGGCCTCCCAAAGTGCTGGGATTACAGACATGAGCCACTGTGCCCGCCCATCAGTTGCTGTTCTTGGAGTACCATTTTGGCACTAATGCCTTCCTACACATTTGGATTCCTAGGAGACTCAGCATTTTTTTTCACTTTATGCTACTACTCGTGACAAAGAATTTAATATCAATTTGACTTATGGTGTAATTGAAATATTTTTTATTTTGTAGCACAGAGAAAGCCTATATGCCTTATGGATATTTAATATTTTAATATCTATTCTGATAATAGCATTTAAAAGGTTGCTTCAACCTCTACTAGCAGAAGGATTGTGTCAAATATTTTGCTTTTTAATTTTTTTTTACTTGTATCTTTCTGGCCTAATGGCAAACAAAACCCTCCTTTTAGCATTACTTGAGGACTAAGTAGAGAGAGGCTATCGAGAATGTAGTTAGCATGACTGGGAATTTGATGGTCTCTGGAAAAGAAAATGCCATTTCTTTTCTTTCTCTGAGTAACTAGGTTTATCTTTAGTTTAATGATTTAAGATAAATAAGTCACTGACATTAACTTGTTCAACTGTTACTCCTAAAAATAGATATCTCCCTCTTTGATGATAGCATTGGTTAGGTTAGCATAGGTGACTTTATTATAGTGTCCGTGAACAATAGGGCATGGTTGTGCTTTCCAATTCATTGATGAAGAACTAATTTTTTAGTGCTTTAGTGTACTGAAATGCTGTCTTTAGTGCCCTGGAATTACTTATTTAAACTGTGATAGAAGGTTGTACAAGGTATTACTTTTCTCTGCTTATAAATTATATGAATGTACATAGTCCTAGCAATATGAATATTTATCAGAAGATGTATAATGTAGAATCCAACTGCCTCATTCTTCCTGAACAGCCATGGCCAAACTTCTTGCATTAATGGAGACAGAATGAATTGCAAAGGTTGTATAAATCGAGGCTGTTATGTTTATGACAATTGGCAGCTGTGGCATAAAAGGCTCATTACTATATGTAATTGACATTTTGTTGTTCCTTCTTCCTCCACTCCTTTGCCAAAAAATGGCATTGGTATTACTACCTCTCCATGTAGGAAGTAGGATCTACCTATGAGAAAGTTCAAGAGAGTAGTTAAGCAACTTCAGCTATCCCTGACCTTCTTCCACAACCCTCATGAAACTAATCCATTGCAAAATTCTGTCTTTTCTACTTCCTAAATATCTTTCAAATTATTCACCTGTTTCCATGTCCATCCTTATTTATTTTATCATCTTCGCCTACATTTTTGCAATAACTCTTCAATGGTTTTTTGTATTTACTCCTCCCCCCTCTAATCTCATTGCTTTTAGACTGATTTTTAAAAATACAATTCTAATCTTTTTGGTCCTCCAATCTAAACTCTTATTATCTTATTGCCCTTAGAATTCAGCCCCAAATCTTCAATCATTCTTTGTCTACTAAGCTCAAGCCATAATGGTCTTCCAATTCTCTGACAATGCCATTTTTTTTTCTTCAGGGTATTTGTTGTTGTTTTTGTTGTTGTTGTTGTTGTTGTTTTTGAGACGGAGTTTTGCTCTGTCGCCCAGGCTGGAGTGCAGTGGTGCAATCTTGGCTCACTGCAACCTCCGCCTCCCAGGTTCAAGCAGTTCTCTGCCTCTGCCTCCCAAGTAGCTGGGATTATAGGCGCCCGCCACTATGCCTGGCTAATTTTTGTATTTTTAGTAGAGATGGGGTTTCACCATGTGGGCCAGGCTGGTCTTGAACTCCTGACCTCGTGATCCACCCACCTGGGCCTCCCAAAGTGCTGGGATTACAGGCGTAAGCCACAGCGCCCAGCCTTCTTTAGGGCTTTTGCAGAGCAGATACTTTCTGCTTGGAATGCCCTCCTCTCTCCTGTTCCTCTTCACATAACCCACTTCTACTCATACTACCAGTCTCACTTTAAATATTATTTTTTCCAAGAAGCCTTCCTCCATATCTCAGACTAGATTAGACCTCCCTTCTCTATCATTCTGTCATAAATCACCCATTTTTTTCTCACATCTAGCATAGTTGTAATTATTTCTCATATATAATCATTTATTAATAATCTTACAAGACAACCTTCAGGAGGGCAATGACTGGTGCATGTTTTATTACACTGTATGCCCAGTGTTTAGGAAATTTCCTGGCAAATAGTAGGGATTCAGTAAATATTTGTCAACTGATTCTTCCCACAGCCACCACTCTTCACTTAGATATTTCAGTACTGTAAGTTCTGGGTTGTTTAACTTCCTCTGTTCAAAACCCTCCTCTTGACTGACTGCAGTGCTCACGACTGCAATTCCAGCACTTTCGGAGGCCAAGGCAGGAGGATTGCTTGAGGCCAGGAGTTCAAGACCAGCAACACAGTGAGACTCCAGTCTCTACAAAATAAAAATAATTTAAAAATGAGCCGGGCATTGTGGCACACACCTGTAGTCCCAGCTACTCAGGAGGCTGAGGTGGAAGGATTGCTGGAGCCCAGGAGGTCCAGGCTGCGGTGAGCCATGATTGTGCCACTGCACTCCAGCCTGGGTAACAGAGCAAGACCCTGTCTCAAACACACAAACCAAAACCCTTCAGTTGCTTCTCATCTCACTCCAAGTATGAGCCCAAGTCCTTATAATGGTCTCCAGGGCCTTACCTGATATGCCTCTGCTCTCTCCTTACCTCTCTACCATCTATTGGACTACCCAGCCCAGATCTCTTAGCTGATCCTTAGAAATGCCAAGCTTCCTTCTGCCTCAGGACCTTTGTACTTGATATTCCCTGTGCCTGGAATACCCTTGCCTTAGATATCTATCTGGTTTAATCTCTCATCTTCTTTAGGCCCTTCAGGTTATGTGACCTCAGTGAGGCCCTCTTTGACCATCTTATTTAAAATTGTAACCTCACTACATGGCATCCCTAGTCTTCTCTGCTTTACTGTTCTCCATTGTACTTATCTCTGATTGGCATTCTCTTCATAGGTATTTTCCCCAGTGTTGAGAACAGTGACTGACACATGGTGGGCCCTTAGAACTTATTTATTAGTTGAGTGAATTTAACCTGTACTCACAGAGATGCATATTTGGGACAATGAGACCTGTAGCCCAAATTATGAGGACTTAATATTTCAAGATGATTTTACAAGATGAATTAATTAAATTTATTTATATCCTGCCTTGTTCTAAAAAATATTTTAAAATGCATATAGTATGTAGGATGGGGACATAAAGAGAATAAGACAAAGCAAATGTAATAGTATTAAAGTGGGTAAAGTTAATGTACAGAAGGTCCTGCACAGTGGCTAAAGTCATGTTATAAATTTGACTTATTAGAGAGTTAGGTTGCTCAGAAATGATTGAACTGGAATCAAGAATTTGTTCTCTGGCACAGGTCACAGATATTTGAGTCTTACATAGAAACCCAGAAAACCTATTTAACTATAAGACATTGTGCAGTTACTCTTCTAAAAAAAAACTTGCTTTCTGTATTAGGAAATTTCCTATTGGCATAAAATGTACACAGTCTGTCCATTACAAAGGCTCTGCTACATTTGAGAGATGGTAGTCACAGCTACTACCTCTGCTTATGTCATGTCCAGGACATTCCCAAGGTTGATTTAAACCTAGTAATTGGATATTTTTGAAAGCTGTGAAAAATACCAACCAGCACATCAATTACCCCAGTTTCTCCTCCTCTAATCATGAGGTAGCATGAGAGTCCAGTGGTTGTGGCTTCCTTCCTTTTGAGGTAGATAATTGGCAACTTAGAAATAGGTTATTGGCTGGGCGCAGTGACTCACACCTGTAATCCCAGCATTTTGGGAGGACAAGGCAGGCAGATCACCTGAGGTCAGGAGTTCGAGACCAGCCTGGCCAACATGGTGAAACCCTGTCTCTACTAATAATACAAAAATCAGCCAGGTGTGGTGGCACATGCCTGTAATCCCAGCTACTCGGGAGACTGAGGTGGGAGAATCTCTTGAACCCAGGAGGCGGAGGTTGCAATGAGCTGAGACCGTGCCACTGCACTCCAGTCTGGGCAACACAGTGAGACTCCGTCTCAAAAAAAAAAAAAAAGAAAAGAAAAGAAAAAGAAACAGGTTCTTATGTAGTCACAACTAAACAGGGTAGGAAGATTGGGAGTTAGATGAATTAGACTTCAAGAAATTTTTCACCAATACAGTAACCAAAATAAGAGCTACTCTCTCTCTCTCTCTCTGTGTGCATACAATTAATAGATATTGTACAGTACATGTCTTTCTGTTCATGGTATGTATAGTTTCCTAATTCTGTCTTTTTTTTTTTTTGTCTTTTAAAACTGAGTCTGAGAATTATTGCCATGTCTGCAGGCCAGAGATAAAGCAGGGAACGTGGCGACGGACTACAGGCCTTTCAGTAAACTCTGCAGTACCTCACTAAACAAAGCTGGTATTTTTGAGGCAAAAGATAAGAATATTTAGCTAAATGGTGTTCCACTTGCAAAATGTGCTAGTTCTTATTTGATTTTTTTCTTCTTTCTTAGAAAGCTTTCTCTTTTCTATCTTTTACTTAGAGATAAATATTACATTTGAAGTCACATCTGTCCCACACCATTTTTTTCAGGGTTGAAAGAGGAAAACTAAATGAACCATAGACTTAGGGAAATAATGGAAATATGTATGTTTTAAAAAAACCATTTATGTTCCACGTATTTCAAGGAAAGGAAATGAGGAGAAACATTAAGAACACCACAGAACCATTAAAATGGACAACTCAAAGGGAAAGTATTTTACCAAAAGCATTATGTATAACATGTTGCTGATTAAATTTGTGTTGTTATATTTAATGTGTAAGTATACATTATCCTAACTAATTTAAAATATGTTTATTGAATTTACTTTACATATTTTATTTATTTGATGGAACTTTATGTTCATTTTTTAAGAAGTCAAGTATCTCCTCATTTTGGCATTTGATGAGTAACGGGAGAAAACCTGAGAAGAGACAGAAGTAATGCAAAGGTCACCGTATCTTCCAGCATAAGTGATGTAGAAACAGAAAGATCTTATTTTCAGTCAAAGTGGTGAAGTGGCAGAAAGAAAATATCCCCCAACTGGTTTGCTGACACTAATTTTGCCATATAGTGAGGACAAAAAAAACATGTCTAGGCGTTTAACTCATTATCTCCTAAACTATGGTACACAGAATGTCTGACACAACTGCAAGAGATTTTGTAAGCCAAAAGGGTTCTGTAATGACATGTTTGGAAAATGTTGCAGTCTTTTTTGAAAGTTTATAGTGTATCTTAACACGTTCCAAACGTGTAATCACAATTCTTTTTCGCTCATAAAATCTATTAATAACCCTTGGAATCATCTTTCAGGAAATGCTGAAAATTTTGCTTCTGTTTAGGATGTAGAATGTTGCAAGAGAACATTGTTCCCATCATAACAATGAGAAAAATCTTGATAATCCACAAAGTCATGATGCTTCTTGAGCTCATCAGAGAGTTGAGGTCACAAGGCAATCAGATGAACTGAAATTCCAAAGAGAGGCAAGCCCTTTTGAAGAGAGACAGGACACAGAAACTGTGTTACCTTTGGCAGAGCATAGGAGGAAGAGAAGGCACCGTAAAGGTAGGTAAGAAGAAAGCAGCTAAAACTGTAATGAATTCTTAAAGGCTGAATGTGGGCTAATGTAACATTTCAGAATAACGGGAAGCCCCAGTCACAAAAGGAGCCTGCACTCACTTGCAAGCTTTCTTCTGTGGGCCCTTGTGTTACTTTCCTAGGGCTGCCAGAATGAAGTACAGCAATGTGCTGTGTAACAACATTTCAGTCGATGACCCCATCTTCATATTGCTATCTTCTCTGTATGTCTGTCTGTTTTCTCTCTCTCTCTCTTTTTTTTTTTTTTTTTTTTTTTTGAGACGGAGTCTCGCTCTGTCGCCCAGGCCGGACTGCGGACTGCAGTGGCGCAATCTCGGCTCACTGCAAGCTCCGCCTCCCGGGTTCACGCCATTCTCCTGCCTCAGCCTCCCGAGTAGCTGGGACTACAGGCGCCCGCCACCGCGCCCGGCTAATTTTTTGTATTTTTAGTAGAGACGGGGTTTCACCTTGTTAGCCAGGATGGTCTCGATCTCCTGACCTCATGATCCACCCGCCTCGGCCTCCCAAAGTGCTGGGATTACAGGCGTGAGCCACCGCGCCCGGCCCTCTCTCTCTCTTTTTAAAACAATTTTTAAAGATACAGTACAGTAGTGTTAACGGTATATATATTGTTGTGAAACAGATCTCTAGAACTTCTTCATCTTGCAAAACTGAAACTCTGTACCCCTTGAATAACTCACCTTTTCTCTCTTCCCCATTCTACTAGTAGCACCATTCTACTTCCCATTTCTAAGAGTTTGACTATTTTTGATACTTCACATAAGTGGAATCATGCAATATTTTTCTTTTTGTGGCTGGTTCGTTTCACTTAACACAGTGTCCTCAGAGTTCATCTGTGTTGTAGCATATGATAGGATTTCCTTCTTTTCTTTTTTTTTTTTTTTTTTCAGACAGAGTTTCACTCTGTTGCCCAGGCTAGAGTGCAGTGGCACGATCTCGGCTTATTGCAACCTCCGCCTCCCCGGTTCAAGCTATTCTCCTGCCTCAGCCTCCCGAGTAGCTGGGACAGGCACCCGCCACCACGCCCAGCTAAGTTTTTGTATTTTTAGTAGAGATGGGGTTTCACTTGTCTCGAACTCCTGATCACAGGTGATCCACCTGCCTTGGCCTCCCAAAGTGCTGGGATTACAGGCGTGAGCCACCACGCCCGGCCCTATTTCCTTATTTTTTTTTTCTTTTTTTTCTTTTTCAGATGGAGTGTAGCTTTGTTGCCCAGGCTGGAGTGCAATGGCGCCATCTCGGCTCACTGCAACCTCCAGCCTCCCAGGTTCAAGCAATTATTCTGCCTCAGCCTCCTGACTAGCTGGGACCACAGGTGCCTGGCATCACGCTGGCTAATTTTTGTATTTTTAGTAGAGACAGGGATTCACCATGTTGGTCAGGCTGGTCTCAAACTCCTGACCTCAAGTGATCCACCTGTCTCAGCCTCCCAAAGTGCTGGGATTACAGACATGAGCCACCACGCCTGGCCTACCTTCTTTTTTAAGGCTGAATAATATCCATTGTGTGAATATACCAAATTTTCTTTATTCATCTGTTGGTGGACATTTAGGTTGTTGGCTATTGTGACCAATACTGCAATGAACATGAGCGTGTGAATATCTCTTTGAAATCTTGTTTTGAATTCTTTTGGATATATACCCAGAAGTGGGATTGCTAGGTCATATGGTAATTCTATTTTTAATTTTTTGAGGAACTTCCCTACTGTTTTCCATAGCAGCTGCACTATTTTACATTCCCACCAACAGTGTACAGAGACTCCAAGTACTCTACATCCTTACCAACACTTATTATTTTTATTTATTTATTTATTTTTAATTAATTAATTTTTTAACAGTGGTCATCCTAATAGGTATGAGGTGATACTATTCTGGTTTTAATTTCCCTTTCCCTGATGGTTATTGATGTTGAGGATCTTTTCATATGTTTGTCGGTCATTTGTATCTCTTCTTTGGAGAAATGTCTGTCAAGTTCTTTGCCCATTTTTAAATTGGATTTTTTTTTTTTTATTATTGAGTTGTAAGACTTCATTATATTAATATATTCTGGATTTTTGTCAAGTTCTCTTGAGAAACTTTTTAAGGTTGCCTTTTCACTCTTAGATTATTTCCTTTGCTGCATGTAAGTTTGTAAGTTCGCTGTAGTCCCATTTGTCTAATTTTTGCACTTGTTGCCTGTGCTTTTCATGTCAATATCCAAATAATAATTGCCAAACCCAATGTCATTAAGCTTTTCCCCTGTGTTATCTTCCAGGAGTGTTATAGTTTCAGGTCTTACAGTTAGGCCTATGATCCATTCTGAGTTCATCTTTGTAGTCAAATTTTATAGGACCTTTGTATGGCAAGGGTCCAACTTCATTCTTTTGCATGTGGACATCCAGTTTTCCCAATGCCATTTGTTGAAGAGACTGTCCTTTTCCCATTGTGTGACCTCAGCACCCTTGTCAAAGATCATTTGACCATATACATGAGGGTTCATTTTGGGGCTATTCTGTTCCATTGGACAATATGTCTGTTTATGCCAGTACTATTCTGTTTTGATTACTAAAGTTTTGTAATATATGTTGAAGTCAGGAAGTTTGAGGCCTTCAGCTTTTTCTTCTTTCTCATATTTTTTAAGGCTATTCAGAGCCTTTTGAGATTTCATATGAATTAAAAATTTTTGTTTTCTATTTCTGCAAAAATGTTGTTAGGATTTTGATAGGGATTGCGTGAATCTGTAGGTCACTTTAGGTAGTATGGACATTTTAATAATATCTGTAGGTCCCTCTAGGTAGTATGGACATTTTAATAATAAGTCTTGCCAGGCGCAGTGGCTTACGCCTGTAATCCCAGCACTTTGGGAGGCCAAGGCGGGTGGATTACTTGAGGTCAGGAGTTCGAGACCAGCCTGGCCAACATAATGAAACCCTGTCTCTACTAAAAATACAAAAAAAAAAAAAAATTAGCTGAGTGTGGTGGTGCACACCTGTAATCCCAGCTACCTGGGAGGCTGAAGCAGGAGAATTGCTTGAATCTGGGGGGCAGAGGTTGCAGTGAGCTGAGATCCCACTACTGCACTCCAACCTGGGTGACAGAGCGAGACTGTCTGAAAAAGTAAATAAATAAATTAACAAATAAATAATATTAAGTCTTCACTCCATGAGTATGGGATGTCTTTTCATTTATTTGTGTCTTCTTTAATTTCTTTCAGCAATGTTTTATAGTTTTCAATGTACAAGTCTTTTCCCTCCTTCTTTACATTTATTCCTAATTATTTTATTCTTTTTGATGCTATTATAAATGGGTTTGTTTTCTTAGTTTCGTTTTTCAGATTGGTCATTGTTAGTGTATAGAAACACACTGATTTTTGTGTTTTGTATTCTGAATCATTGATTTTGTATTCTGCAACTTTGCTGAATTCATTAATTTTTTGTGGAATCTTTTGGTTTTTCTACATATATAATCAAGCCATCTGTGAACAGAGATAATTTTACTTCTTTCTTTCCAATTTACATGCCTTTTATTTCTTTTTCTTGTATAATTGCCCTGGCCAATACTTCCAATACTATGTTGAGTAGAAGTGGTGAAGGTGGGCATCCTTCCCTTTTTCCTGATATTAAAGGGAAAGTTTTCAGTATTTCACCATGGAGTGTGACATTGGCTGTGGACTTTTCATAAATGGCCTTTATTGTATTAAGATAATATCCTTCTATTTTTAGTTTGTTGGGTGTTTTTATCATGAAAGGAGATTGAAGTTTATCATGCTTTTTCTGAATCAGTTGAGACGGTCATATGGTTTTTGGCCTTCATTGTGTTAATGTGGTATATTATATTGATTGATTTCATATGTTAAGCCATCCTTGTGTTCCGAGAATAAATCCCACTTTATCATAATGTATAATCCCTTTAATATGCTGTTGAATTCTGTTTGCTAATATTTTGTTCAGGATTTTTACATCAGTGTTCATCAGGGATATCAGTCTGTAGTTTTCCTAGAGTATCATTGTCTGCTTTTAGTATCAGGGTAGTGGTAATTAGTTTGGAAGTGTTTTATCCTCTTCAATTTTTTGAAAGAGTTTGAGAAGGATCAGTGTTAATTCTTCTTTAAATGTGTGGTAGAATTGTCCATTGAAGGCATCTGGTCCTGGCTGTTTTTGTTGTTGTTGGGAGGTGTTTGATTACTGATTCACTCTCCTTACTAGTTACAGGTCTTTTCCAATTTTTTTTTTTTTATGATTCAGTCTTGGTAGGTTGTATGTTTCTAGAAATCTATCATTTTTTCTATGTTATCCAATTTGTTTGCATATAATTATTCATAGTACTCTCTTACAATCCTTTTTATTTCTGTGGCATCAGTTGTAATGTCTTCTCTTTTGTTTTTAATTTTTGTTATTTGAATCTTCTCTATTTTTTACCTTAGTCTAGCTAAGGATTTGTCAATTTTGTTGCCTTTTTTAAAAAGACAAGTTCTTAGTTTTGCTGATTTCTTTCTATTATTTTTCTATCCTCTATTTTATTTATTTATGTTCTATTTTTTATTATTTCCTTCCTAATACTAATACTGGGTTTAGTTTATAATTTTTTTTTGGTTCCTTGAGGTGCAAAATTAGGTTGTTGATTTCAGATCTTTCTTCTTTTTTATTGTGTGTTTACCACTAATAACTTTCCCCCTTAGTACTACTTTTGATGCATCCCATACCTTTTGGTATGTTGTGCTTTTGTTTTCATTTGTCCTCAAGATATTTCCTAATTTTTTGTGATTTCTTGTTTGACCAATTAGTTATTGAGCATATTGTTTATTTTACACATATTTGTGAGTTTTCCAGTTTTCCTTTTGCTGTTGATTTCTCGTTTTGTTTCCTTGTGATTGGAAAAGATGCTTGGTATGGTTTCAGTCTTCTTAAATTTGTTAAGACTTGTCATGTGGCCTAACGTGTTATCTGTCCCAGAGGATGTTCCATATGCCCTTGAGAAGAATATGTGTTCTGCTGTTGTGGAGTAGAATATTCTGTACGTCTGTTAATACCAATTGGTCTGTAGGGTTGTATAAGTCATCTGTTCTCTTATTGATTATCTGCCTGGTTGTTCTATCCATTATTAAAAGTGGGGCATTGAAATCTCCTACTATTATTGTGTTACCATCTGGTTTTTCTTTCAGTCTGTCAATGTTTCCTTTATATATTTGGGTGTTCTGCTGTTACAAATATAAATACATATTTATAATTGCTATTTCTTCCTAGTGAATTGACCCTTTATTATATAATGTCCTTCTTTGTCTCTTGACAATTTTTTTTAATTTCAAGTCTCTTTTATCTGATATTAGTGTGGCCACTTATGTTCTCTTTTTTTTGAGACAGAGTCTCTCATTGTCACCCAGGCTGGAGTACAGTGGCGCGATCTTGGCTCAGTGCAACCTCTGCCTCCCGGGTTCAAGCGATTCTCCTGCCTCAGCCTCCCGAGCAGCTGGGACTACAGACATGCGCCACCATGCCCAGCTAATTTTTGTATTTTTAGTAGAGATGGGGTTTCACAATGTTGGCCAAGATGGTCTCAATCTCTTGACTTTGTGATCCGCCCCCTTCGGCCTCCCAAAGTGCTGGGATTACAGGCGTGAGCCACCGCACCCGGCCACCCCTGTTCTCTTTTGGTTATCATTTGCATGGAATATCTTTTTCCATCCTTTCACTTTCAGTCTATGTGTGTTCTTATATCTAAAGTAAGTTTCTTATACATAGCTTATAGTTGGGTCTTTCTTTAAAATCCATTTTCTATGTCTTTTGATTGAGAGTTCTGTTTACATTTGAAGTAATTATTGTTAGGGAAGGACTTACTATTGCCATTTTAATATTTCTTTTCTATATGTCTCGTAGTTCTTTTGTACCTGTTTTCCTCTCTTGCTGCTTGCCTTTTTGTTCTGTTGACTTTTTGTAGAGAGAGACATGCTTTGACACCTTTCTCACTTTCTCTCGTGTATCTTCTAAAGGTATTTTCTTGGTGTTTACAATGGGGATTACATAAAACATCTTATAATTGTAACAATCTATTTTAAACTGATGTCAGCTTAATTTAAACCATGTACAAAAACTCTACTCCTTCACATATCCTCTACTTTATCAATCTCACAAATTATGTCTTTTATACTTTGTATCTAGTAATATAATTTCATAGTTATAGTTTTTTTATGCTTTTATCTTTTAAATTCTACATGGGAATTAAAAGTGATTTATGTGCCATCATTACAGTATTACATGATTCTGTATTTACCTGTGTATTTACCTTTACAGAGAGCTTTACGTGTTTATATGCTTTCAAGTTGTTATCTACTATCCTTTTATTTCAACCCGAGGGACTTCCTTTCGCATTTCTTGTAAGGCAGCTCTAGTGCTGAACTCCTTCAGCTTTTGATGATCTGGAAAGGTCTATTTTTTTCCTTCATTAAAATTTTTGAAATTGTATATATTTATTTTTATAATTTCAACTTTTATTTTAGATTTAGAGGATATATGTGCAGGTTTGTTACATGGGTATATTGCATGATGCTATGGTTTGGGATACAGTTGATCCTGTCACCCAGGTAGTGAGCATAGTACCCAATAGTTAGTGTTTCAACTCTTGTCTCCCTTCCTCCCCTTCCTCTCCTGTCTGCTAGTCCCCAGTGTCTACTGTTGCCATCTTTATGTCTATGTGTACCCAATGTTTAGCTTCCACTTGTAAGTGAGAACATGTAGTATTTGGTTTTCTATCCTTGTGTTAATTCTCTTAGCATAATGGCCTCAAGCTGCATTCATGTTGCTGCAAAGAACATGATTTCATCCTTTTTTTATGACTGCATAGCATTTCATGGTATACATATATCAAATTTTCTTTATCCAATCCACCATTGATGGGCACCTAGGTTGATTTCATGTCTTTGATATTGTGAATAGTGCTGTGATGTACATGAGTGCATGTGTCTTTTTGGTATAACAATTTATTTTCTTTTGGATGTATACCCAGAAATGGAATTGCTAGGTTGAATGGTAGTTCTGTTTTAAGTTCTTTGAGAAATCTCCAAACTGCTTTCCACAGTGGCTGAACTAATCAACATTCCCACCAACAGTGCATAAGTATTCTCTTTTCTCCACAGCCTTATTAGCATCTGTTGTCTTTTGACTTTTTTGTAATAGTCATTCTGACTGGTGTGAGATGGTATCTCATTGTGGTTTTGATTTGCATTTCTCTGATGATTAGTGATGGTAAGCTTTTTTCATGTTTGTTGGGCTGCATGTATGTCTTGTTTTGAGAAGTGTCTGTTCAAAGTTCCTTTGCACACTTTTAATGGGGTTATTTGACTTTTGCTTGTTGAATTCTTTAAGTTCCTTATAGATTCTGGATATTAGACCTTTTGGTGGTTGAATAGTTTGTGAATATTTTCTCCCATTCTGTAGGTTGTCTTTTTACTCTGTTGATAGTTTCATTTGCTGTACAGAAGCTCTTTAGTTTAATTAGGTTCCACTTGTCAATTTTTGTTTTTGTTGCAATTGGTTTTGAGGACTTAATAATACATGCTTTACCAAGGCTAATGTCCAGGATAGTGTTTCCTAGGTTTTCTTCTAGGATTATTACAGTTTGAGGTCTTATTTAAACTCCTTCAGTTTTGAAGGACAGTTTTGCTGGCTACAGTATTTCTGATTGGCAGTTTTTTCTTTTAGCAGTTTGAATGTATCATACCACTCTCTCGTCTGCAGTGTTTCTCCTGAGAAATCCAATAATAATCTCATGCGAGTTCTCTTGTATGTGACAAGTCACTTTTCTCTTGCTGCTTTCAAGATTCTTTGTGTCTGGCTTTTGATAGTTCGGTTACAATGTGTCTCTGTGGGCCTCTTTGGATTCATCCTAGTTGGAGTCCTTTCAGCTTGTTCAATTTAGATTTCCATTTCTTTCTTCATGTTTGGGACATTTTCAGCCATTATTTTTTCAAGTAACCTCTCTGTCCTTTTCTCTCTCTCTCTCCTTCTTTTGATAATCCAGTTAATGCATATATTGGTCAACTAGATGGTGTTCCATAAGTCCCTTAGGCATTCTTCACTTTTCTTCATTCTTTTTACTTTTTGTTGAATTATCAAGCAGGAGCTGGATAATTCTTAATGGGTTTGCTGATTTTGTCTTCTGTTTGATCAAGTTTGCTGTTGAATCTGCTTAGTGTAATTTTTAATTCAGTTTTATATTCTTCAGCTCTATAATTTCCATTTGGTGCACCACCCCCTCCCCCGCCACCCCGAGATGCAGTCTTACTCTGTCGCCCAGAGCTGTAGTGCAATGGTGTGATCTCGGCTCCCTGCAACCTCCGCCTCCCAGGTTAAAGCAATTCTCCTGCCTCTGCTGCCCAAGTAGCTGGGATTACAGGCGCATGCCACCACACCCAGCTAATTTTTGTATTTTTAGTAGAGATGGGGTTTCACCATGTTGGCCAGGCTGGTCTTGAACTCCTGACCTTGTGATCTGCCCGCCTCGGCCTCCCAAAGTGCTGGGATTACAGGCATGAGCCACCACACCCAGCCTTTAAAATAGTTTTTATCTCTTTGTTGGTATTTTCATTTTGTTCATGTATCATTTTCCTGACTTCCTTTATTTGTCTATCTGTCCTCTTGTAGTGCATTGAGTTTCTTTAAGACAACTATTTTGAGTTCTTTGTCTGGTGATTCATAGACTTTCATTTCTTTGGGGTCTTTTTTTTTTTTTTTTTTTTTTTGAGACTTACTTTGTTCCCTTGGTCGGGCCCTTATTTCTTTGTATTCTTGATTATTTTTTGCTGGGATTTGCACATTTTTAAAAAACAGCCACGCTCCCAGTCTTCTGGACTGGCTTCATACAGGGAGGAAGAGATGTTAAGACTCTCTTTAGCCCAGCTATAGAGTCTTAGGGCCTCTCAAACCTTTAATGGGGTTGTATCTCCTCTGAACTGTGCCTGTAATTTCCCAATTACAGAAGTTTGCTGGTTTCTTTTTTAGGCACTTGCTCCCTCTGGTGTCTTTCCATGGTACTGCTGGTTTTCTGGTGTTCCTACAAGCTGCCTAGGTCTCTTTTGTTCTCAGCAGTTCCCAGGCATGCAAAAGTTGCCAGTTCTGTCAGCATTCCAAGTCAGGTAAGACAGAAAGCCATCTCTTAGGCAGTCCCCAGAAAAGCTGAAAGGTTGGATATACTTTCTACTCTTCTCTTTTCTTCATGAGAGAAAGGCCATGAGTTGGGCATTTTCTCCCAATAACACTGAGTTCTGTTGTCTTCTGTCGGCTGTGCTGCAGGTTCTCAGGTGCTGCAGTTAGCTGCTGAACTCTCCGCTGTTCTCAGTGGACCCCAAGCATCCAAAGTATTCTGGTTCTGTCAGTGTTCCACATCAAGCTGGACAGTAACCATTCCCTTGGGCACTTCCCTAAAAAGCTAGAACTTTGGATGCACATTCTATCCTTTTCTTTCCCTTCTGATGAGAAGATGCAAGTTTGGCATTTACTTGCAATTATGTAGGGCTGGACTGGCTTGGGGAAGGCCTATTATGGGTGAAATGCATTAGCTTTTCTTGCCTGTTTCAATGTGGCTGTTCTTGGCTTTGAGCTTGCCTGGGATACTGTGACTTTTTAACTGGTTTCTGGAGTTCTCATAAAGTCTTTTTGGGCCATATGTTGTTGTTAAGTCAGTATCTCTGTGGGGGAATGAGGTCTGGGGATTCCTATTCCACCGTGTTTTCTCTTCTTATAAGGATGCCAGTCATGTTGGATTAGGGCCGCACACTATTCCAGTGTGATCTCATCTTAACTTGATTATATCTGCAAAGAGCCTATTTCCAAATAAGGTCACATTCACAGGTGCCAGGGGTTAGGGCTTTAACTTATCTTTTAGGGGTACATAACTGAACCTACAATAACTTCCACCACTGCTCATAAAAAGATTGAGGCTGGATGCTCACTCTGTGATCCCAGCACTTTGGGAGGCCACAAGGTGGTGGGTGGATTGCTTCAGCCCAGGAGTTTAAGACCAGCCTGGGCAACATGGTGAAACCCTGCCTCTACAAAAAGAAAAAATAAATTAGCTGGGTGTGGTGCCACATGCCTGTAGTCCCAGCTACTCCAGAGGCTGGGAGGTGCGAGGGTCGCTTGAGCCCAAGAGGTCAAGGCTGCAGTGAGCAGAGATCACACCACTGCACTCCAGCCTGGTGACAAAGCGAGACCTTGTCTCACAAAAAAAAAAAAAAAAAAGAAAGAAAAAAGAAACAAAAAGATTGGGGCAAGTCAGCAGACTGAAGAGAGCCACTCTTTAGCGATACATAATTACATACCCTGCCTAAATTATCAGCTATTCTCTCATATGGAGCAAAAACTTTAAATGAAAGGAAACCCTTTTGTCCTCAGTCCAGGCAAAGATTCACTGATTATGGGGGCAGGGTAGAAGCAAAAGCTGCCTGCCCTTAGGGAAGGCACAGAACATTCTCCAGCAGTAGCTGCTACTATTTTGTATTTAGTGTGATCCGTGGGATACTGGAGGGTTTTTGTTTTGTTTTGTTTTTACAGTGTTCCTCCACAGATATAAGGCAAAATTTCATTGCCAAGAGGTTGGGGTAGGGGCACAGAAAGCCGCATACCCGAGGCCTAGGTGCACAGGGCCTAGCTAACACTGAGATATCAGGAGAACAATGAGTTCTGTTAATAGACTGGAGTTAAAAACAGCTGTAGCCTACTGCTGAGGGAGGGACAAGGATGGAGAGAGAGAACCCCCTCTATGGCACAGATATGCAGTGACTGCTGAAAGCTGAGATTGGAGCAGGAACACTGAGTAAAATCCCTTGAACACTGTAGACTCCACATGAAGCACAAGATAGTAGCTGCCCACTGCTAGAGGAAGGTGCACAGAAGGTAACTACAGCAACAGGGAAACAACATCTCAACCACTGACTAGATTCTCTCTCTTTGGAATTTGTTCACCTGGTTGCCTGACAGAATAGGCATCTCCATTTCCAGGAATAACTATTCTTTCCTTCAGTTTATACTGTTATTCTATGGACAATATTTGGAATTCTATAAAAAATTATGAAATATATGAAAAAAAACACAACCATTTTCAAGAGATAAAGCAATCAACAGACCCAGACCCAGAGATGACTCAGATGTTGGAAATACCAGATGAGGACTTTAATTATGATTGATATATTACAGGAACAAGTAGAAAAAGTAGGCCTCATGCATGAACAGTTGGGGAATTTCAGCAGAGAAATGTAAACTCTAAAAAGAGTCATATGGACACACTAAAATAAAAAAACATGATATCTGGGATGAAGAACTCTTTTGACAGGCATTTCAACAGACTGGAAAGAGGTGAGGAATGAATAAATAAATTTGAAGGCAGATCCATAGAAGTTATTCAAACTGAAGCACAAAGAGAAAAAAAGAGTGATATGGAAAGGGAAAAAAAGATATATGAGAAAGAAATGAAAATAACTTGATATAACTCTTCAACTATCCATTTATTCCTGTGATAGGCAGAGGAGTCAATACCTGCCACTATGCTATCATTGCCATTTTTCTTTGTTCAATTCTGTATTCCTTAGTGCTTCTCTGTTCTTGCTGTTTTCTGCTTTCAATATTCACAGTGATAAGCAAAGGTCGTACTCACATTCCAGAACACATCCAGGCTCTATGGTGGAACTTAAGACAACTTTGCAGAAGTTGAGTCAGAAGTCACTTTGAATTAAGCTATTTTGTGTTTCTCTAAATCATATGTCTCTAAAGCACTCAACAAGTGGTATGTTGATTTTCTTTTATTATAGAATGAGTTTCCTAGGAATATTCCTACTCCAAGTCATAGTAGCCTTTGTTTCCTCCTTTCGTAGTTAATCCTGTGTATTAGTTCATTTTCATGCTGCTAATAAAGACATACCTAAGACTGGGAAGAAAAAGAGGTTTAATTGGACTTACAGTTCCACATGGCTGGGGAGACCTCAGAATCATGGCGGGAGGCAAAAGGCACTTCTTACAGGGTGGCGGCAAGAGAAAATGAAGAAGAAGCAAAAGTGAAAACCCCTGATAAACCCATCAGATCTCATAAGAGATTATTCACTATCATGAGAATAGCATGGGAAAGACCAGCCCCCATGATTCAATTACCTCCCCCTGGGTCCCTCCCACAATGCATGGGAATTCTGGGAGATACAATTGAAGTTGAGATTTGAATGGAGACACAGCCAAACCATATCATCCTGTAATCTCATGTGTCTACCATAAGCCCCAACCCAGAATCACCTTTACTTATTTTCTTGGCAGCCTGGGGAGGTCCTCAGGCTCATCAAGGTTCCCTGATGTCTCAGAGTCCCCCAAATTGGTATGTAGACCTTTAGTTATTGTCTAGGCTCCCCTCTCCTTCTCATTTGGCTATTTTGAAAGAACTACATTTTTGGTTGAAAGCAAAGTGGGCAGATACTTAGGCACATGTTTTAGAAAATATGGTAGTCTTTCATGCTTACCCAAGTAATCTACAAAAATGTTCATTGCATTACTGTTTTAAAAGAAAAAAAAGGAAACAGCCTACACAGTCATCAAAAGGAAAGTGAATGAATGAGCTTTGCTGGACTATTCATTCATTGGAATAAAATTTAACAATGAATTATAGGGCTTCACGTATCAACATAGATCAGTCTCAAAAATCATGTTGAATATAAGTTGTGAAACTTATTGGCCTTGTAAGAGCCTAAATGTTATTTAGAAAGGCATTGGGTAAATAGCCACTGTGTCTTTGGTATCATGAGTGATTTCAGGAAACTGGGGAAACAGTGGGATTTTTGAATTCCATTTTTCCACGTGAAGAGGAACTCCTTCCTCTACTGGGTATTCTGAAAACTGACTAACCTTTGCCCCAGGCTGCAAGCCAAGGAGAAGTATTTACTTGTATACTTCTGACTGGTAGCTACCTCCTCCAGTCAGGTCACATGACCCTCCAGAATTACTGCTGCTTTTCACTCTCCAAGATGCAGACAGAAGATAGAAGCTCGGATATCAGTTCCAATTTTGTTTCTTTGGCTGTGCTGTTATGAGTCTATCCATGCATGTGTGTTTCAAGGGTCACGCAGAGAGATGCTTGGACAGAAATTGGGGATTACCCCTCTGGTTCTATCTCAGCAGGATTCTGTTGGGGATTTTAATGTTTTGAGGGGCAGGAAGGATTCATATTATCTTGGCAGAGAGTTATCCAGTGAAGAAGTATTTGGGGTTATACAATGCAGAGATTTCCCACTTTGTGCTGCCCTAGGAAGGGGATTAAATGCAATCGGGGCACTTCTAAACAAATTAACATTTATCAAGTAATTATATATGAGATATCAATTGTGGAAATATAGTATGCTGAAATCAAAAGCATCTTGATGCAAATAGATTACATAATTATATGCAAACTATCAGTGTGGGATGATATTTTGAATAAAGTAGAAATAGATAATAAAGTTCTCTAATGAAAATGCCTGACAGTTTATAAAGCAGCATGATTATTAGAAGGCCTATCCCCTGTTGATAGCCATTGAGAAAAAGTACATTTGAAAGTATGTTAGATGAATATAAAATTCTAACAGTACATACGGACATACTTTCTGAATTTCATAATAAAAATAATAAAGAAATAGAAAATTAGAAAAATAGCTAAGGCAGGCAGATCATCTGAGCCCAGAAGTTCAAGACCAGCCTACTCAACATGGCAAAACCCTGTCTCTACTAAAAATACAAAAATTAGCCAGGCGTGGTGGTGTGTGCCTGTAGTTTCAGCTCTCAGGAGGCTGAGGCAGGAGAATCACTTGAACCCAGGAGGTGGAGGTTGCAGTGAGCTGATATTGCACCTTTGCACTCCAGCCTGAGAGACAGAGTGAGACTCCATCTCAAAAAAAAAAAGGGGAAAATGTAGAATAAAACAAATTTCAGAAGCATTTCATATTTTCACAAAAATGAACAATAGTACAAGTTTTTTTTTTTTTTTTTTGAAATGGAGTCGCACTCTTTCATCCAGGCTGGAGTGCAGTGGCGTGATCTCGGCTCACTGCAACCTTTGCCTCCTGGGTTCAAGCGATTCTTCTGCCTCAGCCTTCTGAGTAGCTGGGACTACAGGCGCTCGCCACCATGCCCAGCTAATTTTTTGTATTTTTAGCAGAGACGGAGTTTCGCTGTGTTAGCCAGGATGGTCTCGATGTCTTCACCTCGTGATCTGCCCACCTCGGCCTCCCAAAGTGCTGGGATTACAGGCATGAGCCACTGCACCCTGCCAATAGTACAATTTTTATTTGGAGAGGTAAACACCAAATTCAGAATAGTGATTAAAGTATTAGGGAGGAGAATATGAACTTGGAAAAGTACAGTTTCCTTTCCAAGTTTGAAAAGTAAAAATTTTGTAAAATACCTGATACAGACATGAAAAACATGAAGTAGTGGTGAAAAAAAAAAAGAAGGGTGAATTATTGTGAAGTTAATGATAGATTAGAATTGGGAAGCTCTTTGGACCCTTTGGTAACCCAGAAACTGGCTACCTTCTCTACTTGTCTCTCACGGCCTCTGCACTCTAACCAAGGAGGAATGACCTTACTGAGTTTGTTAATCCCTATCTGATGGGGAATGCTGCTCTGGCAATGCCTCTGTTTTGGGCTTGGATCCCTGGGGTTTAGGGCAGCAGAATGTGTTGCCAAGAAACAATGTTTCTCAGAAGTAGAGTGCAAGATTTTCTAAGAGATCCAGATTCAGTCCTTGACCTACTGCAGTTTGCCCCTCCTCTGCACGCTGTGCACTTCTGTTGCTGTATTACCAGCTGACATTGCGAATCCTGCATTTCTGCCTGTCTTCCTAGGCTATTGGTTATTCAAGCACTCATTCTTTGGCCATAGAGGGTGCTTAATAAATGTGGAATAAATGCAAGTGAGTGCTCCCTTGTAAGACATGGAATAAAAGTGGTAAAAAAAAATTGATTATACCGCAATACATGAAATATGTGGCTAAATGAGAATTTATTTGTTTTATTTAGAAACAAGTTCTCATTCTGACTGGGGGCAGTGGCTCACGCCTGTAATCCTAGCACTTTGGGAGGCCGAGGTGGGTGGATCACTTGAGGTCAGAAGTTTGAGACCAGCCTGGCCAACATGTTGAAGCCCCATCTCTACTAAAAATACAAAAATTAGCTGGGCATCGTGATGCATGCCTGTAATCCCAGCTACTCAGGAGGCTGAGGCGGGAGAATTGCTTGAGCCCAGGAGGCGGAGGTTGCAGTGAGCCGAGATCACACCACTGCATTCCAGCCTGGGTGAGAGCAACTCCACGTCTCAAAAAAGAAAAGTAAAAAAAAAAGAAACAAGATCCCACTCTGTCACCCAAGCTGGAGTACAGTGCTGCAATCATTAGCTCATTGTAACCTAGAACTTCAGGGCTCAGGTGACCCTCCTGCCTCAAGTGATCCTCCTGCCTCAGCCTCCCAAGTAGCTAGCACTACAGGTACACACCACCACATCCAGCTAATTTTTAAACATTTTTTGTAGAGATGGGGGTCTCATCTTCTTGCCCAGGCTGGTCTCAAACTCCTGGCCTCAAGAGATCCTCCCATCTCGGCCTCCCATAGCACTTGGATTACAAGTGTGAACCACCACACCTGGCCACAATTTTTAAAAAATAACTGATACATGTTGGCCAGGTGCGGTGGCTCATGCCTGTAATCCCAGCACTTTGGGAGGCTGAGGCAGGCGCATCACGAAGTCAGGAGTTTGAGACCAGCCTGACCAACAAGGTGAAACCCAGTCTCTAAGAATACAAAAAAATTAGCCAGGTGTGGTGGCATGCACTTGTAATCCCAGCTAATCGTGAGGCTGAGGCAGGAGAATTGCTTGAACCTGGGAGGCGGAGGTTGCAGTGAGCTGAGATCGCACCACTGCACTCCAGCCTGGGTGACAGAGCAAGACTCCAACTCAAAAAAGAAAAAAAAAACTATAAATATATTACACATAGAACAATGGTCCTCAAACTTTAGTATGCATCAGAACCACCCTAGAGGAGTAACTTAACAAAAAGGGGAGAGAATGTATGTGTGTATGTCTTAACAAAAACAGATTGCTGGGTTCTACCCTAGAGTTTCTGATTCAGTAGGTCTGGTTGGGGTCTGAGAATCTGCATTTCTAAGAAGCTTCCAGGTGATGCTGATACTGCTGGTCCAGCGACCATTAATTGAGAACGACTGCATTAGAAAAATCATGGGAAAAAATATGGAAATACATAATGAAAATAACAAAATCAAATATCCCTTTCCTTCAAGTATCATTCCTTTGGGAATGGCTTCCAAAGAAATCCAAAACAAGCAAATTGTTTCACTATAACACTTAACAAATTTTGTTAGTGTACCCTATTGCAAATGGGATATTAACCACCTTTACTTTCAGGGACCTAATCTGTAAAATGAGGATAACAGTGTATCTTTTAACTAGAAATATCTCACAGGGTTGTGAGGATTAAATTATCAAGTGTTCAGAACAGTGGATTAATATATATTGCTATTATTATATTAATATTTTTGGTTAAGATACATCAAAACTAACCACAGAAAAGTGAGAAAGAGAGAAGTTCTGAATAGGAGATATTAATTTATGAGTCATTAAGGTATAGAAGATCAATTAGAGAAAGCCCTGAACAGAAAGGCAATATATTTTTGCTTACTTATAAAAATGAAATTGTATCTTAGAGGGCAAAGTGCGTCTTGATTTTGCATTTGAGAGTTTACTGTTTGATAGATAACTTCACATAAAAACCTTTGCATTGAAAAAAAATTATTTTATTGGAATTTTTTGGTTACAAATATATTTGAGCTAAAATATGTAAAAAATAAAAGAAGAGATGTTCTTGAAATTCCACTCCCCACCTCCTGGGATGCCAACATTTTTATTAATATCCTTTCAGACATCTCTCTATATTGCAATAACTTTTAAAGAAAGTGTTTGGGAAAGTAAAGGTTAGGAAATAGTTACAAATTCTTTATGTTAAATATTTTATTAATATCCAAAATAGCATCATCAAAAGTTCTTTTTTGGCTGGGTGGGGTGGCTCACACCATTAATCCCAACACTTTGGAAGGCTGAGGTGTGCAAGTCACTTGAGCCCAGGAGTTCAAGACCAGGCTGGGCAACATGGCGAAACCCCGTCTCTACAAAAAATACAAAAATTAGCTGGGTGTGGTGGCACATGCCTATAGTCCCAGCTACTTGGGAGGCTGAGGCAGGAGGTTCACTTAAGCCCGGGAGGTGGAAGTTGCAGTGAGCCAAGATCACACCATTACACTCCAGCCTGGGTGACAGACCTGTCTCAAAAAAGGAAAAAACAGTTTTTTTGTTTTGCTGACTAGATGGGAGTAGGGAGGTAGGAATGGAAGAGAGAAGTCCTTGGGAAAAAGCAATTTGATTATCTAGTCTTTTCTCTCCCTCTGTCCCCAACCACAACAATTTAATTCCAGTTTTATTTTAAAAATCAAGATTGCGGTTATATGTGGCATTAGTATCCCATCCTAAATTGGAGACGATAGGGATAGGAAACATTGTGAGCTTGGGCAGGAAGGACGATGACTGGGTTTTTAATTTGATCCTATAATTATTATGATGTCATGTTAATAGTTTAAACATTCTTGTTAAAAGACTTGTAATATTGAAAATATTCCAGCCACTGTTATAAAATAGTGTATTGAAATATTCTAGGAAAAATATTAAAAAGCAGTGCTTCCTTTGCTGGATTTCCCTGATACTCCACTCTTTCTCCATTCACTCTTGTGTGCCCTTCATGTCAACTTCTGAAACACCAATATGTTCTGTAGAAACTCAGATTATGAAATCTGAGTTACGTTTTTTCAGCCCTGAAAACAGCTTTGGAGAGGAAGCTAGATGACTAGGCTAAAATTCCAGAGCAATCTTTATTGTTCTTTCGCCTTCTGAAAATGGGGGAGAGAAGTGCCAAGGGTGAAACTAGAGGTGTGGCCAGGTCGGGGAAATATTTTGTTTCTGCTCTAAATTGTCCTTCCTGTTGCCTATGACTGGAATGATCTTCAGTGCTTTAGGGTTAGTTTCATACTTGGCTCATGCTGGAAAGGAAAGGTTTCCTGAAGCCTTTTCATAGTTTATCTGAAGTGATTTCTGTCAGTGAAAATAGGTATCTTAGAAATTCTAAAGTAAAACAAAAATGATAAATGCTTTATATTATCTAGACTTTTAGGTAGTTATACTAAGGTCACAGGAATTACGTATGGACTCAGATTCTAACTTTAGCATGATATATTAAATGTCTGACAGACTTGAAAATAGACCTGTCTTTGAATAACTTAAAGCCATATCAAGAGTAAATTTCTTGAAGTGGGTAAACGTGAAGTTTTCTATGTATAATTGACCCTACATCGTGATAATGTCAAATATATTTATACTTGATCTCTTCTTAAATGGCCTAAGTGGGGAAGGGAAACCTTTCATTTTGTGTAAAGTTTATTGATTCATCTGTGGTGTAACATTCAAGTTCAAGGTATTGAGACAGATACTACTTGGCATACCATTCTAATGCCACTTACAAAAGTGGTTTCTATTTGAAAGTTCCAAATAGATACTCCAGAACTGACAGGGGAATTCCAGCAAGGTCATTCACCCATTAAAACTTTAAAGAAAAAAAAAAAAGCGAAGGAAAAAAATTGCCTTTGTGTAAACATTAACCTATCTGCTTTTAAGTGGTTCTTTTTGTTTAATTTTTTTAATATTAAAGGGAGAGTTCAAACTGGTTTTTTAAATATTTCAAATCACAAATAATAAATTTAATTAATTTAGAAGTTAAGTTTATACCTTTGTGGTTTATTATATCTCTTCTGGGTTGGCAAAATATCCAATGCTTTAAAAAAAATGGCTTCCCATTGTGCAGCCCACAAAATACAAGAGACAGAGTACAGGCAGGAAGGAATTCTTAAAGCGTCTGTGGTATGTTATCCTTGGTAGTTATATCAGTTGAAACATACCAAGTTCTTGCTCTTGCAGCTTTATAAACCTGCCTGACAGACAGTCATTTGACTAAGCAAACATTGCTGGAAATACATGATGAATTAAAGTATTGTCATTCTGTAAATGTCTTTTGTGAGGTCTAGATACACAGTGAAATGTTGACTGTTTAGAAAATAGCAAAAGCAGTTATTCATCCCTAGGCTGGCAGTTTATTCAGTCCTGAATCTTGAAATTCATATTTCATTTAATGTTAAAATTCTCACATATGGTGCCTCATAAAATGATAGCACATTGAATTTAGTTTTAATTTTAATTATGTTGGTAGCTTTCAAATCTTTTTTGTTGGAGTTGTGTGAGTCTGTAGGGGCTTCTGTGAAAGTTTCTATATAATTTATGCTTTCAGTCCCTCCTGTTCCACAGACTCATACTGCTGCAGAGATGGCAGATACATTCATTGTCTACTTTGGACAAAATAGAGCTTTTAAAAAATGTTTATTAAATGTTGAGTAGATACAAAATATTTATAAAACATCTGTAAGGCTTATGGAATAACTATACAGAGAACATTTGTGTACCTACAGCCTAGTTTAAGAAAGCAATATTACCATTACTTCTAGTGTCTCCTGTGGGCTCATTCCTGATTCTATACTTTTCTTGTACCCTCAGAAGTAACCAGAGTTTTAAATTTTGTGTTAATAATTCTCTTGCGGTTCTCAATGGTTTTATCACATTTCTATATATCCCTAAACAGTATATTGATTAGTTTTTCATGTTTTTGAACTTTATAAAAATGAAATCCTATTGTATGTCTTTTTCTGGGACATGCCTTTTTTTAAAAAAAAATCTACATTATAGCCTTAGATTTATCCATGTCAACGCTTATAGCATTCCTCATTAGTTTTCACTGCTGTATAATGTAGCATTGTAGGAGTATTACAGAATTTCCTAGCAGATGAGTTGATGGATGAGCATTGTGATGTTTCAGTTGTTAGTTATTACAAACATTGCACCTAAGTATACATATATTCCTGTGTTTGTATCTACCGCATATATGCAATCATTTCTCCATCAATGTTCCCTAACCTTTCTTGTGTCACGGCACACATAGAAAATGATAGATGATATGTGTGCAATACACCAGGTTAAAGAAGTAAAGCTATGTCCTGGCCTGGGGGCTTCTGCTGAACTAGAGAGCTGAGTTCCATATCTGGGCACACCTGTCACCCATTCATTGCATACTAGGGTGCCTTGGCACACCAGTTGGGAAGCTCTGCTAGTGTGTGTGCCTGGGAGTAGAATTGCTGATTATAGGTGAATGCTTCTTCAGTCCTTCTAGGCTAGATACCAAATTGCATGGTGGTATTAATTATTTCACTTAACTGACATCTAAAGTGTTTGTATCAATTCACGTTCTCTAAATATATTTAAATCAACAAGATTTGAGAATTCTACCAACCTCCTAATTATGAATGTTAAGTAGGAAAAGAAATAATTATTCCCTAGGATATCAATTCAGATTTGCTTTCTCGAAACATGATAATATCAAAATTCTTTGACAATGTGACAGCAGAGAGTTGTAGGTAGTAGGCAATGTTAAAAAGTGACAACATGCCCCGTAGTTGTTATTAATTGTGAAAGCCACAGCTTAAGCGAAATGAATTACTTATGAGAGCTGTAATTCTGTCTTCCAAGTTGGGTATTGCATTGGCTTTTTGTTTCTTAGCCTCAGGGACTGTTTTCAGATAATGTATACAAGATGGAGTAATGAAAACTATTTGCTATGTAAGTAACTTTTTTTTTTTTTTTGAGAAGGAGTCTTGCTCTGTCGCCCAGGCTGGAGTGGAGTGGTGCGATCTCAGCTCACTGCAACCTCCACCTCCCGGATTCAAGCAATTCTCCTGCCTCAGCCTCCCAAGTAGCTGGGATTACAGGCGCCCGCCACCACGCCCAGCTAATTTTTGTATTTTTAGTAGAGATAAGGTCTCACCATGTTGGCCAGGCTGGTCTCAAACTCCTGACCTCAGGTGATCCACCCACCTCAGCCTCCCAAAGTACTGGGATTACAGGCATGAGCCATTGTGCCCGGCCTAAGTAAGTGACTTTTAGTGTAGAAAGGCAAACCTTAAGAAACGAGCTAGTTTATCTTGACTACTCTTAAAATTGGTTTTCTTTTAAACAGTAGAGATCTCAATCAGAATTACATTAGGTTAATAAATGATAATAATTTCTCCATTCAAATGACATCAGACTAGATGATTGATTTTAGAAAAATTACAACCTGACATAGGTTTCCCATGGCATTTTCAAGAAGCTTCTGGACATTACCTCCACGGTTACCATTCTAATGGCTTGCTCATAGACAAATGTAAAAGAAATTTTTACTTGGTGGGAGTATTACCTTCCGGCTTGCAGGCTGAGGATATTTTAAATTAGATGGAAAATATGAGAGCAAAGATTTCAAACTCATGCTTACCCTGGTTTATGAAAATCTAATGCCAAATTTGTATTTTAATTTATTTGGCAGAGATTAAACTGCAATTTAAATACAGATTAAAACTGCATTTTCATTTTACTGGTATACTGTGTACTACACTTAAGTCAGGGTCTCAGTTGTTTTTATATAAATTAGGATTGGAAGCATAGTACCAATTCTGGAATTAACACCTATAGTATGTGACAGTAGTGCATGTGTGTGTGCGTGCATATATACATGCATGTATATATACATATGTGTGTATATATTATATGCGTGCACACATATACACATGCATGCACACACATATGCGTGCACACATATACACATGCGTGCACACACATATGCGTGCACACACATATACACATGTGTATATTACATATATGCGTGCACACACATATGCGTGCACACACATATACACATGTGTATATTATATATGCATGCACACACATATGCGTGCACACACATATACACGTGTATATTATATATATGCACACACAGATATGCACATACCATGCTCTCGTGTTTTACATATGTATGTGTGTGTATAGTATTGATTGAGGCTCAATGCATATTCAACACTATCAAATAGCATTCATTAAGCATCTGGTTATAGTCAGTTCTGTAACTTCACTCTCAGCATGTAGCTAAGCTCTAGCTACAGACATATAGGATACATAATAAATGAGACTCAATAGCAAAATAGTGGTAAATATGAACGATACATTCAAGATTTTTTTCATTATTTTTCTCCTTTGAATACAAAGTGTTTATTGTGATTTGCCACATGTGGCCATATTCTTATTTTTTTATTATAAGTAACCGAGTTTTTTGATGTTTGTTTGTTTGTTTGTTTGAGATGGAGTCTCACTCTGTTGCCAAGACTGCAGTGCAGTGGCTCAATCTTGGCTCACTGTAACCTCTGCCTCCTGGGTTCAAGCAATTCTCCTGCCTCAGCCTCCCGAGTATCTGGGATTACAGGCATGCGCCACCATGCCCGGCTAATTTTTGTATTTTTAGTAGAGACAAGGTTTCACCATGTTGGCCATGATTGTTTGGAACTCTTGACCTCAGGTGATCTGTCCACCTCAGCCTCCCAAAGTGCTGGGATTATAGGCGTGAGCCACCACGCCCGGCCGTGACTGAGTTTTAATAGCAAGTACACATTTTCCTATAGCTGGCTATTATATAAGTGCTTCTTTAATTTCTACCCAAGTATCCCCTTACGGAAATGGTAAGTCAATTTATAGCCCTAGAAATAGGAAGATGACCTCCTGTAAGAACATTCTATGCTTGAAATGTCAGGATTTGTCTTTAAAAGCTCATGTAAAATTTGCATTTTTCATTCTGTTTCAATATATTTTCCCCTATATAAAGTTGATACTACAGAAAGATCTGTTCTGCGGCTTCATATACCCCAGTTTGAGGAGCACGTTAAGTGGAATTCTATTTGCCAAAGGCCTTTAAATCAGAAGGGCTTTCTTCTAGGAAAATGTTGACTTCTGTAATCTGGGTTCCGTTTAGGCTTCACTGAAAGTGAAAGAAGTTTCTTGGGTGACTTTGGCCATCAGTGGTCTCTGTCTCTTTTTGTGATCATCTTGTCATCTTTTGTGTATCTTTGTTTCTTAGACAGTGCATTTGATGGAACCCTTTTTCCTAGATCTTTCTTTTGTCTTGGTTGCCAGGAAATTACACCATCCTGCTCCTTTTCAAAATCCTCTGTCCATCCCTACTCTGTTTTCCATGCTTCTCTGGTATTACCCTGTGTTTATATTTCACAGCTCAGTTTTGGCCGCTCCTTCCTCACTCTGTATAATCTTTCTCAGTTATCTCAGTTCTGTTCTCTCATACTGTGTATCCAGATGCCTTTTGGACAATTCAACTAGGACATTTTAGAGTCACTTCACACTTTGCCTTTATAAACTCACTCTCACATCCCCGGTGCCTTGCACAGTAGGTACCAACAAATATTTATTGAATGAATGAGTTAAATGAATCTCACTCCCTTCATCTCATTTCTGTCTTTTGTCACTGGTGTCACTGTTCTGATCTCTCTTTGATATTGCAAGTATTTTTTATTTTTTCTTTTGAAATACATTTTATATTTGATTATTTTCACTGTAATTTCATTATCTTTACCCTAATGTAGGCCCTCGTCACCTCATGCCAAGATTACTTCCACAGTTGCCCATCTGACCTTTTTGGTTCTAACTTCTCCTTTCTCCAAGCCATTTTCACTATAGCTGTTCTAATAATTTTTAAAATGTTTGTTTATTGGGAAAAAAGTCTATCTATTGTTTTAATAAACTTTTTGTTTTTGAAATAGTTAGAGATGTATAGAAAATCTGCTAAGATAGTACAGAAAGTTCCTGTAGAAACTTTACCCACCTTCTCCTGATGTTAACATCTTACATAACTATGGCTCATTTATCAAAATTAAGAAATTAACATTGGTACATGACTATTAACTAAAAGCCAGACTTTATTTGGTTTTCACCAGTTTTTCCATGACTGTAGTTTTTCTATTCCAGGATCTAATCCAGCGTACCACATTACATTTGGCATACCTTTTTTTTTTTTTTTTTTTTGAGACGGAGTTTTGCTCTTGTTGCCCAGGCCGGAGTGCAATGGCGCGATCTTGGCTCACCGCAACCTCCACCTCCCGGGTTCAAGCAATTCTGCCTCTGCCTCCCGAGTAGCTGGGATTACAGGCATGCACCTCCACGTCCAGCTAATTTTGTATTTTTAGTAGAGATGGGGTTTTTCAGTGTAGGTCAGGCTGGTCTCGAACTCCCGACCTCAGGTGATCTGCCCGCCTCGGCCTCCCAAAGTGCTGGGATTCCAGGCGTGAGCCACCGTGCCTGGCCACAGTCACCTAATTTTTAAATTCCAGTATCCTATTAGATATCTGTACTATAATTTAATTTACCAGTTCCTTCCTGATTTCCATCTTTTTCTTTTGCCAACAATGCTGCAGTTAATATTCACGTACATGTGTATGTTTTTAGTTATTGCTGGGTGAAAGTGTATGTGTTCATAATTTGATTGCCAATTTGCTCTTCAGAGAGGTTCTATCAATTTATCCTCCATTATTTTCCCATAACCTCACCAACATTGTATCTTATGAAACTTTTTTAACTTTGCCAATTTGTTAGGTGAAAATATAGGTTAAGATGACGTCATTGTACTTTTAATTTTGATTTCTCTTATAATGAGTGAGGTTGAGTGTCTTTTTATTTTTATTTTTATTTATTCATTTTTTTGAGACGGAGTCTTGCTCTGTCGCCCAGGCTAGAGTGCAGTGGTGCGATCTCAGCTCACTGCCAGCTCTGCCTCCTGGGTTCACGCCATTCTCCTGCCTCAGCTTCCAGAGTAGCTGGGACTACAGGCACCCGCCACCACGCCCGGCTAATTTTTTTTTATTTTTTATTTTTAGTAGAGACGGGGTTTTACCATGTTAGCCAGGATGGTCTCTATCTCCTGACCTCGTGATCCGCCTGCCTCGGCCTCCCAAAGTGCTGGGATTACAGGCGTGAGCCACCGCGCCCAGCCGAGTGCCTTTTTATATATTTAAGAGCCATTTATATTTCTTCTCTGAACTGTTCATGTACTTTGCCCACTTTTCAATTAGGTTGTTTATTAAAGCACCTTTATTATTTTATTTTCTCGCTTTAAAATCTTTTGATTCCTCCCATTTTCTGATATTTTAATTTTAAATCCTAGTCCCTTTTTCTAGACTTTACATTCTATGTTTCAATTCCGATTTCCCAGTACTTTTCAACAACCACCCCTGCTATGACCAGCCTGGTTTCTTCCCTCTCCCAGGGGCACACCGTGCTTGCCCCTTCCGCCATGCTTTCTTTTCTAATGTTCCCCTACTTTTCTCCTCCACTTATATCTCCTATTTTGAGACAGAGATTCATGTCATTTCCTCCATTTGTGTAAACTTCCTTTTAACCTCAAGGAGACTTCTAGAAAAAAGAATTAACTTATAGTTTGTAAACTCTTTAAAAAAATGATAATCACTAAGAACCGGCACAATTAAAAAAAAAAAAACTGCTCAAACAAACTACATCTTCATTTCCATTAGAGTTTGACAAGATTGGGATGCTGTGGACATGTCTTTACTTACAAGGTATTTTGTTCTCCTGACATATTTGAGGAACTACAAAAATATAAGCTGTATGAGAATAGGTGGTTTTGTAGCTGATCAAACATGTGCACCCAAAGAATATTGATTTATGGATCAGTATCAAACTAAAGGTCTCTAATAACATGTTTCAGAACTCTATTCTCAATCTTGACTGTTCAATGTTTATTTACTAATAATTTGGGTGAAATCATGGTCATTAAGTAGACGTAGTTAGGCTGAAAAGGTTACTTACTATGACAGAGGACAGCCAGCATGATTCAAAATGATCTTAATAATTTGGAAAAGTGGGCTAAAACCAAAATGTGAAATGTAAAAAGGTTGTATGTAGGACCCTGTGTTTCATTTCTAAAATTAACTGAGAAAAGAATGAGGGGGTTCTCTCACAAGGACAGGTCATTGGATTTAGAGCCCACTTAGATAATCCAGGATGATCTCATTTTGAGATCCTTAGTCACATCAGCAAAGCCTCCTTTTCCAAATACAGTCACATTCATAGATTCCGGGGATTTGACATGGGTTCTTTCTGAGGGGCCACCATTCAGCCTACTACAAAGAGGAACTTGCAGCCGTCACGTGTGTCGCTTTGCATCCCTTGCTCTCTCCTCCTCATAGACTGCTACCTTGGCTCAGTGTCACCTCAAAACTGCCTATTTGGTTTTGGGAGGTAGAGGGGTGGTTAAAAGCTGAGAAGGTAAGAAGGACCAGGTATGATCAGACTGGCTGTGAAGGGGATTCTGGAACTTGAAGCAGAGGCTTTGGGCAGGACCAGCTTCCTGTCAGGTTCAAGTGTTCCCTTGTCAATCACATTCTGTCCTTTGGCTGCTGAAAACCTTCCCATGGCATCTCAGTGTATGAAATCCAAACCTCTCCCCACAGTTACAGGGTCCCTGACTACTTTTTTGGGCCTCACATTTGGTCCTTGATCTCTGCTTTGGCCACACTGGCCTTCGTCCTCTTGGTTCTTGAGCAAGCCAAGGTCATTCTTGCCTCTGAACCTTTACATTGGCTGTTCCTTTGGCTGAAACACTGTTCCTTTCTACTTGCTTCACGCTTGGTTCCTTCGCTTGAAACACTGTTTCTTCCCCTCACTCCTCAGTTCATGTTCCTCTCAGCTCAAACTTCCCTCCTTCTCAGTGAGTCCTGAATATTGAGTTTTCCCCAGTCACCCTGTTCTCTTATCATCACAGTACTTGGCACCCCATGAAATTTCCTGGTTTGTCTATTCTCCACCCTCCTGCTGGAATGTCCGTCCCGGGAGAATAGGAGTCTTGTCAGATGGATTCATTGCTAGCACAGTGCCTGGCAGGTAGCAAGTGTTTACTTTGCAACTCCAGGGGAAAGTGGGATTCTCAGACCCATGAAATCCAACTAGGATCAGCTCAAGCCCTTTCCACATATACTTAAAAGCCTCAAACCCCACCACGCCCCCAGGATTTTAGCAGAATCTGGAGTGGCTCCTGTTCTCCAGGGCACCTCTGCCCTGGAGCAGCTTATCTATTGATCCAGACACGAATCTTAGCCTGTTCCTCAGCTCCCACAAGAAAGCCCGTCCTTACAGTAGCAGCTGACATTTACCCAGCAGTTACTATGTTCCAGGCACAGGTCCAACTACTTTGTATGAGCTACATCACTTCATCCTACCTAAAAAGTAGGTGAAATATTGTGCCCGTTTTACAGATGAGTCAGCTGAGACCCAGAGAGGTTAAGCAAATTACCTAAAATCACTCAGCAAGTAAGGGATAGAACCAGGATTCACACTTGGGAAACTTGTGTGTGTTTGATCCCAACACAGGAAAGAAAAAAAAAAATGAGGGTACAGCTAGGCACTTGGTTTAATGTAGCTCATGGGCCAAAGACTTAGGAGGCCACTAAGTTAAGAGTATAATGCTTTAAAAATTTGAAATAATCTTGATTTGCATTTATAAAAGTACAGCACCCAGATTAATGAATTTGATAGTTCCACAACTTTTTTTCTGCATCAGTTTTCATTTGCGTATTCTGTTCAGTCTTGAGTATTATATTTTAAAGGAGCTTGAAATTAAAGTACCTGTATTATTTTTCTATTGCTCCCATAACAAATTATCAAAAACTTTGTGGTTTAAAAACAACACAAGTTTATCTTATAGTTCTGTAGGTCAAAAGACCAACATGGGTCTCACTAGGCTAAACCAGGGTGTCATCAGGGCGGACACTCTGGGGAAAAATCAGTTTCCTTGCCATTCCTAGCTTCTAGAGGCCACCTGCAGTCCTCTGAGGCCCCTTCCTCCATCTTCGAAGCCAGCGAGAGCTAGTCAAGTCCTCCTATCACATCTCCCTGACCACAGCTGGGAGGGAAAAGTTCACTGCTTTTCAAGGATTCATGTGACTAGGTTGGACTCCTCCGGATAATCTCCCCATTTCAAAGTCCTTAAACGTTAATCACATCTGCAAAGTCCCTTTTGCCATGGAAGGTAACATATTCACAGGTTCTCAGGATTAGGACATGGACATCTTTGAGGGGTGCATTATTTTGCCTATCACGGTGCTTGTTGCAGAAGATCCCCAGGATAGTGAAGGGGTCAAATTGGACTCAGAGAGTCAGACTGAAAAGAATTAAGATGATCTCCAAATTTATTGCCTGGGAGAGAATAAAATAATGTTCATAAAGTGATTAGTGCAGTAAGTATGTAATAAATGGTTGCTGCTTCAAAGGCTAATGGTAGAAATTACAAGGCTGGGCGCAGTGGCTCACACCTGTAATACCAGCACTTTGGGAGGCCAAGGCGGGCAAATCACCTGAGGTCAGGAGTTTGCGACCAGCCTGGTCAACATGGTGAAACCCCGTCTTTACTAAAAGTACAAAAATTAGCTGGACACGGTGGCGGGCGTCTGTAGTCTCAGGTATTCGGGAGGCTGAGGCAGGAGAATCCTTTGAACCTGGGAGGCAGAGGTTGCAGTGAGCCAAGATCGTGCCACTGCACTCCAGCCGGGACAACAGAGTGAGACTCTGTCAGAAAAAAGAAAGAAAAGAAAGGAAGGAAGGAAGCAGGAAGGAGGGAGGGAGGGAGGGAAGAAAGGAAGGAAAGAAGGGGGAAGGAGGGAGGGAAGGAAGGAAGGAAGGAATAAAATAAAGAAATATGGTAGCTCAGAAGGGAAAGAAGCTTAGGAATGTGGCAAGAGATGAAGCAGTATCATATTTTATCTTGCAAAGAATAGAATTTGGGATCCATGTTCTCACTTTACATCAGATCAGCCGGTGGTTTGAATGTCAGAAAATACTACGTTTACCAAGAACTTTCTTTCACTAGTAAAAAAGTCAGGGAGAATGGAGATGGGGGAGGACTATAGTGGAGAAACAACTTTCTGGCCCTTTTCTGCCATGATTGTACAATGTATAGCTTCTGAGGAGGAAGGGAAAGTTGTCTTTTTGTTTTTTGTTTTTTGAAATGGAGTTTCAAAAAGGAGCCTCAGCCTCCCGAGTAGCTGGGATTACAGGCACCCACCACCACACCCAGCTAATTTTTGTATTTTTAATAGAGACAGAGTTTCACCATGTTGGCCAGGCTTGTCTTGAACTCTTGACCTCAGGTGATCCGCCCGTCTCGGCCTCTCAAAGTGCTGGGATTACAGGCGAGAGCCACTGCAGGTGGCTGGGAAAGTTTTATGAGAGGAAAGCAAGATATTTGAAGCTCAGAGGACTATCCTTTTCTTTTTTCTTTTTTCCAGGAACATATGGGAAAGAAATCCCCTCGGAAACCAAAGCCCAGCCATCGGAGATTTTAAGATTTTTCAGGCTTTCCTTATAATCTTCCTTACATTTGTCTCTTTAAACACATTTAAGTCGACCTTTGAGAAGTTGCTGATAAGCAGTTATCAAACAAGAGTTAGAGTAACAAACCCTCCCACCTCGCTGTGTTGGTTGGTAGCTTCCAAGGCCACTGTAAATGTGTATCAGTGTGAACCTGATCCAGAAACAGCCAGGAAGGGAGCAAAGTTTAGTTTAGTCTGTGAGGAAACTGGCGGCTGCTGGTAGTTCCATGCTGTCTGTTCAGACTTCAGCTTGGTGTAAGTAGTTTTTTTTAAAAAAAACTATTATGACATTTTCATATAAAAAGGATTGTAAGAATAATTTCCATCAAAGATTAAATCAAGTTTCTACCTGGCTCTAAATCTTAGGGATTAGAACTACTGAAAAGAAAGTTTCAGCACTCAGCAGTAGTTTTATTTTTTTTTAATGGAAAAGAAAGCCGTGAGGTGTATCAGCAAGTGTGCTGCTAAAACAGGTCCCGTGTGCACGAAATGATTTCTAATGTCTTATGTTGAGTGCAAGTGTTTACAGTTAGAAAATAAAAGTGAGTATGTACCTAGTGCCGAGAGATTGTTTCTAAGCAGTGCTTAGATTTATCCTCATGTTCTTTCCAGTTGCTTTTCCTCTGGTTTAGATTCATAGTTACAGATTCATGTCAGCAAATATTTAGCAGTCTCTCAGATCATTAAATTGGAGGTTTTGATGTTCAAAGAAATTAAAAGAATGAGAATAAAGTAGAACTTAATATCCTGTAACAAGATGTTGGGATCCAAGATTTAAGAGCAGCAGAATGTATTTTCAAAGAGGAAGAACTTTGTAAAACAGAAGTGGCAAGCAGCCTGAGGTTTCACGCAACTTCGGAGAAATCTGTTTTCTTAAGATTTGACATCTGTATGGATTTTTCAGACTAAATTCCCAGTACTATGGTGCGTAAAATGAGTTTCATATATGAAATTAGAGTTGCCGTGTTTCAGCTCTTCTGTCTTGAGATTAGGATCCAGGAACTACACATTGTTACACAAACATATTGACTTTATTAATGCAGCCATGAGAATGTTAAGGTCGCATGTGGTGTTGGAAAGGTTGGTATTTTCTATTTCCCTTTTACCACAATGCATTTTTAAAAAACCTGGTACATGACAATTATATGACTTTTAACTATATAAAAGGTCGAATTAGCCAGTAGCCTTTTTTTTTTTTTTTTTTTTTGAGACGGAGTCTCGCTCTGCAGTGGCACAATCTTGGCTGACTGCAAGGTCCGCCTCCCGTGTTCAAGTGATTCTCCTGCTTCAGCCTCCCAAGTAGCTTGGATTATAGGCGCCCGCCACCATGCCTGGCTAATTTTTTTTTTTTTTTTTTTTTTTTTTTTTTTTTTTTAGTAGAGATGGGGTTTCACCATGTTAGCCAGGATGGTCTCGATCTCCTGACCTCGTGATCCACCCGCCTCGGCCTCCCAAAGTGCTGGGATTACAGGCGTGAGCCACCGCGCCCGGCCTAGCCAGTAGCCTTTCAAATCACTGGAGGAGTGCTCAGAAGAGAGATTATTTATATAGACGTTCACTGGGTTTCCCCTTCCTCTGTCTTCATCTCAGACCTCAGTCTGTTTCTCTATCCTGCTTCTTGTTTCTGCTGTACTGAGCGGGAGCTCAGATCATGGTGCTGGGCCCCAACTGAATCTCGGTGAGATGGAATCCAGGACGCGTTGTCCTAAGGCTCTAGGGCTACAATGAACTGAAAACCTTAACTCACCCTCTAGCTTTCTGAATCTCGTGATTCTAGCCTCTTGAGCTGATTAACTTCTCCAAGTCAATAGCTTCTGCTGGGCCAAGTTCCTCATTTACTTGTTGGTTGAGGAGAAGGAGTGGAGGGCTGGGGGGTGTCCTGGGAAAGAAGCCAGTGTGGCAGGTAACATTGTTACTAGGGAAGCAGCTATTTTTCTCATGGGACTTGAAATGTTTCAGTCTTTTAACAACCTGGAAGGCCATACAGGTGTGTACTAGCCGCATGGTAACAAGCCCCTTTGAAAACAATGTTTTTAACCTCCAGTAGGTGCCCATACCATCCAGACCACTGCTCGTGCCCTACAAACCAGCCCTCAGGATCTGGCTTTCAAGCATGTGTTTTACATCATTGCCTGCCATTGTTCTCACTCAGGTTGCTCTAGCTACAAAGGTGTTTTGCTTTCTCTTGAACACATCAGACCTGCTCTTGCCTTAGGGCAGCTGCTGCCTAGAAAGCTCTTCCCCCTCATTGTTTCTTCCCAGCCTTCATTCGGGTCTCTATTCAAATAGCTCCTCCTCAGAGAGGCCTTCCCAGACTACCCTAACTAAAATGGCACCCTACTCCACTTCCACCATAACACTTTTTTTCTTTTAACCTAATTTACCTTTTTTTTTTTTTTTTTTGAGACGGAGTTTCACTCTTGTTGCCCAGGCTGGAGTGCAATGGTGGGATCTCGGCTCACTGCAACCTCTGCCTCCCGGGTTCAAGCGATTCTCCTGCCTCAGCCTCCCCAGTAGCTGGGATTACAGACATGCGCCACCATGCCCAGCTAATTTTGTATTTTTAGTAAGGAGATGGGGTTTCTCCATGTTGGTCAGGCTGGTCTCGAACTCCCGACCTCAGGTGATCTGCCTGCCTTGGCCTCCCAAAGTGCTGGGATTACAGGCGTGAACCACTGCGCCTGGCCTTTTCTTTTCTTTTCTTTTTTTTTAAGTAGCCACCTGGCAGTATTTATTTTATAAATTAAAAAATGTGTGTACATATATGTATGCCTGTGTGTGTATGTGTGTGTGTGTTGTGTTATGTAGGATATATATTTGGTCTTTCCCTCTAGAATGTAAGAACTTTGTCTTGTTCAGGGCCATATTGTCAGTGCCTAGGATAGTGCCTGCTTGACATGTAGTAGACACTTGGTAAATCGTTGTATGACAACTGGTGTCATTAAAATTTATTTCCAACCATAGGAATTTTTTGAATAGATGATATATTCACATTTCCAAGACCAAAACATATCAACTTCCCACTCCAGCCAGTTCTCCATCCATTCAGCTCCCATTCAGGGTCCCCAAACCACGGCTATTATTTTTCCATGTATCTTTCCAGAGTTTCTTGATATATGTAGTAAGGAAATATAAAAGTATAAATAGATTCTTATTTCCCTCCTTTTTACACATAACATTATACGTAATGTTCTAAATGTTTTCAGTTGTAATATATGTTGAATCTCTTTCCATGTAAGTACATAGAGAGTGTCCTCATTTTTAAATAGCTGCCTACTAATCCATTGTACGGATGTACTGTAATTTATATAACCAGTCACCTGTTGATAGACATTTTGGTTGTTTCCAGTGTCTTCCTATTGTAAACAATGCTGAAGTTCATAGCCTTGTACATGTATCATTTTATACATGCATACAGTATATCCATATGACTAAATTCCCCAAAGTAGAATTACTGGATCAAAAGGTATCATAAATATTGCCTAACTGCCTTCTTTAGGGATTGTACCAATGTGTACTCCCCCCCCCCATTATAAGAGTACTGTTTCTCATATCCTTGCCAACAGAATCATCAGACTTTTGGATTTTTGCCAGTTTGATAGGTTAAATAATGGTTTCAGCATAGTGTTTGTTTTTTAGAATTTACAATAAAATTTGTGTTGAAGTTTTAAAAACTAATTTTCATTTTTAATTGTGGTTAAAAATCCTATAACATAGGTAACCATTTTTAAGTGTACAGTTCGGTAGTGTTAAGTATATTCACGTTCTTGTGCAACAGATTTCCAGGACACTTCTGTCTTGTGAAACTGAAATTCTATACTCATTAAATAACAACTCTCCACTTCCTCCTCCTGCTAACTCCTAGCAACTACCATTCTACTTTCTGTTTCAATGAATGACTAGTAGCTATCTCATGTAAGTGGAATCACACAGTAATTATCCTTTTGTGGCTGGCTTATTTCACTTAGCCTAATGTCCTCAAGGCTTATCCGTGATGTAGTATATGGCAGGATTTCCTTCATTTGTAAGGTGAACAATATCCCATTGTATGTATATGCCATGTCCTGTTTATCCATTCATTCATCAATAGATATTTGGGTTGCTTCTACCTCTTGGCTATTGCGAATAAGGCCTCTGTGAACATGGATGTGCAGATATCTCTTTGAGGTCCTGCTTTCAGTTCTTTTGGCTATATACCCAGCAATGGGATTGTTGGATCATATGGTAATTCTATTTTTAATTTTTTGAGGAACCACCATACGTTTTCCATAGCAGCTATACCATTTTATCATAGTTTTAATTTGTATTTCTTTCATTATGAGAGGGGTTGAGCATCTTTTCATATTTAAAATAAATGCCTTTTTCTTCTGTGAACTCTTCATATTCTTTGCCAGTAATGGAATTTTTTTCCTATTTTTAATTTGATAACATTTTTTGTTCTTGTGCCCTTGAGTTTTCCAAATTTATAAGCTAGTCTAGTAGTCGTACATACAGGTATGGAATAAGACTACCTGGGTTTGAATTCTAGATCTACTAATAGCTGTGCAATCTTGATTGGACAAGTTACTGAACCTTTCTGAGCCACATTTTCTTATTTGTTAAATTGGAATAACATTGGATTGTTGTAAAGATGAGATGATGTATATTAGATACTTAGTATAGGGCTAGTATGATAAGGCAAAAACAAAAAAGGAAAAAGAAATTAAAAGACCTAAAGTGCAGAAAAGAAATAAAACTGTCATTAACAGATGACATGATTGTATGCATAAAAAACCTTATACAATCTATAAAAAAAACTTGAACTAATTAATGAACTTAGTAAGGCCACAGGTTAGAGTCAACATAAAAATCATACTAGAAACAACAGCTAAAATAGGTGAAAATATCACCATTAAAAATATCTGGCTGGGCACAGTGGGCTCAAGCCTGTAATCCCAACATTTTGAGAGGCTGAGCCCGGAGGATCACTTGAGGCCAGGAGTTAAAGACCAGCCTGGGCAACATAGCAAGACTTCATATCCATTTAAAAAAATTAAAAATATGAAAAAAATAGAAAGAAAAAGAGGCTGGGTGTGGTGGCCCATGCCTATAAACCTAGCACTTTGGGAGGCTGAGGCAGATGGATTGCCTGAGCTCAGGAGTTCAAGACCATCCTAAGCAACATGACAAAACGCTGTGTCTACAAAAAATACAAAAATTAGCCCAGCATAGAGGCACGCACCTGTAGTCTCAGCTACTCAGGAGGGTGAGGTGAGAGGATCGCTTGAGCCCAGGAGGTGGAGGTTGTAGTGAGCTATGGTCATGCCACTGCACTCCAGTCTGGGTGACAGAGTGAGACCCTGTCTCAAAAAGAAAGAAAGAAAATAAGAAAAAATACCTAACACACAGGAATAAATCTTTCAAAAGAGCACAACACCTCTATACTCAAGACTGTAAAACATTGCTGAGAAAAACTTAACAACTCAGAAATAGAAAGTGCAATATATATATACCATGATCATGGATATAAATTGTTAAGGTGCCATTTCTCCCTAAATCAGTCTGTAGATCTAATGCATTCCCAATCAAAATTTCAGCAGGCAATATTGACGAAATTGACAAGCTATTTCTAAATTTTTTGTGAAAATACAAAAGATATACAATAGCTAAAACAATCTTGAAAAGTAACAAAAAGGTAAATGACTTATAATACGTGACTTGAACACTTAACTCTGAAACAATAATCAAGACAGTGTGATATTGCCTTGAGGACAGGCAGATTTGTCGGTGGAACAGAATAGGGAAATCAGAAATAGATTCACACATATAAGGTCAATTGATTTTTGATCAGGTGGTGAGTCAGTTCAATGAAAAAAGAGTAGTTTTCTTTAACATGTTGCTGAAACAATGGATTTTCTTTTTTTTTTTTTCTTTTTTTCTTTGAGATGAAGTCTCGCTCTGTCACCCAGGCTGGAGTCCAGTGGTGCCATCTCGGCTCACTGCAATCCGCCTCCTGGGTTCAAGCAATTCTCCTGCCTCAGCCTCCCGAGTAGCTGGGATTACAGGTGAGTGCCACCACACGTGGCTAATTTTTGTATTTTTAGTAGAGACGGTGTTTCACCATGTTGGCCAGGCTAGTCTCGAATTCCTAACCTCAAGTGATCTGCCTGCCTCGGCCTCCCAAAGTGCTGGGATTACAGGCATGAGCCACCTCGCCCAGCCAACAAATGGATTTTCTTATAGGGGGAAAAAATTTCATGCCTCTCTCACTCTACACAAAACTGCAATAGACATGGATGTACTGATAAATAGACATGGATCATAGATCTAAACATAGAACCAGAAACCTTAAAAAAAAAAAAACAGCAATCTTGGGTTATGCAAAGATTTCTTGAGAAGGACACTAAAAGCACTAACCATAATAGTACATTAAATACAATTAAATGAACTTATTGCAAGAACTTCTTAGGACCTTTAATATGTTAATGTTTCTAGTAAGAGGACCATGCAGCATTTTCTAAAGTGTTTGATCACAGAATCCTTTATTCATCTGGAACATGGAACATACTTGGAGAAGTGTTGCTTTGATTCTCTCCTCAAAATATAGTATTTTTGAGAGCTATAATAAGCCCCCTCTTTGATACAAAATAATGTAATTGGATCCCCTTCCCTTCAACAACTCGAGTAAAGAAAACCCTTCTGCCCAAAGAGCTGTGATTACACCCCATCCCCTATTTGCTGGTTGGCCAGCCAACTGTTGCAGTTACTCTAGGCTAATGTCACATTACAGCAGAATTCACCCTAGTAAGAGGGGCAAAGAGTGACTAAAGGTGCAAAGCATTTTTCATTTTCCTTGCTGCAGGTTCCATATATATTGTCCCTCAGTATCGGTGGAGGATTGGTTCCACGACCTCCTAGGGATAACAAAATCCAAGGATGTTCAGATTCCTTATATAAAACCTATGTAACCTATGCACATCCTCTCATATACTTTAAATCATCTCTAATTATTTATAATACCTAATGCAATGTAAATGCTATGTGAATCATTGTTATACTTTATTATTTATGAAATAAGAAAGCCTATACATGTTCAGTACAGATGCAATTTTTTCCCCAAATATTTTCAATTTACAGATAGTGAGGAGGATAAGGAGGGCCAACTGTACTGGCTTGGCCTGCTCAGCCCTCCTCTCTCACTGCCTAGCAAACTCCAGGTTATTAACCCTTTGCTTCTCTGTACTCAGCTCCTATAGTCCTAGTTCCTAATGGCTTGAAGGGCTGTAGACTGACAGTCTTTATGCATTCTAGATTCTGTAGCATGCCTGGTCTCTGACTCATAGTTTACTGATGAATCAGATTCCCCTACCTGCTGTTGCTGCCCATGAACTGAAGTTTTATGGAATATGAGTTGTCACATAAGAAGTAGGAGAGGAACCAGAAGAGAGAGTAGAGGCCAAACTTCACCTTAACCAGAATTTGACCCAAGGCCCATCCTGTTCAGGAAAATAAATCTCAAAAAGAAGTCAAAATGGAATGTAATGTCAGAATAAATATAAAAAGAAAAGAAATTGGCTGGGTGTGGTGGCTCACACCTGTAATCCCAGCACTTTGGGAGGCTGAGGTGGGCAGATAGCTTGAGGTCTGGAGTTCAAGACCAGCCTGGCCAACATGGTGAAACCCCATCTCTACTAAAAATACAAAAATTAGCTGGGCATGGTGGCACATGCCTATAGTTGCAGCTACTCAGGAGGCTGAGGCAGGAAAACCACTTGAACATAGGAGGCGGAGGCTGCAGTAAGCCGAGATGGCGCCATTGCACTCCAGCCTGGGTGACAGAGTGAGACTCTGTCTCAAAAAAAAAAAAAAAAGAAAAGAAAGTTTAAGGAATAATATTTCTGGATTGTATTTTTAAAATTGAACTACTGTTATAGATATCAGTTTCTCCTGAATGTGGAAAGCTAATAATGAGATATGGAAATGTCATCAATGTCATCTGAATAGGGCTTACTAGATAGACTATACATGACTGGAAGTTAAAAGGCTTTAACTTTAGATCTGCCACTAATTTGCCTTTTGATAGCAAAATATACTCTTTTAAAGAAAAAAATTATTGCCCTCCCCTTATTACAAAAAAAGTATGAATATATGTGTGTTTATGTCTGTATCTATGTACATGTACACCAGGATCTGTCCTAGATACTTCCTCATGTGCCATCTTATTTAATCATCTGTCTGTGTCTCAGCTCCTCAACCTGGAAAATGGGATAATAATATCTCATTCTGCCTTCCTCACAGAACAACAAACGTGATTATAATGAAACAATAAAATATACTACTTTGAGCATGACTCTGTAATTTAAAGACTAAATCTTTTTTAAAAAAAATTTTAAATAAAAATAGAGATGAGTTCTCACTATGTTGCCCAGGCTGGTCTTGAACTCCTGAGCTCAAGTGATCCTCCCACCTCAGCCTCCCAAAGTGCTAGGATTACAGGTGTAAGCCATCGCAGCCGGCCTAATGACTCGGTCTTTAATGCCATGTTGTGAGATGCGTAGCAGTGGTTTCCATAGCAAAATGATGTGATGAATCCTGGTAAAATTCATTTCAAAATACACTTGCAATACAAACTTAGAAGAAGCAACTTACACAGGATGTTTCACAGACACTCACAGAACACCTGGAAAGTACAGCAGCCTTTTCTCTAATTTTCAATAAAGGCAACACAAAGTAAACACACGCTTTACGGTATTTTATGACACATCTCATCTAAGAAAAATGGGCAAGAGAAACACTTAGGCAAATAAGTGGAGGCAGAATGCCAACGCAGATGATAATGAAAAGAATTTCACATCAGAACTTGAAAACTGATTTCGGGCCTGTGTTAACATAAAATGGGTGTTTAGAAGATGAGAAATTCCACAGAAGGCATATAGGGGGTTGTAGGAGGTGAAAGGAAAGAGGCTTATATAACTCTAATACTTATTAACCTGGACCTAGTCACTGAAACTTGATCTCTTTTCTAGCAACCTGATTCTTTATTATTTATAATCAGAAGGTTTAAGAACTACTGGGCCTCACCTCTAGGCTGTCTTTCCATTGTCTGTCCAGTTTTCAGAATTTAATAATATGGTGGGGGTGGGGAGGGGACACAATAGCTCCCAAGTATCTAGGAAACTACAAATTTTCCTCACTAAAACTCCCTAAAATAACTAGGTTAACACAAACTAGGAAACAAGCTCATCAAGGAAAGACCATAAAAAGTCATTCACTGAAAAATTGTAAAGGGCTGCCTGTATAAACTATTATCTGAAAAATGATTTGATAATGAGACCCATAGGAATAAACATGAAAAGCAATGGCCAGTCGCAGCGGCTCACACCTGTAATCCCAGCACTTTGGGATGCCAAGGCGGGCAGAAAACTTGAGCCCAGGAGTTCGAGACCAGCCTGGCCAACATGGTGAAACCCCGTCTCTACTAAAAATACAAAAAATTAGCTGGGTATGGTGGCGTGCTCCTATAATCCCAGCTACACGGGAGGCTGAGGCAGGAGAATCTCTTGAACCCAGGAGGCAGAGGTTGCAGTGAACCAAGATCGTGCCATTGCATTCCAGCCTGGGTGACAGAGTGAGACTCTCTCAAAAAAAAAAAAAAAAAAAAGACATGAAAAACAAGTGGCTCATATGGGTGTTTTAAGAAACTGTAAAAAAGAAAATAATTTTGCTAGAACTTTTCCCAGTCAAAAGGCTCAAGAATCAAGTGTTCAAACAATGTACTTAAGAAATTATACAAGAAATGACTTAGAAGCCATAAGTAGCAAGTTGGAAATTACTAACATATAAGTGGATGTTAATAGTGCTGGTTCACTGAATAAGGAAAATATTATGAAAACCTTACAACTTAGTACAGAAGTTGCCTTCATTATATAACATTACCCCTATGCCTATCAAATTAATTCTTCAATTTTGATATTTTTTATTTCTAGCATTTCTTCTTGATTCTTTTTTATACTTTCCATCTCTGTGGTCAACTTCCCCATTTGTTCATGCTCCCCTTTCCTGCTACATCCTTTAACAGAGGGAATAATTGTGATGGCAGTTACATGAATCCACATATAAGTTAAAACTCTTAGAACTATACACCATAAAAAGTCAATTTTACTTGTGTTAATTTACAAAGAATGAGATTCTGGCCTGTTTAAAGCAAAAATAATAACAATGTATAATAGAGTTAAGAGTGTATAAGGAAGTAAAAGACATAATAACAAGAGCACAAAAGGTGGAAACAAAATAGTGTGGTATATGAGGTATAATAAGTGTAATAAGTTAAAATTATAAAATGCTATCTCTAGGCTGGGCGTGGTGGCTGACACCTATAATCCCAATACTTTGGGAAGCTGAGGCGGGTGGGTCACCTGAGGTCAAGAGTTTGAGACCAGTCTGGCCAACATGGAGAAACCCCGTCTCTATTAAAAATACAAAAATAGCCAGGTGTGGTGGTGGGTGCCTGTAATCCCAGGTACTGAGGAGGTTGAGGCAGGAGAATTGCTTGAACCAGGGAGGCGGAGGTTGCAGTGAGATGAGATCGTGCCACTGCACTCCAGCCTGGGTGACAGAGCGAGACTCTGTCTCAAAAAACTACTAAACTAAACTAAAATAATGAAATGAAATGAAATGAAATAAAATGCTATCTCTAGAACAGTGTGTTCTCGAAGTGTGTTCTGCAGACCAGCAGCATCAATATTACCTGGGATCTTGTTAGAGATGAAATTTTTGGGCTCCACCCCAGGCCTAACTGAATCAGAAACTCTGGGGGTATGGTACCATGATTTGTTTTTCTGTGACTGTGATGCATGCTAAACTTTACAAAACATTGCTTTAGAGCAGGGGCTGGGAAATTTTTTTCTATAAAGGGCCACATATAAATATCTTCAGGTTTTGTGAGCCATGTAGTCTCTGTAGCAACTACCTAATTCTGCCATTGTAGCACAAATGCAGCTATAGACAATAAATAAATGAAGGAGAGAGGCTGTGTTCTAATGAAGTGTTATTTGTAAAAATAAGCAGCCAGCTGGATTTGGCCCGTGGGCTATAGTTTGTCTACCTCTGCTTTACAGCAACTATTCACACACAGATACAGCTAAAATGGTGAAAAGAAAATAAAAGGAAACATTAAAACATACAGACAGCCCTCACTTAGTTATATGGGACTCTAAAAATGATCATGCAAGCTGAAACTATGCAAAGCAGTTTTAATAACCAATGGGAAAAGTTATTATTGTTTTGTGACCTTTAATTATTTCTTTTCCTTTTTTTTTTTGTCAAAATATATTTGGTAAGGGGTGGAGGGGAGGTGTCTTATTGACTGGAAAGATGCACCAGGGAACTTTCTAGAGGTTATAAAAATGTTTTAGGTCTTGTTTTGGGTGGTGGTTACATGAATGTATAGCATTGTCAGCATTATACTGAGCACGAGATTATGAGTTTAATGTATGTAAAGAATATATAATCAAAGATTTTTTAATGATACAAAAGGTGTGGAATAAAGTATGCAGTTCACATTAGGTGACATTCTTATTGCAAATAAAACCTGATGTAAACTATGGGGTACTTCCCTGTATCCAAGGAAAAGAGGCGACAGGGCACTGTAGGGAGAAGAAGCAGTGAGGCCATGCAGCCTAATAGGTTGGGAGAAGGAGCAGTTGCATTTGACTAGAGTGAATATTAAGGAAGTGGCAGGAAATGAGGACAGAGAAGTTGCTAAAGACGCATCAGGAATGGCTTTAGGTACCAAGTTAAGGAATGTGTACTTTATCCTGAGGATGATGAGAAACTTCCCTAAGATATTTCAGGGCTTAAGTGTCCCTTTTCTTTTTATAAGGACACCAGTCACTGGATTTAGAGCCCATCTGATATGGTTGGCTGTGTCCCCACCCAAAATTTCATCTTGAATTGTAATCCCCATAATCCTCACGTGTCAAGGGCGGGACCAGGTGGAGGTAATTAGATCACGGGGGTAGTTTGCTCTATGCCGTTCTTGTGATAGTGAGTAAGTCTCACAAGATCTGATGGTTTTATAAGGGTCTGGCATTTCCCCTGCTGGCACTCACTCTGTTCTGCCATGCTGTGAAGAAGGTGCTTGCTTCTCTTTTGCCTTCCACCATGATTGTAAGTTTCCTGAGGCCTCCCCAGCAATGCGGAACTGTGAGTCAGTTAAACATCTTTCCTTTATAAATGATCCATTCTCTGCTATTTCTTCATAGCAGTGTGAGAAAGGACTATTACACCATCCTATCCAGTCTGACTTCATATTAACTTAACTAATGTAATACTTTATTTCCAAATAAAGTTACATTCTGAGATTCTGGGTAAATGTGAATTTTGGGGGCATACTATTCAACACACCACAACACCAAATAGTGTCCCCCCAAAATTCACGTCCACCAGAACTTCAAAATGTGACCGTATTTGGAAACAGGCTCTTTATAGATGTAATTAGTTACATATGAGGTCATAGTAGTTAGGGTGGACTCTAAATCCAACAACTGGTATCCTTATAAGAAGAGGAGAGGACACACAGAGAAATATATAGAGAAGAGGACCATGTAAAGACAGAGGTTGAGACTGGAGTGAAGAAGCTATAAGCCAAGGAGCATCAAAGATTTCCAGGAGCCATCAGAAGCTATGAAGAGGCAAGGAACGGTTTTTTCCCAAAGCCTTCAGCAGGAGCATGGGCCTGCCAACACCTTGATTTTGGAGTTCTAGCCTCTAGAACTGTAAAAGAAAAAATTTCTGTTGTTTTAAGCCACCAGTTTGTGATAATTTGTTGAAATATGCCCGGGAAACTAATGCAACGTTTAACCCACATTCTGCTTTCTGTGTTAAGCCTGTGGTAGTGATTTTAAGGCATGTCTAAATTTTCTTTTTTATTCCTCCCTTTAAGAGGTATAGCCTAATTCCTCTCCCCTTGGGTGTGGGCTGGACCTAATGACTAGCTTCTAATGAATAGAATAAAGAAGGAGCAAGAGGCTTCAAGTTTCCAGCCTTGGAGACCAGGTCAGAGATTGGCAAACTATAGTCCACAGGCTGACTGCCTATTTTATAAATAAAGTTTTATTGGAACACGCCATGCCTATTTATTTGTGTATTCTATGTGGCTGTTTTTACATGACAACAACTGAGATGAGTAGCTGTGATACAGACTATAAGGCATACAAATCTAAAATATTTACTATCTAGCACTTTAAGAAAAAGTTTGCCAAGCCCTGAACTAGGTCATAAGAAGCACTGCAGCTTTTTGCTTGCTGTGAATAACTTGCTCTAGGGGAAGCCAGCTGCCTTGTCATGAGGAGACTCAGATGTCCCTGCAGAAAGGCCCACGTGACAAGTAACCAAGGCCTCCTGCAAACAGCCATGTGAGTGAACAATTTTGGAAGTAGTTCCTCCAGCCTTCAGGTGACTACATCCCTGGTCAACTGCTTGACTGCAACTTAATGAGAGACCCTGAGCCAGAACCACTCACCCATGCTGCTCCGAGATTCCTGCCCCTCAGAGACTGTATGAGAAAATAAATGTTAGTTGCTTTGAGTTGTTACGTTTTGGGGCAATCTGCATGCTGCAGTGCACAAGTAGTATACTCATCTGTCCCTTCTGCAGTTTTCAATGCAACCTGCAAGCTGCTCTGTCTGTCTTATCTATGCCACAGGCTTTTGCTATTTTAGAAACATACTGGAAAACGAGACTTTTATATAAAGAAACTCCAAGATGACATAGACAAGACTTTTAGGAAACAAAGGACATTGGAAGGCAAGAATATTTTCATAATTCTCTATCTAATACAGTACTAGATATGATTATTGCTACTGATATTAGGTCTATAAATCATGCTTGAGTCACCAGGCAAGATGTTTGTTATGTTACTCACTATTATTTATACAAAAAGGAGTATTAGAGTATGCCATTATAATCTTTATTAGGTGCTTTTTGTAAATGTTTCCTGTAAATGTAAAGCAAGTTGTCTCTAGATGGAATAGTGTGAAGTTCTGTAGGTGTATTAATTTTCTCTTACTGCGTAACAATATAATCACAAACTCAGTGGCTCAAAACAATACACATTTGTCACCTCAGTTACTGGGCATGGCCTAGCTTTGTCCTTCTCTGAGGGTCTCACATAGCTTCAGTCAGGGCTGCGTTCTCTGGATGCTTAACTGGGGAACTCATAGACATAAGTTATTAACACCATTCACTTCCTTGTGGTTTTAGGGTGTGGTTGTAGTACCGAGAACTACAGTTTTTTTTATTTTGTTTTTTTCTCCCTGTTGGCTAAAGTCTGCCCTTAGGTCATAGAGGCCACCCACATTTCCTTGCCATGCGGGGTTCCCCAACATGGCCACTAGCCTCCTTATAGCTAGCGAGGGAAGGAGAGACTCCAGACAAATGCTCCAGTTTTATATAGCATATTCACATATTACGTGCACGTAATCATGTTCATCCCAGCACCTTTTCTGTATTATATTGATTGGAAGCAAGTATTACACTCAAAGAGGGGAATCACACAAGGGTGTGAACACGAGAAGGTAAGGATCATGAGGGGCACCTTAAGAGTTTGTCTGCCATAATGGGCCTGGAGATTACACAAATCCTACTTGCAGGGTGGAATTAATGCCTTATCAAAGATGGTTTCTGTACCTAAAAAGGCAACGGAGTGCCTTGTTTTTATTTTTTTCCTCCTCTGTGCTGCAAACGGACGACTCTCAGCAGGGTATGTTTATTTATTTATTTATTTGAGACGGCATCTCGCTCTGTCGCCAGGCTGGAGTGCAGTGGTGTGATCTTGGGTCACTGCAACCTCCACCTCCCAGGATCAAGTGATTCTCCTGCCTCAGCCTCCCGAATAGCTGGGACTACAGGCACGTGCCACCATGCCCAGCTAGTTTTGGTATTTTTAGTAGAGATGGGGTTTCACCGTGTTGGCCAGGATGGTCTCGATCTCTTGACCTTGTGATCTGCCCGCCTTGGCCTCCCAAAGTGCTGGGATTACAGGTGTAAGCCACTGCGCCTGGCTGGATATTTTTTAATGACTAGAAATGGAATAATAAAAATCAGGAGGGTAAAAGATATACATGATCCCAAAACATACCTTCAAACTGGAATGTACTGTAGTTAGAAACAGCTTGGCATGCAGCTAACTAGATTGACCTAAGCAAGGGCTTCCTGCCTGTAAGGAGCCAAAGGTGCTATTTTTAGGAGCCTAAAGGGAACCCATTTCCAGGAGATCAAAGATACAGTGGAAAAACATTTCTTATTTGTTCCAATAAATGTGATGGATCACAAATCTACCTTGCTATAAGATATGCATGTGTTCATTCATTTAGAAAATTGCTATTGAATGTTTCCCATACACAAGGCCCTTTGCTAGATGCTACCCAATTTTGCATATGTTGATGGAGTATGTCTGTGGGAAAGAGTGCCACCATCTACTGTCTATACCTGCTATGGGTCTGGGAAGAGGCATAGAGGCACATGTGCCTAGTATCTGCTAGTCCTGGTATATAGTGTTTTTTCAAGAAGTTTGGTGGTAAAGAAAAGGGGAGTGAATAGATAAGTCAGAAGGAAATTTTGAAAAGGAGAGACATGGACGGGCTTATAGGCAAAGGAGAAACCCAGCCAATAAGAAGAGACTTGATGATCTGTGACAAAAGAATCTGTTACATAATAGGTGCTCAGTTAATTATCTTACCCCTCTCCTTACACAGTTTCTCCTCACTTCTTTTTTCTTAAACATATATTACCCTGCTCTGCTATACACTATACATGGCAGTAGATACCAAACTGAATATGCACTTGACCCCTTTCCATTTATGCCCCATCCAACTTGGAAATATCATTAGCCATTTAATAATCACTTCCGCCCCCCTTATCAGCCTTTGGTCCTTCCTCCTCTGACTATGCCCAACACAGAGTACCGCCTTAATCGTATTTTCAGCTACCACGTTGATTGCTTTGCATCCTCAGTTAGGCCCTCATGGCTGATTGGTGGCCTTTCATTTCTAGCGACTGTTTCCCACAGTGGCTGTTGAAACCTCTCTTGCTCCATAGAATCCCAAATCTGTCACCTTTTCCTTTCACCAGGTGATCTGCCTTCTATAATGTTATTGGAAATGGGATCTCGCAACTTCATTTCTACTAATCTCATAATTTATTTTTTTTTTTTGAGACAGAGTCTCGCTCTGTCTCCCAGGCTGGAGTGCACTGCAACCTCTGCCTCCCAGGTTCAAATGATTCTCCTGCCTCAGCCTCCCAAGTAGCTGGGATTACAGGCATGCGCCACCATGCCCAGCTAATTTTTGTATTGTTAGTAAAGACAGGGTTTCACTATGTTGGCCAGGCTGGTCTTGAACTCCTGACCTCAGGTGATCGCCTGCCTTGGCCTCCCAAAATGCTGGGATTATAGGCATGAGCCACTGCACCCGGCCCCATTTCTACTAATCTCATCATCTTTTATTGCCATCTGCACTTTTCTGTTTTCTCTCAAAAAAGTATACACACACACATACACACACACACACACGTAAACGCATACACCTTCTTCCGGTTAAGGCTTTTCATTCCAAATCCTCCCACCTCCTCAATGTATATCTCAGCCATGACCATCCCTCACTCTAGTGAAAAGACACACTATCTATTACAGCATAGTGCAGGGGTCCCCAACCCCCTGGCCACTGACTGATGCTGGTCTGTGGCCTATTAGGAACTGGACTGCACAGCAGATGAGCAGCAGGCCAGTAAGTAAGCTTCATCTGGTATTTACAGCTGCTCCCCATCACTTGCATTATTCCCTGAGTTCCCCCTCCTGTCAGATCAGCGGTGGCATTAGATTTTCATAGGAGCAGGAAACCTATTGTGAACTGCACATGTGACAGATCTTGATTGCGTGCCCTTTATGAGAATCTAATGCCTGATGATCTGTCATTGTCTCCCATCACCTCCAGATGGGACTGTCTAGTTGCAGGAAAAAAAGCACAGGGCTCCCACTGATTCTACATTACTGTGAGTTGTGTAATTATTTCATTATATATTACAATGTAATAATAGAAATAAAGTGCGCAATAAATGTAATGCACTTGAATCATCCTGAAACCACCCCCTCCCATCCCGCCCCCTAAATCCATGGAAAAATTCTCTTCATGAAACCGGTCCCTGGTGCCAAAAAGGTTGGGAACTGCTGACATAGTGTATTACAGAATCATTTTCAGGCTATCTTGCTTAAATTAGAAGGGAAAAAATTGTAACAAGTTTTGTTTTTGTTTTACCTCACATACCTATTATTTATTTGTGGTGAAATATTTAAAATCTATTCTAGCAATTTTCATGTGTGGAATACATTGTTATTAACTATAGTCACTGTGTTATACAAGAGATCTCCTGAACTTATTCCTTCTAACTGAAATTTTGTATCCTTTGACCAACATCTCCCCAAAACCCCAATAACGCGTTTTCTTAAAGTTAAAATAATTTGGTTAAAATAGCAGTGAACTTTTCTTATCTTATCAATTTTTGTAACTTTTCCCAAAAGCAATACATTTGTACTTCACAGATAATCTAGAAATTTATACTAAAAGAGAAGAAAATAAAATCACCAGTCTCTCTATATCCAGAGATAGGCATGATATATGTATGATCTGTATCCTTCAACCTTCTAGTCATCTATACATGTTAGATCACCTGGTATCTATTATTGTGTGGACTGCCTTTTTTCACACTTTGTCATGAATATTTTTACCTGTTCCTATACATTTTAGTATACAACCTGTAAAGGTTTTAAGTGTTCTATTGAATAGTTTTATCATAATTTATTTAATACCTTCCATTGTTAGGAGTATTATATTATTCCCAGTTATTTTTGTTTTAAATAATTATGTGATGAAGTCCTTGTAGCTAGATCGTTTTGCAAAGTACTGATTATTTATTTAGAATTAACTTCTCAAACTTGAATTTTGGGTCAAAAGATATCTACATTTTAAGCCTACTGATACCTATTGCCAAATTGTACTTCAAAAAAGATGCAGCAATTATTTAGCCATCAGCAGTGTATAAGAGTATCTATTTTGCCTTACCCTTTCCAAAGGGTGCAAGATTTTTTCTGTGAATTGCTTGTTCATGACCTTTTCCTCCTCCTCCCTCTGCCTTATTAGTATGCTTATCTATCTACCTTGATAATTTTTGAACTCACATTTGTTCAAATTAGTAAAAGTGCATTTTGCACTACTTTTGAACTGAGGTGTTCATAGCACAAAGGAAGTTTTTTTTTTTTTTTTTTTAGACAGAGTCTCACTCCATCACCAGGCTGGAGTGCAGTGGCGCAATCTCGGCTCACTGCAACCTCTACCTCCCGGGTTCAAGCTATTCTCCTGCGTCAGCCTCCTGAGTAGCTGGGATTACAGGTGTGCACTACCACACCCAGCTAATTTTTGTATTTTTAGTAGAGACGGGGTTTCACCATGTTGGCCAGGATGGTCTTGATCTCTTGACCTTATGATCCACCCACCTCAGCCTCCCAAAGTGCTGGGATTACAGGCATGAACCACTGCACCTGGCCGAGATTTGCTTTTATATATTGGACAGACTACAGATTATGTATACAGATACAGATATATCAAGGTGTAGCTTTACAAAGCCATTTAATACTGTTCTGTGTAGCTTAATCTATTTCTTTATACATCTCTATTTACTCTATTTCTTATACATTGCCTTATTGATCATCATTCAGAGGCCTGGAATAATTAATAGTTTAGTTAAAAGTAAAGCATGACATTGATCTCGGTCTACTTGTCCGACTTATAAATTATTCTTTAATACTAGCCCATTTTCTCTTTCACATTTTTAAAACACATTTTTTAAGTTTGCAGTAGATGGCAGCAGCAGAAAGCATTCTTTCATTCGATTGAAAATGTCACCAGGCATTTTGAGGGAACAATACAAAAGAACTTGCCCTAAATGTGAAGAACTTGTAATGGAGGCGATTTCAGAAATATCAATGTAGCCAGGCGTAGTGGCGCACACCTGTAATCCCCGCACTTTGGGAAGTCGAGGCGGGTGGATCACCTGAGGTCAGGAGTTCGAGAACAGCCTGGCCAACATGGTGAAACCCTGTCTCTACTAAAAATACAAAATTAGCCAGGTGTGTGTGGTGGTGCACACCTGTAATCCCAGCTACTTAGGAGGCTGAGGCAGGAGAATTGCTTGAATCTGGGAGGCGGCGGTTGCAGTGAGCCGAGATTGCATCATTGCACTCCATCCTGGGCAACAAAAGCAAAACTCCGTCTCAAAAAAAAAAAAAAAGAAAGAAAGAAAAGAAAAAGAAATATAAATGTAGCATGAAATTGGCGACTATTTTATACTCCAACTAAGCAGTGAGCTCCAACAAATAATCTCCTGGGGAAAATGCATTTAATTTTTCAAATGTTGCATTGTTTACTAATTACAGTATATTTTACTGGTTTTCTGGAATTCTACTTTTTCCTCCTACCTCTCTTTATATTTACTTATAGTGGAAGCCACTTCAAGACACCAGCCTCTTTTCTAGACAAATGGCCTTTTGAAGATGACCATTTATTATGGAGCCTCGAGTAATTTAATGAACTAAAAACACATCTAAGAAAATGTGGCCTTTTTAGGCCACTGCTTCCATTTTGAATGATATTCAATGGAGCTTCATTTTGCTCATTTTGAAATTTAGGCCCAATACATCTCTCGAGTATTTATAATAGTTTTCTCTAGATCATAACATTCCCCCTAAAGTTAGACAAGCATTTTCTGTAATTCACTCATAACAGGAGCAAGCAACACTACCATAGGGGACCTATGGACATGCTGCTTTTCTTTCCAAACTATACTGACAGGTGGATATTCTGTCCCCTAGACCACGAGGAGTGGCTATAAGATAGGCCTGGCCAGGCATGGTGGCTCACGCTTGTAATCCCAGCACTTTGGGAGGCCGAGGCGGGTGGATCACGAGATCAAGAGATCGAGACCATCCTGGCCAACATGGTGAAACCCTGTCTTTACTAAAAATACAAAAATTAGCTGGGCGTGGTGGCGGGCGCCTGTAGTCCCAGCTACTCAGGAGGCTGAGGCAGGACAATCGCTTGAACCCAGGAGGCGGAGGTTGCAGTGAGCTGAGATCGCGGCACTGCACTGCAGCCTGGCAACAGAGCGAGACTCTGTCTCAAAACAAACAAACAAATAAATAAATAAATAAATAAAAGATAGGCCTAGTGGTTATGGGTTTTGAAAAGAAAAGAGGAGCACTTGGTACTCTGGCCGGTTGAAAGCTAATGGTGATTTCAAAGGCAGAGAAATCAGATTGTTCTGAACTAGGAACAAGCAGCAGCTGTAAGCATATGGTACTGTAATCAAAGGCTTCCATTTCTACTTATTCTTTTTTTTTTTTAATTTTAGATTCAAGGGGCACATGTGCAGGTTTGTTACATTGGTATATTGTGTCATGGTGGGGTTTGGGCTTCTATTGAACCCATCATGCTAATATTGAACTTAATACCCAGGAGATGGTTTTTCAGTCCTTGCTCTCCTCCCTCCCTTCCTCAATGTCTCTTATTTCCATCTTTACGTACATGTGTCCCCATTGTTTAGCTCTCACGTATAAGTGAAAACGTGTAGTATTTGGTTCTCTCTTTCTGCATTCATCCACTCAGGATAATGGCCTCCAGCTGCATCCATGTTGCAGCAAAGGACATGACTTCATTCTTTTTATGGGTCTGTGGAATTCCATGGTGTATATGATCTACCCAATCTTAAGACTGTCTCAAAATGAGAAAGAACAGATTGGGATTCAACTAACTGAAGATGGTCTGGAGTGGTTTTCAAAAACTGTATTTTGGAATGAATAATTTTTTCACCCTTAATTCCATCCCAGCCCAAATTCTGTATGTGAGACGTATTAAGAAAGGAAACTTTCCAGTTCTAGACTGTAAGCTTCTTCAGGGCGAGGACTGTGTGTTTATCATCAGATCTCAGCTCAGTGCTAGCACATACCAAGTGCTCTGAACTGTCTCCTGAATGAATAAATGAAGTTAACTGCTTTATGGTGACTCTTTCCTTTCATGTCTCCCTAAGACTCCCCTTCTTTTCATATGCTCTTAGCATGCTGTGTGCGTACACTGCAGTAGGCAGGAACTCTTTCTCTTCAGCAAGGACACAGCTTAGAAGACAGGTTTCTAGTAAAGAATGTCTATTGTTGGTTAGTCAGCACAAGGGAGACCCTGGGGCCAAAGCCTTCTGAGGTGGTTTTTAAAAGATTAAAGCATCAAAATTTTCCAGGCCACAGAAAAATAGAAATTTTTATAAGAATTTAAAATATATTTCCAGACCCTAGCATGTTTTATTAGGTTCAACAGAGCACTTATGAATTGATCCAAGGATTCTTGAATCGTATTTTCTATATTTCCAAAGCACTTCTGTTATCACAACTGCTTCTATGACACTTTCTCTTTTTTTGAGATGGAGCTTTGCTCTTGTTGCCCAGGCTGGAGTGCAGTGGCGCGATCTCGGCTCACGGCAACCTCCGCCTCCCGGGTTCAAGCGGTTCTCCTGCCTCAGCCTCCTGAGTAGCTGGGATTACAGGCATGCATTACCATGCCTGGCTAATTTTTCTTATTTTTAGTAGAGACTGGGTTTCACCATGTTGGTCAGGCTGGGCTCAAACTCACGACCTCAGATGATCCACCTGCCTTGGCATCCCAAAGCGCTGGGATTACAGGCGTGAGCCACTGCGCCTGGCTTCCTATGACACTTTTATGACCATTGTCACTTATATCTTGTTGGATCTCTGACTATAATTGCTTGGGTCCATGTTTCTTGTTTGTTCATCCTTGTTTTAATCATACTATATGGTATGCTAGTATTTTCTCTTATGTTACATTTCAGATACTTTTGAGACAAAATGTGTGATTTTTCAATAAGATACCATCTCACACCAATCAGAATGGCTATTACAAAAAGTCAAAAAATAACAGATGCTGGCAAGGTCACAGAGAAAAGGGAACGTGTATACACTGTTGGCAGGAATGTAAATTAGTTCAACCATTGTGGAAAGCAGTTTGGCAATTTCTCAAAGAACTTAAAACAGAACTACCATTCGACATAGCAGTCCCATTATTCTGTATACACTCAAAGGAAAATAAATCGTTCTTTCCTAAAGACACATACATGCATATAATCATCATAGCACTCTTCACTATAGCACAAACGTGGAATCAACCTATCAACCGTAGACTAGATAAAGAAAATGTGGTACATGTACACCATGGAATACTACACAGCCATAAAAAAGCATGAGATAATATTCCGTGCAGCAACATGGATGGAGCTGGAGGCCATTATCCTATGTGAACTAATACAGGAACAGAGCACTAAACACCACGTGTTCTCACTTATAAGTGGGAGCTAAACATTGAGTACACATGGACAATAGACATCAGGGCCTATTTGAAGGTGGAGGATGGGAGGAGGATGCAGACTGAAAAACTACCTATTGGGCACTATGTTTATTACCTGGGTGATGAAATAATCTGTACACTGAACCCCCATGACACACAATTTATCTATATAACAAACCTGCACATATATGCCTGAAACTAGAATAAAAGTTTTTTAAAATGTGATTTTAAAAATCTTGTTGGCTTTCCTTTAGAATTGAGGACAGTTTTCTATGTCCCAGGATTACCGAGTGAATGTTAACTGACTCTGCCAAAGAAAGAGGCAGTGTTAGTGGTCACTGTTATCCACAGATGGGATGATGTCATGCAAAGAAGATCCCAGGAGACTGGTAATCAATTCCTGGCTCTGCCATGAATTCCAAGACTATGGACAAATCTCTGAACTTGCATTTATTCATATGTTAAAAAAAGGAAGACAGAGTAGATTGAGTTTTAAGATTTCTCCCAGTATCTTGGTTCTCTGAGTAACTAATTCTCAGAATGTCTAGAGCAATCATTTACTTATCTCATTTAATGAATAGCCACGTAACACCAAGTAGCAGGATATATTAGTGGGGTAGAGTAAGTAGCAGTAACAGAGTCTCAAAAAATTTGGTGCCTCATAAAAGGAAGAACACTCATCATTAGCAACCCTAAAGCAGGCAGGTAATTCAGGACAGATAGACAGCTTTGATTCATTAGAATATTCAAAGCCCAGGGTTACTTCTATTTGTTCTGCCATTGCCTAGGGTGTTGTCATCATCTGCATGGTACAAGTTGACTCAGTGTGGCAATGAGGAAAAAGAGTCCAGGACAGCAGCTTCATCTCTAACAAGACCCGGAAGTTGCAAACATCACTCACTCACTCACATCTCATTGACTAGAACTTAGTCATGTGGTCACGTGTACAGCCAGGAAAGTACAGAACTATTTAGCAGAGTGGCCACGTACCCACCTAAAACTTTAAAAGTAAGAGTGGGGGCCGGGCGCGGTGGCTCACTCCTGTAATCCCAGCACTTTGGGAGGCCAAGGCGGGCAGATCACCTGAGGTTGGGAGTTTGAGACCAGCCTGACCAACATGGAGAAACCCCATCTCTACTAAAAATACAAAATTAGCCGGGTGTGGTGGTGCATGCCTGTAATCCCAGCTACTCAGGAGGCTGAGTCAGGAGAATCACTTGAACCCAGGAGGCAGAGGTTGTGGTGAGCCAAGATCGTGCCATTGCACTCCACCCTGGGCAACAAGAGCAAAACTCTGTCTAAAAAAGAAAAAAAAAAGAAAAAAAGTAGGAGTGGGGATCAAGGATTCTCTTACCAAAAGGAAAGAGGAAAGATTGGATATTCGAGGACAATCTCTACCACTCTACCTTCTGTTATAATTTTAAGCCACTAAAACAATTTTTATTTTCCTATTTATTGTGTTTCTTGTCTAGTGAAATAGGCTGAGATCAGGCTCTGTGATTTATCCCTCTGTGTAAATACACCAGCATATGTTATCTTGAACATAGATGGCATGCATTAAAAAAATGTATACTTGATTTATATATTGATGTTCAGAGTATCTAAAAAAGCACTATGGCCAGCCCCCTTCCTCATTCCTATATTCTCCTGTATCTACTTATTACCTGTTTAATGAATGCTACCTGTACAGCTTTAATTCTCAACCTAGTTGAACAGACTGGATTGGAACCTATGAAGTAAAAGTTTAAAAATACAATATAAATTGATTGATTCAGGGCAGGTTGCTGCTAGTAGCAACTACTATCTTTTACTACTTGAGGTAAAGATATTACTATCCTATCTTGAGGTAGTACAATTACACGTAATGGAAAACCAAGAGCTTTCCAATGCGGCTTCATTATTTAATTGTAAGTGTATTTCCTGGACATAACGTATAATTACATTCATGAGTACACTTTAAAACAGAGTTTTTCCCTGAAAGATTTTTGAGTCCTTCCCCCTCTGTCCCCTTCATCAGTGTTTATAGTAAAGAGATGACTATAGTGCTGGGTATTGTTAAAAACTTCAGCCAAATTAAATTTAAAGGAGTTTAATTGAGCAATGAACAATTTGTGAACTTGGCAGCCCCCAGAATCACAGCAGATTCAGAGAGACTCCAGCACAGCCATGGGATGGAAGAGGATTTATGGACAGCAAAAGGAAAGTGACAGTACAGAAAACGGAAGCGAGGGGCAGAAACAGCTGGGTTGGTTCCAGCTCAGTATTTGCCTTATTTGAACATGGTTCGAACAGTTGGCTACATTTGATTGGCCAAAACCCAGTGATTGGCATAGGTGTGGGCTACGGTCGGTTTACACCTCTACTTGTTACAGTTTACAATATACAGAAAAATCTTTAGGCCAAACTTAAATACATAAGGAGGCAGCTTTAGGCTAAACTTGACTTAACAGTATGACTCTACATAGTATGGACCTGTTTATGGATGGTCATATAAGGCTCATTTTAAAACTGACTTCACAATTTACTGATTCAGTGTTAATATCTTATCATCTTTGACTTCTAGTTCTTCACTTGCTGTACTCACACACTGTAATCTTATATTAGAATGAAAAGTACTAATGTATGCCTTACCAGTTTTACATTTGATATGGACCTTGGGGGAATTGTCCCTGCTCTCTCATATCCAGTTTCCCCAAATCCTTCCCCTTCAAGGTCTACCTCCTTGTTGAAACTGACCATAACCACACCCCGCCCCCGCCAACCCCAAATGGTCATTCCATCAAAGAGAAGAAAGACTTAATTCAAGCTCTGGGTAAGAGGGTGGCAGTGCAGACTGGGACTAGTAGAGCAAACTGCAGCATTAGACCAGGCTGTGTTTGTGTAAGGACAAGCCTTTATTCCCTTCACAAGCGTGCCAACTTGCCAAAGATAAGTAAATCGTAAGTATCGGCTATCATCTGGTCTAGGAAGAGCGGCTCTTGGCCTTGACTCAGCCTCACTTCACATTCCCAGAGCTCTTGATGAGCCTCAACTTGGGGCATCTTTGTTCTTGTCATATTTGTCTCCAGGGGACTTAGATGTTTCCCTAAGGGACAGGACATATCTATCTGCTAAGGGTCTGCTCCTACCTCTCTGTGTCAACAGAGGGCAGCAGAGAGCATCACCCGGTAGCCTAACCTGTAGGCTTCAAACCGGGGCAACGGCAATCCAAGTGCCTAGGGAAGCAAATGCCTGGGGAGTGTACGCATTGCCCCCGTTTGAAGCCTATAGGTTAGGCTACCGGGTGATGCTCTCCGCTGCCCTCTGTTGACATAGAGAGGTAGGAGCAGACCCTTAGCAGATAGATATGTCCTGTCCCTTAGGGAAACATCTAAGTGCCCTGGAGACAAATGTGACAAGAATAAAGATGCCTCAAGTAGAGCTCATCAAGAGCCTCAAGAACAACACTGGGACTGTTATAAGTATGGGGGGGGGGCAGGGTACTAAATGTGTTGCTGTGTGTAGGATGGTCCCATTCAAGGAAGTCTATTCTTGCCCCCAAATTTCAGTTACCTTTCTTCTAGTATTGTATCCCAAATTCAAGTAAAACATTCCTGTCTACCCCACTAATTTAACATCTACACCATTTTGTATTGTTACTCATCTCACCAAAGCTCCTTGATACTTAGAAACTGGCTTTTTAATCTTTGCATTGCTACTTCTTAAAAATTTATCCTTAATTTTACTCATTGGATGATGAAAAACAGGTCTTTAAAGGGGGAGGGTTAACAGGTAATGGATAGAATTTAAAAGTATAGTCAGTTTCAATAGATAACAGAGTTTAGATAAAAGCTATATTAGACGAGCCAATCTTCCCGGGGCCCTAATTTTCTCACAAGTAAAATGGAACCAACAACTACCCTATTTTAAAGAAAGTTGTAAACTGTAAAGTGCAGTATAAGATCGTTTACAAAGAATGTCTAGGACCAGATTTGCTCCCAATTATTATTTCTGGAATTTAGATATCTGAAACTCCAAAAGAGTGTAATATAATGAAGATACATTAAGGCCGGGCACGGTGGTTCATGCCTGTAATCCCAGCACTTTGGGAGGCTGAGGCGGGCAGATCACTTGAGGTCAGGAGTTTGAGACTGGCCAACATGGCGAAAACCCATCTCTACTAAAAATACAAAAATTAGCCTGGCATGGTGGTGCGTGCCTGTAATCCCAGCTACTCCAGAGGCTGAGGCAGGAGAATCACTTGAACCCGAGAGGCGGAGGTTGCAGTGAGCCAAGATCGTGCCACTGCACTCCAGCCTGGGTGTCAGAGCGAAACTCTGTCTCAAAAAAAAAAAAAAAAAATTAGCCGGACATAGTGGCGTACACCTGAAATCCCCAGCTACTCAGAAGGCTGAGGCAGGAGAATCACTTGAACCTAGGAGGCAGAGGTTTCAGTGAGCTGAGATCACGCTGCTGTACTCCAGCCTGGACGACAGAGTGAGACTCCGTCTCAAAAAAACCAACCAAACAAACAAAAAGCAAAGAGAACTCAGAATTGACTTTAAAATGAAGGTCAGAAAAAGGATAGGTCACAGGAAAAATACACTTTTATAACCTTTGAATAGAGAGAAATAGAAAAAAAAATTAAGAGATTCAAAGTTATAATCTGTCAACCACAGAATAAGAATAACCTAAGAGAAAATGCATGAAATTCAGAAATATAAAATATGTTTAGTTATAGTTTTGATTATGAGGTTATTGAGTAACATAACTAACATTGTTTACCATGCTGAGGTGCTGTGCTATACCTGTAATTACTTCCATTTTACAGTGAGTCATTTAAGTGAACATTTAAGTAACCTTGCCCAGGGCTTCAGAATTAATGTATCTTAAAGCCTGGATGAATTGAGATAAACGGTAAAAAGATTTCTGTGAAGGTCACTGACTTCAAAATATCAAAGATACAGCTTGCTATTGAGAGGAAATACTGGGTCTTTAAAATGTCGAACTTTTGATGGTGACAAAGATAATAATAATAAAGTGTAAACACCATGTGAGAGTTAGAAGACAGAATTTGAAAGTTAGTCTACCAATATATTGAAATTATTAATGTCAGAAAAGGAATTCTATAGTACAGGGAATCTGATTTTAATTTGGTTTTCTTGAATAGGATGAAAGAGAATCAATTAATGACATTGTGTTAATAAGTACTCTTTTGGCTGCAAGTGACAGAAACCTTTATCAAACTTGTTTGTTTGTGTGTTTTTTAAAGGGAGTAAGGAGGGAGGGATTGATTGGCTTATGTAATTGGGAGGTCCAGCAGAGTAACTGGCTTCAGACAAGACTGAAGTTAGATGTCCAGTGGCCTTTTTCAGGAATCTGTCTTCTTTCCTTTATCTCTGGTCTGCTTTCCTCTGCCCGATATATGGATGGAGACGACAGCCCTCTGCCTACTTGTCCTTACAGCTAGTATCCTGATGAAACAAATGTTCAGCCCCCACCCAGCCAATAGTTGTCAAACATCCTGGGGATGACTCAGATTATGCTTATTGGCTGGCTTGGAGGATGTGTCTATCCTTTCACTAATTATTACGACCAGGGAGTTGAGTTGGCCATCCTTGTGCCACGTGCTCACTCTTGGAGCACTCGCTTCAGATGGGGTCATCCCTATCTGAACCATATGGACTAAAAGTGGGGGAGAGATATTTCCTTCAAATGGGGATGATACAGAGGCAGACTTCATGTATGTATGTATGTATGTATGTATGTATGTATGTATGTATGTATTTATGTATTGAGACGGAGTCTCGCTCTGCCGCCCGACTTTAAAAGGCAGATATCCACTACTCTGATGTTTTGGTCTTTAATTATATTGCATGCAATGTGTGGCTACAGTGGAAATGCCAACTTGTGTCTAGCTAAAGAAGGGGAGAAATTAAAACAGAATCAAAGAATAGAAGTTAGAGAGTTAAGAAGTTTTTTTTTTTTCTCTCTCTCTCTCTCTTTTTACATGAGCTCTAAGAAAGTATTATGAATTCTAGGCCGGGTGCAGTGGCTCACGCCCGTAATCCCAGCACTTTGGGAGGCCGAGGCGGGCGGATCACCTGAGGTCAGGAGTTTAAGACCAGCCTGGCCAAAATGGTGACACCCCATCTCAACTAAAAATACAAAAAAAATTAGCTGCATGTGGTGGCGGGCGCCTGTAATCTCAGCTACTCAGGAGGCTGAGGCAGGAGAATTGCTTGAACCCGGGAGGCGGAGGTTACGGTGAGCCAAGATCGCGCCATTGCACTCCAGCCTGGGCAACAAGAGTGAAACTCCATCTAAAAAAAAAAAAAAAAAAAAGAAAAAAAGAAAAAGAAAGAAAGAAAGTAGTATGAATTCTATGTGGATGAGTAAAGTAATCTATAAAGTCTTCTTTTGCTCTTTCAGTGTATAAAGTACCTTTGCAAACTCAGTATATTATTTTTAATCCTGCAAAGGTTTGGTTTATGGTATTTTGCCAGAATTTGTATGTTATGGAATGGTGTATTTTGGGGATGGTAAATATTTTATTAATTGAGAAATCCATCTGCTTTTGATTTGCTTCAGTACATTTGTGTTATCAGTCAGAGAAGAATCTTATATCCCTCATTGGTAATCATCCTTTTGACAGGAATAACACATTAAAGCTTCATTAAGCTGTTAAGACTTATTCTGAATAGCACATAAAATCTCAAGCAATTGCTTTTCTCCAGCTGGCTAGATATTTTATTATCCTTTAATTAAAAATATTGAATAGTTAAGTCTAATTAACTCACAATATTCTTTAAAGTTTGCCATAATGTGTACCTTTAATATAAAGATGACTGTAGAATTTAACATGAGGCTTTAATCTTCTTAAAAGTTTACAGATATGTATTTAGTGCAAATTTTTATTTATAGCATACCTTTTCAAAAAGTGTTTGAAGTGCTTATCATAAAAAAGAATGTATATAATAAGGTTAACCATAGAGTAATCCAACCCAAAACAAGGAAGAGAAAGCAAGTATGCATGTAAATATATACTTTTGTGCTTAGCTTATTTTAAAGCATATGAATTTTAAAGTTGGCTCTGAGCTTCCCAGCAGCAGGGTCGAAAAAATGAAAATTCAGTGGATTACACTGTTATCATCTAAAAGGTAGACAGACACCTAATAATTCTTCAAGAACAGAAAATTTTTCCTTCATATTAAGTTGTAAAACAAATTCTCCATGTGAATTCCTTACATGGGAGATATCATTCAAGATAATGGACAACACAGAAGCAATATGAATCTTCCTTATAATAATTTTTAATAAAAGCAAGACCACAACACTCAATGATAGTTATTCTTCTAAGGGGTATTAGGCTAATGATATTTAGATAGCATGTAGCTTTCTGATGATCTCCCTTGACACAAGGATAGATTTGAGTGAACTTATAAGAATGTTTTTCCTTAGATGTTTCTTAAAAATCACTTTCTCAGATAGGCATTTAATGGGAGCTGGACAGAGAAAAATGGCAGTATTAATAATAATCTGCTGAGGTCTTTGAATATTGAAATTCAGTTATTGACCAAGGCTCCATATACTTTGGAGTGGAAATAGGGTTAACATTCTGATATGAAAGTGGAGAATTCTGACCAGTATTCCCAACTAGGAGACAGATTGTTTTCCAGATTAATTCACATCATTTTATACAAACTACATCTTTATGTAGAAAAATGTAGCTGCTTTTTAAAAACAATGAATAGAGCTCTTGATCAGCTAGCATAACTACCTGAAGGTTCCCCTGATCTGTTTCAGAACCCCAAAGATATTCCCCAACCACCTGAAGGAAAATGACTTGGATGAACTTCCCTTTGGAAGTTGGGTCACTAATAGATATTTTTAGAATTTCCTGAAAAGATTTTGTATTAGTCTGTTTTCACGCTGATGATAAAAACGTACCTGAGACTGGGCAATTTACAAAAGAAAGAGGTTTAATTGGACTTACAGTTCCACATGGCTGGGGAAACCTCGCAATTATGGTGGAAGGCAAGGAAGAGCAAGTTATATCTTACACGGACGGCAGCAGGCAAAGAGAGAGTGAGGAAGATGCAAAAGTGGAAACCCCTGATAAAACCATCAGATCTTGTGAGACCTATTCACTACCATGAGAACAGTATGGAGGAACTGCCCCCATGATTCAATTACCCCCCACCAGATCCCTCCCACAACACATGGGGATTATGGGATTACAATTCAAGATGAGATTTGGGTGGGGACACAGAGCCAAACCATATCAGATCTGTTCAAGATTTATTATAAGCAAAATAAAGATGTTGTATTAGTTCCTGTGGTTCTGATTCCTGGATCTGCACAGTTGTTGAAATTTCCCTTGTTGAGAGAGTAGCAGGGTCTCAATAACAAAATAAAACCAGCTACCAGTATCATTTACTGAGTAACTTCTGTATGTAGGTACTGTGTGCAAATCTTTACATGTGTTATAATATTACTTTAACCTTCACACAATAATATAGGCTATTATAATCCCCATTCTAATAATGAGAAAACTGAAACTCAGGTTTACCTGAATATTCATAACTAATAAGTGGCAGAAATAGGATTTGAGCCCAGATCTCTTTACCAGCTTTTAACCACTACACACTTATCTGTGAAGGAAATTTGAGTCTCCACGTATTAGCATTTGAGATCACTAAACTCTTTCTTTTTCCTGGTATTTCTGACAAAAATTGCCCATGGGTCATGATACTTTGGACTTCGATTCTGGCTTAAATGAGTTGTTTTCCTTTTTTAAAAACACATTTTTTTCCTCAAAAAAAAAAAACTCCAAAACAAGAATAGCTTATATTTTATAGCAGAATTATTGTACCTTAATTTCTATATATAGATTTTTATCTAATAATGAGTTTTAAATATCTTCTTGCATAATGAGACTAGAGTCATTTTCCAGTTATTACTGAAGTTTGAGGAGATTCATTTGGTTCTTAAAAGAGCTTACTCACCTTGATAATGGCTTTGCAGTCCTCCACACTTAGTATGCCCATGTGCTGCAATTAAAAATTACTTATAATGATGGGACTTGGCTTGATATCTCTAGAGTTGCATTGTTGCATACCATAGCCACCAGCTAAATGTGACTATTTTGGAGTTAAATAAATTTAAATCACTTTACATTAAAAATTCACTTCCTCAAGAACACTAGCCATCTTTCAAATCTATGGAATGCTCCATAATCACAGCAAGTTCTCTTGGGCTGTACTTCTCTAGAGTGTACATTTTTCATGCCTCTATATCCCTTCCTACCTTCTGCTTCTAAAATGATAATGACTTCCTCCAAGACTGACTTCTATATCTTCCATAATTTGGTGAGACAGCTTATCTTTCCAATGATTTCCCATGATAGTTGACATGGAGGAGTCTTTGTTGGCCTAGCTGATGTTCCTGTGGTACAGGAAGCATGCTAACTGAGGCCAAGTTTATCATCTTACTGAAGTGGCAAGTCCATAAAGCCCCCAAGTTTTTATTTTCCAGGTTATATATTGAGCCAAGAATCTTAGGTGACTGTTATTAGAAGCATTTATAGACCCTGTTTTGTTGAATTGCTTCAGAGACTACTCCCATCCATAGTGGACTTATTAGTAATTTTGTTGCTGTCAAAACTTACAGAAAAACTTCTACAACAGCTTTAGCTTTTTTTTTTTTTTTTTTTTTTTTTGAGAGAGGGAGTCTCACTCTGTCACCAGGCTGGAGTGCAGTGGTGTGATCTCAGCTCACTGCAACCTCTGCCTCCCAGATTCAAGCGATTCTCATGCCTCAGCTTCCCGAGTAGCTGGGATTACAGATGTGTGCCACCATGCCCAGCTAATTTTTGTATTTTTAGTAGAGATGGGGTTTCACCATGTTGGCCAGGCTTGTCTCAAACTCCTGACCTCAGATTTTATATGTATATGTGTATGTGTATATATATATATGTGTGTGTGTGTGTGTGTGTGTGTATACACACATATATACATATACATATATACAGATTTTATATGTGTGTGTATATATTATATATATATATACACACACACACAAATTGATGTTTCTTGGCTATTTTATTGACATAGTCCACAAAAAGTTTGCCTCTTTCCATTAGTTAGTCTGTATTGTTTTGGAAGAAAAAAATGTTTTCCATAAATCTGATTCTTTTAATGTATCCTGATTGGCTTTGGTTGTTGTTAAATAGAGATGTATATTCTTCAGCTTTCCATTTGTTCGTTTTTTGTTTTTTTTTTTTCTTTTTTCTTTGAGACGGAGTCTTGCTCTGTCACCCAGGCTGGAGTGCAGTGGCAAGATCTCGGCTCACTGCAAGCTCCGCCTCCCGGGTTCACGCCATTCTCCTGCCTCAGCCTCCCGAGTAGCTGGGGCTACAGGCGCCCACCATCACGCCCGGCTAATTTTGTTTTTGTATTTTTAGTAGAGACGGGGTTTCACCATGTTAGCCAGGATGGTCTCGATCCCTGACCTCGTGATCCGCCCACCTTGGCCTCCCAAAGTGTTGGGATTACAGGCATGAGCCACCGTGCCTTGCATGTTCGTTCTTAAATAATGTGGTACACTGAGGCCTACTGGGCGTGTACCAATGCCGTATTTGCCTTGAGCACTCCCATGTTACATGTGTAAACTTCTTTGGTCTATCTTTTTTGTAGTGATATTCCACAATAAGCTCCTTTAGAGAAGTTTGTTAACTATGTTGTTTGCCAACGATATTCTATTGCTTCAATATAGACAGTACACTGAATATCTTTGCTGTGTGTAAAATTATCCTGAAAAGTTTTCCTTTTCCAAATGAGCTAAGAAGTGTGCAATACTTACTAGTGGTCAGGTTTAGACCCTCCAGAACCACTTAGAAACAGGCCACCACTTTCCTTCTCTCACAGTTGTATAAATAATCTGATTGAGAAATAGAGCAGATCTCTGTTCAGAATGTTCTTGGTCACTGGACACCTCATAACTGAGGCTTTATATTAACCACGATCGTTCTAGTTTCAAGGATTGAGGCCATTTCCCAAGTTCAGAAAAATCATGATCAGTATTTGTCAAGTATTAGTCATTGTGAAGTGTAGTGATGGGGAGTAGGGACAATAAATATATTCATCTCCAATTTTGTATAACTGAAAAGTGTAAAAATAAAGAAGAAAGAGATGCCTCTTGAGTGAATTTAATACAGCTGTTTTTGCTGTTAATAATAAAACATCTTACTGAAACCAAAATTTGTTCAAAGTTTCATTAAGTGCCCTTTTGGAGCTGTGTCTTAATCGACTGCCAGAAGTTGAATAAACCAATGAGGAAACACTGTACCCTACTTAAAAGTAGCAGTAAATTTTTCTTCCATATCCACTTTTGATACATCATGAAGGTCAGCAAGATGTTACTGCTGTGCAAAACAGCTACATTCGTGTAATATTATTTTCCATATGTCTGTTTTCTTAGTTACTAGATTATTGTTCCCATGCGTTCTTCCCGACAATTTTGCTTTTACAAGTCCCGACAATTTTGCTTTTACAAGTCGTGGTGAGCAGGGCATACATGTCCACTAGTCTGCTAGTTTTAGAAATGGTTTTCCTGACTTTGATTTGTTTTGATCGCATCAGGCATATTGCTGAACAGTAAGAAAAGGGTTGAAGAAAAGAGTTCTAATGAATAAAAGATGGGATTTCTTCTATATGCATTTTTGTTATCCTTGATTCCACAGAAATTCTATTTTGATTCCTTCATTCAATAACAATAATAATGTTTTTATGACTATCACAGCTTGAAACACACACACACACACACACACACACGCACACACACACACACACACACACACTCAAGCTGCCAGTCTGTCTTAAGGCAGTGGCAGATGCCTGATTGGCGGGCTCTGTTTATTCTGTGACCAGATTCCTTCTAAAAGAAGGAAGGCCATGTCTGCCTGAAGCCTATTGGCTGGGCCTACTCTGGACCCGCCCCTCTTTTTTTTTTCATGACACACACCACAGCGAAGTCTGTGCGGAATCCTAAACCAGCCCAATTTACATCCATTCATGAATCTGTGACGTCAGCAAGCCTTTGGGCTCCTTTGCGGTGGGCTGGAGGATTGTGTGGGTGGAATCCCCCTCCCCTTTATTTTTCCAATTCTGCAAGGCTTTTAAAATTCACCTTACATCTTTTCAAAGCAAGAAAATGGAACAGCATGTGTAGGAATTCTTCGTTGTTGTGAGTATTGCACTCTGTTTTTCCTGTTTCTTCAGTATTTATTTCACAAGGACAGACAGAGAATGTGTGATTTGAGGTGATTAGAAAGCTGATATTATTGAGGGCGACACCGTGAGAGAGACAGAGAGACAGAGGCGGAGAGAAACCCGAAACCCCGTTACAGCTAGGAGCCTCTGAAACTGACAGCTGGTTTTCCTTTGCTTGTCTGCCTGCTAGACGTGGACATTTTTCATTTACGGTTCTGCACGTTACCTCGGATGCCTGCTTGGCTTTCCTTAAAGGGAGATTCATTTCTCTGAGAGATGATGTGGATGGTATTAGCAGAAAAGCCCAGAACACCAGAAAGGTGCTGAGAAAAGCGGGGCCCGCAAGACAGAGCAGGTTCTATCCTGTGGGGCACTTGTCTTCCTTGCGACCGTCCTTTCTGCCGTTCCTCACCCTTCACCTTGCCTTTGTTTCATATTGTGTAACAGTCAGTATCTTGCGATTGCAATTTGGTGAAGATGAATACTTGTTCAACCATTTTTCAAAAGCTCTTATGACGGGAGCCATAGTGGTGTATTTATATATATTCATAGCTCTTCTTTATGTCACTCTCTACACTTTATAGTGTCAAAAACTTAAAAAGCTGCATTCGAGGGAAAGGGGGAATTATCCTTAAACTTGGGTTTTTCAATATCCTCTAATGAAAACTAAGAAGTGGTTACAATGTTCCACAATTATATTGCATAGAAATGCACATGAGTGTTTTCCTAAGATGAACTTATTAGCTGAAAATAGTTTATTCCACTGTGTTGGGGAAACATGGAAAAGTTCTGATATGTTCCATGTATAAAGTTGGTTTGGTAGTTTGCTACTGTAGTTTTAACAAAAAGTTACTATTTGTGATTGAATTTGTTTTCCAAGGGTCTGTTTATTCTGGTGAAAGTTGTGAGAGTAAAGAAGAGGGATGTGACATTGTGACATGTTCTGCCCCTGGGGCAGCTCCTCAACCCGAATAATCTGACAGCATTTCCCAACTGCTTCACTTTGAGCGATTTATATGCCAGTCTGCAGCATGTACCCAGTTGTTCTTTCTCCTGAGAAAGCAAAATGCCTGATATTTCTTATAATCCAGGCTGCCATGTTTACCTTGTAAAATCAATACTTAATTTTTAGATTTTTATATTATCTTTTCTCGTGAAGCAAGACTTCTAAATTATGGCTATAATATCTTTTGAATTGTTGTTCTTAATGAATCTTCCAACTGTAAACTCATCTAATTTCAAACTTATCATACCTGAGGATGTAACATTGTCTTTTGTTTCTCATCTTGATATTACCGTCAATCATTTTGTATTTCTGAGTACATTTGAACTTGCTGGAGTAATAGAGGGAAAACCTCTGCCTGATTCTAAATCAGATCTTTGTCCTATACTCGGACAATTATGGTTTCATATTTTATTATTTTTTATTTTCTGGGTTTAACAAATGAGATAACATTTTAGACATAATATTTGTAAACATCTTGACTTATTTCAGCATTTTCCTTTTTTGTATATCTTCAGAGAGTTTGTTGAAAGTAGCAATTTCCAAGTAATTTTAAATTATTGAAGTCTACTAGCACGAAAGGTCAAATTCTTAGGATATTTAAAAAATGTTGTTTAATAATCAAACTCATCTTAAAAAATGTTCATCAGACTCTGTCTTTGATGCACATTTTGCCAAAAGAGAGCCTTATTTCTGTGAAAGAAATACAGTATGTACTTTGGATTTACTAAAGTAAAACTGTTACTTTAAGGCACAGAGCAGATATAGAATCCCCCTCTCTCCCCACTCCTAGTGACTGTATTCTACATTATATTTATCTTCATGTATAGTGTACTTGTAGGGAAAAAAACAATAACTCTTAATTGTTTAATATCAAACAATAAAATCCTGTGTATCAGTGACTGTCAATAGATGGCTTTCTGTTTAAAAACTGAAGCTACTCCAGAAGTAGGAATTAATTTATTTAGTAAACAAAGTCAGTCAAACCAGAGCCATGTCCTGGGGAACTGTCAAAAGAATGGTTCCTAAGGGCCAGAGGCCACATCCACTGGTAGATGACAGAACAACCATACTTCAGATGGCAAAACCGGTCAGTTTGGTTTGCGTTGTGTGCCTATCCTCTTTCTGTGTGCTTCAGCTGAATTAAGTGCTTGGAGAGCTCAAATAGTTCAAGATAGCCAAGATGACCAATTCTGCCAGGTGGCAGCCTGATCTTGCAATTTTGATTAAAATAAAGAACATTCCCCAAGAACAGTTTGTTGCAAAAAAATAAAAATAAAAAAATCACACCCTTGCTCTGTGTTACTATTCTGTAAGAATATGGGGGAGAAAAAAATTTAGAAAATGCAGTCTTTACTCTGAAGGAATCTAGAAAGGAAAATGCCGGAAATAAACTTCAGTATTAGAATTACCTGTGGAACCTTTTTCCCTTCCCTCCCTACCTCTTTCTCCCCATCCCCTCCCCTCCCCTCCCCTCCCCTCCCCTCCCCTCCCCTCCCCTCCCCTCCCCTCTCTTCCCCTCCCCTTTCCCTTCCCTCCCTCCCTCCCTCCCTCCCTTCCTTCCTTCCTTTCTTTTCTCTTTTCTTTTTTCCTATTTAATGGTTTTTAGTATGTTCACAGAGTTGTACAATCATCACAATCCATTTTAGAACATTTTCATCATCACAAAAAGAAACCACATACCCATTAGCAGTCACTCCTCATTTCTCTTCACCCCCCAGCCCTAGACAACCGCCAATCTGCTTTCTCTATATATAGATTTGCTCAGTCTGGATATTTCATGTAAATGAAATCATACAGTACATGCTCTTTTGTAACTAGCTTATTTCACTTAGCATAATGTTTTCAAAGTTTGTCCATGTTGTAGCCTATATCAGTACTTCTTATCTTTTTATTCCCAAGAAATATTCCAGTGCACCATATTTTACTTATCCATTCATCAGTTGATAGATATTTGGGCTTCCGCTTTTTGACTATTAGGAATAATGCTTCTATGAACATTTGTGTACACATTTTTGTGTGAATTTGTTTTAATTTCTCTTGGGTATATACCTGGGACTTGAATTGCTGGGTCATTATGATTACTATATGTTTAACATTTTCAGGAGATGCCAAATTGTTTTCCAAAGTGGTTGCACCATTTTACATTCCCATCAGCAATGTATGAGGGTCCAGTTTCAGCACATCCTCTTCAACACTTGTTATTATCTATCTTTTCTATTAGAACCATCTTAACAAGTTTGAAATGGAATCTCATTGTGGTTTTGGTTTATATTTCCCTAAAAGTGAATGATGTCAAGGATCTTTTTATGTGCTTATTGGCCATCTGTATATCTTCTTTGGAAAAATATCTATTTAGACACATTGTCCACATTAAAAATTAAATTATCTTTTAATCCTGACTTGCAAGTGTCCTTTATATATTCTGGACACAAGCTCTTTATCAGATGTATACTTTGCAAATATTTTCTCTCATTCCATAGGTTGCCTCCACTTTCTTGATAATATTGTTTATGGTATAAAAATTTTTAATTTTGATGAAGTTCAGTTTTATTTTCTTTTGTTGCCTATGCTTTTGGTGTCATATCTAAGTTGGCTTTGCCTGACTCAAGGTCATAAAGATTTACTTCTATGTTTTCTTCTAAGAGTTTTATAGTTTTAGCTCCACATTTAGATCTGTGACTCATTTTGAGTTATTTTTTGTGTGTGCTATAAAGACAGGGTTCAACTTTATTCTTTTGAATCTGGATATTCAGTTGTTTGAGTAATATTTGTTTAAAAGACTATTCTTTCCCCCATTAAATTGTCTTGGCACCCTACCAGGGAACTTAAAAAAAATACTGATGCCATGCTTCCACCTCCAGAGATTTATATTTAATTGGTTTGTGATGGGACCCAGTGATGATGTATTTTTAAAAAGCTTCCCAGCTGAGTCTAATGTGCAGCCGGGCTTGAAAACTATTGACATGCAGGGTCTTAGAACAGAAGAGAGAGAGAGACTTTCAGAATCAGGAAAGAAAATGAGCGAAAACATAGCATTCTGATATGAAAAGGAGGGAAGAAAGGAAAATTAAGAAGATTCATACCAGAAAGCTTGAGTTTTCTTGTTATTCACTCAAAGAGTGAGGGTATCATTGGAAGTTAATGAAATATGTTAAAGAGGAGGAGCTAACATTTATTAAGCACTTTCTACGTGTCTGTAAATTTTTTTTTTTTTTAAACAAGGTCTCCCTCTGTTACCCAGACTGGAATATGGTGGCTTGATCACAGCTCCCTGCAGCCTCAGCCTCCTGGGCTCAAGCCATCTTCCCACCTCAGGCTCCGAATACCTGGGCCCACAGACACATGCCACTATAGCTGGCTATTTCTTAAATTTTTTATAGAGATGAGGTCTCCCTATGTCACCCAGGCTGGTCTCAAACTCCTGTGCTCAAGTGATCCTCCTGCCTTGGCCTTCCACAATGTTGTAATTACAGACGTGAGCCACTGTGCCCAGCCTACATGGCTATAAACCTGTTGGGAGCTTTTATATACATTATTTTATTAAAATATAATCTTCATCCATCCTGGGCAACATGGCAAAACCCTGGGTCTACAAAAAATACAAAAATTAGCCGGATGTGGTGGCACACGCCTGTAGTCCCAGTCACTCGGGAGGGAGGCTGAGGCATGAGAACTGCTTGAACCCAGGAGGCAGAGGTTGCAGTGAGCCTTGATTATGCCACTGCACTCCAGCCTGGGTAACAGAACAGACCCTGTCTCAAAAAATTAATTAATTAAATGTAATCTTTGTGATATGAAGTAGGTAGTAGTATTCCCACTGTACAGATGAGGAAAAAAAGGCTCAGATAGGTCACTGACTTAACCAAAGACACCAGGTAGTATATGTTATATCTAATTTTCAAACCCAGCTTTAATTCCTAGTTCTGTTCTCTTTCTTCTGTTTACTATGGATTGTGAACATTAAGTATTGCCATGAATTGCTCTCGGTCCAGTCCAGCATGAATTTAAAATCTTCTGTAGCACTGCTCTGGAATGGGCAAAGAAAGAGTAAGGTAAGTTAGATGTTGGGGGTTATATAGGGTTAAGTGTTGGCACAGCAGGTGCAGTGGAAGGTAAGAAGTTGGAGGTAAATGAGGATTATCACATAATAACCATGGAGCCTAGACAGGCTATACTCTCCCTAGACGTAGCTAGCAGAAAAAGCCCTAAGAGGGTGGAGGGCCCATGTACCGGGCATGAGAGAATGATTGAAGGGAATGATAGAAAAGATGAACTTTCAGGTGCGGTGGCTCACACCTGTAAGCCCAGCACTCTGAGAGGCCAAGGCAGGCGGATCACCTGAGGTCAGGAGTTTGAGACCAGCCTGACCAACACGGAGAAACCCTGTCTCTACTAAAAATACAAAAAAATTAGCCAGGCATGGTGGTGCATGCCTGTAATCCCAGCTACTCGGGAGGCTGAGGCAGAAGAATCACTTGAACCCGGGAGGCAGAGGTTGCGGTGAGCCGAGATTGCACCACTGCACTCCAGCCTGGGCAATAAGAGTGAAACTCCATCTCAAAAAAAAAAAAAACCAAGTAGAATTAGCAAGTATAAAGGTGTTGTCATCATTTTTCTATTCATTTAATCAACAATATTGATTGAGCATTTACTATGAGTTCTAAGTATTAGGTACGCAGCAGTGAATAAAACAGACAAAAATTGTTGCCCTCTTGGAACTTAGTTTAATCTAATGAAAGGAGATGAACAGTAAGTAAGTAAATTATGTTTAGACAGTGATAAATGTTAAGGAGAAAAATAAAGATGGGAGGGGAATAGAGCGTGCTGGGAGTGGGGTAAATTTAAAATGGGACTTTTGCATTGTATTGTTTATGTGCGGATATTGATTCCTCAAAGAGATGGTGAACCATCAAACAAAGGGGTCAGTGGTTGACCTAGTCAGGCACCCTGAGATGTAAAGAGAGTTTCTTCTAAGTCCTAAAAGTCAAAGTGAATATTCAGTATTAACTTTATTGTATAAGTGCCATTTTGGGGAGATTAGTGATGTTTCTGTTGGGTGAAGAACAGGGCAAGGGTGGTGCTTGGAGAGCTCTTTTAAACTCGCATGCTTCTCTATTAGAATAGATCCTCCTACATAAGTGTGTGGATGCAGATGTGTGCCCTCCCATAGTATCACCACTGAGAATCACTGCATAGTAAGGCATAGTTAATGGGTGGGATGTGTTCTGCTTCTCAGATGAATTGGGCAGAGAACCACTGATGTAGGCAATATTGAAAACACTTAAATTTCTTTTGCTTTTAAAAACACTTTAGCAGGAGTTTCACACTCACCACCTTGAACAGAGGTTGAATTGAACCCTTGGTGTATAGTAAAGTTTTTAATAAAGAGGTTCTATCATTCATCCATTTACCTGCCTTCTTTATCTAGAAGATTCTTACACTAAAATGGATAAAATCAACATGTTTTCTCTTTACCTACTGCAAGGCATGAGGATGCAATGGAAAAAGAATTGGACTAAGACTGTAGGAGTCTATGTAGCAATCAGGTCGTCCTTACCAGGTCATCCTTAGCAAGGCAGTTACCCACTTAGCTTTTTAAAAATTTTCCTAAGCTTTGGTTTTAACATGAGAGATGAAAAAATTGTTCTTAGTGATCTCAGATGTTCTTTTTAATGCTAACATTGTAAGATTCTTGGAACCTGGATGTTAATTAACAACATTAAATAAGCAAGGGACAATTTCTAAGGCAATCTGGCTAAAATCTACTTTTATTCCAATTCTTTCATAGTATTTTTTGTTTTTTGTTTTCTCGAGATGGAGTTTTGCTCTTGTTGCCCAGGCTGGAGTGCACTGGCGTGATCTCAGCTCACTGCAACCTCCGTCTCCTGGGTTCAAGCGATTCTCCTGCCACAGCCTCCTGAGTAGCTGGGATTACAGGCATGTGCCACCATGCCCAGTTAATTTTTGTATTTTTTAGTAGAGACAGGGTTTCACCATGTTGGCCAGGCTGGTCTTGAACTCCTGACCTCAAGTGATCTGCCTGCCTTGGCCGCCCAAAGTGCTGGGATTACAGGCGTGACCCACTGCGCCCGGTCCTTTCACAGTATTTTTATAGAAATTTAGCCTCCATGGCATGCTGCGACAGCTGGGGAGGAGGAGAAAGTGTCAGAATTGTTCAGATGGAGACATCTAGGTGATGGATTATAGGTTAAATCACCTTCAGATTTGCCCACGCACTTTCCTTATAAGCAGGAAATAGATTCCTGATCAGTTATGACTTCAACACCTTTAGGCATGCCCATTATAAATGTCAATTGTCTTGACCATTGTTCTCTGTAGTCAAAAAAAAAAAAAAAAAAAAAAGCTTCCATTAGACTAGTGATTTGGTGATCTGGGCTAATAGGGGATGTGGCTACCGATAATCCAGTAGCCTCAGTTTGGTTGTACGTTGTAGCCTTTTCCTGAAATAACCTTTGTTAGTGCTCCTAACAAAATTCATCCTATTACCTCTTTCTGCCCATCTCTCACTACCTCCTTTTGTCTTCTAACTCGAGCTGAAGTTAGATGAAGGATGAAGACTATATTAAATTGAAAAAATGAAGACCCACTAAATTCATAAATATTATAACCAGCCTTTGTAAAAATAAGATATTATTCTGTATGATAATTGCTAGCTTTTGAAAATTGTTCTTTCATAATTTTCCCAATAACAAGTTGGTCGATAGATTGGTATTTTAAATTTGTAGATTTTGTCAAAAAAAAAAGATAAATTTTAAAATTACAAAACAAAAAACTCCCTTTTCATTTGTATGTTCATTTCATCAGTTTGGAATTTTTCTTACACCCTTCTTCATTTGTATAATTGTCAAGCCAAGAGGGCTGATGTCTAGTCCTAACAGCTATAATAATTTTCATATAGCATTTTCATTTAGTAACAATACATATCTGTGTAGCAGTGTGGTAAAAACATCTTACAAAATGCAATCATGTGTTGCAGGGCAACCCTAAGAGAATGTGCAGTAACTGTACAATTTTAATTGTTTAAAAATTTTCAGGAAAAACAATGTAGAACATCCTGCTGACAGATGGTGATTGTCTTCAGTGTGCTAATTTGCATTGTGAATTCCTGGGCTGGGGTAATAGTAGAATTGAGCAATTCTGAGGACATTTTAGTGAAATTCTGGATTCACAAAAGGCCAGAGAAGTGAAAGAATGAATTGATTCAAGGTTAAGGTAGCCAAAGATGAAGGACTGGAGAAAGATGACAGAAAAAAAGGAGAGCAGAGCCCAGGGAGACGGTAGCTCAGCTGATGAGGCAGGTGGCAGCCAGGACAGCCGTTTCCACCTTAAACAGAAGGGAGTGGATCTGGGACTCAGACTGAAAAAGACTCTTTGGAGTCCTAAAGGGGGGCTGTCACAGTTGCCATTACTAAAGAGGGCTCAATTTGCAAAATAAGCCCACTAAGGCTCCTTATTACCCTGAGGCATTGTGCCTGCATTTTTAGTAGCTGGCCTGCCTGCCTTTAATGGGACACATTAGGCTATCTGCAGGCTTGGATAACCATGGATAATTGAGACTAGTGAGATAAAGCTCACCAAAATGCAAAGCCATGATTGCTTTTTCCAGGGAAAATAATCTCTTGATTAAAGTTAGGTTAAGCATTTTACTAATTACTCACCAATTATTTCCTCTCCCATAACAAATTTAGATACTATGCACACTAAGAAGGAACAGATGCAACATACCTTTGGATATTTCCAGCCACTGCTTCCAGACCTAAATTACAGACCCACTTTCATTTTTGCTAAGCATAGAAACTGCTGGGAAATACTCACCTGATGTTACAGCCATTAGGGCTCAAGAGCCCATTTACAAAGACATTTTACGACTTTGCCAGGTTCTCCCTTCCCCTTCCTCCTCCTTTTTCTGGCCATTTTGGAGTAGGATTCCTTCCATCTGTTTGTCTAAGAAAAAATAATAGATCATTTGCTTGTGTTAATGATTGAAGCTATGCCCCAATCTAGTCTTTTAAGTATTCTCAAAGACCTAGAGACAGACTAGACCAGGTTTCTTGGAGAAAGAAAAACAGTCACATAATCTTTTATATTTTCTGTAATAATTTCTTTTCTCCAATCAGGGCTTCCACCATAACACATTGAAAAGTACTCACTCATCATCTGCTCTCCTTTGATTAAAAGGTTATCTACATTGATGATAAGGATTTCTTTTAACTGAATCTTAGACCTTTGATACCAGATTTTGTTAAAGCCAATCTGCTTTTGTCACAAATTTTCTTATAAACAGCCCTTATCTTTTTTCTGCTAACTATTTAATAGGCTATGGAATGGCTTTAAAAACAAAGAAGAGCCAACCAGTTCTAATAGACTTTGACCATATCTGAAACGTAAAGAGAGATGATAAGATAACCTTATTATTAATGCAGAGCAAAGAGGACCCTAAGATAAGGTTCCTCTTTTTCCCCTGCCAGGAAAAGGAAGTCACTCCAAGGGAATACCTGTACCTGAGACTGTCCTGCTAAAGCTTCACCAAGCTCATGAGAAATATGAAATGATCATTTTGATCTACCTGAAATACATAGAACTTGTACCCAGAAATTCTTTACATTGACAAATAGTTATGGACTTGAATTGGCTGTGTGCTGGACTTGAAGTTTTGGGGTAAGGAAATGATAGTCTTGAGAGTTCCATGTTCTAAGAAATCACTTCTGGTTTATTCTTGGGTAGTGATAGCCAAGGATTTGTCAGAGACTGGGAAGCTAAGCTTCTGGGCCTTGTTTTGGACCTGTGCTTTCATAGCTGTATATTATTTTTCATCACAGGAAACTGAAAAAGTAGAAACAAACGAACAAAAATGTATCTTTGATACTTTTTCCAAATTCCTCAGATTCTCCTATTTTTGTATGTAATTCATAAAATATAGTTTATGAAAAACTACTCAATGTTTTTCAGCTGGCTCACGCTTGTAATTCCAGCACTTCAGGAGGCTGAGGCGGGTGGTTCACTTGAAGTCAGGAGTTCGAGACTAGCCTGGCCAACATGAGGAAACCCCGACTCTGCTAAAAATACAAAAATTAGCCAGGTGTGGTGGCATACGCCTGTAATCCCAGCTACTCAAGAGGCCGAGGCACTAGAATCACTTGAACCCAGGAGGCGGAGGTTGCAGTGAGCGGAGATCATGCCACTGCACTCCAGCCTGGGTGACAGAGAGAGCCTCCATTTCAAAAAACAAACAAACAAAAAGAATATTTTTCTGATACTTTAATGATAGAGTGTGCCTAAATAACAAGAGAACAAAACTTTTTTTTCTATTTCTGTTTCTCAATTCCCATCCATATTGCCCTACCCCTGCCAACCATGACATGTTCTCAACCTGGTTAGCCTGGTCCTATACAGTGAAAAGGATTTTTTTTTTTTTTTTTTTTTTTTTGAGCAACAGCGGCTGTTTATTTCACCTGGGTGCAGGCGGGCTGAGTCCGCAAAAGGAGTCAGCAAAGGGTGGTGGGATTATCATTAGTTCTTATAGGTTTTGGGATGGGCGGTGGAGTTAAGAACAATGTTTTGGGGGCAGGGGGTGGATCTCACAAAGTACATTCTCAAAGGTGGGGAGATTACAAAGAACCTTCTTAAGGGTGGGGGAGACTACAAAGTACATTGATCAGTTAGGCTGGGGCAGAAACAAATCACAATGGTGGAATGTCATCAGTTAAGGCTATTTTCACTCCTTTTTGTGGATCTTCAGTTACTTCAGGCCATCTAGATGTATACTGCAGGTCACTGGGGATATGATGGCTTGGCTTAGGCTCAGAGGCCTGACATTCCTGTCTTCTTATATTAATAAGAAAAATAAAACAAAATAGTGGTAAAGTGTTGGGGTGGCGAAAATTTTTGGGGGTTGTATGGAGAGATAATGGGCGATGTTTCTCAGTGCTGCTTCGAGCGGGATTAGGGGCGGCGTGGGAACCTAGAGTGGGAGAGATTAAGCTGAAGGAAGATTTTGTGGTAAGGGGTGATATTGTGGGGTTGTTAGAAGAAACATTTGTCATATAGAATGATTGCTGATGGCCTGGATACAGTTTTGGATGAATTGAGAAACTAAACGGAAGATACGAGGTCCGAATAAGAGAAGGAGAAAAACAGGTATTAAAGGACTAAGAATCGGGAGGACCCAGGACATCCAATTAGAGTGTCCAAGGGGGTCCAAGCGGGGTTAGCGTAATTACTTACTTGGTTGGCAAGCTTTTAGGCTCTATCTTTGAGTTTTTTTTAATGTCGTCATATACCAGGCCAGATTGATTTAGGTAAAAACAGCACTCTTCATTTAAAAACATAGAGTCCCCCTTTTTTTTTAGCAGTGAGTAAGTCAATACCTTGGTGATTTTGGAGGAAAGAGAAATACAAAGCCAGCAAAAAGGATTAGAAATGGCTAGGAGAGAGTGACTGAGATTGATAGTGTGGTGGAGATAGCTGGAGAGAGGTAGAGGGTGGCATAAGAATGGGAATGAGAATAAGAGTAAGCATAAAAGTAAAGAACAGGACTTCATCAGGGTGAAACTGTTGGAGGGTACTTTGTCACTGAAGATCTTCTATCCACTTAGAGACTTAAGGGTGGCAGTTTGAGGTAAAACCAGGCACCACTGAATACCAAGAGCCTGAGAAACTGCTTGGGTGATTTGACTAGTAAAGGCTGGTCCATTATTGGACTGTATAAAGGTGGGAAGCCCAAACCGAGGAATTATGTCTGACAGAAGGGAAGAAATGACTGCAGTGGCTTCTTAGACCCTGTGGGAAAGGCCTCTACCCATCCAGTGAAAGTGTCTACCCAGGCCAAGAGTTATTTTAGTTTCCTGACACGAGGCATCTGAGTAAGGTCAATTTGCCAGTCCTGGGTGGGCAAATCCCCGAACTTGATGTGTAGGGAAGGGAGGGGGCCTGAGAAATTCTTGAGGAGTAGTAGAATAGCAGATGGAACACTGAGAAGTGATTTCCTTGAGGATAGATTCCCACAATGAAAAGGAAATGAGAGGTTCTAAGAGGCAGGCTAGCGGCTTGTAACCTACATGGAAGAGGTTATGAAATGACAACAGAATAGAATGGGCCTGTGAGGTTGGAAGGAGATATTTTCTTTGGTCCAGGAACCATTTGCCTTGTGCGGGAAGAGATAGGTGGAAGTTTCAGCGAGGGAGTAGGTGGGAGTGGCCCGATGAGAAGGAGAAAAACTGCCGTGAGGGATACAAGTTGGAACGCTAGCTGCTTTTTTAGCTATCTTATCAGCATAAGCATTGTCCTGAGCAATGGGATCTGATGCCTTTTGATGGCCTTTGCAGTGAATGACTCCATCTTTCTTTGGAAGTAAAGGGGCCTTGAGAAGAGTTTTTATTAAGGAGGCATTAATGATGGAGGACCCTTGCCTAGTGAGGAAATTTCTTTCTGCCCATATAACAGCATGGTGGTGCAGGATGTGAAAGGCATATTTAGAGTCAGTATAAATATTGACGCATAGTCGCTTTGCAAGAGTGAGAGCTCAAGTTAAGGCAGTCAGTTTGGCTTGCTGAGAGGTAGTGGAGGGGGGCAGAGCGGTAGCCTGAATGATACTATAGCATAGCTTGCCTTTGCTGGTGAGTGGTGATTAGGCCTGGTAGAACTGCCATCAATAAACCAAGTGTGATCAGGGTGATAAACAGGAATGAAGGAAACATGGGGAAATGGAGTGGATGTCAGGTGGATCAGAGAGATACAGTCATGGGGGTCAGGTGTGGTATCCAGAATAATGTGTGAGGCTGGAATGAAGTCCGGGCCAGGAACGACGATAACTGTGGGAGACTCAACAAAGAGTGAGTACAGCTGAAGAAGCCGGGGAGCAGAAAGTATATGTGTCAGGTGTGAGGAAGAAAATAGATTTTGGAAGTTATGAGAACTGTAGAGAGTGAGTTGAGCATAGTTTGTGATTTTGAGGGCCTCTAAAAGTATTAAGGCAGCGGCAGCCACTGCACGCAGACGTGAGGGCTAGGCTAAAACAGTAAGGTCAAGTTGTTTGGACAGAAAGGCTACAGGGCGCAGTCCCGGCTCTTGTGTGAGAACTCCGACCACACAGCCCTGCACTTCGGCTGTATGTAATGAAAAGGGAGTGATGAGTTAGGGAGAGCCAGTGTGGGAGCAGCTTTTAGGGCTGTTTTTTAAGGAATGGAAAGGGGAGTAGGGAAAGGATTTAGGATCTGTGGGGTCAACTAGGTTTGCTTTTGTGAGTTTATATAATGGTTTAGTCAGGATGGCAAAACTAGATATCCAAAGGCAGAAGTACCTAACCATGCCCAGGAAGGAAAGGAGTTGTTGTTTTGTAGAAGGGGTTGGGGTTTGGGAGATTAACCGGACGTGATCAGCAGGGAGAGCACGTGTGTTTTCATGCAGAATTATGTCGAGATAGGTAATGGATGATGAAGAAATTTGGGTTTGACTAAAGTAATGGGGGCTGTCTGTGAAGCCTTGTGGAGTACAGCCCAGGTAATTTGCTGAGCCTGATGGGTGTCAGGGTCAGTCCAAGTGAAAGCAAAGAGAGGCTGGGATGAAGGGTGCAAGGAATAGTAAAGAAGACATGTTTGAAATCCAGAATAGAATACTGGGTTGTGGAGAGGTTGTGGAGGGAGGTATTGAGGATAGGAGAGTATATGGCTTTGGCATCATGGGGTGCATAGGCAAGACAATTTGGTTGATAAGGCACAGATCCTGAACTAACCTGCAAGTCGTGTCCGGTTTTTGGACAGGTAAAATGGGGGAACTGTAAGAAGAGTTTATAGGCTTTAAAAGGCCATGCTGTAACAGGCGAGTGATAACAGGCTTTAATCCTTTTAAAGCATGCTGTGGGATGGGATATTGGCATTGAGCAGGGTAAGGGTGATTAGGTTTTAATGGGATGGTAAGGGGTGCATGATCGGTCACCAAGGAGGGAGTAGAGGTGTCCTATACTTGTGGTTTAAGGTGGGGAGATACAAGGAGAGGATGTGAAGGAGGCTTTGAACTGGAGAAAAGGGCGGCAATGAGGTGTGGCTGTAGCCCAGGAATAGTCAGGGAAGCAGATAATTTAGTTAAAATGTCTTGACCTAATAAGGGAGCTGGGCAGGTGGGGATAACTAAAAAGGAGTGCATAAAAGAATGTTGTCCAAGTTGGCACCAGAGTTGGGGAGTTTTAAGAGATTTAGAAGCCTGGCCGTCAATACCCACAACAGTTATGGAGGCAAGGGAAACAGGCCCTTCAAAAGAAGGTAATGTGGAGTAGGTAGCCTCCGTATTGATTAAGAAGGGGATGGACTTACCCTCCACTGTAAGAATTACCTAAAGCATCTGTGATGGTCCAGGAGGCTTCCGAGGCGATCGGGCAGTGTCAGTCTTCAGCCGCTAAGCCGAGAAGATCTGGGAAGGGGCCTTGGGCCAGAGTTCCAGGGGCTCTGGGAGTGGCTGCCGGGCGAGTTGGACAGTCCGATTTCCAGTGGGGTCCCGCACAGATGGGACATGGCTTGGGAGGAATCCCGGGCTGCGGGCATTCCTTGGCCCAGTGGCCAGATTTCCGGCACTTGTAGCAAGCTCCTGGGGTGGGGGGAGGTTCTGGAGGAACCCCTGGCAGCTGCGGTTCAGGTGTTTGGAGTTCTTGTGTGCTGGAGATGTGGCTGGGGTTTGTCTCACAGTGGAGGCAAGGAATTACAACTTAGAAATACATTGCTACTTGGCTGCCTCTACTCTATTATTGTACACCTTGAAGGCGAGGTTAATTAAGTCCTGTTGTGGGGTTTCATAATTTTTGGAGCTTTATTTAATATCGGGAGCAGATTGGGTAATAAAATAAAATGCATATTGAGAATAAGACGGCCTTCTGACCTTACAGGGTCTAGGGCTATAAAGCATCTCAGGGTTGCTGCCAAACGGGCCATGAACTGGGCTGGGTTTTTATATTTGATGAAAAAGAGCCTAAACGCTATCTGATTTGGGATAAAGAAAAAAGAGCACTAACCTTGACTATGCCTTTAGCTCCAGCCACCCTTTAAAGAGGAAATTGCTGGGCAGGTTGGGGAGGGCTAGTCACGGAATGAAACTGTAAGCCAGACCGGTGTGAGGAGGGGAGGTGATAGAAGGATTATAGGGTCGGGGAGCAGAGGCTGAGGAAGAATTGGGACCTGGCTTGGCCTGGCGAGGAGCAGCCTGGGGAGAAGGGGAGAGGTCACATGAGTCCATAGAAAAGAAGGATTCAAAGGACTCAGAGCTTGGGGTGGAGACTGAAGGAACAGACAGGAGAGAAAGAAGAAAGATTTGGGATGAGTCGCATTGGGAGCAGAGACTAGGGAGGGACCGACGTGTAAAAGAATGCCTGGATGTCAGGCACCTCAGACCATTTGCCCATTTTTTGACAAAAATTATCTAGGTCTTGTAGGATGGAGAAATCAAAAGTGCCATTTTCTGGCCATTTAGAACCATTGTCGTGTTTGTATTGGGGCCAAGCAGTGTTGCAGAAGAAAATAAGACGCTTAGATTTTAGGTCAGGCAAGAGTTGAAGAGGTTTTAAGTTCTTGAGAACATAGGCTAAGGGAAAAGGAGGAATGAAGGGTGGAAGGTTGCCCATGGTGAAGGAGGCAAGTTTAAAGAGAAGGGTAGAGACACGGAGAAAGGGGGCGGGCAGCAGCCCCAGGCTGCAGCGTGGGTGAGCAGCCAAAGCAGGTGTCCCTGCAATTGACTTGCCACCAAGGGAATGTGGGTGAATGACCAAGGCAGGCGTCCCTGCGGAGATCAGACACCAATGGAACGTGGGCGAATAATCAGAGAGGCATCCCCGCAGTGATTAAACACCAAGGAAAGGCTGTCTTCCCGAGTCCGTGACAGACGCCGGAGTTTTGGGTCCACGGATAAAAGGTGTCTCCTTTGTCTCTACCAGAAAATGAAAGGAATTGAAATTAAGAGAAGGGAGAGATTGAAGGATGGCTCCAAGATTGAAAGGAGAAAGAGGTTGAGGGATAGTGAGAGAGGTTGGAGAAGAGAGTAAAAAGAGGCCACTTACCCAATTTAAAATCAGTGAGATGTTCCTTGGGCTGGTTGGTCTGAGGACCCGAGGTTGTAGGTGGATCTCTTCATGGAGTGAGGGTGAGGACAGGGGACTGGTCTCCCGAAGGAGTCCCACTGACCCGGGTCTTTGGCACCAAGTGTCTCACGTGTCTGTGTGAAGAGACCACTAAACAGGCTTTGTGTGAGCCACAAGGCTGTTTATTTCACCTGGTGCAGGCGGGCTGAGTCTGAAAAAGGAGTCAGCCGGATTTCTTTTGATGAGTTATACATTCATTATTTTTTTCCCTCCATCTCACCAAGAAAGATGAATTAGCAATTTAAAAACATCAACTCTGCAAGAGACCTACCCATGAACCAGCTAAGGCTGTGGTTCTCAAAGTGTGGTCCGGGGACCAGGACCATCACCATCACCTGGGAACTTGTTAGAAGTGCTCATTCTTGGCCGGGTGCAGTGGCTCACGCCTGTAATCCAAGCACTTTGGGGGGCCGAGGCGGGTGGATCACCTGAGGTCAGGTGTTCAATACCAGCCTGGCCAACATGGTGAAACCCCATCTCAACTAAAAATACAAAAATTAGCCGGGCATGATGGCAGGTGCCTTTAGTCCCAGCTACTCAAGAGGCTGAGGTGGGAGAATCACTTGAACCCAGGAGGCAGAGGTTGCAGTGAGCTGAGGTTGCGCCATTGCCCTACAGCCTAGGCGACAAAGTGAGGCTCCGTCTCAAAAAACAAAACAAAACAAAAAAACAGAAGAAGTGCTCATTCTCAGGCCGGGCGTGGTGGCTCAAATCTGTAATCCCAGCACTTTGGGAAGCCAAGGCAGGAGGATCACGAGGTTAAGAGATAGAGACCATCCTGGCCAACATGGTGAAACCCCATCTCTACTAAAAATACAAAAATTAACTGGGCATGGTGTTGCGTGCCTGCAGTCCCAGCTACTCAGGAGGCTGAGGCAGGAGAATCGCTTGAACCCGGGAGGCAGAGGTTGCAGTGAGCCGAGATCACGTCACCGCACTCCAGCCTGGCGACAGAGCGAGACTCCATCTCAAAAAAAAAAAAAAAAAAAGTGCTCATTCTCAGGCCACTCCCCAGACATTCGCAGTCAGAAATGTTGAGGGTGGGGCCCAGCCATCTGTGTTTAACAAGCTGGCTAGGTAATGCTGATGCGTGCTAAATTTCAGGAATCCTTGATTTATAGCAGAGTTTCTCAGACTTTTAATGTGCCTAGAAATCACCTGCAGATTTTGCTAAAAAAACAAATTCTGATCGCTTGGCCTGGAATGATTTTTGTCAACATTTCTAATTAGCTCCCAAGTGATGCTAACGCTGCTGGTCCTAGGACCACATTTTGTGAGTAGCAAGGATCTGAAGAACTGTCATAAGGCAGGCACTCCAAGAACTACTACGAGAAGCAGGCTGTATCAAAATTCTAAATTTCCCAGTAGCTCCTAGGAAATACTCCTAAAAGAGGAAGAAGGTTTTTTTGTTTTTTTTTTGTTTTTTTTTGTTTTTCTTTTTGAGATGAAGTCTCGCTCTGTTACCCAGGCTGGAGTGCAGTGGCAAGATCTCAGCTCACTGCAACCTCCGCCTCCCAGATTCAACTGATTCTCCTGCCTCAGCCTCCCCAGTAGCTGGGATTACAGGCGTGTGCTACCACGCCCGGCTAATTTTTCTATTTTTAGTAGAGACAGAGTTTCACCATGTTGGCCAGGCTGATCTCGAACTCCTGACTCAAGTGATGCACCCACCTCGGCCTCCCAAAGTGCTAGGATTACAGGCATGAGCCACGGCGTCCAGCCAAGAGGAAGAGTTTCATGCATAGAGTATTGATCATAGCATTTATTTTAATAGAAAATAAATAGCTTAACTGCTCAATAATAGGGAAATATAGTTAGTTAATCCTCGTTATTCACAGATACTATATTTGCAAATTCACCTAGTGGCTAGAATCTATTTTTAACTCCCAAATCAATACTCCTGGTGCTTTTAAAGTCATTTGCAGACATGCACACAACAGCAAAAAAACTGAGTCACCTGACATAACACACTCCCAGCTGGGGTCGAACAAGATGAGGCTCTGCCTTCTTGTTTTAGCTCTCCTATTGTAAACAACTGTCCTTCTTGAGGTCTACTTAGTGCCCTGTTTTTTGCATTTTTGTTGGTGATTTCACTGTTTAAAATGGTGCCAAAGCATAGTGTTGAAATGCTGTCTAGTGTTCCTGAGCCCAAGAAGGCTATGATGTGCCTTACAGAGAAGTTCCATTTAGGCATGAGTTATTGTGCAGTTGGCCATGAGTTTGATAATAATAAATCAACAATATAGATTATGCAAAGTGTCCTTAAACAGAAGCACACATAAAACAAGGTTATGTATTGATCAGTTGACAAGCATGTTGTGACCAGAGGCTTACAGAAACCTAACCCTATACTTCCCCTAGGAGCAATGGCTCAATATTCACTAGTTCAGTGCTCACTGAGGCTTTATAGAATGTAGCTATTATGAATAACAAGACTTAACTGTAGTTAATAATCAATATGCTGCCATTTTAAAAGGATGATGATGAAGTCTATCCAATAATATAAAAAATGTACACTAGTCCCCCCTTATCCATAGGGGATATGGTTCAAGACCTCCCAGTAGATACCTGAAACTGCAGATAGTATCGAACCCTATACATACCAGATATTTTTCCTAAACATATATACCTATGATAAAGTTTAATTTATAAATTAGGAATAGTAAGAGATTAGCAACAATAACTAATAACATAGAAAAATTATAACAATAGACTAATAAAACTTTGTGAATGTGATCTCTTTCTCTCTCTCAAAATATGTTACTTATCCAATATCTTACTCATCAAAATATCTTACTCATCTATTTTCGGACCATGGTTGACCAAGGTAACTGAAACTGTGGAAAATGAAACTGCAAATAAGTTAAGACTACTGTATATGATGTAGTGATAAGAGACAAGAAACAGGAGAAAAATTGTCAAGTATATTACAATTAGAGTTACATTTAAAATTTTTTCAGGTAAGAAAATTGAAGGTAGTATAAAACTACAGATTGGATGTTTGCCCCTCCAAACCCATCTTGAAATTTGGTCCCCAGTGTTGGAGGTGAGGCCTAGTGGGAGGTGTTTGGGTCATGGGGGCAGATCCCTCATGAAGAGCTTGGCACCATCCTCATGGGAATAAGTGGGTTTTCACTCTATTAGTTCCCACAAGAGCTGGTTGTTAAAAAAGAGCCTGGTACCGGCCGGGCGCGGTGGCTCATGCCTGTAATCCCAGCACTTTGGGTAGGCCGAGGCGGGTGGATCACGAGGTCAGGAGATCAAGACCATCCTGGCTAACACGGTGAAACCCCATCTCTACTAAAAATATTTTTTAATTAATTAATTTATTATTATTATACTTTAAGTTTTAGGGTACATGTGCTCAATGTGCAGGTTAGTTACATGTGTATACATGTGCCATGCTGGTGCGCTGCACCCACTAACTCGTCATCTAGCATTAGGTATATCTCCCAATGCTATCCCTCCCCCCTCCCCCCAACCCACAACAGTCCCCAGAGTGTGATGTTCCCCTTCCTGTGTCCATGTGTTCTCATTGTTCAATTCCCACCTATGAGTGAGAATATGCGGTGTTTGGTTTTTTTGTTCTTGCGATAGTTTACTGAGAATGATGATTTCCAATTTCATCCATGTCCCTACAAAGGACATGAACTCATCATTTTTTATGGCTGCATAGTATTCCATGGTGTATATGTGCCACATTTTCTTAATCCAGTCTATCATTGTTGGACATTTGGGTTGGTTCCAAGTCTTTGCTATTGTGAGTAATGCCACAATAAACATACGTGTGCATGTGTTTTTATAACAGCATGATTTATAGTCCTTTGGGTATATACCAGTAATGGGATTTTACTAAAAATATTTTTTAAAAAATTAGCTGGGCGTGGTGGCGGGCACCTGTAGTCCCAGCTACTCGGGAGGCTGAGGCAGGAGAATGGCGTGAACCCGGGAGGCGGAGCTTGCTGTGAGTCAAGATCGTGCCACTGCACTCCAGCCTGGGCGACAGAGTGAGACTCTGTCTCAAAAAAAAAAAAAAAAAAGCCTGGTACCTTCCACCTCACTCTTGCTTCCTTTCTTGCCATGTAATTTCTGCACATACTGGTACCCCTTCACCATCTGCCATAAGTGGAAGCAACCTGAGGCTTTCACCAGATGCCCAGCCTTCTAGCCAGCAGAATCATGAATCAAATAAACCTTTTTTCTTTATAAATTACCCAGTCTCAGGTATTCTTTTATGGCAACACAAAGAGACTAAGACATATACCAATAGTTTTTAAAATTTTTAAGTATACATAATAATTACACACTTATGGGATACATATGATATTTTAATACATGTATATAATGTGTGATCGTATCAGGGTATTTAGGATGTCCATCATTGAACAATTACCAGTTTCTTGTGTTAGGAACATTTCAAATCTTCTTTTAGCTGCTTTGAAATATACAATAAATTGTTGTTAACTATAGTCACCCTACTGTGCTATCAAACACTAAAACTTATTCCTTCTTCGTAACAGTATGTTTGTATCTGTTAACCAGCCTCTCTTCATCCCCTCTTCTCCACTCTTCCCAGCTTCTGGTAACTATTGTTCTACTACCTACCTCCATGAGGTCAACTTTTTTTTAGCTCCCACATATGAATGAGAAAACCTGGTATTTGTCTTTATGTGCCTGGCTTATTTCACTTAACATAATGACCTCCAGCTCTACCTCTGCTGCAAATGACTGCATTCCATTCTTTTTTATGACTAAATAGTATTCCATTCTGTGTGTGTGTGTGTGTGTGTGTGTGTGTGAGACACATTGTCTCTATCCATTTAACCATTGATGAATACTTGAGTTGATTCCATATCTTGATATTGTAAACAGTGCTGCAGTAAACATGGGGATGCAGGTATCCCTTTGATACACTGATTTCCTTTCCTTTGGATAAATACCCCATAGTGAGATTGCTGGATCATATGGTAGTTCTATTTGTAGTTTTTTGAGAAACCTCCATATTGTTTTCCATAATGGCTGTATTTATTGATGTTCCCACCAACAGTGTATAAGAGTTTCCCTTTCACCACATCCTCACCAACTTTTGTTATTTTTTTGATAATAGCCATTCTAACTGCGATATATCTCACTGTGGTTTGATTTGCATTTCCCTGGTAGTTAGTGATGCTGAGCATCTTTTCATATACCCATTTGCTATTTAAGTCTTCTTTTGAGAAATGTCTATTCAGATCCCTTGCCCACTTTGTAATGGGATTATTATTATTAGTTTTTGTTGTTGAGTTGTTTGTATATTCTGCATATTGGTCCCTTGTTGGATGAATAGTTTGTACATATTTTCTTTCACTCTACAAGTTATCTCTTCACTTGGCTGATTGTTTCCTTTGCTGTGTAGAAGTTTTTAAATTCAGTGTAGTCCTGTTTTTCTATTTTTTGTTTACTGTGCTTTTGAAGTCTTAGCTGTAAAATCTTTGCCTAGACCCATGTACTGAAGCATTTCCTTGATATTTTTTTCTAGTAGTTTTATAGTTTCAGGTCATAAGTTGTCAATCCATTTTGATTAGTTTTTTAATAAGAAAAGCCCAGGACTGGTGGCTTTACTGCTGAATTCTAGCAATCTTTTTTTTTGGAGGCAAAGTCTCACTCTGTCTCTCAGGCTGGAGTGCAGTGGTGCAATCTTGGCTCACTGCAACCTCTGCCTCCCGGATTCAAGTGATTCTCCTGCCTCAGCCTCCCGAGTGGCTGGGATTACAGGCATGCACCACCATGTCCAACTAATTTTTGTATTTTTGTTGTTGTTGTTGTTGTTGTTTAGTAGAGATGGGGTTTTGCCATGTTGGCCAGGCTGGTCTCGAACTCCTGGCCTCAAGTGATCCACTCACCTCAGCTTCACAAAGTGCTGGGATTGCAGGTGGGAACCACCATGCCTGGCTGAATTCTACCAATCTTATAAAGAAGAACTAACACGAATTCTTCTCAAACTATTCCAAAAAAAATGAAGAGGAGGGAATTCTTCCTAATTCATTCTGTGAGGCCAGAATTACCCTGATATCAAAAACTAGGCAAGAACACAACAAAAAAAGAAAACTACAAGCCAGTATCTCTGATGAACATAGATGCAAAAATCCCCAACATAACACTAGGAAACCAAATCCAACAAAACATCAAAAAGTTAATACATGGCTGGGTGTGGTGGCTCACGCCTATAGTCCCAGCACTTTGGGAGGCCAAGGTGGGCTGATCACCTGAGGTCAGGAGTTCGAGACCAGCTTGTCCAACACTGCAAAATTCTGTCTCTACTAGAAATACAGAAATTAGCCAGTCGTGGTGGTGGGTGCCTATAGTCCAACGTACTCAGGAGGCTGAGGCAGGAGAATTGTTTGAACCTGGGAGGCAGAGGTTGCAGTGAGCCAGTATCACACCGCTGCATTCCAGCCTGGGTGACAAAGCAGACCCTATCTTAAAAAAAAAAAAAGTTAATATGCTTAATACACATGATCAAGTGGAACTTATTAAGATGGATCAGCATATGCAAATCAATAAATGTGATACCAGCAAAAAAAACTGTCAACAGAATAAACAGACAATCTACGGAATGGGAGAAAATTTTTGCAATCTATGCATCCAACAAAGGTCTAATATTCAGCATCTATAAGGAGCTTAAACAAATTTACAAGAAAAAAAACAAACATTCCCATTAAAAAGTGGGCAAAGGACATGAACAGACACTTCTCAAAAGAAGACATACATGTGGCCAACAAACATATCAAAAAAATCTCAACATCACTGATCATTAGAGAAATGCAAATCAAAACCATGATGAAATACCACCTCATACCAATCAGAATGGCTATTAAAAAGTCAAAAAACAACTGATGCTGGCAAGGTAGTGGAGAAAAGGGAATGCTCTGATACTGTTGGTGGGAGTGTAAACTAGTGGAAGATAATGTGGCTATTCCTAAAACACGTAGAGGTAAAAATACCATTTGACCCAGCAATCCTATTACTGGGTATATACCCAAAGGAATATAAATCACTCTACTCTAAAAACACATGCACGCGTATGTTCATTGCAGCACTATTCACAATAGCAAAGACAGGGAGTCAACCTAAATGCCCATCAATGATAGATTGGATAAAGAAAATGTGGTACATATACACCGTGGAACACTATGCAGCCATAAAAAGGAATAAGATCATGTTCTTTGCAGAGACATGGATGGAGCTGGAGGCCATTATCTTTAGCAAACTAATGCAGGAATAGAAAACCAAATACCACATGTTCTCACTTATAAGTGGGAACTAAATGATGAGAACACATGGACACATGGTGGGGAACAACACATACTGAATCCTGTCAGAGGGCAGGGGGTGGGAGAGGGAGGAGGATCAGGAAGAATAAGCTAGTGGATGCTGGGCTTAATGCCTGGGGAATGGGATGATGTGTGCAGCAAACTACCATGGCACACATTTACCTATGTAACAGACCTGCGCATCCTGCACATGTATCTCTGAACTTAAAATAAAAGTTGAAGAAAGAAAGGAAAAATAAATAAATGTGATACATCACATCAACATCAGCAGAATGAAGGACATATGCCATAGTTTGGATATGGTTTATTTGTTCCCACCAAATTTCATTTTGAAATTTGATTTTCAGTGTTGGAGGTGGGGCCTAATGGGAGATGTTTGGGTCATGGGGCAGATCCCTCATGAATATACTAATGCTCTTCCTTTCGGATCAGTGAGTTCTCACTCTATTAGTGCCTGTGAGTGCTGCTTGTTAAAAAGAGCCTGGCACCTCCCCACCTCTCTGTTGCTTCCTCTCTCTCTATGTGATCTCTGCACAAGTTGGCTTCCCTTTGCTTTCCACCGTGAGTGGAAGCAGCCTAATGCCCTCACCAGATGAAGATGCCCAGTCTTGAACTTTTTGAGGCATCAGAATCAGGAGCCAGGGAAACCTTTTTTTAAAAAATAAATTACCCAGCCTCGGGTATTCCTTTTTAAGAACACAAAATGGACTAAGACACCATATGATCACCTCAATAGATGCAGAAAAATTATTGATAAAATTCAACATCCCTTCATGATCAAAAACTTTCAACAAATTAGTCATAGAAGGATCATACCTCAACATAATAAAGACCACATGAGAGAAACTCACAGCTATCATCACACTGAATGGGGAAAGGTGAAAGCCTTTCCTCTAAGAACTAGAACAATATGGTCACTTTCACCAGTCTCATTCAACATAGCATGGGAAGTCCTAGCCTGAGCAATCAAGCAAAAGAAGGAAATAAACAGCATCCAAATTGGAAAAGAGGAAGTCAGATTTTTCCTCTTTGCAGATAACATGCTCTTATATATAGAAAATCCTAAAGACTTCACTAAAAAACTCACAGAACTGATTAACAAATTCAGGGAAGTTGCAGGATACGAAAATCAACATACATGAGACAAGAACTTAGGTGGTTAAAAAAGTTTAAAAATCAGTGCACAAAAATCAGTAGTTTACACAAAATATATACCAACAACAAACTAGCTGAAAAATAATCAAGAAAACAATCCCATTTACAATTGCTACCAAAAAAAAAAAAATCCCAACTAGGAATAAATGTAACCAAGGAGGTAAAAGACTTATACAAGAAAGCTACAAAACACTTATAAAAGAAATTAAAGAGGCCAGGCACCATAACTTATGCCTGTAATCCTAGCATTTTGGGAGGCTGAGGCAGGTGGATCACTTGAGTCCTGGAGTTCCAGACCAACCTGGGAAACGAGGCAAAATTTTGTCTCTACAAAAAATACAAAAAGTAGCCGGATGTGGTGGCATGCACCTGTAGTTCCAGCTACTCGGGAGGATGAGATGGGAGCATTGCTTGAGCCCAGGAGGCCGAGGCTGTAGCGAGCCATGATCACAGCACTGCACTCCAGCCTAGGTGACAGAGTGAGACCCTGGCTCAAAAAAAGAAAAAAGAAGAAGAAAATTGAAGAGAACACAAACAAATGGACAGCTATCACATGCTCATGGATCGGAAGAATTAATATTGTTAAAAATGGCCATATTACCCAAAGCAATCTAGAGAGTCAATGCCATCCCTATCAAAATACCAATGATGTTCTTCACAGAAATAGACGAAGCAATCCTAAAATTCATACGGAACCACAAAAGACCCTGAATAGCCAAAGCAATACTGAACAAAAAGAACAAAGCTGGAGGCATCACAAAACCTGACTCCAAAATACACTACAAAGGCATAGTAACCAAAACAACATGGTATTGGTATAAAAACAGACACACAGACCAATGGATAGAATAGAACCAGAAATAAATTCATTTCTCAAATTTTCATAATATTGTTACATTGTTTTTTAAATGTTACACCTTAAAATTTGTGTCATATTCGTTCTTTCAGAGGTACCTCTTTTTTACTTCCCTGAGCAGCAGAGGCAGTACATTCTGGTTAGGGAGTTGACCTTCTTAGAAAAGACCTTTTAGACATCAGTGTATGAGAGTATGTTCTCTGCGTTAAACAAAATAAAAGTTGCTCTAATTGACAATATGAACATCCAAGAGTCATTCAGAATTACAAACCTCTGGTAAAGGTAAACTAGGTACTTAATAGATACTATGAGCACCATGCTTTGTAAATGATTTGTCTTGCCTAATCATAGCCTTCCAAATTTCTGTACACAATCCCATTCTTTCAAAGGGGTTACAAGTTTGGCCTCTAAAGTGAGACAATGCTAGTTGAGTCTTAGTATTTCCATTTATTAGCTGTATGCCTTGGGTAAGTTATTTAAAGTCTCTAAGTTTCTCCTATGTATATAATAGGAATAATTACAGAACCTAACAGGGGTTAAATGAGATAAGGTACATAAAGTCTGAGCATAATGCATCACAAATACTAAGCCCTGAACAAATGATAGTTGCTAATATATATTAGCTTCTTTCTTTTCATTTATTGTCTAACCATGTAAAAAAGACTGCCAGTTGATACCTGGGGGAAATTTTTTTTTAAAAAAAGATAGAAAAGAAAAAGAAAAAAAATACAATAGTATTCCTGTCCACAAGAATTCACAGTCTACTTGGAGAGATTGACACATACGCCGTATTTTAGTCGGGCAGCAATTCTCAAACTTTTTGGTTTCAGGACCGATAAAAAAAAAAAATGAGGACCCCAAACCAAAGGGCTTTTGTTTATGTGAGTTATATCGTCTATATTTACCATATTAGAAACTAAAACAAAAAATTTGTTAAGTATTTATTAATTTATTTTAAAAATAATAAACCTATCATACAGTAACATAAAGAACATTTTCTTTCATGAAAAAAGAACTACAGTTTCCAAACCTTCACAATTTTTTGTGAGGAGAGTGGTATTGTGAAAAGAGGTCTTTGCAAATGTCTTTAATGTCCGACTTAATAGATGATAACTGGATTCTCATATCTGCTTCTGCTTTCAATCTGTTGTGATATCAAATGGTATATAGTGGCCACGGGGGATCTCCACTGTCTACTTGTGAGAGAATGTGATAAACAGGAAAATAATATCTTATTATTATGTAAATAATTCACAGACCCCCTGAAAGATCTCAGAGGTCCCCAGGAGTTCCCAGAGCATACTATAAGCACCATTGCGTAGGGTGTGAGTAATAGCTAATATCTCTATTGGATTTAGTGTGTGCCAGACACTGTTCACAGTGCTTTACATATTTAATTCTCACAGCAGCTCTGTGTGGTGGGTGCTATTGTTATTATCTCTAATTTCCAGTTGAAACCAAAGCACAAAGAGAGTAAATTCATCAAGGTGGAGTCAGCATTCAGTTTCAGACTGTCTGGCTTCAGGGTCCAAACTCTTTTCTGTGCCACTGCGCAGCCTCCCTCCTTGGCAAGTGAGCACAGTTTCATAGAGAAAATAACATTTTTCTTAAAGGCTACGCAAAGATGGAGGTTCTAATAGACAACCCTTAGAGAATAGTTTATTGTTACTCATTACAAAGCAGGATTTTATTCTTGTGAATGTTTTCAACCTTCAGCTTTATCTCCTAAGTTTCTTTGAAATCACTTTACAGTCAGAATTTTTTTTTTTTTTTTTTTTTGAGACAGAGTCTTGCTCTGTCGCCAGGCTGGAGTGCAGTGGCACAATCTCAGCTCACTGTAACCTCTGCCTCCCAGGTTCAAGTGATTCTCCTGCCTCAGCCTCCTGAGTAGCTGGGACTACAGGCGCCCACCACCACGCCCAGCTAATTTTTGTATTTTTGGTAGAGATGGGGTTTACCATGTTGGCCAGGATGGTCTCGATCTTTTGACCTCATGATCGGCCTGCCTCGGCCTCACAAAGTGCTGGGATTACAGGCGTGAGCCACTGCGCTGGGCCGATATTTTCCTTTCTTATACCTGCATCAACAGCACCATCCTACACATCCCGGTCTGTCCAAGGTTCATACCAATAGCTGCCAGTTACTGCAATTTCAATACTGAAGGCAGGATTTTGCCCTTTCTTTTTTTGTTATGATAAAATACCCATAGCATAACATTTACAGTTTTAGCCATTTGAAGTGTCCAGTTCAACGGCATTAAGTACATTGATGTTGTTGTGCAACCATCACCACTGCCATCCATCCACAGAACTCTTTTCATTTTGTAAAACTGATACTCCGTACCCATTAACCAGTAACTCCCCATTCCCCCTCCCCACACACCCTGGCAACCACCATCCTATTTTCTGTCTCTATGAATTTGAGTACTGTAAGTACCACATATAAATGAAATCATACAATATTTGTCTTTTTGCAACTGGCTTATTTCACTTAGCATAATGTCTTCAAGACTTATCCATATTGTAGCATGTGCTGTCACTTCCTTTCTTTTTAAGGCTAAATAATACATCTCAAGGATTTTGTCTGTTAAGGATAAACCGTAAACACAGGACCTAAATAAATATCAGTTAATTTCAAAAACAAATATAAAATAGTATAAAGAAAGGAACACAGAAAGGACCTCTAATGTACTGTTTCTGTGCCTTATTACAAAGTTACTGTTTTCTACATTTATTCTAAAACTCATGATATTACTTGGTTGAACATAGGAAATCAACAGATTTTTTTTAATGGTTGAGCAACAGCTGGAATCCATCATATCTACTGTAGCCATTTCATGTAATTCTGACCTTCTTTTCCTTTTCTCCTGCTTTTTTCTGTTCCCAATCCCTTTTCCCTATCATAAAGTAAAACAAAACTCTGTTTCATCTCTCCTAGGATGGCCATTCTATGGAACTGTTCACAATTAAAAAGCAGATAGGTTAGATATCTGTAAAATAAAAACCTAAATAAACTGAAGTACATTCTATTTAAGTATAACCTGTGTTTTGGGGTGCGGGTGGGGGAGGTGAGCATGGGTAGGTGGGGTAGGTCATAGTCCTTGAGAAGGATTTTTATAGTGAAGTTTCTATTATTATCCTGGGACCATATAGAGAATTCGACTTTCAGAATATGTTCTTGCATGACTTTTACATGCTATGCTATGCCCTGGGGATGTAGTGGTAAACAATAGCAGGTTTGAACATGTTGGATATAAGATAAAATTTATGAAAGACATTATATATTGGATTATGGCCTAATGAGTTCAAGGATTTACCCCAGATTATACAGCTGCTTAAGTAAGGATTTCAGGATTCAAACCTGAACATGGCACCTGCCTGCACAGAGCTTAAAGACTAGCAGAGGAGATCATTAAAGAGCAATTATAATACAGCGTGATATGTGCTATTAGGGGAGGAGGTAAAGGGCTGACGGAATACAGGCTCCACAGGAGGACATAAGTGGAGCATCTAACCCAGACTAGAGAGAGGCTTGCTGAAGGAAGTGGTAACAGAGATGAGCCCTAAAGAACAGGCAAGAATTGGGAGAAGAGAGGCATGTGGAGTGTGTTGCATGCAAAGCAATTGCAAGTACTTTATTCTAGAGGTGACAGAGGAGGCAGTGAATTCAGAGAACTGAAATGAATCTGACTGAGAACTGCAGGTCAATGTCACACATGAGGCTGGAGAAGCAAAATCGGCCTAGAGGGCTGCACTTTGTTCTGGGAGCAGGAGATTTTATGAAGTTGAGTGGCATGTTCAGAATTACATGCTGAAGAAATCACTCTGGTTATGGAGATCATGGAATAGGATAAAGAGACTACAGACAACGGTACAATTAGTGAGAATTAAAATAATCTAGGCTGACCGGGTGTGGTGGCTCATGCTTGTAATCCCAGCACTTTGGGAGCCTGAGGCAGACAGATCACCTGAGGTCAGGAGTTCGAGACCACCCTGGCCAACATGATGAAACCCTGTCTCTATAAAAAAAAATACAAAAATTAGCTAGGCCTGGTGGTGGGTGCCTGTAATCCTAGCTACTCGGGAGGCTGAGAGAGGAGAATCACTTGAACTCAGTAGATGGAGGTTGCAGTGAGCCGAGATCACGCCACTGCACTCCAGCCTGGGTGATGGAGTGAGACTCCATCTCAAAAAAAATAAATAAGTAAAATAAAATAATCTAGGCAAAGATGCTAATGACCTGTGCTAGAAGGGGTTATTGGGGTGGGGAGAAGTATGCAAATGTAAGAGATATTCAGAATGTTAAAGGATGCTTTTTATAAGAGAAAAATAAGTCATACACACATAAAATGAGTCAAAGATTTTATTTAACTCATTAATTAATGAGGAAACTAGTAAGATGTTATAAGAAAAATTCAAAGCATATACGCAATCAGGAATGCGGAAATGCTGCAATTAATGTATAATTAGGGGCAAAACTAGTCAATATCCACAGGGCAATAACCAATTACATTCCGCCAGAAGGCACAATTCAGTTGCATTTCTATGGATAAGAATCAGCTGCATTACTATTTGCTATATTTACAGAGTTGTAAGTATCTTTTTTTTTTTTTTGAGACGGAGTCTCGCTCTGTTGTCCAGGCTGGAGTGCAGTGGCGTGATCTCAGCTCACTGCAAGCTCTACCTCCCGGGTTCACGCCATTCTCCTGCCTCAGCCTCCTGAGTAGCTGGGACTACAGGTGCCCACCACTGCACCCGGCTAATTTTTTGTATTTTTAGTAGAGTTGGGGTTTCACCGTGTTAGCCAGGATGGTCTTGATCTCTTGACCTCGTGATCCACCCGCCTCGGCCTCCAAAGTGCTGGGATTACAGGTGTGAGCCACCGCGCCCAGCCGTAAATATCTTAAAAACAAGGAAAGGCTCACAAAAAACTGGGAGTCATGCCCTGGGCAAGAGTACTCAATCATCTTTTTTTAACCTATTTCCTTAGGCAGAATACCCAGTCATTTTTTCTGCCCATTTCAAAGTCTTTCAATCTTCCCTGACAAGAAGATATCAGCAAGATTTTGGTGATTAATTGGATGTGATGACGGTTAGCAAGGAGGAATGAAAGAGAAAAGTCAAGTGTGGCCACTTATTCAAGGAGGTTGAGGGGGCATTTAGCCAAGATGTGGATGTTGGAACAGGAGGGTACAAGGGGAAAGTTTTGGAGGCAAGGGAGAATGAGAGGTGGGGTCAGGGAAGAGGATGCCTGAAGAAATATAGGGTTGAGACTAAAAACCAGAGGGACTTACATCTTTGGAAGTAACAAAGGAGAACAGGAATGTGATGCAAGGTGGGATTAGCTGGCTATAGGTTTGAAAAATTATTCCCAGTAGTCCTCTGATTCACAGGTGTCAGTGACTTCTCATTTAGAATTTTTGTTTTATCCTGTGTCCCTCTGGGTACAAGTCCCTGAGTACCTGCTTGCTTGGAGTAGAAACGTAAAAGAATGATGTTGATTAAGAAGGTAATTTTGACTTAACTAAGTCGATTTAATGAAAATAAACTCTAAGTATAGAGAAACATGTCTCAAGCATCTTTCTATGCCTGGGATGTTTAGCATAACATCCAGCAATTATATTTAGTACATATATAGAATGAAAGACGTATATGTTGGATTATGGCCTAAAGAGTTCAAGGGCTTACCCCAGATCATATAGCTACATAACTATTCCAGGGTATACTACGTAAGTATACCAGTTCTTATTACTCTAATGCTCAATCACTAGGATGGGGGAGTTAAATTCCAACATCTCATGGAATTTTCAGCCTTCCATTTATTAGGAAAGGTTTTTAAAGTATTTCTTTATTTCTTAATTTATCATGTTTCCAGTAACTAAATATAACTGCAAAATTTGGATATATTTCCGCTCTAAGGAGAGGAAACTTTCTAGAAAGACCTAATTTGAAATCAGATGGACTGAACAAGCAATCTACTGACTGTGTAACATTAGAGAAGTTATTTAACCTCTCTGTACCTCATTATCTCATCTATAAAATGATGATGATACTGACATAAAGACTAAATGAGATAAACTATAGAAAAATGTAAGCATAATAGATGACTTCATGGAAGTTGATATTTTTAATTCTAAGGTATAAAGTTTTTGCATGCCAACTTTATATCAAAATATGTCTTTTTTTGAACGTGGGATATATTTAGTACTGATCTCCTTTGCTTAATTCTTGATAAATCTAAATGTAGTTTTTTCAATATAATTTCTGCAGAAAGATTCTTGTTTCTTGATATAGGTATCATGAGTTTCAAATACTTTGCTTTTCTCTCTTTCTTCCCAGTCTATTGACTTTTCTTTTTTCTTTCCACTATACCAAACTACCATTGCATGCTTCCAGAATGACATCGCTGTATTATAACTTAAATTAGGTTTGTTTTGTTTGGTCCCCTTTATTATTTCTCAGATGCAACAGGCATTTCTAATTCAATATTATTTCTTTTTTTTTTTTTTTTTTTGAGACGGAGTCTCGCTCTGTCGCCCAGGCTGGAGTGCAGTGGTGCGATCTCGGCTCACTGCAAGCTCCGCCTCCCGGGTTCACGCCATTCTCCTGCCTCAGCCTCCCAAGTAGCTGGGACTACAGGCACCCGCCACCACGCCCGGCTAATTTTTTGTATTTTTAGCAGAGACGGGGTTTCACCGTTTTAGCCGGGATGGTCTCGATCTCCTGACCTCGTGATCCGCCCGCCTCGGCCTCCCAAAGTGCTGGGATTACAGGCGTGAGCCACCGTGCCCGGCCTTCAATATTATTTCTAATTCATCTTTTATTTTTATTTTTATTTTTGAGACGGAGTCTTGCTGTGTCACTCAGGCTGGAGTGCAGTGGTGCAGTCTCGGCTTTCTGCAACTTCTGCCTCCCAGGTTCAAGCGATTCTCCTGCCTCAGCCTCCCAAGTAGCTGGGATTACAGGCACGCATGCTCGGTGAATTTTGTATTTTTAGTAGAGACAGGGTTTCGCCATGTTGCCCAGGCTGGTCTTGAACTCCCGAGCTCAAAGCAATCTGCCCATCTTAGTCTCCCAAAGTGTTGGGATTACAGGCATGAGCCACTGCGTCTGGCCCTAATTTAGCTTTTAAAAACACCATTACAATTTGAGATTATTACTGGTTTCCTTTTTTGGCCATTTTCTGAGTATATACAAATATACTGAAATCACAAATAGGTATATTCGGCCAGGTGCGGTGGCTCACGCCTGTAATCCCAGCACTTTGGGAGGCTGAGGCGGGTAGATCACTTGAGGTCAGAAGTTCAAGACCAGCTTGGCCAACATGGTGAAACCCCGTCTCTACTAAAAATACAAAAATTAGCCTGGCGTGGTGGTGCGCATCTGTAGTCCCAGCTAGTCAGGAGGCTAAGCAGGAGAATTGCATGAACCCGGGAGGCGGGGGTTGCAGTGAGCCCAGATTGTGCCACTGCACTCTGGCCTGGGTGACAGAGGAAGACTCTGTCTCAAAAATAAATAAATAAATAATTAAAAATAGGTACATCCTTCCAGACCTCTTGGTGATAAAAGCATTTGAAGGAGTTGGAAGTGATAGAATAATGATTTGAGCTGTTTCCCATTGTTAAGGAAAGGGTAATACACCTCAATTTTCCTCAAAGAAAGATCAATTATACCTGCTCTGTCCACCCTACATGGCTATTATGAGGCTCAAATGAAATTAAAATGTATGAAATTACTTTGGAAATGCAACTCAATATACAAATGTAAGATAACAGTGATTACTGTTATTTGCTGCTGTTTTGATACATTGTTCCTAAGGACATAGGCCGATGGAGCACACCTGCTGTAGGGAGCATCTAGTTGTCCCCAAACAAATGAGAGCTGACTGTGATCCTCTTCCCTCCTTCCCTTATTTTTTCTGACAGTCAGAAGGGTCGGTGTGGTGAAACCCTATGTGCTCAGTCTGGAGTGACTGAAGGCATGCAGACCTTTTCATTGCTGGGTGTTGTGTTTGCAGTTATTTACACCACCCAGCAACCTAACCCAAGGTGAACAGTCCCTATTAGCAAAGCAGTGACTTGCTATACGTGTCATTGTTCTGTTAACATAACATCAAACATTTTCTATACCTAGAGGATGACATTTCATCCCCTGCTTTTCGTATTCATTCTTGTTTGTTTTTTTTTCATGGTTTCCAGAACCAATTCATAAGATAAGAGAATCTTACAATTGAAAGACATAGGAGAGGTCATTCGGTTCAATCCTCTTTCCCAAAGCAAAAATCTTTTGTGCAATTTATCTGATAGATGTGCCCCACATTGAGCATTTCCAGTGATGGAGAGCTAATCAATTGTGAGATATCCTATTCCATTATTGGATTGTTCTAATTTCTTATATTCACAGAATGTTTTTTCTAATTGCTTATAGGACCTTAGAGATCATTCTAGTCCAATTCCTTCAGTTTGCAGATGAGGAAATTGAGGCCTGGAGAGGTTAAGTGACTTGCCCAAGGCCAAACAAATAATTTATGGCCCAGCTGGGACTCCTGGTTCATGGTAACTTCTTTCAAAATCATTAAACTACAAAATTGTTGAATTCATAAATATTGAGTAGCATTAAATGCTATTATGCAGTATATAAATGCTTTAGTATGTAGCATATTTTAGCATAGAAAATACTTATGTTGCTCTATAGATAAACTTATTTCTATTTCGATGGAGAAAATGTGACTATTTTATTAATTGTTTACAAAGATCTCCTTAAAGCTCTCTGAGAAACTCCCTCCTTTAAATAGGACTGTTTTTTTCTTTCCTTTCCTTTTTACAGGGGGGAGAAAGAAGTAATCAGTCTGACCCTTATAATATATCTAGGATGTCTTATTGTTAGAAGAGACACAAAAACACATTTCTCTGCCTGCCATGAGGGTTGTGGGGTGGACCGGAGCCAGGGGCTTTTTTATATTCCTGTCAGGCGTTGGTTCCCGGCCTGTCAGTGGCCGTGTGGATGAGACTGGAGCGGAGCCTGCCCATATGCCAGTAAGACTTTGAAAGGTCGCCTGGTCTGCCCTGCCTCCTGGAAGGGCTGCACATAAAGGGAACTGGCAACCTTTCTGTCTTGTGAAATTACTTGCTGGAAGCTTTAGGGTCACCCCTGGCCCTGTGGAGTGGGGAGAGCTGGTGGCAAGAAGGGGACAGTACACTGATGGGCTATGATGAGAGAAGCCTACAGACTCTGGGAGGGTTTTGAGGTATTGGACAGACTTGTGGGGGTGAGGAGAGGAACATTCGAAAGAGTGTGACCTGAAGAACTGACAAGCAATGCTGTCTGTTCTGAGAAATAACCGAGAGCCTAAGAAAGGGAACCTGATACTGTCTTTGCATCTGTGAGCCAGTAGCCCTAATGCCTTTTTAGTTATAGATGTGAAAATATTCATTTAGGGTTTATCAGATGCACCAGAAAGAAAGACAGTCCTCCACAAAAAAAAATTTCAAACTTTTGATCTCCTATCCTGTGAAGGCAGATGAGCAGCCTCTTATTCCCCAAAAGCAGAAAGAGTAATCTCTCTATTCCTATTGAATCTCACTATACTTAGTGCCTCTATAGCACAGTCTCCCTTCATTAGAACTAATTGCGTTTGTGGCTATCTCCCCTACAAGATATTACCATATCCCCTACTAGGTTAGACTTGAGTTCTGAAGAGCAGGGACTATTTCTTTCTTTTTAAAAAATTATTTAGTATGTCAGGCATACCAAAAGATAAGGAAGATGTTATCTTTACACCATTACAGCCCCATATGGCTTCTGAGAAACATGGTGCCTAGCATGTAGCAGGCACACAGGAAAGATTTGCTGAATTGTGGTACCTACTTCCTTCTTATACGTATGCACTCATTTCTTCTATTCCTTGCAGATTATGTTGAATCAGACTCATTTTCTCTAGATGCTAAGTGCTCAGAGTCAATACAAATATACTCTGATATCCATGGAAATAATAGCTGGTCTGAAATGCCTTTGGAACAGTGGTGCCCACGTTAGACAGTCCTGTTGATTGTCATTACAGCTAAGAGGTAGCCAAGTGTCCTATTCAGAAGACTTAAAGGTTAAAGAAAGCAGTGAAACAATAAAGCTATATGTAGCTAATGGGAATATGGATTTGGGCTTTGATGCTAGTAGTTTTTTTTATGTTCACCATCGCATCCTTTAGCCATCAGTGATTTATTGAGCAAACCAAAGTGTGACTCTTGGAAGACAGAGGGTTTCGAAGAAAGGAACACTGTTGGGTTGAGGAAAGGATAGGAGGAGATTATTCATGTGTATATTAGTGTTAGTGAGGGGAGGAAAAAGAAACAAAGGAAAGTGACAAAATTACCCTTGAGAAAAAAATGCTGATCACCAAGCTGAGGATAAAATGGGTCCATAAAATTTGTAACTCTCCTGACCTGAATATAAAAATGATATGATGCCAGGTGCGGTGGCTCACGCCTGTAATCCCAGCACTTTGGGAGGCCGAGGCCCGCGGATCATGAGGTCAGGAGTTCCAGACCAGCCTGGCCAACATGGTGAAACTCCGTCTCTACTAAAGATACAAAAAAAATTTTAGCCGGGCGTGGTGGCACGTGCCTGTAATCCCAGCTACTCGGGAGGCTGAGGTAGGAGAATCTCTTGAACCCAGGAGGCAAAGGTTGCAGTGAGCGGAGATCACACCATTGCACTCCAGCCTGGGCATAGGGTGAGACTCCGTCAGAAAGAAAGAGAGAGAAAGGCGGGGGGGGGGGGGGAGGGAGGGAGGAAAAAAGGAGGGAAGGAAGGAAGGAAGGAAGGAAGGAAGGAAGGAAGGAAGGAAGCTTTTCCTTGTATTCATCTCTCTAACAATATTTGTAGTTCTTTGCCCCAGTTACAGTTTAGCTAGTTCCTTATTTCCCTCCCTGCCTGATGGCGTATAGGAAAGGATAAACCCTGGCTCGTTACCTCCTCCCTGCAGCTCCTCCGCCCTGCACCCCCTCTGCTGGAGGTCCTGCCTCAATTAGTGGTAGCATTGAATCCTCCACACCAGAAAACCCTCTGTCACCATCACATCCAGCCAGTCACTCTATCCTGTTAATTCTGTCTCCAAAGTGTTGCTCAGATTCTTTCCATTCTCCCTAGAGCTCTTTCCACACCCCATTCGCCCTCCCTCCATTTTCTACCCTGAAACAGAATCATCTTTCAAATCGAATCATGTCACCTCCCTTCACCTCTCCATAGTTCTCTGTCCACAGGAGAAAAGAAAAAAATCCTCGAATCCACCTTTCCAGCCCTATTTTCGACATCTCTCATCACCTCTCACCAGCCCTGCTGATGTTTGTGCGTCTCCCCAAACAACCACGTGATTTCCTTCCCGCCTCCCTGCGTCTGCGCACCCTGCCCCTCTGGATGATATTCTCCATACCCCTTCCCTGGTCATCCTGGATGGGGATTTTTCCCTTCTTTGTACTTCAATAATTTGTACCCATCTCCCTTAGAAAGCTTCTCACATTACATGGTAACTATTTATTCATCCATTTTTCCTCTAATAGACTCCTCTAGAGCAGGGGTCCACTGTTTTGTTCATCTTCGCATCATCGTTATTGCTTAACACAGATGATTAACATAGATGATTAACATAGCATTTGTTGAGTCAGTGAGCAGAATAGCAAATATCTAAGTGACCACTTTCCTCACAGAAATGGGAGTTTTTAGGTGTAGCCTTGTGATTTCAGTAGCAAATCGGATGGGTGCTTTTCTCACAGGGCTGTGGTGAGAACTGATGTGAGGACGTCTATAAAAGTCCTTGAATATTTTCAAAGACACGAAAGATCTAAATTTTAAGTATTTAAGCAGCATGCAAGAAAAAAACAGTTGTTTTAGCACTTCTAATTATATTATCTTTCTAAGAATGATCTCAAGTGCTTATAAGGCTGCTAGGTGTTTTTTTTTTTTTGACTTGTAATTTTTGATTGTTTCAATAAACTTGATTTTCTGCACTGTTTCTCTTCTTATTAGGATAATTCTGGGTGTTTGTTTGTTTTTTTTTTTTTTTTTGTCTTCTTTTGATCTGCTAATACTGTCTTTAACATTGTTATATTTGGGAAATAATCCAAAGCAGCTAAGCTTACCTTGCTGCAAGAGGCAGAAGAGAATCATGGGCCACTAGGGCACCTTGTTTGGGGGCTCTGCAGGTTTATACAAGCTCATGCGTGCAGGTAGTGCTGCCTCTTGCCAGGTGAACACATCATCAGCAGTTTTCATTTGATGGTAAATAATATCACCATTTTCTTTTCAAGTGATATTTGCAAGTTAACAAACTATGGATGAAGCAGCCCTAAGCCTATTACTTGTTTTCTCTCATTTGAGGACTTTATTTGCCCAGGGCTCTTTGAATCCTAAATTACCCTCTAATTGCCAAAATGTAAAGGGGGAGCATTTTCCCTATAATTTCCTGAATTGATGAGTTCGTGTGGGAGCAGGTGAGTGAGAGTTGCTTTTGAAAATCTGACAGCACTGTATCCTGCTGCTGGGACAGGTCCCCTCCCTGTCTGGGCTCAGGGCTGCCCTTGTCTTCAGCCCCTTCTATGGATGGCTGCACTGATAGATGGAATCTCCTCGGGGAGCTTCATGGATCAGCCCTCTGTCCATTACCATGTAGCAGGATTATAATTTATAGCCCCAGATGGTGACTCCCTACCCCACCACTCCCTATTTACTTCAGTAAAGCGGCAGAGGCATTAACTATTAAATTGCTTCCCTCTTTTTAAAATAATTGATGTCATTTGCAAAGGGCTTTATATAAAAATACACGTACTTATTAAAACATTTTAGTAAGTAAAGTTTCATCAGTATATGAAGAACATTATGCATTGTAATAAAATATAAACAACCACATGGTCAGGCTTATTTTTCTTGGCATACTTCCATGTGGAAATGAGGTTTTGAGGCACGATTTCTGGTGAGATTCCTGGATTTTCATAGGAGAGTGTCAGCTCTTTCTTTTTGGTAGATTATTAAAGCTTATGGAGCGACCTCTTACCTGGAAACCCGGATTATTTGCATCCCAGGGTCCTACCAGAAAATATAACCTATAATTTTTAGTTACTCAATATTCTTGAAAGCTTGAGTGTGATAAATGATGCTCAAGGAAGAGTTCCCGAAGGAGATGCAATCCATCCCCTTCTGGATTAAATCAGATTTTCAAGAATTATTTACTTGGACTCTCCCTACTATAAGTGTTGCTTTTCTGGCATTTGGGGAATCTCACCTTGGGTGGACAGGTGCTCTTAAAAACGGTCCTAGGAAAGACGCCACTGTATTTGCTGGGAAGCTATTGTTGAGGCTACTTTATCCTCATTCTGGGTATATCAATGAAAGAAAAGCCTCTCGGGCCTTAGCACATACAAATTATTATTCATGGTAGTAGTATCACAATTTATTTATTTATTTATTGTCAGGGTTTTTTTTCTACAAATTATTTTTATCTACTGGTTTTTGCTTTGGGTGGTTTTTTAAAACATTTTCTTTGTGTTGTTTCTTCACCTCTTTACCTATTACCATGTACATCTTTGTCTGGAGTCTGTGTCCTTTCTTCTAGTGTGTACTTTTAAAATTTAAGTCTGTTTAAGAAGTCAAGCTTATTATATCCAGTCTCATTATAAAATCATAATGTTCTCGCCTTTGAATTTTAGTATTTATTGTCTGTGCTGTTGAATTCTTAAGATCTCTAACATCTCCACGGTGTGAACCATGGACAGCATTTATTAGGACGTAGAGGCCAGATGATGCCTGGAAATCTTACTGTGTAATTTAATCCTGGGCGCTGTGTTGTTTGGCTTCATTGGACTCTGAGTGTGCATATATAATTATGTGCGCATGTGTAAAAAACCCAGCCCTGATAGGAAAGAGAGGGAGGAACATCATTAGCAGAGATTAGATTTGTCTCTCCAGCTGGGCAATGTGCCTCTGAATTCCAAGGGCTTTCCCCAGTGTAAATTATTAGACTGACTCAGCTGCTGTTCAATTCCCCCCTGGCTGAACTGCTTTTGCTAATACTGTTAAGCTGTGGCCCAGGAGACAAAACGTCCTGAGGTACTAGATATATCTGACGCATGCAAAAGGCAAAACCTCCCTATTTCTCATATTTAGAAGATACTGGTATATAGTCTTCCCAAATCAAAAAATAAAAGGCAAAATGGAGATAAGAAAAACCGTGCCAAACCTCAGCTATACATAGAGTGCTTTGGAAATTGTTAGTAGACTGAAATAATTTCTATCTAGCTAAAGTAGATAGGCGTAATCTAATCAAAAGAGTTTAATTCAGATCAGTTGAGAGTATCTGACTTTAGATCTGCTGCTGTTCGGAAATTGCTGAAGTCTAAACAAATTAACCCCACTCTGAACCAACATACATCTCCTTGATTGATTCAGGGCCACAGAGTGGTCTTTTCTGAATTTCTTCAGAGGTGATAATACACTAACATTTATGAAAACTTGAACTTTTTAAATATAGCATGAAGCATAAGGCACAACATAATGTACATACTTATTAATTGGTTGAATAGAATTTATGGCTATAGTAAATGCTCTGTTTTAGTTTTTTTCCATTCACAATTAGGACTATGTGTATGTTGTACTAATGTAATTCAAAAAGATATGGTGAGGTGATGGATATGCTAATTAACTTGATTGTGGTAATCATCACAATGTACATATATCTCAAAACATCACACTGTACAATTTTTGTCAATTTATTTTTTACTGTAAATATAATTTTTATTTGTCAGTTATACCTCAGTAAAGCTGGAAAACAAAAACAAGAAGACATGATATCTTTCCTCTATGGTTTTATTACCGAAAATGGCCAACTTATATATACAGATAAACCTAATGGCTGGTTTATCCATCACAGGTCAGGAGAATAAATGAAATGCATAGATAATATAGAAGCTGTAATCAGGTAATTATTTATATCTTTCTTTAAAAAGTCACAGTTTTGTTATCAACTCTATTAACAAGTAGCAAAATTATCTGACCTAAGGTTTGCTTTTTTCCCCCTCCTTCCTTTCCTTTTACTTTGGAGAAGGTGCTGAAGAATAGGACTAAAATATAAAGAACAAGGACATCAGATAACAATGGGATCATTTAATGATCAATTTTTAGGACTGTAAAATGCCCAGCACAGTGCCTAGGCACTCAGCAAGTGATACCTGCCACTACCACTGCCATTAACATTATCTGCAGCAGTAGCAGCCATACTTACACTCTGCATAAACAGTAGCCTGGATAGTGCGTGAGTGTAAGATTAAATACTGGAAATAGATAAGAACTTATTACCTTACCTGTGATTAGTGAAGACTTTATAAAGAGGGGAAATTTTAAACACAAAAGATCAAGGAAACAAAACCTGTTTTCAGTAAGCAGAAAATAGCATTGTAAGAACAGATGAAGGTGTCAGCATTTCTCTAAGAGGAACTCTTTTGTGGTCCCCACTGCCAGTGAAGGCAGGGAGGAAAGCACAGTGATGGAGATGAGATCAATTCTGGGGGCAAATTGATGGCAAAGTTTACACTTGAGCGTGAGAGCTGGTTTACATACGTCAGGCTATGGAAACGGAATGGATTGTCCTTAAAAGTTGGGGTTGGCAATCAGACCAGCTTCATGGGTATGTAACCTATGCAGTTGCACAGGGACCCACGCTTGGTTTAATTTTTTAAAAATTTTTTCAAGATAGAATCTTGCTCTGTCACCTAGGCTGGAGTGTAGTAGCTTAATATTGGCTCTCTGCAACCTCAGCCTTCTGGGTTCAAGTGATTCTCCTGCCTCAACCTCCCAAATAGGTGGGATTACAGGTGCCCGCCACCACGCCCGGCTAATTTTTGTATTTTTAGTACAGATGGGGTTTCACCATGTTGGCCAGGCTGGTCTCAAACTCCTGACCTCAGGTGATCCGCCCGCCTCGCCTCGGCCTCCCAAAGTGTTGGGATTACAGGCATGAGCCACCGCGCGCAGCCCTATGCTTGGTTTAATACTCTGTTATCTCCATCTTGAAATTCTTAATAATTCTTAAACAAGGGGTCTTTCATTTTTTAGTTTGTACTGGCCCTGCAAATTTTGTAGCCCATCCTACTGGCAATGTATAAAATTGTAAGTTCTTAGTTGATGTTCTCACTAGCAATGCATTTCAGTACATTGAATATTTCTTGTGTCATGCCTTTTTTTGCTCTAAGGCCAGCATGCTTATTTCTACCTGACTACTGTTAGATTTCTAGAAGTGGTTCTGAAGAATGTGTCCCTGCCAATGAATGACTTAAGAGAAACTCAGCCTCAATTTTATGCCATCAAACAATGTTATTTTGCTATTAAGGTATATATGCATTATTTAATGTAATCGCATAAATTCAGAAACTACACATTTGCACATTCCAATTACTGTGGTCTTGAACAAAAGCTTTCTGATCATTGCATAAGTAATGAGTAATGTTTTCTATGAGGCCAAATTCTTTTGATCAAAGAAAAGAGACTCGTTAGCCCAGCATTCAAAACCTTTTATGATGTGGCACCACCCTATAGTTACAGCAGTGCTGATCACTGTTCTGTATGCACCTTATGTTCCAGCTCTTCCAGACTGTTTGCTATTCTTGGAAAATGCTATTTATTTTCTTGCCCTCCATTCTTTTCTTTGCGCAGTTCTTTTGGCCAGAATATATGTCTTCTTCCAGACAGCAGCCTCATCTCTCTCCATCCTTCACTCGTTCTTCACTGGTGTAACTCTGATTCTTTCTTCAAGGCCTCACTTTCTTGCTCAAATGTCTCTTTTTCTGTGAAGTTTTCTCTGGTAACTCAATCATAGTTGCTGCTTCCCTTGCTGTGCTTATACTGTGCTTGAAGGCTAAAGTCTGCCTTACATTGTACTTGCTTACTTGCTTATCTGACACACTAGTTTGTATGCTCCTTGAGGGTAGGACTATCTGACCGGGTCTATTCCATCATCCATGGCATCATAACGTGATGTCTGGCACATGCTCAATACATGTTTACTGAGTGAGGGAACTGGAAAAGCACTGAGTGTTAATTCTCTAAAGTGAAACAGCTAGTTGACGTCAGTTGATCTTGTTAGAAATAGTTTTGACTTTTAGAAGCATTTTTGTAAGAGAGAAATAATAAAAGCAGGGCTGTCAGTGGGAATGAGGCCCCCTAGAATTATACAATGTCACGACCCTGGGTGAAAGAGTAGTAAGAGTTCAATATCAGAAGAGTTTAAAAGGATTGGAAGGTCCCAGAGTAGCCAGGAAAAATTACCTAAAACAGTTTGAAGTCAGAAAAACAGGAAGCCCAGGGTGCCACTTGACTCTTAATTTAGCCCTTCCTAGCCGGCAATTTAGTTCCCAGCCATTCTTTTTGTAGCACCTTCCTTAATTAAATTGTACTGCCATGTCAAGAAAAGCCTTGAAATAAAGCCAGTAACATGGAAGGCATATTTAGAAGTATGCTAAGTGCATTTTTATGCTAACACTTTAACTCTCAAACTAAATTCTAGCTATTGTGCAATTTAAGTCTTCTCTCTTGATTCTTTTGTAAGAAAGAAAGAGGGAATAAATCAGAATCTGAATCTGAATCTACTGGGATTAAAAAATAATCAGACTATTCTCTGAGCTTGTCTGTAACCACAGCCAAGCATGCCTTCTAATTTTGTCAAATGGGATTAGACATATGTAGGCTAAGGGAAAAAGCCACTAATCCCAAAGCCTAGATGGTACAAAGTATTGTAGATGGCTTAATTTCTAAGATTTTGGTACTATTCTAGCCCTATTGTCATTTCAGTTATTATGTGAAGAAGGTCATTTAACAGACTATATGTAAGGATTTTGTGATTTTTCCCATAGGTATTTAATAATGACTTATTTTCATATTTTAAATTTTGGTGCTCAATTCATTTTCGTCTTCTGAGATTGAATGGATGCCCTATTGCAATAACTATTCTCACTAATGAACCGGCTTGTTTTCATGCTAGGCAAGTAAAAAGGGGATCTGTGGAAAAAAGCCTTGAAATGAAAGCCAGAAATCATAGAGTGGGGCTGGATCATTCCAGAAGAGATGTGGGGTATATTCTCACAACATTTTTATCCAGTAAAATAAAGATTAAAATTTTATATTAAAAGCATGCCTAGAAAGAAAAGAAAATTACAAAAGAACAGTAGAAACTCTAAAGATTATATGGGAAGGACACTCTAAGTTGATTTGCCTCAGTAAATGACGGAAATTGTACATGAGCTGATTATCTATTTGTCTGTGAACCTTGGATATAAATAATGTTTCTTTTTTAAACCATTTTTTGCCACCACCAGACCCTAGATCTTGAGCCTTAACCCACCTCCACTTTCTGGAGTGGGAATCTCTAAGGTTGGCTTTCAGATTCTAAAGATATGTAATCGTGACTGTGCTAAACTCTTACCTCATTTTGCTGTCTAGACCTATGATTATTAATTTTCATTTGGAAACACTCAGGGGTACCTCTGTCTCAAATGGTGCTAAAGGATTCTAAATACAAAATTAACTCTATATACACAAAATAGAACGTTATAACTATAAAGCAGAGTGACTGCATTTTAACAAAGTTTGCCACACCATGCGCAATTAAATGGATTTTGTCAAAGACTTCTTAAGTGTCTTTGACAAAGTATCAGGAAAAGTATCAGTGTCCAGCAGCTTGTTGATGCCTTCTGGTGATTCTACTATTGCTCAGGACAGCGTGGGGACTTTAGCTTCAGAGTGCGTTTTGCCAATTTCAGCGGTGGAATTAAGGGGGAAGAAAGCTCAAGTGTGTTCCCTCTTCCCCACACCTTGCCCCTATTAATCAGTTCCCACACCTGGCCCCTATTATTTGGTTTCTGTCCTTATAGTGTTGTCTTTTCTGTAAATGGATTTCATATAAATGGAATTATACAATATGTAGCCTTTTGTCTTTGCTCATTTTAGATTTCCTTGTAGAATTTTGAGAATTTTTTTTTTTTTTTTTTTTTTTTTGAGTGTGGGTCTTGCTTTGTCACCAAGGCTGGAGTGAGGGGGCATGGTCATAGCTCACTGTAGCCTTGAACTCCTGCGCTCAAGTGATCCTCCCACCTCGGCCTCCCAAAATACTGGGATTACAGGTGTGAGCCACTTTTTTTTTCTGCCTTACTTTTATCTTAGTAGCGTCTGGCATGGGCAGAGCAGAGATAAAATGTTTATGTTCAACCTATCACATTTAACTAGAAATCTTGTTTAATAGTTTTACAGGAAAAAAATCAGAAAGTGGGAGTATAGAGTGAAATCTTCCAATTTTGCAGTTGAAATCAAACTTATTTCATGAGAGAAACCATTTGAAGCTTTCAGGGTCTTATTTATGGTAAGCTCTCAATAAAATGCCAATTCGGCCAGGTGCGGTGGCTCACACCTGTAATCCCAGCCTGTAATCCCCTTGGGAGGCTGAGGCGGGTGGATCTCTTGAGGTCAGGAGTTTGAGACCAGCCTGGCCAACATGGTGAAATGCCATCTCCTCTAAAAGTACAAAAATTAGCCGGGCATGGTGGCGCATGCCTGTGATCCCAGCTACTCAGGAGGCTGAGGCAGAAGAATCACTTGAACTCTGATGGTATAGGTTGCAGTGAGCCGAAATCATGCCACTGCACTCCAGCCTGGAAAACAGAGTGAGACTCCATCTTAAAAAAAAAAAAGAAGCCGATTAGTTTGATTTGCATCTACAACAACCCCAAAAGGGAGGTTTAGTATATCCTGTATACAAGTGAGGCAACTAGAATTCAGAATATTTACATAACTGTCAAAGACTTCACAGCAGATAAGTGGCTAGGAATCAAACAAGGTATTTCTGATTTGAAAACCTGCACTCTTTGCAATTACAGCACATCATAAGCATTATGTAATAAACATGGGACAACAACTATTTATAATATACCAGGCTTCATTACGATCTGATTTATTACAGTCCTAGGGCAACCTTGCACTAATGGGAGGTTAGTCATGAAATTTGCTCTGTGTGCTGTTTTTGGCCAACTCACTACCACATTGGGCATCATCAGAAGGCGTCTACCAATGAAATGTATAAATAAATAAATATATATGTATATAAAAAGGTGGACTAGAGTTGGACATAGATCAAACAAGGGCAACTGAGATGATTCAAGGAGCGTGTGTCCTGCCTTAGAATTGCAGACTGGAGGCCAGGCCTGGTGGCTCATGCCTGTCATCCCAGCACTTTGGGAGGCCAAAGCAGGCAGATCACTTGAGGTCAGGAGTTCAAGAGCAGCCTGGCCAATATGGTGAAACCCCGTCTCTACCAAAAATACAAAAATTAGCCAGGCGTGGTGGTGTGTGCCTGTAGTCCCAGCTACTTGGGAGTCTGAGGCAGAAGAATTGTTTGAACCCAGGAGGCGGAGGTCACAGTGAACTGAGGTCACACCACTGCACTCCAGCCTGGGCTACAGAGCGAGACCCTGTCTCTAATTAATTAATTTAAAATAAGCTTAATATCTCTGATTATCAGGGAAGTACAAATCAAAACCACAATGAGATATCATCTCACCCATTAAAATGACTATTATCAAAAAGATAAAAACATAAACGCTGGCAAGGATGCATAGAAAATGGAACTGTTATGCACTGTTGGTAGGAATGTAAACTAGTACAGCACTATGGAGAACAGTATGAGCGTTCCTCAAAAAAACACACATAGAACTGCCATATGGTCCAGCAACCCCACTACTGAGTATTTACCCAAAGGAAAATGAACCAGTATACTGAAGAGATATCTGCACCCCTATGTTTATTGCAGGACTATTCATGATAGCCAAGGTATGAATCAACCCATGTCCGACAATAGAAGAATGGATAAAGAAAATGTGGTATATGTACACAATTGAATACTATTCAGCCATAAAAAAAGAATTAAATCCTGTTATTTGCAGCAACATGGATGAGCCTAGAGCAGCAGTCCCCAACCTTCTTGGCACCATGGACCAGTTTCGTAGTAGACAATTTTTCCACAGACTAGGGATGTGGTGGGTGGTGGGTGGGAATGGTTTGAGGATGAAACTGTCCCACCTCAGATCATCAGGCATTAGTTAGAGTCTCATAAGGCGCGCACAACCTTATGAGATCCCTCGAATGTGCAGTTCACAATAGGGTTTGCCCTCCTGTGAGAATCTAACGCTGCTGCTGACCTGATGGGAGGCAGAGCTCAGGCAGTAATACTCGCTCGCCTGCTGCTCACCTCCTGCTGTGCAGCCTGGTTCTTAACAAGCCACAAACCAGTACCAGTCTGCGGTCTGGGAGCTGGGGATCCCTGGCCTAGAGGACATTATGTTAAGTGAAACAAGCCAGTAACAGAAAGTTAAACACCACATGTTCTCATTCATACGCAGAAGCTAAGAAAGTTAAACTCATAGGAGTAAAGAGCAGAACAGAGGATTCTAGAGGCTGGGGAGGATAGACAGGGAGGGATTTGTTAAAGGATACAAAATTATAGCTAGATAGGAGGAATAAATTCTACAGCTATAGCGTCCCACAGCACTGTAGGATGACTATCGTTAACAATAATATATATTCCCAAATAGCTAGAAAAGAGAATATTTTAATGTTCCCAACACAAAAAAAGATAAATGTTCAAGATGATGTATATGCTAATTACCCCAATCTGCTCACTATGTATTGTATGTATTGAAACATCACTATGTATCCCATAACAATGTACAATTATTATGTGTCAATTTTTAAAAATTAAAAAATAGGCCAGGTGTGGTGGCTCATGCCTGTAATCCCAACACTTTGGGAGGCCGAGGTGGGTGGATCACCTGAGGTCAGCAGTTCAAAACCAGCCTGGCCAACATGGAGAAACCCCGTCTCTACTGAAAATACAAAAATTAGCCAGGCATTGTGGCGGGCGCCTGTAATCCCAGATACTTAGGAGGCTGAGGCAGGAGAATCGCTTGAACTCAGGAGGCAGAGGTTGCAGTGAACTAAGATCACACCGCTGCACTCCAGCCTGGGTGACAGAGCAAGACTCTGTCTAAAAAAAAAAAAAAAAGGTTCAGCATATGAATAAGATTCTTTCATGGAATATTAAGAGAAGTAAGTGATGTTTATGTTATACCCATTCCTTTTGTAAACAGATGTCACAAAAAACAATGACTCCCCCTTCAAAGCTATCATCGGAAGCAAAGTGTTAGGTAAAAGGGCCCTTGGTTTTTCCTGGCTTCTTCAAGTAGAGTTGTCTTTTCTTGTCCTTACTTTATGAGATGTCCTAACTGTAGATTATACCATGATTCAAGAACAGCTAGACATGCATACACATGAATTTGCAATCAGTTATTTAGAACACAGAAAAAAAAATCAGAAAATGAAGGGAAAAACATTTGCACATAGCCAGAATGTACGTCACAAAACCCATGTACAAAACCTCACAGTTTACTCATATGAAGAGTCATCAAGCCTTTGTACAAAATCTTATTACTGTTATTTTGCACACAGTTCTAACATGTTTGGGCACATGGTTTCCAAGCCCATGACAAATACTGACTTCTCAGGTAGATTTGCTGGACATACCACCTACTCAGGGAAATTTATTGAGAGCTATGAAATTGACATTTAATTAAACAACTAATACCAGACATTGAAACAACAGAAAATTCAAATTAAGCAAACAAGTACAATAATAAAACAATCATTAGCATTTCAGAAGGATTCTTCATTTTGCAAGTAGATTTATCAGTGATACTTCAAATAGTAATTTCTATTAGTGATTTTTAAATGTTATTTTAAAAATGTGATTTATATGCAACTTTTTAGGAGCACTTAATGAAACCATGTGCACTTGTAATGAATTCAAATTATGATTCCTAAAGGGAGGCAGTTATGTCTTTTTTTTTTTTTTTTTTTTTGAGACAGAATCTCATTCTGTTGCCCAGGCTGGAATGCGGTGGCATGATCTCAGCTCACTGCAGCTTCCACCTCCCAGGTTCAAGTGATTCTCCTGCCTCAGCCTCCCGAGTAGCTGGGACTACAGGTGTGTACAACACGCCCAACTAATTTTTGTATTTTTAGTAGATATGGGGTTTCACCACGTTGGCCAGGCTGGTCTCGAACTCTGGACCTCAGGTCATCCTCCCACCTCGGCCTCCCAAAGTGCTGGGACTACAGGTGTGAGCCACCATGCCCAGCCTAAATATGTCTTTAAATTCTACCTTTGTAATATTAACCTTTGTATTGAGGGACTACATATTGTTTTCTGTCACAAATAGTTTATTATTTTGCATTTATTTTTCTTTCCATTAGAACTGTCTTATATATTTATCATTTGTATTGAGAGACTACATATTGTTTTCTGTCACAAATAGTTTATTATTTTACATTTATTTTTCTTTCCATTAGAACTGTCTTATATATTTATCATTTTTTAGCACTTAGAATCAATAATTAATATTTATTGATGTTCTTCCTTGTCATCCTCATTTTGGACAGATGGGATTTATCTAGGATCCTTTAGCAGTCTGCAAATTTCAGCTATATATTGGGAGTAGAAATTGAAACTACCCTCAATGAATAATTAAACAATGGGTATGGATTACACTCTAGCACAGAGTCATTCCAAAACAGTGACATAAGACAAGTGAAAAATGGCCAATCTTTGACAATTTCAAATTTCTATTGTTGGTAAAGCTCAAAATGTTCTATCACACATTTTCTAGAGTATCATCTTGATTGAATCATTACTTTAAAAATTAAAGCTCAGGACTACTTCTGTGAGCAAAAACAACAGTAAGTCACAAGAAATGTAAAAGTCTAAAACAATAGGATCTCTCACTAATTTGGCTTTAGTTACTGCTCTATTAAAATTCGACATTGGATCCAGAGTCAGGAGTGCTTTGTTCATCCTGGAGCTTTTGTCCTGGTTATCTGTAATACAGTCTCCTCTGAGAAGTGACACATACTTCTGGTGATTTGGTAAAACTTCTGTTCCTATTCACCTTTTCCTCCATTAGCCCTCCCCTAGGTTTCTGCCTTTCACCTACACTAGTGCTATGATTAGGAGCTTCAAGGAATGATGGTAGCAGTAATCTAATTTCATTTTTTAGATTCTCCACAAATGAACCTACTTAGATATTGAAAATTATTCCTCTGGTTCCTTTTAGACACACAGCTATGATTCCTTGGACAGTCTTTTAAAAGATAAAATCCCCAATTCAGTTTGATCCTGATGAACCATCATTAGAATGAGCTATACTTAAATCATTCACAAATATTACTAAAACATGGTTGCAAACCTGTCATATTAAAGAAGGTAGTGGAGTACTGTGCAGTTAGCAAATCCCCATGTACGAAGGGAGCCACAATGTTGGTTAATCCTTACAACAGACCAATCTATTAATATGAATAAAGCGCATAGAGCAGCACTGTCCAATGGAACTTCCTGTAATGATGGAAATGTTCTTTTTCCCAGTCCTATATGGTTGCCACTAGCCACATGTGGCTAGTGAATACCTAAAATGGACTAGTACAGCTGAGGAATGAAATCTTTATTTTATTTAATTTTAATTAAAGTTAAATGACTACGTATAACTAGAAGCTATAATATTGGATGATGCAAGTATAGAGTTTTAATGTTAAAAACAGAATGGGGCTGGGCGCGGTGGTTCACACCTGTAATCCCAGCAATTTGGGAGGCCGAGGTGGGTGGATCAACTGAGGCCAGGAGTTCAAGACCAGCCTGGCCAACATGGTGAGACCCTACTTCTACAAGAAATGCAAAAATTAGCTGGGTGTGGCAGCACGCACCTGTAGTCCCAGCTACTCGGGAGGCTGAGGCAGGAGAATCATTTGAACCCGGGAGGCAGATGTTGCAGTGAGCTGAGATTGTGCCACTGCACTCCAGCCTGGGCGACAGAGCGAGATTCCACCTCAAAAAACAAAAAACAAAACAAACAAAAACCAGAATGGAGTAAACCCTACAGAAAGTGAGCATATTTTAGAATTCTCCAATTATCTTTAGTTATTGCTAAGAATTCATACCTTTCATCCAAGTTTGGAACCTAAGTTCAAGGTAAAATATGAGCCTATTCCATATTTTTCTGACCTAGACCTTTTTTAGTTAAACAGAAGCCCATTATAATATCGACAATACAGTGTTGTGGTTAAGGGCTCAGGCTCTGGTGCTGGAGTGGAACTGGGTTCAATTCCTGTCTTCGCCACTTAGTAGCTGTGAGTCATTTAGCCTATCTGTGCCCCAATTTTTCACCAATTATTGTCAAGGGGTAATAATAATACCTTTCCCAAAGGGTTGATGTGAGGATTAGATAAGTTAATATGGGAAACGTGTTTAGAGCGGTTTCACATAATCTCAATAAATGTTGTTAATACGTTATCACATTGCTATGTGTGAGTGTAAAGTCTTCTCATCCAAAAAAATTGAATTCCACCATATTATATCAGGTTCTGCACTAGGTGCTGAGGCTAGACGGTGGGAAAAGAAAAAGGACAAGGTACAGAGATAAACAATGTTTGATTCTACTCTTACAAACTTATGAGACTTAGTTGTTTATCTTGAAAAATAGAAGGCATGGCCCAGTCACTGCTCCCTCCGAACTTGAACCATCTATGATTCTACCATTCTTAAGAAAGGCCTGAAAAAGCAACGCAAGGATAGCAGAAGGACTTTGGATGGCCTCTTGCCTACCAAGTATATCTAGGACTTGCCCAGGAACAGGGTGTAGAATCTGCAGCTTTGTGAGAACTTTCATATATGTCATTGGAAGTCGAAGTCTGTTACTGATGCTCTTCAACAGCCCTAAATATTAAACTGGCAATGAATTATTTGATTTTAATGTATAGTATAAAATAAGTATAGAATGTATTATATATTAATATCTCTAGTTATATTTTACTGTCCAACTAAACAATCCAAATACTGACAATGAATTTAATGAGAAAAGAAAATTTCCATAATATAATTTCATTCAGAAAGATTTTTTGGCCAGGCGTGGTGGCTCATGCCTGTAATCCTAGCACTTTGGGAGGATGAGGTGGGAGTATTGCTTGAGGCCAGGAGTCCAAGACCAGCCTGGGCAATATAGTGAGATCCTGTCACTACTCTTAAAACACTTTTTTAAAAGACTTTTCCTCCTTTCTCACTTGCTTAGAGTCATGAAGCTCCTGAGAGCAGAGCCAGTCTATTCTTACTAAGCAGCACACTATCCATCACTTCCCAAGTGGCATATATTTTTTATTTTTATTTTTATTTTTATTTTTTTGTGAGACAGGGTCTCACTCTGTCTTCCAGGCTGGAGTGCAGTGGCGCGATCATGGCTCACTGCAACCTCTGCCTCCCGGCTTCAAGAGGTTCTCATGCCTCAGCCTCCTGAGTAGCTGGGACCACAGGCATGTGCCACCATGCCTAGCTAATTTTTGTTGTGTATTTTTAATAGAGATGGGGTTTTCTCATGTTGCCCAGGCTGGTCTTGAACTCCTGGGCTCAAGTGATCTACCTGCTTCAGCCTCCCAAAGTGCTGGGATTACAGGTATGAGCCACCATGCCCTGCCCTGGTCTAATTATTCTTATGTTTAAAGCATAAGCAATGTTTTCCTAGAGATATTTTCTTGAATCAATGAAATCATCTCCTAATTTAACATCACAGTATTAAAACCAGAAGGGTTAATTTCTTTTTTTTTTTTTTTTTTTTTTTGAGACAGAGTTTTACGCTTATTGCCCAGGCTGGAGTACAATGGTGCCGTCTTGTCTCACTGCAACCTTTGCCTCCCGGGCTCAAGAGATTCTCCTGCCTCAGCCTCCCAAGTAGCTGGGATTACAGGCATGTGCCACCACACCCAGCTGATTTTGTATTTTTAGTAGAGACGAGGTTTCTCCATGTTGGTCAGGCTGGTCTCAAACTCCCAACCTCAGGTGACCTGCCTGCCTCGACCTCCCAAAGTGCCGGGATTGCAGGTGTGAGCCACTGCTCCCGGCCAATTTTTTTCTCCCAAATACTACAACTACGTAGTATTAATATTCTCCCAAATATTATAGCCATGTAGAACCTTCCTTTTTATGTGTGCAATTTAATTAAAACCTAGAATGTAAAAATAACTGCTGTAATTAAAGACAAAGGAAATGAAATATGAAAAAGAAGTTGCATACATTTGGGATTTTTGTCTCCTATTTTCCATCTTGCTTTCACCCTTTTGATCTGGTATCTCACTGTTTATTGATTCTTTGTGCTTTCATTTATAATACCAAATGAATGTTACAAGCTCAGCTTGCCTCAGTTTCTATATATATCAACCCGTTCCCCTCTTCTTAGCTCTCTTTTCTCATCTTATCACTTTCCTAAGGAAAAGCTTACTTGTCTTTTCCTTGCCCTTCTTTTTATTCCCCTTGATTTCACATATATATTGAGCATATTGACATATATCTGTTTATTCTAATTTTTCTAGTTAAAGATTTGCATAGCTAACAAATATTGAGGGTAAATGTGTTTTTTTATATATACTATCTCGTATAATCATCTACTCTATGAGGTGGATTCTGTTGTTACTACTAATTATAGATGACAAAATTGAGGCTTAGAGAGAGTTATGGCGAGGTTAGTGATTACAATTTGAATCCAGGTCTATCTTCCTCTAGTGCCTTCTCTCTTAAGCCCTTACAATATTGCTCTCAATATGATGAAGTACATCTGAATACAGACTGGACAAGAAATAACTTTAAAGTGTATATAATAGCACTATTTTTTTGAGACGGCCTTGCTATGTTGTTCAGACTGGAGTACAGTGGCGCAATCATGGCTCACTGCAGCTTAGACCCTCTGGGCTCAAGTGATCCTCAGCCTAGTAAGTAGTTGGGCCTACAGGCACATGCCACCATGCCCAGCTATTTTTTTTTTTTTTTTGTAGTAACAGGGTCTCACTGTGTTGCCCAGGCTGGTCTTGAACTCCTGGGCTCAAGCAATCCTCCCACCTCAGCCTCCCAAAGTGCTGGGAGTACAGGCATGAGCCACCTTGCCCAGCTATAAACCAAATTCTTTAAAAATAATTTTATTTTTATTTTTTCTTTTAAATTTTGGGTTTAATAATAATTTTTAAACCATTTCAATTCTTGTTCTCCTAAACTATGTATCTTAGGAGAGTCCTAGAGTTCCAAAAAAGAGAGGAAATGGTTACAAAATAAAAGGAAAAGAAAAGAAGGAAAGAGACTAGCATTTAATGAATGCTTACTGTATACTTAGCATCTTGTCAGGGACCAACTTAAGTTCATAGTTCCACATATTCTGTAATCTTCCTTTTTAAAAAAATAGGGTATTTCTTTATCTTCTACTTTTCCATGAACAACTGTCTTGCTCATAGTTCCTGAAGATAATTATTTACCAAAGGTTGTTTTTGTAATCCTAAATGCAAGAGTTTTGATGCCTTCACATGTAATTCATCTGGACCTTAGAACTTGGAAATAATCAAAACACTGATATATGTTCTTTTCTTTTCTTTTCTTTTCTTTTTTTCCTCACTGCCTGTATAATCAGGTCTTTATTCAAAAGAAGCTGTCCAAAATGATTTGACCTTTATGGAATAATCAAATTTAAGAGTTTATGCAGCAGGCTTCTTTTCCTCTGTAGTAGGTTTCTTTTCTGCAGGCTTCTTTTCAGGGGCTGGTTTCTTGGTAGCTGCTGCCTTTTTTCCCACCAGAGGCTTCTTCTGCTTCTTAACACCAACAGCAGCCTTCTTTCCTTTCTTACCTACCACAGGCTTCTTGCCTGCAACCGCCGCCTTTTCATCTGATTTGGCTGGTAGTGCTGCTGCTGCAGCAGCTGCCTTATCCACCCGGAGCTTGTGATTCCTGGCCTGGCGAAGAATGGTGTTCCGGCGCATGGTCTTTGCATATGGGTTTAGCTTCAACATGATTCTCAAGTTTTTCAGTGGGTTCTTCTTTAGGACTCTGCGATGAATCTTCTTGCGTGGTGCTCAAAGGGCTCTTTGGATCTCTGGGCTTTTCAAGATTCTGCTAAGATCTGTATTAATCAACTTGTGCATGGGAAGATTGTAGTTACTCTTGAGGGAAGCGGCTTTACGCCAAGTGCCATACAATTCATCTAACTTCCGGAAAGCACTTTCAGTCCAAATGCAGAAACGTCCCACATGCCCACCAGGAGCAAGCTTCAAAATGTTCAGCTTGCTTACATTAAGCAGAGTAATTCCAGGGATGTTTCTGAAGGCCTTGATGATACCATTATCCTCATTATAGATGATGCACAGGCCCCTGCGCTGGATACGGCGACGGTTTCTCATTTTGCCTTTGCCAGCTCTCATTCGCTGAGAGGCATAGACCTTTTCGATATCATTCCAGGCTTTAAGTTTCTTAAGGAGCAAAACAGCTTCCTTGGTCTTCTTGTAGCCTTCAACTTTATCTTCAAATACCAAAGGAAGTTCAGGAACTTCCTCAATACGATGACCTTTAGACATGACCAGTGCTGGTAGGGCTGAGGCAGCCAGGGCAGAACAGATGGCATATCGTTTTTGGGTTGTGTTCACTCTACGATGCCAACGGCGCCAGGTTTTGGTTGGTGCAAACCTTCGGCCTCCACGACACATGTTTCCAAAAGCACCCTGGCCAGAGCGGTGAGTCCCACCACCTCGAACTCTGGGAATTCGAGCCATAGCTCTGCCAGTACCCCAAGACTCAGCACTGGTCTGATGACCTGCTAATTCACTGGCAGCGTAGGGCTGTCTGTTGTTTTTGCGCAAGTTGGTGTGAACAAAGTTCACAATATCTGGTCGAATAGGAGCCTTGAATACAGCAGGCTAAGTGACATTTTTGCCAGATGACTCCCCCTTTTCGGAGTACACCGATATCATTGGGCGAGCACACGCCATGGCGGAGAGAGGAGACAGCCACGCTCCTCTCAGCCCGGCTGCTGCCACAGGAAAAGCATGTTCTTGTCTTTTCATCTGTTTTGGGTTTCAGTTCTCTTAATCATGATCATTCTGCCTTTTCTAGAATCAAATGTGAATCTCATTAGTAGAAAAGGTAAAAACAAAATAGGAGTCATTAACTTTTGTTTGCTCATTGTCGTCTTTTTAAGTTCACTTTTATTTTCATTTTGAATTTATAATTCTTTTTTTTTTTTTTGAGACAGAGTCTCACTCTGTCACCCAGGCTGGAGTGCAGTGGCGTGATCTTGGCTCACTGCAACCTCTGCCTCCCGGGTTAAAGCAATTCTCCTGCCTCAGCCTCCTGAGTAGCTGGGACTACAGGTGTGCTAATTTTTGTATTTTTAGTAGAGCTGGGGTTTCACCATGTTGGCCAGGCTGGTCTCGAACTCCTGACCTCAGGGGATCCTTCCACCTTGGCCTCCCAAAATGTTGGGATTACAGGCGTGAGCCAGCACATCCGGCCTATAGTTCTTTTTATGCCTGTTTGCAAGCCTCAGCACACAGTGACAATTAGCTTTCCTGACAGTATCCTTAACATTTCACATCATTTTTCATATCTGAAAATATAGTGAAGTGGGCCCATTAATCTGTGCGTTTAAAGCAACAAGGATTTGTATTGAAAACCTCTGATTAAACAAATAATGCATGCTAATGGTAGAAATTTGGAAAAATATAGAAAACTTCAAAGAACAACAGTAATAACCACTGTTGACCTTTTAAACATAATTTCTTAAAATGCTTACTTAATTATACACATTTTAAATTTTTATGCCTATTAATATTTATATATTTAAAGGTACATATATGTCTGTATCTTATTTTTAAAACATTTAAAGTTACTGATTTTATCATTCATATGGCAGCTGGATTTAGGTCAGAAAATGTTGAATATTAATACTTAAAATACCATATATTATTTATTAAAGATTTATGGAGATAGCATTTATGATATGATTTATGGATAAATCATTCCTTTGGTCAAGATGTTTCACCTTTGACTTAAGGCATTTTTGAAGCCTCACAAGTTTCTATTTCTTGATAAATTTATAGACTACTACTCTGAAAATGAAGTATCTTTATTCATTTTAAAGCCTACAATAAACTTATTTTAACTGTAATCACAGTTGCATTTATAGGTACTGGTATTCAAAAGGTAATTTGTCACCATGGAGAATTTGCTTCTTTGTAATTTTTATTTTTTTGATGTCTCCAGCATACTTCAAGATTATTAAACATTCATAATCTTAACCGAAAATATAGGTACATGGTAAACATGGAATCAATATTTTTGAATGCATAATTGTTTCATGAAATATTATAAAGAAGATGAAAAGAGGTAGGTCAGTGGATTTTGTCGATTTGAGTTTTTATTGTTCCTTCAAATAGGCGTTTCAGGAGATGGTCCACAGTTAAGAGAGTAAGTAGGGATAAAGGCACGATTGTAGGCCATTCTTTTTACCTGATTTGAAGTCACATACTTCTAATCACACAACTCCATTCGAAGAAGCTAGCTAATGTTTTCAAAGTTCAAATTAAGATCTGGGTGACAGACCTCTATCCTGGAAAGATCATTTTATGTTATTACTATGCACAAGTAAAGTAATCTAAGTTTTAAAATGGGATTGATGCTCCTAGAAGCAGAAATTATTTTATGTTCTCAACTGCTATATGAATTTTAGAGAAATGACCAGAAGACTAAGATGGCAGTGTTGTATTCATTTTTAAAGATAGGCAAGAAGACGCCAAGTAAAGAGAAGATAGCTTAGAAAGAGCTCAGTGTCAATCAATAAATCTTGTAGCAATAATGCTTACTTTAATTTTTTATTCAATTTTAGTCACATCAAAAACTTTGTGGGGCTAAATTGTCCAAAATCTTTGATTTATTCATATTTATGATATAAAATTTAAAATCTGATCATTATAAAAATCCTCAATTAGTAACATGGGAAAAATTGTATTCTATGATAGAAATCCAAGAATTTAAGGGCCATTTGGCCACATTACCTCCTCCATTCCTCTTTCTCTCTACATTGCATCCTGGGATCTTGGCACAAAACCAAGGTAATTTCCAGAAATTGGCAGTGCCCTGCCAAATGCACAGCTGCTGCTGTCTCCAACTCTTGCCTACTAATTTTGCACAAACCACTTCCTCCTCTTGGGGCCAAGAAACTCAGAAGGTAGGGAAAGTGTTCCTCAAGGGCAGATACGGGAGCACTTCCTGCACCCTTTGCGGATCGGGACCTGTTGTAAGGGCGGCAGTAGCATCACCTCACCTACAGACCTTCCCGGAGTACTTTCTTTTTCTTTTTTCTTTTCTTTTCTTTTCTTTTTTTGTTTTGTTTTGTTTTGTTTGTTTGTTTTTGTTTTGTTTTCGAGGCGGAGTCTCCCTCTATTGCCCAGGCTGAAGTGCAGTGGCAGCATCTCGGTTCACTGCATTCTCCACCTCCTGCCTGGGTTCAAGCAATTCTCCTGCCTCAGCCTCCCGAGTAGCTGGAATTACAGGCGCCTGCCACCATGCCCAGCTAATTTTTTGTAGTTTAGTAGAGATGGGGTTTCACCATGTTGAGCAGGCTGATCTCGAACTCCTGACCTCAGGTGATCTGCCTGCCTCAGCCTCCCAAAGTGCTGGGATTACAGGCATGAGCCACCGCACCTGGCTCCCATAGTACTTTCTTTTGATAAGGGTGCCATTCCAAACTTGCCCTTTATCCCTCCAATGTTCCTTGTCTTTTTCCCTTTGACTCTCAACATTCAAAAATCTTGCCCCACTTCCTTTCTGTCTCCTTCTAATTTATACTAGTTTTGATTTCTTATGAATTGAAAGGACCAAACAATCAGTTCCCATGAGGGTACCTGAGCCAGATTTGCACAGGGAGAGAGGAACTGAGAGGGCAGAAGACAGCCAGAGATAGTGGAACCACCTGTGTTCCCGCAGTTTCCACCTAACAGTCTCTTCACTGTGCAGTGGCAGCGTGTGGGTGTGCATACAAACACAGGTAAAACTTAGGTATTTTTAGCTTCCTACACTCTTCTTAAATGTAGAGTCAGCTCTGATCATATTTGAATATAGCCATGGTGATGATTTTTCTTTCCCTTTGTTCTTGTACCTCTCTATTTCTCTGCCTTTGTTGGGACCCGTTGGACTAGATATTCTTGGTGAGCATGAGGGAAGCCTATTTGACTACACATCTTTATACACCCTTGAGGTTTACCTCACCTCTGCCTACTCTGAGAGCAGTCAGTGGGTAGCCTCCTGCTGGCCTGTGGATAGGCGCAGGGTCACCCCGCTAGGTAGGCACTAGTGTTTCCTTGGGAATAGTTTTAGTGCATCTAGAATAGCACTGGGACTTGCTATTGTTTTTGTCATCAGTGGCCATGATACCACGGCTATTTGTTTCTCTTCAAATAAACAAACAACCATGCTAGTGGAAGGAGCTGGGCTGAGGAAGGAGGACTCATCTCAGCTCTGCCACTGGTCAGATGTTATATTAAGCAAGTCGACAATCTCTCTGAAATTTGATTCTCATATGTGAAATAAGTAGGTTGAACCATATTCCTTGATTGTCCTGTTTTCCCCTGATCTCTTAAATATCAAACGCGTATGATGACTGTGATTAGACTCATTCTCATGCCAATGGGAACAGGTCCACTTTACATTCATCCTTAACCTGTTAGAGATAGGAAAAAAATTACAAAACAAACATGTGTTTTTCTAACTTTCTGTGTATGAGCCCATCCTAACATTATGTATTGGGCAGAAGTTCGGGATAAAAAATTGACAAAGTAGAAATTTACGAGGAATTAATATAAAGTCTGATAGTTTGATTCAAAAAAATAAATCACACAAGTAAGTGTTTGGCTGAAATTCACATATATATTTGGGTATGCAATTCATGTGAGCCAATAGCACGTAAGACTTGTGCTGTATAGCAGGGGTTCCCAACCTCCAGGCCATGGTCTGGTACCAGTCTGTGGCCTGTTAGGAACTGGGCGGAACAGCAGGAGGTGAGCAGCAGGTGGGTGAGCGAGCAGAGCTTCCTCTGTGTTTACAGCCACTCCCTGTCACTTGCATTACCACCTGAGCTCCACCTCCTGTCAGATCCATGGGGCATTAGATTCTCATGGGAGCACAAACCCTATTGTGAACTGTGCATGCGAGGGATCTAGGGATCTAGGTTATGTGCCCTTTATGAGAATCTAATGACTAATGATCTGTCACTGTCCCCCATCACCCCCAGATAGGACTGTCTAGTTGCAGGAAAACAAGCTCAGGGCTCCCACTGATTCTACATTATAGTGAGTTGTAGAATTACTTCATTATGTATTACAATGTAATTATAATAGAAATAAAGTACACAATACATGTAATGCACTTGAACCATCTTGAAACCATCCCCCCTGCCTGGTCCGTGGAAGTAGTGTCTTCCACAAAACTGGTCCCTGGTGCCAAAGAGGTTGGGGACTGCTGCTGTATAGGATAACCAAGAGTCCTGGCAGCCAAGGCAGACCGGAAGTAACTGCTGAGTCACTGGCTAGGTCAGATAGTATGAAATCAGCAGTCTTAAAAGAGATGAGGCAGGGCAAGGTCAGAGAGGCCAAAGGCAGGAGACAGCTCAAGGTTGTGGCAGGTGATCAGCCAGAAAGTATAATGAGGAGATCAGTAATGTCAAAGCTCAGAGATGAGCACGAAAAGAACAGGGGAGGGGAGGCTGGAGTGGGTGGAATGGTGTCTGTAACAAAGGGCTCCAGTTTTTCTTCTTTCTTCCCCCTGCCCCAACCTTATATTCCCAGGGAGCTTCTCAAGGCCTAGATTTCTCCATACCCTATAATTTAAGTGCCTCTTAACCTAACCCCGTCCAGTTAAAGTGATCTCTCTGGTTTGTTAGGAGGGAAGAATCACCTGCACTGTATCGTAAGCTTTCAGAGCCCACGTGTGGCAGCAGGAGTTACCCTTGCTGCACACTGCTCCCCCACATTAGCCACTGCTGTTTCTGGGTCAGCAGCCCCATCACGCACGCTCTGGTCATTCCCGCTTCCCTGCCTCTGCCAGTGCTCTTGTTCGCCCCTGATTTCCTTCCGTCTGTCACACGCCTTACCTTTAAAGGTCCATCTCAAATCCTACCTCTTTTAGCATTGTTCCCATCTCTCTTGGCTCTGTAGAACGGAATATGGCTCACTTGTCATGGGGGATGATGGCAGGAGGTTATTCCTTCAGTGTAATTATTAGTTCCGTAAGTAGTCTGTGAGCTTCAACAGGATAGGAACCATGTCTTCAGAGATTGCCTGGTACAGGAGAGAATGTCATGATTAGGGAAAATAACCCGGTATTTCATCCCGGCTCTGTGACCTTTAGCATCTACCTCTTTGTAGGCCTTCATTTCCTTCCATGAAAAATAGGGATAATCATTCTGTGTTCTGGATTCCTTACCTAGGGATCAAAAACTTAGATCAAATGATCACAGATAACAGCATTTTTTAACCTGGAAAGCACTCTATGAAAGTGAGGAGTCATAAAATGTTCCATCGTGTTGTAAAAAAGGCAAAGGATTTGGGGAATCTGAACTTTGAGCTAGATTTTAATTCCTGCTCTATTACTTACTGAGTATATTACTTTAGAGAAATTTCTTCTCTTGTGAAATAGAAATGACATTATTACAAGGATTATGGTGCTGGAGCTGGCTTATACACCAGCTTTTAAGAGCCAATTGTCAAATATTTAGAAACTTTGCAAGCAAGTTGTTAAACTTTTATTAGCTTGAAATCTGCTGTGGTGGGAATATTTACACCAGGGAAATGAGCAAACACTACAAACCAGATTGCTGTTGTTTTGGAAAGAGCTGATTTACCAGTATATTGCTGATTATGTAAACAGCCTTCTGTAAATTGTAAAGCACTTTGTCTTACTTATTATTAAAAATAGTAATGGTAACAGTAACGTTCTATATCCACAGAATCTAGGCTAGTGCATGGCACAATTCTCAGTATATATTCTTTTTTCTTTTTTGAGACAGGGCCTTGCTCTGTTGCCCAGCCTGGAGTACAGTGGCACAAACACAGCTCACTGCAGCCTCGATTTCCTGGGCTAAAGTGATTCTCCCACCTCAGCCTTCCACCCAAGTAGCTGACACTACAGGCGTATGCCACCATGCTTAGCTAATTTTTGTATTTTCTGTAATTTCTGTATTTTTTGTAATGTTTGTATTTTTTGTACTTTTTGCCATGTTGTGCAGGCTGAGTATATATTCAATAAACACATTTTGAATTTAGCTTTATGATTTGGAAACTTCTGCCCCTGTGATAAATGAGCCCCATCTTTATCTTTCTTCCAATCTCTCTCTACAAAGTGTCTTTTTAAAATCAGATAGCATCAGTAAAAGCCTAGCTCCCTAGCTCAGTGCATGATGCATAGTAGGCCTTAAATTCTGTATGTCCATAGTTGAGCTAATCGTCTTCTTTCCCAACCTTTCTTTCTGGCATTTCATATCTCAGTTATTGACATTGTCTGTCTATTCATTATTCCAAATAAGTGATTTGAAAAGTCTTCCTCTCCCCTTTTTCTTTACCCACATCCATGTCTAATCAATTACTAGATCTTACTAATTCTACCTCTTAAATCTTTCCTGTTCTCTTCACTGCCATTGCTAACTGACTTATTCAGGTCCAAGTCATTTCTTTTTGAACTGTACCTTCTAACTGGACCTTTAGTCTTTCCCTTTGAATCTAACCTCTACTTCTATAGACGTGATTTTAATTTATCTGACCAGATTACTCCCTTGCTTAAAATTCCTTAATGGCTCTCTGTTGTCATGAGGATAAAACCCCAAAGATTTAGCTTGTCATACAGGCCTACCATAATCTAGCCTTTGCCTACTTTTTCTAAGAGTTATCTCCTGCTGTTTCCCCATACTACCTGGAATGCCTAGTCTTTCTTTCCTAGTGACCATTAATTCACCCCTCAAGACTCAATTCAAGCAAAACTTCTTCTTATAACATCTCTAGACACATTTTATATTTATTTTTCTGAGCTCCCATTGCATCTTTTACATATCTTTGTCCCATATCTAACTATGTGGCCGTTATCTATCGGTCTTTCCTTCTGGATTGTGATTTCCCAAAGGGTAGGAACCTATGGACCATTTACTAATGCCTAACACACTGCATACCATGTAATAGGAGCTCAGTGAATGAATAAGAATTCAGAGGAAAGGATATTTTCCTCTCCCTCTCCCTCTCCCTCTTCTCCTTCTTCTTCTTCTTCTTCTGATGGAGTCTCACGCTGTCGCCCAGGCTAGAGTGTAGTAGCGCAATCTTGGCTCACTGCAACCTCCGCTTGCTGGGTTCGAGCAATTCTCCTGCCTCAGCCTCCTGAGTAGCTGGGACTACAGGCATGCACCACCATGCCCGGCTAATTTTTTGTATTTTTAGTAGAGATGGGGTTTCACCATGCTGGCCAGACTGGTCTCGAACTCCTGACCTCATGATCTGCCCACCTTGGCCTCCGAAAGTTTTGGGATTACAGGCGTGAGCTACCACGCCAGCCAAGGATACGATGTTTTCATTGGTTCACTAATACAAGCTATTCATGGGATATGGTAATGAATAAAAGGCTTAAAATTTAGGTCTCAGTTATGAAGATAAGAAAATAATAAAATTGAGAGGGTCTATTTTAATCCATAATCCGCAATATAAGATACTATGGCTCCCCATCACCTTCAGTATAAAATCTCAAACTCAGCCTGGCATGCAAAGCTCCTTATAGTCTAGTCCCTACCTATCTGTCCATTCATGTCTTTCTGCATGCACTTATATATAGCCTACATTCCAGCCACTTTGGATTTCTCATCTGTTCTATAGTCTTTCAAGCTTCCATGCCCTCCTTCACAGTTTCCCCCACACCTGTAATACCTTCCCCCTCTTCCTTCACTCACACCTTCCTGACTTGCTTAATGAATGCCTACACTTCCTTCAAATGGATCAAAAGTTACCACCTTTGAGCACCTTTCCCTGAAACTATTCCTCCCTCTTCTGTGCTCTCAGAGCACTTACTTGATTGATTATAAGCACTGTTCTGTCATTTTTTGTTGGTCTTTCTTTTACCCCCTCTGCAAAATGAGGTCATCTTCATACCCTGACCTCTAGCATATTCTAGATGCTTAGTACAGAGTGAAGGAAGGAATGACTGTTACAAAGGGATTTAAAAAGAAAGTACATTTCTGATAAGAACATACTTTGGGCTGGGCGCAGTGGCCCATGCCTGTAATCCCAGCACTTTGTGAGGCAAAGGCAGGTGGATCACCTGAGGTCAGGAGTTTGAGACCAGTCTGGCCAACATAGTGAAATCCCGTCTCTACTAAAAATACAAAAAAAAAAAAAAAATTAGCTGGGCGTGGTGGTGCGTGCCTGTAATCCCAGCTACTCAGGAGGCTGTGGCAGGAGAATTGCTTGAACCTGGGAGGCGGAGGTTGCAGTGAGCCGAGATCACACCACTGTACTCCAGTCTAGGTGACAGAGCGAGACTCTGTCTCAAAAAAAAGAAAAAAAAACATACTTTGAATAAATTTAAGATTGACTATGCGTGATCTGGCCAATCTAGAACAAATCTTCACTTTTAAAGGTTAGGTGGCCACAAGAAATGGTGCTAATGGACAGATCAGAAGCAAAGAACAAGTTTAAAGAGCTAGGGCTTAGTTGTGTTACCCCAGATTTGGTGCAGTATAATAAAAACAAATTTTATATCTTAGAAACTTGTCTTGTCACAGACACATGACATTTATCTCCATGACTTAATGAATGCCTTATAAAGTGACGCAGTGCCCCAGTGGATAAGACACGAAAGCAAAGAGAAAAGATGAGTAGCAACTTATAACACAGGATGTAGTTTGTACTAAAGATGTGTATATCAGAACAACTAAATTTCCCTTGTAGAAAGGGAAACATTCTTTTCTGATTAAAAAGATAGGCCGGGCACGGTGGCTCACGCCTGTAATCCCAACACTTTGGGAGGCCGAGGGGGTTGGATCACCTAAGGTCAGGAGTTGGAGACCAGCCTGACCAACATACAGAAACCCTGTCTCTATTAAAAATACAAAAATTAGCCAGGTGTGATGATGCATGCCTATAATCCCAGCTACTTGGGAGGCTGAGGCAGGAGAATCACTTCAACCTGGGAAGCGGAGGTTGCAGTGAGCCGAGATCGCGCCATTGCACTCCAGCCTGGGCAACAAGAGCAAAACTCCGTCTCAAAAAAAAAAAAAAAGATAATAGATATTAAAACAGAATGCTTAGAATACCTTGAAAATCACAACAATATAAACCTCCCCCAAATCTAACCACCTAAAATTAACTGTTGTTAGTTCCTTGGATTTTTTCCTTGAAGTCTTTTTTCTTGTATGTATGTCCTTTTAAATAAATTTCTAAGTTAATGTTGTATATATTGTTCTAACCTGTTTTTTATATTAATGTGTCATGGATATTTTGTCATGTTCATAAATACTCTTCCACAGCATAATTTTTCATTGCTGCACTCATTTCCATCACATGGACTAACCCACAGGTTAACCAATCCCCATTGTTTCAGTTTTTTTTAATGCAAACAGAAGTGTCGTAGTGTGCATACTAAAGAAAGGATGATCTCTTATCTCCCTCCTGTTTTTCTCAGGTTTTGGAGCCCTCTCTTAAGTCAGAACTCTGTCCCAAAAATCTTCTGAGTGTCATCTCAGGACTTTGGTTATACTCATGGCACGATGGCCAACTTTCAGGAGCACCTGAGCTGCTCCTCTTCTCCACACTTACCCTTCAGTGAAAGCAAAACCTTCAATGGACTACAAGATGAGCTCACAGCTATGGGGAACCACCCTTCTCCCAAGCTGCTCGAGGACCAGCAGGAAAAGGGGATGGTACGAACAGAGCTAATCGAGAGCGTGCACAGCCCCGTCACCACAACAGTGTTGACGAGCGTAAGTGAGGATTCCAGGGACCAGTTTGAGAACAGCGTTCTTCAGCTAAGGGAACACGATGAATCAGAGACGGCGGTGTCTCAGGGGAACAGCAACACGGTGGACGGAGAGAGCACAAGCGGAACTGAAGACATAAAGATTCAGTTCAGCAGGTCAGGCAGTGGCAGTGGTGGGTTTCTTGAAGGACTATTTGGATGCTTAAGGCCTGTATGGAATATCATTGGGAAGGCATATTCCACTGATTACAAATTGCAGCAGCAAGGTAAGCTAGAATATGGACTTGGAAGATATTTCTTGTGTAAACACACCATCACCACCACCGTCACCACCATTAGCTGGATAACCTATGACCTTTGGGCAAATTAAAGAACTAGTGACAGATGAATACCTCATTTCAGTTTCCAGTAGACCAGCTGAAGGGAAGAGATTCACATTTGGTGGGTCTTTTTTGGTTGTAGCCCATCTTTTGTGGTCATCCAGTCTAGCGGTGTCCAAAGTACAGTACATATAAAACAATCCATGGGATTATAAGAAGAAAATATTAGAGATCATGTTTATCTCATCATTTAAAATTTCTATTTTCATACATTTTCAGATATATTTCATATTTTAATATAGCTGTGCAGATATATAATACATAAAGAAATCATGCAGTGGCCACATATTTAAAATTTTTTGCCAGGTGCAGTGGTTCACACCTATAATCTCAGCACTTTGGGAAGCTGAGGCAGGAGGATTACTTGAGCCCAGGAGTTTGAGGCTACAGTGAGCTATGATGGTGCCACTGCACTTCAGCCTGGGTGACAGAGTGAGACTGTTTCTCTAAAATAATTAATTAATGGATAAATAAAAATAAATTTTAAAAAGTTTACTGATAACTTATACAATCAAAAAAATCTGATGGCTGCTGGACCAATTTAAAACCAGACAGAAGCCACATGGTAATGCCCCTGAAGATTGTAGGGCTTAGATTATAGTAAAACTTAGATTATAGTAAAAAGGAGTTATTTTCTTACAATAAAGGCATAGAAAGCTTACATTTTGAGGAAATGACAAAATATCTAACCAATCTTGAGAAGCATTATTATTTCTAGATCACACAGCTTTTAAAAAAAGGAAGTTTTGTTGGGCGTGGTGGCTCAAGCCTGTAATCACAGCACTTTGGGAGGCTAAGGGGAGCGGATCACCTGAGGTCAGGAGTTCAAGACCAGCCTGGCCAACATGGTGATACCCCGTCTCTATTAAAAATACAAAAATTAGCTGGGCATGGTGGTGTGCACCTGTAGTCCCAGCTATTTGGGAGGCTGAGGCACAAGAATTGCTTAAACCCAGCAGAGGCTGCAGAGAGCCAAGATCGTGCCACTGCATTCCAGCCTGGTTGATACAGTGAAACTCTGCCTCAAAAAAAAAAAAATTAAGTTTTTAACTCCCATCATTGTGTAACAATATATTCAATATTCTAATTCAAATATTAATATTACACTTTTGAAGCCCTGGTGTTCTTTATAACCTCATTTTTTTAAACTTTTATTTTAGGTTCAGGGGTACGTGCGCAGGTTTGTTATATAGGTAAACTTGTGCCATGGGGATTTACTGTACAGATTATTTCATCACTCAGTATCCAATAGTTATTTTATCTGATCCTCTTTCTCCCCCCACCCTCCACCCTCACGTAGGCCCCAGTGTCTGTCATTCCTCTCTTTGTGTCTATGTTTTCTCATCATTTAGCTCCTGCTTGTAAGTGAGAACATGTGATATTTGGTTTTCTGTTCTTGCATTAGCTTGCTAAGGGCGATGGCCTCTGACTCTGTCCATGTCCTCGCAAAGGACAAGATCTTGTATAACCTCATTAATATTCTTCAAAGTAACTTTTTTTTCTGATAACAAAAGTAATATACGTATGAAATTTGGAAAATACAGGTAAGCTCCAAAAAAATTTTAAAATAATCTATGATCCTCCATCTCCTGAGAATAACCATTAATGTTTTCATTATATATTAGGTTAGTCTATTTGTGTATGTGTGTGTATACTTTTAAAAAATGGAGTCATACTGTATTAATCCATGTTCACACTGCTCTAAGGATCTACCTGAGACTGGGTAATTTATGAAGAAAAGAGGTTTAATGGACCCACAGTTCAGCAGGCTTAACAGGAAGCATGGCTAGGAAACCTCAAGAAACAGGATCATGGCAGAAGGCGAAGGGGAAGCAAGAAGGTCTTACCATGGCAGAGCAGGAGACAGAGAAGGGGCAAGGGCCACACATTTTCAAACAACCAGATCTCGTGAGCACTCACTCACTATCACCAGAACAGCAAGGGGGAGATCCGCCCCATGATCCAATCACCTCCCACCAGACCCCTCCCCTGACTCGTGGGAATTACAATTCGAGATGAGATTTGGGTGGGAACACAGAGCCAAACTATATCACATATTGTTTTGTAATATTTTGTCACTTCATATTGTGAACATTTTCCATGTCTTAAGTATAATTCTTCAGCATCATTTTTAATGGCCACATAATATTAAATGATGTGAATGTGCCAATATTTTTAAGCAATCCCCTAGTGCTCAACATTAATTTGTTTACATTTTTAGCTATTATAAGCCATACTGCAATGACCATTTGTCTACTCCTTTACTTTTGCATATATCTTTGATTAGTCCTTGGGATAAATTCCTAGGAGAGGAATAGTTGAATTCAAAAGATGTGTTGTTTTAAGACTTTTGATACATATCTTTGTGGCCTTATGTAAATGATTAAATTTTTATGAGTTCTCTCACCAAGAAATTCTGGAAAGGGAAAATATGGACCAAAAATGAGATTCTATTTATTTTATAACTGAATTTTAGACTCTGGGACCCTCCCCTAAAAGTCTGTTCATCTCTTTTAGTCAAGACTGTTGACAGCTTTTCCACAACAGCCAGCAGACTTCAGTTACCATTATCCACTTTTTTCATGCATTTTATTTCCCCTGTTTCTGCAATACATTCCTTAAACCAAATACCAACTCCTCCCTCTATACCTGTTTTCCATAACTATATTGGGATTACTGGTATATCTATCACTTCCAGGTCCTTTTCAGGACTTGTCAACCATATCATCTATTCTTGCTCCATGCAAAAATTCTTCGTCAGTCCCTGGTTTTATGTATGTGTATCTCTCTCTCTCTCTCTTTCATACATACTCCGACACGCTACACATTCTGCTTTCATTTTCCCTCCACCCCCTGGCCCCCATGATTTCAAGGTTTTAAAGGAAATTAGTTGTTTTTTGCTAACAGCATTATTATGTTTTACATTGGAAATAAATATAAGCAGGAAAATAAAATAAAGAAGAAAATTAAAATCACCTGTCTTTCCACAATCCAGAGATAACCATTTCTAATTGCTTTTTTTTTTTTTTTTTTTTTTGAGATGGAGTCTTGGTCTGTTGCCCAGGCTGGAGCGCAATGGGTGTGATCTTGGCTCACTGCAACCTCTGCCTTCTGGGTTCGAGCGATTCTCCTGCCTCAGCCTCCCGAGTAGCTGGGATTACAGGCGTGTGCCACCACGCCTGGCTAATTTTTGTGTTTTTAGTAGAGACAGGGTTTCACCATGTTGGCCAGGCTGGTCTTGAACTCCTGACCTCAGGTGATCTACCTGCCTCGGCCTTCCAAAGTGCTGGATTACAGGCATGAGCCACCACGCCCGGCCCTAATTTGTTATTTTTTAAAAGTTCCCTGTTCTTTGGTTGGACACAAAACCTACTGATAGCTGCATAAGTGATCGAGTACATTTGGTTTTTAGGGTCTCTGCTTGTCCAGTCTTAGACTTACTTTTGGTGATAATTTGAAGATCTCAGGATCCAAGTGCATCACTGAGGTTCAGACTCAGAATGAGGGGCGATTCACCCAGCCCATATGTTTGTCAAAAGGAGGTTTTAAAATTTTTTGTTATTATTCTGTAAACTAGTATTTAATTTGTTTTCCAACTGATTATGTGACTTTCAAAAGGGTTTATTTCACAAATAAATAAGAAACAGCCCTGGTCAGCTTAAGATTCTGACACAGGCACAGCAGGTGCCTGGCCTTTCAGCAGATTGCAGGATATCCTACTGAGGGCTGGTGTTGCTGTGCACCATGAAAGGGTTTCGCTAGCCAGAGACTAGCAAATTTCCTTGTCAGGTCTGGGATCAGGGAGCCAATCTTCAATCCTGCATTGCAGTCAACCGAAGGCTAACACATATCACAGATGTGTCCCTACATTTGGTACTTATGAGGAACTGTCACTGGATTTTTAAAAAATTTTAATGATGTCCTCACCTCCCTTTGAGTATGTTGATAGTGAGCCCAAGTAAAGTAGCATGCAATTTAATCTTTTATTGTCAAATAGTTTCCAGTCTCAAAGCAAGTACTGTCATGGCCATGTCTGAATAAACAAAGGAGAACTGTTGCCTTAAAGTGGGTGGGCATGTGTCTTTTTCTCAGTCCTAAGGATTCTGGTGGATATTGGAATTAAGATCATAGTCATTGGGAAGATAAAATTGAAGATAAACGCTGGGGAAGAGTAGCAGTGGGACAGACATAGAAGCAACGAAAAGTTTGGGACTAACTCTAGAGAGAGTGTAGTCAGTTCTTCATTATTATGAGATTAGTTATCTCACTCATCAATTATCTAGGCCCTTAATTTTGTGCATCCTTATCACCAATTTCCTTTTTTCTGCCATTTTCCCATTTCTGAGCTCTCTGCTCATTATTGATAGGGACTTTGAGACTGGTCAAAGAGTGCTAAATTCATATCAATCGATTTTACTTCTGATAATTAGTTTCAGTAAAAAGATGGATAGAAACATTGTTGAAGCATTACTTTCTTTATTTTACAATCTGTGTTCTTTCATTACCAGTACTATCCACTTTATTTTTCTATGGATAATCAAGACTTGGCTGAACATAGTTGAATAGCACAGGCATGAGGTAGAGGTTGGTAGAGGATAATTTTATTTTTTATTGCAATACTCGGAATACTTTGTATTTGAGTGCCAAATGTATTTGTATTTTAGTAATTAGTCTGTTTATCATCTTATAAAAATACTAATAGGCATTATTTCTAAAAAACATAGTGAGTTACAATGTAAGTATCCTAAAGCAATATGAAAAGAAAGGATTTTTAAACAAATTATTTGGGAATCATTAAATAGCAATGTGGAAAAAAATAATTTATATCTGTCCTCATACCATACACCAAAATAAGTTTCAGATGAAAGTAAAGATTAAATTTTTAAAAATGAACTATAGATAACTTTTAGAAGGTAGACTAGGCAGTGGAAGAAATTACAAAGGAAATAATAGACAATGATATAGAATACTTTGTTCAAAAATAATAAAATTAAAAGAAAAAGGCTTATAAAAATATTCTCATTTGTATCAAAGAAATATAGAAGGAGTTTCTTCAAGTTTATGTGAACAATGGAAGGCTAATAGATAAATGAACAAAGGGGTTTTGACAATTCATGCAAAGCAGATTATGAATATTAAACAAATGTGAGCACCGGCAGTTAAACTAGTGCAAAGTTATAAAACACTAAACTAAAATAGAACCAAAAAAGAATTGATAACACTTACTGCCAACATGTTCATACCTTGCTATTGTGAGCGAAACTATCAAAATCCTTTTGGACAGAATTTGGAATGTATGTATTCCTGGAGCCAGGAAACTGTCCTCTTTAACCAAGGAACTGAATCTGGGGATATACTTATGCAGAACAGGTAAGAGGGTACAGAACAACTATTAGAACTTATAATAAAAATAGGAACTACATGAAGGATACATGATATGTGAAAAAGTAGAAAAAATTAGACATCACCTGCCATTTTTACACAGCTGTAAACATGAACACAAACTAGGAGGGTAGATGGCAAGTGGGTGTGGGATGAGCTTTCACATAAAATCTGTGTTTTTCTGACTTTTCTGATCTTTCTCTAATGTTTCCAATGTTTAACAGTAACTAAAGATTGAGTAAATAGGGTAAAAAAGACACCCAAACAGTCTAATTTTAGTAGTTATTTTATTAAAAATTAGGGTAATTTGGGCTTGTGTAAAGCTGTTCAAAGACGTACTGCTCAGTTATGTTCTTGCCCCAGAGTCCAGTAATAATACTTTATTCAGCCCCCAGAATTGTCAAAATGACACTGAGGTTTTTTTATTTTTGTTTTTGTTTGTTTGTTTGTTTGTTGTTGTTGTTGTTTTGAGACAGAGTTTCGCTCTGTCACCCAGGCTGGAGTGCAGTGGCGCATTCTCAGCTCACTGAAACCTCTGCCTCCCGGGTTCAAGCAATTCTCCTGCCTCAGCCTCCTAAGCAGCTGGGATTACAGGCCTGCACCACCATGCCTGGCTATTTTTTTTTTTTTTGTATTTTTAATAGAGACGGGGTTTCACCATATTGGCCAGGCTGGTCTCGAACTCCTGACCTCATGGTCCACCCTGCCTCAGCCTCCCAAAGTGCTGGGATTACAGGCGTGAACCACCACGCCTGGCCAATGATACTGTTTTTGTCACTGGACCCCTAATGAGGAAAACTATCTTACAATATGCCATCGATATCTGTGTACCACGTGTGCTGCATGTATGAGCCCATGGAGGTGAAAGTGAGATTTCATGAGCCACTTATTAATACTTGTCCTCTATAGAAACCCTAAAGATAGTTAAAATAGCCAACGCTATCACTTGCTGTTTCCTCCCAAATCTCACTTGGTATCATGTGTTTCTTGGGTGATTTTAAATTTGTCAGCTATTTGTATTTGAGAGAGATTTGCTTTTATCTAGCATTTATTCAATTTCAGTAGAGTGGAAACCTTTAATACTGCTCATATCAGGAGAACGGGATGAAGGCCCACGGCATAAACCACCCTCATTTTATATACTTTTTGCTCTATGTAGTTATATTTTGAAGGTTAGGTTTTAGCAATTGTAATGAGAAAACATTTTATTAAGAATCTACAGGATTTCTTTTCTCTTAAGGTAGAGAAAATTAGAGAAGAGGGAAGTGTAGCTCACTTCTAGAGGCAGATAAATTGTTTCATCAATGCAGTGGATGGTGAGTTGATTTGCTTTCAAGACCAGAGTATCTTTGAAGCTAACTCAACACTACTTTGTTCCATGTTCTGCAAACACTGGCTTTTGAGTGATCTGAGGAGAATCTCTCATGACCTTTCACACTGGCATCATTTTTCTCACTCCGTGGGGCTCTTAGCTCTTTGATATTTGTTTCTTACCTGTGATAATACTCTGGTAAGAAGGGGGAAAGGAGAAGCCTCAATGGATTACATTCTTTTTTAAAAAAGTTTCATGAGATTAAAGCACATATTGATTGAATTTTTGAAGTGCTTTATTTAAAATAGCATTTTATTCATTATAAAAGTGATATAGGCTTATGGTAAAAATAGTTTTTAAGACAGAAAACAATAGAGAATATGAAGCACTAATAATGCCACCACTTAGAAATGACCCTTCTTAAATTTCTGGTGCAAAAAAATATTCAAACTCTAAGGAAAAAGAAACTTGAAAATACTACAGCTATATAAGTAAGCATATCATGACTAATGACTAATGGCTCTCTCAATTACTTTTGAGAGGCAATGTCATATAGGAGAGAAAGCACTCTTCGTAAAATTGGCCAATCCTGGGATTCTAGGCCCAGTTCTACCAGTTATCAGTTATATGATTTTAGGAGAATTTACTTAACCACCCTATGCCTTAGTTTTTTCATCTTTAAATAACTATAATAAGGCCATACCTGTAGGGTTGTTGTAAGGATTGAACATATGATATATGTAAAGTACTATGCTAGTGTATGGTATATAGTAAGTCCTCAATAAAAGGTAAATATTAATGTAAGTAGTATGCATAATGAAGTTCTTAGGAGAGTATCATTAAAAAATTCATTAGCAGCCCGGCGCAGTGGCTCACACCTGTAATCCCAACACTTTGGGAGGCCAAGGCGGGTGGATCACCTGAGGTCAGGAGTTCGAGACCAGTCTGACCAACATGGTGAAACCCTGCCTCTACTGAAAAATACAATTAGCCAGACATGGTGGCTGGTGCCTGTAATCCCAGCTACTTGGGAGGCTGAGGCAGGAGAATTGCTTGAACCCCAGAGGCAGAGGTTGCAGTGAGCTGAGATCGTGCCATTGCACTCCAGCCTGGGTGACAGAGCAAGACTCTGTCTCAAAAAAAAAAAAAAAAAAAAAAAAAAAAAAAATTAGCAAAGATTCACTGAGCATCTGCACCAGAAATTAAAAGAGGAATAAAATAACACCGATAGTGGGTGATGGGGTAGGGATAGTTGCATAGAGACAGACGGGTAAATTGACTGACATGCAAGCTTAAGGTGAGGAGGTAGGACTGCAGGAGTGGTAGGATATGTTTTATTTGGAGGAAGGTATATTGGAGGCTTCTGCTCTGCTTTATTTCAGTGATTTAAAAATTGATACAAACTAATGTTTATGAATATTTGATCTATAGTTCCAAGGTACATAGGAAGGTTCTATCTTTTGCCGGGAGACAGAGGGTAAGGGTCATCCTGGGTGACGATGAAGTTGGTACCTTCAGAATGGCCTTGTAGAGTGGTCCCTTCTGAGATCTCTTCAAGCTTATTTCTTGCTTGTGTGCCTAGATACTTGGGAAGTGCCATTTGAGGAGATCTCAGAGCTGCAGTGGCTGGGTAGTGGAGCCCAAGGAGCGGTCTTCTTGGGCAAGTTCCGGGCGGAAGAGGTGGCCATCAAGAAAGTGAGAGAACAGAATGAGACGGATATCAAGCATTTGAGGAAGTTGAAGCACCCTAACATCATCGCATTCAAGTAGGTCAAGGCTTTTTTTTTTTAAGAAGTAGACCTATTTTCTTTCCCCCAATATATACACACAAGTTTCTGCTTTGAGAGATATTTCAAAAGCATTCTCTAGACTTAGCACTGTGCTAGGTGCTTTGGGAGGGTATCAAGGAACTATTAAATTGGAGTTGTGTCCTCAGGCATCTTATAATCCAGTGGTTCATTTTGCCGAAGTATGTGCAAAGTACATGGAAGTACATGGAAGGGGCATGCACATGGGGCAGGAAGGGAAAATGTGGGTTCCTGCCAAGCAGTCAGATCTGCTGCATCAACCTCATTTATCAATGGGATAACAGAGGTTACTTCAATATCACCTGAACAGCCTAAGATTCACTTAACAAAACAAAGTTGGCCGGGCGCAGTGGCTCATGTCTGTAATCCCAGCACTTTGGGAGGCCAAGGCAGGCAGATCACTTGAGCCCAGGAGTTTGAGACCAGCCTGGGCAATATAGTGGAACCCTGTCTGTAAAAAAAAATTTTTTTTAATTAGCTGAATGTGGTAGCACAGGCCTGTAGTCCTACCTACTTAAGAGGCTGAGGCAGGGGGATTGCTTGAACCCAGAAGGTTGAGGCTGTGTTGAGCCATGTTCATGCTACTGCCCTCCAGCCTAGGTGACAGAGTGAGACCCTGAAAAAAAAAGGAAAGAAAGAAGAAAGAAAGAAAGAAAGAGACAAAGGTAACATCTGAAGTGATCAAAGAACAATCAATCCTTGTGTAGTAGATACATATTTTGTATTAGGTTCTGTTAGCATCCCTTCTTAAACATTAACGTGTAATGGCAGGTACCTTTAGAGTATAGCCTCTGGTTTTCCTAGATCTCCTTCCAAGCAATGTCAAACATTCAGCTTTCTTAACCTAATGATTGTTGAGTTATTGATAGTAAGTCATATGTTATATTCATTTCACAAAGTGATTGTTTTCAAGAGTCTGTGAACATATTTTTCTAGCCTAGATGATTCTTTTCATAATATTGCCTGGGATCCCTAACAGAAGGAGGAGAGTCAAAGTTTAAAGGGTGGAAGTGCTGAGCTCTAAATAGATATTATCTCTTCTGCCTGAATCTTTCCCTTGAGTTCTCTCCCTCACTAGCCTTTTAATGTTGCCCTAGGCTTAAACAAATAAGTGGTAAGTGGCTTTAGAGGAAAGAAGGTGAAGAACAGGACAAGTATCTTTAGGTAGGATGAAAGTTTAGAAACTGGAGCTTTGTGATATATTTGATATGTATTTTGCATTCCTGGAAAACAGTATGACCAATGAGGCTACAGCTAAAAGTGGAATAACTTACAAATCCCCCTCCTAAACTAGGAGGAACTAGGATCAGAATGGATCCTTCCTTGATAAAACTCTGATTATAAAGCTAAAAATGTCATGTGATAAGTCTTAATTGGGATCACATCCACAAAGTAAGGAAGGTAAATCTTGGGTACAGGTTTTGTAGAATGGGTTTAAATGAGTACTGAAGTTGAGTTTTGATTCCCAAACAAGACCCCTTATGGAAAGGGAAAGACCTGTGAAAAAAAGAGAAGCATTCAACCAGGACACTAAGAGACAGAAAGAAGTACTTGGATTCATTTCCTTGGGGAAGGGACATTCATGCAGAGGGCATGGGAGAAAGCTTCAATTGCTGCAGTTAATTCTATCCTTGGTTGACCTAGTAGGGCCAGGAGGATGTGTGACTAAAATGAAATGCTGCAGAGACCAATTATCATCTTTCCAAAGAGGATAAATTTCAAAAGACAATGGGGAGATTATTTCAAGCAGACAGACAAACAGAGACCCTCTTCTTTCTTTCCTTCATTTTACTACACTGAGACCATCTTCACTTCCAGTATGCTACACCCTCCTAAATGGAAGGAAGGGTCAAAAGCTTTTAAACTTAGATCACTAGGACGCTGGGTTTGAGACACAGAATGTCCCGTAGATGAGTATGGCCTTTTGGCCTCTTGAAGTGAATTAGGCTGTGTGTTGCAGGTAAGAGGGCTTTCCAGTAGGGTACCCGGGGTCACTGAAAGTAGAAATGTGTCCTAATAGGATGGTGTTGTGAGAAGCTTTATTTTTACTTCCTTTCTTTTGCTTCTTTCTCTTTCTTCCTTTTTCCCACCTCTCCCTTCTGACTCTCCTACCTGCATATGCAGTTTTCAGCACTGCCCTGCTAGTGCCCAACTCTTTAGGCTGAAGACACTTGAATAGTATTTACCTCTACATGGAAAACAATAGTGAGACTGTGTTCCTGGCCCATTACACCATGCTCTTGGGCATTGTGCAGTGTTATGTTTGCAGCCATCTGTGCCATGTGTTGCTTGGCCAATGAATCCCATTCAGGACCGTCTGGAAGATATATGAGAGAATGATTAGATTTTAGTACATCTCTCTGGATACTGATTTCTGTGCTTACAGCTTCTTTTGAAGTTAATAAAAACCACATACAGAAGGGGAAGTACAAGATAAGAATGCTATACTCTTTTTGCATCCAATTTTTTTGTTAATCTTTTAAGAAAACTCAACCTGACTGTTCCTAATGGAATTCAGTGCCAAGGGGAAGAAAAGGTAGCAATTAGAAGTGATTATAGAGCTGTTATTTATAGCTACTAAGAAACCTTGTCATAGTACAGGGATGATGGAATGATTGCTCCTCGTTCGTCAGTCAAGAGAAATAAAAGGTGCGTAAGATCACTGTTAGACCGTTTCTATGTGGAACAAGTTAAAACATAGTCGAATAGGAGGCTGAGTACCTTCAAAAATGTTTATGTTGATATACTTAAGCATATTACATTATACCTGCCGTATTTATTAGTTCTCTGTAATGATAATTAATCATTTGTTTGTAGCTGCCAGACACTTGGGTTCACCAAGCTTTCCTAAGAGACATATAACCGGAACTTGAAAAAAAATTATTAAAAATCAAGATAAGAATTCTCTGTAGCCTAGAAAATGATAGGAGAGTAATAGAAATAGCTTTGTGGCATTTGACAGGCACATCAGGGCAGGGGAAAATGAAGACTAATTATACTTCTTCATAACCTGCTATTGTTATAAGATCATCATCACCTTCATATGATCAGTGCCGTAAGCCATGACCTCAAAATTCTTTCATCACTTACAGCAGCTGAAGAGATAGGCATGGGTTGGTAGCTGGCTGAAGGCTTTAACTGGATGTCTTACAGATACTCTGCTAACTTCTCTAGAAAGTTTCAAAGGAAGGCATGTATACCCATAAGCGATAAGACATAGAGAATTACATATAGTAATTTTTCTTCTCATCTTGAGAACAAAACAGAAGTAGAGTTACTATGATCATTCCCTTTTATGAGATAATGGTGTTAACACAAGAATTCCCAATGTGCTTGTCTAAACAGAAGTTAAAAAGCTAAAAGGGAGGCAGTATTGTACAGAGTGGAGTGGGCATGGACTTTCAAATTAGGCAGACTGAGTTTGAATCCCAGCTCTGTCACTTATTAGTTGTATGATCTAGTTGTGATTAGGACAAGTCACTTTCTCACTCTGAGCCTTCCTTGTAAAAATGGAAAAGGTAATATTTATCTTATGGTAATTTGGGGCAGATTAAATAAGACAAATAAACATGGAAATGTCCTTGAAAAATAGAAGAGGTTCTTTCATGTTAGTCTCCTTCCTCCTCCTCCAGGCCTCTGCACATGTTATTTGAAGGCTTTTTTAGTCAAGAAGGTTGAGGTGAAGTTAACGAACATTTGCTAGAGACTTGCTGTGAACCTCTAGGCGTTGAGGTAGAGAGAAAAGAACTTGAAGACCTTTCCCTTCAAGGAGCTTACAATCTATATGCAGAGAGAAAAACTGCATATAAAGAACTAGTGGCTGTTGTATATCATAGGAATTTAGGGAAGAGAAAGATCTTTTTGGATTGGAATAATTGGAAAAGGTTTTCATGGATGATGTAGGAATTGATGCAAATAAAGGCTAATAGATATATAATATGTTGTATAGGCTGGATGCAGTAGCTCACGCCTGTAATCCCAGCACTTTGGGAGGCCAAGACGGGTGGATCACTTGAGTACAGGAGTTCGAGAGCAGCCTGGGCAACATGATGAAACCCCGTCTCTACTAAAAATAAAAAAAATTGGTGGCCAGGAGCGGTGGCTCAAGCCTGTAATCCCAGCACTTTGGGAGGCTGAGGCAGGCAGATCACCTGAGGTCAGGAGTTCAAGACCAGCCTGACCAATATGGTGAAACCCTGTCTCTACTAAAATACAAAAATTAGCTGGGTGTGGTGGTGGGCACCTGTAGTCCCAGCTACCCGGGAGGCTGAGACAGGAGAATTGCTTGAACCCGGGAGGTGGAGGTTGTGGTGAGCCAAGATTGTGCCACTGCACTCGAACCTGGGTGACAGAGCGACTCTGTCTCAAAAAAAAAAAAAAAAAATTAGCCTGGCGTGGTGGTGCACACCTGTAATCCCAGCTATTTGGGATGCTGAGACAGGAGAATCACTTGAGCCTGGGAGGCAGAGGTTGCACCACTGCACTCCAACCTGGATGACAGAGCGAGACTCTTTCTTAAAAAAAAAAAAAAAGTGTATATTTTCATATTCTTTTGTGATTCATAAGCATGACTGGGTGTTCCCACTCACGGGTGAGATGTGCCTCCCTCCAACCTTGTTACGACGTCACCACATTACCTGTCTGACATGAAAAAAAAAAAGAAATGTTTTTCAAAGATTATGTAAGATGGAAAATTGAGTCGTCTTTGGGTCCTCAGTCTAGTTAGTTATTTTTAATTTGAGTAATTTAAAATTCAGCAAATAATATTAAAAGTAGAAGTATTTTCTCTGAATTATCTTCCTGTACACTCATAAAACCCTCTAAAACTTTAAAAGGAAGAAATTTTAAATTATTCCTTTTTTTTCTTTTTTTTTTTTCTGAGACAGAGTCTCACTCTGTCACCCAGGATGGAGTGCAGTGGCACGATCTTGGCTCACTGCAACCTCCTTCTCCCAGGCTCAAGTGATTCTCTTGCCTCAGCCTCCCGAGTAGCTGGCATTACAGGCATGCACTACTATGCCCAGCTAATTTTTGTATTTTTAGTAGAGACGCGGTTTCACCATGCTGGCCAAGCTGGTCTCGAACTCCTGACCTTGGTGATCCACCTGCCTCAGACTCCCAAAGTGTTGGGATTACAAGCGTGAGCCACCGCGGCCTGGCCAAATTATTATTATTTTTTATTTTTGAGAGGGAGTCTAACTCTGTTTCCCAGGCTAGAGTGCAGTGGTGCAATCTCGGCTCACTGCAACCTCCACCTCCCGGGTTCAAGCAGTTCTCTGCCTCAGTCTCCTGAGTAGCTGGGACTACAGGCGCGCGCCACCATGCCCAGCTAATTTTTTTGTATGTTTAGTAGAGACAGGGTTTCACCATCTTGGCCAGGCTGGTCTTGAACTCCTGACCCTGTGATCCACCCGCCTTGGCCTCCCAAATTATTCTTAATGATCTAAAACAACACAGTATCCAGCCTGCACAAACTTCAGAAAAGTGTGCTCTTTGTCCCGGAATGGAAGGGTCCCACAGAAAAGGCACCAGACACAGCACAGCATATAGATAGCCAGAGTGAACAAAACAAACAAAAATTGTCTATGTGCATCATAGAGAAACCTGTAGACTAGAGAAGTTTCCATGCTAATTTGAGAATCAGGAACTATTATCTATACACATTTTTAAAATAATTCGGGTATAGAATTGGTTTTTATTAAATATTCTTTAAATATACATATGTATACTTGTATGTGTGTATTGATGTACATGTTTATGTTTTCTTGGAAGGGGTGTTTGTACTCAGGCCCCATGTTATTGTATTATCATGGAATACTGTGCCCATGGACAACTCTACGAGGTCTTACGAGCTGGCAGGAAGATCACACCTCGATTGCTAGTAGACTGGTCCACAGGAATTGCAAGTGGAATGAATTATTTGCACCTCCATAAAATTATTCATCGTGATCTCAAATCACCTAAGTGAGTTCTGGGGCTAATGTTTCAGCTATTTTGGTTTGTTGTTTTGAAATACAGAATTTTTATCAACCTCAGTTGACGTTTTCAGACATCATACCTTTAGTTCAGTTTCAATCAGCACAGTGGGTAATTCTGTTTGCGCATCTCTTGGGTTATTGTTGACCTACCTGGTTACCTGTAGGGCAGATACGTCCAGGTATCTGAAACCACTTTTCCTTTTTGGTGCTTTTAAATCATACAACTGTGAAACAAAATTCATTATTATCTGAAGTATTCACCTTCTGTCATCTCAGATAGCTAATGCCAGACCTTCCCGCTAGAAGGCTTGATTTGTTGTTTTCCATGTGTTCAAAAAACTTTTTAAACTGAGTTTCAGAAATGTATACAACAGGATAAAATGGATAAATAAGAAACAGGCTAGCTGGGTGGAGTGGCTCACGCCTGTAATCCTAGAACTTTGGGAGGCCAAGGTGGGTGGATCACTTGAGATCAGGAGTTTGAGACCAGCCTGACCAACGTGGTGAAACCCTGTCTCTACTAAAAATACAAAAAATCAGCCAGGCATGGTAGCAGGTGCCTGTAGTCCCGGCTACTTGGGAGGCTGAGGCAGAAGAATTGCTTGAACCTAGGAGGAGGAGGTTGCAGTGAGCTGAAATCACACCACTGTACTCCAGCCTGGGTGACAGAGCAAGACTCTGTCTCAAAAAAAAAATAATAAAAATAAATAAATAATAAAAATAAAAAGAAGCAGAGGCAAAGGAAAAGTAAAAACATTAGAACTAAAAATTGTTCACAAATTATATGCCGTAAGATTCTGTAGACGTGGATTACAGATTTGGCTTTGAGCTTCTAGTGTCTAAGCAAAGGAGGAAATAAACAATTACAAGGTTCACAATGGCCATAGGAAAAATAAACACTGGCTATGTAAGAGAAGCAGGGCTATTTCTAGTAATCTCTGTTTTCAAAATGATTTCTTGGCTACCAATCACTTTAAGAGGAGTGTGTAGTTAGTTCCCCAAATTGAATGAAGAAAGAAATTGATAAAATGATTTATTTCAGTATAACTCCTATTTTTAAACATTATTTTTATTATTTATCATCACATTTTGGGTTAGATAAGCAAAGGATTAATCTCTTTTCAAAATATATTTGTAGCCTGGGCAATATAGTGAAAACCCATCTCTACAAAAAATTTAAAAATTAGCCAGGCATGGTAGTATGAGCCTATAGTTCAAGCTACTCAGGAGGCTGAGGTGGGAGAATCACTTAAGCCCAGAAGGTCAAGCCTACAGTAAGCCATGATCACACCACTGCACTCCAGCCTGGACCACAGAGCACAACCCTGTCTCAAAAAATAATAAAAATTTAAAAAAACTATATATTTATTGTATATACACACACACATATATATATTTGCATAGTGTTTTCATGGTTTATAATATCTTAGGGGGAATCCATTATCACATCTTTGATCCTGGCAAAAACTGTGTGGGATACGTAACAAGTATTGTTATTTTATGTAAGGAAAACTAGAGATTAGCCCAAAGTCATGGGGCTAGGACTCGAACCTAGAATTTCTGAACCAAAGGTTACTGCATTCTACCTCATTATGTGAAGGTAGGGGACTCACAATGAATCCTGCCTTTCCTCCATGGACGGTATAAATCAATCCTTCATTATAAACTTCAAAACAGCTCTTATTTATCACCATCATTCTCAGCAATATTTATTACAGTGCTTAGTTGACTGAACAACCTCCTCCTTGCTTTACTTGCAAGTAAACATGATTGTGTAGTGTTCATTTCTTCCGTTCACATTCTTACCCTGTTGCTTTTGCCATCCAGTGCATACATGTAAAGGACATGAACTACCTGAAGGCCTCTCTGAATGGTCTCCTTTTTAACCAACTTGTTCTCCTTATGAATTAATCTTAGAGGGAAGGAGTCAGGAAGCCGTAGAATAGAGTAGTAATTGGGTTACCCAGTAAGCCTTTCCCTCTATTAGCAATAACACTCCCAACCCCAGCAGCGTTGGCTTCTTTAGGTTTCAAGCTGACTTTGGGAAGACAGAGATCAATCTGACTTGCTGTAACAAGAGATCTCATTACTTACATTAAATCTGCAGGCTCTGTGACCACAACTTTGTCTCAGAGAAGATTTCAGAAAAATTCTAATGTTATATTTTTCTAGTCTCCTCTCAAGTCCATCCTCTCTTGTCACACCAACAGAGGCAGAGAGGAAGTTCCCATAAAAAGTTCCCTCTTTTAGGGGCTTACTGCCTACTCTCACTTTCCTGGTGTATGATATCAATTCTCCAATTCTCTCATATATCCCATAATATTTTAATCCTTATGCATTTTCACTAAGACTAACACTGTTAAATCAAAACTCCTAAGTTATATAAATTTTACATATTACGTGCAAAACCAGGGCATGGAGGATGGTATTCAAAAGCAATTGTAAGCTCTGAGCTATTTGGTAAATAGCCATTGGTGTTGGGGTTGTGAGCATGGTAAATGTGAAGGAATCCCTGGTTCAAATGGAGAAGCAAGGGGATAGAGTCAGATGCTTTCTGCCTTACAGCCTCCTCAATTCTGATACTATTTGAGGATGAAGCCTCTTATCATTTTTTTTTTTTTTTGAGATGGGGTCTCGCTCTGTCGCCCAGGCTGTAGTGCAGTGGCACAATCTCCACTCACTGCAAGCTCCGCCTCCCGGGTTCACGCCATTCTCCTGCCTCAGCCTCCCGAGTGGCTGGGACTACAAGCGCCCGCCACCACGCTCGTAAGCCTCTCATCATTAAACATAGGTCCCTAGATCATTAAAGCCTCTGAAACCCTAAGTCTTTAATTTTCTAAAGTTCTGAACAGGTTATTGCAAGTGAATTCGATCTAATGTGAAGCTGTCAATTTGGTACCGGATTGTATTCATCTTCAAGGCTGGCAGAGAGCACTTTGCCTCAGGCCACATTTTCAGATAACTACTATGACAAGTAAAACAGGACTGGTGTGGAATTTACTTAAGCTTGGATTTATTTCTGCTTTTCCTTATCAGCACTAGTGAAATCCCAGCATATATATTAGCCTTTTAATGTAATGAATCCCAAACATCATGGTCTCATTCATGATATTAGTTGGCTATCATTTAAACAGTGTTTTAAAAGAAGTACTCTTTTTAGTGGCCTGGCTAAAGCCAGCAAGGATGGAAACCAATATTTATTGATAACGGTGCCTTATGTATCTTACCTCATTTAATTCAAATGAAAATTCAGTGAGATTGTTATTACAGGTCTATCATCCCTTATCCAAAACTCTTGAAGCAAGATATTTTCAGAAAGGTAGTGCACTACCTTAGACATCCAGCGAGGTCTGGAGCAGCATCCTAAAATCAACCACATTAACAAATCTGCAGCAAAACCTATTGTTCACACAAAATGGGATGAAGAAAGTGAGTTTGCCTTATACATGTGAAAAAAATATAAACTGGTTGAGAACTTTTTGCATTTTCAATTTGTGAATAAGACCTGAAGAGTCTCCATCCTACACATGAGAAAACTGGCTTAGAAGAGTTAAGTAAGGCCGGGTGCAGTGGCTCATGCCTGTAATCGCAGCACTTTGGGAGGCTGAGATGGGTCGATCACCTGAGGTCAGGAGTTCGAGACCAGCCTGGCCAACATGGAGAAACCCCATCTCTACTAAAAATACAAAAATTAGCTGGGCATGGTGGCAGGTGCCTGTAATTGCAGCTACTTGGGAGGCTGGGGCAAGGAGAAAATCCCTTGAACCCGGGAGGCAGAGGTTGCAGTCAGCTGAGATCGTGCCATTGCACTCCAGCCTGGGCGGCAAGAGTGAAACTCTGTCTCAAAAAAAAAAAAAAAAAAAAAAAAAAAAGAGTTAAATAACTTGGCAAAGGTCACACAGCAAGTAGAAGAGGCAGAATAAGACTAGGTGTTAAAAGCCCATTACGCTAAACTGCCTCACAAGTATGAATGATGCTATTTCTAGTGTATAGCCAATGCCCCAGTGACATTGGAAACTGCAAGCTGAATGCTACAAGATAGGAAGTAGCAGATAAAGTCTTCAGTTTCAGCCATTTAGAATCATGGTTTTCGTTAGTACTAATGATCCAGATGTTTTCTTTTTATTTCTTTTTAAAGTGTTTTAGTGACCCACACAGATGCGGTAAAAATTTCAGATTTTGGTACATCTAAGGAACTCAGTGACAAAAGTACCAAGATGTCATTTGCTGGCACGGTCGCATGGATGGCGCCAGAGGTGATACGGAATGAACCTGTCTCTGAAAAAGTTGATATATGGTGAGTGGCGCCACCAGTTGTGCCAACTAAAAAGCCTTTTCCCACTTTCGCCCTATTAGCACTGTCTTCCTTCAGCACTTACTTTTCCAGAATATTCTTCAGTGTTGCTCACTTTTGGTTGATTTCAGCCTCATATTTTCTGAGGTACTTCCCAGTATGGTGATATATGGGGAGAAGGATTAGGGGGAATTAGGGTGGCTATCTACTCAGTAAGTCACCAGTTTGGGGGACCTCAGAGAATATGCTGAACTTTCTAGGAAACTGAAAGTTTACTTCAAATGATCATTTAGTATAGAAGTCTTTCTGAAATGTGTTACATAGTTCTCACCTTCTTGAGTAAAGTACAAGAGCTTACCTAATCTCAATGACTCAGGTCATCATTACACATATCAATAATGTACCTTGCTATGATACAATTATGTTCTCTAGACATGTTTGAGATGTAGGAGGTTGTTTTGCCCTTTTATTGAACAGCCTCTATAGGCTATGCTTTAAAAAAAAATCTCTGTAACCTTTCCTCTGAGGTTATAAGTCTTTTCTATTAACAGTATTTTTCCCTGTAATAGCTTTTCTTTTACCCTTAAAATTGGCAACTAGTAACTTCTAGGCTTAAAACCAAAATAATAGCACATGTCAAAATTGCATGTAATACCAGAGCAAATAGGAAAAAGTAGAAATGTGGGGTCATTCGTAATTTAGATAATCATTACTAAAGTACCCTCCTTAGGGATTACTAATTGATGTTCCCACCAGAAATATGTAAGAGTGTTTTCTCAGTCTCACCAACAAAATGTGCTAAACTCTTGGATTTTTGCCAATCATATAGGTAAAAAAACGGTATCTTGGGTGCATTCCTCTTAGGATAAGTGAGCCTGTACTTTTGTTCATATGTGTTACAGCCATCGTATTTGCTTATTTGTGAATGACTCATAATCTTTGCTCAGCTTTCTGATTTTTACTCATAATTTATCAGAGTATTTTATGTATTAAGGAGATTCACATTTTGTGTAAATTGTAGATACTTCACATTTTGTTATTTTGCTTATGGTATTTTTTTCAGTGTCAGATTTTGAAAATACAGTTTAATTTCTCAATTTCTCCTTTTATGGCTTTTAGATTTCATGGTTTAAAAAGTCTTTAAAAGCCAGGCGCAGTGGCTCACACCTGTAATTCCAGCACTTTGGGAGGCCAAGGCGGGTGGATCACTTGAGGTCAGGAGTTCGAGACCAGCCTGGCCAACATGGTGAAATCCCATCTCCACTAAAAATACAAAAAATTAGCCAGGCGTGGTGGCACGCACTTGTAATCCCAGCTACTTGGGAGGCTCAGGCAGCAGAATCGCTTGAACCCAGGAGGTGGAGGTTGCAGTGAGCCAAGATCGCACCACTGCATTCCAGCCTAGGTGACAGAGCAAGATGCTGTCTAAAAAAAAAAAAAAAAAAAAAAAGTTTTTAACACTCCTAGATAATTTTTTAACTCCTTATTTTTTAGAAGATTTTTATGGTTTCATTTTTCTATTTAAATCTTTGATTCATGTGAAATTTATCTTGATTTATGGTGAGTTATAGATTTAATTTTTTTCCTAGCTGTTCCAACAACATTTATTAACTAATCAATTTTTCCCCACTGGTTTTTGATGTCACTTCTATCATACATTCAATTCCTAAATGTATTTGGTTTATTTCTGGATTTCTTGTCCAGTCCATTATGCTGGTGATCTGTTCACACACGGGAGTTAATTATTCAGGTTTTAATTTCTGGTAGTGTTGATTACCCCACATAGATTTTTTTTTTTTTTTCAGAGTTGTCCCAGATGTTTCTGTTTTTCTTATAGCAGTATTAGAATTTTAAAACTGGGTATATGTACTAATTTGATTTCAATTAATAGAGAACTAAAATACAAATCAGTCTTTCTGAAACATCTTCTGTCCATGTTCCCGGCGCTACTGTAGGTCTTTTGGAGTGGTGCTTTGGGAGCTGCTGACAGGAGAGATCCCTTACAAAGATGTAGATTCTTCAGCCATTATCTGGGGTGTTGGAAGCAACAGCCTCCACCTTCCAGTTCCTTCCACTTGCCCTGATGGATTCAAAATCCTTATGAAACAGACGTGGTAAGAATATTGTCTCTAAAACAATAGGGAGGTCTCTAATGTGTATTTGGAGTAAATATCCTGGTGGTGGAAAGAATAGGAGCTTTGGAGTAGGAGAATCTTGGGTTCAAATACTAGCTCTGCCCCTTTCTATCTGTGCAATTTTGGGCACGTTATTCAATATCAGTTTTCTCATTTGTAAAATAGAGACAACACTGACTCATAGAGTTATTGTGTTGTAATTAATTAAAATTTAGAAATAAAGAACTTGGTGTTATTATCTCAAAATAGTAGGCCTTGGTCAATGATAGCTACTATTTCTTTGCTAGTCCTAATGGACTATTATTAAATAGGTCACTAATCCTAGATTTCCATTTCATCATTAGACGTATCTCATAATTACATTTTCCTTTTGCTCTTCAGTATATCAAAACTGTACTGCAGGGCAGCCAGGCACAGTGGCTCACACCTGTAATTCCAACACTTTGGCTGGCAGAGATGGGAGGATCACTTGAGGCGAGGAGTTCAAGAGCAGCTTGGGCAACATAGCGAGACCCCATCTCTGTGTTAAAAACATAAAATAAAATAAAATATAAATAAAAAACTGTACTGCAGGGCCAGGCATGGTGGCTCACGCCTGTAATCCCAACACTTTGGGAGGCCGAGGTAGGAGGATCACTTGAACCCATGAGTCTGAGATCAGCTTAGGCAACATAGTGAGACCCCGTCTCTGAAAAAAAAATAAAAAATAAATTTAAAGAAATGTTAAGGGCCGGGTACGGTGGCTCACGCCTGTAATCCCAGCACTTTAGGAGGCCGAGGCGGGCGTATCACGAGGTCAGGAGATCGAGACCATCCTGGTTAACACGATGAAACCCCGTCTCTACTAAAAATACAAAAAAATTAGCCAGGTCTGGTGGCGGGTGCCTGTAGTCCCAGCTACTCAGGAGGCTGAGGCAGGAGAATGGCGTGAACCCAGGAGGCGGAGCTTGCAGTGAGCTGAGATTGCGCCACTGCACTCCAGCCTGAGTGACAGAGCGAGACTCCGTCTCAAAAAAAAGAAAAAAAGAAATGTTAAAACTGTACTGAGATACAATTCAGTTATGCTATCCTGATATAATGGAGTACAGCTGGTTTTACTCAGATATAGCCATTTTGAAGTAAACAATCTTCTTCATAAAGTAAAATAAAATCTTCATTCTCCTGGATACAACTTCTGAAATGCACAAACTGTCTTTTTCACTTTTAGGCAGAGTAAACCTCGAAACCGACCTTCTTTTCGGCAGACACTCATGCATTTAGACATTGCCTCTGCAGATGTACTTGCCACCCCACAAGAAACTTACTTCAAGTCTCAGGTAAGTTGGGAAACTTCCTACCAGGTGCTACTAAACAGATAGAGAACTCTCAATGAAACAGAGTAACTCTTAGAAGGGCCCATTGTGTTTGTTATAATAGTTATATAACTCCATTCATTGTGACACAATAAATATGATACTTCACACATATGACATCTTAAGAGCTTTTAAAGCACTTAACATTATTATTAACTCATTTGAAAAAACACGTGTTGGCCGGGTGCACTTTGGGAGGCCGAGCCAGGCAGATCACCTGAGGCCAGGAATTCAAGACCAGCCTGGCCAACATGGAGAAACCCCCGCTTCTACTAAAAATACAAAATTAGCCAGGTATGGTGGCGCATGCCTGTAATCCCACCTACTCAGGAGGCTGAGGCAGGAGAATCACTTGAACCCGGGAAGCGGAGGTAGTGTTCAGCCGAGATCATGCCATTGTACTCCAGCCTGGGCAACAAGAGCAAAACACCGCCTCAAAAAAAAAAAAAAAGAAAAAAGAAAGAAAGAAAAGAAAAAACACGTGTCAGAATATTATCCTTATAGTGGCTCCTGGTAAAACTGCTGAAGAGAAAAGAGAAAAAGAAGATAAGAAAGCTGTAATGTACATACACCTGAATTAGGATTACTGCTGACCTTCAAGAAAGTATTATCTTCTTTGAAGTAGAAAAGCTGAAGTACAGACGTGGGAGGTTAAATACCACAATGAGCCTATGATAGAACTCAGCCTAGAGAGAACCTTTTCTCTAAGTGTGTCACCTAGTAGCTCCAAGTAAGTATAATTTAATGATTCTGTTAGCCTCTACTGTACTACAAACCATCTCAAAACTTTTATTTTTATTTTTATTTTTTGAGACAAGGTCTCACTCTGTCAACCAGGCAGGAGTACCGTGGTCTGATCTCGGCTCACTGCAGCCTTCACCTCCCGGGCTCAAGCAACCCTCCCACTTCAGCCCCCCAAGTACCTAGGACTACAAGCATGCACCACCACACCTGGCTAATTTTTGTTTTTTGTTTTTGTTTTTTTGGTAGAGATGTGGTTTCACCATGTTGCCCAGGCTGGTCTCAAACTCCTGGGCTCAAGCGATCTCCCTGCCTCGGCCTCCCAAACTGCTGGGATTACAGGCATGAGCCATTGCCTGGCCCCATCCCAAAACTTATGGCTTAGAACAGTAAGCATTTATGTGTATGTAGCTCATGATTCTATGGGTTGGCAATTTGGGCCAGGCAGTTCTACTGGCTTTGACTGGGCTCACTCGTGTGTCTGTGGTGAATTGTCAGGTCAGCTGGGAGGCTGGCTGGTCCTAGGACGGTCTCATTCACGCACCTGACCACTGGCTGGCTATTAGCTAGAGCACCTTGCTTCTCCTCCACGTGGCCTCTATCCCTCCAGCAGGCCACCTTGGGCTTGTTCACATAGTGTTCTCAGGGTAACAAATGTAGCGAGAGAGCAAGTCCCAATGCACAAGTGATTTCCAGGCCTGTGCTGCATTATTCCTGCTAATGTTCCATCGGCCAAGCAAGTCACAGGCCAACCCAGATTCTCGGGATTGAGAAATAGGCTTCACCTCTTGACAAGAGAATCTGCCACAGCACATCATAAGGGCGCAGATCTGGAGAGGGGAAGAATTGGTGGCAATTAAATTAAAAGGGTGCAAATGTCATAAGGATTGGTCATCTAACCACTATCAATGTGGATAAGGGGGTGGTGAGAGATGAATTTTTTATAAGGCCCTTATCCCTTCCAGACCCAGGCAATATCAAAAGGAATGGAACTATAACTTTTGAAATAAATGTGATGATCCTGAATTATAGCTGTATGCTTATAGAACATAACAAAATTACCTAATTTCTCATTTCTCATATAGCTTTATCTCACTTAATGTTATTGTGCTTCAGAAATGAATTTTGTAAAGTGAATCGCATCTCCCCACTGACTTCCAGTAGCATTTCAAAGATTCAGTCTCAGAAAAGACATTTTACTAGCAATTGGCATTTCAGCCTCCTTCTCATAGCCCCCCATCCCTGAAGGGCGATGAGTTTACCCACCAGGAAAGTGTCTGATGAAAACAGTCCTGAACTTTTGGAGGGGCATCATCCCTGGGAGCTGAACAAGTCCTTAAATATGCTTTTCACTTTGGGAGGCCGAGGCGGGCAGATCACGAGGTCAAGAGATTGAGACCATCCTGGCCAACATGGTGAAACCCTGTCTCTACTAAAAATACAAAAATTAGCTGCACGTGGTGCTACACACCTGTAGTCCCAGCTACTCAGGAGGCTGAGGCAGGAGAATCACTTGAACCTGGGAGGCGGAGGATGCAGTGAGCTGAGATCACGCCACTGCACTCCACCCTGGGGGACAAAGCGAGACTCCGTCTAAAAAAAAAAAAAATTATATATATATATGAGATATATATATATGATACATATATATGAGATATATATATATGATACATATATATGAGATATATATATATGATACATATATATGAGATATATATGTGATACATATATATGAGATATATATGTGATACATATATATGAGATATATATGATACATATATATGAGATATATATGATACATATATATGAGATATATATATGATACATATATATGAGATATATATATGATACATATATATGAGATATATATATGATACATATATATGAGATATATATATGATACATATATATGAGATATATATATGATACATATATATGAGATATATATATGATACATATATATGAGATATATATATGATACATATATATGAGATATATATATGATACATATATATGAGATATATATATGATACATATATATGAGATATATATATGATACATATATATGAGATATATATGATACATATATGAGATATATATCATATATATGATATATATGAGATATATATCATATATATATGAGATATATATGAGATATATATGATATATATGAGATATATGAGATATATATGAGATATATATATGAGATATATGAGATATATATGAGATATATATATGAGATATATGAGATATATATGATATATATGAGATATATATATGAGATATATATGATATATATATGAGATATATATGATATATATACATATATATGAGATATATATGATATATACCATATATATGAGATATATATATGATATATACACATATATATGATATATATGATATATATATGATATATAGATATATATGAGATATATATGATATATATATGAGATATATATATGAGATATATATATGATATATATATGATATATATGAGATATTTATATGATATATATATGAGATATATATATCATATATGAGATATATATGATATATATGATATATATATCATATATATGAGATATATATGACATATATATGAGATATATACATGATATATATGAGATATATACATGATATATATATGAGATATATACATGATATATATATGAGATATATACATGATATATATATGAGATATATATATGATATATATATGAGATATATATATGATATATATATGAGATATATATATGATATATATATGAGATATATATGATATATATATGAGATATATATATGATATATATGAGATATATATGATATATATGAGATATATATGATATATATGAGATATATATGATATATATATGAGATATATGTGAGATATATATGAGATATATGTGAGATATATATATGAGATATATGTGAGATATATGAGATATATGTGAGATATATATATGATATATATGTGAGATATATATGATATATATGAGATATATATGATATATATGAGATATATATATGATATATATGAGATATATATATGATATATATGAGATATATATATGATATATATGAGATATATGAGATATATATGAGATATATGAGATATATATATGAGATATATATGAGATATATATGAGATATATATGATATATATGAGATATATATGATATATATATGAGATATATATGATATATATGATATATATATCATATATGAGATATATATATGAGATATATATGATATATATGAGATATATATATGAGATATATATCATATATATGAGATATATACATGATATATATGAGATATATACATGAGATATATATGAGATATATATGATATATATGAGATATATATGACATATATATGATATATATGAGATATATATGACATATATATGATATATATGAGATATATATATCATATATATGAGATATATGATATATATATGATATATATGAGATATATATATGATATATATATGATATATATATGAGATATATATATGATATATATATGAGATATATATGAGATATATATGATATATATATGAGATATATATATGATATATATATGAGATATATATATGATATATATATGAGATATATATATGAGATATATGAGATATATATATGAGATATATATGAGATATATATATGAGATATATATGAGATATATATGAGATATAGATGAGATATATGATATAGATGAGATATATATGATATAGATGAGATATATATGATGTATATATGAGATATATATATGATGTATATATATGATATGTATGAGATATATATATGATATATATGAGATATATATGAGATATATATATATATGAGATATATGTTTTTCTACCTGCCCCTGCTGGAGGCTTGGAGTACTTCTGTGGTGTCTGATACACAGAGAGACACTCTGCCTGTCACACAGATATTGAGGAATATCTTAGTAAAGGCATAGGTTTTTGTTGTTTTGATTGGAGTTCCTAAGAAATGATAAATCAGAGACTCCTGTCCTGTTACCAAAGTTCTAACACACCCTCTCTGATCCATAAACTTAGATCTCCCCACAACTGTGTCTTTAAATAGTCAGGCTTGCCCCTATTGTTTGTTACTATTTCTAAGAAATTATTATGTAAGTAAAGTGTTTGCTTTCAGAGGAAATAAGATGAGGTAGGAGGTTGACTTCATGGCATTTCCTGCATTCTTTGATACACATTCAGATCAATTCCCTTAGCACTATCGCCCATCTGTTCAGATACATGTAGGTATCGGGGCACTGGATGAGAAATCTTTATCTTCTGTTAGTAATCAGAAAAAACACTTAACCCTTTTGTGAAATGAAAGAGAATATAGTACTCGCTAGGAAATCTTTCGAACTTTAAGATATGGTTGCAATCACAGCTTTGCTTCTCCTTTTTTTTTTTTTTTTTTTTTGAGACGGAGTCTTGCTCTGTCTTACCCAGGCTGGAGTGCAGTGTCGCAATCTCTGCTCACTGCAGCCTCCACCTCCCGAGTTCAAGCAATTCTCCTGTCTCAGCTTCCCGAGTAGCTGGGACTACAGGCGTGTGCCACCACACTCGGTTAATTTTTGTATTTTTAGTAGAGACAGGTTTCACCACGTTGGCCAGGCTGGTCTCGAACTCTTCACCTCAGGTGATCCACCCACCTTGGCCTCCCAACGTGCTGCGGTTACAGGTGTGAGCCACCGTGCACAGCCAACTTTGCTTCCTTTACAATAAAACTGTACGTAGCATAATTTTGAAAAGCAATTTCTGATGATGGTATTAAGTCACAAGCCATTAAGACGGTCAATATAAGTTTACATATTTGGAAAAACTTCCAGTTCTGAACAGATGTTACTTAAGTCCTCCTAAAACGTCACTTCTGAAGCCAGTCACACATTTTGAGAACCTACCACTTGCAGAGCCCTGTGCAGGGCAGCTAAGTTGCCACAGTCGGGTTCCTCACCTGAACCGCTCCCAGATTATCAAGACACCCATAGCATGGAGCATTAAAACTGAACTCAGAAAAGGTTGTCTTGGGAAAAGAATAGGAAAGAAAAGGAGAGGAGAGAACAGGAGAGGAGGTCAGAATAGGAGAGAAGAGGGGAGAAGAAAACTGAGTACATTAAGCATCTATCTTAGCTCAGGCTGCTACAACAAAATGTCACACACTGGGTGGCTTAGAAACAGCAGAAGTTAGTCTCACGGTTCTGGAGACTGAGAAGTCCAAGGCACCAGCAGAGTTGGTGTCTGGTGAGGGCCTGAGTTCTGGTTTATAGGTGATGCCTTCTCACTGTGTCCTCACGAGGTGGAAGGGTGAACAAGCTCCCTTGGGCCTATTTGATAAGGGCACTTTTCTCATTCATGAGGGCTCTGCCCTCATGACCTAATTACTTCCCCAAAGCCCCACCTCCTAATACTGTCCCTTTGCAGTTAAGATTTCAGCATATGAATTTGGAGGGAACACAAACATTCAGACCATAGCAGCATTTTTTCATATTCACTTCTTCTTCTTCCACATTTTTCCCAACATAAAATTTCTCTTCTCCTTAAATAGCTCCAAATCTGCTATTTTGCTACCTCCTAGAATTTTCTCGGTATTTATAAGTCAATTTGTCTCTGGATCTGAAAGTGAGACTACCTCTAGCTAATATGAACTGGCTAGTGAGGTACTACAAATAGTAAGAGACCTTTAGTCTAAACTCCATCCTGTCACTTCATACTGTGTGGTCTTGGCTAAGTCACTCAGTTACACTAAACCTCAGCTTATTCACCAAAACAATGAAGATAATCCTATCTTCCCTTCCTTAGGGAGTTTCTGTGAGGAGCAAATGAAAAGATAAAACTGCAAATGCATTGTAGACCATCAAGAACAGTTGATTGTAAGATGTCATTATTCTTGGCTGGCCACAGTGGCTCATGCCTGTAATCCCAGCACTTTGGGAGACCGAGATGGGTGGATCATTTGAGGTCAGGAGTTCAAGACCAGTCTGGGCAACATGGCAAAACCAAGTGTCTACTGAAAATACAAAACTTAGCTGGGTGTGGTGTAATCACCTGTAATGCCAGCTACTTGGGAGGCTGAGACACAAGAATCGCTTGAACCCAGGAGGCAGAGGTTGCAGTGAGCCAAGATCGAGCCACTGCACTCCAGCCTGGGCAATAGAGCGAGACCCCATCTCAAAAAAAAAAAAAAAAAAGATGTCATTATGTCATTATTCTTGAGTTGCGTACGATAGCATAAAACAAAAACAAAGGTGCCATTATTCACCTTAATTTTTGTAGCTTTGTACTAAGTACAAAAATTAAGCCTCCTTTGGGTTGTTAGATTCTGGATTCTTTTTCTGATGAACTCCTGAGATGAATAAGATGGCAGCCAGGGAACTCCTATTGTGTTTGACTTTATCCTGCCCCAGTAGGGAAGACCTGGCTTTTTGGCAGGCACATTCTCTTTCTATAGTCCTCTTGTACCTGAGGCCTTGCCTCCTCCTGCCTGCTAAGATCCTCTCAACGTCAGTTATCAATCAATAGTTGTTAGCACCTGGTCTCCACTTTCCACCAAAACTTCGGTCAAGAGGTGCTGCCAAGAGTCCAGCTGACTCCTTCCTGAGAAAACGCGGCATTTGTTTTTCGTCAACAGCACATGTATAAAGATGTAGCCTATATGGAGCAGATGAACAAAGCAACCGATTTCAATACAATGTTAGATTCTGCCAAAGCTATAGCTTCATTGCTAGACAATCACCCATTTCTCCAAATAGGCAATTACTGTTCCTGGTATTCAATTACATTTGACATGAGTCTTTAGAAAACACTGTCACCCAATTCCAGATCCCAGTTGCCAGGTGGATCGTGTGCCTGGCTTTGAAGCTCTCTCACCCTGCTGCCTTTGCATCATTCTAGTGTTCTCTTGAGTGCCATTGTGACCGCCCAGAAATGCAGGGACTGGGAGTTGCGGAGACACCCCAACTGTGAGGTTAGACTCTGCTGCCTTAAAAGTAATCTTGTGAGGGAGCAGATACGTATGCAGAGGCTGGACACTCACATCAGGAGAGGAGTCGTGTGCCCAGAAAGGGTTGGACTGGACCCCACTATGGCTTTTCTGATCCCATCTGATTTCCCTCTAATAAGCCCCCCAAATCTTGCTTCTCTACTCCTTAAGCTAGGCTGGAACTGGCTCAATTTCTTTTTTGTTGTTGTTATTTACTTTTTAAAAAGTGTGGTAAAATAAAGATAGTATAAAATTTGCCATTTTAACCATTAAAAAAAATTTTTTTTTGAGACAGAGTTTCGCTCTTGTCACCCCGGCTGGAGTGCAGTGGTGTGATCTCAGCCCACTGCAACCTCCACCTCCCAGGTTCAAGCTATTCTCTCCTGCCTCAGCCTCCCACGTAGCTGGGACTACAGGCACCTGCCATCATGCTGGCTAATTTTTTGTATTTTTAGTAAAGATGGGGTTTCACCATGTTGGCCAAGCTGGTCTCGAACTCCTGACTTCAGGTGATCCACCCGCCTCAGCCTCCCAAAGTGCTGGGATTATAGACATGAGCCACTCCACCCGGCCGATTTTAACCATTTTTGAATGCATGACTCAGTGGCATTAATTACATTCACAATGTTGTGAAATTGTCACCACTATCTGTTTCCAAAAATTTTCATCACCTCATTCAGCAGTAACTCCCCATTCCCTCCTCCCCACCACCCCCGGTAATCTCTATTCTACTTTCTGTCTCTATGAATTTGCCTATTCCAGGTTATTTCATTTAAGTAGAATAGTACAATATTTGTTCGTTTGTGCCTGGCTTGTTTCACGTGGTGTGTTTTCAAGGTTCACGTATTTTGTAGCACGTGTCACAACTTCATTACTTTTTATGGCTAAATAATATTCCATGGTATATATACCACATTTTGTTTATCCGTTTATCTATTAATTTGACTTTATTTTGACATCTATACAGTATTCCCCACTTATCCGTGGTACATTCCATGACCCCCAGTGGATGCCTAAACCTTGAATAGTACGGAGCCTGACTGCTGTCCATCAGAACACGTTTCTTTTCATATCTTCCACCCACAAATGTAATGTCTCTTCTATCTTAACTAAGCTCTGTCTTTACTTTTTATTTTATTTTTTTATTTTTTGGAGCAACCCTATTAACTGATTAGCCTCTTATCAATACTGTGGACAGCAGGAGAGCAACGCTGGTTCTGTTCCAGGGTATCTCAGGCCTTGTAGTGAAACGATGGGAAATGCCCCTCCACTCCTAGGAAGGTGGCTTTGTCACAGGTCAGGCTCATGCAGGACTCCTCCCACCCTTAGCCTTCTCTCTCAGAGCTTCCTCGATAGCTGTGCAAATTGGCTGTGGGCTTGCCCATCCTCCCTTTCTTCATATGTGCCCAGACATGGCTGAATTGCAGATTAAGCTCAAATTGGAACTCCTTTTCCATGAGATTCTAAGTATATAAAATGGAACTCGAAATCAACAAGTGCCAGGAATAGGATACCTTCGGGGGAAACACATTATTCATCAGTACCTGGTGTTTTCCCATACGTCCTTTTTTCTGTTCACAGGAGGGAACTTCTTTTCTGGAAATCTACTTTCTTACAGATTTCAATCTTCAGAAAGTTCTCCTTGAGTTTCCCGTAATTATAAGCTAGATGTCAGGAGATTTATTTCCTCTAGAATTAAAACAAATCTCATCTGTGATATAAAATTCCTCACCACCAGAGGGAGGTACTCCTTTTCTCGTCCCTTCTTGGAGTATTTTAGTAGGATACAGTGACAGTTTTGCACAAAAGAGGATACTTCAAGACACAAATCTGACCCTCTTATTCTTTTTTGGTCTAACTACTTTCACTTGTCATTCTTTCGCCTCCTAAGGCTCAAATACTCCTCCTGCTCCATGACTTTGATCTGATGATTGAGAGAATAGCATTAGCAGGGGCTCAACCAAACTTTCGTTTACAGCTTAGATGCTGTCAAAGGCCCCTATCAAACAATGCAGTAGTGTATTCTGATGAGATTGGGCACGTTCAGGGTGGTATGGCCATAGACTGCAGTACTGTATTCTGGATCTTGGCTTTCTAATGGCATTGTTGGATAGATTTGCTGCCTGAAAGTCAACCAACCAACAGAAACTTCTCTCCAGTGTTCAACCTATATGTGGGAAAATCTAGCATATTATAGAATGATCATTTTTTGCATGATTAAAATATAATTTCCTCTATAAAAATAGATGAGAAACAGCTAATTTGGGGAAAACCTTCTATAAATCCACAATTACTTAAGAATAACTACTTACTTGATCCAGAAAGATACTCTTTCTATTATTGTTGTACACTTAATGAGAGCTACTGTCTTTTATTTTATTTTATTTTTTTAATTTTTTTTCTGAGATGGAGTTTCGCTCTTGTTGCCCAGGCTGGAGTGCAATGGCATGATCTTGGCTCGCTGCAAGCTCTGCCTCCCGGGTTCAAGCGGTTCTCCTGCCTCAGCCTGCCGAATAGCTGGCATTGCAGGGGCAGGCCACCACACCCAGCTAATTTTTGTATTTTTAGTAGAGACAGGGTTTCACCATGTTGGCCAGGCTGGTCTTGAACTCCTGGGCTCAAGCAATCCTCTCACCTCAGCCTCCCAAAGTGCTGGAATTCCAGGCATGAGCCACCACACCCACAATAGCAATTAGGGATTGCTATTATTTTTTTTAATTTTAAAAATATATATAGGCAAGGATGTAGAGAAACTGGAACCCTTATACACTGTTGGTGAGAATGCAAAATGGTGCAGCTAACATGGAAAACAATAGGGAGACTCCCACCAAATTCAAAATGGAGCTACCTGACGATCTGGAGAGATACTTTTTAACATGAATCTAAAGGTAGTAGAATAATTTCAGGAGAAGATTATATAGATACATTTAGTTACAAATCTAGCCTTCACTGGAAATTATGTCTCACTGGCTTCTGGAGATGGAAGATAGTCTATACATAATATGAGGAAACTTATTTTCACTGTTTGTTTCTCTCTGTGGCCTATTGCCTGTAGGCCATATTCCAGTAGTGGTTTTTTTCTACCCCCTAAAATTTAGGTAAAATTAGCTTGAAATTTCATGCCCTGTGGAAAGCTCAATGTCCTTTCTAATACTTCTGTACATTTCTGGGAGAGTGATAATTTCATGGCTGCTCTGCCTCTGCCTTCCTAAAATTCTTGGTCCCCACCCCTGCTGCCTTGTGGTTGTGCCTTTATCTTTGTCCTATATTGACCAAACATTCAATTCAGCACCTTTCTTTAAAAAACAAAACAGGGCCGGGTGCGGTGGCTCATGCCTGTAATCCCAGCACTTTGGGAGGCCAAACTGGGTGGATCATTTGAGGTCAGGAGTTCAAGACCAGCCTGGACAACAAGGTGAAATCCCGCCTCTACTAAAAATACAAAAATTAGCCGGGTGTGGTGGCACGTTCCTGTAATCCCAGCTACTCAGGAGGCTGAGGCAGGAGGATCACTTGAACCCGGGAGACAGAGGCTGCAGTGAGCCGATATCACGCCACTGCACTCCAGCCTGGGTGACAGAGCGAGACTCCGTCTCAAAAATAATAATAAATAAATAAACAAATTTTTTTTAAAGCAGTCATTCAAAGCCTAGGTGAATGTCAGAGACCTCACTGAAAGTTTAGAAAATTTAAAGAAGTTTACATTTTGAACAACTTCAACCATGTATTAGACATCCATCCCTGCTCTAAAAATTTTGTCAAACTACTAGATTGCTTGGCCATACTCTCTCTTTCCTCCTCCTCCTTCTCTCCTTTCTGTTATTTCCCTCAACTCCAAATTCCCGTATAGCTTCTTATATTTCTATTCTAATTTCCTGCTGTTCATGCCTGTAGGGTCTTCTACTCTAGGTATTTTCTCAAGATACTTTCCCAAACAAAGCCTAGGAGGAATTCTGGGCCCAAAAAGATGTTCGTAATCTCACATGCACACATACGTTTCCATGTGGTTATCAGAGCTGTTTTTTTCTGGCCAGGCGATCTCAGCCACCATCTTGCCTTAAAGTGAACTCTTTTATTCCAAAAGTGATGGCCAGCATGCCGGCTGTGATGTTCCTCATAGCCAGTGCTGGAGGAAAACTCGGAAAAACACAGCATCATATATTGGAGTAGAAATATAGAAGTGGGCTGGGGCGTGGAGATATAGTAGCAGGAGATATTTTGCTATTAATCAAATCATATTTATTGAACATCTATTCTGAAAAAGGCTCTTCAGTAGAAGCATGCAGGGAAAAAAAATCTTGTACGTGACTTTATGGATATATCAGGGATTGAAACTCCTGGAATTTATCAAAATCTAATTTGTCCTTACCCAGGCTGAATGGAGAGAAGAAGTGAAAAAACATTTTGAGAAGATCAAAAGTGAAGGAACTTGTATACACCGGTTAGATGAAGAACTGATTCGAAGGCGCAGAGAAGAGCTCAGGTCAGCTCATCCCTCCTTCCCCACCTCCCTTCATCCCCAGGTCTTCAGATGTTAACAGGCACCCTTATCATAACCACCATTTCACTTTCCACACACCTTTCACCTCTGCTTTTTATTGTTATGCTCTTTAAAAGTTGCCCCAAAAGTTAGCCTTCCTTTGTATCTCTTTCCTATCCTTTCTTCCCAACTCCATTATCCTCTTTTATTAGGTCTCTGCAACAAAGATTCTTGAAACAATGCTATTTAATCATTCAGCCAGTGTCCTAGGTGCCATGCAATTCCAGAAATTTATAAGATTTAGTCCCTGGCTTCAAGATGCTTATAATCTATTAAGAGATATAAGGCCAGGTGCAGTGGCTCACACCTGTAATCCCAGCACTTTGGGAGGCCAAGGCAGGCGGGTCACTTGAGCCCAGGAGTTTGAGACCAGCCCGCCCAGCATGGCAAAACCCCATCTCTACTAAAAATACAAAAAATTAGCTGGGTGTGGTGGCGCACGATGCCTGTGATCCCAGCTATGCAGGAGACAGAGGCATGAGAATCACGTGAACCCAGGAGATGGAGGCTACAGTGAGCCCAGATTGTGCCACTGCACCCCAGCCTGGGTGACAGAGTGAGATTCTGTCTCAAAAAAAGAGAGAGAGATAAGACATGTTCACGAATAATCACTGATATGGTTTGGCTCTGTGTCTCCACCCAAATCTCACCTCATATTGTAACCCCCATAATCCCCATGTGTCAAGAACCAGGTGGAGGTAACTGGATCTTGGGGGCGGCTTCCCCCATGCTGTTTTTGTGATAATGGGTGAGTTCTCAGGAGATCTGATGGTTTTATAAACATCTGGCATTTCCCCTGCTTGCACTCAATCCATCCTGCCGCCCTGTGAAGAAGGTGCCTGCTTCTCCTTTGCCTTCTGCCATGATTGTAAATTTCCTGAGGCCTTCCCAGCCATGCAAAACTGTGAGTTAATTAAACCTCTTTCCTTTATAAATTACCCAGTGTCCAGTATTTCTTCTAGCAGTGTGAGAACAGACTAAGACAATCACAGCTGAGTCAGTTCTGAATGCTATAACGAACTTTAGACTGGATAATATATAAACAACAGAAATGTATTGGTCACAGTTCTGGAGCTGAGAAGTCCATAATCAAGGTGCCAGCAGATTCAGTGTCTGGTGAGGGCCCATTCTTCATAGATGGCACCTTCTATGTGTCCTCACACCGAAGAAGGGCAAAAGGGCTCCCTCAAGTCTTTTTTATAAGGGGACTCATCTCATTGACAAGGGCAGAGCTCTCATGACCTAATCACCTCCTAAAGACCCCACCTATTTATTTATTTATTTTGAGATAGTCTCTCTCTGTCGCTTAGGCTGGAGTGCAGTGGCACCATCTCAGCTCACTGCAACCTCCACCTCCCAGGTTTAAGCGATTCTTCTGCCTCAGCCTCCTGAGTAGCTGTTGCAGGTGTGCTAACCATGCCGGGCTAATTTTTGTATTTTTAGTAGAGACAGGGTTTCACCATATTGCACAGGCTGGTCTTGAACTCCTGACCTCGTGATCCACCTGCCTCAGCCTCCCAAAATGCTGGGATTACAGGCATGAGCCACTGCATCTGGCCAACCCCACCTCTTAACATTATCATCTTGGGTGTTAGGTTTCAACATATAAATCTGGGGGGCACAAACATTCAGACCATACCAACCACTATATCACACAGGGTCTGGGCCGTGGCTAAGTGTAAATGAGTGATCATGGTGTTGGCTTTAACTGCATATTTCCATTAACATATGAGTCTATTCTACTGTATTCTTATTAAGATAGTGACAAATTATAGACAGATTTTTATCTGTGGCCCTCTTGGCTATTCTATATGGCTCATGGGCTCTTTAGGATAAACCAGGTGGAGAGCTTAGATTTCCCACCTCCCGTTCCATTTTGTCTGAGTTACTGCACTGGACAAGGGAGGCTTAAAGTAAGAGGGCCTTGGGCAAATGCTTTTGTGATCAATCATCCTGTTTCTTATTTCATCAAGCGGACTTTTTTCTCCCGAAGTTGGTTGGCTGGGCTGACCCTGTGTTTTCTCTGACAGGCATGCGCTGGATATTCGTGAACACTATGAGCGGAAGCTTGAGCGGGCGAATAATTTATACATGGAATTGAGTGCCATCATGCTGCAGCTAGAAATGCGGGAGAAGGAGCTCATTAAGTATGTATCCAGACTAGTGTCTGTTCTTACTGATTTGAGTCTGTCAATCAGCAGAAACATACTACCCTTCCATGTTGCTGCTACTCAGAACTGGCAGATATTTTATTCATTCACCCAACATTCCTTCCGGGATGTGCTATGCACAGGTCCCTGCCCCTGGCGAGGTATACAAATAAGTGGAGTTGCCACAGAGCAAGTTATAGGAGAACATGCACTTGGCAGTCATTTGCTGCATAGGGAAGGGGTCCCCATTTCAAGAAGAGCACGGGGTGAAGACCGGGGAGCCGATTGCCCCCTGGGGAAATGTATTGGCTGCTGAAAGTGGTGTAAGGTACTCCTGATGGTGGCAAGAAAACCCTGGGAATCCTGACCAAATAAGCAGCTACTGAAAACAAGCAGGACTTCTGTCATTGTATTATGTTGGGGAAATGAAAGTGAGTATTAGTGTCTCAGTGCATGAGCTGAAGAGCAGAATGAAGTCAGGTTAATTTGAATTTAGTATTTCCTTTTTTTTTTTTTTTTTTTTTTTGTGAGATGGAGTCTTGCTCTGTCACCCAGGCTGGAGTGCAGTGACATGATCTCAGCTCACTGCAACCTCCGCCTCCCGGATTCAAGTGATTCTCCTGCCTCAGCCTCCTGAGTAGCTGAGACTACAGGTGCATGCCACCATGCCCAGCTAATTTTTGTATTTTTAGTAGAAATGGGATTTCACTATGTTGCCCAGGCTGGTCTCGAACTCCCAACCTCAGGTGATCCACCCACCTTGGCCTCCCAAAGTGCTGGGATTACATGCCTGAGCCACCGAGCCCGGCTGTTTGTTTGTTTTTTAAACCTGAATAGCAGTCTTGTTATTCAAATAGCTAAATGTGGCAGAATCTGTGGTAGAATTAGCCGGTGAAAATATTCTGCCTATCCTTTCTGTCTGCAATGACTGAGGTGTGGCTTTTGCCTTTATTCTGCAGGCGTGAGCAAGCAGTGGAAAAGAAGTATCCTGGGACCTACAAACGACACCCTGTTCGTCCTATCATCCATCCCAATGCCATGGAGAAACTCATGAAAAGGAAAGGAGTGCCTCACAAATCTGGGATGCAGACCAAACGGTGAGACACCTGTACAAACGCAGTATTCAGATAAATAGGGAAAGACCCACCCACAAATCCATTCTCACATGATGGCGGATGTGGCCTCTTCTTTAGCTCATCAGATGACTGTAGAGATACTCAGTACTCTAGGTAAAACAGAGTAAGAAGGTGAGGGAGTATCACAAACTTTAGGAATCTAGCTTTTACATCTGTGGCATAAATATTTATTGTCTTAGCATGGAAAGAGAAATAAACTGGGGGCCAGACAGACCTGGATGCAAATCCTGGACCTGCCTTATAAGCTGTGTGAGTTGACCTCTGTCAACCCCAGTGTCCTCATGGATAAAATGGTACAATTACAGCACATGAGATTTCTTTTTATTTTTCTGACCTCTAGGACACAGAATTGGGTTAGTCATAATTCTTGATTTACAACACAATAGACCATGCATGGCTTACTTTTATTCACACATTTAGTTCGTTCTTTTTAATAATGTGGAAAGTACCTGCAAACTCACTGTATTAGTCCCTTCTTGCATTGCCATAAAGAAATACCTGACTGGGTGCGGTGGCTCACGCCTGTAATCCCAGCACTTTGGGAGGCCGAGGTGGGTGGATCATGAGGTCAGGAGATCAAGACCATCCTGGCCAACATGGTGAAACCCCATCTCTACTAAAAATACAAAAATTATCTGGGCGTGGTGGCACGTGCCTGTAATCCCAGCTACTCGGGAGGCTGAGACAGGAGAATCACTTGAACCAGGGAGTCGGAGGTTGCAGTGAGCTGAGATCATGCCACTGCACCCCAGTCTGGTGACAGAGCGAGACTCTGTCTCAAAAAAAAAAAAAAAAAAGAAATACCTGAGACTGGGTAATTTATAAAGATAAAAGGTTTAATTGGCTCATGGTTCTGCAGGCTACACAGGAAGCATGACAGCTTCTGCTCAGCTTCTCGGGAGGCCTCAGGAAACTTATAATCATGGTGAAAAACAAAGGGGGAGCCAGCGCTTCACATGGCTGGAATAGGAGGAAGAGAGAGCAAAGCAGGAGGTGCTACATTCCTTTAAATAACCAAATCTCATGAAAACTCACTCACTCACTATCATGAGAACAGCACCGAGGAGATGATGCGAAACCATTCATGAGAAACTGCCCCCATGATCCAATCACCCCCTCACCAGGCCCCACCTCCAACAGTAGGGATTACAATCCGACATGAGATTTGGGTGGGGACGTAGACTCAAACCGTATCACTCATCATGGAAACAAAAGCAGGGCCTTTGATAATTACCTATATCTAACCATATGGGTTCCCCTCATTGTACCCTAGCATGGGAGTTTTGTGAAGTTTAAATATGATAACATGTATAACATGTGAAATCATCTATCAAATCATAGGTGCTCGAAAAATGTATTTTGGGATAGTTTAAAAAAAGATTGCCCTTTCCCCTTTTTACTACATATTTGCCTTGTATTAGTTTAATCTTGGAATTCTCTTCCTCTCATTTTTCCTTACCAAACTCTGTAGAGACTCATTCCTCAATAACAGAGGGTTGGCTCTCTCCTAGCTAAGTTAATGTAAAGGGAAGGAAGGTCCCTAAACCTAGGGTATAGACCTAATAGTGAGATGTGAGTTAAATGCAGTAAGAATAGAGCTAATGAGAGAACACAAACCAAGAATGTATTATGACTCTATCAGAATGGCAGTCATTCTACCATAGCTGGACTAATAGGTACCTAACTTCTAACGAGTAACTACACGGACTAATTCCAATTTTGCTTTTACCTTCTGCCCCAACCATCTAATGGTCAAGTTCTGAGAAACTTTTTTCAGATTCCACCTGACACAATCCTTGGGGTTGGGGGAAATCCCAACACCCCTTTTCTTTTGTTGTACTAATTAGGGACAGAGTCTGCCCGATGGCTGCTCCCTGCCTTCTGCCTACAGTTAAAACTAAGAGCGCTGGGGGAGAAAATAGAACTATTTAGCTTTTTCAAATATGAGCTCATGTTTGCTTTTATTTTGGCTATGAGAAATGTTTGAAAGAGTTTGACAACACAAGTAGATGCTTAGTCAATGAGCTAGCTGAACACGAGGAAGGCAACCTGCAAAGAGCTGTACTGTCAGCTGATTGTCCCTTGAAGGACTTCCGTTTCAGATGATTTGGACAGTCCAATGATTACCTAGTGAGAAGTCTGGAGACCTTGAAGGAAATTAGAGAGGAGAAACCATTCAACCATCCTTAAGCCCAGGTTTCAGTTTATGTTTAGTTAGAGACTAAAAAGAGTGTCAAGTTCAGTCATGGACATTTCCAGCCTGTCATAAGTGAGTACAGTCCAAAAAGATAGTCTAAATACCCTGTAATAATGAGAGGCTTGAAATGGGGAAGAACTATGCCTTGGGGTCAACGGACTTGGGTTCAAGTTATGAGTTCTGCCACTTGCTGGCTTTGTGATGGATACAACCCAGCATAACCTCTGATCCTCAGTGCACTTCTCCATCAAATGGGTATTGTAATAGTAGGAACAAAGTGCTTTCTGCAGTACAAATTGGCCAGCTGACCACAGAATTTTGAATCTGGGACAGGAAGCTGCCAATAGCAGACAATACCCTACCCACCTTATCATAAACCCTTAATACCTGGAACTTCCATGCTAAGACAAGTCCTTAACTGTACTTTTCCTGTAAACGAAGAAAAACCCATCTCCTGCTGCCTGCTGCCTACTTATGAGCTGTGGCTGTTCAATGTGTGGCCTCACTTTAGCATCATCTGAGAGCTTGTTATACTTGCAGGCTCTTAGGCCCCACCCCAGACCTACTAAATCAAAGTCTTCGTGTTTAACAAGCTCCCCGGGTGATTTGTATGTGCCTTCAAGTTTGAACTCTGACCTTCAATAAACCAGATTGAAAATTAGGAGAGACTTTTTGTCTGGATTCTACCACTAATGAGCTATGAGAGCATCAGCCATTTTGGCTGGGCTGTGAGCTCTTTGTCACATATGGTGAAGACAGGACTGTACCTGTGGTTTCCAAGCAAAGCCTGGAACACCCAAGGGCTTGTACAGAGGTTTCTCAGAGGCTATTGCAGGGGTAGGAAGGACAAGGAGGGGGAACCTGGGAACTCTGCAGAGAAGGGCTGCTGCTCTCCACTTCAACCGGTTCCACTATACCTTTTTTATTTATTGCATTTCTCATAATAATTCGAGAGGATTCTGTTGTTAAAAACAAAAAAGTCTGGGCCCATCACCTGTAAAATTTCATGCTGACTTGTGTCTTTCTGGTCCAAAGAAGGGTAAGGCTACTTGCTGGTAGGAAGAAAGCAGTGGTTCTTCCTGGTAATCCTAGAGGCTCTGCCCTGAATCAGTTCATCAGTTTAGAAACCATTTATTGTTCACCTGCAGGCCTTGGAGTCAGTGTGGGCAAGGTGTAACTTCAGGCCTCTGATTTTCTTTTGCACGTAATCTTCACAACTGGCCCAGTGAAGACTTGAAAACAGGACTGTGAAAGAACTCCCTCCCTTTAGGATCAAAGTGAAATGCCAGTGTCACTCCGCACTAGCCCGTCTCTTCCTGCTTCTACTCAACCTCCTGCTGAGCTCTGTCTTTCCTCCTTCTCTGACCCCTCCCTTCCTTTTCCTTCCTTCAAGCTTCTCTGAGTACTCACTATAAACAAGAGTCCTTGCTTTCTAGGGTGAGGTGTAGGATATAATACAGAAGGAATAACAGAAATCCTCTGTAAGTGGACATGTAGGTTGTTTCCAGCTTTTTGCTATTTCAAAAAATACTGTAACATAACATCATCAAACATGTATTTTGATGCACATATGAGGGGACTTCAAAAAGTTCATGGAAAATGTAATTATAAAAGATAACAATTAAAAATATAAACTTTACTTCTCAACATAAGCTCCATCAAGGTTAAGATAGTTTTGTAAGTGATGATATCAGCCATTTAATTCATCCCTAAAGAACTGAGGGTCCTGGAAATGTATCCATGTCAATACCGTCTTTTTACATTATTAACTGAAGAAAAAATGGATGCCCTTTAAAGGTATTTTCAGATTAGGAAACAAAAAGAAATGAGAAGGAGCCAAATCGGGACTGTAAGGTGGATGCTTAATGATCTCCCATAGAAACTCTTGAAAAATTGCCCTTGTTTGATGAGATGAATGAGCAGGAGCATTGTTATGGTGGAGGAGGACTCTCTGGTGAAGGTTTCCTGGATTTTTTTCTGCTAATGTTTTGGCTAACTTTCTAAAACACTCCTATAATAAGCAGATATTGTCATTATTTGGCCCTCCAGAAAGTCAACAAGCAAAATGCTTTGAGCATCCCAAAAAAACTGTTGCCATGACCTTTGCTTTTTTTTTTTTTTTTTTTTGTAGAGATAGGGTCTTGCTATGTTGCTCAGACTGGTCTCAAACTCCTGGCCTCAAGCAATCCTCCTATCTTGGCCCCCAAAGTGCTGGGATTACAGGTGTGAGCCTGTACCTGGACGACCTTTACTTTTTTTTTTTTTTTTTTTTTTTTTGAGATGGAGTCTCACTCTTGTTACCCAGGCTGGAGTGCAGTGGCACGATCTCAGCTCACTGCAACTTCTGCCTCCTGGGTTCAAGTGATTCTCCTGCCTCAGCCCCCTGAGTAGCTGGGATTACAGGCGCCCACCACCACGCCTGGCTAATTTTTATATTTCTAGTAGAAATGGGGTTTCACCATGTTGGCCAGGCTAGTCTCGAACTCCTGACCTCAAGTGATCCACCTGCCTCGGCCTCCCAAAGTGCTGGGATTATAGGCGTGAGCCACCACGCCCGGCCGACCTTTACTCCTGACCAGTCTGTTTTGACTGGACCAGTTCCACCTCTTGGTAGCCATTGCTTTAATTGTGCTTTGTCTTCAGGATCATACTGGTAGAGCTGTGTTTCATCTCCTGTTACAATTTCACTTATGCAAAGAGATGTTTGAAGATCTTGATCCCAAGTGTTTAAAATTTCTATTGAAAGTTCTGCTCTTGTATGCAGCTGATCTGAATGCAACAGTTTTGGTTCCCATTGAGTGGAAAGTTTGTTCAACTTTAATTTTTCTATTAGAATTGTGTAAGCTGAGCCAAATGAGATGTCTATTGAGTTGGCTATTGTTTCTGCTGTTAATCATCAGTTCTCTTCAATTAGGGCATGAGTAAGATGAATTTTTTTCCTCACAAATTGATGTGGTTGGTCTGCTCCTGTGGGCTTCGTCTTCAACATCATCTCATCCCTTCTTCTTTTTTTTTTTTTTTTTTTTTTGAGACAGAGTCTCACTCTGTTGCCCAGGCTGGAGTAGTGTAGTGGCACCATCTCGGCTCACTGCAACCTCCGCCTCCCAGGTTCAAGCGATTCTCCTGCCTCAGCCTCCTGAGTAGCTGGGACTACAGGCATGCACCACCACGCCTGGCTAATTTTTGTATTTTTAGTAGAGACGGGGTTTCACCATGTTGGCCAGGATGGTCTCGATCTCTTGACCTCGTGATCCACCCTCCTTGGCCTCCCAAAGTGCTGGGATTACAGGCATTAGCCACCGCACCCGGCCCATCCCTTCTTAAAGAAGTTACCCATTTGTAAACTGCTGATTTCTTTGGGACGTTGTTCCATAAACGTTTCATAAAGCGTCAATGTTTTCACCATTCTTCCACTTAAGCTTCACCACAAATTTGATGTTTGTTCTTTAATCGTAGCAGAATTCATGTTGCTCTGATAGGGGCTCTTTTCAAAGCGATTGTTCTTAGTGCCTCAATCTAGATCGTGCTTAGAGATGTTACCGATAAGTTGGTATGAGTTTATTTCCATGCAAAAAATTTTGAGATCCATGCATAGTTTCTTCATAATATGCATCTTCCATGAACATTTTGAAGACCCCTCATACGTTATCTCTATTGGATAAATCCTGATGACTGCTGATTCAAAGGCTCTGTGTATTTTAAGTCTTAGGATACATTTCCCCAAACTTGAATGTGTTTTCATGTGTTTCAGATTAAACCTGTTCTTTCCTCCCAGGCCAGACTTGTTGAGATCAGAAGGGATCCCCACCACAGAAGTGGCTCCCACTGCATCCCCTTTGTCCGGAAGTCCCAAAATGTCCACTTCTAGCAGCAAGAGCCGATATCGAAGCAAACCACGCCACCGCCGAGGGAATAGCAGAGGCAGCCATAGTGACTTTGCCGCAATCTTGAAAAACCAGCCAGCCCAGGAAAATTCACCCCATCCCACTTACCTGCACCAAGCTCAATCCCAATACCCTTCTCTTCATCACCATAATTCTCTGCAGCAGCAATACCAGCAGCCCCCTCCTGCCATGTCCCAGAGTCACCATCCCAGACTCAATATGCACGGACAGGACATAGCAACCTGCGCCAACAACCTGAGGTATTTCGGCCCAGCAGCAGCCCTGCGGAGCCCACTCAGCAACCATGCTCAGAGACAGCTGCCCGGCTCGAGCCCTGACCTCATCTCCACAGCCATGGCTGCAGACTGCTGGAGAAGTTCTGAGCCTGACAAGGGCCAAGCTGGTCCCTGGGGCTGTTGCCAGGCTGACGCTTATGACCCCTGCCTTCAGTGCAGGCCAGAACAGTATGGGTCCTTAGACATACCCTCTGCTGAGCCAGTGGGGAGGAGCCCTGACCTTTCCAAGTCACCAGCACATAATCCTCTCTTGGAAAACGCCCAGAGTTCTGAGAAAACGGAAGAAAATGAATTCAGCGGCTGTAGGTCTGAGTCATCCCTCGGCACCTCTCATCTCGGCACCCCTCCAGCGCTACCTCGAAAAACAAGGCCTCTGCAGAAGGTAAAGTGTAATGATGAGAGTGGCCTGCGTCACTGCCTTCAAAGAATGCCAGAGCCTGTCATGTTATACACATTAGAGAGCATATGTAAAAAGTATACATTTTGTAAAAGGACAAGATAACAGAAACATAAATAGAAATTTATTTTACTTTAAATTCGTTCTTTCCACACTGTTTAAGTGATAAACTACGGAATACACTTTAGCAACTACTGAACCAGAGGACTGAGTCAAGTGTATGTATAATAACTTATTTATAGATAACTATATACTGGGGATATGGGCTGCACATGGTGGCTCACGCCTATAATCCCAGCAATTTGGGAGGCCAAGGCAGGAGGATCACTTGAGGTCAAGAGTTCGAGACCATCCTGGCCAACATGGTGAAACCCTGTCTCTACTAAAAAAAATACAAAAATTAGCCAGGTGTGGTAGCACACACCTGTAATCCGAGCTACTCAGGAGACTGAGGCATGAGAATTGCTTGAACCTGGGAGGCGGAGGTTGCACTGAGCCGAGATCACACCACTGCACTCCAGCCTGGGTGGCAGAGCGAGACTCTGTCTCAAAAAACAAACAAACAAAAAAACTATATAGTGGGGATATGTAATCAAAATAGTTTGGAAACTACTATGCTACAGCTCTAGTCCTGAGGGATGTTATGGGAAGTAAAGAGCCTGTTATAGAGTAAGTTTAAGAAGCACAGTATTCTCTCATCCCCTCATACAGATTCCTAGGGCACATTAACAGTCCTCTGCTTTGAGAAATCCTGCAGTAAACTTGTTTAACCGAGCATTTCCCTCACCTATTTGAACATACAGCCTTTTTAAATTAACATCTATTAATCCCCTGAGGCACTAGCTTTCTTCACACTTTGGAAAACATTGCCTTAATTGACAGGCATCGTGACCCAGATAGTTCTTAATCATTGAAACCTGTTTCTCTCCTCCTTATCCACTGGCTGCCTGGGATTTGTTACCTGGGAAGCAGACTACCATAGCAGTTAAGAGCATGAGCCTAGGAGTCAGACAGACCTTACTTTAAAGCCAGGCTCTTGGCCAGGCACGGTGGCTCATGCTTGTAATGCCAGCACTTTGGAAGGCCGAGGCAGGTGGATCATGAGGTCAGGAGTTCAAGACCAGCCTGGCCAGCATGGTGAAATCCTATCTCTACCAAAAATACAAAAATTAGCCAGGCGTGGTGGCAGGCACCTGTAATCCCAGCTACTCAGGAGGCTGAGGCAGAGAATAGCTTGAACCTGGGAGGTGGAGGCTGCAGTGAGCCGAGATCCCGCCACTGCACTCCAGACTGGGCGACAGTGTGAGACCCCATCTCAAAAAAAAAAAAAAAAAAAAGCCACGCTCTTCCATTTAGTACCTCTATGGACCTCAGTTTCCTTGTCTATAAAATGGGCCTAATATTGGACTCTGCCTCATCAGTTGCTATAAAGACTACATGCATAAATACATATAAAGCATTTAGAACAGGGCCTGGAACGTAGCACTTTTCCAAAAGTATTAGCTCTTCTTGCTATGAGTCAAAAAATAAGATTATGTATGAAAAATGTTTACAACATGGTAGACACCCACCCAATTCTAAGTATGGTTTCATCTCATCATCATTGTTCACCAGGAATTTAGCTGAAGGAATGAAAGGGTATAAAATGTAATGAGTATGTTTGGTCAACTAGGCATTGAGTAGAAAAGAAGCTGAAGCTGAGGGCTGTCATCTGGGAACTGCATTTCCCCCTCCACCTACATTGCTGCTCCTATACTGACTAAGCAGTCCCAGAGATTAAATTGTGTTTCAGGGGGTGGCCGCGGTGGCTCACACCTGTAATCCCAGCACTTTGGGAGGCCAAGGCGGGTGGAACACCTGAGGTCAGGAGTTCGAGACCAGCCTGGCCAATATGGGAAACCCTGTCTCTACTAAAAATACAAAAATTAGCCGGGCATGGTGGTGCACTCCTGTAATCCCAGGTACTCGGGAGGCTGAGGCAGGAGAATCAGTTGAACCCAGGAGGCAGAGGTTGCAGTGAGCCAAGATTGCACCACTGCACTCCAGCCTGGGCAACAGAGCAAGACTCTGTCTCAATAAATAAATAAATACATAAAATTGTGTTTCAGCTGGTGCAGTTGATTTGGGCCGATCCATTCTCTCCTCTTCCAACTCCGATGGCCAGTAACTTGTATTTTTTGATAACTTCTTTATTAAGATATAATTTGCATACCATACAGTCCTCCCATTTAAAGTGTATAGTTCAATGCTTTTTATCCACAGAGCTGTGTAACTATCACCACGACCAATTTTACAACACTTTTATCACCCCAGAAAGAAACCCCACACCCTTTAGCAGTCACCACATTCCCCAGGCTCCCCCAAATAACATGTATCTTTGAACCTTTCTCATGCCATTGTGATACCATCTACGGGTCTTTAGGCCATAGAACACACACCTTGTACATTTGGCTTCATTGGAACCTCACTCCCACAGAGCAGCTCAACTTTTCTTTACCAAAACATAGTCCCACAGGTCCTCCTAGGGTAAACTGCTCATCTCAGCAGTCAGGATAACTTCATCTCTGTCTTTCCTATTTTAAAAAAAAAAAAAAAAAAAAGCATATCAGAATACAAATGAGTAAGATTCATGATATTTTAGAACTGACTTTTTAAAAGGTAAATTATTCTCAATATTTGGTACAGTTCCTTGGACCCAATTACCCACCTTACAAGCGATTGGGTAATCCAGCGTATCATGATGCTGTGGTTAAGGACAGTTGATCTTAAGTGTGGCTGCTCCTATGCCCTTGGTGTGAGATGAGTTCTCTGTAAAGGAAGATCACCTCAGTCAGGACACTTACCCCGCCTTCCAGATCAACCATGGAGCCCCAGCAATCACGGGGACTCAGGTGTCCCAGCCAGAGCTCCCTTATTGCTGCCAACATGCTGACTCAATAAAAATGCATTAAGCACTTTCTTTTAATTGACAAACAATAATTATATATATTTATAGGGATAACACCAATTTTGTATGCAGTATTGTATTAATGGAGTGAGGCATACAGTACAAACAGGATATAGTCTGACCCTCAAAAATGTCTATCTAACTACATAATATTAGTGAAAAAGGGATTGGTATATAAAAAGGGAAAAAGTAATTGTTCGGCTTTGAGGATTTCAAAGATCAATTCTATAACAGAGCCTGGAACCACTAGTGACAATGATTACAAGAGACTGACCCCAAATCCAAGACCTCCTCTCCAACTTCCCTCTCCATCACTCACCTCTGGACACTTTAATAGAGCCATCACCTCTCTGAGGACAAAGAAAATTTCACTCAGTTCTACACGTCTTCCAGCATCTCATGCAGGCCCGCCATCATAGGTACCCTGGAAAAGTTACTAAATGAATAATGAGGACATGTATGTTTAAAGATGACATTCAGCAAGCTACTACTAAATGAATGACTTTTGATGATAATTACATTTTTTACAGTTAGTGGGGATGGGGTGAGAGAGACAGAGTGACACTAAAATAAATAAAACTCTTAATCCTTGTTCTCCTCAGAGTGGAGATGACTCCTCAGAAGAGGAAGAAGGGGAAGTAGATAGTGAAGTTGAATTTCCACGAAGACAGAGGTAAAACCAACAAATGCACACGATTGCTTTTAGTGGAATGGGGAAAAAAAATCCTAAGTTTGCCACACCTGCTCTTCAACCACAGGTGATTCCCTGGCAGCCACCTTATAGGGAACTTTGAACTCACTGTGTTCATGTTTTCCTGTTGCTACATTTTGGCAGTTGTTCGTGCACAGCAGATCCTAGTTCATTAGCATTCATTTTACAGCAACTTCATGATGAGGAGCATGAATACAGATTCAAGGTTACAACTGAGAATACAGTGGGCAGTTTGTGACAGATGGCCATGCTGTTTTATGGGTAATTGTGTTGGTTTCTAGTGTGCCTCCCTGTGTTGGTCTGCTCAGGCTTCTGTAACAAACTGGATGCTTAAACAACAGAAATTGATTTCTCACAATTCTGGAGCTGGGGAAGTTCAAGATCAAGGTTCTAGCTGACTCAGTTCCTGATGAGGGCTCTCCTACTGGCTTGCAGACAGCCACCTTCTTGCTGTTTCCTCACATGGCAGAGAGAGCTCTTCCTTCTTTTAAAAGGTCACAGTCTTATTGGATTAGGGGTCCACTCTTATGAACTCATTTAATATTAATTACCTCCTAAAGACCCTATCTAGAGGGTCTATCTAGATACAATTATATTGGAGTTTAGAGCTTCAACCGATGGATTTGGGAGGAAGGCAATTCAGTCCATAGCATTCCCCATGCCTTAGATTTTATATCTCAAGTTAAATATGATTAGATAAGTTGAATCCACCTTCAACCCAGCCTTAGAAATAGCTTCTTGCTTAGATAGCGATAATAATATTCCTGCTAGGAGTCAATAAGGGCCATCTCCCCTTACTTCTAGAATAAAAGCTGCCTCTAATGTAGAGAATAAGATAGTTTTCCTACCAAGAGGTCTTTTTCTGCTAATGGACATTCTGTTCTTGAAGAGTAATGCTCTAAGAAGTCTCCCCAGGAAGGTTTGTGTACCTGCCTGGAAACAGGAATTCCCTACAAACCAAAGGACTCCTGGCCCTTTGATAAGTTATATCCTGGATCCCTGCATTATACACAAAATTGAAATCTGTTCTCATTCCCTGCTATTCCTGGACTCTTTATGACCTCTTCTTATATATCCATGATCTGCCCCCCTGACCCCCAACCAACTCACCCCATCACCTGTCCTGGGCATCAGCCAGGCCTAGGTCATATGGCATAAAATCTCTTTGTACTAGGCCGGGTGCTGTGGCTCACACCTCTAAACCCAGCACTTTGGGAGGCTGAATCAGGAGTTCAAGACCATCCTGGCCAACACGGCGAAACCCCGTCTCTACTAAAAATACAAAAATTAGCCAGGCATGGTGGGGCATGCCTGTAGTCCCAGCTACTCAGAAGGCTGAGGCAGGAGAATTGCTTGAACCCAGGAGGCACAGGTTGCAATGAGGCGAGATGGCACCACCGCACTCCAGCCTGGGCGACAGAGTGAGACTCTGTCTCAAAAAAAAAAAAAGAAAAAAACAAAACAAAACAAAACTCTTTAGACTAAGAAATACAGAAAGATCAGACAATGGCAAAAGAAAAAGGAAGTCTTTATTATTTGTTTTCTTATGTTTTTTTAAGCCAGTGTAAGCTAGTAACATCCTTATTTACTAAGCTGCTTATAAACAACGGGAAGGAACTGAGGAACTTTTGCAAATTATCTCCCCAGAAGCGTTGGCTCATCAGAGCCAAACTCAGATGTTAACTGGAATGAGCTACTAACTAGCTGGGCAGTACCCACAGCTGCAGAGTGAATGTTCCTTCCATGCTCATTTCTGTTGAAGGTTGGTCAACAGAGGTAGTGAAAGCACTTGGGCCTCCAGGGCCACCATGCCCAGTGGACACTGGGCTCTGGGAAATGAAGCTGGGGTGGATTGACAGGGAGGTGAGGGATGGAGGTTAGAGAAGGACACTGATCAAAGTGTGTGTAGACCCAGCCCAAGCCTCAGCTCTGCCTTTTCTCATGGTGTGGCCTTAAACAAGTCACTTCCCTTCTCTGGCTCCAGTTTTCTCATCTGGGAAATGAGTTAGTCCAGAGATTCTCCAAAGTCTCTTTCACCTGTGAGAATCTATGACTCTCTAAATAAGAGGCATAATTTCAATTTGGACATTCCATACTATGCATATATGTACATAACGTGATTAGACAAGCTGATGTTTTTCAAAGGCCAGTCATAGCCATCAGCTTGGAGTGTAGTGTTTAGTCACATAAATATATAAACCAAATGAAAGGGGAAATTAAAATTTCCTTCTTGTGTTAGTCACCTTGGGCTGCCATAACAAAATACTACAGATTGGATGGCTTAAACAACAGGAACTTATTTCTCAAGTTCTGGAGCTGGGGAAGTCCAAGATCAAGGTGTCAGCAGATTCAGTTTCTGGTGAGGGCTCTCTTCCTGGCTTGCAGACAGCCACCTTCTCTGTTTCCTCACATGGTCTTTGCCCCGCACATGAATGTTGAAAAAAGGTGGGAGGGAGGAATGGAGAGAATCTCTTCCTCTTTTTATAAGGCTGCCAATCCTATTTGATCAGGACCTCACCCTTATGATCCATTTAACTTTATTTACTTCCTAAAAGCCCTATCTCCGAATACAGTCGCACTGGTATTAGGGCCTCAACATGGAATTTCATGGGGGATAAAATTCAGTCCATTGCCTTAATGTTAAAAGTTAAATAGTTTCTACCTATCTTGATTTCTTAGGCCTCCTTGATGGCAGGGAAAAAACTAGATTATCTCTACCACTACTATGAGTGACAGATAAGGAAAGAAAAGCAGTTGTTCCTCTGACTAAGTTCTCCTGGTTCTTCTTGGTTCTAGGCCCCATCGCTGTATCAGCAGCTGCCAGTCATATTCAACCTTTAGCTCTGAGAATTTCTCTGTGTCTGATGGAGAAGAGGGAAATACCAGTGACCACTCAAACAGTCCTGATGAGTTAGCTGATAAACTTGAAGACCGCTTGGCAGAGAAGCTAGACGACCTGCTGTCCCAGACGCCAGAGATTCCCATTGACATATCCTCACACTCGGATGGGCTCTCTGACAAGGAGTGTGCCGTGCGCCGTGTGAAGACTCAGATGTCTCTGGGCAAGCTGTGTGTGGAGGAACGTGGCTATGAGGTGGGGGCTTCTCCCTTCTCCTCCCATCACTGTTCCCTTTTTTGCTCTTTGGGGTTCAAGTCTCTAGGGCCTTTACAATTTTCATTTAATAATAAGATACAACAGTGGCCTTGTATTAGTCTGTTTTCACACTGCTATAAAGAACTACCTGAGACTGGGTAATTTATGAAGAAAAGAGGTTTAATTGACTCACACTTCCACAAGCTGTACAGGAAGCACGGCTGGGAGACCTCAGGAAACACAATCATGGCAGAAGGTGATGAGGAAGCAAGCATGTCTTCACATGGTGGTAGGAGAGAGAAAGCAAAGGGGAAAGTGCCACCCACTTTGAAACCATCAGATCTCATGAGAACTCACTCACTATCATGAGAATAGCAAGGGGGAAATCCACTCCCATGATCTAGTCACTTCCCACCAGGTGCCTCCCCCAACATTGGGAATTGCAATTCAACATGAGATTTGGGTGGGGACAGAGAGCCAAACCATATCAGGCCTCCAAGAAGTAAGTAGACGTACAGAGATCAACAGAGCTCCCAGAAATGAGGGCAGTTTCTCCCAAATGACACACACACATTGAACTGCTCAGGAACCCTTCATGTCAAGATTTAACTCAAACATCACTTCCTCCCACTCCTATCTCCCAACACGGTTAAAGGTCTGAGCCCAGGTCAGGTGTGGTAGCTCATACCTGCAATCCCAGCACTTTGGGAGGCTGAGGCAGGAGGATCACTTTAGGGTCAGGAGTTCAAGATCAGTCTGAGCAACATAGCAAGACCTTGCCTCTACAACAACAACAACAACAAAATTTAATTAGCTGAGTTTGATGGTACATGCCTGCAGTCCCAGCTACTCGGGAGGCTTGAGGTGGAAGGTTCTCTTAAGCCCAGGAGTTTGAGGCTGCAGTGAGCTATGATCACACCACTGCACTCCAGCCTGAGCAACAGTGAGACCCTGTCTCTGAAAAAAAAAAATTATTTTAAAGGTCTGAGCCTCCCCACTCCATACCCTGACTCTTCCCTGGATGATGCCATCATAGGACATATAGCACTTTATTTCATATTCAGGACTGCCTTTGGAGAGGCAGGCTAGCATAGTGGTTCTAAGTGTAAAGCCTGGAATCTGACTGCCTGAATGCAAATTGTAGCATTCCACTTACTGTGGGACCTGGCAAGCCACTTAACCTCTCTGTAAAATGGGGATGATAATAGCATCTGTCTCATAGTGTTATCATGAGGACTAAATGGATTAACAGATGTATTAATAAAGTACTTACCACCGGGCGCAGTGGCTCATGCCTGTAATCCCAGCACTTTGGGAGGCCGAGGCAGATGGATCACAAGGTCAGGAGATCAAAACCATCCTGGCTAACACAGTGAAACCCTGTCTCTACTAAAAATACAAAAAATTATCCGGGCATGGTGGCACGCGCCTGTAGTCCCAGCCGCTCAGGAGGCTGAGGCAGGAGAATCGCTTGAATCCGGGAGGCGGAGGTTGCAGCGAGCCAAGATCGTGCCACTGCACTCCAGCCTGGGCGACAGAGTGAGACTCCATCTCTAAATAAATAAATAAGTAAAGTACTTACAACAGTGCCTGGAGCATAGTAAACGCTATATAAGTGGTTGTGTGGTGGGCACTGTTTTTATTGTCGTAGCAATCATAATCATCATGTGTTTTCTTTCTCCATAAGTCCCACAAGGACAGGACCTGGTCTCGTTTACCTTTGTAGCCCCCTTACCAAGCACAGTGCCTGTTGTGTGGGAGGTGTTTGACATATATTTACTGAGTGATTATCGAAATGAATTAAGGTTTTGTCTTGCCTTTGCAGAACCCCATGCAGTTTGAAGAATCGGACTGTGACTCTTCAGATGGGGAGTGTTCTGATGCCACAGTTAGGACCAATAAACACTACAGCTCTGCTACCTGGTAATGAAGGAATACACATCCTGAAGATCTCGTGACTATACTGGCATTTCAGATCCACCCCACCCCCAGACTCATCCCACTCTCTCCCAGCATTTTGTCTGGGAAGAGAGACTACCCCATCTTTACCACCCCCTAGAAATGAGCTGCAATAACAGGAACATGAGACTTCGCAAATCTCTGGAAAATAATATCCAAATGAAATTAAGTCTCACTGAACATTTCAATCAAGAATGGCAGGGATCTATTTTATTGAATATTCTAGCTACTGTAACATTGATATTTATTTTTGTTTGACATTTTAACACTTTGTACTGCAAAGAGTGAACTATATATGAGATAGAGAGACAATAATTTCTTGCAAAAAAAAAAAGAGATAAAAGAAAGAACAGAAAAAAAGAAATAAGTGGAATTTAAGAGCAACATCCTTGGGAATTTGTGGGGCCGGGAGGTATTATTGCTGCTTGAACAGGGGACCAGGTCTTTTGGCCATAAGTGACTAAAGAAGAGCCAGAGCAAGACATTGAACATTTTAGAACACAAAGAACAGCAAAAGAAAAGCAATTCCAGGCAACTTGTGAACAGACCATATTCACTTCAACCAGCTTGTCCAGGTGGCTTACGGAAATGACCTAGAAAAGTCTGGTGACCAGATACTTGCACCCAATGTCTTCAAGGGCATGTGCTTCCTCTAGGAGGGAAAAACAGACAAACAAACAAACAAACAAACCTGTGTATGTGGAAGCTGGTTTCATTTTTAAATGTTTAAGCAGCAGTTGGTAGTGAGGTTTACAGATAGTGTCAAATCTTGTTTTTGGCAAATACGTCCCTTTTTAGTGCTGTCACTGTCATTACCTTGGCAAATGTGCTACCTTGACCCAACGTGTTGATCTTTCATACTCAAGTGCCATTTCCTTGTAGCTCATTTCCTTTCTGCCTGCTGACCACTTCCTGTAGGAACAAAGGTTGGGGGGCAGTACTGAGGAGGAGAAAAGGGTGAGAGAGGAAGAACATCTACAGTGGTGTTAGGAAAACGAACGTGGAATTTATAAAACTCCATTCTCAGGATCACTCAGTTCAGCTACGAGGAGAAGATGGAACCACCCCTCTCTGGAGCCAGGTTGCTTGTCTACTTGAGTCATATTGATTCAAGCAGGAGAACAGACTTTGAAGGCAGCTAGGATGTATGTGTGTCTATACAATGTCTGAGCCCAAACCATCCCTTTGTTTTTATTCAATAACTCATTCTATCTTAGAAGTTCTTTTTTTTTTTTTTTTTTTTGACAGAGTTTTGCTCTTTTTGCCCAGGCTAGAGTGCAATGGCACAATCTCAGTTCACTGCAACCTCCATCTCCCAGGTTCAAGCGATTCTCCTGCCTCAGCCTCCCGAGTAGCTGGGATTACAGGCGCCCGCAACCACGCCTGGCTAATTTTGTATTTTTAGTAGACACGGGGTTTCACCATGTTGGCCAGGCTTGTCTCAAACTCCTGACCTCAGGTGATCCGCCTGCCTCGGCCTCCCAAAGTGCTGGGATTACAGGCATCAGCCACTGTGCCCGGCCTATCTTAGAAGTCTTAATGACTGGCTACCACTGTCAGAATAAAAGCAAAAACAAGCAGCTTGCAAAAGGCAACTCCTCTCCCAGCACAATAGCATTTTTGTTCAATGCTACTTGTAAAATATCTTTTACTTCACTCCAAATCAATGCAGTTTTAAATAACTGGATTTGAACATTTGTGGAAAGAACAAGGGATGCTGAGCAGGGATAGGAAGGATTTTTACATTGCCAAAAGCATGAGGTCCTGCCTGTCTCCAGGGTCATGGGCTCTGAAAAGCATTCCAAGGTACTTCATGGTGCCTTGGCCTTAAGGAAAAATTTTTTTAGAATTTTATGTACAAATAGGTGTTGACCTAGTACCTGTCCCTGTCTCCAAGACAGATTACCGTCAAACAACCTCTCTAGATTCACTGGACTCTTTGACACTGCATCATGTTGGACGTTAGGAAATACTTGCACAGACAGCTGTTAAACCATTTCCAATGCACATGAAAATGTTGCCGCTCCTCTGGGTTTTACTGATTGCATCAGCCAAAAAGGAAAGGCAGGAGGGAATTTAGAGTTCCTTTTGCTTGTTTGATCCATTTGTTTACACTTTATGTTGATACATTGATTTAAAATGTAGTGTCTGTGATTTATAGCTCTTAGGATGAAGGAAAATGTTTAATTTATACAAAGAGCAGTATTGTTTGCATTAATTTATTCCATTTTGTAAAAATTCTGTAGCTGGACTACATGAAAGATCTTAAGTTATGGCATTATTATCATTGTTATTTTATTTTATAATATTATCATTCTCATTTTCTGTCGATCAGAAGGTGTGATTTATGATGTGGCACAATGGTTGTGTTTATTGCTAACCAGGAATTATTATGGATTTTATGATTTTAATGAAGGAATGAAAATGGAATTCCCATTTGGGAGCTCCCTGGTATTGATCTTAGCTGTGTTCCCTAATTTTCTGTGTACAACAATCATCTGAGGACGCATGTTCTGCCCTGAAGCCCAATGGATACATTGTGATTTTGACTTGATCATGAAAGCTCCTGGGTGGGCCGATGACCCCCAGGATGTCAAATAGTGGATGGACATATAGTTAAAAAGCTGTAAACTTTCTAAAGTTTCTTAGGAAATAAATTCATGGGACTATATTAGAAATAAAAAGAGAATGATTTAATGTCCTGAGAGGAACAGACCTAGAGGGTTTCCGCACAGGGCTCATGGATTCGTTTCAAGAATTGACAACATAGTTTGCAATCTCCTTCCTGCCAGACCCCTTTGTTCTCCCACCTTTATTCTCCTAGTGGAGAGTAGCAGGGAGACTAAAAAAAGAAATGGTATACAGTAGTCCCCTCTTACCCATGGCTTCATTTTCATGGTTTCAGTTACGCTCAACAGCAGTCCAAAAATATTTGATGGAACATTCCAGAAATAAACAATTCATAAATTTTAATTGCACAGCATTCTGAGGAGCATGATGAGATCTTGCCCCTTGCTGCCCTGGAGGTGATCCTCCCTCTGTCCAGCATATTCATGCTGCTCATCCATTAGTCACTTAGTAGCAGTCTCGGTGATCAGATCGACTGTCTCGGTTATCAGATGACTGTATCGCAGTGCTTGTGTTCAAGTACCCCTATTTAATTAATAATAGCCCCAAAGGGCAAGAGTGCTGTGCCTAATTTACAAATTAAATTTTATCATAGATATGTAAGTATAGAAAAAAAAACATAGTATATATAGGGTTTGGTACTATCAGAGTTTTTAGGCATCCACTGGGGGTCTTGGAATGTATCCCCCAGAAATAAGGGAGGACTACCGTATATACATGTAGGGCATGACATAAAATGCCTAACTGTGATGTCATCCTAGAACAAGACTAAAGAACTTTAAGAAGGAGGCCTGGTCACTTAGAGGACCAACGACTGGAAAAAAATTCTTGAAAGGCTATATTTTCCATCCTCTTGACTTCAGATCTCACTGTACTGTAAATCTCTCTGGTTCATTATTCCTTGGAACAGAGATGCTACAACTCTATGTCTTCTTTCTATCCAACATAAAACACTGGCAGTTTTGTCCAATTCTTGCCCACCTTTAGTGGCAACAGAGAAACATGAGGGTCAGCTTTTATCTTACATCTTTCAGTGATGGTCTTCCTAGAAAACCTACCCCTGATACCTCGTAATTTTGATCAGTTTTTTTTGAATTCTCATCTTGATTATCTGTTATGCTATTGTCATCATACACCTTATGTGGATTAACTGTTATGAGTATGTTAGGGTAGTACGTAGTGGCTGAATCTCAGTCATTCATTGTATAGTCGAGAGTTGAATAAAGTCCATATTGAACACATTTTTTTAAGTAGAATTGACTAGAGGTTTCAGAGGAGAATAAGGTCCTTAGTGGAGGTTAAAAAGGGAAATACCTTCTCTAGCCCAGCCTGGTCCTTCGCTGCCTGCCTTGTGATAACCGGGAAAATCTTGAATTGATGTATGTTTCTTTGAGAACGACTCCACAGTCATCTGAAGAGTGTTGAATCAAGAGCTCAGGGAAGTTATGAGCTAATTCTTCAGTCCTGACAAGTGTGTTACAACAGTGCTTCCAGGAACCTCACAAGACTGTGATTTCAAGCTGCTTCATTGATGGAAAGTTTCACCATCTTGGGATGAATGTCCATGTTCCGTTAGCGTCTGTTTTTAACTGACTGCAAGATGATGAGTTTTAATTTGGGTTGCAGATGAGCATTTGGTTCTGATTTTCATCTATTTCAAGATCATATCCTCTGGATAACAGTTCCTTTTAAAATTGCTTTGCAGAGGGGCTGAGAAGCCTGCATCTACTTTGAAATTATAATGGACCTTACCACCACTTAAGTTTAGACCTGTTTGCAAGATGGTGGGGAGCTCCTACTGAGAAAGATGAAGATGCTAGCTCTATTGTAAACTGGCGTCTTCATCTAGCTACTTGAAGTTGAGATACTATATTTTAAAATGTTGGCATCAAACAAATCTATCCTTCTAGAAGTAAAGACATTTTGAGTAGGATTTAGTAAGTACTGGACATCTCCTGTAGAGCTTCATCATGCTAAATTATTCCCCTCTCCTTTTCTAAATAATAGATGTGCTTGGGTTTGGGATTTACCTGGCACCAACCCAGACTTTTTTTGGGGGGGGGTGAGGGCGCAGGATCTCACTCTGTCACCAGGTTGGAGTACAGTGGCATGATTATGGCTCACTGCAGCCTCAACCTCCTGGGCTCAAGTGATCCTCCCACCTCAGCCTCCTGAGTAGCTGGGACCACAGGTGTGTGCCACCATGCACAACAATTTTTTTTTTTTTTTTGTAGAGATGGGCGTCTCCCTGTGTTGCCCAGGCTGGTATCGAACTCTGGGCTCTAGCGATCCTCCTGCTTTGGCCTCCCAAAGTACTGGGATTACAAACGTGAGCTGCCATGCCCAGCCTCCAGACTATTTTAAATGCCCTCTCCCACTGTGGAACATTGGCATCCTTTAAGAATAAATGCATCCTTTTTGATCAAATGATTTACTCTTTTTTTCTTCAATGTCCTCATGTCTCAATTTTTTTTTCCTTTTCTTAAAACAGTCCCACTTGAACTTCCTGGAACTGAATTCTCCAGAACATAATATTTATAATCCATAGAATTCCTGCCCTGCTCTGCAGTAGAGTGTGCTATGTTTTGTTTTCCCACTGAGCCAGAAGCCGAAATATTATACTACCACTTACCACCATCTACCACCTCCAAGACCAAGACCAACATTATGTATTGAGCATCGTATCTTTCCTACTGAGCCTAGACACAGCCTCAGAACCTCTCAACATAGCACTTGGAGCAACAATTGCCGCTTGATTGGAATTGCCATTTGAGCTTGAGTTAGCCCCAATGGCAGAACGACAGGCTCGCACTAGTGTCCACCTGTGGCTGTCAGGGGCGGTACCACAGAAAGGGGAAAGGCCACTTGCCTCTACCCACTGCCCTTTTGGACAACAATTCCAATTGAAGGAACACCAATCACTGATGGATCCCATTCCAAAATGTCTCTTCATTCACATCATTTAATTCTGTTGAATGAATATGTTCCTCCCTCACCTTTTATAAACAGAAAATTAATATAAGTCCCAGTTACTTGCTTCTTAGACTCTGTGAGACTCATGTACCAAAACAATGTGACATTCTTTTCGAGACTTTGACTTGTACGGTCAGTATGAATTTAGTGCCTTTCCAGGCAGCAAAATGTTTCTTCTTTGCTGATTTCATAGGACAAATATCCTAGCATACTCACACCACCAGTGTCCCACCCTCACAGACTGGCACATTAGAATCATATTAATCTGCTTGTTTGCATGTTACAACTGATACTGCAAAAGCCTATTCAAGTCGGACTGAACTAGGCTAAGCAGAGGACCCTTGTGGAACCTGGAGCATTTCTCAGGGACAGGTGGCTAAAGAGGGGAGCTCTAAAATCACTGCTCTGAGAAACAGGAGGTGGGTTAAGGCTTTTGTTAACTGTCATGTGGCCAGGGTACGATGGCAGGACTTCACAGAGCAGAGCCCTAAGCAGATGGCAAGGCCACTGTAAGGAAGCTCCCGGCAGCATCCCAGGTCTGCTCTCCAGAGCCACTTCACAGCACTCAGGGATCGCTGGCTCCCGGCCCTAGGCTGCTGTCCAGTGACCAGGTGGACAGGGTCCTCCAGTGACTGCAGGCCAAGGGAACCCCAGCCAGCATGTGCAAGCTATTAGGAAGATGTCCCATCTTGCCCATATCACCCCAGTGGCTCTTCACCTTCAGAGTGACCACTTCCCAGACTCTGGAAGTGGGAAGACCCTCTTTGACGCTTTATTACAGTAATTTGAGCTCCTATCGACTTGGAGCGAATGAATTTCTCTTTTGTGGTTAGGTCTCCAAATGAACCTCCTTACCTGGCTCCCCTCTGGTCTCCTGTACTGTCAGTCCCCAGCTCCCAGTGTTGTTTTCTGATGCCGGCTCCCTCTCTGTATTGAACGGCAATGGGAACAAGAATGACTATCAAAGCAAACAAATGCATGGAATTAAACAAAAAGTGTACTTCACTGTTTTCTAGTCCTGTCTTTTTCTAAATGTACTGTTTGTGCCCTGAGAGCTGCCTTAATAATCTCAGCATTTGTCAGAACTTGAGGGAAAGGAAGACTTTCCATGACTGGGTTTCCTGCAGCCACAAAAAGCAGGTAATGGAGAAAGCTAGTTTCTGCGATTCTTGTATTTGACACAGCCACGAAAGGAAGGGGCAATCATCATTTTATTTGGTGACAGCCTCTTCTTGAGTATTCTGTAAAAGCTAGACTGGCACTCTGCTTCTTCCCTATGCTTTCCTGCTGCCCATCCGGTAGCTACTCCTGTTACTACTGACCCCACTATACAGGGAGCAGAGAGAGAAAATGAAGATGAAAATCTGGCTTCTGAGAAATTATTTTGGTAAGAAGCATTGAGAGTGGAAAGCTTAAAACACCATTTTGGACTGTCCAATTTTCAGCCAATCCTAATTCCCACTGGCAAAGGTAGTTGAAAGTTAGCAACATGTTCAAACAAGCACCACACAGAACACTTACATCCATTTATTTGGGAAATTGCTTCACCTGTAAACTCACAACTGATAAGGCACATTATTGCAAAACTGTCGGGGTGGAGGGAGGGAGGCAACTCTAAGGATCCTGAAAAGGGGCAAAGGGCACACACTTGCGATGATGTGGAAAACATGTTTCTCCTTCCCTCCCCCTACTCCAGAACACCAAAGGCCACAGTCTTCAAAGTCTGCTGCCTCCTTCCCCCACTCTCGTTATCAAGGCTTCTTTTAAAGAAACACGTTTTAAACAATGAAATCCTCGGTGTGAAAGGATCATACCATAACCAAAAACCATCACCTGGGGATGCACTCTTCCTATGGAACGTGAGTAATTCCCAAGAATTCATGTAGAACAAGAGGCATAGATTAAAGTCTTGGCAAGACTCTTGGCCAAACCAAATCATCAACCCAGCAGATGATGCCCAAAAGCAGCAGTCTGGTAAGTCCTGATGAGTTACTCCTGTGGGGTGCAGGATCACAGGGCTGGTCAGTTTAGGTGCCAAGGTCCTTCTGTCTTTGGAAGCATTAATCCAGGTCTGTAACAATTCTGTACTGCAGCTACAGGAAGTAATGACAGCTATAGGCCATTAAGATACAACACAACAAAGTTATCAGAAGCCAAGGTTTCCTCTTTGAATTAAAAGATAAATTAAAAGATACAATTGTTTAGTTACTCTAAGCAAATACAACAATGAAAAACATTCAGAGGGTATACTGCCTGATGGCCCCATATACTGAACCCATTCTCCTAGCATGACACAGAACGGATTCCTGCAGAAAGGACAGATAAAATGTTTGCCTGGTCATGATTCAGGTGAGTCAAGGGCCCTGCCCCATCCAGATGGGTAAGAATTTCTCCAGAACATATCCATGACATACAGCGTTTGCTCCATTCATATTTAATAGTCTGTTTGCAATCAGCTTAACTGTCAGGACATGCGATCATAAGGAGGTCTGACATACATGGTAATGTCAGTGTGTCTGAACACAAGAGCGTGACAGAAATCATCATGTATGTGAGCAACACGTGGAAGTCCTAGGCAGTTCGTCAACTTGTTTCACTTGGCTTATGAAGAGGTAGGTCATCAGCAAAGAAGTACAAAAAAATGCTCTTCAAGAGACTAACAGAAGATGAAGAGCGGTGTCAGTGATGTGAGTTCCCGTGTCATCATTGGTACTAAACATCCACAAAGATGCAACAGGAGGACATCTGTCCCAGCAGCCTGTCACTCTGCAAAAGCAGTACTCTGGACAAGGACAATCAGCATCTTCTCCCAAGGCAGCTCAGGGGCTGGCATGAGGCAAATACAACAGGCTATCCCGAACTCCTTATTAGACCACAAAATACAAACAGCATTTTCTTTTTTTCTCTTTTTTTTTTTTTTTTTGTCAAGACAGTGTCTCACTCTATCACCCAGGCTGGAGTGCAGTGGTGTGATCTTGGCTTACTGCAACCTCTGCCACCTTGGTTCAAGCAATTCTCCTGCCTCAGCCTCCCGAGTAGCTGGGATTACAGGTGCCTGCCACCACGCCTGGCTAATTTTTGTATTTTTATTAGAGACAGGATTTCACCATCTTGGCCAGGCTGGTCTTGAACTCCTGACCTTGTGAATCACCGGCCTCGGCCTCCCAAAGTGCTGGGATTACAGGCGTGAGCCACCGCGCCCGGCCACAAACAGCATTTTCTAGGAGGCATCTGTTGCAGTGTCTGCTACACCAGGGCTGGTTTGAAAACCTGATGTAATACACCTTCAAGAGCAGAGTGTCCTTTCTGAAAAGACACTGCACATTGATGCACAGTGTCCACATCACCTATAGAAGGCAATCAAAAACAATGAGGGGCTTTAGAGGACCACATCCATTACACAAATAAGCAACTGAGTCCAGGGATGTGGCAAACAGAAAATCCAGATCATGTGTCTTTTCTACTGTGTATATGATTAGCAGTACTTGTTTCATTCAATTGCAGATGTTTCTGACTAAATTTTTTAATGAGGGTTCCAGGAATTAATGCCACCATGGCAATGGCCAACAGCTTAAAGACAGTGTCCCAGGAGAAAAGAGCATCCAGAGAGGTTAGGGTTGACAGGATGGACCCTGTCTGCACACAGATGAAATTATATGGGATCAAACCTGGAAGAAGAAAAGGACAAAGCACCTGTTACAAGCAGCAGCAAAATTAAGAAAATAATAATTCAGAATGTCACCAGGAACAGTGACTACGGTTTTTTTTTGCTTGACTCTTGACCCTTATACATATTAACTCTTTCCCTTCTTTCCTTCTTTTCTATTATTTTCCCTCCTTTCCTCACTTCCCATATATGCCTGTCTTGTTCAACAAAAGAACTTGAGATATTTACACAAATAATACATGCTACTATAAGACAATTTTAAAATAGGGCCAGGAATGGTGGCTTATGCTTGTAATCCCAGCACTTTGGGAGGCCGAGGTGGATCACCTGAGGTCAGGAGTTCGAGATCAGCCTGGCCAACATGGTGAAACCCCGTCTCTACTAAAAACACAAAAATTAGCCGGGTGTGGTGGCATGTGCCTGTAATCCTAGCTACTCAGGAGGCTGAGGCAGGAGAATCACTGGAACCTGGGAGGCAGAGGTGGCAGTGAGCCAAGATCTTACCACTGCACTTCAGCCCAGGCGATAGAGCTAGACTCTGTCTCAAAAATAAATAAATAAATAAATAAAATTTTAAATAGGAAAAGCAAAATGCGTGCAGAAGAATACAAGACATCAGGGAGTACAGTTAGTAAAAAAATGCATAAGGTTCACCTGTTTGCCAAAAGTGGGCCCCAAATTTGGTTCTGAGTACCCAACAGCCAAAGTAAAGAGAGAAGTGCCATTGTTGACAAACAGTTTTTTAAAAGAAGTACTATTCACATTCTGTACTGTCTCAAAGATGTCATCAAATCCACTGGATTCCAAAAGTCTGGCTGGCTGAACAGGCTGGCTGCAGAACAATCAGCTGGTGACATTGTTAAAAAACCACATCCTTGGGCTCCACCCCAGAAATTCTGGGTACTTGGTTCTGGGGTAGTGCCCAGGAACCTGTATTTTAAAAGCCCCTTCTCCACTCCCACCCTGAGATTCCGATTGGTTTGGAACACTCTGATAGTCCATTTCTCTTCTATAGGAGAGGAAGTATACAGGAGATGAAGATCCCAGACCCCTCAGGGTCACACAGCTTGTGAGACAGAGGACAGGAAGCCTGGTCTCCAGAATCTTGCCAAGCCTCATGCCACCTAGGTAATTAGAAGCAGCAAACCCCCACTAGCTGAGGGCCTGAGGCACTTTGTCTGAAAGCCAATATGACCAAAATTGGCCGTGGTAGATCTTGCTTCTATTTAAGATCTCCATTTCTCTCAGGTATCTCCTATGAATAGCAGCTGCTCAACCACAGATTTGCTCTGTTTGACCTAGAAGCCCTGAATCGTCTTTCCCTCTAGGATCTAAGGGAGGTTTAAGAGAAGAGATCCTTGCCTTAGGCTTAAGGAGGGTGGTTTTCTTCCAGTATGGAGAAAGTAGCAAACACTGATTTTATAGGATGTTAGCACTTTACCACTCTGATAAAGGTGGTCCAAGGCCCATACTTCAAGAAACACTGCTCTAGTCCCAGCCCCTTATCTGGACGAGTAGCCCGTTCAGACTAAGTAGCTCGCTGCAGGTCATATAATTGTCAAAGGCAAGGAGAAACTTTAGATATCGTCTAATTCAGTAGACTGCAAAACTCAGGATCCAGCGGAATCCCTTTTAGGGACTAACTACTTGCATCACCTGGAAAATGTTAAAAGATCCTGATCCCTGAGTCCTACCCCAGAGATGATTTAGTTGATGTGTGGTGTAGCCTTAGCTTAGGGATTAAAATCTCCACAGGTGATGTTTTGTTGTTTTGTTTGTTTTTGTTTTTTTGCTTTTTTTCTTGAGATGGAGCCTCACTCTGTCACCCAGGCTGGAGTGAAGTGTCATCCTCTCAGCTTACTGCAACCTCCGCCTCCCAGGTTCAAGCCATTCTCCTGCCTCAGCCTCCCAAGTAGTTGAATTACAGACGCACACCACCATGTCAGGCTAATTTTTGTATTTTTAGTAGAGATGGGGTTTCACCATGTTGGCCAGGCTGGTCTTGAACTCCCAACCTCAAGTGATCCACCCGCCTCAACCTCCCAAAGTGCTGGGATTACAGGTGTGAGCCACTCAGCCCGGCCTCCAAGTGATTTTTAATAGGTTTGCAGGCGATTCTTAATAGGTTTGCAGTTTGAGAATGACTGGGTTTGCAGTTTGAAAATGACTGACTAGGAACTGGATTAAAATGCATATTCCCAGATTCCACTCCCAAGATTCTGATTCAGTAGGTCTGGAGTAGGCCCCAAATCTAGATTCTCAACAAGCCCCCTGACCCTAACAATCTGATGAAGGTGGCCCAAAGCCCACACTTTGAGAAACACTGCTCTATTCCTAGCCAGGTGGTCCATTGAGGGTAAGTAGCTTGCTGCAGGTTGTGCAATTGTCAAAAGGCAGGAAGGAACCACACTGATGCCAGCAATTCCTAAGGCAGAACTTAATCAAAACAGGGGCCAAAAACCAGACAGGAAGTCCCTTGCTCTGCTCCTTTCTTCTGTCCCCACTCAAAACTCATGGACACACACCCTCATTCCAACCCTGCTCTTCCTGCTAGCATTTACTGAGTACTTACTATGGGCCAATTTGTATACTTTACACAGACCATCTCTTCTAATCCCAGTGCCTAGTGCATACAGCCATGCAATGGACAATCTTTATTTAGTCCAAAAGTATTTTTATGGGTTTTCATGTTGAAGCCTGAGCAGATCTGAAATCAGGAATCATTTCTTTAGATCATAAGGCTTGAAGTCACACTTTGTGAGCCTGTGTTCTCAGAAGCAGGCACATGCTCACGTGGCCAATAACCCAGGGCAGACCCCCAGCGTGACAGCTCTGAAGACTCAAACCTACCCCACTAGCATCTTACCGATAAGAACTGAGAAGAAGAACTGCACGATGGGAATGTTCAGAATTGGGGCCGAGAGGTTCAAGAACCAGTTTGGTGTCATGGGGAAAAGTCTCAAAAACAATAAGAAAAAAAACAAGCTGTTTCTGTTCTCCTCCACCTGTAGCCAAAGAGAAGAAAGCTGTTAAGAAGCAGAAAGGGTCTCCAGGTGTTGAAAACCTGCTGGTGCCAGGCACTGTTCTAGACACTTTACATAATCTGTTCCCAATTCTTCCAACAACCCTCCAGGGAAAGACTGTTTTCCTCATTTTAAAATAGACATGCTGAGGATCAGAGAAGTCAAGAACTTGCCCAAAGTCACAGAGCTGGTAATGATGGAGCTGGGATTTGATCCCAGGTCTATGTCTCCTGAAGACATCAAAAGAACCCCTAGGACCTCCTGAAACAGCGTGGAAGAGTACTGTGGGAAATCCCTGCCACTCGCTTCTCTCAAGGCCATGCACGTAGCGACTGTCTGGGGTCCCAGCTCTCAGATGTGACCCCTCCCCTTACCTTTCTCTGCAGCAGGGCCACTTTATCAGGAAAGTAGGACACCACCAACTGTTTGCCAAAAATACTGGAGAGCAGGTAGCAGCATGTGGCACCCACCGAGGTCAACACACAGCACAGCAGAAGCCCCAGCCATGGCCCAAACAAGGCACCAGCTAAAACATTCTGCAAATAAAACAAACCCTCAGGCATGTGAACATCTGGCAGCTACCAGGCACGTCATCTTGGAGCCTGAGAGTCATAGGTTCCCTCCTCCTTCACTGCTTTTTTCCAGCTAAAACCCAATTGCGTTATTTATTTATTTTTAAGAAACAGGATCTCGCTCTGTCACCCAGGCTGGAGTACAGTGACATGATCATAGCTCACTGCATCCTCGAACTCCTGGACTCAAGCGATCCTCCTGCCTCAGCCTCCCAAGCAGCTAGGACTGTAGGCACACACCACCACATTCACCCACTTTTTAAAATTTTTTGTGGAGATGGGGTCTCACTGTGTTGCCCAGGCTGGTTTCAAACTCCCGGACTCAAGTGATCCTCCCACCTCAGCCTCCCAAAGTGCTAGGATTACAGGCGTGAGCCACTGCCCCAGGTCCCAATTGCCATTTAAAGAGGTGAATGAAAAATTATGAAAAGGCTGGGAACTACACCTGCCGTCAGTCTCTTCACCTTGAAAATGAGGATAAGGATAAAAGCCTCAGGGGGCAGGAGAGAATGAAATGGGATCTGTGGCTGTGGTAGATTCTGCAATGACTGGGGCTCCAAGAAAGTAGAAATGAAACTCACGAGTTATTTTTACTATTTCAAAAGATGAACACAAACCATGAATTTTCCCTTGGTAAGACCACACAAGCTATGTAAGATGTCTTGTTTCTTTGCTTTTTGCTGGAATTACATCTATGCAGTATGTTAATACCGGGGTTCCATGTTGACCAGAGCTCTAGCAGACATTTGAAGATGTCTTGGTTTAAGAAAAAGGGAAAAGTGAACCAATACTTCCTAAATGCATTTTGGTTGGTAGACATCATCCTGACAAAACATGGGATCCAAGAGAGAAAGTAAAAGGAAGCCTTGGAAGTGGGAAGCTGGGGAGCCGCTAAGCACTGTGTTAAGTGCTTGACTACATGTCCTGTGTAATCCTCACTACATCCCTGAGTCATGCCATCCTTGCCCCATTCTACAGGTGAGAGATTAAGTATCCTCCCCAAGAGCACAGCAGGCAGAGTCAGGGTTCACCCTCAGGTCTGGATGTGGAGCCCCCACCAAGCAGCAGCTGGCTCTCTGCCCTGAAGAGGGATCAGTTCAAGACAGAAGACAGACACAGGGCAGCCTCAAGGAGTCAGCCCCTGACCCCGAGCCCCACACACCTCCCCTGCCTCTCTTGGACATGTTTGCTTTTCTTCTAGTTTCCGACAAGGAAACTGTTTGAGCAGGTCCAGCCTCAGCCTAGAGGAGAGAAACAGGCTGGGGTGGGAGAGGGAAGCAGTACAAAAGGAAGCTGTCAGTGTCTCCCACTTCGGTGCTCAATCCCTCCGTAAGTGCTGAGGGCCACTGTGTGCCAGCCCCGATACACCCACTGTCACTTTTAATCATCCCCACACAACAATCCCATGAGGTTACAGGGGAGTATCCAAATTTTACAGATAAGGAAACAGGGTTGGAGGGAGGGCAGGACACTGACCAGGAAGCTGGAGCCGGGGATGGCAAAGCCCTGTTTGTAGAGGTAGGCGCCGCAGAAGAGCAGGAACACGTAGGCCTGGTGCTCCTTCCGGTACTCTCGAAGGACCTCAGAGAGCTCCCGCAGCTCTGCCAGGTCGGAGGGGAACCACAGCGACCTGGGGATTTGGAAAAGCAGATGGAAACATGAGTTCAGATCAGTCCAGTGCCCATGAAAGTCACTCGCTGTGTCTTCTTTTCAGAGTAGGTTTATAAATATGCCCATCATCTGATCTGCTGGGAACACATACACTCCCAATGACAGATGACCTGATACGACGTTGCGGAGACAGACAGGAGAGCCCTAGTTTGGAAGCAAGAGACCTGGGTTAGCATCCCAACCCTGCTACTTTCTGTTTTACGTCCTTGGACTAGTCCCTGAGTCTCTTTCCTTATCTAAAAAGTGAGAGGTTGGTGCTAAACAGTCATTAAGTTCCCCTTTAGCTCTGGGATTTTAGAATCTGTTCTTAAGAGGCAAATGGATTCATTTCCAGGCAAGTTCTAAATGTCTCAAATTGCCTTCCTTTCAAGGACACTGCCTCCCCCACAAACCAAGAACAATTCAGACTTCAAACTGTTCCTGAGGTGCCAAGTAAAACGACTTTTTAGCATTCACTATAAAGCCAATTAGAGATTCTTCAGGAAAGTATATCTATCCCATAGGATAAATGTAACTTTTTTGATAATATGTCAGGCTTGAATCGAACCCTTTCAAAGAGCCTACTATTTAACTCTGCTCTTAATCTGGTCCTCAATGCACTTTGAATCCTGCCCAAGGGTTATAGTAGCAAGGCTATCTTGCCTCTGCCATCTGAACAGTCCTTGAATCCATCACTGATTAATCATGAGCAAACCCTCCTACTTCTCACGAGAGTTTCTCTCGGTATGTCCGACACCCACAGCAGAGCCTTCTTAGCTACAGCAAAAGAATACAGTAACTGAAAACAGCTGCCTTAATAGTCAAATATCAGTAATTCCCTTAACCACGCAATGCTGTACTAGGCACACTTCCATGCACTTTATAAAGAGTATGCAGCACTCACAAAAACCGGCCAGGTAAGTATTGCTCTGCCTCCTGCCTCGACCAGTCGTTCATTAGAAGGGGAAAAGGAGGCCAGGCGCGATGGCTCACGCCTGTAATCCCAACACTTTGGGAGGCTGAGGCAGGCGGATTACCTGAGGTCAGGAGTTCGAGACCAGCCTGGCCAACATAATGAGACCCCCCCCCCGCGTCCCTACTAAAAATACAAAAATTAGCCGGCCGTGGTGGCGCGCGCCTGTAGTCCCAATTACTTGGGAAACTGAGGCAGGTGAATCGCTTGAACCCGGGAGGAGGAGGTTAAAGTGAGCCGAGATCGCGCCACTGCACTCCAGCCTGGGTGACAGAGCAAGACTCCGTCTCAGAAAAAAAAAAAAAAAAGGTAAAAGTAGAGACAACCAGGAAGACGGGCAGAGTCGATAATTAATTCGTGAATAATTTAAAGTTGTCTATGCAATATTTCTCCTGAAGATCTAATGTCTAAAGTCTCAAGGGCAGACCTGACGTAAGTGGGGTGGGGAGGAGGAGAGACAGTTGAAAGTGGACTTGAAGAGGCTGGGGGCCCGCACGGGGGCGAAGGTGGGCTGGAAATGGGGCCCAGGGCTGGGACTGGGAAAGCAACGGCGCGGGCAGGCTCAGCGCCGCGTCTCCCTCGGCAAATCCACCCAACCAAAGGCACCGCGGCGTGACGCCCTGCACACCCTGCAGCCAGCACCACACAGGTCCCAGTCAGGCCCGGAGCCGGGCTCCCATCCACCCTTCTGTCCGAGACCGTGCGGACGCGGGCCCGGATACCAGACCCGGATTCCAGTCCGATAAGTGAACCTCAATTCCCAACGCCTCCGATACCGGAACCCGAATCTCCGAATCTCCGATTCCCAGCCCCGGTCCTCGGACCCGGCTCCCTTCCTCTGACCCGAACCCGGATTCCCGCCACGCACCTGCCTCCAGCCTCCTCGGTGGAGCCCAGTCTCCGCCCGCGGGGCAGTCGCGTCGACAGCAAGTACAAGGCGAAGGTGCAGCCGGCGAAGACCAGAAGGAGGCCGAGAAGCGGGCGCATGTCGGCTCCGCACCCCGGCCCGCGGGGCAGCCGAGAAGCTCACTTGCACTCCGGGACGCAGCGGCGGGCGGACTGAGCCCGCGGAGCACGTTCACTGACGGACCAGGGAGGGGTCCGCGCCGAGACCCGCCTCCGAACCAGGCCCCACCTCCTGAGCCAGGCCCCCGCCCCCGATTCTGACTCCGCCCTCTCTGTCCTTCGGTGGAGACTCCGGGAAAAACCTGCCTCCCAGTCTGCCCTCTCTCCGTCTGTCTGTGCTTGTTTTTCTACGTTTATCCCTGTCGCTTTCCCCACTTATTCTGCAGGCATGGCGCGCCCCCAGTGCCGGCTTGGTGCCAGGGCTGGGAGATCCGGGGGTGAATCGTGAGCCCGGCCCACAGCGAGCTTGCAGTCTAGAGATCAAGGCAGTCTTGTCCACAACCTGCTGTCACATAAAGCAAATGTAGCTGGTGTAGCACCAGGGGCTGCAATCAAGTGCGGTGGGGCGGCAATAGTGACCACGGAAATAATCAGAATTGCTTTTAATTCAGCTCCTACTATATTCCCGCATCCCTGAGCCTCACAATCATCCTCCAAGGTAGGTATTTTTGTCTTTCTCTAACAGATGAAAACTCTGAGTTTCAGAAGAATTAAATGACATCCCCCCAAAAGAGAGACAGTATAAGAATCCAAGTCAACCTGAGTCCAAAACCAGTGGCCCTTAACACTGTGTGGCTTTATGGAGGACATGGAGTTTAAGTTTACCTTCAAGGATGAGCAACACTTTTCTTCAAGCAGAAAAAGAAGGGAATGGGTGAACACGGTCCCAGGTAAGGCACCAGAATCCAGTTTCAGTGAAGCCTAAGGTATATGAGAAATAAGTGAGAATCTGGGGACAAACAAGAGTGCACTGAAGGCAGGCTAAGGAGTTAGATTTTTAATAATGTAGATGAGACACCAACAGAGGTGTTTAAGTAAGAGAATGATTTCGTTCCTGTTTTAGGATGTTCGCTTTGGCAGATGATTAGAATACGTGCTGACTTGATAGCCACAACTGTCCTGATAAGAAAGTACGCCGGCCTGGCTGGGCATGGTGGCTCACGCCTGTAATCCGAGGATTTTGGGAGGCCCAGGCGGGCGGATCACTTGATGTCAGGAGTTCGAGACCAGCCTGTCCAACATGGTGAAACCCCGTCTGTACTAAAAATACAATAATTAGCCGAGCATGATGGCATGTGCCTGTAATCCCAGCTACTCGGGAGGCTGAGGCACGAGAATCGCTTGAACCTGGAAGGCAGAGGTTGCAGTTACTTTCCCGACATTGCACCACTGCACTCCAGCCTTGGCGACAAGAGCGAAATTTTGTCTCAAAAAAGAAAGAAAGAAAGCACTCAGGCCTGACCCAGGACCACAGCAGTGGACATGGAGGGAGGAGGCTGGGGGTAGTTGGATTGGTATGATATGTCACTGAGTAAACGAAGGAAGGGACAGAAAGAGAACTCCAAAGTGTCAAAAGCCTGGACAACAGAGAGAAAGCATCCTTGTCCTATCATTTAAAGCACCTGTTGGGCCAAATAGGGAGCACCTTTCAGAATCCATGTGCACAAGATCTCAGCAATTCTACGTCCAAGAATGTAACCTACATCCAAGAATGTACTGGAATTTAATTCCACATCCAAGAATCCCCATAGGTAGCAAAGATGTATATTTAAGGGTATTCTCTCAGCTTTGTTTTTATGTTAGGAGATTGGGAACAACCTAAATGCCCATCAGCTGGTGACTGGCTAGGTTAACTATTCACAAATGGAATACTAGGTAGCCTCCTAAAAGAGGAAAGCAATTCTACATATCCTGATACAGTGTGGTCACCAGATAGATGGCTAAGATACAAATAAAACAAACAAGTTGCAGTGTTAGAGTATGCTATGTATCACTCCTTTTTAAGGACAAAAAGAGGATATACTTTAACTTTTTAAGATACCAAAGTATTTATTTATTTAAAATTTTTTTCACAGAATTGTTATAGCATGTAGAACCAAAAATTATTTACAAATGAAATTATTCAATGTCTGAGATTTGTGTCAAAATAATGGTATGGGGGTTTAGTGAGTAAGCATGTAGGTAGAACAAGATTGTCCATGAGCTGATAGTTGTTGAAGCTGGGTGATCACCTGGGTGTTTTATACTATTTGGGTGTTAAACTATTTTTTTTTCTATTCTTGTGTATGTGTCAAATTTCCACTTAAGAAAATGGGGGAAAATGGTGTCAGCCCTCCATTCCAGCTGAACACACCATGTTAGTTCATGCCCCATCACACCACTCTTCTAGCCATCTGTCAATCTTCTCTGCCTGGCAAATTTCTACTCTTTCATCAGGACCCAGGATAATTATCACCTTCTCTGAGAGGGCTTTTCCAACCCCTATAGTCAGAATCATTCCTTCTCTATGCTTGGGGCCCCCTGAGAAATGTCTCTAATCCTGTCACAAATACATATTCCAGTGTCATTATCCATCTCCCTAGTAGACAGTGAACATTTCCATCAATGAGACAATGTCTCAACTATCTTCTTTCTGTCTCAACCCTTAACCCTGGCACTTAATACTTGTTTGTTAAATTCATGGGTCAGGTCTAGTGAAGACAATGATTAGTTGTTTGGTTTGATACATACTGACCTTGAGAAGTCAAAGGGATATAGGAGGAGAGAAAGTGAATGAGGAACTGATGTTACTGAGCCTGTGCTAGGAGACTGCTGGGGCAAGGAATAGAGTGAGGAGAAAGGAGGCAAGGCTCCTGCTGGCAAGGACCTCACTTTCATTTCAGCTGGGGAAGAGCATGGAAAGATGTCATTCTAGAGCATGGTAAGTGCCATGGATGAAATAGACAAGGCAAAACTTATTCCACTTCAGCAAAGCGAGTGTCAATATTCTACTTATGGATGAGTGGATGAACACATGTTCAGATGAAATCACTTGTGCAAAGTTTACAGCTGTTAGTGCTGAACAGGAACAAGCCTTTGTCTGCCATCATGTGCGGCCATGCTTTTTCCTCTGCCCTTCACTGCCATTCGACATGCAGGTGACACTCTGGAGCTCGGACCGAACATTCAGATTTGGAGGTCATTCTACAGGAGATAGTTGAAATGAGGGGAGGGGAGAAGGTCTCCTAGAAACCACAAGAGAGGGAAAGTAACAGCAGCTGACTTTCATTGAGTACTTAGTACACTCCAGACCCCATACTAAGCATTTTTTTTTTTGAGATGGAGTCTCGCTCTGTTGCCCTGGCTGGAGTGCAGTGGTGCAATCTCGGCTCACTGCAACCTCCTCCTCTTGGGTTCAAGCGATTCTCCTGCCTCAGCCTCCCAAGTAGCTGGGACTACAGGTGTGTGCCACCACGCCCAGCTAATTTTTTGTATTTTTAGTAGAGCCAGCATTTCATCGTGTTAGTCAGGATGGTCTTGATCTCCTGACCTCATGATCTGCCCGCCTCAGTCTCCCAAAGTGCTGGGATTACAGGCGTGAGCCACCGCACCTGGCCCATACTAAGCCTTTTACACTTTTAAAAGTAAAAGTGAAATCACTTTGCACAAGTGATTTCATCTGAACATGTGTTCCTCCACTCATCCATAAGTAGAATATTGACACTTGCTTTGCTGAAGTGGAATAAGTTTTGCCTTGTCAATTTGTTTATTTATTTATTTATTTATTTATTTATTTATTTATTCTATTATATATTTATTTATTCCATATAACAACCCTCATTAAGTAGGAACTCTTTTTTGAGGGACAGGGTATTACTGTGTTGCCCAGGCTAGTCTTGAACTTCTGGCCTGTGGTGTTCCTCCTGCCTTGGCCCCACAGAGTGCTGAGATTACAGGCTTCAGCCACCATGCCCGGTCTAAAGTAGGAACTCTTAACAGTCCCACATTTATAGCCTGGGAAAATGAAGCTTAGGAAGAATGAAGTCAACAGAGCAACAGAGGTCACACACCTCGCAAACAGCAGAGCCCAAATGTCTTACCATGCACTACCCTTTTGAGAAAGAAGACTGAAATCAGGAGCCTGGTAAGGAAATGGTGGAAACAGTGAAAGAGAACAAGATGCACTGTTTCATTTGTGAGATGAGAAACAGAAAAAAAGAAATGTCCTGAGAGCCCAAGAAAGACTGTTAGGAAAGGAACTGGGGCAAGTGTCAGAGTCCATGGAGAAACCCAGCAGGGAAACCTGAGGGTCATGGCAATTGGCCAACACGAGGCGATAAGGGACCTTTGATGGAGCTATTTTTGGTGGTGCTAACCTTCTTTGCTACAGGCTCACAACTGGAGCATCTGCTTGCTTCCTCTGACCTGCCCCCTGGACTCATGTTGTCATTCTTCTCGCTCAACCTGTCTGCCTAGGGAAGAAGCCCTGGACTGTGTTTCCCCAATCTCAGTATTCCCAACCCTCCTGGCCCCCAACCCAGTACCTGCAGAGCTGACTCTAACCACCCAGTGCACCTCCCGCAGGCTGCAGCAGCCCCCATCGAGGCCACTCATTTACAGCACAGGCCCACACAGTCTGACAAAGGACAGCTGCAATCCTCTGTCAACTGCAGTCCTTTCCCAGGCACATGCTGGATTGGGAAACAGGTGGGAGAAAAGAACAGGTAAGACGTTCCTGTGGGAGTGAGTTAGCCTGGCATTTACTGTGCCTCTTTGTGAAGAGCAGCCAACCTTTTCTGGCTTAATCAGACTTGCCTAGAGCACTTGAAAAGAATAGCTCTGAAGTCCATGTGATTTTGCTTCCCCACCCCCACCCCAACCATGACTGATTGGAACTGGATAGATGTCTTCCTCAGGAGGAGGAGCCAAGGGCTGTTTCCTGTCCCTGGACTTTGGAATTGGGCCACCTAGTCAGTGAGTGGCCAAGAACCCAATGAGGCTGCCCCATGAAGGGAGCTGAGCTCAGTCAAAGAGATTCATGGCAGAGCACTAGGGTTAATAAAGGCCCACGAACTCTTGTTGCTGAAGGCTCTAGGGCTGCCCCATCCCTGCCCTTCCTGAGATTTGGTGGATCACCTCTTCCTGGGTTTCCACAAGTCCTCTCTCTCTCTCTCAATAACCTATTAAATTGGGGTGTGAGTGGATTCCTGTCCCTTGCATCCAAAGTCTCCTTGGCTATAATGGAGTTCTATAGGAATGAGAGCAAGGGGCAGGAGCCCAAGGGTAGGAGGTTCTAAGTTTAGGACTTTAGAAATAACATTGTTAAGTGTGTTGATGTCTAAGTCAGAATGGAGGTGATTCCCTCAAGTTTCTAAGCATCATCCATTCCATTCTGTCCAACAGACATTTATCAAGCACCTACTCTGTGCCTAGCATTGTGCTAGGTGCTAGAGAGCCAAAAATAAATAGCAGCTGCTCTTGTGGAGGTCACAGTCTTGGAGGAGTTAAAGACACGGAAACAAATTACAACACAGCGTAACAGCAGTGACAGAAGCACGTATGATATGGTTTGACTGTGGCCCCACCAAATCTCATCCTGAATTGTAGTTCCCATAATCCCCACTTGTGGTGGGAGGGGCCCAGTCGGAGGTAATTGAATCATAAGGGTAGTTTCCCCCATGTTATTCTCGTGATAGTGAGTTCTCATGAGATCTGATGGTTTTATAAGGGGCTTCCCCCTTCACTCAGCTCTCATTCTTCTCTCTCCTGCCACCATGTAAAGAAGGATGTGTTTGGTTTCCCTTCCATCACGATTGTAAGTTTCCTGAGGCCTCCTCAGCCATGTGGAACTGTGAGTCAATTAAATCTCTTTCCTTTATAAATTACCCAGTCTTGGGTATTTCTTCATAGCAGCCTGAGAAGGGACTAATACAACATACGAAGTTGGCAGCAAAGTGAGTGGTGGAAAGGAGAGTCATGGAAAAGCAAACAAGGGAGGGTTATAACTACAGCTTGGCATCCTCCACTAATGTTGTAAGGTCCTGGAGCATTTTGGCAATGGTGCTAAAATGAGGATGTAAGGACAAAATCCCCTAGATTTTCGACAGGTGAGCTTGTGAGGTGTTGGGACCACCTGGAAGATGTGATAAGAAGTGACAAAGGGGCAGGGTGTAGTGGCTCACACCTATAATCCCAGCACTTTGGGAGGCCAAGGCAGGCAGATCTCCGGAGTTCAGGAGTTTGAGACCAGCCTGGCCAACATGGTGAAACCCTGTCTCTACTAAAAATACAAAAATTAGCTGGGCATGGTGGCATGTGCCTGCAAGCCCAGCTACTCGGGAGGCTGAGGCAGAATAGCTTGAACCCATGAGGTGGAGGTTGCAGTGAACTGAGATCAGGTCACTGCACTCCAGCTGGGCAACAGAGCAAGACTCCATCTCAAAAAAAAAAAAAAGTGACAAAGGAGCCAACTTCTCTCTTTTCCAGGAAGTCTGGGAAATGGGCTATTGGCCTCCAAAGATAATGGAGACAATAGTAATGAAGGTGTCTGGGAGAAAAGTCTAAGGCACAGAAGGTTAGGCACCCTCATGGAAACAGACTATGGCTAGGGTGGAGGGCAAGTCTTTACTCACAACTGAACATGGTTCCATGGGGCTCAGAAAATAACAAAGAGTGTTCATTTAATAAATGTTTCCTGAAAGCAGACTATATGGTAAGCACATGGCTCCTGCCTTGCAGAGCAGTCTAGTGGAGAAGACAGATATTTATCAAATAATCAGGCAAATAAAATAAAAAAAACAGGCTGGGTGCGGTGGCTCACGCCTGTAATCCCAGCACTTTGGGAGACCGAAGCAGGCAGATCACTTGAGGTCAGGAGTTTGACATCAGCCTGGCCAATATGGTGAAACCCCGTCTCTACTAAAAATACAAAAATTAGCTGGGCATGGTGGCACTGGCCTGTAGTTCCACCTACTTGGGAGGCTGAGGCATGAGAAACATTGGAACCCAGGAGGCAGAGGTTACAGTGAGCCAGGATTGCACCACTGCACTCCAGCCTAGGTGACAGAGTGAGATTCCGTCTCAAAAAAAAGAAAAAATGTTTAAAAATACAACTAAAAAGTGCTATGAAGGAGAGGTACAGTGTGGAACCTCTCTGTATGGAAATAAGGTCCAAGAAGACTCCCTGAGGAGGTGGCAATTGAGCCACGATCCAAATGATGAGTAGGAGGTCACCAGTGAAGAGGGGAGGGAAGAGGGTAGACTGTAATTTAATTGTGCTTTGAATTTGGCACTCAGACAGATATATGGTACTGAGAAAGAGAGGGGAAGAGAAGCAAGGATAACAAGAGACAGTCAAAAGTTCCAGGGGCCCTTGGAAGAAAGATTCTGAGAACAGAGTGGCCACAGTTATAACTGCCTTTATTTCTCCTGATCACTGTTACATGAAACTTACTGAAATTCATCTCCTCTCCGGTGAACAAACTTCCTTTCTTTATCCATTCATTCACCCATCTACCCATCCTACAGTGAGCCAGGTACTGAGAGCTAGGAGACCCACGAGCCTAGAGTTTACAAAGTAGTAGAAATTCTATTTCTGGCATTTTCTTGCTATTGTTTTGACTCCCTGCTTACCAGGAAAGAGAACAAAAAAGTGACTGTGCTGATCAAAACACAGACCAATAAAACTAAGAAGAAACCAGGGCTGCCGGGTACGATGGCTCACACCTGTAATCCCAGAACTTTGAGAGGCCAAGGCCAGTGGATCACAAGGTCAGGAGTTCAAGGCCAAGATGGTGAAACCAGGTCTCTACTAAAAATACAAAAATTAGCCAGGCATGGTGGGGGCGCCTGTAATCCCAGCTACTTGGGAGGCTGAGGCAGAGAATTGCTTGAACCCGGGAGGCAGAGGTTGCAGTGAGCCAAGATCGTGCCACTGCACTCCAGCCTGGGTAACAGAAGGAGACTCCATCTAAAAAAAAAAAAAAAAAAAAAAAAAAAAAACCAGGGCCTACAGCACACTGATCTCTCTATCCACAATTGCTGAGGAAATGTGAGAAGGAGGAGGAAGGATGGTAACATGTCCAAGAGCTTGTTCCACTCAGAGTTCAGTCATCCCTCACTTAAATAAAACAGACTCTGTATTTGCTGCAAATGTAAATCTGTAAGAAGATGTGCCACACAGGAATACATTTATAGATTTCTTTAATTTATGACATAGAGAATCCATTTTTGGCCGGGTGTGGTGGCTCATGCCTGTAATCCCAGCACTTTGGGAGGCCGAGACGGGTAGTCACCTGAGGACAGGAGTTCGAGACGAGCCTGGCTAACGTGGTGAAACCCTGTCTCTAATAAAAATACAAAAATTAGCCGGGTGTGGTGGCACATGCCTGTAATCCCAGCTACTCAGGAGGCTGAGGCAGGAGAATCAATTGAACCTGGGAGGTGGAGGTTGCAGTGAGCTGAGATCGTACCATTGCACTCCAGCCTAGGCAACTCCAAAAAAAAAAAAAGAGAGAGAGAGTCAATTTCTTCATAACAAAGGCTATTTTCACAGATAGCAGTTGAAGGAGCAATCACTTGGGTGAAGAGGAGGTGACTGGGCCTGTCACCTCCTTTTCACAGACCTTCCTGCAGTGGCCACAGCCATGGGACAGATCATGCCTCCCCTCACACTGGGCATCTGGCCCCAGGGATTGTCCTCCCTTCTTTCTGGCCTTGGCCTGACAGGACCTCTTGACTGGACTCCTGCTGTCATTCTAGATTTGCAGACAGCATCTACCTCCAGGGAAGCAAAGGATTCCTCAAACTGGAGTCTTCAGATTCTCCAAAAGCAAACCGGTTCATGTTTTGAATTCACGTGTTGGCAAAATAGGTGACAGCCTTGTTCCAAAAGGCTAACATTAATTACCTCTAATAGGATCGTGGACAGTATTTTTTTTTAATTTTGTATCTACGCATTTTCTAAATTTCCTTCAATAATCATAGATTACATTGGTAATAAAGAAACATAAACATTTCTTAAGGGTTGCTTAAAATGAGCGTTGCCTGTAAAGTGATCCTTCTCCACCTTAGGTGAAAAATAAGCTCTGCTTTTCCTTCCCTTGCCTCATGCTCCATCCCCTGTCCCCATGTGAAGAGGCTGCCCCACGGCTTCCTCGTCCTTCTTTCTTCATCCACTATCTAGTCCCAGCAGCCGCCCTCTTAGCTGTCAGTCCATCCCCATCTCCTCCAGCTCCTCCATGCTCCAACAGCACTTTAGAGAAGGCAGAGGGCCAGCACGTGGCTTTCTTGCCTTCCCTGAGCAAACAGCCCGAGAGAGAAGCTGGTGTTGATAGAGAGAGGCTCTCTTATTGCAAATTAGATAAGCCCAAATGTAAAAGCATATTCACATTTATCAAACATCTCATAGATGTGGCACCTATGGGATTTCAAAAAACCCTTCATAGATTTTTGCCTCCCAAACCCACACAGCAGCCCCATGAGGTAGACGTCAGTTTCGTTCCCTTCTACGTGTGGGAACTGGAGGAATGTGGCACGGAGAATGCAGAGTTGAGTCCACGGTGAGGCCTCCAGTCCGTCCTTCCCTTGAAGATGCTTGACCCGCAGCCGCGATGGGCAGAACCACCCGCGTGACAGGCAGCAGAATTGACAGGTCGGAACAAGGGAGGCCCCAGGACACAGCAGACACAGCGCTGCGCTGCTGCGAGCCTGGCTATTTCTGACTTGCCCTAGTTAGGGGCTCCTTCCCAGGATCGTTTTATAATCACAAGGTTGTTTGATGTACAATGTGACATCCATAGGACGCTACTGAAAAAAGCCTTGGTTTTTTTCATACTTTTTCTGCCTTGCAGAAAGGTGAGGTGAAGCTTTCAAACAGCCTGTGGTTGTAGCTTTCTTTCTATTATTTATGGCCATGTGTCCTGGCAACAGTTACAACTGCAACTCTGGGCAAAGAATAGGTTGGAAGACTGTTTCAACGTTTTCCATCAGGACAAGATCATACCGACACAGCTGAGGCCTGGGAAAATAAGACAAAATATCCTTGTAAATGAATTTATAAAAATGCAATGGTCTAGTAAATAATATTATATCCTTAAGATACAAAATTATTTAGCAATTGTTTTTAATATAGAAAACACTTACGGTGGCCAGGCACGGTGACTCATGCCTGTAATCCCACCCAGCATTTTAAGAGGCCGAGGCGGGCAGATACTTGAGGCCAGGAGTTCAAGACCAGCCTGGCCAACATGGCTAAACCCCGTCTCTACTAAAAATACAAAAATTAGCTGGGTGTGGTAGTGCGTGTCTGTGGTTCCAGCTACTCAGGAGGCTAAGGCAGTACTAGAGCCCAGGAGGTGGAGGTTGCAGTGAGCTGAGATCACGCCATTGCACTCTGGCCTGGGTGACAGAATGAGACTCTGTCTCAGAAAAAAAAAGAAAGAAAATGCTTATGGTAAGTAAAACACCAAGGAGAAAGCAAGATATATGGCCAGGCACGGTGGTTCACGCTTGTAATCCCAGCACTTTGGGAGGCCAAGGCGGGTGGATCACCTGAGGCCAGGAGTTGGAGACCAGCCTGACCAACATGGTGAAACACTGTCTCTACTAAAAATACAAAAAATTAGCTGGGCGTGGTCGCGTGTGCCTGTAATCCCAGCTACTTCGGAGGCTGAAGCAGGAGAATTGCTTGAACCCAGGAGGTGGAGGTTGCAGTGAGCCAAGAACGCGCTACTACTGTACTCCAGCCTGGGTGACAGAGCGAGACTCCGTACCAAAAAAGAAAGAAAGATGTAAAATTGTATTTACCATGTAAGTTCAGCTTTAAAAACAATAAAAGAAAGGAAGATTATATAGAAATAACAATAAATATTAGCAGTGGTTGCCTCTGAATAATGACAATATGGGTGATATTTTTCTGTTTCCTGACAATTTCTGTACTTTCTAGATTTTGTCAAATAAACATATATTGTCTGATATTCAGGGCAAAAAAAGTATTAAAAAGTTTTAGGATGTAATGACTATCCTCTTAGGAGAAACTTGTACTATTAAATGTTTTAAGGTACCCTAAACTTTCTTTTTTTGTTTTCTTTTTTTTTTTTTTTTTTGAGACAGGGTCTCACTCTGTCACCCAGGCTGGAGTGCAGTGGTACGATCTCGGCTCACCACAACTTCTGCCTCCCAGATACGAGCAATTTTCCTGCCTCAGCCTCCCGAGTAGCTGGGATTACAGGTGCACACCACCACTGCCCAGCTAATTTTTTATATTTTTGGTAGAGACGGGGTTTCACCACATTGGCCAGGCTGGTCTAGAACTCCTGACCTCAGGTGATCCGCCCACTTTGGCCTCCCAAGGTGCTGGGATTACAGGCATGAGCCACCGTGTTCAGTCCCTAAACTTTTAAGAAAAAGGAATTCACAAAGTACTAACTACTCACATCATTTCCTGTCTCCCTCTCTGTCCACAGGTTAGATGCTAGGACTATATGGTAGACTGGCATTTGTCACAAAACATACATGTCAACACAGCTCTGTACTTAAATAATAATTCTTTCTCTCCTTCTCGCCCTCTTTCTCTGTTTCTCTCTCTTTCTCTCCCCAAACATACATTGTTTATTTTTTCTGGCACAATTGAGAATAGATTGTTTACTCCTTAATACTTCATTGTATATTTCCTAAGAACAAGGACATTTTCAGTGCCATTATCAAATTTAAGAAATTCAATATAATACTTTTGTACTGTCAAGGGTACAGTGGCTCATGCCTGTAATCTCAGCAATTTGGGAGACAAAGGCGGGCGGATACTTGAGGCCAGGAGTTCAAGACCAGCCTGGCCAACATGGCGAAACTAAAAATACGAAAATATTTTTTTCTACTAAAAATACAAAATCACAAATACAAAAATTAGCTGGGTGTGGTGGACGTGCCTGTGGTCAAGGGAATAAAATGTTCCAATTTTCTGTACCTTTTTTTATACTAGGCTCTGTTTAATCAGCTTGCCAAATTATCCAAAGCTTTCTTTTCTACAACAAATTACCAGCTTACAAGCAGTGTGGTAGTTAGGGAAGAACTGTATAGTTCTAAGCATATAACAACATTATTTCCTTGGATTACTAGGCCATCTACCTTATCTACCTTTAAGTACATGCAGTATAATTTTCTTGGATTACTGGGCTACCTGTTTTTATTTTTAAAATTTTTTATTTAATTTTTTGTTTTTATTTTGAGATAGAATCTTGCTATGTTGCCCAGGCTGGACTTCAACTCTTGGGCTCAAGTGATCCTCTCACCTCAGCCTCCTGAGTAGTGGGATTACAGTCATGTACCATCAAATGCAGGTGGGCTGGGCCACTTGCTTTCTGTTTTGGGTTGTTTTTTTTTTCTTTTTTTGTAGAGACAGGGTCTCCATACGTTGCCCAGGCTGGCTAGAACTCCTGAGCTGAAGCAATCCTCCCAGCTTGGCCTCCCAAAGTGCTGAGATTATAGGCTTGAGCCACTACACTTGGCCTGGGCTACTTGTTTATAATAAAAACTATTTTTGGAAAACCCATCATGTCCCTCATTGTGAATAATAGAGTCTTATTAACACATCAGACCAAGCAGATTGGACAGGATCCAGCAACATCTTTGGAAAACAGCGTTTTGTCAAACCGTACCCTCAGCTCACCTCTCCGGATGGGCAAGGGACCTTAACTTCATTCGGAGAATCCTGAGCTTGTACCTTGGGCCTATTAGAGATCCTGTAGAGAACATCAAGGAAATTGCAGCCACTTTATCCAGATCTTGATTAAATCTTGCAAGTAGACTCACTTGGTGATATTTCTGAAATGTGGTGGGTTCACTGGAAGGAAGAAGTAATACTGAAAAATGGATAAAGACTACTAATGAGAGAAAGCAGTTTTGAAGCCTGCAAGTCACTGGTAAGCTGGTAACTATTTCACCCCATAGCCTGCACCAGCTGACTTTTTTTTTTTTTTTTTTTCTGAGACAGGGTTCACACTGTTGCCCAGGCTGGAGTGTAGTAACCACCCAAGAACTAGTCAACTTTGATGGGCAAAGTCTGCTGACTCCAAAGGGCGATGTAAGTGACCCAAAATGACATTAGAGAGGCACGATGCTAATGACTGCCTAGTACACACCAGATGATGTCCTTGTCTCTCGACTCATCTCTCCAACTCCCCAGAACATTCCGCAAGGGGGGCATTATTCTCCTCATTTAATAGACAGAAATAGATGCTTACAGAGATCAAGCTCCCCAGGTGACAGGCCTTATATGTAGCAGTGAAGAGATTCCAACCCAGTTCTGGCTGAGTTCAAAGTTATGATCTTTCCGTTAAACTGCATCCCTAGATGCCTAAGTATATCTTTAGCCAAAATAGATGCTAACTGAATTGTGCTGTAGCATGTATTTTTTTTAGTTCTCCCTCTCAAGATGAACCTTAAAAAAGGCAAATCCAGAGTCTGATCCTGTTATCCAAGTGTATAGAGATGTTTTCTATAGGTGGAAAACCAAATTGAAGGTAAGGCATATCACTGGAGAGGTTCAGCTCACTCACTGTCTTTCTGGGGAGGTGGAAGAACCATGGAGCCCCTGGCTTTGGGAACAGAAGGCTTGCTCTAGACATTAATCCTTTTTTTTTTTTTTTTTTTGAGATGGATTCTTGCTCTGTTGCCCAGGCTGGAGTGCAGTGGTGTGATCTCGGTTCACTGCAACCTCTGCCTCCTGGGTTCAAGTCATTTTCCTGCCTCAGCCTCGCGAGTAGCTGGGATTACAGGCACCTGCCACCCCTCCTGGCTAATTTTTGTATTTTTAATGGAGACAGGGTTTCACCATATTGGCCAGGCTGGTCTTGAACTCCTGACCTCAGGTGATCCGCCTGCCTCGGCCTCCCAAGGTGCTGGAATTACAGGCATGAGCCACCGAGCCTACCCAACATTAATCCTTACTTTGGGAATGGGGTAATCGTGACGAGGTATCTGTCACCCCACTGGGATCATGTCTAAGTCCCATGGAGTACAGAAGTGCCACAAATAAAACTAATCTAAGAGGTGCCCAGATTTTGTTTTCTTAACACCATCTCTACTGAAAGAAACCAGAGCTCCCTGGAGAAATGGTTGATTCCATGGCTGGGGCAGGAAACGTGCAAAGTGATCCTGGAAACCCGTGTGCCAGAAAGTTAGTAAGTGTTTTAAACAGTGATGGAAGCCGGGCACGGTGGCTCATGCCTATAATCCCAGCACTTTGGGAGGCTGAGGCAGGCAGATCACAAGGTCAAGAGATCGAGATCATCCTGGCCAACATGTGAAAACCCGTCTCTACTAAAAATATAAAAATTAGCTGGGCATGGTGGCTCACGCTTGTAGTCTCAGCTACTCAGGAGGCTGAAGCAGGAGATTCGCTTGAACCTAGGAGGTGGAGCTTGCAGTGAGCCGAGATCAGGCCACTATACTCCAGCCTGGTGACAGGGCAAGGCTCTGTCTCAAAAAAAAAAAAAAAAAGATGTAAATGTTCAAAAGACACAGAATCATCTCACACCCATCCAGATGGTTAATATCAAAATAATAGAACATAACAAATATTGGTGAGGATGTGGAGAAACTGGATCCTGTATGCACCATCAGTGGGATTGGAAAATTGTGCAACCATTAAGGAAAACAGTATAGTGGTGTCTCAAAAAATTAAAAAGAGAACTACAATATGATCCAGAAACTCCACTTCTGGATACAAGTCCAAAAAAATTGAAAGCAGAGTCTCAGACATTTGCACACCCATGTTCATAGCAGCACTAGTCACAATAGCCAAGAGGAGGAGGCAACCCAAGTGTTCATTGATGGAAGAATAAACAAAATGTGGTATATGCATATAATCAAATATTACTCAGCCTTAAAAATGAAGGAAATCAGCCAGGCGCGGTGGCTCACACCTGTAATCCCAGCACTTTGGGAAGCCGAGGCGGGCAGATCATGAAGTCAGGAGTTTGAGACCAGCCTGGCCAGCACGGTGAAACCCCGTCTCTACTAAAAATACAAAAAATTATCTGGGCATGGTGGCATGTGCCTGTAGTCCCAGCTACTCAGGAGGCTGAGGCAGGAGAATCGCTTGAACCTGGGAGGAGGAGGTTGCAGTGAGCTGAGATGTTTTGATGTATGTATACAATGTGGGATAATTAAATCAGCATATTCATTTGTTGTTTAAATCCTTTATCGAAAACAAGGATAACTTTTGTATTACATGTTTAATCAAAGGAAGTAAGGAGGAGAGGAACAAAGGGAGAAAGAGAGGGAAAGAGGGAGGAAAGGAAGGAAAAAGGGAGGAAGCAAAGAAAGGAAGAAGAGAAGGAGGGAAGGAAAGAAAACCCTTGCACCAATCCCATTTGTAAAGACCCTGGGAGATCAAGAACCAGGGAAGCAACTAAGCAATAGTTCCCCTTATATCTTTTATAGAACAAGGAAAAGCATAGATCTATAAATAAGAAAGTAGGTGGATTTGTGATTTAATTTCTCTGAGCAAAAAGGGAAATAGCGCACTGCAAACAATTGTAACTCAACTTACTGATTGATTTTGGATTCTGTGGTGTTTCCAGCTTTGTCTCTCAATTTGATGGTAATGTCCCCTCTTCTTACATTCTTGTTCCATGTTATAATATCCACAAAGTAATGATACACTGCAAAACAGAGAGAGAACACGGTAAGAGAGAGATACTACCAACTGATCCCCTGAAGGGCTGGTTCCTAAAAACTGAACCTCCCTAATCACTGAGTCTCTTCTTCTCTTTCTCTCTGGTTTCTCTGCAAAGATCCAGGGCAGAAGTTTCTAATATTCCCTTCTCTTCTCTTTGGTAAAGATGGCATGAGTGATAGCAGAGTTCATTGGTTTCCAGTCACCATGGTCAGGCATCATCGTTGAACCAGTGTTTCCAGGTATTGTGAAGTCTTAGGGCTTATGGCTGAGTGTGGTTCACATCAATTCCTGCCCATTTTAGACTCAACCAACTAAGGGGCCATTCGGAGACCCTCCAGGGCTGAGACGGTTTTCCACAGTTTGGGCCAAGTCCACCAGCCTACTCAGCCTTCCTCATCCTTCTCCCAATCATGCTCCACCACCTGCACTCCCTGCACTGTGAAGGCTCCTGGGCCTTCACCCACCTGGGCACGCTTACTTTGCCAGCTCTGTGAATCCACCTTTTAGGTTTCAACTTAATGTCATTCCTCCAGAAGGCTTTTCCTGACCCCCAGACTAAGTCAGGTCTCCTTTCTTGAAGTTCCTGCCATACTCTGGACTCTCCCCATTATTATTCAGCACACTTTCCTGTATTTACAAAATGCAAGAAAGGGTGATAATAAAAATAAAGTGGCATTCCCTAACCAGCAGACTCAGAGAAAAAAAAAGTGGTGAATATGTGGGTACATCTATACAAATGTTACCTGAATAATGTCTTATGGGTTTTTTTAAAAAAAAAAAAGATAAAATTAAAACACGCTACAACAGGAACTAATCAGGGAGATGACAGTCCCACGAAGGAATAAGGTCAGTCCTGGATTTGCCATTTTATGGCCCAACTTGCTCAGGGGCTTGCCCCATACAGACCAGGTAGGTGCCAAATCCTGGGCTGCCACACATGGCTCCAAAGAAAGAGGGAAACCCAGTGATCTGCAGGCTTTTTTTTTTTTTAAAAGAATCTCTCTGTGTTGCCCAGGCTGGAGTGCAGTGGCGTAATCTCGGTTCACGGCAACCTCTGTCTCCTGGGTTCAAGCAATTCTCCAGCCTCAGCCTTCTAGGTAGCTGGGATTACAGGCAAGCACCACCACGCCCAGCTAATTTTTATATTTTGTTTTTGGGGTTTTTGTATTTTTAGTAGAGATGGGGTTTCACCATGTTGGCCAGGCTGGTCTCAAACTCCTGGCCTCAAGTGATCCGCCCGCCTTGGCCTCCCAAAATGCTGGGAATGCAGGCGTGAGCCACCATGCTTAGCCTCCAGGCTCTTTTAAAAGAGTTGCTCACACCTGGCATGGAAGTTCACACCTGTAATCCCAGCACTAAGGCAGGAGGATTGCTTGAGCCCAAGAGTTCAAGACCAGCCTATGCAACATAGTGAGATTCTGTCTCTAAAAGAAACAAAAAAAACAGTTAGCTGGGCATGGTGGCGCATGCCCGAAGTCCCAGCTACTTGGGAGGCTGAGGCAGGAGGATTGCTTGAGTCCAGGAGGTTGAGGCTGCAGTGCCCCATTATTGTGCCACTGCACTCCAGCCTGGGTGACAGAACAAGACCCTGTCTCAAAAAAAAATTAACATAGCCTGGGCATGGTGGCTGATGCCTGTAATCCCAGCGCTTTGAGAGGCCAAGGCAGGCAGATCACCTGAGGTCAGGAGTTTGAGACCAGCCTGGCCAACATGGCAAAACCCCGTCTCTACTAAAAATACAAAAATTAGCCAGGCATGGTGATGCACACCTGTAGTCTCAGGTACTCGGAATCCTGAGGCAGGAGGATCGCGTGAACCCAGGAGGCAGAGATTGCAGTGAGCTGAGATTGCGCCACTGAACTTCAACTTGGGTGACAGAGTGAGACCCTGTCTCAAAAAAAATAAATAAAATGAAATAAAATAGTTGTTCCCAAGGAAAGTGAAAATGGGTACAAGACTGTAGGAAAAACACATCTGCCCAAGGAAATTCTAGTTGCTTCCCAAGGCGTCTAATCATTGGCTGCCCCCTTTAATTCCCATCTGGAATACTCAACCTCTCGAGGCCTTTGGGTCATCATGTTTGCTTTAGAGCTGGAACTGACCTGTAGATATGGCTGACACCTGATTTTTCCTAGTCTTAATTTTATGTCTTTTGGGGAATCAAGCAATTTTCTGGAAGATCTTAGTGATTAGAATGGTCATCCAGTGAAACTAACAACTCTGATTTGTTGAGATTTTATTAAATTAATATTTTTAAATGGCATCAGATTAAACCTAATATCCCAGAATACAGGCATTATTACCCCCATTTGACCAGTCAGGACATTGAGACTCAGAGAAGTCAAATGACTTCACCAAGGTCCCACAGCTATTATGTGGTAGACTCAGGAGTCAACCGAGGCCCTTCCAGCTCCAAAGTTGATGCTTCATCATGGCTCTTATTTGCCAAGAAGTAGCCAGGAAGCTGAGACTCAGCCATCCCCAAAATGAGAGTTAGGCAAAAGCCAACAACCACATTCACCACTCACTGCAGAATGGGCTCTCCTCAGCTGTGTCAAAGAATGCCTTCGTCATTGGAGGATCTTTCCCCCTTAGATGGTCTTTCCAATTATCAGCATAATAGCCTATGAAACAAGTTTAAAAAATTGTAAGATTAATATGTATTATACAAACATAAAAGCAACTGAGGTAGCAAGAACATTGAGTTTGACTGTATCCACCACTTCTGAGAGAAACTCCATCCCACCTCCATCCCCCATGGTGAGGGCCTGCAGGGTGACCCATCTTGCTGGCCAACCCTGTCCCTAAGAGCTGAAGGGCAACAGGACCCTCCAGTTGTTTTCCCCCTTTACTGGTTCTCAGTAGCAGGGTGGAGAGGTGTGGGGTGTGGCACACACTGGTGTGGACTAAAAATAACACTGACATTTTTCAGTAATACATTCATTTTCTAGATTAAAACAGATTCAAGTTCATACCTAAAATAGCATCACTCTTGAAAACCAATATGCTTTCTTGAAGAACTACAATGGGGCCCCTAAATTGCATAGACCTGGGCTTGCCACATGACTGACTGTGTCACTAAGCAGGTGAGTGTCCTCCTTTGTTTTTGCTGTCCAGAGGGCCCTCTTTCTCTCCTCTGTCCCTAGCCCTAGAGAATGGCCTTCACATTCTGCCTTAATTGATCCAGGGTGGGACCCAGGCATCAGTATTGTGTTAAAACTCCTTAGGTGATTCTAAAGCACAATCAAGGTTGAGAACCCCTTGTCTATACCATGCCCTGTTGTTAACTTGGATTTTTCCTTTTGGAAAAAAAATAGAAAATCCTCATGACCATCCAGTTTCAAAGTCCTAACCACCTAGAATATCTGTACTAATCCCTAGCGAATATCCAAGCAGCCTCCACAATATCTATTACCTCACTCCACCTGCTGTACGTGCACACAAGAGCCAGAATGTGGAGTGAGGGCATTTACATAGACATGAGTCTGTGAAAAAGTTCACTTGTCAGGAGAGTCTCTGGGCTCATTGTGGACCCTCTCCCAGCAGAGAGGTTGTAAGCACAGAAAGGGTATTCCTGTCCCCACAGGAGCAGGCTACGTAGAGTGACTGTACCCTGGGTAAGCTTGGAAACTCTTCTGTAACCTTCTTTTCCATGCTAGAATAGAGGGTCCAGGGAGGCTGTACTGCCTTCTGGATGGAATACTCTACAGTTGCTTTTCTTTTCTTTTTTCTTTCTTTTGTTTGTTTGTTTGCTTTTTGAGACGGAGTTTCACTCTTGTTGCCCAGGCTGGAGTGCAATGGCGCGGTCTCAGCTCACTGTATCCTCCGTCTCCCAGGTTCAAGTGATTCTCCTGCCTCAGCCTCCCAAGTAGCTGGGATTTCAGGCGCCCGCCACCATGCCCAGCTAATTTTTTTGTATTTTTAGTAGAGATGAGATATCACCATGTTGGCCAGGCTGGTCTCAAACTCCTGACCTTGTGATTCGCCCACCTCAGCCTCCCAAAGTGCTGGGATTACAGGCGTGAGCTACCATGCCCAGTCTACATTGCTTTCTAACACTGTTTATTAGTAGGAGACTAGAGTAGTTCAAAGAACAAATTGGCTAGAAAAAGCTGACTAGAAAAAAAAAGTCTATTTTTAAAATTTTTTTCTTTTTAAGAAATTTTTTTTTAAATTTTAACCTTTTATTTATTTATTTTTGGAGACAGGGTCTTGCTCTGTGACCCAGGCTGGAGTGCAGTGGCATGATCTCAGTTGACTGCAGCCTCAACCTCCTGGGCTCAAGTGATCCTCCCACCTAAGCCTCCTCTCGAGTAGCTGGGACTACAGGCACGCACCACCACACCCGGCTACTTTTTGTATTTTTGTAGAGACAGGGATTCACCATTTTGCCCAGGCTGGTCTCAAACTCTTGACCTCAAGTGATCCAGCTGCTTCAACCTCCCAAAGTGCTGGGATTACAGGCATGAGCCACTGTGCCCAGCAGAAAAACAAGTTTTTAATACAATTATGGGGCCAGTTTTTACATGATAAAGTGGTTCTGGGATTCATACCAAAAATTAGTTCTTTGTGAATCAGAGAGGAAACTGCTGGTTAGACTTACCCAGAAGGGGACAGGACTCTTTTTGTGACGTGCCGCAGCTGACACACTTGCCATTCCTATAATCCTGGTAGGAGTCACAGGGATACGCAGTGATGGTGCAGCTCTCTCTCAGGGAAGACAGGTACAGGTATACAGACCTCTGGTGGTCACATTTAAAATACTGAAATCCTTGGTTGTAAAAGAAGTGATGAAAGAGTAGAGCGGTTGAAGCATTTAGTAATACTATATCACATATTCTATACACACACAATTTCTCATCTGGCCCTGCGCTCTTTCAGTGTATTTTATTTCATTTAATCTTTATAAAATCCCATAGATAAGAATTCATGCTGGCAAGTGGGAGGAGAAAAGATGAAATCAAATTAAGGTTGTGGCAAGAATTAGAGCAAATATGCTTTGGTGAAAGACCCAGGGCCAGGTGCAGTGGCTCACGCCTGTAATCCCAGCACTTTAGGAGGCCGAAGCAGGTGGATTGCCTGAGGTCAGGAGTTCGAAACCAGCCTGGCCAACATGGGGAAACCCCGTCTCTACTAAAAATACAAAAATTCGCTGGGCGTGGTGGTGGGCACCTGTAGTCCCAACTACTCAGGAGGCTAAGGCAGGGAGAATCGCTTGAACCTGGGAGGCGGAGGTTGCAGTGAGCCGAGATTGTGCCATTGCACTCCAGCCTGGGCAACAGAGTGACACTCCATCTCAAAAAAAAAAAAAAAAAAAAAAAAAAAAAAAAGACCTTGATTGCTCACGTAGCAATCGAGGTATCTTTCACTGTCATCCAATGCTTGATCCATAGATTGCCTGCATCAAAATCGTGCTTATTAAAATACAGAGTTCAGGTCCACCCTCAAATATTTCTAATTCAGAGGAGGCGCAGGCATCAGTATTTTAACAAACACTGTCCCCTGTCTTCCATGCGGTCCTGAAGCATGTAAGTTTGAAAGCCCCTGGTCTAACATTGCAGGGCTACTTCAGACTACAAAGTTGCTGTGTCTGCTCATCAAGCTGACATGGTGAGGGTGCTTGGGTCCAAGGCCAACTTTCCCCAGGTCATGGAGAATCAGAAGGAATTACCAAAATCGTTATCATAAAAGTAAATTGCTGGCTGGGCATGGTGGCTCACGCCTATAATCCCAGCACTTTGGGAGGCTGAGATGGGTGGATCATGAGGTCAGGAGTTCAAGACCAGCCTGACCAACATGGTGAAACCCCGTCTCTACTAAAAATACAAAAATTAGCCGGGCATGGTGGCGCGCCTGTAATCCCAGCTACTTGGGAGGCTGAGGCAGGAGAATCGCTTGAACCTGGAAGGCGGAGGTTGCAGTGAGCCGAGATCGAGCCACTGCACTCCAGCCTGGGCGATAGAGCAAGACTCCATCCCAAAAAAAAAGAAAAAAAAAAGCAAATTGCAAATCATTAACTAATTCCTCTTCATTCTGCCTTTTCATATAATATATTTACTTAGAGAAAGGTTGAAAAATGCAAACAACTAGCTTCAGTCATGGAGCTCTCTCACTCCCCTGCCACATTTATTATGGGAATTTTCAAACCAGGCACAAAAATCGAGAGAAGGATACAAAGAACCCTCATGCCCATATCATCCCCGCTCCAGTAATTGAGTAATTATCAAAATTCTCCCATTCTTATTTCACTTACTCTCCAGCATTGTGGCATTTAAAAACCAATCTTTCACTGTTAAATATCACTATTAGATCTAATCAAGTACTAGCTTCTATCTTTTTTTTTTTTTTTGAGATGGAGTCTCGCTCTGTTGCCCAGGCTGGAGTGCAGTGGCATGATCCCGGCTCACTGCAACCTCTGCCTCCTGGGTTCAAGCAATTCTCCTGCCTCAGCCTCCCGAGTAGGTGAGATTATAGGCTCGTACCACCACTTCCGGCTAATTTTGTATTTTAGTAGATACAGGGTTTCACCATGTTACCCAACCTGGCCTTGAACTCCTGACCTCAGGTGATCTGCCCACCTCAGCCTCCTAAAGTGCTGGGATTTCAGGCATGAGCCACCATACCCGACTGAGTACTAGCTTCTATCTTGAATAGAATAACTTTGACTCTGCTTTTCTCAATGTATGGACTTTACCTATTTAGTTCACCATGGTAGTTTAACTATTATGCTGTTCTGAACTGTTATACTATACTGAACTGTTCTCCTTTAGTTCCAGATCATAACACAGTGCCAGACACATGGCAAATTAATAGGTATTTGTTGGATGAATGAATAAATGCAACCTCTAGTGGGTTCCGCTGTTTGCTGAAACCCCTCTGCTTTATTTCTGCTCGAGGGTTTAACTGGAAGCCTGGTTCTTATGAGCTTCCTCGGTCTGGTACTGTTCAGTGCCAGTAATCCCAACAACTGCCAAAAACTCAAGAGCAAGAGTCATTCAGATTCCTGCCACATTTTTCATTCATGTCAAAGGCAACGGGGCCTGGCACTGCACAGAAACCAGGCAGGCAATCAAGAGAGACATGGCGGACACCTGCCAGATGTTGAGGGTCATTGGAAAATACAACTGCTCAGTAGTTCCAAAATGCTAGTAAGTTCCAAAAAGTCCAGTAGTTCCATTTCTGGACTAGTGCTGGTTTATGACAATGTGTTCACGAGTCTGTAGTAGAGTATGGGAACCACACAGATGAGACAGTGACTATTTCATTAAGCTAACTGCAATTAATGTAAAGTTCTGCATGCTCTGGATTTATATCCTTTCTTTTGTTGGGTGTATGTGTTAAAATGCCCTTTATTTTATGGAAATAGATGTATTTTTGTGGTTTAGGATTTTTTCCTAACTCAGCAAATTAAGTATCCCAAAGTTGTTTTCAAATATTTTAAAACCAGTAATGTATATATTGTACTTATAACTGCTGAAATAGAACCATCAGAAACACTATCGACAGCCAGGAATGGTTGTTTGTGCTGGGCCCCTGTTGACTTCAGTAAGGATGACACCAGGTTCAAAAGGCTAAAGAAGATACCTAGAGCCAGTGAACAAGACCTACAGCTTATTGGAGGAACTTACATACAGGGACCGTCCAGTGACAACAAGCCGGACATAAGAACTGCAACCACTTGTAAAAAGCATGCAGTTGTTACAGCATCTTCACTTAGCACCCTCACCCTACCCAGCAACCTCCACATGGCAACCCTCATTACTGAAGTGTTGTTGTCAGCTGTGTCTGCCGTAAGGGTCATTCTCAGGGTATGCTGACGTTATTGCTGTCAGGTGTAGCTCACACCTGTAATCCTAACACTTTGGGAGGCCAAGGCAGGAGGATCGCAAAGAAAGAAGAGAAAGGAAGGAAGGAAGGAAGAAGGAAAGGGAAGGGAAAGGAAAGAAGGAAGGAAGGAAAAGGAAGGAAGGAGGGAAGGAAGGAAGGGAAAGGAAGGAAGGAAGAGAGGAAGAAAGGAAGGAAGGGAATGAGGGAAGGAAGGAAGCAAGGAGAGAGAAAAAAGAAGGAAGGGAGGGAGAGAGAAAGAAAGAAGGAAAAGAAAGAGAGAAAGAAAAAGAAAGAAAGAAAGAAAGAAAGAAAGAAAGAAAGAAAGAAAGAAAGAAAGGTGGCCGTCATATTCTGTCAGTCAGCTCACTTTTATGTTGCCCTCTAACTCCCCATTTATGTTTTAGAGTTTTTTCTCATTGTAAAAGTAATATAAAATTATTTGAAAAACACAAAATGATAGGAAATAGTGATGCAAAAACACCTAAAAATCTGATATCAACAGATTGCCAGTAATAATTACTTGGAGCATTTACTTTTAGTCTTTTTATCTATATTTACATCTGTACAAATACAGATTCAAAAAATAAATTGGCATCATATTATATAGTTTTGTCTTTTCACTTATCACACTAAGAATTTTTATTACTCTCTGAAAATGTGACTTTTAAGAATTACATTTTTTGTGAGCATACCATAATTCATTTAATACTTTTTGTAAGCTGGCCATTTAAATTATTTCAAAAGCTCTAATTATTATAAATAATGTATGTTGAACATCTTTGCACTCTAATTCTTGTCTGCATTTTCCATTATTTCTCTAGGAGCAATTTCCAGGTGTGGAATTTCTAGATCAAAGACATACCTTTTCAAGAGAGAGAAATAATTCATAATAGCTTTCAAACATGTGGCTATAGTTTTAAAAGTAGTATATTTGAGTTATAATTTATAATTTATATTTATACTACCTGTATCTTCTCAGGAAGTTTGTTTTCTATTAAAAATTACTGCACGTAGAATAATGTCAGATTTTAAAGATATGCCTTTTTCTTTTCTTTTTTGAGACAGGTCTCACTCTGTTGCCTAGGTTAGAGTGCAGTGGCATGATCACGGCTCACTGCAACCTCTACTTCCCAGGCTCAAGCAATCCTCCCACCTCAGCCTTCTGAGTAGCTGAGCCCACAAGCATGCCACAACACCCAGCTAATTTTGTTTTTATTTTTTGTAGAGATGGCATCTCCCCTCTGTTGCCCAGGGTGGTCTTGAACTCCTGGGCTCAAGCAATCTTCCCACCTTGGCCTCCCAAAGTGCTGGGATTACAGGTATGCACCACTGCACCTGGCCAAAATATGCCTTTTTTTTAATTTTTATTTTTTTGAGATGGAGTATCACTCTTGTTGCCCAGGCTGGAGTGCAGTGGCGTGAACTCGGCTCACCGCAACCTCTGTCTCCCAGGTTCAAGAGATTCTCTTGCCTCAGCCTCCCGAGTAGCTGGGACTACAGGCATGCGTCACCACACCTGGATAATTTTTTGTATTTAGTAGAGATGGGGTTTCACTATGTTGGCCAGGCTCGTCTCAAACTCCTGACCTCAGGTGATCCACCCGTCTCGGCCTCCCAAAGTGCTGGGATTACAGGCATGAGCCACCATGCACAGCCTCCAAATATGCCTTTTTATACCACTATTTTACAAAATATAAAGGCTTACCTCCCAATATTGTTTTGGGGCAGCCAGGTTGATCCAATCCTCCATTTGGGTAGAAGTCTATGTTTCCTAATGGCTCCTTGTAGCCCAGTGCTAAAAGAGAACACATTCTGCTTTTATACTCCTTTGAATTTTTCCTATCTCACAGCTCATTTGCCTGCCAGGTATAAGCAGGAATTGTATTATTATTGTTGTTTATCATTATTGTTATACCTATGTAAGAGTTTTGCCCAAAGTCACCCAGCTAGTTAGTTAGAAGGCAATGATTTCCAACTAGGTTAACTGTGAAGATGGTAAGGAATTTACTTCCAATATTTCTAACAACCCTAGGGAGTTTAGTCACTCATCCACTGCAAGGCTAATAAAATGATACATTTCTTCTCTTTTTTTTTTTTTTTTTGAGATGGAGTCTTGCTCTGTCGTCCAGGCTGGAGTGCAATGATGCAATCTCTGCTCACTGCAACCTCCACCTCCTGGGTTCAAGCGATTTTCCTGCCTCAGCCTCCCGAGTAGCTGGAATTACAGGCATGTGCCACCATGACCAGCTAACTTTTTGTGTTTTTAGTAGAGACGGGGTTTCACCATGTTGTCCAGGCTGGTCTTAAACTCCTGACCTCGCGATCTGCCCGCCTCGGCCTCCCAAAGCGCTGGTATTACAGGCATGAGCCATTGCGCCTGGCCCCATTTCTTCCTTATGTTTTGCTGCAACCCTTTAATTGCCTGGTGCTTCTGAGCCTCTATTTGCATTTGTATAACTAATAAATAGGATACAGGAAAAAATGAATGTTTACTTAGTAGATAAAATCTTTAAATATTTGAGAGCTAGGATGGTAAAAAGATTGGAACTACTTCTAGAAAATGAGGACCTAGAAATGTATATATAGGTCGGGTGCAGTGGCTCACCCCTATAATCCCAGCATTTTGGGAGGCTGAGGTGGGAGAATCGAGGCCAGCCTGGGCAAAATGGCGAAACCCCGTCTCTACAAAATATACAAAAATTAGCCAGGCATTGTGGTGTGTGCCTGTAGTCCCAGCTACTCAAGGGGTTGAGGTGGGAGGATCACTCGAGCTAGGAGGAGGAGGGTGCCGTGAGCCAAAAGCGCGACTGCATTCCAGCCTGGGTGACAGAGACAGACCCTGTCTTAAAAAATAATAATAATAAACATTTTTAAAAGTATATATAGATTTAATAACTGTTTACTGTCTTTATTAAACCCCCAATCAGTAAAGTGCTTGATTTAATATAAATTAATTTAATGTAGGTGTACATACATATGCACATGTATATACATAATGCATCATAGTAATAATAATAATAGTTATTATATATTGAAAACCCACATGTGTCTCTGGGCATGGTACTAGGTGTTTCACAATGCAAAGTGGCCACTGGTAAATTCAGATGAAACAACTTAAGTGAAGATATGGGACCAGGCATGGTGGCTCACGCCTGTAATCCTAGCACTTTGGGAGGCCAAGGCGGAAGGATCATTTGAGCTCAGGAGTTTGAGACCAGCCTGGGCAACATAGTGAGACCTTGTCTCTATCAGTGAAAAAAAAGGAAGCTCAGAGGACTTAAGGAACTAACATGACATCATTAGAAAGGGCAAAACCTGGGATCTGAAGCTACATCTGTCTGATGGCAAAACTATACCCTTTCCTTCAAAATTCACTTCCCAAAAATAAATTGCTCTATCCTACTCCACCAAGCATTAAAATGTACTTTGCAAACTTCATAGTAAGAATGCCACTGTTTCACAAAGAGACAATTTCTTTCAAGGCAAATAATTGTTGGACACCACACCAGAATGCCGATGAGAGATGGCAAGGGTTTTTTTAGGTGGTTGTATCATGAAGAGAATGTCCGATTAAATGACCACTCTGCTGTTTCCTCAATCCTCCCCAAGTTCCTACTCCAGCTCTTCTCCCAGACATCTGGATATAGGTACCCATCCTTGAGTATCACCCAACCCCACATGACACGTATCCAATCCCAGACACAAAAACAGCACCGTGAAAGACAGAAATGGGCCAGCCACAGTGGCTCAAGCCTGTAATCCCAGCACTTTGGGAGGCTGAAGTGGGAGGATCGATTGATCAGCCTGGACAACATAGCGAGACCCCCATCTCTACAAAAAGAAGATAAATTTAAAAATTAAAAAAATAAAGATGGCTGGGAACGGTGGCTCACACCTGTAATCCCAGCACTTTGGGAGGCAAAGGCGGGTGGATCACCTGACCTCAGGAGTTTGACACCAGCCTGGCCGACATAGTGAAACCCTGTCTCTAGTAAAAATACAAAAATTAGCTGGGAATGGTGGTGAGTGCCTGTAATCCCAGCTACTTGGGAGGCTGGGGCAGGAGAATTGCTTGAACCCAGGAGGCAGATGTTGCAGCAAGCCAAGATCACGCCACTGCACTCCAGCCTGGGTGGCAGGAGTGAAACTCCGTCTCAAAATAATAAAATAAAATAAAATAAAATAAGATAAGATAAGATAAAATAAAATAAAAATAAGATAAAATAAAATAAAATAAAATAAAAAATAAAATAATAAAATAAAATATAAAATAAATAAAATAAAATAAAATAAAAAATAATATAATATAATATAATATAATATAAAATAAATAAAATAAAATAAATAAAATAAAATAAAATAAAAATAAAGACAGCAATGGCCAAGAAGATCTGCAGAGAGCCAGAGAGCTGTAGTTGCATCAGAGTGACTCTGTGTGGAGAGATTTAACACCTGCAGCTCAAGAAAATAAAAAGAACCAACAACACTAAGAAATCATGCATGCAAACCCAGTTGCACATAGGAAAACACTTATCTTCATGTTGAAAAAATTAGCCTGTCCTTCATTGAGCATGATGATTCCTTTAAAAATATGCCGGGCGCGGTGGCTCACGCCTGTAATCCCAGCACTTTGGGAGGCCGAGGCGGGCGGATCACAAGGTCAGGAGATAGAGACCATCCTGGCTAACACGGTGAAACCCCGTCTCTACTAAAAATACAAAAAATTAGCCAGGCGTGGCGGCGTGTGCCTATAATCCCAGATACTCGGGAGGCTGAGGCGGGAGGATGGCGAGAACCTGGGAGGCAGAGCTTGCAGTGAGTCGAGATTGCGCCACTGCACTCCAGCCTGGGCGACAGAGCGAGACTCTGTCTCAAAAAAAATTAAAAAAATAAAAATATGAAGAGACCGTGGGATAATCATCCACGCTCTAGCACAAGGTCCTGGGTGCCTACATTAAACCAGCTTCCCTTCAATATTTCGGTGGATTTGGAACCCTGCCTGGAAAAAAAAGTTAGAATCTAGAGGAACCTGATCTGCTCCTACATGATTATCTCTCCCCAGGGGACACTCTTTAGGAGCCTGGCGGTGTCACTGACCCACAAGGAAAGGAGCGTTACCATCAGTGTCGGAATGGATGACATCAACAAACTGCGCATCACTGGGATCTAATCTGTCTTGGTGAGGTTTCCCGTTGAATAAAGGGCCTGCAGGGTCGAGGCCTGGAAGGAAAACAGAGTCACTTGGCAGCCCCACACCATGAGTCACCTGCAGCCGGGCCTTTGATCCTTCTGGATGAGGGTGGCTCCCAGGCTGCAGGGCACCCTCAGGTGGGTGAGCGCTCACACTCCCGTCCCACTTGGCCAGGACTCCTTTCCATGGCTCTGCAGCTTGTTCCCACAGTGGAGACGGTTACCCTGGCTGTGCCCCTGAGAATGGCATCCAGACTCCATCAGGGGCATGTGTCATGCAGAGCTCAACAGTAGGGAACGTACACGTGTATGAGGTTCAAGGGGTGGGGATAAACGGGCGGTCCCCAGGAAAAAAGCACCAAAGGGCACATTAAAGAGAAAAGAGCAGCCTGGGCGCAGTGGCTCACACCTGTAATCCCAGCACTTTGGGAGGCCGAGGCAGGCAGATCATGAGGTCAAGAGATCAAGACCATCCTGGCCAACATGGTGAAATCCCGTCTCTACAAAAATACAAAAAAATTAGCTGGACGTGGTGGTGTGTGCCTGTAGTCCTAGCTACTCGGGAGGCTGAGGCAGGAGGATCGCTTGAACCCGGGAGGCAGAGGTTACAGTGAGCCAAGATCATTCCAGCCTGGCGGCAGAGCAAGGCTCTGTCTCGAAGAAAGAAAGAGAGAGAGAGAGAGAGAGAGAGAAAGAAAAAAAGAAAGAAAGCAAGCAGATGCTATACTCATCTTTATCCCACTTTAGATGAGGAAGAAAGAAAGAAAGAAGAAAGAAAGAAAGAAAGAAAGAAAGAAAGAAAGCGCTATACTCATCTTTATCCCACTTTAGATGACCGAGAAACCTCACTCAGCCCTTCCTTTTTGTTGTTAATAAATAAAGAACTTCCACTCTTATTCATATATGCTAGCCCCTTTGATCCATGTTGCAAACCTGTAAGGGAGGCAGGGTAGCTATTATTATTTTCCAGATGAATGAACTGTGATTCAGGAAGATCAAGAGCCTTGATCAGAACACAGCCTCTTAATGCAACCACTTCTATCTGTTGAACTCTTGGTTTCACTGCCCTGAGTTTAGCAAGCTCGGCAGGAGAGGGCGAAACTCACTGGTCAGGCCAGGTATCAGGCTAGGTATTGAAGAGGGAAACCAAGTGGGTGTCAATCCCTGCAGAATTAACCCGCTCTATAAATGCCTAAACCGGTTTCTCACCCTTGGTCAATGTTATTTGGGTGTTCCTCACTATCACTACGAAGCAGCTGGAAAAACAGGAGAGAAGCTCCTATGATGTTGTAACCACAAAATAAAGATTAAACAACAACAAGAAAAAGCTGGGTGTGGTGGCTGACCACTGTAATCCCAGCACTTTGGGAGGCCGAGGTGGGCGGATCACGAGGACAGGAGATTGAGACCATCCTGGCTAACATGGTGAAACCCCGTATCTATTAAAAATACCAAAAAAAAAAAAAAAAAAATTAGCTGGGTGTGGTGGCACGTGCCTGTAGTCCCAGCTACTCGGGAGGCTAAGGCAGGAGAATTGTTTGAACTGGGGAGGCAGAGGTTGCAGTGAGCCAAGATCGTGCCACTGCACTCCAGCCTGGGTGACAGAGCGAGACTCCGTCTCAAAAAAAAAAAAAAAAGAAAAAAAGAAAAAGAAAAAGAAAGAAAAAAGGAAAAAAAAAATCAGCAGCTCCAAAAGGTCTGGTTTACCAGATCCCTACCTGGAGTGAAGAAGGCTTCAAGGGAAGTCTCCCTTGAAGTTTTTGTCTATGAATGTCATTTTATATCTCCTATCCCCTGGTGTTACATATAAAATGCAAGAGTGTCTTTGCCTTTATTTCCTAAGTTCTAGCCTTTTTCTTTTTCTTTTTTTTTTTTTAATTTGTGGGGGTAGGGGAGGAGAGCCGGTTGTAGGGGCACTTGCTATGTTGCCCAGGCTGGTCTCAAACTCCTGGACTCAAGCAGTCCTCCCGCCTCAGTTTCCCAAAAGGCCGGGATTACAGGTGTGAGCCACCACACCTAGCCTACCTGGTTCTAGCTTTAATCCCTCCATTTCAGCTGGTCGCAGTGGCTTACATCTATAATCCTAGAGTTTGGGAGGCCAGGGCGGGAGGATTGCTTGAGACCAGGAGTTCGAGACCAGCCTGGGCAACATACGGAGACCCTGTCTCTACAAAAAAATTAAAAATTTGTTGAGTGTGGTGGCTCATGCTTGTAATCTTAGCTACTCCGGAGACTGAGACAGAAGGATCACTTGAGCCCAGAAGTTCCAGGTTGCAGTGAGCCATGATTGTGCCATTGCCCTCCAGCCCAGGCGACAGACCAAGCAAGAGAGAGAGAGAAAGAGAGAAAGAAAAGAAAGAAAGAAAGAAAGAAAGAAAGAAAGAAAGAAAGAAAGAAAGAAAGAAAGAAGGAAAGAAAGAAAGAGAGAGAGAGAGAAAATAAGCAGTGCCTGGCGCGGTGGCATGCGCCTGTAGTCCCTGTAGTCCTAGCTACTTGAGGTGGTGGGGAGATGGAGAGAAAGCTGAGCTGAGAGGATGGCTTGAGGCCGGGAGTTTGAGGCTGCAGTGTGCTGTGATTGCACCACTGCACTCCAGCCTGGGTGGCAAAGTAAGACCCTGTCTCAAAAATAAATAAGTAAATAGGCTGGGCACAGTGGCTCATGCCTGTAATCCCAGAACTTTGGGAGGCTGAGGTGGTTGGATCACCTGAGGTCAGGAGTTTGAGACCAGCCTGGCCAACATGATGAAACTCCATCTCTACTAAAAATACAAAATTAGCCAGGCGTGGTGGCAGGCACCTGTAGTCCCAGCTACTCGGGAGGCTGAGGCATGAGAATCTCTTGAACCTAGGAGGCGGAGGTTGCAATAAGCCGAGATCGTGCCACTGTACTCCAGCCTGGGCGACAGAGTGAGACTCGGTCTCAAATAATAATAATAATAATAAATTAATTTAAAAAATACAAAAATTAGCTGGGTGCGGTAGCAGGAGCCTGTAATCCCAGCTACTTGGGAGGCTGAGGCACGATAATTGCTTGAATCCGGGAGGCAGAGATTGCAGTGAGCCAAGATCGTGACACTGTAATACAGCCTGGGTGACAGAGTGAGACTGTGTCTCAAAAAAACAAAAATAAATAAATAAAATTAACAGAGCTTCAGTTTCAGAGCTCTAGATTCATGATGAATAAAACATCTGAACCAGGGCAATTTTCAGAGTGATAAGGATGCTATTAATAAGCCTGGGAGTTTGAGGCTGCAGTGAGTTGTGATTGCACCACTGCATTCCAGCCTGGGTAACAAAGTAAGACCCTGTCTCAAAAATAAATAAATAAATAAAATTAATGGTGAGAGCCTCAGTTTATAGCAACCTCCAGATTCATGATGAATAAAACATCTGAAGCAGGACAGTTTTCAGAGTGATAACGGTGCTCTTAATAATTACACCAAGACAAAGGTATAAACTGAGACTGTCACAGGCAGGCTTGGACTTGGGATTTCCTTAGTGATAAGCCATAGCAAATGATTAGCTTCCAGTGTCAGAAAAAAATTATAGTAAAAGCTGCATACTACGTGTGAGCGGATAGATACGGAGCCCCAAACCTAGCGCTAACCAGCTGTGTGCCCTTAGGCAGGTTACTTAACTTCTCTGAATCTCAGTTCCTTTAATTTATAAAATGGAGGTAGAATTAATAGCTACTTCAGAAGACTCATAAGTTCAGGTGCGGTGGCTCATGTCTGTAATCCCAGCACTTTGGGAGGCTGAAGCAGGCAGATCGCTTGAACACAGGAGTTCAAGACCAGCCTGGGCAACATGGCGAAACTCCATCTCTAGAAAAATTCAAAAATTAGCCAGGCATGGTGGTGCACGCCGGTAGTCCCAGCTGCTTGAGAGGCTGAGATGGGAGCCTCAGAGGTGATCACCTGAGCCCAGGGAGCATCAGGCTGCAGTGAGCCATGATCATGCCACTACACTCCAGCCTGGGCGACAGAGTAAGACTCTGTCTCAAAAAAAAAAAAAAAAAGAAGAAGACTTATAAAAGGACTCCTAAGGCCAGCTGGTGGCTCACACCTGTAATCCCAGCACTATGGGGGACCACCGCAGGAGGATTGCTTGAGCCCAGGAGTCCAAGGCCAACCTGGGCAACAACATGAGATCCCATCACTAAATTAAAAAAATTAAAATAAATAGATGGCTCCTGAATCTAAATCCAGAACATTCTGAGATTATTGTGGAATACAAACAGAATGTAAAAAGTGAGATTTCCTTTTTTGTTGTTTTGTTTTGGTTTTTGTTTACTGTTTTTTTGAGACAGGATCTCACTCTGTCACCCAGGCTTGAGTGCAGTGGCACGATCATAGCTCACTGCATCCTCAAGCTCCTAGACTCAAGCGATTCTTCTGCGTTGGCCTCCCAAAGTGCTGGGATTACAGGCATGAGCTACTGCACCCAGCCAAAGAGCTTTTTCTTATTGCTCTAAGATCACCAGAAAAATGTTCAGATAAGAATCCTTGGCTTTTACTGCAGCCTTAACTGGTTTGAGAATTTGATGAAAATTCTGGACCCCTCCCCAGGACAGACACCCAACATTTTGCATGCAACTTCACGGCCTCTTACTTCCATACCCGAGATCAACATAAACTCTTGAAGGAAGTGCTGTCCAACAGAAATACAACATGAGGCCGGGCACAGTGGCTCATACCTGTAATCCCAGCACTTTGGGAGGCTGAAGTGAGAGGATTGCTTGAGCCCAGGAGTTCAAGACCAGCCTGGGCAACATGGTAAGACTCCATCTCTACAAAAAAATTAAAAATTAAGCAGGTGTGGTGGCACACACCTGTAGTCCCAGCTACTTGAGAGGCTGAGTGGAGGACTGCTTGTGCCTGGGGGGGCGTTGAGGCTGCAGTGAGCTGCATGCCAGCCTGGGCAACACAGCGAGACCCTGTCAAAAAAAAAAAGGCTATGTGCAGTGGCTCATGCCTGTAATCCCAGCACTTTGGGAGGCCGAGATGGGTGGATCACCTGAGGTCAGGAGTTCGAGACCAGCCTGGCCAACATGGCGAAACAATGTCTCTACTAAAAATACAAAAATTAGCCAAGAGTGGTGGCGCATGCCTGTAATCCCAGCTCCTGAGGAGGCTGAGGCAGGAGAATCGCTTGAACCCGGGAGGTGGAGGTTGCAGTGACCCGAGATTGCACCACTGCACTCCAGCCTGGGTGACAGAGTGAGACTCTTTCTCAAAAATAAATAAATAATAAAATAAAATAAAATTTAAATTAAAAATAAAATTAAAAACTTGTGGCCCTAAAAGTTTACCTCCTAAATGTAGTTTTAATCATTTACCTCTCCCCTTTTTCCATCCACTTCTACCTTTTCAGTTTCCATAGATTTAAAATAGCCATCTAGGTATGAGGATGGATTCTGGGAAAGGAGAAATGGGAGAGGCTTTGAGACTCTGAAAGAGAGAGCCGCTGTGGAAAGCTACTAAGCCCTAGGCAGGAGATTCCAGCAAAGGAGTCTTTGTTTGGGATCTGACCTACTGCATTTCTGAAGGTTTTCATTCAGTGTTGGCCCGAAAGCTGATATTTAGAGAATAAGCCCCAGCCATCAAAATTCCCATCTCGTTTTCTTATGAGACTCCAGCTGTGCCTGGGGACTGAAGCGTATTAGGTTTATAGTTCAGGGTCTCCTGGATTAAATAAAAGGAAGAGGACTAACTGTTTGCGGCACACAGATTTGAATGGGACATAGCTGTTTTTCCAGCCATAATAGAAATAAAGTCACTACTCATCTTTTCTATAGTATACACAATTTACAAAATGCTTTACTTATGTTTTATTACATAATAGCCTGAGGTCAATATTATTTTGATCTTCCTTTTGCATGCAATGACCCACACTCAGAGAGGTTAGGTAATTGGAGCTGGCTTTGAACCCAAGGAGTTGGATTGGCCTACATAATACTCCCCCAGTGAACACCCTGCCCAGGCTACCAACCCATGCCCATTCACAGGCACTTACCTGTAATTCTCCCCAGCCATCCATCGTACATCTCTCCAACAAACCCAGATATGTGGGCTCCTAGACTTACTCCGATCATGTAAATGTCATCAAGAGAAGCTCCTTCTGCCTGGAATTTCAAGAGGTCCATCATTGTAAATTGTAAGGGGCCAAGGAATTAACATTTGTAGAAATTTCCTGGCTGTTGACTTTGGAGAAGTAATTCTAAGCACCTTACATCTATTATCTCATTTAAAAGTCACAACATCCATGCAAAGTAAATACTATTCTTTTGATTATGCAGATGAGGAAACTGAGGCCCTAAGCTGAAGTCATCTGCCCCAGATCAGGCAGCTGGGGAGAGAGCAGAGCAGGATTCAAAATAGTCTGTCTGCTGGGCCCAGTGGCCCACGCTTGTAATCCCAGCCCCGTGGGAGGCCGAGGCGGGCAGATCACCTGAGGTCGGGAGTTCGAGGCCAGCCTGACCAACATGGAGAAACCCCGTCTTTACTAAAAATACAAAATTAGCCGGGCGCAGTGGCTCACGCCTGTAATCCCAGCACTTTGGAAGGCCAAGGCAGGTGGATCACGAGGTCAGGAGATCAAGACCATCCTGGCCAACATGGTGAAACCCCGTCTCTACTAAAAATACAAAAATTAGCTGGGCATGGTGGCGTGTACCTGTAGTCCCAGCTACTCGGGGGGCTGAGGCAAGAGAATCGCTTGAACCCGGTAGGCAAAGGTTGCGGTGAGCTGAAATCACACCACTGCACTCCAGCCTGGTGACAGAACGAGATTCCGTCTCAAAAAAAAAAAAAGAAGTTGAGGAAGCTCTAGGCATTTAAACCAAGAAATCCTAGACAGAACCTCTCCTACCTGTAAGACACCTTTATTGTGAGCTAGAAAAAAATGCCCCTTCCTCAAGACACTTTGTCATCATCTGGTGGAAATTTATCATAATAAATATATAAATCTATAATGTCACAATGACAAGGGTGCTCCCTCAGATGGGTGCCCTGTGCAGTGCACAGCCTAACAAACATACCTATGGACATTTTGCACAGCCCCTCATCCCACCTTCCCTGGGGCTTATTCACATTTGCAAAATGTTGCAATATAGGCCTCCTGCTCACTGTAGCTATCTCTTGGCTTTAAGCCCTCAGATAATGGGCCAGTTTCAACTTAGCTCTGAATCATCTAAGAGAATTCTCTTACCAACATCTGGTCAATAAATTCCTTCAAGACCATGGCTACTTTTCTGGTCTTACTAGAGGCATGGGTATATATTAAAGTTGTAGCTCCTCGATTCCAATCAACAACAACTACGTTCATGTCTTCAACAGAGAGCAAACCCTTTACTAAGTCATCCATCCAAACAGGAGGGGAGCCTGTTGGCCTGAATCCATGGACAATGAAGGTGGTTTTCTTGGTCACATTCAAGTTCCCAAAAGCTGAGGAGTTGATGGTTTGTGCGCAGGTCAGGTTTTTCCTTGTGTAGAGCATCAGCCTCACATTTAGTCCCGTACCAACCACTGCACTGTGAAAGCTCAGCCTGGTGAATGAAGGACATGTTTCTTCTGCGTCTGAAAATAAAAATTAGATGGCATCACGACAGGTCTTTCCTTAGCTGGGCATCAAGCAAGAGTGCTGTTCTATATTTGTAGGAGTTCTTCTTATGTTCCTGATAGGACCTGGCTAAGGGCTGGATCCAGTTGAATGAAGTTGCAAAATCATATATACATACTTTGAGACAGGGTTTCACTCTCACCCAAGCTGGAGTGCAGTGGCGCAATATCAGCTCACTATAACTTCCACCTCCCAGGCTCAAGCAATTCTCCCTCCTCAGCCTCCTTGAGTAGCTGGGACTACAGGTGCATGCCATCATGCCCGCTAATTTGTGTATTTTTTGATAGAGATGGGTTTTCACCATGTTGGCCAGGCTGATCTCAAACTCTTTTGACCTCAAGTGATCCACTCACCTTGGCCTCCCAAAGTGGTAGGATTACAGGCCTGAGCCCACCACACCTGGCTGCCAAATCATATTTGTTTTTTTGTTTTTGTTTTTGTTTTGGAGACAGAGTCTCACTCTGTCGCCCAGGCCGGAGTGCAGTGGTGCAATCTCAGCTCACTGCAACCTCCGCCTCCCGGGTTCAAGTGATTCTCATGCCTCAGCCTCCCAAGTAACTGGGATTACAGGCATCCACCACAACACCGGGCTAATTTTTGTATTTTTAGAAGAGATGGGGTTTCACCATGTTGGCCAGGCTGGTCTCGAACTCCTGACCTAGGGTGATCTGCCCACCTCGGCCTCCCAAGGTGCTGGGATTACAGGCATGAGCCACCGTGCCCGGCCAACAAAATCATATTTGATCCAGAGCTTGTAAGTAGTGACCTCTTGCTTCAGCAGAAAGCCATTCTTCCAAATCTTATCCTCCTTCAAGATTTAACTCAAAAGCCACCTTAATGAAGCCTTCTCTGACCCTCCCAGCTATAAGTACTATCCTTTACCCTGGAACTCCCAAAACTCCCTTTATGCACCTTGTTGACGACACAATGAAAACCCACTTTCAGGCACACATTATAGATATCTATGTACATATGTGTCTATCCTGCTAGAACACAATCTCTTTGAAATGGCAGCTCATTACTTGTATATCCCTCACAGTGCCCAGCACATGGTAGAGGACTCAATAACATGTGGAACAGCAAGTCATCCCCAGCTCCAAGTGGGAGATGATGAGTATCTTCTGTAAGATACTCAGAAGAGGCAAGGCACTACCGATGGCCATTCTTGGTGGACAAGAGCAGAAAGGGAAGGCTGTTAACATGCAGTGGGCCAACAGAAGACAAGAGTGCCCTGGGAAACATCTGTCTGACTTCCTCCAATAGGAATTCAGGAAGCATTTGCTCTGGGTCCCTGTTCTCAATGAATCTTCATTTGCACATCCAGGAAGTATTCTTCATTCTAAGCCTCAGAGTAGCCTTCATCTTGGGGTCCTTGCCCATCTTTAATAACCTGAGTCTGTTCAGTTATGCATTTATTGAAACTTTTCAAAAAGGCTCTGGTACTCAGGAGTGAGTGAAGTTTCATAATAGAATCAGCACAAAACCAACCCCCCCAAATAAATAAATATGTAAATAAATAAATAAATAAAAATTAAATGAACTTAAAGGAAATTTACACGTGGCTAGATGTTACTTGTTGGTTACACTTAAATTCATGGTTTTTATCGTTACTTAACAATTAGTGAAATTTGTTCCCAGAAAACACCGTCTGTAGGATTTCTGCTTTCATGAAGTTAAAGAGACTTATTTAGGACTAAAACCTTGCCATTTTATTTACTTATTTATTTGATATGGAGTCTTGCTCTGTTGCCCAGGCTGGAGTGCAGTGGTGCAATCTCGGCTCACTGCAAACTTCATCTCCGGGATTCAAGCGATTCTCCTGCCTCAGCCTCCCAAGTAGCTGGAATTACAGGCGCCCGCCACCATGCCCAGCTAATTTTTGTATTTTTAGTAGAGACAGGGTTTCATCATGTTGGCCAAGGTGGTCTTGAACTCCTGACCTCGGGTGATCCGCCTGCCTTGGCCTCCCAAAGTGTTGGGATTACAGGCGTGAGCCATCGTGCCCAGCCAAGCCTGCCATTTTAAATAATTTTTCTTGGTGTCTGAAATTTATCTGCATCCTCTGTTTAGTGCTCAAAACTGCGGTTAATCAGGTAGATAAATAATCAGTGAGACTCTAGCTCTTAAAAAAAAAAGTTAAGGAGGCTTTGAAATCCCTCATCCTAGAAAACAGGTGGTTAATGTTGAACCTCAAATGCGCGCGTTCCTCCTTTTACTCTGCTTCATCAAGTAGCCTGTGTAGCGAGGCGTGCTCGTGATTAAGTATTTTCTCCATCCCTTGGCCTCTTTCATTTCCTCTTCCTGTAAGTCGCATGCTCCTGGGAACATGCACTTGCCCAGTTGTTTGTAGAGCAAAACCCAGAGCAAAGAGTTGCCTGTGTAATTAGTCATCTTCTTATTGAACAGGAAGTGTCTTGGGGTAGGGCTGAGCCTCTCCTTCTTAGCTATCAGTAAGGCTGGGTTTTGTTCCTGGTTGTGCAACTGACTCCCCAGGTGGCCTGGGGAAATTATGTCATCTTTCACTTGCCGCCTATCTGCCCAAGAGAGGAATCCTGGGGAGACTAATTCTGAATGAGATCATACTTGAGAAGACAGAGATTACTTTCCCAAGAAGAGGATTGTTTAATTGTCTGGTTTTGTGTTTTGTTTTGAGACAAGGTCTTGCTCTGTCACCCAGGCTGGAGTGCAGTGGCACGATCTCAGCTCATGCAACCTCTTCCTCCTGGGCTCAAGCAGTCCTCCCACCTCAACCTCCCAAGTAGCTGGGGCTACAGGTGCACATCACCATGTCTGGCTAATTTTTATATTTTTTGTAGAGACAGGCTTTCGCTATGTTGTCCAGGCTAGTCTTGAACTCCTGGGCTCAAGTGATCCACTTGCCTCGGCCTCCCAGAGTGCTGGGATTACAGCATGAGCCTCCACGCCCAGCCCTACATAATTTCTTTTAAGTCTTAGTTATTTTTGTAATGGTACTGTCCCCCGGAGAAGTCCATCGTAAGTATTGAGTGAAATAGATTTCCTTGTTCCTCTAAATACTAAATATTATAAAAGCTTTACATATATTATCTCTCATCCTCAGAGAATATGTGCAATTCATTCCAAAAGAATCTACTCTATCCTAGATTCTATGTCAGGTGGCATTTTAGAGGAAGAATCAGTCAGTAATGAAATAATGCACACAAATAAGTATAAAACTGCTACCTGTGACATGTGTCATATAAAAGAGATAGAGTGTAAGATGAAAACTTAAATAGGGAGCTTGGTCTGGTCTGGGGATCAGGAATCTTCTTTCTCTTGCATCATCTGAAAATAATGAGTAGCTAAATGCCAACAATGGGGGATTCTTTTCAAAGAATAAAAACATAACATCAAAGTACGATAATAATACAGTTGGGCAAATTCAAGTTACCCAAACTATTAAGCTTTATTTTTGTAGATTTTTTCTTTTATTACCTATGCTTAATGTTTCAGGTGTTATGTCCTTTTTAATTTTAATATGCCCCTTTTACCTTTAATTCCACCAAATATATATTCCACCAAATAATATATGTACATATATATACATATATGTACATATATATACATATATATGTACATATATACACACATATATACATATATACACACATATATACATATATACACACATATACATATATACATATATACACATATATATACATATATACATATATACACATATATATACATATATACGTATATACACATATACACATATATACACATATACACATATATACATATATATACATATATATACACATATATATATTTTTTTTTATTTTATTTTTTTGAGACAGAGTCTTGCTCTGTTGCCAGGCTGGAGTGCAGTGGTGTGATCTCGGCTCACTGCAACCTTCACCTCCCAGGTTCAAGTGATTCCCCTGCCTGTCTCCCAAGTAGCTGGGACTACAGGCGCGTGCCATCATGCCCAGCTAATTTTTGTATTTTTAGTAGAGACGGGGTTTCACCATGTTGGCCAGGATGGTCTCAATCTCTTGACCTTGTGATCCTCCCACCTCAGCCTCCCAAAGTGCTGGGATTACAGGCGTGAGCCACTGTGCCCAGCCTCAAATGATATTTTTATCATAACTGGGCTCTCTTGTTGTCAGCATTTGCCTACTGTGTCTTTATCCTTTTCACCTTCTGAATCCCTTTATTTTACAGATCTTTTTTTTTTTTCCTTTTTTTTTGAGACAGTTTCAGTCTGTTGCCCAGGCTGGAGTGCAGTGGCGTGATCTTGGATGACTGCAACATCGGCCCCCCCGGGTTCAAGCGATTCTACTGCCTCAGCCTCTTGAGTAGCTGGGATTATAGGTGCCCGCCACCACGCTAAGCTAATTTTTGTATTTTTAGTAGAGACGGGGTTTCACCTTGTTGGCCAGGCTGGTCTCGAACTCCAGACTTCAGGCGATCCACCCGCCTCAGCCTCCCAAAGTGCTGGGATCACAGGTGTGAGCCACCACGCCCGGCCGCATTTTACGGATCTTATATATAGGATCAAATTGGGTATTATTTTATGACCCACTCTCAGATCCTTTAAAAAAGATAAATGAGTATATCTATTAACATTTATTGGCATAACATATACTTGGTGTGGTGCCCATAGAAGTGCCTAAGACCTGCCTTTCAGAGAAACTTCTGGAGGAAGCACAGCTGAGTTGGCCGATAGCCTCCAGCTGCCCCACAGCATTTACATGAAGCCATGGCTCCCCATGCTGCTCCCCACCAATCACTGAGCCAGACCAGGCAGGTCATTCCTGCCCATGTGGCACTCTCTAATTGGAAACTTTGGCTCAAGGACTCCCCATCAGTCTGGCTGAAATATTCTCAGAACTGTGCTGGGGTCTGAGGCTCTTCCTACCCAACTTTTCCTTTCTCCTCTGCTTTCTCAGGTGCCAAACTGCCTGCATGATGGTGTGAAGCCTCCCTCTGCCTATTCCCACTCCCTCCTCCTTTATCCTTCACACTTCCTGAAATAGATCTCTTGCACATCCCTCCCCATCTTCTCAGAGGTCCCACATGGACACGACTGAACTGAATTCGGCAATGCTATGTTTTCCAGGGTTAGTGCCTTCTAGGTTCACTATCTTTTGCTTTATGGATTGTCCTCATGTTTTTTGTTTTTGTTTTATCAGGGGTTCTTTTGTATGTATGTGTTCTTTCTCATATTGGGAAGTTTATAGCTTGCTTTAATTCTTCTGGTAAACACCTTGATAACTCTATATGAAATATTTAAGGCTGGGCCTGGTGGCTCACTCCTGTAATCCCAGCACTTTGGGAGGCCAAGGCGGGTGGATCACCTGAGGTCAGGAGTTCAAGACCAGCCTGACCAACATGGTGAAACCCTGTCTCTACTAAAAATACAAAAATTAGCCAGGCATGGTGGCGTGCGCCTGTAGTCCCAGCTACTCAGGAGGCTGAGACAGGAGAATTGTTTGAACCAGGGAGGCGGAGGTTGCAGTGAGCCGAGATCTCACCACTGCATTCTAACCTGGGCGACAGAGCAAGACTCCCTCTCAAAGAACCAAAAAAAAAAAAAAAAGAAATATTTAAAATCCTTTTTCATGGAATGTAGATGTGTGACCTCTATGCCAGAAGTAGACTACATGCAGAACTGTTCCATACTGAAATATATCTATCCACACTTAATTATTCACCAATGTGCAACCCCTGGCAAGGATTTCTGGGCATCTGGAAACTGGATTTCCGACTCGGAGTGCGCTGCCGACTTCTGCCATGTGTTCTGCTGCTGATCTTTGTCAGAACAGCTCTTTCCTGACTCTACTCTTGTCCTGGCGTTAGTGCCTTGAGACAATATCTAATGTTTCTTTGTTATATGTGACGAGGACATTAACACACTTAATACTTCTCCCCACTAACTGGACTTCTACCTCCTGATTTTTATTAGTTATAAAATTATTTTTGGCTCATCTGGTGATTCCTTATATAGTTTCAAAATAAATGTTTAAGCCTCTGTGTATTGATGTATCAGTCACAGAGTTTCTGTTCTATTTACTGTATCTGTTCTATCAACTCATTCTCTACCAAGAAAAATGAGAAAGTTAATAGACCTATATTGCCTCTCAAATGCTCCTTGATCCTTCCTTCAGAATATATACATACACCCCTGGAAGCATGCAGTCTCTTCCCATTGTCAAATACAGTCGATTCTCATTATTTCTGGATCTTTCTTTCTTTTTTTTTTTTTTTTTGATTGTTTGTTGAGACAGGGTCTCACTCTGTCACCCAGGCTGGAGTGCACTGGCACAATCACAGCTCACTGCAGCCTTGACTTCCTAGGCTCAAGCAATCCTCCTGCCTCAGCCCTGAAATTGTGTGAGACTACAGGTGAGTGCCACCACACCAGGCTATTTTTTTTGAATTTTGGTAGAGATGAGGTCTTGCTATGTTGCCCAGGCTGGTCTTGAACCCCTGAGCTCAAATGATCCTCCTGCCTCAGCCTCCCAAAGTGTGGGATTATAGGCGTGAGCCACCCCACCCAGCCATATTTGTGGATTTCTTCTTGGTTTTTGGTGTTTTATTTATTTATTTATTTATTATTATTTTTTTTTTTAGAGACAGAGTCTCACTCTGTCAACCAGGCTGGAGCGCAGGGTCATGATCTTGGCTCACTACAACCTCCGCCTCTCAGGTTCAAGCAATTCTCCTACCTCAGTCTCCCGAGTAGCTGGGATTACAGACGTGCGCCACCACACCTGGCTAATTTTTGTATTTTTAGTAGAGACAGGTTTTCGCCATGTTGGCCAGGCTGGTCTCGAACTCCCGACCTCAGGTGATCTGCCCGCCTCAGCCTCCCAAAGTGCTGGGATTACAAGCGTGAGCCACCGTGCCTGGCCATATTTGTGAATTTCTTATGTGCAAATTTATTCATCACCCCAAAATCAATACTTGAGGAACCTTTTCAGTCATTCATGAACATGTGTAGAGTGGCGAAAAATTTGTGTTGCCTGACATGCATGATCTCAGCTGAGGTCAGAGAGAGCAACACTCTGCCTTCTTATTTGTTTCAGCTCTCATACTCTAAACAGGTGTCCTTTTCATGAACACTTAGATGACAGTCACTTAGTGCCACGTTTTTTGCTTCCTGTGCTTTTTCTTTTTTCTTTTTTTTTTTGAGACGGAGTTTTGCTCGTCGCCCAGGCTGGAGTGCAGTGGCGAGATCTCGGCTCACTGCAACCTCCACCTCCCAGGTTCAAGCGATTCTCCTTGCTTCAGCCTCCCGAGTAGTTGGGATTACAGGCGGCTGCCACCACGTTCTGCTAATTTTTGTATTTTTAGTAAAGACAGGGTTTCACCATGTTGTCCACGCTGGTCTCGAACTCCTGACCTCAGGTGATCCACCCACCTCAGCCTCCCAAAGTGCTGGGATTACAGGCGTAAGCCACCACACCCAGCCACTTCCTGTGCTTTTTCTTGGTTATTTCACTGTTTAAAATGGTGTCCACTCATAGGTTTATTGCAGCACTATTCACAATAGCAAAGATATGGAATCAACCTAAGTGTCTCTCAACAGATGATTGGAAAAAGAAAATATGATGTATATATACAATGGAATACTATGTGCTCATAAAAACGGATGAAATCATCTCTTTTGCAGCAACATGAATAGAACTTGAGGCCATTATCTTAAGTGAAATAACACAGACACAGAAACACAAATACTGCATGTTCTCACTTATAAAGGAGAGCTAAATAATATATCTAGGGCTGGGCATGGTGTCTCACGCCTGTAATACCAGCACTTTGGGAGGCCAAGGCAGGCAGATCACTTTGAGGTCAGGAGTTCGAGACCAGCCTGGGCAACATGGCAAAACCCCGTCTCTACTAAAAATACAAAAATTAGCTAGGCATGGTTGTACAAGCCTGTAATCCCCGCTACTCGGGAGGCTGAGGCAGGAGAATTGCTTGAACCCGGGAGGCAGAGGTCGCAGTGAGCTGAGATCATGCCACTGCACTCCAGCCTGGGCAACAGAGCAAGACTCCATCTCAAAAATAAATAAATAAATAAATAAATAAAATGGTGCCCAAGCATAATGCTGAAGTGCTGTCTAATGTTTCTAAGCAGAAGAAGGCTATGATGTGCCTTAGAGAGAAAATACATGTGTTAGGTAAGCTTCATTCAAGCATGAGTTAGAGTGCTGTTGGCCATAAGTCCAATGTTAATGAATCAACAGTATATATTAAATCAGATGCCTTTAAACAGAAACACACAGAAAATTATGTATTGATCCACTGACAAAAATATTGTGACCAGAGGCTTGCAGAAAACTAACCTTGGACTTCCCCTAGGAGCAATGGTTCAGTATTTGCTAATGCAGTGTTTGAGGCCACTTAATGGGACATAACTAACACAAATACTGAGAACAGGCTGGATATAAAAATTATCTTCTGGACTTACGCCTGTAATCCCAGTGTTCTGGGAGGTCAAGGCAGGAGGATTGCTTAAGCCCAGGAGTTTGAGACAGCCTGGGCAACATAGCAAGACTCCATAACTATTTTTTTGTAATTATCTTCTGAAACCATACTTCTCCAGTTATGTAGTTTTAGTTCTATAAAGTACATGTCCATTGCTCACTGAGTCCTTTTCCTAAGCTTCTCCCTTTACCACTAGGTGACTGGCTCTTGCTTTTTTTTTTTTTTTTTTTGATGCACGGTTTCTCACTCTTGTCCCCCAGGCTGGAGTGCAATGGCATGGTCTCGGCTCACTGTAACCTCCACCTCCCGGGTTCAAGTGATTCTCCTGCCTCAGCCTCCCATGTAGCTGAGATTATAGGTGCATGCCACCACGCCCAGCTAATTTTTATATTTTTAGTAGAGACAGGGTTTCACTGTGTTGACCAGGCTGGTCTCGAACTCCTGACCTCAGGTAATCCACCTGCCTCCGCCTCCCAAAGTACTAGGATTACAAGCTTGAGCCAGCATGCCTGGCGCTCTTGCTGTCTTTCAAGGAGGGCTCATGGTTCATATAATGCCTAAATTCATTTGTATCTGGGAATAAATTCCTTAGCCTAAATAATGACCTGGCTTTGAACCATACTCTTTCCTTCAGGAAAAATCAATATTCTACTATTTTCTTGTACTGAATTCTACCCTGGAGAATGGAGAATTTTCCTCTGTTGTTTTTTTTTGTTTTGTTTTGTTTTGTTTTTTGAGATGGAGTTTCGCTCTTGTCACCCAGGCTGAAGTGCAATGGTGTGATCTCCGCTCACTGCAAACTCTGCCTCCCAAGTTCAAGTGATTCTCCTGCCTCAACCTCCCCAAGTAGCTAGGATTACAGGCGCCCACCACCACACCTGGCTAATTTTTGTATTTTTAGTAGATATGGCTTTTCGCCATGTTGGCCAGGCTGGTCTTGAACTCCTGACCTCAGGTGATCCTCCTGCCTCAGCTGCCCAAGGTGCTGGGATTACAGGCATGAGTTACTGAGCCTGGGCGAGAATTTTCTCCTTTTTATGTCACTTGCATTTTTTCTGCAACATACCTGAAGCATTATTTCCTTTTTCCAGAAAAACTCCCCACTGATGTAGAAGCTCCAGGATAATTCATCTGTTCCACCCGTTGTATTCTCAGTGCCAAGAACAGGGCCTGGTTCAGAGTTAGCATCAATAAATGTTGCTTGAACAAATGAATATCAACCTGCTAGCATGTTCTGCAGACATCAGATCCTCCAAAGTGTTGGGATTACAGGTGCAAGCCACCACACCCGGCCTCATTCTTTAAATATTCATTTCTGTTGGTATTTCTAAAGGCATCAGATACTTGTATGCCTTCAGAAAGCAAAATCCTTTTGAGTTATGTTATTGTTATGGTACAAAGTCAAGGTTGTTCAGAGGTAGAGCAACAGAGCACATATAACCAGTGACCACAGAACATGTTAAACTGGTTTTTAAAGCTTAACTTCTTCTATTTGAGTTTATCTGAAACAGGAGAAATTTTGCCTGTCCTTTTCAGACTACTCTGAAATTCAATTACTCTGAAATGCCATTTCCTGTTGACAGTTGGAAAATTACAGTTGGATGAGTGGTGTTTCCAATATCCTTTGATAAGGAATTCAGACTCCTATTTAGAGCAGGCATGATTATCATGTATTCCCTTCTATCTCTTAAAAGAAAAGAAACATATCCAAGTAGGATACCAGGGCAATCTCACTGTAACTTCTTTAGCATAATTGTGCCTGAGATGTTTTCTTGCAATTTAATGCATGGTCGCCTGCAGGTCAAACCTGGTCATGCCCATTTATATATTGTCCACGGCTACTTTCCTGCTCTAAAGGCAGAGCTGAATGGCTATGACTAATGGCCCATAAAGCTGAAAATATTTACTCTCTGGCTCTTTACAGAAAATGTTTGCCAACCCTAGTCTAATGTCCTAAATACAAATACAGGCCAAGTGCGGGTGGCTCACACCTGTAATCCCAGCACTTTGGGAGGGTCCCTTGACGTGAGGAGTGGGAGACCACCCTGGGCAACATAGTGAGATCCCATCTCCATAAAACAAAAAAACAAAAAAACACGTCTTTGGAAACAGCATGAGTTTTGGAGTCAGACCTAGGTTTGATGTCCAACTCCACTGCCTATTAGCTATGTGACCCCTGGTAATTAATTGCCTAACCTCTCTGGGCCTCAGCTTTGCATCTGTAAAATAATCATAATAGGCCAGGCACAGTGGCTTACGCCTGTAATCCCAGCACTTTGGGAGGCTGACGCAGGCAGATCACCTGAGGTCAGGAGTTTGAGACCAGCCTGGCCTACATGGTGAAACCCCATCTCTACTAAAAATACAAAAAAAAAAAAAAATTAGCTGGGTGTGGTGGCACATGCCTGTAATCCCAGCTACTTGGGAGGCTGAGGCAGGAGGATTTCTTGAACCCAGGAGGCAGAGTTTGCAGTGAGTCGAGACCCAGCCACTGCACTCCAGGCTGGGTGACAGAGTGAGACTCTGTCTCAAAAATAAATAAATAAAAATAAATAAAAATACAAAAATTAGCCGGGTGTGGTAGCGCACACCTGTAATCCCAGCTACTCGGGAGGCTGAGGCAGGAGAATCGCTCGAACCCAGCAGGTGGCAGTTGTGGTGGGCCAGGATTGTGCCACTGCACTCTTAGCCTGGACGACAGAGTAAGACTCCGTCTCAAAAAAAAAAAAAAAAAAAATTCTAAAGCTGGGCATGGTGGTGCAGGCCTATATAGTCCCAGCTACTTGGGAGGCTGAGGCAGGAAAACCACTTGAGTCCAGGGTTCAAAGCCTGCCTGGGCAATATGGCAACACCCATCTCTTTAAAAAAAAAAAAAATTTCCCACTGGGTGCTGTGGCTCACGCCTGTAATCCCAACACTTTTGGAGGCCAAGGTAGGAGGATCACTTGAGCCCAAGAGTTCGAGACCCGCCTGGAACAATAAGGTGAGACCCTGTCTCTAGAAAAAATCAAAAAGTTAGCTGGGCGTGGTTGCACATGCTGGTGGTCCCAGCTACACTGAGCCTGTGGCAGAAGGTGGCTTGCACCCAGGAAATCAAGGCTGCAGTGAGCTGTGAGCTGCGATCACACTACTGCACTCCAGCCTGGGCAACAGAGTAAGAACTTGTCTAAAAACAAACAAAAAACAAAACAAAAAAAGCCTGTGCTGTCTCAGCTACACACTCAGCTCTGGCTTCTTCTACCTCATTTTGGAGGAATTAATTTTATTTCCCATATTTCTGACTGGAGAAAACCCTCTTCAAAGAGAGGAGACTCCTCATTCATATCCAAAGAGGCATCTGTGAAAAAAGAAGACAGAATTATGGACAGAGGCGAGGAAATTCTGAGATTCTACGATAGTCAATAAGCAAAGGTGGGAATTGTTTGAACCCGGGAGGCGGAGGTTGCAGTGAGCCGAGATCACACCACTGCACTCCAGCCTGGGTGACAGAAAGACTCCGTCTCAAAAAAAAAAAAAAGAAGGTATCTCAGACCCATCTCAGACCTTGATGAAGGTGCCTTGGACCCTTTGGTCCACTGACCTCCAAACCTACATTACAGAAGTGAAATTCTGTAGGACATGTAGAAGTGAAATTCATGTAGGACATGACAGAATTTCATGTCAATTTCACGTCCTACATGAAATTAACCTTGACGTGTAGTGCCCAGTCAGGAAGTAAAACAGCCCTGACTCATACTGCTTTTTTATCTCGAGTTTTGGTTTCTAAGGTGTGCTTGAGCTTTCTTCCCCTCCACCCCATCCCCAAACGTGACATAGATGTATATTAATAACTTCTTTAGAACAGAGGTCCACAGTCAGGTTTACTGACTTGATGCTGCCTGAAAGTATTTACTGAAGGCAGGGCACGGTGGCTCACGCCTGTAATCCCAGAACTTTGGGAGGCTGAGGAGGGTGGATTGCCTGAGTTCAGGAGTTTGAGACCAGCCTGGCCAGCCTGGCCAACATGGCGAAACCCCGTCTCTACTAAAAATACAAAAAATTAGCCGGGCATGGTGGCAGGCACCTGTAATCCCCAGTTACTTGGGAGGCTGAGGCAGGAGAATTGCTTGAATCTGGGAGGCAGAGGTTGCAATGAGCCGAGATCGCGCCACTGCACTCCAGCCTGGGCAACAAGAGCAAAACTCCATCTCCAAAAAAAAAAAAAAGAAGAAGAAAGAAAGAAAGTATTTACTGAGACCCAGATAAAGATTAACAGATACATTTTCAAGTATTCTGCATGCTTGGCAATGGATGTTACTGTCTGGGATACAAGCTCATTACACGTTGATGCCGTTGATGCCAAAATGTTCACAGTAACCTATGCTTGAGCACACTCTTATGCTTGCCTGAAGACACTGTTCTGAAGGAATTTCCAAAAGTCCAAGAAATAAAAATCTGAAGTTTTTTTAGGCCAGAAACTTTGCCTTCCTCGTATTAGAAAATGAGTTGGGGCCGGGCGCAGTGGCTCAAGCCTGTAATCCCAGCATGTTGGGAGGCCGAGGCGGGCGAATCACCAGGTCAAGAGATCGAGACCATCCTGGCCAACCTGGTGAAACCCTGTCTCTACTAAAAATACAAAAATTAGCTGGGCGTGGTGGTGGGCACCGGTAGTCCCAGCTACTTGGGAGGCTGAGGCAGGAGAATTGCTAGAACCAGGGAGGCGGAGGTTGCAATGAGCCAAGATCGCGCCACTGCACTCCAGCCTGGTGACAGAGCGAGACTCTGTCTCACATAAAAGGAAAAAAAAAACAACAAAAAAAAACTCATCCTAGGTCAAGCACGGTGGCTCACACCTGTAATCCTAGCACTTTGGGAGGCCGAGGTAGGTGGATCACCTGAGGTCAGGAGTTCGAGACCAGCCTGGCCAATATGGTGAAACCCCATCTCCACTAAAAATACAAAATTAGCTGGGTGTGGTGGCACATGCCTTTAGTCCCAGCTACTTGGGAGGCTGAGGCAGGAGAATCACTTGAACCTGGGAGGCAGAGGCTACAGTGAGCCAAGATCGTGCCACTGCACTCTAGCCTGGGCGAGACAGAGCAAGACTCCATCTCAGAAACAAAACAAAACAAAAACAAAACAAAACAAAACAAAACAAAACAAAACAAACCGCATCCTGAGCCAGGCTGTGAAAGGATTACAGTTGGACAGGGTCAAACCTGGTGAAGCATTTGTTTTGCCAGGCATGGTGGCTCACACCCGTAATCACAGCACTTTGGGAGGCCGAGGCAGGGGGATCACGAGGTCAAGAGTTCAAGACCAGCCTGGCCAAGATGGCGAAACTCCGTCTCTCCTAAAAATACAAAAATTAGCTGGGCGTGGTGGTGGGTGCCTGTAATCCCAGCTACTTGGGAGGCTGAGGCAGAGAATTGCTTGAACCCGGGAGGCAGAGGTTGCAGTGAGCCGAGATCGCACCACTGCAGTCCAGCCTGGCAACAGAGCGAGACTCCATCTCAAAAAAAAAAAAAAAGAAAATATTTGTTTCTTTTTTACCCTGGGCGGAGACAGGCAAGAAGCATATGGGCAGGATGCCCTCTTGATTGGAAGGACATGCCTGCTTTTAACCACTGGCTGTGTTTCTTTAGGATGCAACCGAGAAAATAAATGAGATGCCAGATTTTCTCATTCTCATTTCTGAATCATGTGCATAAATATGCACATTCACACCCCCTCATTCACCTTTGCCAACTTGTTAGAGAAAGATGAGTCACCACACAGGCACAGTTCCAAATCATTCTAGAGGATTGCAAATATCTGAGGAAATAATTCTGGTTTTGGCATTAAACAATTTTTTCTGGGAAAATATCTATCTAGTTTTACAGTTGCTATGGGCCAAAATATCGATAGCAGAGTAACTTTTAAAAATACTTATGTCAAGCAGTCTTAATTTAGAACAATATTTTAAAACCTATGTTTGTTTCACCACCTGCAGCTGAAAAACCCTGAGGAATTGTTAAAAATGCAGATTCTAGGCCAGGCACAATGGTATGTGCCTGTAAGTTCCAGATACAGACAGGGCGGGAAAATTTTTGAGACAGGGTCTTGTTCAGCCAGGCTGAAGTGCAGTGGCTACTCAGAGGCACAGTCATAGCTCACTGCAGCCTCCAACTCCTGGGCTCAAGCGATCCTCCCACCTCGGCCTCCCCAAGTGCTGGGACTACAGATGTGAGCCCCTAGGACCAACCAAAAAAATTTTTTAAGATGTAGATTCCAGGATCTCACTCCCAGATCTACTAAGTTTGGATTTTTGGAGGTGGAGTCTGCATTTTAATCAAGCCCTCAGGGGATTCTAGTGTACTTTAGTTTGTTAGCCATTGCTTTGTTCACTGGTAAGATTATGGCAAACATTCCTAACATTATTTCACAAAGATTAGAAAACAAAACAAACATTTCTGAAACTGAATGACTTGTATCCTTGGGATTTCTGAAGCCCATTTTAATGCTTGTTAATTTTTGAACTGCAAGCAGAAGGGAAAAACAAGAAGTCCATGTATTTGAGATTAATAATGTCTGCTACCAGATGAATATTATTCAACACCCTCCCTAATGAAAGTTCCAAGTTTATGGTTTCCTAGACACTGAGAAGACTAGAATTAGCTTACAGCTATACTATTTTTTTTCCTTCTACCTACAGAAGTTTATTCTTGTGTGTCTCTGTCTGCTGAGATTCTATCATGCAGCAGTGACAGTCTTCTAGAATCTAGCAGTAAAACAAGACTTTACTTCTGAGAAGATGCTAAGGAAAAGGAAGGTCACAAAAAAATTAAGTTGCCATTTTTTTCAACTTTATAAATGGAGATACATAATGAAAGACTGGAAGAAGGTACCCACAAGCCATCTTGTGTTTTTGTGTTAGGGTTGTCCCTGACCCATTTAAGATACCTCTACATTTATATTATTATATATTTTTTTTGAGATGGAGTCTCACTTTGTTGCCCAGGCTGGAATGCAGAGGCACGATCTTGGCTCACTGCAACCTCTGCCTCCCAGGTTCAAGAGATTCTCCTGTCTCAGCCTCCCGAGTAGCTGGGATAACAGGTGCATGCCACCAGGCCTGGCTAATTTTGTATTTTCAGTAGAGATGGGGTTCACCATGTTGGCCAGGCTGGTCTTGAACTCCTGACCTCAGGTGATCCACGCGCCTTGGCCTTTCAGAGTGCTGGGATTATAGGCATGAGCCACTGCGCCTGACCATTTATCTTAATTTTTTTAATTTAAAAATGATAATAGGCCGGGCGCGGTGGCTCACACCTGTAATCCCAGACTTTGGAAGGCCAAGGCGGGTGGATCACAGGATTGAGACCATCCTGGCCAACGTGGTGAAACCTCATCTCTACTAAAAATACAAAATTAGCCAGGCGCAGTGGCGCACTCCTGTAGTCCCAGCTATTTGGGAGGCTGAGGCAGGAGAATCGCGTGAACCAGGGAGGGGGAGGTTGTAGTGAGCCGAGATCACGCCACTGCACTCCAGCCTGGATGACAGAGCAAGACTCCATCTCAAAAACAAACAAAAAAAATAATAAACATATACTTTAAAATATCGAGTTCTCAGTTAAAAATATCATCATTGGTATGATTTTAACTTACTAGAAAATCAACTTCAAAACCATATATAAAGAAAAATTTATAGGCCAGAAATCCTAATACTATTTTTCCATTTCCCTTCTAAACTTCATTCACATATGCATACATACATGATTTTAACATAGTTGTAATTATAGTTTACCAACAAATTTAAGTTCTACTTTTTCTACTTTGCATTACTTTAAAAATGTTTGCTTATTTCTGCATATCATCAGAATCAGTTGAAAGGCTACTTTAAAAAAATTAAGTTGATATACTGTCTTTTATCCATTCCTGTATGTAGAAACATTTTGGTTATATCTAGTTTCAAGTTATTGCAAGTAATATAGTTAGACTTATCTCTGCATAGGAGGCTTTTTTCTTTTAAAAGTTATGCATTTAGAATAAATTCCCAGCAATGGTTTTACTAGCTTAAAGTATATGAACATTTTTACAAGTCTTAATATATAACATATTTACCCTTTGCCCTTCAAAAAAATTATATCAACCTTCATTACCACAGCTATCTGAAACAAAACTGAATACCTAAAAAGGTTGCAAAGTGTTGAATTTTATTTTTTTAAGCATTTCACTTTATTTTTGTTACATTATCTGGTACATTAGGGTTTTAATTTTGATTTCTTCATTATGATTAATAATTTTTAAGTTATAAGAATGCCAGGAACCATTCCAAGGAGTTTATCTATATAAAATTATGTTTTCTCTAAGAATAATTTAAATAAACTCTCAATGCATGAAAATATAAAAACCAACCCTTGATATATTAAATATAAGATAGATTTTTATATTTCCAGAAAATAAATCATCTCATTTCACAGAACTAGAAAGGCACAGATAAATAGGCTAAGAAAGAAAATAAGACTTCTAGATTTTTCAGCATATTTGATTGTTGTAAATAAGAAGAAATTAATTCAAAGACATAATAGCTTCTTTTATTATTGAGAAATTTTTTTCAGGATGAGAAAGTTCATCTAACCTGTATCTTTTTTTTTTTTTTTTAAGGAAATGTTAAGGAAATGATACAGGCTTCCTATATCTTTTTCCTTAAAAACGACTCTATGGACTTAAGTTCACCGAAGGAAGTGGAATGATGACATGCAAAATGACAACACAACTAATTCTATTTTTTAAGCAGTTAAGAAAACCAGTTTGTAAATAACCTACCTGATCTTGACAAGCACAACAAACTGATGAATAAGTAGAATCTCAACATATGGAAACTGGAGAGATCGTGTGTCACATTCACAAGAATGATTTACTTCGCAGAGGCTTAAGAGTTTCCACTGTGGGATTTTGCTCACAGTGAGCTCAGACGACTCAGAGGTGTGGTGACAACAGGAAGTTCCCTAGGGACTGACTGCAGGCAGTCCCAACCCTTTCAGGATCTTTGACTCCTCCTCTTTTCAATAAAAGGTCACTCATTGTCTACTTTATACAATTTTGTGCATATCTTAATATTATAATCTGCATCTGCAGAATGACGAGTTCAGAATAGTTTCATTCTTCGTGGGCGGTTTATTAGTTGTTTGGCTTGGTGTGTTGAAACCAAGTGTGACTTGAGATCTTTTCCCCTTGGTTCTTGTGAATGAAATAACAAATCCAGTTTGTATCTGTTGGCCTGTATATACAAAACCAGTTTTTATGTTAATTCATACACTCATTCATCATAGGGCAGTCTTTAGATTTTAAGAACATTTCATTAGGTCCAATTATACATCTACATTTGCCAAAATATATGTATGCTTCAGATTAAAAGAAACTTTTTTTGGTATTATATATCTTTATTTGTATTTCTTCCTACCGAGAATTTCTACAGCTCTAATAGGTCTTTTTTAAAAAAGAAAAACAGGCCGGCACGGTGGCTCACGCCTGTAATCCCAACACTTTGGGAGGCTGAGGCGGGTGGACTGCTTGAGGTCAGGAGTTTGAGACCAGCCTGGCCAACATGGCGAAACCGTCTCTACTAAAATTACAAAAATTAGCCGGGTGTGGTGACACGCACCTGTAATCCCAGCTACCTCAGGAGGCTGAGGCACAAGAATTGCTTGAACCCGGGAGGCAGAGGTTGCAATGAGTCCAGGTCACATCACTGCACTTCAGCCTGGGCGACAGAGTGACTGTCTCAAACAATAAATACATAAATAAAAAGGAAAAATAAATGAAAAACTTTCAAATAGAACCCCATGCCAGAATCTATGTATCTCAGGGATAGAGGTAACTAAACTTGTGCTTCATAGCTCCAAGGTAATTTAATTCCCTTTCTGGCGAGAGTGCTTGCAACACTAACTCAGGCTTCTAGTGGTCTGATGAGCTTAAAAATCAATTAATAAGCCGGGCGCGGTGGCTCAAACCTGTAATCCCAGCACTTTGGGAGGCCGAGGCGGGCGGATCACGAGGTCAGGAGATCGAGACCATCCTGGCTAACACGGTGAAACCCCCTCTCTACTAAAAATACAATTAGCCGGGCGTGGTGGCGGGCGCCTGCCAGCTACTCGGGAGGCTGAAGCGGGAGAATGGCGTGAACCTGGGAGGCGGAGCTTGCAGTGAGCCAAGATCGCTCCACTGCACTCCAGCCTGTGCAACCGAGCGAGACTCCGTCTCAAAAAAAATAAATAAATAAAAAATAATAAAAAACATTAATATGCTGGGCGCGGTGGCTCATGCCTGTAATCTCAGCACTTTGGGAGGCTGAAGGGGGTGGATCGCTTGAGCCCAGGAGTTCCAGTCCAGCTTGGGCAACATGGCAAAAACCCATCTCTGAAAAAAAATACAGACATTCTTTAGTGCACCTGTGGTCCCAGCTACTAAGGAGGCTGAAGTGGGAGGATCACCTGAGCCCAGGAAGCAGGAAGTTGCCATGAGCCAAAATCATACCACTGCACTCCAGCCTGGGTGACAGAGTGAGACCCCGTCTCTAAATAAATAAATAAATAAATAATAAAGACGCAACTTAAGAAAACATTTCATCCAAAGCATCAGGCAAAAGCAATTAGTCATTTAGCATTGTCTACCTGAAGTATGGGTTTGTGAAGTAATAGTACCGCTCATATAAGTTTATCTATTAGTTCTCTTCATGTTCCCACCCCATTTGAGTAGCAGGAGATTCCTTTGCAGGAAGTAGATTCTAGCAATGCTTCCCAAGAAGTCAGTAAGTCAGAATCACCTGGGGGCTTTTAAAAGTACTGTGTGCAGATTTCTGTGTCACACATCAGACCTAATGAATACCAAGACTGCCTAGGGCTGACTTATTATACTAACCTGAGTTCAAATCCCTTGTCTTCCACTAGCTTAGTTGTGTAGACTTAGGCAAAACATTTAAGTTCTTTTTTTTTTTTTTTTTTTTTTTTTTTTTTGTGAGACGGAGTCTCACTGTCGCACACGCTGGAATGCAGTGGCGCGATCTCGGCTCACTGCAGGCTCCACCTCCCGGGTTCACGCCATTCTCCCGCCTCAGCCTCCCGAGTAGCTGGGGCTACAGGCGCCCGCCACCACGCCCGGCTGATTTTTTTGTATTTTTAGTAGAGACGAGGTTTCACCGTGTTAGCCAGGATGGTCTCATCTCCTGACCTCGTGATCCGCCCGCCTCGGCCTCCCAAAGTGCTGGGATTACAGGCGTCAGCCACCGCGCCCGGCCCGCCGCTTTCTTTTCTTTTCTTTTTTTTTTTTTTTCAGACAAAGTCTCACTCTACCACCCAGGCTGGAGTGCAGTGGTGCAAGCTCACTGTAACCTCGAACTCCTAGGCTCAAGTGATCCCCCTGCCTCAGCTTCCCTAGAACTACAGGTGTATGCCACCACGCACGGCTAATTTTGTGATTGTAGAGGTGGGATACTTGCTACATTGCCCAGGCTGGTCTCAGAACTTCTGGATTCAAGTGATATTCCCACCTCAGCCTCCCAAAGTGTTGAGATTACAGGCATGAGTCACCGTGCCTGACCCAACATTTAGGTACTTAAAGTCTGTTTTCTTAGCTGTAAAATGAAGATAATAAAATCACACATTTCACAGGGTTGTTATACGGACTAAATGAGATATTACAGCTAAAGTCCTTAGCACTGCGCTAAGGTGAGCGCTCTGGCAGCTTGATAACTGTTGTTATTATCTAGCTGGCCACACATCTGTACCTTTCCTATCCAGCAGAAGGCAGGCTGCACAATGTTGAGAAGAGAGACTTAGACAGGACTTTTAGGACTGGGGGCACCCTAAGTCTTGGGTCTTCAGGTGAGAGACTTCAGTCACCACTTCAGCCTGTTTTTGGTTTTGGTTTTGTCTCCTGCTTGGAGAAATAAATTAAGGAACTGTGAATAAGTGAAACCAAATAGGTCGGGTGTGATGGCCCAGGCCTGTAATTCCAACACTTTGGGAGGCCAAGGCGGGCGGATCACCTGAGGTCAGGAGTTCGACACCAGCCTGGCCAACATGGTGAAACCTCATCTTTACTAAAAATACAAAAGTGAGCCAGGCGTGGTGGCAAACGCCTATAATCCCAGCTACTTGGAAGGCTGAGGCAGGAGAATCGCTTGAATCTGGGAGGTGGAGGTTGCAGTGAGCCAAGATCGCGCCACTGCACTCCAGCCTGGGCGACAGAGTGAGACTCTGTCTTGACAACAAAAAAAAAAGAAAAACCAAATAGATGGCCTGTTAGCCTGTCTATTTTTCGCTCAGCTTTTGTTTAGTTTAGAGAAAAATTTGCTTTTATTGCTGTAAGCTTTACTAATTTGAAAACAACTGCCCTCTGGAACAAATGGAGACTTGTTTCACATCTCTTTTAGGAACCTGTTAGGGAATTCCTTGCTCCCTGTTCAATCAGTGTACTTGCCTGATAAATATTTGTTAGGTCCTGTGAGTTTTAAGTACCATGCCAAGTGCTTATCTACACAGAGCTAATGTACATTTTCCTGGAAACTATCCAATTATAGGAAAGGGAATCATTTCTGTTGGGAGGATTCTTTGTGTTACTTTTTGTTGTTGTTGTTGTTTTTGAAACAGGGTCTCACTCTGTCATCCAGACTTGAGTGCAGTGACTCCATCACAGCTCACTGGTCTTGACCTCCTGGGCTTAAGGGATTCTCCCACCTCAGCCTCCTGAGGAGCTGGGGTCACAGGCACATGTCACCATGCCCTGCTAATTTTTTAATGTTTTTGTAGAGATGGTGTCTCACAGTGTTGCCCAGGCTGGTCTCAAACCCCTGGACTCAAGCAGTCCTCCCGCCTTAGCCTCTCAAAGTGCTGGGATTACAGGCATGAGCCACCGTGCCTGGCCTCTTTGTGTTACTATTAACGATTTTCCTGCTGGTGGGCACAGAAGGTCTCTAACTTCTTAACGTGCTCCTTTCTATTTTAGGCTTTCAGAACAGCACAAAAATCGATGGGAGAATCTGTCCCTTATTTTTTTGCAATAGTGAGAAATATCAAATATAAGAAAACATAAAACATTCCCGAGAATGGGGAGAGGAGAGGCAGGGAGGAGAGGAGAATGGGTTTGACTGTAGAAGAATCTTTTAGTTGGCCAGGCTCATGCCTGTAATCCCAGCACTTTGGAAGGCCGAGGCAGGTGGATCACCTTTGTCAGGAGTTGGAGACGAGCCTGGCCAACATGGTGAAACCCCGACTCTACTAAAAATACAAAAGTTAGCTGGGTGTGGTGGCAGGTGCCTGTAATCCCAACTACTCGGAAGGCTGAGGCAGAAGAATTGCTTGAACCCAGGAGGTAGAGGTTGCAGTGAGCCGATATTGTGCCATTGCACTCCAGCCTGGGTGACAAGAGCAAGACTCCATCTTAAAAAAAAAAAAATCATCTTTTAGTGATGAAATAATTGTGTATCTTAATTGTGGTAGTGGCTATGTGGTGGTGGACAGGTGATAAAATAGCACAGAACTACACACATTTACATGTGAAACTCTAAATGAGATCTGTGGATTGTCAACCAGGGTCAATTTTTTTGTTTTGCTTATTTTTATATTGATTTTTTATTTTTTTGAGACAAGGTCTCACCCTGTCACCCACCACAACCTCCAACTCTTGGGCTCAACTGATCCTCCACCTCAGCCTCCTGAGTAGCTGGGACCATAGGCACAAGCCACTGCACCTATTTTTGTAACTTTCTGAGAACCAATAATTATTTTTATTTTCTTTTAGTTTTCTTTTTTTTTTTTTTGTGACAGTCTTGCTCTGTAGCCCAGGCTAGAGTGTAGTGGTGCAACCTCGGTTCACCACAACCTCCGCCTCCCAGTTTCTAGCTATCCTCCTGCCCCTCAGCCTCCTGAGTAGCTGGGATTACAGGCATGTGCCACCACGCAGAGCTAATTTTTGTATTTTTTAGTAGAGACAGCGTTTTGCCATGTTGGCCAGGCTGGTCTCAAACTCCTGGACTCAGGTGATCCACTCTCCTCGGCCTCCCAAAGTCCTGGGATTACAGGTGTATGCCACCAGGCCCGACCCAAAAATTATTTCAAAATAAAGTTTTCCAGGCTGGGCGTGGTGGCTTATGTCTGTAATCCCAGCACTTTGGGAGGCTGAGGTGGGTGGATCACCTGAGGTCAGGAGTTCGAGACCAGCCTCACCAATATGATGAAATCCCGTCTCTACTAAAAATACAAAAAAATTCACCAGGTGTGGTGGCTTATGCCTATAATCCCAGCTACTTGGGAGGCTGAGACAGGAGAATTGCTTGAACCCAGGAGGTAGAGGTTGGGAGGCAGAGGTTGTGGTGAGCTGAGGTTGTGCCATTGCACTCCAGCCTGGGAAACAAGAGTGAAACTCCGTCTCAAATATACACACACACACACACACACACACACACACACACACAAATTAGCTGGGCATCGTGGCAGGCGCCTGTAATCCCAGCTACTCGGGAGGCTGAGGCAGGAGAATCGCTTGAACCCGGGAGGTGGAGGTTGCAGTGAACCGAGATTGCGCCACTGCATTCCAGTCTGCACAACAGAGCAAGACTCAGTCTCAAAAAAAAAAAAAAAGAACTTTTCCACAATTTTAAAAGATGAGTCAACTCATAATCATTTGAAATAATTTATTCAAAAGTATTCTAAGAAAAAGCATTTCTTCATTTCCAATCAGTTAATTACTATTTTCTCAATTCTATGACCTCCTGATTACAACTCAAGAATACCACAGTTTTCCTAGTTTCCAATCTAGAAACCTATGGGTTTTTCTTCTTCTTTATTAAACCTAGAAGTCACTTGCTACAGAGAACATATTTAAAAGGTACAGGCAAGCTTCCAAACGCATGGACAGGAAAAACAGGTATGAAGTGTAATGGAACTAAGGGGTGGAGATTTTATAACTCTCATTTGTTTCAACAGCCAAGAAAGGTGACCTACGTCCCCACCCGCCCAGGTCTAGGGCTCCAAGCTGGTATATGACTCACTATAACACCCTTTGGTCTTCCCTTCCACATCAGTGACCCTGCCATTTCTCACTTGCAGTCCAAGTTTGGAAAGATAAGTGGGTTTCTTCAATTCATATCCTGCAAAGAGATAAGGGTAACTTTCCCCAATTCCATTTATTTGTTTCATTTCATCATTCCCTCATTTATGGAACATTTCTGGAGCTCTCAGTACAAGAAATAAGGAAGAAATAGAACATGCTCCTTCCCTCAAGAAGATAGACACATTAACAATGAAAATGGTAATAATAATGCTAATATAGGCCAGCATGGTGGCTCATGCCTGTGATGCCAACTGTGGGGGGCGCAAGGCAACATAGTCAAGCTTATGTACAAGGCATTTGAGGTCGGGGCATGGAAAAATACTGAGGCGCTGTGTGTATGTTATTTGTGCATGAGAATGAAACTCGACCCTGAAAACAGGACAGGGAGTGGAGTGTGTGGTGTGATAAGGAACGCTGAAAACAGCCTCCTGAGAATGCAGTTTGAGTGCTTTTACAAGGCCACAGGTGCCTCACGACCCGACCTCAAAAACGCCATCTAGTGGATGTTTGTGGTTTAACAAGCCCTTTCAATAAATACTTGGCGGACGGATGCCGGGGCGGACTCTCTTAGAAGAGCTACCCCGCAATGCCGGGCGCGGTGGCTCACGCCTGTAATCCTAGCACTTTGGGAGACGGAGAGGGGTGGATCACGATTCAAGACCAGCCTGGTCAAGATGATGAAACCCCGTCTCTACTAAAAATACAAAAAAATTAGCCGGGCGTGGTGGCAGGTGCCTGTAATCCCAGCTACTCGGGAGGCTGAGGCAGAGAATTGCTTGAACCCAGGAGGCAGAGGTTGCAGTGAGCCGAGATCATGCCACTGCACTCCAGCCTGGGCAACAGAGCGACTCCGTCTCAAAAAAAAAAAAAAAAAAAGAAGAGCCACCCCCCATTCTAACTGGCGTGAGATGGTATCTCATCGTGGTTTTGATTTGCATTTCTCTAATGACCAGTGATGATCTTTTCTCGTGTCTGTTGGCTGCATAAATGTCTTCTTTTGAGAAGCGTCTGTTCACACATCGGGGCCTGTGGTGGAGTGGGGGGCTAGGGGAGGGATAACATTAGGAGAAATACCTAATGTAGGTGACGGGTTGATGGGTGCAGCAAACCAGGGCACGTGTATACCTGTGTAACAAAACTGCACGTTCTGCACATGTAACCCAAAACTTAAAGTATAGTTAAAAAATAAATAAGAGCTGCCCCCCGCCCCGCTCAGCTGGAATTGTCTGAGAACCCATTTCGTGGCATTCATTGTAAACTATAAGCTCTGCAAGTGGTGTCCCCGACATGATCGCCTTAAAGTTACGTGTGAAGGAGGAGAGCTCATCAATTTTCGGTGAATCTCCACCTGAAAAGAATTCAGAAGATTTAAAGGGAGAGATTCCTGACTCCTATCAGGAGGACACGACCCACACGTAAAATATCAGGTGTTGAGTTATCATGGGTCAGGAAATGACCAAAGAACAGAAAGTTTTTTTTGTTTGTTTGTTTGTTTTGATATGGAGTCTCGCTCTGCCGCCCAGGCTGGAGTGCAGTGGCGCGATCTCCGCTCACTGCAAGCTCCGCCTCCCGGGTTCACACCATTCTCCTGCCTCAGCCTCCCGAGTAGCTGGGACTACAGGCGCCTGCCAGCCTAGTAGAGACGGGGTTTCACCGCGTTAGCCAGAGTGATCTCGACCTCCCGACCTCGTGATCCGCCCGCCTCCGCCTCCCAAAGTGCTGGGATTACAGGTGTGAACCACTGCGCCCGGCCCAGAAAGTATTTTTAAAACAGTGCAACAGCTATTTAAGGCTGTCCAGTGCACTGTAGAGCCTGGAGCTCTACACAAGCTCATGCTTTTAATTCGGCAGGAATGTCCTTGGTTTCCTGATCAAGGAACCTTAGATTTAGAGCTATGGGAGCAGGTAGGTCGCTGCCTGAAAAGAGGATATGAGCAAGGTCATTTTACTAATTTTACTATTTTGACCACCTGGGCGCTGGTACACTCTGCGTTGTATCCTCTTTATCTGCCAGATCGCGGTTAGACGGCCCATTATCTCCACCTGAAAATAATTCAGAAGATTTAAAGGGAGGGATTCCTCTCTCCACTTCATTCCCTTCTATGGGGAATAAGGAAGAGATTTTTTCTAGTGAGGAAAGACAGGAACCAGAACAGCGGGGGCGGGGCAGTGCTCCTCTCTCTACTTCATTCCCTTCTGTAGAGAGGCCTAAGGAGGACATTTTTTCTAGTAAGGATAAGGCGACCGGAGCCTTTTCCTCCCCCTATAGAAAACCCATTGCCCTCCTTTCCTCCACCCTTCAAGGGACCTGCGTTTGTTGGCCCCGTTCGTTCGGCCAACAGCACCTCCCATCCCCCTTAAGGAGACTAGAGGCCGCCCAAGGGACAGTTCTTAGATAAGACCCCCTGGTCAGCGAACATCGGTATGATCGGGTGACCACGTCTCTCAACCAACTTCCCTGCTGGAGGGGTGCCTCCAGGAGGGAAGGAAAGTGGCTGATTATGATTGTCCTCCTAATATGCAAGTTCCCATTTCCTATTTCCAGCATCAGCCTTTCTGGCCTTGTCTTTTTTCTGTTTTTCTGGAGTACGAGGGGAGTTTGCATGCTGCCTCCTGGGTTTTATTCCAGCTAGCTGTAGCTTTCTTGCTGCCTACAGAGGCCTGGGGCAGGAGAGTTGCTAAGATGCCAGGGAGTGCCCATTTGGTCACTGGCAGTCTGGGCAGGTTACCCCTTTCTGGGTTTATGGTGACGGAGGGGAGGCCAAAAGGCACAGAGCAGGCAGCTCCAGCCAGGTCCTGAGGATCCGCCTCACCACGGTCACGTGCCTTAGTAACTGTGCCCAGGAAGTGGCCTGCTGCTGCTTTTCCTACTTCTGCCCTTCCCTGCCACCCCTCGCATGTCTCAGTTGACAAGCAATTTGTTGTCTTCCCTGGCCCCCTAGGGAAAGCGGTAAAAAACAGTCCATGTGCACCCCAACCTTACTAGCCTAAGGTGGGCAAAGGAGTGTGAAGCAGCCTAGAGTACAGAGCCCTGGGGGAGGAGCCCGCTAATAAGGGGCGCTCTCCTGTAGCCATATATTAAATGCTAACTAGGCTAAGGTGGAGGAGCTCTGCCAGCTGCTGTCATCTTCAGAAGACAGACACAGCAGTAAGGAATGTTTGTTTTGCTTTTTTATAAAATGTTTAAAAACACTGTGGCTAAGAAACTTCAAAGCAGACCCTGTGCTGCATGTGTGCTCCTCCCCTAAGCCCCTCTGCTTGGGGGTGGTAAAAATAATAAAAAGAACATTTTCAGTACCTTACCTAACAGGGTTGGCTCCAGGCGTAGGTGGCCTAGAAGATAAGGGGAGTGGTTTTCTCCCAGCCTGTTACTCTCTTGCCTCCAGCCTCCGCGCTTACACACACACTTTACCACCCTGTCATTCTCTAGCCTCTTACTGCCACTTGTAGTCTTCCTTCCTTCCTCTTAGGGTAAGGACAGCAACAAGTGGCAGGCTATTAAAAATAGAAGCTGCCTAAGGAGCCCAGAACGAATAAAAAGAAACCAGCCACAACCCTACTTTCCCGAGCTCACTTCTAAGACATTCCAGCTAAAGGCTGATGCAGGAAAATGGCCAACACCAAAGGACATTTTTTAAAGTTTTTTTTTTTTTTTTCTGTTTTCTACACACTTAAGCTAACTCAATGCAGGTTTATTATCCTGGCGACTTGCAGTCACATTCTAATGACTTTCAAGGGCCAAAATATAGTAAAAATCACTTAAAATATCCATCCCTTCCATGCCTTAGTTTAACAGGTAGGCTTTATCTTTTGCCATTTCTGTATTTTATGTTATGTACCTGTAGGGGTGGGTTGCCCCTACACACCTGTGGGTGTTTCTCGTAAGGTGGGACGAGAGATTTGGAAAAGAAAAAGACACAGAGACAAAGTATAGAGAAAGAAAGAAGGGGACCCGGGGAACCAGCGTTCAGCATATGGAGGATCCCGCCAGCCTCTGAGTTCCCTTAGTATTTATTGATCATCTGTGGGTGTTTCTCGAAGAGGGGGATGTGTCAGGGTCACAAGACAATTGTGGGGAGAGGGTCAGCAGACAAACACGTGAACAAAGGTCTTTGCATCATAGACAAGGTAAAGGATTAAGTGCTGTGCTTTTAGATATGCATACACATAAACATTTCAATGCTTTACAAAGCAGTATTGCTGCCCGCAGGTCCCACCTCCAGCCCTAAGGCGGTTTTTCCCTATCTCAGTAGATGGAGCATACAATCGGGTTTTATACCGAGACATTCCATTGCCCAGGGACGGGCAGGAGACAGATGCCTTCCTCTTGTCTCAACTGCAAGAGGCATGCCTTCCTCTTATACTAATCCTCCTCAGCACAGACCCTTTACGGGTGTCGGGCTGGGGGACGGTCAGGTCTTTCCCTTCCCACGAGGCCATATTTCAGACTATCACATGGGGAGAAACCTTGGACAATACCTGGCTTTCCTAGGCAGAGGTCCCTGCGGCCTTCCGCAGTTTTTGTGTCCCTGGGTACTTGAGATTAGGGAGTGGTGATGACTCTTAAGGAGCATGCTGCCTTCAAGCATCTGTTTAACAAAGCACATCTTGCACCGCCCTTAATCCATTTAACTCTGAGTTGACAGAGCACATGTTTCAGAGAGCACAGGGTTGGGGGTAAGGTTATAGATTAACAGAATCTCAAGGCAGAAGAATTTTTCTTAGTACATAACAAAATGGAGTCTCCTATGTCTACTTCTTTCTACACAGACACAGTAACAATCTGATCTCTCTTGCTTTTCCCCACATTTCCCCCTTTTCTTTTCGACAAAACCACCATCATCATCATGGCCCGTTCTCGATGGTCGCTGTCTCTTTGGAGCTGTTGGGTACACCTGCAGACTAACAACAGACAAAACAGGCACACAGGGATTAATATGAGATTTATAATCGTAGTACTTCCAATGGTCTTAACCCAAGTGACAGGGTTAAGATTTTCGAGGCCATCAGCAACTCCTGCAATTGCCTCAGTTCCTGGCACCAAATTTAAATGGGCTTTTGATGCTTCGAAAATTTGTTCTTTTAATTTGGAAATGTCTAAAGTGAGATTATCTTCTCTTCCCTGTAGATGGTGTCTAACCATGTCCCAGTGATGCTCAGACTCATTATAAATTTGGGGTGTAATACAAAAATCTGATGTATTCCAGTCACACTGTAACTGGAAACGATGTTCTAAGCTCATGAGCCTGTCTCCCATCCAAATGACAGTTTGTCTAAGATCATTAATTTGATTTGCCAATTTTTGATCAATACTAGATTGTGAATTCCACAATCTTGTAGAATTTTTTTGCCAATGATTAACAAAGTTTACTGACTGAACAGAAGAGTGCAATGCAACTCCTGCTACAGCAGCCGTAGCTGTGACTGCAATTAATCCCATAATCACTGCAATTAAAGTAAAAATGAATCTTTTGGATCTATTTAAAACACCTTTTAATACTTCAGTCAAAATATGGACGGATGGTGAGGCCTCCCACGGTCGGTCCATGGACACAGGGATCCACACGCCCTCTCTTGCTCTCACCAGCAGAATACGGTGTTGCCAATTAAAAGTTGAATCAATGCAAGTAAGCAATCTACAATTTTCACAGGTTATAGTTTGAGAGTCTGGTTTAATAACTATATTTCCTACAACTAGCATATAAGGGGGCTTTACGCAACTTTGTAAAGGAACTGTTAGACTGGAATTTAGGTCGACAGTATAAAATGGCTTACGATCTCTTGTTTCTAAAGTTTGATTTCCAGACCAAATTCTAATGTGGTGTGAGGCCACAGTAAGCCTCCATAATTCTGGATGTTCAGGACCAGAAACAGGACTTATTATTTTTGGTCTTGGGGTAGAGATTCCTTTTTCTCCCCATTCCCAAGGGTAGAAAGACTGCAATTTTTTATGCTTATGTTTGTCTAAACTTTCTGTTAAGTCGCTATCAACAGCTGGACTCACTTGTGCACTTGGACACGACTGAGTTTGTCCTGAGCAATTGTGGTAGAATTGACCTCGAGGTACCCAATCTATAATAGTTCCGAATTCATTGTTTTGTAATATCACCGCACTATTGGCCACACATTCTTCCCAAACTAAAACTTCTGTATTTTTTGATTCTTTGGGAATTTCCTTGGGGCAAGGTTTCCCTTTAGGTCTAAATTTTAATGATCTTTGATAAGAAAAGTCTTATAAATAATTTACCCGTGGCCTGAGTGACATCCCGCTTACCATGTGATAAGTGAATCTACAGATGGGACTGACAATAGGTACTTCTACCAACCAATTTTGGACTGTGGGCATTAAACATCCTGGTGCTCTCCCTAGGCAAATAGGAGGATAACGATACCCAATGGAAATATTTATCATCATCCCTTCTTCCTCAGGTTTGGCAGGGCAGCGATCATCTGTGGGGCCAGGTACCCATACACTATCATTAACATATACTTCTATAGGATTATCCATCCATGTGACTGGTGTTACCATCTCCGTGGAGGCCCTTTTCTTTGCATCTCCGATGGGTTCATTGTAGAACTTCAAATGTCTAGTGGGTATCCAAACAGGAAGCTGATTTTCTCCTGGTGAAACACAAGCAAAACCTCTCCCCCACGTTATCACCTTCCCTATTTCCCATGTCTTATTTTTATTATCTTTCCACCAAATTAGTTTTCCTTCATGTGGGCTGTTCTTTTTACCAGTAAGATGTTGTTCTGCAGAAGTAGTAGTCTGATTTCTATAAATGTTTAAAAAATTTAAAGTATAGAGTGCTAGATTAAGTTGCATCTGAGGAGTGGTACACTCCTTACTGTCTCCCCCTTCTTTTTGTTTAACTAATTGAGTTTTGAGTGTTCTATTAGTTCTTTCAACTATGGCCTGTCCTTGGGAATTATAAGGAATTCCTGTTGTATGTGAAATTTTCCACTGACTTAAGAATTTTTGGAAAGCTTTACTACAATATCCTGGTCCATTGTCAGTTTTGATTTTTTCTGGAACTCCCATTACAGCAAAACAAGACAATAAATGTTTTTTAACATGGGAAGTACTTTCTCCTGTTTGGCAAGTTGCCCATATGAAATGTGAATAAGTATCAACTGTTACATGAACATACGATAATCTTCCAAATGAAGGTACATGCGTGACATCCATTTGCCATAATGCATTAGGACACAGACCTCTGGGATTAACTCCTGCCTCTTGAGTGGGCAGGTGTAAGACTTGACACTGGGTGCAATGTTGTACAATATCTTTTGCCTGTTTCCATGTGACATCAAATTTGTTTTTTAATCCTGCTGCATTTACATGAGTCAAAGCATGAAGTTCTTGTGCTTTTATGAGTGCAGATGATACCAGTAAGTCAGCTTCTTCATTTGCTTTAGTCAAAGGCCCTGGTAAATTAGTGTGTGCTCGAATATGAGTAATATAAAATGGGAAATTTCTTTTTCTTACAGTTTGTTGTAATAAATTGAATAGCTGGTTTAACTGATCATCCATGCTATATTTAATTAGAGCTGTCTCAACATCCCTTGTAGCCTGTACTACATAGGCAGAATCTGATATAATATTGATAGGTTGGTCAAAATCTTGTAACACTGTAATGACTGCAACCAACTCTGCTCTTTGAGCAGATTGATATGGAGTTTTGATTACTCGTTCTTTCGGCCCTGTGTAAGCTGCTTTTCCATTGCTGGAACCATCAGTAAATACTGTTAGAGCATTTTCTAAAGGTTCACGTCTGGTAATTTTAGGTAGAATCCAAGTAGTCATTTTTAAGAACTGGAAGATCTTTGTTTTTGGGTAATGATTATCAATAATTCCCACAAAATTAGCAAGACCAATCTGCCATGCACCAGAATTGATAAAGGCTTGTCTAACTTGTTCCTTGGTTAAAGGGACAACTATTTTGTCTGGGTCATTTCCACATAATTTTATTATTCGTAATCTTGTCTGACCGATTAATGTAGCTATTTGATCCAAGTACAATGTAAAAGTCTTAACTGTACTGTGAGGAAGGAATGACCACTCCACAAGATCAGTATTTTGAATAATGATGCCTGTTGGAGAATGTGCAGTGGCAAAAATCAAAAGTTGGAGTGGGGCTAAGGGATCTATTCTATTTATTTGCGCTGACTGAATTTTTTCTTCCACTAATTTAATTTCTTTTGTTGCCTCTGGGGTTAATATTCTTTTACTATTTAAGTCTGAGTCTCCTCTTAATATAGAGAACAAATTTGACATGGCATAAGTAGGAATGCCTAGAGTTGGCCGAATCCAATTAATATCTCCTAGTAATTTTTGAAAATCATTTAGTGTTTTTAATGTGTCTTTTCTTATTTCTATTTTTTGTGGCTTAATTTTTCTATTTTCTATCTGCATCCCTAAATAATGAAAAGGAGTAGAGGTTTGGATCTTATCAGATGCTATTGCCAGTCCAGCATTGGCAACCTCTGCTTGCAGAAATGTATAACAGTCAATTAATTTATCTTTCGTTTCTGCAGCACATAAAATATCATCAATATAATGAATAATATAACAGTCTGAAAACTTTTCTCTAACTGGTTGAAGAGCTCGACCTACAAAAGTCTGACAAATAGTTGGACTATTAAGCATTCCCTGAGGTAACACTTTCCACTGAAACCTGGTGGCTGGTTCTTTATTATTTATGGCTGGTATAGTAAAGGCAAATTTTTCACAATCCTGCTCTGCCAGAGGGATGGTAAAAAAGCAATCCTTTAGATCAATTATAATTAAAGGCCAATCTTTTGGGATCATGGCCGGAGAGGGCAACCCGGGTTGGAGAGGCCCCATGGGTTGAATTACGGCGTTTACGGCCCTTAAGTCAGTTAACATACGCCATTTGCCTGATTTCTTCTGAATTACAAACACAGGAGAATTCCAAGGCGAGAATGAAGGCTCAATATGACCCTTTTCTAACTGTTCATTTGCTAATAAATGTAAAGCCTCCAGTTTTTGTTTTGGTAGCGGCCACTGATTTACCCACACCGGTTTTTCTGTTTTCCAAGTTAATGGTATGGGTTTAGGAGGCTCTACAGTGGCCGCCCCTAAAAAGGATACCCTATTCCTTCTCTTTCTTGATTTATTTTAGCCTCAACTGGAACTTTAATGCCATCTTCATTTTTCCCTAGTCCCTTTCCTGGTATATATCCCATCTTGGTCATGATTTTTTGACTCGTGGGGCTATATAATGGAGCGGGCATGATTTCCGCACCCCATTGTTGTAATAAATCTCGACCCCACAGATTAAGAGGAATTGAAGTAATCATTGGCTGAACAGTACTTTCTTGATTATCTGGCCCTAAGCAATATAAAATCTCCGTACTTTGATACACTTCTGAGGCTGTGCCTATGCCGACAAGTCCTGTAACAGCCTTTTGTTTAGGCCAATTTTTTGGCCACTGATTTAAAGCAATGATAGAGACATCTGCTCCAGTGTCTACTAACCCTTCAAACTGTTTTCCTTGAATAATGGCCTTACACACAGGTCTGTTCTCTGAGACCTGACTTGCCCAATATGCAGCCTTTCCTGTTGGATCAGTGCTTCCAAACCCTCCTGTTCTTTTTATCTCACTATTTCCACCCTTAATATATGGCAGGAGTAATAATTGAGCAATCCTGTCTCCTGGACTGGCACTCCAAGGAATTGAAGAGCTAATAACCAACTGAATTTCGCCTTTATAGTCTGAATCAACCACACCAGTATGAATTTGAACTCCTTTTAGATTTAGACTTGATTTTCCCAAGATTAGTCCTACAGTCCCCTCAGGCAGGGGGCCATATACCCCTGTGGGGATTTTTTGTGGGGGCTCCCCTGGAAGCAGAGAGACTGCTTGTATAGTACATAAATCTACTGCTGCACTGCCGCTTGTGGCGGGGGACAATTGTTGTATTGTGGTAACTGGCTTATTCCCTGAAACACTTGGGACAGGGAGGGGGGGTTTTTGTCCCTGAAAACCCTGAGGAACAAATGGCTGAATTGGGAATGCCCCAGTTTGTTGTGGGGCCTGAGGCTGGCCCCTTTGCTCGTTTCCCGACAATGGTTGCCCATTTTTATCAAATTTAGAACGACATTGACTAGCCCAATGTTTTCCTTTTTTACATCTTGGACATAAGTCAGGTGGCTCTCTACCTGTTGTGGTAGTAGCTTGAATAGTTATATTCTGTTTATTTAAGACTGGGCAATTCTTTTTTAAGTGACCAATTTGACCACAATTATAACATTTTCCTCCAAATGTTCTAACTTGTCCTCCTAAAACAACTCCTGTTATTGCTTGAGCCATAAGCATAGCTTTATGCATAGCTCCTCCGATTCCATCACAGGCTTTTACATATTCTGAGATTACATCTGATCCTGCAGGAACCTTTCCTTTTAATGGCTTAATGGCTGATTGACACTCAGGATTGGCGTTTTCATATGCCATCAACTCCACTATGACCTTACGGGCTTTTTCATCGGCAATTGACTTTTGAGCAACATCTTGGAGCCTTGCCACAAAATCAGGGTAGGGCTCTTTCGAACCTTGTCTTACTGTATTAAATGAGGGGCAGGTACTTCCTGGGTCTTGGATTTTTTCCCAGGCTCTAAGGCAGATAGCTCTAACTTGCTCAATGGCCTCATTTTGCATTAATGCTTGTTGACTAATAGTACTCCAATTTTGACCTATTCCTAATAGTTGATCTGCATCTATGTTAACTGGAGGATTGGCAGCCCTATTTCTTCGGACCTGTTCTTGTACCCCATCAATCCACCAAGTCTTAAATTGTAAAAATTGAGAGGGTGAGAGAGACGATTTTGCCAGAATCTCCCAATCATAAGGAATGAGTCTATGTCCATGAGCAATGGAATCTAATAATGTCCTCATATAAGGGGAGTTGGGTCCATACTGTTTTACTCCCTCTTTCATATCTTTTAGCATTTTTATCGAAAAAGACTTGTATCTGGCCTCAACTGTGAGAGGCTCTCCCTCTTGGGCTCCTTCTCCAGGTGGCATCGGTTCTAACGTTACTGGGAATTGCCATGCCTCAGTATCTCCTTCCTTTCTTGATTTATCAATAATTTCATGTAATTCACTACCCTGTCTACTAGGTGGTGCCGTAGGATTAAGTCTCCTAGTGGGCGGCTGAGGGTATGGCGCCCTGCCCTGTGGTGCTGGGGGCATTCCTGGATATCCATACTGACTTTCTGGGGGTGGCCGATACTGAAGTTCAGCCGGTGGCCAGTATTGATAGGCTACTGGCGGTTGGGTCTTATTTTCTTTAACCTGCGTTTGAGGTTGTAATGTTACAGGCACCTGACCTGCTGGAAGAGGACTTGTGCCTCGTGGTTTAGACTCTGATGGCCCCACTAATTCTGGACCTTTTCCTTCTAATTTTAACGTTTCAGGATATATCACCTCCTGTAATTGATTATAGTCAACATTTTGCGTTGACTGAGTCATTACCGGCTCTGCTACATATTCGCAATGTAAACTTTCGGTTTCTTTCTGGGATTTTTTCCTTGTCTTTTCATTACAATCTATTATACAGCTTCCAGTGGCATCAGAAACTGAAACGCTATCTTCTGTTTGAAATGGTTCTAAAGCTGCTTTAATAATGGCCCAATCATTCCATACTGTAAGTGGAATGATATTACCCTTCCTACCTGCTTGTTTTAGTTCCTTACCAATTCTTTTCCAATCTTTTAGATCTAAAGTTTCTTGTTCTGGAAACCATGGGCAAAATTGTTCTATTATTTGAAATAGCTTGATTAGATTTTTTGTAGATACTTTAACTCCCCCTCTTTTTAAAAGAATTTTAATAAAGCTGAGATAAGAGGCATATTTACTTTTAACTTTACTTTTAGTTTGCCCCATTATCACCCTAGCTTCTTCCGAGTGCACAAGCTTACCGTAAGGCTGACTGTAGAAGTACTCGGGATCTCTCGTCGACTTGTCCTCAATGACCACGCTCGAGCGTACCTTCACCCTAGAGAAAAGCCCCACGTTGGGCGCCAGATGTAGGGGTGGGTTGCCCCTACACACCTGTGGGTGTTTCTCGTAAGGTGGAACGAGAGATTTGGAAAAGAAAAAGACACAGAGACAAAGTATAGAGAAAGAAAGAAGGGGACCCGGGGAACCAGCGTTCAGCATATGGAGGATCCCGCCAGCCTCTGAGTTCCCTTAGTATTTATTGATCATCTGTGGGTGTTTCTCGAAGAGGGGGATGTGTCAGGGTCACAAGACAATTGTGGGGAGAGGGTCAGCAGACAAACACGTGAACAAAGGTCTTTGCATCATAGACAAGGTAAAGGATTAAGTGCTGTGCTTTTAGATATGCATACACATAAACATTTCAATGCTTTACAAAGCAGTATTGCTGCCCGCAGGTCCCACCTCCAGCCCTAAGGCGGTTTTTCCCTATCTCAGTAGATGGAGCATACAATCGGGTTTTATACCGAGACATTCCATTGCCCAGGGACAGGCAGGAGACAGATGCCTTCCTCTTGTCTCAACTGCAAGAGGCATGCCTTCTTCTTATACTAATCCTCCTCAGCACAGACCCTTTACGGGTGTCGGGCTGGGGGACGGTCAGGTCTTTCCCTTCCCACGAGGCCATATTTCAGACTATCACATGGGGAGAAACCTTGGACAATACCTGGCTTTCCTAGGCAGAGGTCCCTGCGGCCTTCCGCAGTTTTTGTGTCCCTGGGTACTTGAGATTAGGGAGTGGTGATGACTCTTAAGGAGCATGCTGCCTTCAAGCATCTGTTTAACAAAGCACATCTTGCACCGCCCTTAATCCATTTAACTCTGAGTTGACAGAGCACATGTTTCAGAGAGCACAGGGTTGGGGGTAAGGTTATAGATTAACAGAATCTCAAGGCAGAAGAATTTTTCTTAGTACATAACAAAATGGAGTCTCCTATGTCTACTTCTTTCTACACAGACACAGTAACAATCTGATCTCTCTTGCTTTTCCCCACATGTACCTGTCTCATAATCCCCTTAAACATATGCAAAAGACTACAGATTTAATAGCTTCTCTTCTCATAAAGGGATGCCAACGTTGCGTCCAGCTGTCAGGATATGACCCTGCTATTCTTTTCCTACCTTTAAGCGAGGAACAATCTCATACTCTCTTAGTTTGTGATCTTGATTGGCAAGTAGCAATGACTGACTTTATTGGTAATATCAGCTTTCATTTACCAGCTTCTAAGCTCCTGAACTTTTTACAAACTGTGCCTGTTAAATTTGTATCTATTGTTGTCTCTGAGCCTTTTACTTCATGCCACCACTGTCTTTACAGATGGCTCAAAAAAAAAAAAAAAATGGAAAAAGCAGCTATAGTGTGGCAAGATGCCATGCAGAACTGGCAGCACAAAATCCAGGAGCATTTTAAAAACTACACAACAGGCAGAGTTAGGTGCCCTGATATTGGCCTTACAAACTTTTCCTCACCAAGACATAGAGTTAGTGATTCCACTTATGTGGTGTATAGTATTATTCATTTACATCTTGCACATGTGAAGGGCATTACTAATAAACCATTATTAGCTTTGTTTCTTGTGGTGCAAGAGCTCCTCTGTGCCTGTCGTCACCCCCTTTACATCACAGATACCCACTGTCATTCTATTCTGGGCTACCTGGTCCCTTATCAGAAGGGAACACTCGAGCTGCTACTCTGGTATGACCACAGATGTGGTTTGCAAATTCTCCTGCTTTTTGCGAGCTCAGGCTGATCATGCTTTTTTTCATTAGAATGCCCGCAGTCTTAAACAACAGTTTCATTTGACATTTATTCAAACTCGCCTGATTATTAAAACTTGTCCTGATTGCCAATGGCATTCTCTTTCCCCTTTTTCCTTAGGCCTTGGTGCCAACCCACGAGGTCTGCCTAATGCTATTTGGCAAACTGATGCTACTCAGTATCCACCCTTTGGACGTTTCAAATTTCTCCACGTTACCGTAGACACGTATACAGGCCTGATACATGCTACCCTCCAGACCAGAGAAAAAACTAAAGATGCAGTTGCTCATTTGTTTAAATCTATTATAGCTCTAAGCCTTCCACACACTAGAAAAACTAAGAATGGGCCAGGCGCAGTGGCCTGTAATCCCAGTACTTTGGGAGGCCGAGGCGGGCGGATCACCTGAGGTCAGGAGTTCGAGATCAGCCTGGGCAACACGGTGAAATCCCGTCTCTACTAAAAATACAAAATTAGCTGGGTGTGGTGGCAAATGCTTGTAATCCCAGCTACTCAGGAGGCTGAGGCAGGAGAATCGTTTGAACCTGGGAGGGAGAGGATGTGGTGAGCCGAGATGGCACCATTGCATTCCAACCTGGGCAACAAGAGTGAATCTCTGTCTCACCAAAAAAAAAAAAAAAATTATAATTAATAATGGACCTTGCTATCTTAGTGCTTGATTTGCATATGCATTGCAACTTTGGCATATACAACACAAAACTGGTATTCCTTATAACTCAACACAAAACTGGTATTCCTTATAACTCAACCAGTCAGGCCATTGTTAAATGAGCTCATCAAACTCTTAAAGTATATCTTAATAAACAAAAAAGGGGGAATATGGGACTCTCTTCTTGAGAACAAGACCTGTTGTTGGAGAACAAACTGATAATGATGGTGATGATTCGGAAGCACCTGACATTACCTGGGGACAGCTAAAGAAATTGGATCAACAGGCATCTATTCGGCTTGCAGCCATGGAAGCCCCTGCAACTGCAGAAAATCGGTTTCTTATGTATCTGGCGGTAATTGGGGAAACTTCTGAGAAAGTAAGACAGACATGGATGTTGGGGTGGCTGGTAATTCTTGTCCTTTGTTAAGTGGGATCAGCTCAAGAACATGTTTATTTGAGTCATGTTCTAAATCCCCGTTTTTAATGTTATTACATGGTGGGATGCTGACCTGCCTTTGTCATCTAATGATATTTCTTGGACAGGAGGCCGATGGATGCCCCTGTGTTACCCCTTAACTGAAAATTTGGGATGGATTAAACTGAATGACTCCTTGATTTTATTGTCTAGTAATTCCCTTCTTTGTTTTTCCACAATAGCACATAAATGTGTTACTCTCATCCCTCAGGAGTATCTTTACTATCAGCCTAAAAGGGATGCTAAGCTTGCAAACTTGACCTTTATTTCTACTATTACCACTAATCTTATCAAGGTCTCTAATGAAGCTTCACAAGTGCCTGATCTTCCTATATGCCATCCGAGTAGGGACTGGAGACATAAGTTTGAGGCCATCCAGTGGTTGCCGTGGAGACAGCCTACACCGTGTCAAGGGCCTCTGTTTGATAATGGCACCTTACTTGATTGGGGTCCCCATGGAAATCTTATGTCTGCAAATCAGGCTATTAGACTTAGGAGTCCCTCCAATAGTTCTATTACCTAGTCAGAATGTGGGCTTTCAGGACCAATATTACAACTGAAAGGGAAACAATCTTTAAGCCCTGCTCATACCCAAATTTGGAGATTAGGATTTCTCTTTTTGAACCGGTTATTTCACTTGGTGAGTATATTACTAGCCGTGGCAACTATACCCTCTCTTTGCATAATAATGTTACTGACACAGTCCTGATTTGTACTATGCACCCTTATATACTTTTGTTTAGGCAGGGTGTTCCTAACATAGAGCAGAATCAATCATTTTATAGTATTAAAGTCTCTTCCAGTAGTTGGTATGCTGCATGCTTGTCTCACCGAAACGTTACACAGTTGAATACAACCTGTCATGATCTTAAAATGGATTTTAAGATCCATTGGATCTTAAATTGGATCCACAATTGTGGAATTGTGGCTGCCTGTAAATTTAACCCCGAGCTGGGAAGTAGATTCCACCCTGCAGCTATTTAGAAAAGCGCTTCTCATACTCGAAAAAAAAGAGATTTCTGGCCACTTTAATTACCTTTTTAGTCTCAGCTATTATTATATTAGCAACTGCTGCTACTGCAGCTGTTTCTCTGGCAGAATCTATTCACACCGCCTCAGTGGTGAACCACATGGTATATAATGTAACCCATGAATTTCAAGAACAGGTGAATATTGATAAAACTATTCTGTCTCGCCTGAAGGCTCTTGAAGCTTCTGTTATGTAGCTGGGGAATCTGCAGCAGGCATTCATTACCCGTCAAAATTTACACTGTGATTGGCAATATAATTCTATCTGTATCATACCCCTGCCATATAATAGCTTCCAATATAATTGGGAGAGAGTGAAAGCACATCTGCAAGGGGCTTATCACGACCATTTGTCTTCTCAGATTTCCACTCTTGAGTGTGAATTAAAGAAACGACTTGAAGAATGGTCGCAGTAATTACAAACAAGTACCCTTCAACAATTACAAGAAGGCTTTCAATGGTTAAACCCGAACACTTGGTTGTCTGGGTTAAATATACGCATTTGGATGATGGCCGCTGTACTTATTCTTTTTTGTATCTGTTTGCTAGGCATTTGCAGAAGGTTCTGTGCTGCCACCCGATGCATCTATGACCAGGGAAGAATGATACCAGGGAAGAATTACATTGCATGGGATGACCAGCAAGCTCTAAGAATTAAAGAAGGGGGAGATGTGGGAGGCACATGGCCACATATTCAAGCTTATGTACAAGGCATTTGAGGTTGGGGCATGGAAAAATACTGAGGCGCTGTGTGTATGTTTTATTTGTGCATGAGAATGAAACTCGACCCTGAAAACAGGGCAGGGAGTGGAGTGTGTGGTGTGATAAGGAACGCTGAAAACAGCCTCCTGAGAATGCAGTTTGAGTGCTTTTACAAGGCCACAGGTGCCTCACGACCCGACCTCAAAAACGCCATCTAGTGGATATTTGTGGTTTAACAAGCCCTTTCAATAAATGACAGACGGATGCTAAGGTTGACTCTCTTAGGAGAGCTGCCCCCCGCCCTGCTCAGCTGGAATTGTCTGAGAACTCATTCTTGGCGTTCACTGCAAGCTATAAGCTCCGCACCAATACTTTGGAAGACCGAAGCAGGTGGGTCACCTGAGGTCAGGAGTTTGAGACCAACCTGGCCAACAAGGTGAAACCCCCTCTCTACCAAAAATACAAAAATTAGCCGGGCGTGGAGGCAGGTGCCTGTAATCCCAGCTGCTTGAGAAGCTGAGGCAGGAGAATTGCTTGAACCTGGGAGGCAGAGGCTGCAGTGAGCCGAGATTGTGCCACTGCATTCCAGCCTGGACAACTGAGACCCCATCTCAAAAAAAAAAAAAAAAAAAAAAAAGTAAAGAAAAAAAAAGTGAATATAGAGACATGGACACAAATTCTATAGGAGAACAGGGGGGAAAGCAATGAGATACAGGGAATCCCAGACCCTGGAAGCATTGCAAAAGCCTCACGGAGGAGGTGCCCTTTGGTCTGGGTTCCAAAAACTAGGTAAGTGTTCATGAGGTACAGAAGGTGGGGGAAGGGCATTCCAGGCAAAGTGAAAAGACCAGGAGACATGAAGGCATGAAAGAAGTGCAGCTTAAGGGATTGGTGTGTATGAACAGGGAAATGATAAAGTAATTTGAAGATAAGCTGTGAAGAACTTCATAGCCATGCTTAAGATATTGGATTTTACCTTCAAGGTGGTAGGAACCTGACCATCTTCTTGTTAACTCATTTATAAGTTAATATGTTTTATTATATAATAATACAAATGAATATAATAATACATAATATATACTATACTACATAATAAATATATCTATATGTTAACTTATTAACATTATTACACACACAGAAATTTTGGTCATTTATTACAAAACAAGAAGGAAAGGCTGGGCATGGTGGCTCATGCCTGTAATCCCAGCACTTCGGGAGGCCGAGGTGGGTGGATCACCTGAGGTCAAGAGTTCGAGACCAGCTTGGCCAACATGGCGAAACCTCGTCTCTTCAAAAAATACAAAAATTAGCCTGGCATGGTGGCGTGTGCCTGTAATCCCAGCTACTAGGGGGCACTGAGGCAGGAGAATTGCTTGAACCCAGGAGGTAGAGGTTACAGTGAGCCCAGACGGCGCCACTGCACTCCTGCCTGGGCAACAAAGGGAGACTCTGTCCCAAAAAAACAAAACAAAACAAAACAAAACAAAAGAGGCCAGGCACGGTGGCTCACGCCTGTAATCTCAGCACTTTGGGAGGCCGAGGCAGGCGGATCACGAGGTCAGGAGATCGAGACACCATCCTGGCTAACACGGTGAAACCCCGTCTCTACTAAAAATATAAAAAATTAGCCGGGCGTGGTGGCGGGCGCCTGTAGTCCCAGCTACTCGAGAGGCTGAGGCAGGAGAATGGCGTGAACCTGGGAGGCGGAGCTTGCAGTGAGCCCAGATCGCGCCACTGCACTCCAGTCTGGGCGACAGAGAGAGACTCTGTCTCAAAAAAAAAAAAAAAAAAAAAAAAAAAGAAAAAACCGAAGGAAAAATCTATTTAAAATTAAAATCTGGCTGGACGTGGTGGCTCACGCTTGTAATCCCAGCACTTTGGGAGGCCAAGGCAGATGGATCACTTGAGGTCGGGAGTTCAAGACCAGCCTGGCCAACATGGTGAAACCCCATCTCTACTAAAAATACAAAAAATTAGCTGGCTGTGGTGGTGTACGCCTGTAATCCCAGATACTAGGGAGGCTGAGACAGGAGAATCATTTGAACCTGGGAGGCAGAGGTTGCAGTGAGCTGAGATCATGCCATTGCACTCTAGCCTGGGTGACAGAACGAGACTTCCTCTCAAAAAAAAAAAGAAAAAAAGATCAGCTAGGCATGGTGGCTCATGCCTGTAATCCCAGTACTTTGGGAGGCCAAGGCGGGCGGATCACCTGAGGTCGGGAGTTTGAGACCAGCCTGACCAACATGGAGAAACCCCGTCTCTATTAAAAATACAAAATTAGCCGGGCCTGGTGGCCATGCCTGTAATCCCAGCTACTTGGGAGGCTGAGGCAGGAGAATCGCTTGAACCCGGGAGGCGGAGGTTGTGGTGAGCCGAGATTGCGCCATTGCCCTACAGCCCGGGCAACAAGAGCAAACTACTTCTCAAAAAAAAAAAAAAAAAGGAAGAGAAAAAGAAAAAAGATTAAAATCTGCTTAAAAAGTATTGTTCATGGCATAGAGCTACCATGACTTCTTTACAGACAGTGTATCAAACACAATCAATGCAAGTCCACCCTGTCACTTACTGCTTGTATTCAGAGTGCTGCACAGAACATTTCAAGGAGAGATGGCTCTAACAAGGCCAGTATGCACACTAATAAGACAGAGACAAAACACTTTCTCTTATTGAAAATTTATTTTTTATTTTTATTTATTTATTTATTTTTTGAGATGGAGTCTTACTCTTGTTGCCCAGACTGGAGTGCAATGGCGCGATCTCGGCTCACCACAACCTCCAACTCCCGGGCTCAAGCCATTCTCCTGCCTCAGCCTCCGGAGCAGCTGGGATTACAGGCATGTGCCACCACACCCGGTTAATTTTGTATTTTTAGTAGAGATGAGTTTTCTCCATGTTGGTCAGGCTGGTCTCGAACTCTGGACCTCAGATGATCCACCTGCCTCGGCCTCCCAAAGTGCTAGGATCACAGGCATGAGCCACCGCGCCCGACCTTTTTTTTTTTTTTTGAGACGGAGTCTTGCTCTGTCGCCCAGGCTGGAGTGCAATGGCGTGATCTCCGCTCACCGCGATCTCCACTCACCGCACCTCCGCCTCCTGGGTTCAAGCGATTCTCCTGCCTCAGCCTCCCAAGTAGCTGGGATTACAGGCGCCTGCCACCACGCCCATCTTATTTTTTGTATTTTTAATGGAGATGGGTTTTCACCATGTTGGCCAGGCTATTCTTAAACTCCTGACCTCAGGTGATCCTCCCGCCTCAGCCTCCCAAAGTGCTGGAATTACAAGTGTGAGCCACCATGCCTGGCCTAAAATTTTAAAGTAGAGATGGGGTCTCACAATGTTGTCCAGGATGGTCTTGAACACCTGGGCTCAAGCAGTCCTCCTGCCTTCACCTCCCAAAATGTTGGAATTATAGGTGTGAGCCACTACGTCCAGCCTACTAATAGTTATTTTTTTTAATTTAATGCATCCCACTGAAAAAAGTTTTTTTTTGGTTTTGTAATTTGTTTGTTTTTGTTTTTGTTTTGAGATAGGGTCTCACTCTGTCACCTAGGCTGGAGTGCAGTGGCACAATCTCGGTTTACTGCAACCTCCGCCTCCCAGGCTCAAGTGATCCTCCCACCTCAGCCTCCTCAGTAGCTGGGACTACAGGCCCGAACCACCATGCCCAGCTAATTTTTTTTTCTTTTTTTTTTGAGATGGTATCTTACTCTGTAGCCCAGGCGGGAGTGCAGTGGCGCAATCTCGGCTCACTGCAACCTCCACCTCCATGGCTCAAGCGATTCTCATGCCGCAGCCTCCTGAGTAGCTGGGACTACAGGTGTGCACCACCATGCCAGGCTAATTTTTCTTTTTGTATTTTAGTAGAGATGGGTTTCACCATGTTGCCCAGGGTGATCTTGAACTCCTGAGGTCAGGTGATCCACCCGCCTTGCCCTCCCAGAGTGCTGGGATTATAGGTGTGAGCCACTGTGCCCGGCTGCTAATTTTTGTATTTTTAGTAGAGACTGGGTTTCACCATGTTGGTCAGGCTGGTATCAAGCTACTAACCTCAGATGATCCACCTGCCTCAGCCTCCCAAAGTGCTGGGATTACAGGTGTGAGCCACCTCACCCAGCCATAATTTTTATTTTGAGGTGGAGTCTCACTCTGTCACCCAAGCTGGAGTGCAGTGACGCGATTTCGGCTCACCGCAACCTCCGCCTCCCGGGTTCAAGCAATTCTCCTGCCTCAGCCTCCCAAGTAGCTGGGATTACAGGCACACACCACCATGCCTGGCTAATTTATATATTTTTGGTAGAGATGGGGTTTCACCATGTTGGCCAGGCAGGTCTTGAACTCCTGACCTCAAGTGATCCTCCCACCTTGGCCTCTCAAAGTGCTGGGATTACAGACGTGAGCCACCACGCCCACCCTGAAAAAGTTTAAATACATAAATAAATAAAAATTTGAGGGAAGTGTGCAATATTTCCATAACTTTCCATTGGTACCACATAATTTTAAATGTACTTAGATCTTAAACTGTTATTTTAAAATATTATTCTTGGGGCCAGATTTCTGTTTTTATTTTTACTTAACTGGCTTCCCAAGCATTGGTCATGAAACTGGGAGCCTTTATCAGACAGTTGTTTCCTGTAGCATGCATGAAGAGTTGTCTCTCCATGTGAGAAGCAACTCTACGGAAATTTCTGTAATCTGGAAGGTTGATCCTTGTCACCTTTCTTGGGCCATCATTTAGAACCTTCATGAACCATTTAAGGGGTTCATGCTGTTTCACTCTGTAGGGCATTTCTCACTTTGAGGAATCCCTGTCTTACGGCTGCTCCTAAATTGCAGCTGCTTGCAGAGATGCCTGTCTCTTTTTTCTAGGCTCTCCCCAGGGCCATCCGAAGTTAATTTTAGGGTTGGCCGGGCGCGCTCGCTCATACCCGTAATCCCAGCACTTCGGGAGGCTGAGGTGGGTAGATGGGCTGAGCTCAGAAGTTCCAGACCAGCCTGGGCAACGTGGCAAAACCCCGTCTTTACTAAATATACAAAAATTAGCAGGGCATGGTGGTGAGGGTGCCTGTAGTCCTAGCTACTTCAGCTACTTGGGAGGCTGAGGAGGAAGGAACGCTCAAGTCCGGGGAAGTCGAGGATGCAGTGAGCCAAGATCACTCCATTGCACTCTAACCTAGGTGACAGAGCAAGACCCTGTCTCAAAAGAAGAAAAAAAAATTTTTAAGGTTGCCATATGCTCTATATTTTAAGTCAGACCACTCCAAACAAACCTCCCAAATTTGGTGAAAATCAATCCAACCATTTTTAGTCATTCGATAATAGAAAAAGATAGAAACTTAATTTATAAATTTACCTTTCTTAATAAATAAGAATATAAAATTTAGTTTCTTAACAACAACAGAAGAACAAAAGACAAAAGACAACAAGAGAGATCATCCTGCAAACAGCATAAGTTAACAAGATGAAAGGTAGAAGCAGAAATGTCTATTGCAACCGTGAGAAATGATCAGCCCCTATAAAAGACTGTAGTGCGGTAGGTGGCTCACACTTGTAATCTCAGCACTTTGGGAGGCTGAGGCGGGTGGACCACTTGAGGCCAGGAGTTCATGACCAGCCTGTCCAATATGGTGAAACCCTGTCTCTACAAAAAATACAAAAATTAGCTGGATGTGGTGGCGGGCACCTGTAATCCCAGCTACTCGGGAGGTTGAGGCAAGAGAATTGCTTGAACCCAGGAGGCAGAGATTGCAGTGGGCCAAGATCGCGCCACTGCACTCCAGCCTGGGTGACAGAGGGAGATTCTGTCTCAAAAACAAAAAGGAAGGACTGTAGTTCTGATAGGTTTGGAAAGAGGAATGAACAGATCTGTGAAAAATGTAGGATACAGACCAGGCAAGTTAAGATTTATTAGATATGAGAAGGAAGGAGAGGCAAGAGAAATGTTAAGCAACAGTTAGCTGTGCTGGGCACTGAATAGGCCCTTCATCTACATAAACACTTTTCTTTTTCTTTTCTTTTCTTTTCTTTTTTTTTTTTTTTTGAGAGGGAGTCTTGCTCTGATGCCCAGGCTAGAGTGCAGTGGCACGATCTCAGCTCACTGCAACCTCCGCCTCCTGGATTCAAGCGATTCTCCTGTCTCAGCCTCCAGAGTATCTGGGACTATAGGCGTGCATCACCACGCCTGGCTAATTTTTGTATTTTTTTAGTAGAGACGGAGTTTCACCATATTGGCCAGGCTGGTCTCAAACTCCTGACCTCGTGATTAGCCCGCCTCGGCGTCCCAAAGTGCTGGGATTACAGGCGTGAGCCACCGCATCCATCATCTTTTCTTTTTCTTTTTCTTTTTTCTTTTTTTTTTTTTGCGACAGTCTCCCTCTGTCGCCCAGTCTGGAGCATCGTGGTGCGATCTCGGCTCACTACAACATCGGCCTCCTGGGTACAAGCAATTCTCATGCCTCAGCCTTCTGAGTAGGCGGGATTACAGGCACCCACCACAATGCCTGGCTAAATTTTTGTGTATTTTTAGTAGAGACAGGGTTTCACTATGTTGGCCAGACTGGTCTCGAACGCCTGACCTCGTGATCCACCCGCCTCGGCCTCCCAGAGTGCTGGGATTACAGGCGTGAGCTACCGCGCCCAGCCCTCGTCTGGTACTTAAGAAAAACCTGTAATCCCAGCTATTCAGGAGGCTGAGGCAGGGGAATCGTGTGAACCCGGGAGGCGGAGGTTGCAGTGAGCCAAGATCGTGCCACTGCACTCCAGCCTGGGTGACAGAATGAGACTCCGTCTCCAAAAAAAAAAAAAAAAAAAAAAAAAGTACCAGAAGAGTTGGTACCTAGAAAGAAATTAATCTACAGAGTGGTGAATTATGTTGGATTTTAGGCACATTAGGCCTAACCCGACACAACCTCCTCTAGGGGCCCTTACCCTTTCCAACAAATGGCCTAGAATTCTTTTCTGTCCAGGGGTCAGGAAAAACAAAGTTGAGAAGAAGTTTGTTAAAGTTCTCTGAATGCTTTAAAAGGGGAAATTTGCAAGACTAAAGAATGGATTGGAGGGGAGGTAGGTTTGGAGGAAGAAGGGGGTGGGGCCCTGAAAAGGCTTCAAGGAGCTGCTCTGAGCTGAAAGGGGATAAGGATCTTCTTGGAGAACTGGGGCATCTGATTGGAACACCTGCGAAAGCTTAAGCGATGAGGTTGTGCCCCTCTTGCAGTACAAGGCTGCAAATTATCCAAGCCAAGGGCAGAAATCTCAATGTCCTTGTTACTCCATATGGCCTTGGGATTCTCCCATGGCCCTCCAGTAAAGCGCTGCTAGGTCCCGGAAAGGCTGTGGCAGTGGTGGGGTTGGGGTTAAGGATAATCCCACTCCTTGGCCAGTGGATGGACAGTCACCCATGTCTCTACTGTGGACCACAGGACAGCGAAGGCACCAACTGGCAGACAAGTCCCAGGTGGGAGCGAGTATAAGGATGCGTCTCCTTTTCTTCCTTCTAGAGGGTAACTAGGGGGATATGGAGGGAGCATGCACGGTGGGAGGCTGAGGATTGCCACATTCGATTCATGAGTTATTGTTTGCTGATGGGGTCCTGAGATTCTGACTGAGATCTGTAATTCTGAAGCCTTCTCACTCTTCCTGGCAGATGGCCAATGTTTCAGTATTGAGTTTGTAAGGGTGCTATTTATGAGGCAGGAAAAGAAAAAAAAAAATGTGTTGTTGTGTTGCACCGCAGGGCTATCAAGTGTGACCCCAATATATTTCTTTCTTTTTCTTTTTTTTTTTTTTTTTGAGACTATAAATCTCACTCTGTCACTTAGGCTGGAGTGCAGTGGTGAAATCACAACTCACTGCAGCCTTGACTCCCACCTCAGCCTCCCAAGTAGCTGGGACTACAGGCACATGCCACCACTCTTGGCCAATTAAAAAAAAATTTTTTTTAGAGACAGGTCTCCCTGTGTTGCCCAGGCTGGTCTCAAACTCCCTGGCTCAAGTGATCATTCTGCCTGGACCTCCCGAAGTGCTGGGATTACAGGTGTGAGTCACCACACCTAGCTTACCACAGTATTTCTTAAATCTCAGTGGCCAGACCTGGGATAAGTTGCTATTCAAAAGCAGCTTGTAGGTTTTTTGTTTTGTTTTGTTTTGTTTTTGAGACAGAGTCTCGCTCTGTCGCCAGGCTGGAGTGCAGTGGCGTGATCTCGGCTTACTGCAACCTCCGCCTCCCGGGTTCAAGTGATTCTCCTGCCTCAGCCTCCCAAGTAGCTGGGATTACGGGCACGCGCCACCACGCCCAGTTAATTTTTAGTAGAGATGGGGTTTCACCATGTTGGCCAGGATGGTCTCGATCTCTTGACCTCGTGATCCGCCTGCCGCGGCCTCCCAAAGTGCTGGGATTACAGGCATGAACCACCGTGCCTGGCAGAGCTTGTAGTTTTCTGATTTATGTGTGTGTGTGTTTTTTAACTTGGAAAAAAAAATTGTTCTCTTAGGATGTATGATTCGTGTTTAAATGAAGACTGCTCTTTTATTTGGGAGAATCCTCTCCCAGTACTTGAGCGGGCTTCTTGGTTTGGCAAAGGCAAAGCCCAACTCTCAATAGTGAGTGGAAGGGACAGACGTAACTGAACTGCTTTGCACAATAATGCCAATGACTGTCTTTTGTTAATAGGAGTCCTGACTCTTGATTACATTTACGGGGAGTCCAGCCTGAAATAGTCGGGGTAGAGGTAGAGGGAAAAGTCCCTTCTGTTGGCAGCTTGCCAAAGGTGTTACGAGTAAAGGGATGGCCTTGAGGTGAAGGGAATTCCTTTGCGAGACAATAGGCCAGGGACTATAGATGCTACATAATCTAATAGCCACTTCTAAGTCTTCTCAGCTTTGTAATGCCCCAAACTTTCAGCAACAGCCTGGTTGGTGTTTGCTATGCTTAGGGGAATAAGGGAGGCGGGTGTGTCCACACTTAGGATTTGCTTCCATCCTCTAGGATATGACCCCAGCCCCCGAGGCCAGAGTGGTGGTAGCTTCAGGTGTGTGGCTGGTGATTCTGAAGCTCTAGGGGGTGGCTTGCAGCACAATTCTGGAATGCTACATATATATATATATATATATATATATATATATATATATATATATACACACATACACACACACACACACACATACACACACACATGTATTTATTTTATTTATTTATTTTTTGAGACAGAGTCTTGCTCTGTTGCCTAGGCTGGAGTGCAGTGGTGCAATCTCCGCTTACTGCAACCTCCACCTCCCAGGTTCAAGCGATTCTCCTGCCTCAGCCTTCCAAGTAGCTGGGATTACAGGAGTGTACTACCATGCCTGGCTAATTTTTGTATTTTTTTTTTTAGTAGAGATGGGGTTGTCTCACCATGTTGGCCAGGCTGGTCTTGAACTCCTGTCCTCAAGTGATCCGCCTGCCTTGGCATCCCAAAATGCTGGGATTACAGGCGTGTGCCACCACACCCGGCCTGGAATGCTGTCTATTGAGGAAAGGAAGAGGCTGTACTGGGGAGTGCCAGCGTTGAAGTTCAAGCAAGTGTAAAACTCTGGCCTTAACTGAATCACAAGTAGGAAACAAGTTAATCAGGAATGGATTTGTGGGGCATGAAAACCTTTGAGGATTCTTAGGATTGTTTGGAAGAGGGGACTGGATTTTCTATCACTAAATAGGGTGGGATTTGTTTTACAGTTGATAATTTTTTGATGGGGTGCGTCAGGGTCCCACTCTGTCACCCTGGCTGGAGTGCAGTGGCGTGATCACGACTCACTGCAGTCTCAACCTCCTGGGCTCAAGTGATCGTCTCACCTCAGCCTACCAAGTAGTTGGGACTACAGGTGCGTGCCACCACACCCGGCTAATTTTTGTATTTTTTGTAAAGATGGGGTTTTACTATGTTGCACAGACTGGTCTCAAACTCCTGGGCTCAAGCTATCTGCCCACCTCAGCCTCCCAAAGTGCTGGGATTAAAGGCAGGAGCCACCGCGCCCGGCCTATAGTTGACAATTAACTAGAAGTGTGACATTGGAATTATAGAGGGAGAGTAACGAGACTCATTACTTACTAGCCCAGGGTAGGAGACATTAGTGGGCCGCAGGTTTCATCCTTAAATTTCTGTGAAGCCTTTCTTGAGGACATCTGCCCTTTCCTTCTCTCCCTCAGTGTGTGGTTTTCCTTTCTCTGGCTCCCACTGCACTCTGCACATACCTTTATCACAGCAACCACTTACGGTGTATTGTAATTTGTAATTATCTATGTACATGTCTCCAAGTAGACTGACCTCAAGGGCGAGGGACTGGCGCTGGTACTCAGACCCCGGGTTCAAGTTCCAGCCACGTCTCTAGCTAGTTTTGTGATCTTAGACAAATAACTTAATCGCTCTATGCCTCAATTTCCTTGACTTATAAAACTGGCTTAAGACTCTCTGTCACACGCCATTGCTGGGCATATTAAGGTGACAATGCGTGAAAAGTACGAGGCAAAAGGTAAGTGCAAAATAAAGGGCGCCTAAAACGGTAAACGTGTGTTAATTAACCTGATCTACCTTTACATGTGCATTCAGCAAACACTGAGCACCTAATGTCCTCTGGGACCCCGGAACGCCTCCTCCGGAGTGGAGCAGCCTCACATGTGGCCTGTGGGCCTTGTCCCACGGGCCGGCTCCGGATTGGCTCCGCCGAAGAGAAAACCCTGCCGACAGCCCTTCCGATCTCGTCAGCGATTGGGCCGGGACCGTCCCACAATTACTCTTGTTGCTGGGCTCGGAAATAGGGAGCGGTGCTAGGTTGCGCGTGCGCAGATTGAGAATGGAGCTTTCCGGTCGGGCGGGAGGAGGTGACGTCAGGAGTGGTGGCGGGCGGGGGCCTCTGGTAGCCCTGGGGACGCTGTATCTGTGGGCTCTTGAATCGCGTCACAAATCAGCGACCGAACTCTGGCGGTGGTGGTTAAGACGGCGAAGGCGGCAGCGGCGGCGACAGCTCTGGGGTTTGCGTCTCGGGGTGTGTCGGCCGCCGCTGCTGCTTGGGCCTGGTATGTACAGATGGCTGGTTAGGATTCTCGGCACCATTTTCCGTTTCTGCGACCGGTCGGTGCCCCCTGCCCGGGCCCTCCTGAAGAGGCGGCGCTCAGACAGGTGAGACGAGAGGGGGCTGAGCGCCAGCCTGGCCTTACCCCCTCCCCCACAGCGGGCTCCTCGGCCGTGATAGCTTTGATTCAGCCAGGCTCACCCGAAACAGGTCGCCGGGATCCTAGTGACGTAGTCGCTCCCGCCAGGCTGTAGGGAGGCAGCTCCTGATGAAGGAGGAGCTGGTCGTCTTCGTAGCGGCCGGTGATGGCAGGGTCTTTGACATTCTTGTCAGAGGCCAAGCTGGTTGCTGATAACAAATGGGGCTTTGCCGCTCTTAGGCTGAACACTAACATTGAAGGAATACTGTCTTTGTTGTGGCTCACTGTTTACAAAGCACCCTCGCAAGTGTCATCTGCAGACATTAAGTGCAGTTGAAGTGAGATTCATAGCTTGCCCAAAGCCGTTTTGACTGCAAGTACTGTCCTTGCAGCAAGAAACAGCACCTGTTTTGTTCCAAAACAGCTGTCAAACAGTCTGTGTGTTTGGGGCCAGAAGGGTTTTGTGCTTTAGAATTAGTGAATGAGTAAAAAGGCTTAGGTGCCTCACTCCTTTAAAACAATCACTAGTCTGTACTCTTAAATTCGGTTAAAATTTGGGGGAAACGCAAAGCTATTCTTTTCTTTTTTTCTTTTTCTTTTGGTTGAGACGGAGTCTTGCTCTGTCGCCCAGGCTGGAGTGCAGTGGTGCGATCTCGGCTTACCGCAACCTCCGCCTCCTGGGTTCAAGCGATTCCCCTGCCTCAGCCTCCCAAGTAGCTGGGATTGCAGGTGTGCACCACCACGCCTGGCTAATTTTTGTGTTTTTAGTAGAGATGGGGTTTCACTATATTGGCTAGGCTGGCCTTGAACTCCTGACCTCAAGTGATCCGCCCACCCCAGCCTTTGGAAGTGCTGGGACTGCAGGCATGAGCCACTGCACTCAGCCCCAAAAGCTATTCTTATTTAGCATCTACTCTTTGGAGTGTCCCATTTTATTGTATCGACCTCCTTACCTAAAAATCTGGAAAATAAAATACTATACAAATTCTATGCCCCCTCTTCAACTTTAGTGATCAAGTGTTAATTTTTTTTTTTTTTGAGAAGGAGTCTCGCTCTGTCCCCCAGGCTGGAGTGCAGTGGCGCAATCTCGGCTCACTGCAAGCTCTGCCTCCGGGAGTCACGCCATTCTCCTGCCTCAGCCTCCCCAGTAGCTGGGACTACAGGCGCCCGCCACCATGCCCGGCTATTTTTTTTTTTTTTTTTTTTGAGACAGAGTCTCATTTTGTTGCCCAGGCTGAAGTGCGGTGGCACGATCTCAGCTCACTGCAACCTCTGCCCACTGGGTTCAGGCGATTCTTCTGCCTCAGCCTCCGGAATAGCTGGGATTACAGGCGCCTGCCACTGCACCCGGCTTATATTTTTTGTATTTTTTTTAGTAGAGACGGGGTTTCACCATCTTGGCCAGGCTAGTCTTGAACTCCTGACCTCGTGATCCACCCGCCTCAGCCTCCCAAAGTGCTGGGATTACAGGCCTGAGCCACAGCGCCCGGCCACTACCGGCTAATTTTTTTTTTTTTTTTTTTTTTTTTGAGGCGGAGTCTCGCTCTGTCGCCCAGGCTGGAGTGCAATGGCGCGATCTCGGCTCACTGCAACCTCCGCCTTCCAGGTTCACGCCTTTCTCCTGCCTCAGCCTCCCGAGTAGCTGGGACTACAGGCGCCCGCCACCACGCCCAGCTAATTTTTTGTATTTTTAGTAGAGACGGGGTTTCACCGTGGTCTCGATCTCCTGACCTCAGGATCCGCCCGTCTCGGTCTCCCAGAGTGCTGGGATTACAGGCGTGAGCCACCGCGCCCGGCCCTCGCCCGACTAATTTTTTGTATTTTTTAGTAGAGACGGGGTTTCACCGTGTTAGCCAGGATGGTCTGGATCTCCTGACCTCGTGATCCACCCGCCTCGGCCTCCCAAAATGCTGGGACTACAGACGTGAGCCACCGGGCCCGGCCGTTAATTTCATTTTTTAAATTAAGCCTCAATATCAAGAAAAGTGGAAGAAGTGTTCATTTGTGGGAGCTTGAGAGAACAAGATGTCTAATACATTAGTCTGAGAATGCAGGTTATTGATGAGATTGGTTGTTGGCTAAATTGCATCGTGTGTTCCAGAGATACATGGTTTTGCCTTATTTTTCTCTCCTATCTTTCCGTTGGGTTGATATAAGGATCATTTGAGAACGTGGTGTAAAGTGCCTAAACTGATGCTTAATGTATATAAGGGTAGTATTTGTCTGTCCTACTCTGGGGCCTTTTGCAGAGTCTGGTGCATGATAAGCACTTGGTCCCTATTTATGGAATAAGGGAAAGCTAATTTCCTCTCCCTTGTCCTCTCCTTGATGTGAATCCCTGCTAGTCAGTGGAACATGGTTTGGCGATCAAAACCTTGATCTTTACTATACTTTAGGTGTTCACATCCTTAATCCAAAACAACACTTCTCAGTGTAAACCAATTTTCAGTCAAAATGAAGCCCGGCAGGGCTTGTTGGAATGTATAAAGTTATGAGCTGAATGGAATCCTGGGATCTCATTCTATTCATTTTTTTTTTTTGCATGTGTGAATATAATTGATCATAAGGGTTCAGAGAGATGATGAGTAATATACTATGACCCTTTAGCATTCTTGACATCTGGGTCCTGAAACTTTCCTCAATTCCAAAGTTCTTTATTACCATCATAATGTAGTTTGCGTGATAAAAATGAAGTTAAATATAACACTTGATTAAGATTTGTCTTTTTTAAGTTGTAGAACAGTTTTTTTTAACTCCCTTACACACACACAAAAGAAAAAACAGTAAAAAAGAATTGTCTTTTAAGGCTGTTCATATTAATACTGTCACCTAAAGTAAAAGATGGCTTTCTTTGGGGATCATTTTCAAAAGGAAATTGCTTGTTTGTTGTTTTTAAATCATTTCTGGAGCGAAAGAGAAAATACTGTCCTAAACTCTTACCTGGGTTCATTTACTAGCTAAGTGACTTTGGCCAGTTTTAAGTTTGTACTTTAACCAGATGGCAAATTATTATTTGGTAAGAAGTTTGTTTCTCTCTCAAATAGTTGAAACTGTAGCAGTAAGTCTTCGCATGTGAAAAGCCTACTATAGAATAGCATTCTCTCTTTTGTTTTGCTTTTATTTTTAGTTTTATTTCTTTTTAAAACAAGGTCTCACTCTTTTGATTAGGCTGGAGTGCAGTGGCATGACCTGGGCTCACTGCAGCCTTACTTCCTGGGCTCAAGTGATCCTCCTGCCTTAGTGTAGCTGGGACCACACTCACTTACCACCAAGGCTGGCTAATTTTTTATTTATTTTTTTATCGTAGAGATGAGGTCTTACTTTGTTGCCCAGGCTGATGTCAAACTCCAAGGCTCAAGCGATCCTCCCCCTTGGCCTCCCAAAGTGCTGGGATTACAGGCACGAGCCACTGTGTCCCACCAGCATTCTCTTTTAAAACATCAGTTGGATCTCATTTTATGACAAAGTGATAGAAGGGGGATGTGTTATATGAATAGTAAGTTTACTTACAGAAATGAATGTGTGTGTAAATCTATATATATATATTTTTTTCTTTCTCTTTTTCAGCACTCTGTTTTCTACAGTGGACACTGATGAAATACCAGCCAAAAGACCAAGATTAGGTACTGAATATAAATTTTAAAAATTTTTAGTTTTTAAATAGGAAAAATATATGCATGGAACAAAATTCAAAAGGTAAAAAGTATCTGGTAAAAAGTAAGTCTTGGCCGGGCGCAGTGGCTGTAATCCTAGCACTTTGGGAGGCCAAGGCAGGCGGATCACCTGAGGTCAGGAGTTTGAGACCAGCCTGGCCAACATGGCAAAACCCTGTCTCTACTAAAAATACAAAAATTAGCTTGCTGTGGTGGCAGGAGCTTGTAATCCCAGCTACTCGGGAGGCTGAGGCAGGAGAATCGCTTGAACCTGGGAGGTGGAGGTTGCTGTGAGCCAAGATGGTGCCATTGCACTTCAGCCTGGGGCGACAGAGCAGGACTGTGTCAGGAAAAAAAAAAACAAAAAAACTTAAGTCTCTTTCCTGGCCCGACGTGGTGGCTCAAACCTTTAATTCCAGCACTTCAGAGGCTGAGGTGGGAGGATCACTTGAGGTCAGGAGTTTGAGACCAGCCTGGCCAACATGGTGAAACCCCATCTCTACTAAACATTAAAAAATTAGCCAAGTGGTGCACGCCTATAGTCACAGCTACTCGGGAGGCTGAGGCACGAGAATCGCGTGAACCTGGGAGGCGGAGGTTGCAGTGAGCCAAGAATCTGCTACTGCACTCTGCACTCCAGCCTGGGCGACAGAGCGACACTCCATCTCAAAAAAAAAAAAAAAAAAAAAAAAGAAAGTCTCCTTTTTTTTTTTTTTTTTTTTTTTGAGACAGAGTCTTGCTCTGTCGCAGGCTGGAGTGCAGTGGCGCAATCTCGGCTCACTGCAAGCTCTGCCTCCCAGGTTCACGCCATTCTCCTGCCTCAGCCTCCCGAGTAGCTGGGATTACAGGCACCCACCACCACACCTGGCTAGTTTTTTTGTATTTTTAGTAGAGATGGGGTTTCACCGTGTTAGCCAGGATGGTCTCCATCTCCTGACCTCGTGATCTGCCCGCCTCGGCCTCCCAAAGTGCTGGGGTTACAGGCGTGAGCCACCGCACCCAACCCAAGAAAGTCTCTTTCCTATCCCTTTCTTATCTTTTCTAGAGGTAACTACTGTTACCAGGGACTTGTCTAATCCTTGCAGGTAAATAAGCCTAGGTGTAGACTGTGCATTTTAAAATTCTAAATCATTCTACAAAGAAAAGATACTTCTTATTTATTTATTTTTTGAGATGGAGTCTCGCTCTGTCACCCAGGCTGGAGTGTAGTGGTGCAATCTCGACTCACTGCAACCTCCACCTCCCGGGTTCACACCATTCTCCTGCCTCAGCCTCCTGAGTAGCTGGGACTACAGGCGCCCGCCATCATGCCCGGCTAATTTTTTGTATTTTTAGTAGAGACGGGGTTTCACCATGTTAGCCAGGATAGTCTCAGTCTCCTGACTTCGTGATCCACCTGCCTCAGCCTCCCAAAGTGCTGGGATTACAGGCGTGAGCCCCCGCGCCTGGCCCTACTTATTTTTAAGGAGGAAATGTTGTAAATGTTTCAAACTGAGGTGACTCTAGTTCAGATGGCTGAGGGAACCCATCTTTTCTATTTTTTTTTTTCGAGACAGGGTCTCATTCTGTCACCCAGGCTGGGATGCAGTGGCATAATCATGGCTCACTGCAGCCTCCACCTCCCTGGGCCCAGGTGATCCTTCCATCTCAGCCTCCCAAGTAGTTGGTTGGGCCTACAGGCACGTTATCACACCTAGCTGATTTTTGTATTTTTTTTGTAGAAACAGGGTCTTGCCACATTGTCCAGGCTGAAAATAGGCAGCAGTGGCATTTTGAAAGAATACTCCTGTCTTTAAGAACCGGTAATATTTCTTTTTTTTTTTTTTTTTTTTTTTGAGACAGGATCTTGCTCTGTCTTGATCTTGTCATCAACAATTTTTTTTTTTAATTTTGTAAGAGGCAAGGGTATCACTGTGTTGCCCAGGCTTCAGTGCAGTGGCACGATCGTAGCTCACTGCAGTCTCAAACTCCTGGGCTCACACAATCCTCCTGCCTCAGTCTCCTGAGTAGCTGGGACTATAGGCCCATACCACCACACCTGGCAAATTATTTTGTATGTGGATACTGAGTCTCCATATGTTGCCCAGGCTGATCTTGGAACTCCTGCCCTTCCAAAGTGCCGGGATTATGGATATGAGCCACTGTGCCCAGCCAAGTCTTTTACTTCAGTATATCTGAATGGATAAAGAAAATAAAAGTAGATTAAAGGAAAAAGGCATAGTAAAATGCTATAATAATATATTCCTCTTTCTCAAAAATGATTATAAATTTGGGTCTACCTCCAGATGTGGTAATTGAGTGTGGACATATTTGTGTTAATATTTCGTTTAAATTCAGTGAGTACTTATTGAGCATGTCTCAGTGCTAACCAATGTGTTAGGTTTTACAGAAAATACAAAAATTAGTAAGACAGGGTCTCCTTTTTTTTTTTTTTTGAGATGGAGTCTTGCTCTGTTGCTCAGGCTGGAGTGCAATGGCACATTCTCGGCCCACTGCAACCTCCGCCTCCCAGGTTCAAGTGATTCCCCTGCCTCAGCTTCCCAAGTAGCTGGGACTACAGGTGCCCACCACCACACCCGGCTAATTTTTGTATTTTTAGTAGAGACAGGGTTTCGCCATGTTGGCCAGGCTGGTCTCAAGCTCCTGACCTCAAGTGATCCACCTGCCTTGGCCTCCCAAAGTGCTGGAATTACAGGCGTGAGCCACCGTGCCCGGCCTGGGTCTCCATTTTTAAGGACCTTATATGATAATATGGTAGGGGGTATAAGACAATCACATAATAATGCTAATGTCAATGAAAATATAAAAAATAAAAAAACAAAGATAGTAACAAAATCCTATCCAATTTTCAGCTCATCGAGTCTCAGTAAATGTTTGCGGGAGTTAGTATGAGTTAGTATGTTAGCCCAGGTCTTGAAGGATGGATAGGATATCAAAGGAGAGCAATAGGAAGGAAAAATATTCTAGGCAGAGGGAATAGTATGGGAAAGTTGTGTAAATTCAAGAAATAGTGAATAGAGCTCAGGGAAAAAAAATGGCTGAAGACAGGTAGATCAAATTATCGTTCTGTTTTGTTTTGTTTAGTTTTTTAATAGAGACAGGGTCTTGCTATATTGCTCAGGCTGATCTCGAACTCCTGGGCTTAATTAAGTGATCCTCTCACCTTGGCTTTCCAAAATGTTGGGATTACAGGCGTGAACCACCATCCCCGGCCAAGGATTTTCAAATGACAGGAATTTATACTAAATTCATTAGAACAGTATTTCCCAAAGCACAGGATAGATACCAATTTAGGAAATGATTTTAGGGGATTCAACATTCACAGCATTATGTAACATTTGAATGATGATTATGTACTAAGAAAGGTGTATCCTTTTCAGTTATTTATTTGAGGTGCTCACATCCTGTTTATTTCACACAGAAAATCTTGATTTAATGCTAGTATATCTTCAATACTTGTCTAATATATGCTAATCTCCCATTTTTTAACAGGCCCAACTAGAACTTAGTATTATTGTGTTTTCATTTCTTTTTTTTTTTTTTTTTGAGACGGAGTTTCTTTCTCGTTGCCCAAGCTGCAGTGCAATGGTGCGATCTTGGCTTGTTGCAACCTCCACCTCCCAGGTTCAAGTGATTCTCCTGCCTCAGCCTCCCGAGTAGCTGGGATTACAGGCGCCCACCACTATGCCCGGCTAATTTTTGTGTTTTTAATAGAGACAGGGTTTCACCATGTTGGCCAGACTGGTCTCGAATTCCTGACCTCAAGTGATCGCCCGCCTCGGCTTCCCAAAGTGTTGGTATTACAGGCGTGAGCCACCTCACCCGGCTGTGTTTTCATTTCTTTATAAGGCAGGTGATGTTGGCTTTACATATACAGTAGTAATTTAAAATTATCTTTTTTTTTTAAGCCAAAAAAGGAAGTCAGTTTTAAAGAAAAATATAAATAGCTTGTACTTGGATGTGGTTAAAAAAAAAAAACACACACAAACGTTGGTATTACAGAAGGTTTCTGACTTAATTATTTAGGACAATCATCTGTTTTATGGATTCTATGTTAAGGATCACTTATTGCATCATTCCCATTAAATATGTAGTATGATTTTCTGAATGGCAAATTGTAGAAGGGAATCTAAACCAAAGGGTAAGCGGTGGGTAGCAGAGTTTGTAAAGGCCTGTAAAGTGCTGCCCAAGAGAACTTCCTGCAGTGATAACTGTTGAGCACTCGAAATGTGGCTAGTTCAACTGAGGAACTGAATTTTAAACTTTATTTGATTCTAATAAAACTTTAAGTTAGGTAACCATATCTGGCTACTAGCTACTGTGTTGGACAGTACAACTCCATTGGTTGCTTTTGAGAGAAAAAAAAGCAAAGCAAGGGTAAAAGAAAAGAAAGAAGACCTCAGAATTTCAGGCTCATGATCTTTTTTTTTTTTTTTTTGGGACAGAGTCTCGCTGTGTCACCCAGGCTGGAGTGCAGTGGCACAATCTCGGTTCACTGCAACCTCCACCTCCCAGGTTCAAGCGATTCTCCTGCCTCAGTCTCCTGAGTAGCTGGGATTACAGGTGTGCACCACCATGCCCAGCTAATTTTTATATTTTAGTAGAGACGGAGTTTCACCATATTGGCCAGGCTGGTCTCGAACTCCTGACCTCAAGTGATCCACCCTCCTTGGCCTCCCAAAGTGCAGCTAATTTTTGTATTTTAGTAGAGACAGGGTTTCACCGTGTTGGCCAGGCTGGTCTTGAACTCCTGACCTCAAGTGATCCACCCACCTTGGCCTCCCAAAGTGCTGGGATTACAGGTGTGAGCCACCGTACCTGGCTCAGGCTCATGACCTTAAAGGTGAAAGAGATTTTAAGAGATCTATGTAGTCTAGTTTCAGGGAAGTAAGGTGATCTTTTCCCCATTTTACAGATGAGGCAGGCCTTCTGTTTTTTAAAAAAATCAGTGAGATCTTTTGACATAATCTCAGGGGCATACCGAGATTTTGATAACATTCGTAGGAAAATAAATATTATGATATTGTTTAGTAGCCACAATTTGCTATGTTACCAAGAGGCTTCTTGTCCTCTAGAGTCTGGATGACAGACTGTGGGTTAAGCATCAATCGCTAAAGCTCTTCTTCTCCTCCTTAGAAAGTGCAGCAGAGTGTGTACTATCCCTCAGCACTATTAGAAGGGGATAACCTGGAATTCTCTGATTCCTAAAATGAAAAACAACTCATTTGCATAGTTTGGTACTTATAACTATTAGCAAATTTCTCAAATTGGATTGTGCTTTACCTGGCCATTACTTTTTCCCTTTTGTTTGTTATTCCCCTATGTTTCTGGAAAGTAGTTTACATGTTCTGGAGCACTGCTTAAAAGCTACCATTGCAGTCTATCTTTCTCTAAAGCAGAATGGCTAATGTGATGTTCTGTTTTTCTCAAACTAGCGTCTTCAAATACCCTTAATTAGGACATAGGATATTGTAGAAAGCTTACATCAGATATATAGAAAGTGAGAAAGAGGTAGTGTAATAAAAGGAGGAAGTGAGGAAAGCACTGAAACCTACCCTTTCCTTTTATTTTTGGTGGCAAGGAAGGGTGAGCCTGAGATTTTTTTTTTTTTTTTTTTTTGAGACAGGATCTCCCTCTGTCACCCAGACTGGAGTGCAGTGCCGTGATCTCACCTCACTGCAACCTCTACCTCCCGGGTTCCAACGATTCTTCTGCTTTAGCCTCCCAAGTAGCTGGAATTACAGGCATGTGCCACCAGGCCCAGCTAATTTATTTATTTATTTTGAGATGGAGTCTCACGCTGTTGCCCAGACTGGAGTACAGTGGTGCCATCTTGGTTCACTGCAACCTCCGCTTCCTGGATTCAAACGATTCTGCTGCCTCAGCCTCCAGAGTAGCTGGGATTATAGGTGTGTGCCATGACGCCCAGCTAATTTTTGTATTTTTAGTAGAGACGGTTTCGCCATGATGGTCAGGCTGGTCTTGAACTCCTGACATCAAGTGATCTGCCCGCCTTTGCCTCCCAAAGTGCTGGGATTACAGGCTTGAGCCACCGTGCCCAGCCTAAGATCTTCTAACACATCTCCACTAGAGGGATAGTCTTGTTCTATCTTAGATGTTTAAAAGCTGCATATTTTAGGCCAGGTGCAGTGGCATACACCTGTAATCTCAGCACTTTGGGAGGCTGAGGCAGAAGGATCACTTGAGCCCAGGAGTTCCAGACCAGCCTGGGCAACATAGTGAGACCTGCCTCTACCAAAAAATCAAAAAAATTAGCCAGACATGGTGGTGCATGCCTGTGATCCCAGCTACTCAGGAGACTGAGGTAGGAGGATCACTTGAGCCTGGGAGGTTGAGGCTGCAGTGAGTAGTGATCATGCCACTGCACTCCAGTCTGGGTGACAGAGTAAGACCCTGTCTCAAAAAAAAAAAAAAAGCTGCATATTTTATACTTTACTTAGCCAAGCTATAATACGGGCTTAGTAAATAGTTGTTTAGGGCAACTACAGTATATTGTTACCTGCCTGGGAAGTAAGGACAAGCTAGTGAGACTATGACAGTGCTTCCTGTAGAATTCTGCCGTACTCGGTGGCTATATGCTCCTTGTTGTTTAATCATGCCCTCACCTCTGTGGTAAAAGTTTATTTATTTATTTATTTGTTTATTTTTTGTGAGACGGAGTCTCATTCTGTCATCCAGGCTGGAGTGCAATGGCACGATCTCAGCTCACTGCAACCTCTGCTTTCCAGGTTCAAGCAATTCTCCTGCCTCAGCCTGCCAAGTAGCTGGGACTAAAGGCGCACACCACTGAGCCCAGCTAATTTTTGTATTTTTTTTAGAGACGGGATTTCACCATGTTTGCCAGGCTGGTCTTGAACTCCTGACCTCGTGATCTGCCTGCCTCGGCCTCCCAAAGCGTTGGGATTACAGGCGTGAGCAACCACGCCCAGCAAAAATTTATTTTATATATCCTGGAGAACTCTGCTTAAAAGTTGTCATTTCAGAACATTTTGAGTGTGTGTGTGTGTGTGAATCAGTATGGATTTGCTAAAGTGATGGTTTTATGTTTTTATATTCAGATGTTTTATTTAAAAAACACAATTACAATACTGGTATTCCAGTTATTCAGCTAGAAAAATATTATTTATTTGTTTATTTATTTATTTATTTTGAGATGGAGTCTCACTCTGTCGCCCCGGCTGGAGTGGAGTGGCGTGATCTTGGCTCACTGCAACCTCCGCCTCCCAGGTTCCAGCGATTCTCCTGCATCAGCCTCCTGAGTAGCTGGGACTATAGTCGTGCACCACCATGCCCAGCTAATTTTTTGTATTTTCAGTAGGGACGGGGTTTCACTGTGTTGGCCAGGATGTTCTCGATCTCCTGACCTCAAGTGATCCACCCACCTCGGCCTCCCACCAAAGTGCTGGGATTACAGTCAAGAGCCACAAGTCTGGCCCAGTTTTTTTTTTTTGAGATGGAGTTTTGCCCTTGTTGCCCAGGCTGGAGTGTAATGGCGCGATCTTGGCTCACCACAACCTCTGCCTCCTGGGTTCAAGCGATTCTCCTGCCTCAGCCTCCTGAATAGGTGGGATTATAGGGATGCGCCACCACGCCCAGCTAATTCTTTGTATTTTAGTAGAGATGGGGTTTCTCCATGTTAGTCAGGCTGGTCTCCAACTCCTGACCTCAGGTGATCTGCCCACCTTGGCCTCCCAAAGTGCTGGGATTACAGGCGTGAGCCACCACACCAGACCTAGGAAAGGATTATATTGATAAATACCTTTTTATTTCAATGGTTGAAAATAGGACTTTTTTAAATTTTTGTTTTTCAGAGACAGAGTCTCACTCTGTTGCCCAGGCTGGAGTGCAGTAGCACAATCACAGCTCACTGTAGCCTCAATCTTCTGGGCTCAGGTGATCCTCCCACCTCAGCCTCCCAGGTAGCTGGGACTACAGGCGTGTGATACCATCCGCAGCTAATTTTTTGTACAAATGGGGTTTCTCCATGGTGGCCCAAGCTGGTCTCGAGCTCCTGGGCTCAAGCAATCCTCCCACCTCAGCCTCCCAAAGTGTTGGGATTACAGGTGTGAGCCACCACACCCAGCAAATAGAACTTTTGATAAAAATTGAGAGAGGCTCTTTCCAAGATATCATTTTATTTTTTAGCTGGAAGTTTATTACTTTATATTTACAGTTTGTTGACACTTTCTAGATTGCTTTATTCACCAAGTGAAAAACAGTCTCTACAATGCTGCCAGCTTATTTGGATTCCCATTCCAGCTGACCACAAAGCCCATGGTAACTTCTGCTTGTAATGGAACACGGAATGTGGCCCCTTCAGGAGAGGTCAGTGGGGATGAGACTCCATTAGGAATACTGATCTTTATACTTAATCATTATATTTTAGAAAATTCTCTCTTCGAGAGTTAATGTGTATAATTACTTTTTTCCAGAAATATCTGTATCTTTATTAGCTGTGCTATAAAGGCCAAGAAATTAAAGGTTAATAAAATGAACATTTAAAACATGTTTACAAAGAGCTAAATATTATTACATATGCTTTCTTATTTAAGGATGTACAAAGAAACTAGAATTGTTATTTCTACATCATTTTGTGAGTCTTGACAAGTTAAACCTTAGGTCTTATTGATGGTATCTCTTCTGTGAGCTACCTAAGAAAAAGTTATCTTTTCATAATAGAAAGTTATTTAGGTGACAAAATTTAGATGCTACAGAAGTGATTCTGTTTGATTTTAAGGTATTTTCGAACTCTTCATCTTGTGAACTGACAGGTTCTGGATCCTGGAACAACATGCTGAAACTGGGTGAGGTGGTCAAAAATATTTCTGTTTCCCGCTACCTCCTTCTGCCCATTTTTTTCCTACATTTTGAAAATATGAAAGGAAAACACTGATTTGAATTGGGATGAGAAAGACATTCTTTCTACCGTTCTAAAAAGCAAATAGCTTTTCTTCAGAATTGTTGTCTTTGAATTTACTGTTGTTTTTTGTTTGTATTATCAGTGTCCTCAATGTGACTTAGATCAAGGTCATATTAAAAAGGTTCATTCATTTAAAAAAAAACAAAAAAGCAAAAACATTTCCTGAGAACTTACTCTGTGCCGGGTGCTGTGCTTAAGTTATCAAGAATAACAAAATAATAAAACCTTATTCATGTCCTTTAGGAGTTCATCATCTAGTTGGGGAGCAGCCTTAGGTTCCCAGTTATCACAGTTTTATGGACTAGGGACTTCCATGTCATCCTTAGATCCTGAAGTGGAATTGTCATTATTATATATATGCACTATACAAAATGCTATGGTGGGGAAAAGTAGGAAGAAGCCAGAATCCTGCGAAATAGTTGTGATGTCTGCCACTCAGGAAGGCTTGTAAAGTTGGGGGGGAAGGAAGTTAAGGAAAATGAGCTTAGAGAAGTTGTAGGTTTAAAATTCAAAAGTGGAAGAAGATAAGGAAATGATAAAAGCCTTAGAGTTGTGCTTTTCAAACTGTTTTAAAAAGTACCTCTAGGAGTAGAGAAGAGCAAAGGAGAATAAATACATACCCCTGTGTCTGAGAAGCTAGTTCCTAAAAACTTGATATTTCTTTCTTTCTTTTTTTTTTTTTTTTTGAGATGGAGTTTCGCCCTTGTTGCCCAGGCTGGAGTGCAATAGGGCGATCTCGGCTCCAGCTCCTGGGTTCAAGTGATTCTCCTGCCTCAGCCTCCCGAGGAGCTGGGATTACAGGCATGCGCCACCACCCTGGCTAATTTTGTATTTTTAGTAGAGACTGGGTTTCTCCGTGTTGGTCAGGCTGGTCTTGAACTCCCGACCTCAGGTGATCCGCCCACCTCGGCCTCCCAAAGTGCTGGGATTACAGGCGTGAGCCACTGCGCCCAGCCCAAAGATGATATTACTTTGAAGCCTTTTATTTCATTTAAAAAGTTAATATAAATTGAATTTCATCATCTGTTTGGAATATTTGTTTAGAATTGTTTACCGTTAAGATTGACACATATGAAGGATGGTAGATTTGTGCCTGAGATGCTGGCACTACTGTGTTTCTGTGAGTTTTGTGTAGTCTAGTCAGAGAAGCCCAGGTATTCCTAGGGCAGGTTTCTTGTGTAAAGAGGTCCATAATCGGTTATCTGCAACCCCTGGGAGCCAGATGTGTTTAGGAATTCAGAATTTTTCATATTTTAGGTATGTTACCGGCCAAACATACGGCTGGTTTGAATTTGAATAATTTACTCCAATTGATTAGATTACAGAGAGTTATAATCTTTGAGTTCTTCATGGCCTCTTAACAGTCCCATCAAGCAAAACAAGCAAAGCCTGCCAGTGAATTCTGTTATTACCTATCTGAGATCAAAAACAAACTAAGCCCTATTGCTTTCCTTTAACGTCTACAAAATTTGTGCTAGACTCCTGTGCTATTAATAGAAATTGAAAAACAAGATGTTGATTTAGCTCTATGATGTAGGTTGCTCACAGATTTTTTTTCTTTCCTTATGCAGACTGTTTGCAAGTGATTTTTCATTTTACAATTACAAATGCATTTTTTAAATAGGTAATAAATCTCCTAATGGAATAAGTGACTATCCAAAGATCAGAGTGACAGTTACCCGAGATCAGCCACGCAGAGTCCTGCCTTCCTTTGGGTAAGTGTTAAATTCTTTCTGTAAATGGAAACTTAGCATTTATTAGGTGCTCACTCTTGCTAGGCAGTCTCACTTTTGTTGTATTATGTAGTCCTGCTAAGCGCTCTGAGGTTAGTAACTTGCTGAATGTCATGCAGCCAGTGAGAGACTTGAACTTAGGGGTGTGTTATATTTTCTTTTCTTGTCTTTTTTTTTTTTTTTTTTTTGCGATGGAGTTTTGCTCTGTTTCCCAGGCTGGAGTGCATTGGTGCGATCTTGGCTCACTGTGACCTCTGCCTTCCAGGTTCAAGCAATTCTCCTGCCTCAGCCTCCTGAGTAGCTGGGATTACAGGCACCCCCACACCATGCCCGGCTAATTTTTGTATTTTTAGTAGATATGGGGTTTCGCTATGTTGGCCAGGCTGGTCTCGAACTCCTGACCTCAGGTAATCCACCCACCTTGGCCTCCCAAAGTGCTGGGATTACAGGCATGAGCCACCGCACCTGGCCTTACATTTTCTACTGTATTATATGCCCATAGCATCTGATTTTGAAAATTGTTTTAGAAAGAATTGCCACTTACTTTATTCTCAACTTAAAAATATAATTATGCATACAGAAAAGTGCTGAAATTATAAGTGTACGTGGCCTGGTTAATTTTCATACACTGGTCATATCCATCAGTTGTAAAATGTTATTATTAATAGTTTTCTTACTTTCCTTTGTAGAATTTTTATTGCTTGGACATTAGACCTTCTAGATTGATCTAATTTTCCCATACATTCTCTCCTTTTGTTGTTCTTGCTTTTTTTTTTTTTTTTTTTGAGATGGGGTCTTGCTCTGTCACCCAGGCAGTTTGGTGGCACAGTCTTGGCTCACTGCAGCCTCCGCCTCCTGGGTTCAAGCAATTTTCCCACCTCAGCCTCTTGAGTAGCTGGGCTTACAGGGGCGTGCCACCATGCCCAGCTATTTTTTGCATTTTTAGTAGACACAAGGTTTCACCATGTTGGCCAGGCCAGTCTCAAACTCCTGACCTCAGGTAATCCACCCACCTCAGCCTCTCAAAGTGCTGGGATTACAGGCGTGAGCCACTGCGTGCGGCCTTCTTGCTCTTTTTAAAAACATTTTTTACTAATTCTTTTTTGACTGTCAGTTTTTAAGTTAGAAAAGTTCTCCCCCTGCCTATTCCCAGTGTTTTTTTTCTTTCTCTAAGCATCTTGTTCTTATAAGGATGCAAAATCTTTCCTTATCTCTCTAAAGCTGTTTATTATTTTAAAATATGTTTTGAGTGCTCCCTTCTGGTTTATGCCGTCTCCCTCCATGTTTGTTTATTTTGGTCTGATCTTTGAAGTTAGAGTCTTTATTCAAGTACTTGGTACTCCTTGGCTATCCACTTATATTTAGGAATGAGAAACTAAAAACTAGCGCCCTCTGGAATTGAATAAATGGCTGATTGTAGGGCTAGGAAAGAAAGTATAAAGTGAGTCTGAACATCTTGTGCCAGAAAGTAAAGGAGTGTTCAAAAACTGGGCATGCCACCCTGACAGAGGAGGAGATTTCAAAGGGGCTTTCACTGGCCAGATGGGATAATTTAAACATCAAAATGAATAAAGACAGGGACTCAGATGCTAATAAATAAATATATAGTGTCGAGGAGGGAAAGATCTTTATAGTAGAATGCCAACTAGTAAGTGTGGAAGGAATGATAAAATTAGAAAATCACCATTTTGTAACTGTCATGGTAATAACTGATATGGGCAGGAATCATCAATTGAGCCAAAACTAGTAAATACAAGTTTGCAGCCTGGCCAACATGGCGAGAAATCCCGTTTCTACTAAAAATAGAAAAATTAGCTAGGTGTGGTGGCACACACCTGTAGTCCCTGCTACTTGGGAGGCTGAGGCAGTAGAATTGCTTGAACCCGGAAGCAGAGGGTGCAGTGAGCTAAGATTACACCACTGCACTCCAGCCTGGGTGACAGAGTGAGACTCTGTCTTAAAAAAAAAAAAAAAAAAAAAAAAAGTTTGATGAGGCACTGGTATTTACATAAACTCAAAATATCTCCTTACACGTTACTTTTTTTTTTTTTTTTTTTGGGATGGAGTCTTGCTCTGTCACCCAGGCTGGAGTTCAGTGGCATGATCTCGGCTCACTGCAACCTCTGCCTCCTGGGTTCAAGCGATTCTCCTGCCTTAGCCTCCTGAGTAGCAGGGACTACAGGGACATGCCACCACGCCCAGCTAATTTTGTATTTTTGGTAGAGATGGGGTTTCACTATGTTGGCCAGGCTGGTCTCGAACTCCTGACCTCAGGTGATCCAACCGCCTCGGCCTCCCAAAGTGCTGGAATTACAGGCGTGAGCCACCACGCCCAGCCCACATTACTTATTACTTACAAAAGGAAAAATAAAGTGGAGAAGCACGACTGACACCACCTTAACCAAAAGATCAAAGTGAAGTTGCCAGCAGTTGGACAAACTGACATCATGGCATTCAAATGTATTGCACTGAGAAAGACATCATAACTAAATGCAGCATTCCTGCAAAAACGATAGACTCTAATCATGAGAAAGCTGGTTAAACTGAAATTAAGGTCCATTCTACAAAACCATAGGCCTGTATTCATTAAAAAGATAAAGAAAAGCTGAAAAATTGTTTCAGACTGAAGGAGATGAAAGATACCTGGTAACTAAATGCATGCAATGTGAGATCCTGGATTAGATTTTAGATGGGACAAAATTGCTATGAAGGTTATTTTTTAATAGCTTCAGAGATATTTGAATACGGGCTACATATTACATTGTACTATTGCAAAAGTTCCTGAATTTGGTGATTATATTGTGGTTATATAAGAGATGCCCTTGTTCTTAGGAGATACACAGTTAGTCAGGGGTGAACTTATTTTCTAAGCATTTAATGCTGTTTCCCTGTAAGCACTGCTTAGGTGCATTGTCCACATTTTGAAATGTTGGTTTTCATTTTCATTCAATTTAAAATATTTTCTAGGCTGGGTGTGGTGGCTCACACCTGTAATCCCAGCACTTTGGGAGGCTGAGGTGGGCAGATCACTTGAGGCCAGGAGTTTGAGACCAGCCTGGCCAACATGGTGAAACCCCATCTCTACTAAAATACAAAAATTAGCTGGCCATGGTGGCACACACCTGTAATCCCAGCTACTTGAGAGGCTGAGGGAGGAGAATCGCTTCAACCCGGAAGGCGGAGGTTGTAATGAGCTGAGATTGGGCCACTGCGCTCCAGCCTGGGCGACACAGTGAGACACCGTCTCAAAAAAATAAATAAATAAATAAGTAAATAAATATTTTCTAATTTCTATTTTACTTCCTCTTTGACCTGTGATTTAGAAGGATAGAAATATGTTGTTTAATTTCCAAATATTTGGGACTTTGCAGATATCTGTTATTGATTTCTAGTTTAATTCTATTATGGTTAGAGAATATGCTTTGTATGATTTCGTTTCTTTTAAGTTTTTTAATGTTTGTTTTCTGGCCTAGAGTATGGTCCAGTTGGATGATGTTCCATGTACACTTGAAAAGAATGCATATTCTGCTGTTGTTGGGTAGAATGACCTAAATGTCAGGTCAGGTTGGTTGATAATATTTTACAGGTGTTAGTGATTTTTCTGTCAACTTCTTTATTGATTGATGAGTCAGGAATTGAGTTTTCTACCACAATTGTGGATTTCTCTATTTCTCCTTCAGCTTTGCTAGTCTTTGCTCCATGTTTTTTTGTCTCCATATATTTTGAAGCTCTATTAGGCAAATAACCTGACCTAGATTCACCAGTTGTCATTCTGTTACATTTGCTTTCTCATTCTCTCATATATACATATTGTTTTGAACCATTTAAGAGTCTTTGATTCATGTCCCTTTAATCCTAAATACTTGAGTCTGTTTATTTTTTTTCTTTTCTTTTTTTTTTGAGATGGAGCCTTGCTCTGTCTCCCAGGCTGGAGTGCAGTGCCGCAATCTCGGCTCCCTGCAACCTCCGCCTCCTGGGTTCGAGCAATTCTCCTGCCTCAGTCTCTCGAGTAGCTGGGACTACAGGCATGCACCACCACGCCCAGCTAATTTTTGTATTTTTGGTAGAGTTGGGGTTCCACCATGTTGGCCAGGCTGGTCTTGAACTCCTGACCTCGTGATCCACCCGCCTCAGCCTCCCAAAGTACTGGGATTACAGGCGTGAGCCACCGCGCCTGGCCGAATCTGTTTATTTCTTAAGAATAAGGGCATTCAAGACTGGGCGTGGTGGCTCACGCCTGTATCCCAGCACTTTGGGAGGCTGAAGCGCGTGGATCACCTGAGGTCAGGAGTTTGAGACCAGCCTGGCCAACATGGTGAAACCCCATCTCTACTTAAAATACAAAAAATTAGCCGGGCGTGGTGGCAGGCGCCTGTAACCCCAGCTACACGGGAGGCTGAGGCAGGAGAATTGCTTGAACCTGGGAGGTGGAGGTTGCAGTGAGCCGAGATCGTGCCATTGCACTCCTGCCTGGAGGACAAGAGTGAAACTTCGTCGAAAAAAAAAAGAATAAGGGCATTCACTTACATGATCATGGATTACCAACATCAGGAAATTAACACTGATATAATACTATTATGTAATCTACAGGTCTTATTTAAATTTTTCTCTTATAGCTTTTTCTTTTTCCTAATACAGGATCCAGTGCAGGATTGTGTATTGCACATAGTTTTCATGTCTCTTTGATCTACTTTATTCTGCAACAACTCCTTGCCCTTTCTTTGTGTTCATTGGCATTAATATTGTAATTTTGTCTGATATTTACTGATGATTTGTTTCAGATTATGCCTTTTTTTTTTTTTTTGAAACACCACATAAGTGATATTCATTTCAAAAGCATCACCCAAGGAAGGAGGGGCATGATGTCAGTTTGTTGCATTGTTGGTAATGGCAGGAAAGGCAGATTTGTCACCAGCAGCTGTGACTGGGTGGGAATTCCAGGCTTCAGTTCCTTTAGTGTTTATTAATTTAGCATTCAGCAGATATTTATTGAGGGCCTTTTGGCTTAGACCCTGTACTAAGATAACAGTGGTGAAAGGATGTAATCTCTTTTCATGGAATTTAAAGTTTAGTGTGGAATATAGACATTAAACAAATAATCATACCAGTAATGAATTTCAGTGGTTCCAGGTGACTAAAGGAAAAATGCAGTATCAGAAGGGGTATATGCAATAGGAGAGCTAAATCTAGAGTTGGGGTTGGAAATGGGCATGAAGAGGAAGGCAGAGACTCTCTTTGTGTGGCAGCTCTAGTTTAGAAACAGACATTCCATAGTGGAATGCTGCGGTGCCCTGTGCTCTAGGGATAGATCTAACTTTTGCATAATTGTACTTGTCTGACTTGCCAGGAGTAAGCTTGACCTAAAGCAACTTAATCACAGGATGGTCTGGGAGCTTAGATTCCAGCAATTTAAGCAGCTTGGTGATACTTTTTTTCTTTTTTTTTCTGTTGCTCAGTTTTACTTTGAACTCAGAAGGCTGTAATAGAAGACCAGGTGGCCGTCGCCATAGCAAAGGTAATCCAGAGAGTTCTTTAATGTGGAAACCTCAGGAACAGGCTGTAACAGAGATGATTTCTGAAGAGAGTGGCAAGGGTCTGAGGCGTCCCCATTGTACTGTGGAGGAGGTAAGCCTTTTCAGCTTGATTTCTTTAAAAAAAATTTTACAGCTCTTCCCAAGGATGCTGCCTAGAGACACTCAGAATGGTTCAACGTTTGACATACCATTGTAGGTTTTCCTACAATACAGCCTCCAACAAAATGAGGCTGTCTTAAACCCAGATGCACCAAAAATCTGCATGCAGCATGTGCCCAGGCAGACTTTGAGGGGTTCATGCTATGAGACCTAAAGTTCTTATGAGATTGTCCAGATCACATTAGCAAGGCCTATAGCGGCCACGTGTGCTCAGTGAGTCTGTGACAGGATCAAGCATGTTGCTTATCGAGGAGCAGAAAATCGTTGTGAAAGTATTGAAGGCACAGACACAGAGTCAGACAGCTAAATTTAAAAATGAAACTTTTTTCAGAAATAAAAATTAAAAGACTAAAAAGAATTTTTAATGAATATTTTTGGGAGCAAATAATATATCTACTATGTTATATATTTCTTTTTTCCTTTTTTTTTTTTGAGACAGAGTGAGACTCTTGTCACCCATGCTGGAGTGCAGTGGTGCCGTCTTGGCTCACTGCAACCTCTGTCTCCCACGTTCCAGCATATGTTACATATTTCAAAAGGTACTAAAGTATGTACGGTAACTAAATTTCTCAGACTCCCTTCCATACCTGGCTTCCACCACCATGTTTACTTCTAAGCAAGTAACCTCTGATACCTATATGTATTCTTCTATAGATATTCTATATACATATAATTTAGTCAATTTTTAGATGTGGTTATTTTTATTATAAGGAAGAAGAAAGAGTCATATTAGGAAGAGATAAGATTAGATTCTTTTTTTTTTTTTTTTTTTTTTTTTTGAGACAGAGTTTTGCTCTTGTTGCCCAGGCTAGAGTGCAATGGCGCGATCTTGGCTCACTGCAGCCTCCACCTGCCAGGTTCAAGTGATTCTCCTGCCTCAGCCTCCCAAGTAGCTGGGATTACAGGCATGTGCCACCACGCCTGGCTAATTTTTTGTATTTTTAGTAGAGATGAGTTTTCACCACGTTGGCCAGTCTGGTCTCAAACTCCCGACCTCAGGTGATCCACCTACCTCAGCCTCCCAAAGTGCTGGGATTACAGGCATGAGCCACTGAGCCTGGCCAAGATTAGATTCTTTTTGGGTACCTGAATTAGTCTAACTTGCTTTTTTAAAAAAATTTACCAAGTTTTTTTTTATATATAGAGATGGGATCTCGCTATGTTGTCCAGGCTAGTTTCAAACTCGTGGGCTCAAGCGATCCTCCAGCGTCAGCCTCCCAGAGTGCTGGGATTACAGGCGTGAGCCACCGCGTCCAGTCATAACTTGTTTCTTTTTATAAACTTTAGTAACTGTGACTAAGGAAGGGAAGTAAATGGTGTGCATCTCTGCTTTTTCCTTCACCTTTCAGAACACTCAGCATGATGAAGAGTCAATCTTTTTACTTTCCTTTTGAGGTTTTCTTTTATTCCAGGAAAATTTAGAATTATTCCTGTACCTGGCACTCCCGAGGACCATCTGCTATTTCACTTGCCAACAGTTTTCTGAGCCACTTGTTTAATTTAGTTCATCAAAGAAATATTTATTGGGGTCCCAGGTACTGTGCTAGTTGTACTGTGCTAGCAATTCAAGATTAAATGAAATGTGGTTTCTGCCCTCTACGAGCTTATACATAAATAGTTGCTATTTGATAAGGAGGCAGAGAGTAATGGACCATATCCCTGAAAGGGGTTTTAAGATGAGGTGTTAAATATTTCAGTCTCTTAGATGAGAAATCAGAAATGGGACTGAGCCAGTATCTACAGGGGAATATGCAGAAGATATACTCTAGAAATATTGGTAGGTAGTATTAGCAAGGACGTTATCTGTTGATTAAGTGTGATCTAAAGTAGATAGAAGGGTCTGAGTCCCAGATTTCAGTTTTGGGAATCACTATGTGTCACTTACAAAGATAACCCTATGTTTATGGGGAAGATGATGACTCCAGTCTTGGACATTGTTTAAACTCCCTGTGAAACCCACAAGAAAACCTCTCCTGGAAGCTCGTGGATATATGTGATGGAAATTTTGAGGAGACACATTTCTGAATCTTTAACCTGTTGGTGTTATTTAAATCAAGGGAGCTGATGAGATTATTCAGGGAAGGAATGTAGTGCAAGAAGAGATACGGGCAAACCATCAGTATGATGTAGGCAGAAGGAATAATCTCCAGTGGAGACAGAGAAAAAAGAATCAGAAGAGCTTATTGTCTAGGAAAGCAAGGCAGGTCAGCAGGGTGAAATGCTGAAGAGAGATCAAGTAACATAAGGACTGGAAAAGTGTCTATTAAATGTAGCCATAGAGGTTACTGGTGATGTTGGTGAGGCCAATTCATTTTGGAAACTGTATATTCTCGTTATGCAAGCAGATGATTTCTGCTGAGTTTTTTTGTAGTTAACCTAATTCTGTTCAACCCAGTTCTGTCAAAAACCTAGATGCCATCAGAATTTAGCAGATAACATGAATAAAGTGGGCTGGAGAGCAGTGGCCCATCTAAATGGGATAGCCCTACATATAGATTGTGGATTCAGTTGATCAAAGGAGGCTAGATTATTTTTAAAAAATGTATAAAGTTAGTAATTAATTCAAAGAAATATTAAAAACATAGTGCTGGCAAATAAAACACACCTATGGTTTACATTTGGCCTTTTAATTATAAATTTAATGTGCTGGTACTTATCTAACATGCTTTCTTTTATTTAGGGTGTTCAAAAAGAGGAAAGAGAGAAGTACCGAAAGTTATTGGAACGACTTAAAGAAAGTGGTCATGGAAACTCTGTCTGTCCTGTAACTTCAAATTATCACAGGTGACAGTGAGCTAACAGATAATGCTTTGCTAGGCATCTTTTGTTTGTTTGTTTTTGGAGAAAGTATTGGTGGGAAGGGCTTTACTGAAAGAAGAGGTTAACCCTGAGAGAACTAGCTCTGTCATTTGCCTGGATATTTATCTAGTAATGGATAATATGTAACAGTGGTTTTGCAAAGTAAAATTTTATGTTACCTTTAGGACCTTTTGTTCAAGTAAACTTTTACTTGAAACTCTTATATTAAAAAAGTGGATCACTGGTTGAAGTAGGGCTCCCAAGAGGCAGAGAGTTTCTTCAACCTCCCCAGCATACATTTCCCACAATCTCTCTCTCTACCTCCCTTCCCCACCCCACTCCTGCCCCTCTCTCCATTTCTCCCATCTCCCTTCCTTCCTTCCTTTCTCCTTCACCTCCTCCTGGTCTTTCTTTTTGTCTTTTTTCCTTCCCCCTGCCTCACCCCTACCCCATGAGACATACCTAGTCCCTGCGGCATCATAGAGATTGAATCTTAGCACATTTGGAAACCCACTAGAGACAAGATTAAAGTCTCCCAGGTCATAACAATTTTCCTTATAGGACAGCTTGTTAATTAAATAATGATTTAAGCAAATATTAATAGATGAGAGTGGCAGAAGGAAGTGATATTTGGCCTTGTATTTGCCTGTGAAAGGAGGACAAAAAATGTGTGAGCTCAGGATTGAGGTACACTAGGTAATTCTAACAAGTGGTGTGAGAAAACACAGGGATCCCAGAAATTATATAATAGCAAATCGAAGATTAAAAAGTCACAGAATATTATCTAGCTTTTTTTTTTTTTTTTTTTTTTTGAGATGGAGTTTCACTATTGTTGCCCAGGCTGGAGTGCAGTGATGCAATCTCAGCTCACTGCAATCTCCGCTTCCTGGGTTCAAGCGATTATCCTGCCTCAGCCTCCTGAGTAGCTGGGATTACAGGCGTCCACCGCCACGCCCAGCTAATTTTTTGTATTTTTGGTAGAGATGGGGCTTCACCATGTTGGCCAGGCCGGTCTCGAACACCTGATCTCAGGTAGTCCACCAGCCTCAGCCTCCCAGAGTGCTGGGATTACAGGCGTGAGCCACCGCACCCGGCCTACTATCTAGCTTTTGAATGCAGAAATAACAGATTGTTTGCGAATAATCAGTTGTGAACTTTAAAAAAAAATTCTTTTGGTTTAGTCAGAATGTCAGTATTTTCTCCATTTTGACCAGCCATATGTTGGAAACAGCAGTATGTTTAACGAACTCTTAACTTTGTCATGTTGGCGAAACCCTCAAACTATTTTTGCTTTTTAAAGTTGCTGCTTTGGCTGGGCACAGTGGCTCACACCTGTAATCCCAGCACTTTGGGAGGCCGAGGTGGACGGATCACGAGGTCAGGAGATCAAGATCATCCTGGCTAACACGGTGAAACCCCATCTCTACTAAAAAATACAAAAAATTAGCTGGGCATGGTGGCTGGCACCTGTAGTCCCACCTACTCGGGAGGCTGAGGCAGGAGAATGGCGTGAACCCGGGAGGCGGAGCTTGCAGTGAGCAGAGATTGTGCCACTGCACTCCAGCCTGAGCTACAGATCGAGACTCCGTCTCAAAATAAATAAATAAATAATTAAAGTTCCTGCTTCTGGCTGGGTGTGGTGGCTCACACCTGTAATCCCAGCGCTTTGGGAGGCCGAGGCAGGTGGGTCACTGGAGGTCAGGACTTCGAGACCAGCCTGACCAACATGGCGAAACCCCATGTCTACTAAAAATACAAAAATTAACCAGGTGTAGTGGCGTGTGCCAGTAATCCCAGCTACTTGGGAGGCTGAGGCAGGAGAACCACTTGAACCTGAGAGGTAGAGATTTCAGTGAGGCCATGATCACACCACTGCACTCCAGCCTGGGCGACAGTGCGAGACTCCGTCTCAAAAAACAAAAAGTTCTTGCTTTTAATGTATTGTTTCAGGATCCATTTAAATACATAGCTTAAAAAGTTTTTTATCTTTTAATCTGAGTTTTATCACACTGAGATTTTTCAGTTAGTGCATCACTGGGGATTCAGAACCTCTGATTTTACAAACAGAGAAACTGGAGGTTAGGTGACCTGGCTGAAATATTATTAGAATCATGATTAGACTCCTTTTATCCTAGTCCCACATAGTTGCTTCCTTTCTGTTGTAATTTGATATAATAGTGTAATCAATCACCCCTATTTGGAGAAGCTTGCTGGACAGAGATAATGCATATTAATGGTAGACTTTGCTTTTGTATCTGATCTCCCTCACTTTTTGTGTTTCTAAGTTCTCAAAGAAGTCAGATGGACACATTAAAGACCAAAGGCTGGGGGGAAGAGCAAAATCACGGAGTCAAAACAACTCAGTTTGTTCCAAAACAATGTGAGTTCCCAGATTTAGCCTTGTCTTAATATATTGACCTTAGTTCATGCTACAGTGTTCATATGAGGTAGAAAATTGACATTCAAGTGTAGATGGTGTACCAAAATACTGTCAAATCTCACAGCATTGGGCCGGGCGCGGTGGCTTACGCCTGCAATCCCAGCACTTTGGGAGGCCAAGGCAGATGGATCACCTGAGGTCAGGAGTTCAAGACCAGCCTGGCGAACATGGTAAAACCCCATCTCTACTAAAAATACAAAAATTAGCCAGGCATGGTGGCACTTGCCTGTAATCCCAGCTACTCAGGAGGCTGAGGAAGTAGAATTGCCTGAACCTGGGAGGTGGAGGTTGCAGTGAGCCAAGATCACGCCACTGCACTCCAGCCTGGGTGACAGTGAGACTCTGTCTCAAAAAAAAAAAAAAAACCTCACAGCATTGACTGGGGCTTATCTAGGAATTTAGTAGAAAAGCTGTTTCAGGGTGAAGTAGATTCATAACATGGCTCTGGATTATTATTCCTAAGCTGCTAGATAGTAGCAACTATTTTGTGAGCTGAAATTTTATTATATTCCTTATATAACAATTTCCTTATACTTCTCCACTTACTGTCCACTAAATGACAGCTTACCAGATAAGCAGATATCACTCAGTTTATAGTAAAGATTATATTTAAACAGCAAAGATATGTATGCATTTTTTTAGGCAACTTAGTATATAGGGAGGCTAGTGTCTTTGGAATTCACTGTAGCATTTCAATGTAGAGGAATGTCTTGATGTTGTGGAAACTCTGTAAGCTGAAATTCTAACTATATTATTCATCGATGAAGGAAACATTTAATCTTTTCTTTACCATCCTCACAGATAGACTTGTTGAAACAAGGGGACCTCTATGTTCATTGAGAAGTGAAAAGAGGTACGTACATTCAGTTCATTCTACACTTTCTTTTAATATATATTTTCTTACTTTATAAGCTGTATTTATGAGTAAGCAGTTCTGAGGAATTGTGAACTCTCTTGAGTTCTGGTAGTTGGTCAGCATATAGGGTAGATAGGTAGCTAGCTGTTGTGTCAGATGCCCACCCTAGCCTGGTGGGTTGAGGGGGGTGCCCCTTATCTCCCAGGCGTCAGGGGTTGGGAGAAACACATGCTTCTTAGATGGGAGTTTGGTTGGAGTGGGGATGTCTAGTGTCAGTGTCTTTAGGATAGGAACAGTAAAGGCAGCTCTGCATGCTTTAGGATTTTGGGATGATGGTTTATAGCAGAGTTTGTAAACTATGGCCCATGGGCCAAATCTGGTCTACTTGCCTATTTTTGTATAGTAAATTTCTATTGGAACATGCGAATTCATTTACATACTGTCTGGCTGCTTTTAAATTACAGTGGCAGAGTTGCCACGATGTGCCCAAGACCATAAAACCTGCAAAGCCTAAAATACTGTCTGTTCCTTTTCAGAAAAGTTCGTTGACTCCTGGTTTAGAGTATTATGTAAACTCAACACAATTTTTATGTACAAATTACGAAATCTTATTTCTAAAACTAGGATGTACTAGGTTTGAATCATCTAGCAGAAGTCTATCATCTCTCAATTTTTTTCCTTAGGTGTTCAAAGGGGAAAATTACTGATACAGAGACGATGGTCGGAATCAGATTTGAAAATGAAAGTGTAAGTAAAAATCCTAGTTACATTTGATACCTGTTTACTTATGTAACTTATGTTTTGGTGCCCATGAAAAGCAAGAAAAAGTATATATATATAACTTTGATTGTTAATTCTGTTGTTTTTCTTTAAAAAAGCAGCAAGCCAGCCAGTCACAGTGGCTCATGCCTGTAATCCCAGAACTTTAGGAGGCCAAGGCAGAAGGATCACTTGAGCCCAGGAGTTTGAGACCAGCCTGGGCAACATAGTGAGACTGTCTCCACAAAAAAATTTAAAAGTTAGCCAGGCATGGTGGCATGTCTGTAGTCCCAGCTACTTGGGAAGCTAAGGTGGGAGGATTGCTTGAGCCCAGGAGGTCAAGGCTGCAGTGAGCTGTGATCACACCATAGCACTCCAGCCTAGGTGACAGAATGAGACTCTGTCTCAAAAAAAAAAAAAAAAAAAAAGGCAGGAAGCATTGAAAATACACAACTTTTTTCTTCCTTCTGAGTTGTTGGAGTTTTGCCTCTGTACAGTAGCCACCTTTGTTTATGAGAGACCAATCTGCCTCCATACCAACATGTTACCTACATTTTATGGCTTCTTAGGGAGAATTTCTTAAAAATCATACATCTCTGGAAAGAGATGATATGTTCTGGGTTGCTGGCAGAATTCTATTTGTTTACTACAATTGTGGTTATATAGGTGTTCATTCAAATTAAGTGGTACATTAATGTTTTGTGCATTTTCTGTAATATCAAATGACTTTTTTCAAGGATAAACTAGAACCAAGTTGAGTTACTATAAAGATAGTAGGGATTTATTCTGAGTGATGGGATTGTGGGTCATATTTTTTGCTGTTTAAAACTTTCATAATATCTTTTAAACATACTAATTTTAATTGTGATAGGAGAACTGAAAATACTTTTCTTGCTACTTCCAGGGAAGGTGGTGAGTGTTCTGTTTGATGGTTCATAACTGAGGGTCCTGTGAGGCCTAGGTCTGGAGCTTTTTTTGCTCCCCCTTGCAGGGACAGACAGATAGGGTAAATCTACTCACTTGGGGGATTTGCTAATTCTCTTTTCTTTCACATTAGTGGCAGTTTTATATTTCATGTGTAATCTGTGTTTATATTTGCAAGTATCAAACATGTCAGTAGAATTTAGATAATTTTTTGATCAGAGGAGGGGATACCAACTGGAGCCTGACCTATCAGAAGAAGTGTCGGCCCGACTCCGCCTGGGCAGTGGAAGCAATGGCTTACTCAGGAGGAAAGTGTCAATAATTGAGACAAAGGAAAAGAATTGCTCAGGCAAAGAGAGGGACAGAAGAACGGACGATCTCCTTGAACTTACAGAGGTATTGTTCTTTGTATTGATCCTAAAAAGAGGCATGTCTTTAAATAACCTCAGTTATTCTAACTTGAATGTTTTGTTTTGAGGACTTTCTCCAGGCTAGGGGTGAATATATGAAAACATGTCAGGTCCATGGTCTGTTGATTCACTTTGACTACATTGATCTTTAGTGAGGCATGATCATTAGTGGCCTAAGGGATCAGATTGATATTCAGCAAATGGGGAGTCGACACAGTCATCTCATATCTTGGAATACAACAGATTCTTTGTAAATTCTAACCTTCAAATATGTTGAGTTATATAGTATGGGTTTGGCATTAAGAATAAGTTCATTGCATTTTTTTTTTGAAAGTTATTATAGTTTACTAAAATGCCCCCTTTGTTGATTATTGCATTTGAAAATAGTAAAAACTTACAGAACATAAAGAATGAAGGTAGTTAAAATTCTTATTTTAAAGATGTGCCCACATCTTGGCTTCCTCCACAATGTTGCCCTAGTAGGCAAATCTCTTGAATACTTACTGTTATATTGGGCATGTAGGTGGAGAGAGAGATCCATAAAATGGTGAAGCTGTGTGCAGTGGGAAGCAGCATATATTTAGAAGAAAATAATTTCTTTTTTTTGAGACAGAGTTTCGCTCTTGTTGCCCAGGCTGGAGTGCAATGGCGCGATCTTGGCTCACTGCAACCTCTGCATCCTGGGTTCAAGTGATTCTCCTGGCTCAGCCTCCCTAGTAGCTGGGATTACAGGCACCTGCCACCATGCCCAGCTAATTTTTGTATTTTTAGTAGAGACCGGGTTTCACCATGTTGGCTAGGCTGGTCTCGAACTCCTGACCTTAGATGATCTACCCACCTCGGCCTCCCAAAGTGCTGGGATTATAGGCGCAAGCCACTGCCCCCGGCCTAGAGGAAAATAATTTCTATTGGGTTTATAGATTTAGTTTTGTATCTTAAATAATGCATTTATCTGCATAATTCTTTAGTATGATGAAGCCATTTATTCCATAAGGAGTCAATTGCTAGACTGCTGGGTGGTTTCCAAGTTTCTGCCTGTTTGCTTATTCTCTTCATGTCAAAAAGGATGGTGTGACCCCTTAGATGTCCTAATCTTATTTTGATGTTTTATTTATTTATTTATTTTTGAGATAGAGTCTCGCTCTGTTGGCAGGCTGGAGTGCAGTGGCACAATCTCAGCTTACTGCAACCTCTGCCTCCCAGGTTCAAGTGATTCTTCTGCCTCAGCCTCCTGCGTAGCTGGGACTACAGGCGCGTGCCACCACGCCCAGCTAATTTTTGTATTTTTAGTAGAGATGGGGTTTCACCATGCTGGCCAGGCTGGTCTCGAACTCCTGACCTCATGATCCGCCCGTCTTGGCTTCCCAAAGTGCTGGGATTACAGGCGTGAGCCACCACACCCAGCCTTTTTTGATGTTTTAAAAGTTTAAAGGCGAGAATGGGCGTGGTGGCTCACGCCTGTAATCCCAGCACTTTGGGAAGCCAAGATGGGCGGATCATGAAGTCAGGAGTTCGAGACCAGCCTGGCCAGCATGGTGAAACCCCGTCTCTACCAAAAATACAAAAAAATAGCTGGCATGGTGGTGTGCACCTGTAATTCCAGCTAATCAGGAGACTGAGGCATGAAAATTGCTTGAACCTGGGAGGCAGAGGTTGCAGTGAACTGAGATCATGCAGCTGCATGCACTCCAGCCTGGGTGACAAAGTGAGAATCTGTCTCAAAAAAAAAAAAAAAAGAAGGGCCAGGCTGGTGGCTCACACCTGTAATCCCAGCACTTTGGGAGGCCGAGATGGGCAGATCACGAGGTCAGGAGATCGAGACCATCCTGGCTAACACAGTGAAACCCCGTCTCTACTAAAAATACAAAAAATTAGCCGGGCGTGGTGGCGGGCGCCTGTCATCCCAGCTACTCGGGAGGCTGAGGCAGGAGAATGGCGTGACCCCGGGAGGCGGAGCTTGCAGTAAGCCGAGATGGCGCCACTGCACTCCGGCCTGGGAGACTGAGCGAGACTCCGTCTCCAAAAAAAAAAAAAAACGTTTAAAGTGGAAATCAGGAGTTTACTATTATGAAGGGAGCAAAGTCCAGGAAATTAGATGCACCTGGGTTCAAATCTTCTTCTACCTTTTAATAATTATATGACTTTGAATATGTAAAATAAATTCTCTGGGTTTCAATTTTCTTCTCTATAAAATGATAATAATGTCTTCCTCACTAATATGGATCAATGATGTGCTTCAAGCATCTAACACCATGTTTGACTCATAGTGGTTAATACGTAGTAGTAGGAAAATTGAGACTATACTTTAGATGTAAATATTATTATTAAATTATTGTTTCCACAAGCTAATAAGTGAACCAGGATTTGTTGTAAGTATTACTTACAACAATTAAGTAAGGCTGCTTTGTAGTTATAAGTTAAAATATTTTCAGGGCTGGTGCAGTGGCTCATGCCTATAATCTCAGCACTTTGGGAGGCCAAGGCAGGTATTGCTTGAGCCCAGGAGTTTGCAACCAACTTGGGCAATATAATGAGGCCCCATCTCTATCACTAAAAATAAGAAAAAAATGTTTTCCTACTGTAGTTTAGTAGGTCTTTGATAGTATATTTTTCTCAAGAGTCAGGTGTTGCCGAGATGAAAAACTTTTTTCAGTCTCGGAGTTTTCAATAACTGATAATGAATGGTTCTATATTAAAATAGCAACTTCTGAACTTTCTAATTCAGGACATGGAAAAGGAAATCAGTAATGCCCTAGGCCATGGCCCACAGGATGAAATCCTAAGTAGTGCTTTCAAATTGCGAATTACTCGAGGAGATATTCAGACATTAAAGAACTATCACTGGCTCAATGATGAAGTAAGTTGTATTCCCTCCCCCTTTTGGCTATCATTAAGTTTATTTATTTATTATCTATAATCAAAGTGACTCCTACCCAGTTATAATGGGTTGGTAATGCAACTCTTAGTTATAATTAAAACAAAAACATTTTAAATCTTAAAAAGATGGTTAGTTCTGATTTTCTGCCTTTGATTAGCGATGTTTCCCTTTTCTGCGTCTGTATTTTATTGCATCCACCACTTCATTTACTGGTCTTCAATAAACCCTGGGTACAGCTGATAAACGGGAGGAAGCAGCAAGTGATACTGTATTTTAGGTGAATTCTTATAGTAGCTATTTTTTTGTTTTTGTTTTTTGGTTTTGTTTTTGAGACAGAGTTTTGCTCTTGTTGTCCAGGCTGGAGTGCAATGGCGCAATCTTGGCTCAGCGCAACCTCCACCTCCTGGGTTCAAGCAATTCTCCTACCTCAGCCTCCCAAGTAGCTGGGATTACAGGCATGCGCCACCATGCCCGGCTAATTTTGTATTTTTAGTAGAGACAGGGTTTCTCCATGTTGGTCAGGTTGGTCTCAAACTCTGGACCTCAGGTGATCCGCCCGCCTTGGCCTCCCAAAGTGCTGGGATTACAGGCGTGAGCCACCGTGCCTGGCCTGTTTTATTTTTTGAGTAATAAAGGGATATATTGATCACTATATACTATGTGTATTTTTCTTTGAGTGATAGCTGAAAAATTTTGCCTAACTTGTCATCTTGTATCCTTAATACATTTAGCAAAAGCTAACTCTTAAGTTCTTTGACAATTTTCTGGTGGGTTCTTCCCCGAACTGCTTAGCCCCTGCATGTTCTCTCTTTGAGGGAAGTCCCCTATGACTAGTTACTTATAAACACATTCTTTGAAAACAGGAATGTTTTGTTTTACATTATAAATGTAATTTGTTTATCGTAGAATATTTGGAAAATACAGGAAAAGTAAAAAATATTACTGTTCAAAAGTACCACCACTCGGCCGGGCGCGGTGGCTCACGCCTGTAATCCCAGCACTTTGGAAGGCTGAGGCGGGCGGATCACGAGGTCAGGAGACCGAGACCACCCTGACTAACACGGTGAAACCCCGTCTCTACTAAAAATACAAAAAAATTAGCCAGGCATGGTGGCGGGTACCTGTAGTCCCAGCTACTCGGGAGGCTGAGGCAGGAGAATGGTGTGAACCCGGGAGGCAGAGCTTGCAGTGAGCCGAGATCACGCCAGTGGACTCCAGCCTGGGCGACAGGGCAAGACTCCGTCTCAAAAAAAAAGTATCACCACTCAGAGATAAATAAAATATTATTTTGGTGTATGTCCTTCAAGTTAATATTTTAAAATTGAAGTCTAATTTATATGTAGTAAAATTCACTTACTGTTAATATTTCTGCGTATTTTTGGTGTGATACAGTTATGTAGATCTTTCCATTATTGCACAGACTTTCTTCCTGGATTCCTTCTTCTGGCTGTTAAGTGTTACTCACATGCCTTAAAAGTACAGTTTCATTTCATTTTCATGTGTCCCATTTTGCACTGATCACTTTTTTCCCTGTCTTCTACTATAGACAGTCTTTTTATCCTCTTCTTTAGTACCTTACCTTCGAATTCATCCTTATTCAGGTAGAAATTTAGTTTTGATAATATGTTTGCCATGTTCCAGCTTTTGCTCCCTTGGTATTTTGTAGGTCATTAATTTTTACATGAATCTTCTGGTGGAAAGAAATAAAAAGCAAGGCTATCCAGCACTTCATGTATTCAGTACTTTCTTCTATCCTAAATTAAAGTCTGGGGGTTACCAAGCAGTGAAACGATGGACCAAAGGGGTAAATCTCTTTGAACAAGAAATTATTCTGGTGCCTATTCATCGGAAGGTACATTGGAGCCTGGTGGTGAGTAGAGAGGGTTAATGGTTAATTGTTGGACTTGGATAAAGGCCATTTTTTAAAAATAATGCTGCCTTTTTCTGCCCTGTGTATAGAGGCCAATAGTATATATTATAAGCATACTCTGCAGAGTCTCTTTTTAGTTTTTTTTTTAATGTCCCATCCTTCACCCAACCCTTTTAGTTCTTTTTATTTATTTATTCTTTAAAAAATTTTATGTTTATTTTATTTTACTATTTTTTAAAATTACAGACCAGGTCTCGCTCTGTTGCCCAGGCTGGAGTGAACTGGTGTGATCATAGCTCATTGCAGCCTGGAAGTCCTGGACTCAGGTGATCCTCCTGCCTCAGCCTCCTGAGTGACTAGGACTACAGGCATGGTCCACCATGCTTGCCTAATTTTATTTATTTATATATTTGGAAAGATGGAGTCTTGCTATGTTGCCCTGGTTGGTATCCAACGCCTGGCCTCAAGTGGTTCTCCTGCCTCAGTTTTTCAAAGTGTTGGTATTACAGGTGTGAGCCACCATGCCTGGCCTTTTTTTCTTTTTCTTTTTCTTTTTTTTTTTTAAATTTTTATTTTTAGAGACAGGGTCTCATTCTGCCACCCAAGCTGGCATGCAGTGGCACAACCATAGCTCACTGTAACCTCCACCTCCTGGGCACAAGTGATCCTTTCACTTTAGCCTCCCAGGTAGCTGGGACTACAGACATGCACCACTATGCCTGGCTAATTTTTTTTAATTTATTTTAATTTTTTTGTAGAGACAAGAGTCTTGTTTTTTTGCCCAAGCTAGTCTTGAGCTCCTGGCTTTAAGCAGTCCTCCCACCTCAGCCTCTCAGAATGATGGGTGAGATGCCGCACCTGGCCTCCTTTTTAGTTCTTGAGTTGAACAACTTTTAGAAGGCTACAGGACGAAGTCCTTGTACTTGAGGAGCTTTTTTTTGTTTGTTTGTATGTTTTTGAGATGGAGTCTTGCTCTGTTTCCCAGGCTGGAGTGCAATGGCACGATCTCGGCTCACTGCAGCCTCCGCCTCCTGGGTTCAAGCAATTCTCCTGCATCAGCCTCCTGAGTAGCTGGGATTACAGGCACGTGCCACCACCATACCTGGCTAATTTTTGTATTTTCAGTAGAAATGGGGTTTTACCATGTTGGTCAGGCTCGTCTTGAACTCCTGACCTCGTGATCCGCCACCTCAGCCTCCCAAAGTGCTGGGATTATAGGCGGGAGCCACCGCACCTGGCCGAGGAGCTTTCATTTTTAACAGGAAAGAGTCTTAGTATGCATAAGGGTTATTTATATTTATTTAGTTTTGTTTACAAGATAGTACAGGTTTATTGCAGAAAAATGCATTTATAAGGCCAGGTGTGGTGGCTCATGCCTATAATCCCAGACTTTGGGAGGCTGAGGCAGGAGGGGTTGCTTGAGCCCAAGAGTTTGAGACCAGCCTGGGCAACATGGAAAGACCCTGTCTATACAAATTTAAAAATTTGCTGGGCGTGGTGGTGCACACCTGTGGTCCCAGCTTTGTGGGCATGGTGGTGCACACCTGTGAGAGGCTGAGGTGGAAGATTCCCTGAGCCCAGGAGGTCGAGGCTGCAGTGAGCCGTGATCACACCACTGCACTCCAGCCTGGGTCACAGAGTGAGATCTTGTCTCAAAAAAAAAAAAAAAAAAAAAGAGAGAGAGAAAGAAAGAAAAGAAGGAAAGAAAGATACAGATATAAAGAAAGCAAAAAAAAAAAAAAAAGTCTCATCACTCTGAGAGGACCACTAATTTTTTAACTTAAAAACACACTTTTTTTACTAAAGATACGTAAGACACATTTTTAACTAAAAAAAAAAAAATACATGTACCAATATAAGTGGATATCGTTTTTCTTTTTTTTCTTTTTTTTTTTTTTTTTTTTTTTGAGACAGAGTCTCGCTATCACCCAGGCTAGAGTGCAGTGACACAATCTCGGCTCACTGCAACCTCTGCCTCCCGGGTTCAAGTGATTCTTCTGCCTCAGCCTCCTGAGCAGCTAGGATTACAGGCGCGTGCCATCATGCCCGACTAATTTTTGTATTTTTAGTAGAGACGGGGTTTCGCCATGTTGGTCAGGCTGGTCTCGAACTCCTGACCTCATGATCCGCCCGCCTCAGCCTCCCAAAGTGCTGGGATTACAGGTGTGAGCCACCATGCATGGCCCATAAATGGATTTCTAAGATACATAAAAAATTTATATTGGTACATGTATTTTTTAAAAGATGCTTTTATTTTTGGAAGTAAAATTCTCACTCCTCTTACATTTAAGATGTTTCTGGATGTTATCTTTTTCCATTATAGGTGATTGACCTAAGAAAAAAGTGTCTTAAATATCTGGATTCTATGGGACAAAAGGGCCACAGGATCTGTGAGATTCTCCTGTAAGTAAAGGTTGAAAACCTCACTACCCCCTGTTGAGGTGATCTCTCTTTTATCTCATCCTAGGAAGCTGTGTGGATGGTAGTCTAATGTGTAGTTAAGGCTATTTCAGGACTTAGCATGCATTTTATTTTTAAAATAATAGCTGATTTCAACTGAGAAAACGTGTTTAGTAGCATCACTGGAAACAAGTTTGTCATGTATTATGATGTAAAATAGATCTTATTAGAATCCTGTGACTTGCATTAGATTTCTTTGGCATCGATACGTTATTCTGAATGTTCTTAGGAACTGTTAGTTGGGGAGTGCTAGTCCTCTCAATTCTTAAGCCCATTTGTATCTTTATGCTTTCCATGAGAGTTGGGTTTATCTCAGAACCCAGGGGCAGTGTTTAAAGTGTGTGGTTTGAGGAGACTGTTTCAAATAGTAATTGCTATAATAGAAACCAATCTTTAAAGCATACCTACTTCTTAGCTAGGTAAAGTAGTGACATGAGTTGAGTGAGAAAACGCATCAGTAAGATGGGTCCATTTTTCCTTTTCTGCTCACTAGAAGCAATGAAGTTCCTTCTTTTAACTTTACTAAGGACAAATGAATCTTGTGAAGAAAAGTTGTTGCTAACAATAATATTGTTTTAGTATAAAATATTATTTTTATTTATGGTTGTTTATCTTGAATAAAAAGCATAGAGAAGAAAATTCTAAAAATCATAAGATACACCAATTGTTTATAAAATGGTTCTCTTCTAGTCTTTTCTTTGTAAGATGTGTATAAATTGTGCGCACATACATTTGCATTCATATGTATACATATATTATCCCATGTATAGAAATGTTCTTACTGGGATCATACAGTATAGTTTGATGTGCTGCTTATACCAGGATTTGAAAATTCATACTTTATTACATTCATGCTTTTTTTTTTTTTTTTTTTTTTTTGAGATGGAGTCTCATTGTGTCACCCCATGCAGTGGTGCAGTCTCAGCTCACTGCAACCTCTGCCTCCTGGGTTCAAGTGATGCTCGTTCCTCGGCCTCCCAAGAAGCTGGGAGTACAGGCTTCCGTCACTATGCCCGGCTAATTTTTGAATTTTTAGTAGAGACAGGGTTTCTCCATGTTGATCATGCTGGTCTTGAACTCCCAACCTCAGGTGATCCGCCCGCCCCAGCCTCCCAAAGTGCTGGGATTACAGGCGTGAGCCACCGTGCCCGGTGGTCTTTGGCTTTTTATGTTATTTATTTATTTGTTTGTTTTTTGAGATGGAGTTTCACTCTTGCTGCCCAGGCTGGAGTGCAATGGCGTGATCTCGGCTCACCGCAACCTCTGTCTCCCGGGTTCAAGAGATTCTCCTGCCTCAGCTCCCAAGTAGCTGGTATTAAAGGCTTGTGCCACCACGCCCGGCTAATTTTGTATTTTTAGTAGAGATGAGGTTTCTCCATTTTGGTCAGGCTGGTCGCAAACTCCCGACCTCAGGTGATCCATCCGCCTTGGCCTCCCAAAGTGTTGATATACAGGCGTGAGCCACCGCACCCGGCCTATGTTATTTTTTGTATCTTAATTTTGGTGGGGGCATCTAATGCTTATCAACCTGATATATATTTCAACTTTTAAAAACAAGCATGTACAATTTTTATAAGCAGACCTCCCCAAATTAAATAAAAAATCCAGAAAGCCACTTTGGGAGGCTGAGGCAGGCGGGATCACAGGCTCAGGAGATCGAGACCATCCTGGCTAACACGGTGAAACCCCATCTCTACTAAGAAAAATACAAAAAATTAGCAGGGCGTGGTGGCGTGCTCCTGTGGTCCCAGCTACTTGGGAGGCTAAGTCAGGAGAATGGCGTGAACCCGGGAGGCAGAGGTTGCAGTGAGCCGAGATCGCGCCACTGCACTCCAGCCTGGGCGACAGAGCGAGACTCTGTCTCAAAAAAAAAAAAAAAAAAAAAAAATCCAGAAAGCAGTCACGTTTTTAAAAAGCTAATGAATATGGATTTGAGAATGGCATATCTGTTTAACATCAGAAAGCCCTATGTAACCATAATGGTTAATTTCTTTAGGGATTTATTGATGTATTCCTTCTTTGTTTTGCTTTTTAGTCAGTATTTACAGGATGAAAGTAAGACCAAAAGAAATAGTGATCTGAATCTTTTAGAGTGGACCCATCACAGCATGAAACCACACGTGAGTGACGATCATCTACATGTGACATACTTGGTTGCATTTACTAATAGTATATTATCTAGATTTGGCTCCCTTCCTGCCCTTCCTCCCTCCCTGCATGCTTTTAAAGTACACATCTTTTTTTTTCTTTCTTTCTTTTTTGTAGAGATGGGATCTTGCTTTGTTGCCCAGGCTAGTCTCGGGCCTCCCAAAACAAAGTGCTGGGATTACAGGTGTGAGCCACCATGCCTGGCCAGAGTCTACATCTTAAGAATGATCTGCTTCTAAATCTCTAGCAATTAATCTAACTAAAATGGGTGCTTAGCTTTCATCTTCTTGTCTAAATGTAAATATTAACATATGCTTGCATGTCTCTCACAGAATTGGGAAGAAACCCAATACATTGAAGTTGGCTAATTTCCCGGTTGGTGCTAATGAAAGTTTACATTTCTTTTCCAAAATTTGGGAGTTTGTTTAAGTCTTAGGATCCCATGCCAAAAAAAGCATTTTAATTTCTAAACTGAAAAGTTTGGGCCAGGCGCGGTGGCTCACACTTGTAATCCCAGCACTTTGGGAGGCCGAGGTGGGCAGATCACCTGAGGTCAGGAATTTGAGACCAGCCTGGCCAACATGACAAAACCTTGTCACCACTAAAAATTAACTGGGTCTGGTGGCACGTGCTTATAATCCTAGCTATTCAGGAGGCTGAAGCAGGAGAATCACTTGAACCCGGTAGGCAGAGGTTGCAGTGAGCCGAGATCGCACCACTGCACTCCAGCCTGGGCAACAGAGCGAGACTGTCTCAAAAAAAAAAAAAAGAAAAAGAAAAATTTGAAGGATAAGCTTTGAAATTTCCTAAGGAGAGCACAGATACAAGGAAGAGTCTGTTAGGATGAATACTGTGTTCTGGTATGGGAAATGGAATAAAGAAAACAAACTGCCTTTCTTTGTATATTGTAGTCTCTAGTTTTGTCCATTCTGTGAGAGATGCTAGGCTTGAGAGAAAAGTGTGAGGTATATGCGTATGTATGGGTGGTATGTATTTAAGCAAATTTTTTTTTTTTTTTTGAGACGGAGTCTCGCTCTGTCGCCTAGGCTGGAGTGCAGTGGCGCAATCTTGGCTCACTGCAAGCTCCGCCTCCCGGGTTCATACCATTCTCCTGCCTCAGCCTCCCGAGTAGCTGGGACCACAGGCGCCTGCCACCACGCCTGGCTAATTTTTTGTATTTTTAGTAGAGACGGAGTTTCACCATGTTAGCCAGGATGGTCTTGATCTCCTGACCTCGTGATCCGCCCGCCTCTGCCTCCCAAAGTGCTGGGATTACAGGCGTGAGCCACCGTACCCGGCCACTAGGCAAACTTTAAAAATCATAATCAACTTCATTTCTTTGAGTAAAAATTGAGCTATTGTCATCTAGTGTGTTTTCCAGCAATAACTTGCGCTAATTGTGACTGACAGCCAGAGTGTGTCAGGGACTGCCAAGATTAGGGCAACACAGGCCTGGAGAAGGTGTGAGCTCAGTGGGGTTAGAATCCACCACCTTTGGCTTATTATGCTCTTAGTGCTGCTTGTACCAAGTGTTTTTGCCTTACGGCAGAACTGATCCATCAAGGCAAGATCCTAATTGGTTAAAGCCTATCCAGAACTTCTCTCTGTCCACCTTGAAGCTGTAGGGTCCAAAGCAGTAGTCTTATTTTCTTAGCTAGAGAAGTTACATTTCCGATTGACCACACTTGGCCCTTTTTAAAATTGATAAATGCTTCTGAAATAATTCTGACTAGCATCCCTGGTAGTAAACCTCCTTTCAGTTTGGTTTCTTGGAATGGGAGCTGAGAGATGCAACTCTCACTTTGTGTTTTTCTCTTCTGAAAAGCATTTCCTGTGGGGTCGGGTCATGCACTCCATCTCATAGTTAGGGTTTCCAATCAAATGCAGAGCCATGGAGAATTAAACAGAAGAACAGAACAGAAAGGAAAAGCAGTATTCACAAGTTACATCTTAGACCTGTGGCTTCAGTTCTCACAAGGCCTGTTTTTCCCTTGCTATGATCTATGTTTTATACCACATAGAGTAAGAATAATTGTGTTTTTTGTATATGACTGTGTGTTTAGGTAATACCTGATTTAATATTTACCTTTATAATATTGTTTACAGCAATATTTAGAAAAAGTCCAAGGAATTTGTATTTAATGATGTTTTACCCTTTCCTCTCTTCTTTTTTCTTTGTAATTTTAGGAGATTCCTCAACAGCTGAATGGGAGTGATTGTGGAATGTTTACTTGTAAATATGCAGATTATATTTCTAGGGACAAACCTATCACATTTACTCAGGTGAGTGAAGACCCTCTTCATCCATTTACTTGTTACTAAGCAAGATAAGGCACTTGGCCAGTGCCTGGCACACATTCAGCTCTCAATAGTAGTAGCTGGCCAGGCGTGGTGGCTCACACCTGTAATCCCAGCACTTTGGGAGGCCGAGGCGGGTGGACCACCTGAGGTCAGGAGTTCAAGACCAGCCTGGCCAACATGGTGAAACCCCATCTCTACTAAAAATACAAAAATTAGCCAGGCGTGGTGGTGCATGCCTATAATCCCAGCTACTCAGGAGACTGAGGCAGGAGAATCACTTGAACCCAGGAGGTGGAGGTTGCAGTGAGCCGAGGTCGCACCAGTGCACTCCAGCCTGGGTGACAGAGCGAGACTCTGTCTCAAAAATAAATAAATAAAATAAATAGTAGTAGCTGGGCTCATGCCTGTAATCCCAGCACTTTGGGAGGCCGAGGCAGGTGGATCACCTGAGGTCAGGAGTTCGAGACCAGCCTGACCAACATGGAGAAACCATGTCTCTACTAAAAATACAAAAAATTAGCCACGTGGTGGTGCATGCCTGTAATCCCAGCTACTAGGGAGGCAGGCTGAGGCAGGAGAATTGCTTGAACCCGGGAGGTGGAGGTTGTGGTGAGCCGAGATCGTGCCATTGCACTTCAGCCGCCTGGGGCAACAGGAGAGAAACCCTGTCTCAAAAAAAAAAAAAAAAAAAAAAAATAGTAGTAGCTGTGCTATTCTTATTGCTGTAAATCTTGGTTTTAGCCCTACTCCTGCCAGAATCAGGGTTATTTTATCTGCTCTCAGGTTTATCCTAGTCTTTGGTGACACAATGGGCACAATTTGCAAATCTCTGAACTGTGGCATTCATTGGTTCCTGTGTATTATTATTTCTAGCCAAAGAAAGAGGTATGTCAGTGTTTAATAGCAAGGGAAAAATCGGCCTGTGAGAACTGAAGCCACAGGTCTAAGATGTAACTTGTGAATACTGCTTTTCCTTTCTGTTCTGCTCTTTTGTGTTTGTTTTGTTTTGTTTTGTTTTTGAGATGGAGTCTCGCTTTGTTGCCCAGGCTGGAGTGCAGTGGCACGATCTCAGCTCACTACAACCTCTGCCTTCTGGGTTCAAGCAATACTCCTGCCTCAGCCTCCCCAGTAGCTGGGACTACAGGCATGCGCCACCATGCCCAGCTAATTTTTGTATTTTTAGCAGAGATGGGGTTTCACCGTGTTGGCCAGGCTGGTCTCGAACTCCTGACCTCGTGATCCACCTGCCTCAGCCTCCCAAAGTGCTGGGATTACAGGCGTGAGCCACCGCGCCTGGCCTGTTCTGCTCTTTTGTTTAATTCTCCATGGCTTTGCATTTGATTGGAAACTCAAGTATGTTGGGAATTCTTGAGAATTTGTAACAGTGGATTCTCAACCTTTTTACAACTGAGGACAACCTCATTAAAGAATATTTTTCATCCACAGACCTTATTTTGATAGATGTTGTCTACCAAGCAAACTGTATGTATTCCATGAATACAAACTGTAATACAAACTCTATTACGTGAAGTAACTAGGACTCCCGTGCTGAATTAATATAATTCCAGTAAAAAATAAAGGCATTTATTGCTTAGTCTCAGCAGTTTTACTAAGAGCAAATGTGCAGTTTTTACTAGATGTTTTGAACTATTTAAAATAATTTAAGAATCATGTGTTAAGACTTTTTAGCCCCCACCCCTAGGGAGGACATCACTAGTTTATTATTATTATTATTATTATTTTGAGATGGAGTCTTGCTCTGTTGCCCAGGCTGGAGTGCAGTGTGGTGTGATCTTGGCTCACTGCAACCTCCCTCTCAGGTTCAAGCGATTCTTCTGCCTCAGCCTCCCCAGTAGCTGGGACTACAGGCATGTACCACCATGCCTGGCTAATTTTTGTATTTTTAGTAGAGACAGGGTTTCACCATATTGGCCAGGCTGGTCTTGAACTCCTGACCTCAGGTGATCCACCTGCCTTGGCCTTCCAAAGTGCTGGGATTACAGGCATGTGCCACCACGCCCGGTGACATCACTAGTTTATAGTAAGGGACATCCAACTATTTATAATGATACATCAGGAGTGCCTCAATAATGTGAACTTCTTTTTTTGTTTGAGACGGAGTTTCGTTCTTGTTGCCCAGGCTGGAGTGCAATGGCGCAATCTCAGCTCACTGCAACCTCCGCCTCCCGGGTTCAAGCAAGTCTTCCGCTTCAGCCTCCCAAGTAACCGTGATTACAGGAATGCGCCACCACCCCTGGCTAATTTTGTATTTTTAGTAGAGACGGGGTTTCTCCATGTTGGTCAGGCTGGTTTCGAACTCCTGGCCTCAGGTGATATGCCCACCTTGGCCTCCCAAAGTGCTGGGATTACAGGCGTGAGCCACCGCGCCTGGCCAAGAATGTGAACTTCCGTATACACTAGAAGGACTAGTTGTACTACGGGTAATTTTGGAGTTGCTTTTTGTGTTGCTGCTTTGCAAATTGCCCATGTAGTGATTCTCAGTTAAAGCAGAATCATTTATTAAGCAAAACATCTCATTGTTTCATGTTGCCAAATAGCAAAGCAGTTGGCTGTTCTCTGAACCTAATAAGATGAGATTTTAAAGGGAGAAGTTGCTGTTTGAACAGAATTGGCAATGTACAACGCCTGGTAGAGCAGAAAGAAACTTGTAGATTTTGTTGTTTTTTATTTAAATAAATACGTTTTTCTCATAAAAAAACAGAATATGTTCATTTTAGAATGTTTTGAAAATTCATATAAGTAGAAAAGTTGCCTATTGTGCCACCACGTGGATATTTGCAGGACTGTGAAGTTGTACTATACTGTATAATTCTACATCCTGCTTTGGTTTTCCTTAACATATAAAAATGCTTATGGTAGGCCGCCTGTGGTGGCTTTTGCCTATAAATAATCTCAGCACTTTGGGATGCTGAGGCGGGCGGATCACCTGCAGTTAGGAGGTCAAGACCAGCCTGGCCAACATGGTGAAACCCTGTCTCTACTAAAAATATAAAAAATAAGCCGGGTGTGCTGGCACATACCTGTAGTCCCAGCTACGCTGGAGACTGAGGGACAAGAATCGCTCGAACCCAGGAGGCAGAGGTTGCAGTGAGCAGATCGCGCCACTGCACTCCAGCCTGGGTGACACAGCAAGACTCCATCTCAAAAAAAAAAAAAAAGTGCTTATGGTACATATCATGTAATTATGAACTGTTAAAAATGGTTTTATAAGTATGTTCCATGATGTAAAAATGTCAACACTTAGAAAAAGCACATGGACATCCTGCTTTATTACATGATTACACCTGAAGGTTGTGCTGCCATGCACATTAATATGTAATGCGGGCGTTGTTTATGGGGTTCTTTGCAGCACCAGATGCCTCTCTTCCGGAAGAAGATGGTGTGGGAAATCCTTCATCAGCAGTTGCTGTGAGAAAACTTTGCCTGGTCCCTCTAGCTGCTGGTGGTTCTTTCACAGACATTTCCATATACCTCATGCATTGTGGGTTAAAAAGTCCCTGCATCACTTCTGTTCTCACAGGTACTGAGCTGTCAAAAGTGCATGAAGGCCTCTCACTGTACTCTAGTCCTGACTTGGGGTGCAGAGGGCTGCTTGCAATCCTGTTTGTAAGGCTGTGCCTGCTCAGAGCTTTGGACTGTTCAACCCACACAAGAACAAACGCTAACTAATATTTTTTTTAAGAGATTCTTTTCCCTATGAATGTGGGAAATGCAGGATTTATTCTGTGAATTGTTTGTTTCTGTGTGTTTGTTCAGCGTATTCATTCACTCACTCGTTTGCAAACATAATGGGCAGTGGTCATTTACTGCTGCTCTTTTACAGTTAGCTCTAAATTACTTGTTTGAACTATTTATTTCTGAAAGGAATGTTACTCAAGCTGCCACTCCCTGCTGAAGAGCAGGAGGGAACTCTCACTGGGGGCGGAAGGAAGTGGAGCTGGAGCAGTAACTGCCAACATGAAGCTGGAGGGTTTGGGATTTTTTTTGTTTTTGTTTTTTTGAGGCTCAAAAAATGCTGGGAGAAATGAAAATGCTGTGGGATAGGGCTCCTGTTGCCTTTCAGAGGAAGTCTGACACTACAGCGTTGGCACAGTGCCGTGAACAGTGGAACTGTGCCCAAGGGACTCTGATTATCCAAGCATCTTCCGAAGAGTGTTGTGGTCACCTTAAAGAGACTTCCCCTTCTGGAAATGTGGTGACTTGGCTTAGTCTTCAAACTGGATTCATGGATTTGAAGTAACTGTAAACCCTAAATCTTCATTTTCATCCCAGATCTGGTTGAGTATAAACCTCAGAATTGTAGGGGCTGGCCTGAGCTGTTTATTTCAAAAGATACTATTCAATTTAAAGCTATTTTTCCTCAGAGTTTTTGTTTTCTATATATTAAGTCTAAATTAAGTTTTCTACTCATTAAGACTAACATCTCCCCACTCCATCCCCACTGAAATTTGTGGAAGAAAATTTAGTACTTGGCTCTGAGGTTGCCAGTTATACAATAATCTATTTTGCATATGAAAGTTTGTATTTAACTTTTTTGTTCATTAAAAACCTTACTGATATGGTTATAACTTCAGACAGTTTAGAGTTGGTCAGAACATATTTTGCAAGATCTAGTGCCTAGTGTTGCTTTTCTGATGTAATAAAAGGTGGTCTGGCAGAACCTAAAAAAGTATATGCTGAAATGATTTCTAACCCTCTCCCTACTTAAACCTCCCAGACTTGTTCTGGTTCATAAAAGCAAGAGGTAAAACTGGAAAAATTGTGCACGTGTTACCTATGAATCTACACGCCTGCCATTTGCAGTGCTCCGGCTGCTGGTCCCAGAGGTATACTGGTTACAGCTATTGCAGCCAGTTCCCTGAGACTTGTAAAACTCCTGGTTTAGGACATGGGGCCTGTGGTGTGGATGGAAAATGCTGGGCCTACTGGATGGTCAGCCAGAGGCCATGTGGTGGGTGATGACTGAAGCGGGAGCAGGTTGTACCACACCTCTCCCCCCCCCCTCCCACTCCCCCTCCCTCCCTCTCCCCTCCCCCTCCCTCCCTCCCCCCTCCCTCCCTCCCCCCCCTCCCCCTCCCTCCCCCTCCCTCTCTCCCTAACACCCACCCTCCCCCTTTCCCCCACCCTCCCCCCTTCTCCCCTTTCCCCACCCTCCCTCCCCCCTTCCCCCTCCCCCCCCCCCCCCCGCAGCCCCTGCTCCTTTCTCTGGGCTCCTGGCATTGTGCCAGTGAGTGCTGGGACCAGGTAATGAGCACAGCCAAAAAGGCCAGAGGTTCACTAGGTCAGCATCATACCAAACGCCTGGCTTTCACCAGGCATCAGTGTGCTTCACTTGAGAGTTTGGTACCATGGTTAAGATCGAGTCCATGCTAGGTAAGTCCTGTTAGGAATGTCAGTTTGTATTCCGCCCACGTGAATGATGCTGAGCTTAATGTATTATTTTGAGGGGCTTCTTCAGAGCAGTTCTCACTGAGCTTTCCATTAACCTACACTCTTCCGGACGGCTCTTAAAACTTGCAGGACATAATGAAATTGGGAAGAGCAGAGTGTTGAAGTCTATAGCATGGCCTTCTGCTTGACCCTGAGTTCCTGAATTGAATGTGGGAGACCACAGGCCATACTTCTCTAGGCACTCACATGTCTCCCTTGGCATAAGGAAACATGTTAGTAATATAGTTTTTTAGATCCAAACAGTTTATTTGGATCTAAAAGTTTAAGTGTTCAGTTGAAAAACAGCTATTGATTTTATTAGTAGCAAATTATCACCATTAAAGCCAGTGGTTTTTTTTTTGTTTTTTTTTTTTGTTTTTTTTTTTTTTTTTTGCGACAGAGTCTCTTGTCGCCCAGGCTGGAGTACAATGGTGTGATCTCAGCTCACTGCAACCTCCGCCTCCCAGGTTCAAGCGATTCTCCTGCCTCAGCCTCCTGCGTAGCTGGGATTACAGGTGCCCACCACCACACCCTGCTAATTTTTGTACTTTTAGTAGAGATGGGGTTTCGCCATGTTGGCCAGGCTGGTCTTGAACTGCTGACCTCAGGTGATCCACCCGCCTCGGCCTCCCAAAGTGCTGGTATTACAGTCATGAGCCACCTCACCCAGCCTGTTTTTGAGACGGAGTTTCACTTTTGTCGCCCAGGCTGGAGTGCAATGGCGCTATCTCAGCTCACTGCAACCCCCACCTCCCAGGTTCAAGCGATTCTCCTGCCTCAGCCTCCCGAGTAGCTGGGATTACAGGCATGTGCCACCACCCCTGGCTAATTTTGTATTTTTAGTGGAGACGGGGTTTCTCCATGTTGGTCAGGCTGGTCTTAAACTCCCGACCTCAAGTGATCTGCCCGCCTCGGCCTCCCAAAGTGCTGGGATTACAGGCGTGAGCCATTGCACCTGTCCCTGCCAGTGTGTTTTTAAAATAGTTTAGGGGGTTGAGAAAAGATGCAGTGAGCCATTATTCTCCTTTAGCAGGTAGTCTCTTAAAAATTGATGTGGATTTTAAAAATATACCATTGAGAACACGTATCTTTCTCAAACTTGACCTTGAACAGAGCTGGATGGGGGTGGGAGGGAAACAGATTTGGGGCATATGGAAGATATTCTTGGGAGCCCCATATTCTACCTCAGTTACCGAAGGCTATTAGAACCTCTGAATTTTTCCTCCTCTGAAATCCTAAGCACAACTTCAGAAAACCATGTCTGATAGCGGATGTCTTCCTGCTGTGAGGAGCTGCTTGATGTGGGGACCAAGGTGTGGGTGTGGGCGGAATGTATCCTAGTAGAAACAGTGAACCTCAGATATGAATAAATAAGCAAGAGACCGAAAGTTAAGTGTGTGACAACCTCAGTACTGTAGTTAAGCTACATTCTTTAAATTAGCTTTTGTGAACTGATTGGGAACCTAATCTCTTTTGTAACTGTTTGAGAAAAACTCTGAAGCACCTGATATTCAAACAAACTTATGGTACTTACTAACTCATTTGTAAATTGGCGATGTAGCTGGCTGTAGTATTGCTTTGATAATTTTTTTCTTTTAATTTACCTAATATATATAAGGAAGGGGTTTGGATATATTAAAATAGGTGTTAATTTTATCTATTTACCAATAAATTCATCTCTTTAATTCAGTGGCTTTCACTTGTTTTTTATTGCAACTCATAGGAATAAGTATTTTATGTTGTGACCACACACACACACACACACAGTGTGATTGTATATGGACACAAACAACATTGCACATACACTTTTGTGAAGTAATACATATCCTTACTATGATGATAGTTTTATTTCAGTTTTTAAAAACATTTAGGTTGTAACCACCAAGTTGATTTCTCTGCCCACTAATGGACAGATAATGCAGAGAAGGAAAATACTGCTCTAAGTGACCTGACCGCGAGGCAAATGATGTTTAAAACCATAAAGCCTGAGACCAAAAAATACCATATATATTATAAATGTGAGGCTGTTTTGAGATGACTCCATCTAAATCTAGGAAAACAGACTAGCAGCTTTGAGACTTTTGATGGAAATATGTGGTGGAAACAATCTTTAGGTTCTCAGATGGGCATTTCCTAAAATGTGTTAAGTAGAAGTCTTGTAACTTGTATAAAAAATATGAAATCCCAGCACTTTGGGGGCCATTGAGGCAGGAGAATTGCTTGAGCCCAGGAGTTTGAGACTAGCCTGGGCAAGATAGCAAGACCTCAGTTTTTTTTTGTTGTTGTTTTTTTTTGTTTGTTTGTTTTTAAAGGATATAAAGCAAAGGGTCTGTGGGCCAATGAATATGTGTACCATGTCCTTTCCTCCTGGGGATGTATAACAAACATCATAAGAAGTTTGATATGAACGAGTTATGTCTTAACCTAGCATTTCCCAAAACTTGGACATTGAACCCTTTTCTATGAGACACCTGTGGAACTATTTTTTGGAATACACTTCTTAGGAAAGTGCCAGGAGAAGCAACAGAGAGAGTTCTTGGCAGTATGTACTTTAAGAACACACTGGGCAACCTTACCACTCCCCTTCCACGGCCTCCCAGCAACACCCCCCTCCTCATGGTGATCATAAAGTCTGATCCCACACTACCACCCTGTCTCCTTTTATTTTTATTTAATTATATCAGTAATAGGGGTTCATAGAAAATACCGATAAGGTAAAGAAAGTTAATTCTGCAAATTCACAACCAGAGTTAATACCTCTTAACATTAACATTTGGGGCGGGCGCGGTGGCTCACACATGTAATCCCAGCACTTTGGGAGGCGGAGTTGGGCCAGTGACGAGGTCAGGAGTTCAAGACCAGCCTGACCAACATGATGACACCCCATCTCTACTAGAAATACAAAAATTAGCTGGGTGTGGTGGTGGGCACCTGTAATCCCAGCTACTGGCGAGGTTGAGGCAGGAGAATCGCTTCAGCCCGGGAGGCGGAGGTTGCAGTGAGCCGAGAGCACACCACTGCATTCCAGCCTGAGACTCTGTCTCAAAAAAAAAAAAAAAAGTGGGTATATATCCTGGCCTTCCCCCTTCATGGGTGTGTGAATACATGTACAGGCTTGTGTGTGTATATAACTTGTTATTAACAACAAATACAGAATTATATAAACGGTTATATAACTCCTTTTCCACTGGAACATTTTCACATCAATAAATATATCATTTTAATGGCACAGTATTCCACTATATGGCTATAACATTTATTTAATCCAGTATTACTGAATATAACATCTTGCACAATGTTTGGTTTATTCTAAGAAACTCTTAGCATTACAATTTCTGGGTTAAAAATTATGTATATTTTTAAAAATCAGGAAAAAGATAATTACCCATTGGTATTTTGACATTTCTTCCAGCATGGGATGATTGCGTCTCCACTGATTTAAGTTTTATAACATTTTTCATGTGTAGGCCTTCAGTTCATTTGAGGGGATTTAATATCATTTTAGTCAACAATTCTTTCTTTCAACTACTTTACAAAAAAAACTTTTCTTGTGGGGATTTCAAGACTTAGGCAAAATGGAACAGTACAGAAACCCCCCTACCTGTGGTTTTGCTTTCCTTGTTTCAGTTACTCTTGATCAACTGTGGTTTGAAAACATTAAATGAAAATAACAGAAATAAACACTTTGAAGTTTTAAATTGTACACCATTCTGAGTAACATGATAAAATCTCTCACTGTTCTGCTCTGTCCTGGGTGGGACATGAATCATCCCTTTATTTTTATTTTATTTTTGAGACACAGTCTGGCTCTGTCTCACCCAGGCTGGAGTGCAATGGTGCAATCTTGGCTCACTGCAGCCTCTGCCTCCGGGATTCAAGCGAGTCTCTTGCCTCAGCCTCCTGAGTAGCTGGGACTACAGGTGCCTGCCACCACACTCGGCTAATTTTTGTATTTTTAGTAGAGATGGGGGTTTCACCATGTTGGCCAGGCTGGTCTTGAACTCCTGACCTCGTGATCTGCCCACCTTGGCCTCCCAAAGTGCTGGGATTACAGGTGTGAGCCACCGCGCCTGGCCTGCAATTATTTTTATTCTTAGAATATATCCCACTAGAGACCCGCAATGAAAATAGTTTTAAAATTAAAATAATTTTTTCTCTGATTATGCTGTCAACTTGATACACAGTTGGATTCATTTTTTCTTAGTGTTTAGGGACTTGCTTTTTGCTTTTGTTTTGTAGTTCTGTAAAATAAACACCAGTCCAAGAGCAAAAACTACACAAATGCATTCACAGTAGTTTTGCTGGCTTCACCCTGTTTCTTGCCCTGTGTAGGTAATGTCTTATTCACCTACAACCTTTCCCCCTTTTTTTTTTGGAGACGGGCTCACTCTTGCCTGTGCTGGAGCGTGGCGGCGTGACTTCAGGTCACTGCAGCCTTGACTTCCTGGGCTCAGGCAATCCTCCCACCTCTGCCCCCCAAGTAGCTGGGATTACAGGCGCACACCACCACATCTGGCTAATTTTTGTATTTTTAGTAGAGACGGGGTTTCACCATGTTGGCCAGGGTGGCCACAAACTCCTGACCTCAAGTGATCCACCCACCTCGGCCTCCCAAAGTGCTGGGATTACAGGTGTGAGCCACCAGGCCCCCCAAAAAACTATTGAAATAAAAATAATTATTTGAAAAATTAGCCAGGTGTGGTGGTGCATGCCTGTAGTCCCAGCTACTCAGGAGGCAGAGGTTGGAGGACTGCTTGAGCCCAGGAGGTTGAGGCTGCAGTGAGCCACGACTGTGCCACTGCACTCCAGCCTGGGCAACAGAGGAAGACCCTTTGTCCAAAGGGAAAATAAAAAGAATATAATTTTGTCTATGAGGTTTTTCCCTCGTGCCAGCTGTTTCTGAGAGAGCAAGAGCTGTTAAGAACACTCAATTAGGGTTTCTAGAGACAATGACTTTATGTGGCTGATATGAGTTAGATTAGAAGAATGGGCCGGGCACGGTGGCTCACGCCTGTAATCCCAGCACTTTGGGAGGTCAAGGCAGGCAGATCACTTGAGGTCAGGAATTCGAGACCAGCCTGGCCAACATGGTGAAACTCCGTCTCTACTAATAATACAAAAATTAACCGGGTGTGGTGGCGGGCACCTGTAATCCCAGCTACTCGGGAGGCTGAGGCAGAAGAATCATTGAACTTGAGAGGCAGACGTTGCAGTGAGCAGCGATCACACCACTGCACTCCATCCCCAGTGACAGCGAGATTCCGTCTCAAGAGAAAAACAAAACAAAACAAAACAACAACAACAACAAAAAAAAAAACAGAAAATTAACCTGTATGGGATGCATCTTCAATTTCTGTTCCTCAGTGCCTTAAGCGGAGGAAATAAAGGGCAGCAGCAGGAATTGACAGTGACCATCCGGGGAATTTGCTAGCAGTGTTGTTAGTCGTCGTGGTAGTAGGTCAAAAAGTCTCCAGCAGGCCCCAAGACACAGAAGTTTGGATGCACATATGACTTGGGCTAGTTTCTAGCCATCTGGAGTTGTGGGCTCCTTTCATAACAGAAACATGGAGATACCTCTGTGGCCCACATCCTTCCCCAGGGATGCAGGGGTAAGACTAGGCCAGATACTTTTCATATTCTTCAAGTCTTTCTCCCTTCTCTGTCTACTCAGCCATTTGGATCCCAATTGGTGCAAGGTTATTGATCTTCTCTGCCTGTCCCTAGCAGCCCAGTGTTCTCTCTCACCCTTGCCTCCCGTCACTGTCAAGATGCTGTCTTCCTGTCTACGGCTAATCCTTTCCTTTGGTTCTTTGTTGAAACTCCTCTAAACTTCTATCAGTTCTCCTTTTCTCCTGTTCTAAATTCTCCCTCTACGCTGGAATCCTCTTCTGATCTGCAGCCAGCCTGTATCAGACCTTCCTTTCCACACCTTCTCCATGTTCGAGGAACCAAGAATGGCACGGGTCAGAGCTAGAGGGTGGGGGGACAAACAGGACAAAAGGGATGTTCAGGCTTAGATTAACAGACCGCCACGCATCACAGATCTGCAAGGGGTTCCATCTAAGGCGGTAGGAAGGGGCTTTTGGAGTGATGTTGGCTAATGAATAAAACCTTTGTGGTTAAGCTAAATCTCCATTTAACAACTACTATTTTAGTGTAAAATCATGTGCAGTTAGGACTTTCTGGGATGTCAGACTGTCTTGTCAAGACTGGGATTTATAGTTGAAGAAATTAATACGACGATTGTAGTGGTCTGAGCCCACATGTGAACAGTTCATCAGAGCCCAGTTCACACGCATGAAACTGTTCTTCCTCACTGTAAGGTGGAACAGGACGCCATCCCGTAAAGGATGGTCTCATGCTGGTGCTGCCCTCAGAAAACTCAAGAGAGTTGAGCCCAGTTGCAAAATAATCCAGTACTTGGGTTTCCTGGAAATGGGCTGCTGGGAGAAAAGTCCTTGCTTAGGAACAAAGCTAGCTGGTCTTGTTCCTGTCTTCTCCCTCTTCACGTGGTCTCCTCTTCATTTTTGCAGCCCAGACACTTTATGGGTGCTTTGTACCAGGGCAAGTCAGACATCATGTCAGCACCCTTTTCTCTTGTCTTTCTTGCACATATTCATAGACAAATAGTTTGGAAATGGGCACTTTAGAAGCTAAACCTGGAATTCTGCCACCTGTAATACAGGCCAAGCAATGAAATCTGATAGGTGGAGTCAAAGGGGTCCACTTTTGGAGGTTCCTGTGTCACTTCTCCCCCTCCCAGATGTCTCCTCATCCTGAGTGTCATCACCAAGTTCTTGGGCCTGTACTTAAAGCCCTTCCTTCAAAGATCTGCTGTTCTAGGCCGGGCACAGTGGCTCACACCTGTAATCCCACTACTTTGGGAGGTCGAGGCGGGAGGATCACCTGAGGTCAGGTGTTTGAGACCAGTTTGGCCAACATGGTGGAACCCTGTCTCTACTAAAAATACAAAATTAGCCGGGCGTGGTGGCACATGCCTGTAATCCCAGCTACTCCGGAGTCTGAAGCAGAAGAATCACTTCAACCCGGGAGGCAGGGGTTGCAGTGAACCCAGATCGCACCATTGCACTCCAGCCAGGGCAAAAAGAGCGCAACTCCACTCAAAAAAAAAAAAAAAAAAAAAAAAAGTGCTGTCCTACCAGGGGCGGTGGCTCACGCCTGTAATCCCAGCACTTTAGGAGACTGAGTCAGGTGGATCACCTGAGATCAGGAGTTGGAGACCAGCCTGGCCAACATGGTGAAACCCTGTTTCTACTAAAAATACAAAAATTAGCCAGGCATGATGGCATGCGCCTGTAATCCCAGCTACTCGGGAAGCTGAGGCAGGAGAATCACTTGAACCGGGGAAACGGAGGCTGCAGTGAGCCAAGATCGCACCACTGCACTCCAGCCTGGACAACAGAGCGAGACACTATCTCAAAAAAAATGTGTTCTTGCTCATTTGCCATGGATACCTCAATTAGGGAACAGCTTTCAGTAATGACGGTGGTTGCCAAGAATCCCCCAGCTTCTCTTGGGCTGGCTGGCACCTATGGCTTGTTTCTACCTTTGTGAGGGCAGTGGGCTTGAGTCCTAAATGGGGGAGGGCAAAGGTGAAGCCACAGGTGCAGGGGCTTCTACTGGCCACACGAAGGGCCAGCCTGTCCCTGTCCATATTCATGCCAACCACAGCAGTGAGAATAACAGTAGGGGGGACAGCTGGACAGCTCCATGCCGTAAAACTTCAAAAGTCAAGTCAGCATCACTGAAATTGGAAATGAGAAAATGAGTGAGGACATCAGTGAGGAACACATTTTACATGGTACAGGGGGAATGTGGCTGCTCTGGAATCCCAACAGTTCACCATCAACTGCCCCCGCCGTGCTATGAACTGTTATCCCAAAAACCTAACTGGCTACCTCTGGCAGTCAGTGTTAACTCTTTATTCCTAAGATCGCTTGGACGCTTGGCAGCCATCTCTCATAGGCTCCCCAAGTCTATGAACACAAGCTTAGAAATGGAGCATGGCTTTTCTTGTCCAACCTTTGCACAGCACGTTGGTGGGAGGGCCAGGTCCAGCACCCACTCCTCAGTCCAAGGCTGATCCTGCCCTCCTGAATTCTCAGAACACAGGCATACCCTGTTTACTGAACTTTGTTTTATTGCACTTGAAGATACTCGTTTTTTACAAATCGCACATTTGTGACAACCTTGGGTCAAGCAAGTCTACTGGCATGTTTCCAACAGTGTGCTCACTTTGTATCTCTGTCACATTTTGGTAATTCTTGCAATATTTATTTCAAACTTTTTCATTATGATATTATCTATTATGGTGATCTGTGATCAGTGATCTCTGATATCACTTTTGTAATTCGGCACCACAAACCATGCCCACGTGGCAAACAATCTATAAAGGTTGTGTGTGTTCCGACTGCTTCATTGACCTGCCATTCCCTATCTCTTTCCCTTTCCTCTGGCCTTCCTATTCTCTAAGAAACAATATTGAAACAGGCCACTTAATAACCTTGTAATGGCCTCTAAGTGTTCAAGTGAAAGGAAGGGTTACACATCTTTTGTTTTAAGTCGAAAGCAAGAAAAATGATTAAGCTTAGTGAGGAAAGCATGTTGACAGTTACGACAGGCTGAAAGCTGGGCCTTCTGTGCCAAACAGCCAAGTGAATACAAAGGAAAAGTTCTTGATGGAAATTAAAAGTGCTACTCCAGGGAACAAAGGAACAGTGACAAAGTCAAACACCCTTACTGCTGATAGGGAGAAAGTTTGAGTGATCTGGATAAAAAATAAAACCAATCACAAGATTCCTTTAAGCCAAAGCCTAGTCCAGAGCAAGGCCCTAACTCTCTTCAATTTTATAAAGGCTGAGAGAGGTGAGGAAGCTGCAGAAGAAAAATTGGAAGCTAGCAATGGTTGGTTCATGAGGTTTAAGGACAGAAGCTGTGCCTGTAATACAGAAGTGCAAGGTGAAGCAGCAGGAGCTGTTGGAGAAACTGCAGCAAGTTATCTGAAAGATGTAAGATCCTGGATGAAGGTGGCTACACCAAACAACAGATGTTCAATGTTGATCGAACAGCCTTCTATAAGAAGATGTCATCTAGGACTTTTATAGCTAACGCGGAAAAGTCAATGTTTGGCTTCAGAGCTTCAAAGGAAGGCTGACTCTTAGGGGCTAATACAACTGGTAACTTTGCTGAAGGCAATGCTCATTTACCATTCTAAAAATCCTAGGACCCCTAAGAATGAGGCTAAATCTACTCTGCTTGTGCCCTAGAAATAGAACAACAAAGCCTTGGTGGCAGCACATCTGTTTACAGCATAGTTTACTGAATATTTTAAGCCCCCTATTGAGATTCAAATTATTACTGCTGACAACGCACCTGGTCACCCAAGAACTGTACAAGGAGATGAATGTTTTCATGTCTGCTAACAACATCCATCCTGTAGCCCATGTATCAAGGAATAATTTCAACCTTCAAATCTTTTTTTTTTTTTTTGAGACAGAATCTCACTTTCTTGCCCAGACTGGAGTGCACTGGCACAATTTCGGCTCACTGCAACCTCCACCTCCCAGGTCCAAGCAATTCTCCTGCCTCAGCCTCCCAAGCAGCTGGGATTACAGGCACGCACCACCACGCCTGGCTAATTTTTGTATTTTTAGTGGAGACAGGGTTTCACCATGTTGCCCGGGCTGGTCTCGAACTCCTGACCTAAGGTAATCTGCCTGCCAAAGTACTGAGATTACAGGCGTGAGCCACAGCACCCAGCCTCAAATCTTTTTAAGATATACATTTTTAAAAAAATTGGCCGGGCATGGTGGCTCATGCCTGTAATCCTAGCACTTTGGGAGACCGAGGCAGGAGGATCACTTGAGGTCAGGAGTTCAAAACCAGCCTGGCCAACATGGTGAAACCCTGTCTCTACTAAAAATACAAAAAAAGTAGCTGGGCGTGGTGACAGGCACCTGTAATCCCAGCTACTTGGGAGGTTGAGGCCGGAGAATTGCTTGAACCTGGGAGTGGAGGCTGCAGTGAGTAGAGATCAGGCCACTACACTCCAGCCTGGGTGACAGAGCAAGAGTCCATCTCAAAAATTAAAAAAAAAAAAAATTAAATTTCATAAGGCTATAGCTACCACAGATAATGATTCTTCTGATGGATCTGGGCAAAGTAAATTTTAAAGCTGGAAAGGATTCACCATTCTCGGTGTCATGAAGAACATTTGTGATTCATGGAAGGAAGTGAAAATATCAACGTTAACAGGAGCTTGGAAGAAGTTGATTCCAACCCTCACGGATGGTACTGAGGGTTCAAGGCTTCAGTGGAGGAAGGAACTGCACATGTGCTGGAAACAGCAAGAGAACTAGAAGTGGAGGCTGAAGCTGTGACCGAATTGTACAATCTCATGATCAAACTTGAACAGATGGGCGGAGCCGCTTCTTAAGGATGAGCAAAGAAAGTGGTTTCTTGAGATGGAATCTACTCCTGGTGAAGATGCTGTGAACATTGTTGAAAGGACAACAAAGGATTTAGATTATTACAGAAACTTAGCTGATGAAGCAGCAGCAGGGTTTGAGAGAACTGACTCCAATTTTGGGAGAAGTTCTGTGGATAAAGTGCTACATCAAACAGCATCGCATGCTACAGAGAAATATCTTGTGAAAGGAAGTCAATTGATGCCCCAAACTTCATTATTGTCTTATTTGAAGGAAGTGTCACAGCCACCCATACCTTCAGCAACCACCACCCTCATCAGTCAGCAGCCATCAACATTGAGGCAAAACTCTTCACTAGCCAAGAGTACAACTTGCCTAAGGCTCGGATGATCGTTAGCATTCTTTAGCAATAAATTATTTTTAATTAAGATATGTACACTGTTGGGCCGGGCACAGTGGCTCACGCCTGTAATCCCAGCCCTTTGGGAGGCTGAGGCAAGCAGATCACGGGGTCAGGAGATTGAGACCGTCCTGGCTAACACAGTGAAGCCCCGTCTCTAGTAAAAATACAAAAAATGGCCATGTGGGGTGGCACATGCCTGTAGTCCCAACTACTCGGGAGACTGAGGCAGGAGAATTGCTTGAATACACGAGGCAGAGGTTGCAGTGAGCTGAGATCGTGCCACTGCACTCCAGCCTGGGCGACAGAGCGAGACTCTGTGTCAAAAAAAAAAAAACAAAAAAAACCCACTGTTTTAGACATAATGCTATTGTACACTTAATACAGTGTAAACATAACTCACATGCAGTGAGACACTAAAACGTGTATGACTCATTTTATTGCAAAGTTCGCTTTACTGTGGTGGTCTGGAACTGAACCTGCGACGTTCCTGAGGTATGCCTGCACTTACTAGTGAGCTTCCCGTGGAGGCGTGAAGTGCCTCTTCCCGGAACTGCCGGGCATATTATCCTCCCCCTTTCCTCCACTTAAAAAGCAGCTTTGCCTGGCCAGGCTTGCAGTTCCTTAAGGATAGACTGGTCTTCTCTAGCTTGACATGCAGTCGATCCATCCCTCTAGCTCCGAGGTTCGGAAACTTCAGTGCGCACAGCAATCACCCAGAGGCCTTGCTGAAAAGGTTGCTGGGCCTCACCCCCAGGATTTCTGATTCAAGGTGGACCCCAAGAATCTACATTTCTAACAAGTTCCCAGATGATAGCTGATGCTGCTGGTCTGGGGACTACACTTTGACCACCGATCTAGTTTAGCTTCTCCCAAAGACTTTCCTGGGCAAAACCAGCTTTCTCAGAGTAGCTGTGTGGATCCAGGTCACACCTACCGCCTGTCTGCCCAGGTCCCTCAGAGCTAGGACTCAGCTGACACCTGGGATGAGGCAATGCCTAGTAAAATAAAACACCAAGACACCAGGATCTTGTTAGCTGGATATATTTCTGTTTTTTCTTTTTTTTTCTTTTTTTTTTTTTTTTTTTTGTCACAGAACACTGTTTGCAGTAGAGGAAACTGGCATTGCAGTCTGGTGGTATAATGGCTTGTCCACATAAACCAGTACATGTTCATCCTTTAGCGCAAAAAGCCCTAATGGCGCGTACCCTATTAAAATTCAGGACATCTCCAATATTCTCTCTCTCTGTTTTTCTTTGTCATCTTTTTTTTTTTTAAATAAACATTTTCAAGGTTTGTCCAAAAGAAGGCCATATAGGTTCTTGGCTAGCGGAAGACAATTCAGAACAGCTGTTGCACACTTGGACTGTCACCTTCTCCAGGCTGGCAGTTGATATCTTATTTTTTTTCCAACTCATTTTTATTAAAAAAATAAAAAAATGCTCCAACTATCAGCTTTACAAAATCTCTAAGGGAAACACAAGAGCAAGGTGCTGAGGTAAAAACACCTGAGGTAGCTTCTTCTGTGTGTTTTTCTCGTTAAAAAAATCTGTGAATTTAACGCCCTGGGCCAACAACCTTGGTAAATTTCTACTTTCCTCCACATTTTTTTTTTTTAAAGAAAGGAATCATTTTGCTGAATATTGATGGCTTATACACCAAAATGCAAAAAGACAAAATACATTCTTTCATTGTGGAATTTTTTCTTTGTTTGGTTGATTGGTTGGTTTGGTGGGTTCCTGTTTTCCTCTTCCAAAACGCTAGGACAAGTACCATTGACTCTTGTTCTTTTGAGTAACCAAGTGTAAGTTGAGGCTGGTTTGTGTGTTTCGCTTTTGTTCCTTTTGTGTGATGTGATACTCAGAGCACTGCTTTGCCTGGGGGGGGGGGGGTGCGTAGATACGGGATTGAGATGGAGGGATGAGGAAATTCAAAAGAATGGAGATGGAGAAGAAGGGGAGGGGAGGGAGGGGAGAGATAAACAGAGAGAGACAGAGAATTATATAGCAGTATGCAAAAAACCAGTTTAAAACCTGTGAAGCAAAGAGAAATGGGTGTATGAGCTAGACAGGCATGAGGAGTGACAGAGTTTCCTCTTCAAGGAGACGGTATCCCTTCTGTTGACATACACAGGTGATCCAGAACTGCCGTGAGTGTCCTTCCGACGAGATTTCCCTCTGGGTGAATTTTGTGCGGGTGGCCTCAAAGCTCCTCTCTACACCGTGAGACCTCCCAAAGACTTTATTCTTTAAAGTCTAGAAAAGCCTGCTTTCTCTTTAAAAAGAAAAAAAAATTAATAATTGATTAAAAATTGGAGTTAGTTGAGTTATTTGATATATTATTTCTAAAATATATTACCGCTGCAGGCACCCTGTGTAACCCACAGGCCACATATCTTAACATCTTCCCTTTCTAATATGTACACACATGTACAGAGACGATTTGCCACAGAAAAAGGGTGTGCATTTTGCTTGGCTTTGAACACGTTCACCTATGTTAGTTCAACTAAAAGGGATAGCGTCGTGGGAGTTCAGGAGAGATCCGAGTGGATGGTGAAGTGGATGGCTGAAGCCTGCAGAAGCCCTGGGGGGCGGGAGGCGGGGCTCGGTGGTTCTGGCAAACCTGGCTGACCTTCCCCGCCCCTCCTCGGCCCCTGGGGTTCTCAGGGCCTCGGCAGAGTCCCTGGCCGCCTCCGCAGACTTCTCATTCCTCAGATGGTCTTTGGTTTGCTCCCGATCTGGCTGGCTGCGTTTGGTCTCATTCTGTCAGGTGTTGGAAGGGCTACATTCATCCGTTGTTTTGCTGGTGCCTGTGGGAGCCTCACTTGCTGCGCTGTGAGGCGACTCCCTGAGGGTATTTCTGCTCCTGCTGCTTCACCTGTTGTACAATTTCCCTGATCTTGCGCTGTGCAGTCTGCAGCAAGGGAGAGAAGGGAGAGGAAGGGACAGGGGAAAAAAGGAACCCAGTTCTGAGGACAAACGGCAGGGGAGGCTCTGGGGCTTGGGGATGAAGGGTGGAATGCTCAGACAAGCATCATCTACCCACCCCCGCACGTTACTCCAGGCCCTTTTCTGCCTGGAAGTAAGTGGCAGAGGTCCCCCCTCCACTCCCACCCCAAGGTCCAGGGTAAGGGGATGGGACTCCGGCAGCTTCCAGTTCACTGCTGGACGGACAGGCCAGGAAGCAGAAGCAGGGCGCCAGCAACTGGGGGCCGTGCAGAGTCAGATGCTACACTTGGGCTCCCGTGCTGCTCCCGCCCCCGTTCTACAGCGGCTAGGAGGGCATGAGTGTGAGGGACAGGGGAGGGAGGGAGGAACTGAGCCCAGATGCTCTACCCTGAACAGCTGGAGCACACACATGAACCCCCACCTGTCCCCTCACCCAGCCTAGCACTGTCCCTGCAGGCAGCTCCCTGCAGACTGAACTCCTGTAGGAACAGGCTGTTCAGACACATTCCCAGGGCCCTGAGGAGCTGAGCTGGGAGACAGCAGACAGGGGCGTGGCCAGGGACTCTGACTGCAGAAGACTCAAGTGAGAATTTCAAAGGGCACTGGGCGGGGGGTGCGTGTGTGGGTGGCGGGGGATCCACAGTGTGGCAGCTGCCCTTTCCTGGACCATCAGGTCTCAGCACAGGCACAGGTGTTGGGAGAGCAGGCTGACAGCTTAGACAAACCTTCAGTGTCTGCTTACACCAAGTACACTGTTTGTCTTCACTGGTTTAGGACAAAGACCAGGAACGCTCTCCCCAAAACTCAATTTACAAAAGCATCAAAGAGAAAGAGGCCAGGTGCTGGCCTTTCCCAATGAAAGAGAAGCGGCTGTGTGGAGGTGCAGTATTTTGATAGGGTGGGTTGTGGTGAGACCGAAGAGGAGGAGGAGAGAGAAATGCCGTGAGCATGTAGTCTTTCACAGGGAGTGCTCAGGCTTTCAGGGAGGAATCCAGAGGGTGGGCTTGCCTGGCTCCCAGTGGGGAGGCTGGGACTGAGGCCTGAGGAGAGAGGGTGAGGGAAGCTGAGGCCATGCCCTTAAACACTGCAGGGGGCTTGGAACCACATGGCTTTGCTTAAGCGCTTAACTCTTCACTCTTCCCCAAGCTCCTAGCATACATACCTCGGGGATGACAGTGGAGAGAAGTGTGAAACAATGTCCCCTGCCCCGGGGGCCATCCCTAAAGAGCCAGGAAGAACCAGGGAGAGGTTCCATCTTGGCGTGGATTGATGCTCAGGGCCTGTGGCCACCTGACAGGCCACCAGCAGCTTAGCAGAGAATTGAAAAGAGACTTGCAGGAGAGACAGGGCCCTCACAGCACAGTACCTGGCTAGCAAAGAAGTGCCCGATAATTCTGACGATCACTTCCTCATTTTCATCTGGCGTTTGGTCACGAGGCACGATGACTTCTGCACTGGTTAAGTTCTGCAGTTCGTTCACCTGTGAAGGGAGAAACGGCAACGGGTTGGATAGGTTCCCTCCCCGTCAACGTGGTGGGCTCAGGACGGAGTGAGGGGCCAAGAGGTGGAGCAGGGGAAGGAGGGGGGCTGGACTCTGCTCTCCTTTCCTTTTATCAAGGACACCCCGGGGGCTCCTCTGCCCCTGAGCACATGGGGCCATGTTGGTTGGGCCCTGACAGGCTCAATGACAGGGAGAGGGAGTCCAGCCACAGATTCCTGGGGCTGCTTCTGAGGCGAAGTTCTCTTATTCTGGAGTTCCCATCAACGCAGGCCTGCACATGCTCACAGAGACCCCAGGCTTTCCCATACCCCCCCACTCCCCACCCCTACCCTGTAAGATCATTCCTCCTGGACATGCTGTCCTGGGTGCTGACCACGAGCCCAAACCTCCTCTTGGTTAACTTTCCCTGCGAATCAGCCCTGCTGTTCCCTCCTCCTCGTTTTCACTCCTGCCGCCAAGACTTGCTCATGCTGTTCCTACCCTTGGATTGTTGTCCTCTCTCCCGGCCACTGGATCCCACCCCAGGCCCACCTCCATGAAGCCTCCAGCCCATGCTGAGCTCCTCGTGTCTCCAACCACTGCCTGCATTGTTCATCCTCCCCGCTGCCTCACTGGGCCTGCTTCCCAACAGGACTGCACGCTTCCTGAGGGCTCAGACCCCGTCCTCTGGCCCTCTGGCCTGATGCCGAGCTCACAGGCGGGTTCAGCATGTGCTTTAGGGGAAACCTGAAAGTCTGGAGGATGCAGAGAATTCAGTGACTGGTTCTGAAATAGCTAAACAGGACACCCAGGGGCTCAGGATTCTACTCCCTGCTGATCCATCTGCTTTCTTTTGCCTCCTACATTCCAGCTCCGCCTAAAGCGCAGTGTGTGCCCTGGAGCGCCGACTGCATTCTGGAGACGGGGAATCCTTTGATTCCACACCGCTTCGTTCTTTCGTATAAAGCTGACTCATTACATCTAGAACTTGGTTTTGAATTCCGTTTAAGAGTTTCTATGTAAAGAGCTTTACAACAGCTGGGTGTGGTGGCTCACGCCTGTAATCCCAGCACTTTGGGAGGCCGAGGCGGGCGGATCACCTGAGGTCGGGAGTTCGAGACCAGCCTGACCTGACCAAAATGGTGAAACCCCGTCTATACTAAAAATATAAAAAATTAGCTGGGCATGGTGGCGGGCGCCTGCAGTCCCAGCTACTCAGGAGGCCGAGGAAGGAGAATCACCTGAACCAGGGAGGTGGAGGTTGCAGTGAGCACAGATGGCACCACTGCACTCCAGCCTGGGTGACAAGAGCGAAACTCTGTCTCAAAAAAAAAAAAAAAAAAGCTTTACAAAAACAGCAAATAACACACATATACATATATACACATACACACTCAGGACTCAAGAGACCCCCGCCTCCCCGCCAAGTTCCTGCCACCCAACACTGCTACTTTGCCAGCAAGCCTGCACTAGGCTCTACTGGAACTTCTCAGTGGTCATCTCCCCACCCAGGTCAGTAAGTCACATTCCAGAACATACCTGGGTCTACAGACCACCTGGCTCATTCCAACAAGCTTCAAAGTTAACGCTCTGGCACTTTTCAAACTACACTGTGTTTGTTCCTGCACCTTCCAGTAGAAAATGCAGATGATCTTTCAAAAAACAATCTCCTCCTTGCCCACCCTCCTACTGCTAAACTAGCTCCCCTAGAGCCATGTTTGGGAAACAGCCAGAAGATAGAGCCTGTGGAGGGGGAGTTAGGGACTGGAGGCATCTGTCAGGAGGGCTGAGAGTCAGAAGAGAGTGCAGGGCACAGGCCTGAGTGAAATCCAGGGAAGGTGGTGGTCTGCCAAGTGGGTTAGCATCTCTCTCGGTGGGAATCCCCCCTTTCCAATTTTAATGGCTGCTACATGTGGGTATAAAGGGGGCAGAAGACAGCCTCTCTGTTTTCAGGGAGTGGAGGCCTTCACTGACCATGGAGTCAAGATGGGTATTACTGGGCACAGGACTGTGGTATTTTTGGTGCTGGGCTTACAGCACCACGGATTGGGGGCCCTAAGTTGTGGAGTGAAGCCGATGACATTTTTGTCCTTGGGATCCTCATGCCTCAAAGGGCTCAGATGCCAGGAGAGCCTTAGTTTATCTGCCAAAGACCCTGACTGTACATTGGGACAGAAGGCGCCAAGGGGAGACTGAGGGAACTCAGGCAAGGCCAGAGCGGGGAATCTGACCCAGGTGATGAAGCGAGCCCGGAGCACACTTACGGTCTTGCCACCTTTGCCAATCACCCGGCCAGCTGTGGAAGAGGGCACTCTGATATGCGCTTCCAGCTTCACTTCTTCTTTGGGGTTAAAGAAGTTTTCCTCTTTCAGTTTCCCAAAGATCCGTCCCTGGGCCTGAGAGAGCAAGACATGACTAATGACTCTCAGTCAGCCAGCAGCCGGCCACTTCATCAGTGCTGCGAAGGGCACTGGAGAGTCCAGACAATGGGTCAGTCCCATTCCCACACTCCCTGGGACACACAGGAAGCTGCGTGCCCCAGCCTCCGCTCACAGACCTGGGGGGCGCTGCTCCCGCCACGTCAGATGGCTGCACTTTGAAAAATGTGGATGGGCATTCATGTTTTGGTGGTTTGCACAAGACTGCCTCCTCTAGGGAGCTTTCTGTGTGTCAGGGCTAAGGGGATGGGTGAGGGGATGCAACTCTATGTCTTATTTCCATATTATCACCTATAAAGATTTGCTTGATTGACTGAATTTGTTCAGGGGATTCTTATCCCATCACCACAGGGTCATACCCCTGGTTAGTAAGGATGGAGGTGATGGTGGTGGTAATGGGATTTGAGGAGCCTGATATTGTTTTAATTAAAAAAATTTCTAATGGAGAACAGGGTCTTGCTCTGTGCCCAGGTTGGAGTGCAGTGGCACGATCATAGCTCATGTTTTCATTCTTTTTTTTTTTTTTTTTTAGAGATGAGGTCTATGTTGCCCAGGTTGGTCTTGAACTCACGGCCTCAAGTGATCCTCCCACCTTGGCCTCCCAAAATGCTGGGATTACTGGTGTAAGCCACTACATTCAACATAATCTTTCTTTTTGATGTCTAACTCCAAAGGCAGAGGAGCCAAGAACCTATCTTTCTTTTTTTTTTTTAGTGAAAAAGAACCACAGCTTACAATGTTCTTTTTTTTTCTTTACTTAAAATACTGAGATATAACTTACATAATCTGAGAGTCACCGTTTTAAAGTATACACTTCAGTCCAGGCGTGGTGGCTCACACCTCTAATCCCAGCACTTTGGAAGGTCGAGGTGGACAGATTGTTTGAGGCCAGGAGTTCAAGATCAGCCTGGTCATCATGGTGAAAACCCATCTCTACTAAAAATACAAAAATTAGCCAGGTGTGGGGGCATGCCCCTGTAATTCCAGCTACTCAGGAGGTTGAAGCACGACAATCACTTGAACCCGAGAGATGGAGGTTGCAGTGAGCCGAGATCGCACCACTGCACTCCAGCATGGGTGACAGAGGGAGACTCCGTCTCAAAAAAATAAAAACTGAAAAAAAAAAAAATATATCAATTTCAGTGGTCAGTATGTTGTGCAATCATCACCATTATCTATTCAGAACATTTCCACACTATTCCCCCAGATAAAAACCTCATAACTATTGGGAGTTAGTTCCAACTCCTCCTATTCTCTGGCAACTGCCAATCTACTTTCTGTCTCTAGGGACTGGCCTATTCTGGACATTTCATATGAACGAAATCACTTCACACGTGGCCTTTATTTATTTTGAGACAGTCTTGCTCTGTCACCCAGGCTAGAGTGCAGTGGCATGATCACAGCTCACTGCAGCCTTGAACTTCTGGGTTCAAGTGATCCTCCTGCCTCAGCCTCCCAAGTAGCTGGGACTACAGGTACATGCTACCACACCCAGCTACTTTAAAATTTTTTTTGTAGAGATGGGGGTCTCACTGTGTTGCCCAGGCTGGTCTCAAACTCCTGGGCTCAAGCAGCCTTCCTGCCTTGGCCTCCTAAAGTGTTGGGATTACAGGAATGAGCCTCCACACCTGGCCTATATGAGGCTTTTGGTGTTTGACTTCTTTTACTTCGTGTGATGGTCACCCATGTTGCACCATGCATCAGTACTTCATTCCTTTCTGTGGCTGAATAACATTCTGTTAAATGGATATTCCACATGTTGTCCAATACTGAGTTGAAGGGTTACTGTTTTTTGTTATCTTTTCCTTTTCGTTAGAGATGAGGTCTTGCTCTATTGCCCAGCCTGTTCTCAAACTCCTGGGCTCAAGGGATCCTCCTGCCTCTGCCTCCCCAGTAGCTAGAGCTACAGGAGCATACCACCACCTGCTGCCCCTGGCTGAGGCTATTGCTTTTGAGTGGTTCCACATGTGTGAATTTCCTCTTCTCAGCTAAATTTTAAATATTTTTAATGATAAGGATTGTACTTTTATAAATAAATAAATATGTGTTTCTCACTTTTAGAAAGCTCGAGTTATAATTTTCCTAGGGAAGAAAAAAAGGCAAAAACAAAACAAAGCAAAACACACCTCACCAAAAAACCTTCCAACAAACCATGCTACTTCCCCTTACACCTGTGTTAGTCCTCCATAGCTTGAAGGGTAGACATGACTAAATGAGCCGGAGACATCCATCCTCAAAACCAGGGCTAAGGGATCAGAGGTGCCAGAGCAGGGGCCACTCGAACTGGGCACCAACAGATGATCTACTTTTCCATGAGAGGGAAGGGAAAGAGGGCTTCCCAGCAGAGGGCAAACATGCAGAAGAACAGCCAGGGATGACAGGGTGAGCCTGAGCTTGGTGGGCAGCAGCAGGGAGGGAAATGGAGGCTGGGCCTCCAAAGAAGAGCCTTGAATGTGCCTCTGAGGTGGCTGCTCTGTGCCCAGAGCCTGCAGGGCTGAGGTGTCCCTTGGCACTAACCTTGAACTGGGCTTCCGGTGGCCCGGTGATGATGACCATCCTTTCGCTGACGTCTGGGCCTTCCGCAGGGGCAATCTGTGGTTCACAGGAGAGGAAAACGCTGATGCTCGGCTGCATTCCCCAGCCCCTCTTTCTTGTCTAAGTGGACGGCAAGCATACCAGCAGGAGGTTCCAGGTCTTGCTTCTGCCGTTACCCCTGGTTCTGTCTGATGCCATGCTGCCTCCACCCTGGTCTTAGGAAGTCATGACTGTAATGCCCAGTATCAAATTTGGGTTTTTGGCCACCCAGGGACAGTCAGACACAGGCCAGTAGTTACTGCCTGTCCCTGTCCTGAGCACCAGCTGTGATGGGCCTCCTCTCATTGAGCCAAGTTTTAGGAAATAACCAGGGAGTCAAAAGCTCTAGGAAGAGGGATGTGTAGGCTCTGCCAACCCACCTAGGGCCCAAAGGGAAGGAAGGGCAGGTCCACCAAGGTGTTAAATTGGAGTCGAGCTTGCAGCAAAGGTATCTCTGGTTCTAATTCTCAGCTCACAAGGGTAGTCAGCTGGAAGTGACAATTGAGTTAGAGTATGTGTGGTCAAGACCGCTTCCTCCACGGCAAGTGGGTCATAAGTAAAACAGCAGCAGAGCAGAAATGGAGGCACGTTGGTTCTAGTCCTGGCTCTGAAAATTCCTCCCCTCGCTGTGCCTCCATTCCCTCATCTGTGAAACATAGGGGCTGGGCCCACCAAGCTCCAAATCTCCTCTCACTTTCTTGCCCAGGCTGGAGTGCAGTGGCGCGATCTCAGCTCACTACAACCTCTACCTCCTGGGTTCAAGCGAGTCTCCTGCCACAGCCTCCCAAGTAGCTAGGACTACAGGTATCTGCCACCACACCCAGCTAATTTTTGCATTTTTAGTGAGATGGGGTTTCACCATGTTGGCCAGGCTGGTCTCAAAGTCCTCCAAAGAAGAGCTCAAGTGACCTCAAGTGATCCGCCCACCTTGGCCTTCCAAAGTGCTGGGATTACAGGTGTGAGCCACTGCGCCCAGCTTCCTTCTCTCAGTTTCTGTGAGTTCAGGTTCTCTTGTAACACGACTCAAACCCTGGGCTGAGCAGGCATTTTTGTTAGAGAGATCTTTGTTACATATTTGTTTCTGCATGCCCTGCTTTATTAAAAAAAACTTCAGCTAAAAATAAATACAAAATTAAAACTTATTAACACATTGTAGCAAAATTAAATGTCATTAAAAGTAAAATGAGGCCAGGCGTGCAGTGGCTCACACCTGTAATCCCAGCACTTTGGGAGACCGAGATGGACAGATCACCTGGGGTCAGGAGTTCGAGACCAGCCTGGCCAACATGGTGAAATCCCATCTCTACTAAAAACACAAAAATCAGCCAGGAGTGGTGGCGCGTGCCTGCAGTCCCAGCTACTTGGGAGGCTGAGGCAGGAGAATCACTTGAACCCAGAAGGTGGAGGTTGCAATGAGCCGAGATCAAACCACTGCCTGGGTGACAGAGCGAGACTCCGTCTTAAAAAAAAAAAAAGTAAAATGAGTGCACATCAGGCATTTAGGATTGTAAGGATGAGCCAAGACCGAGGTCAGAACACACACATCTCATAAGGTCCTACACACCTGCCCCAGGTTGGCCACAGATGCAGTTCTAAGCTAAGAGCAAATACGAAACAAGAAACATGGTCAATGACAGGGACATCATGTTCTAAGGCAAAACCAAAGTAGGGATTCAAGGGAGGCACCAATCCTGAGTCTAGGTCTCGAGAAAGATCTGTTTAGTGAAATGGGATTTACCCTCGGTGTTGCATTTGTGCATGGATCACCTCTGGACCACTGTGTCACTTGAGATCCTCCGGGAAGACCTCCACCTCCAGAAGGTTCAATTTTGTTTCCTCTCAGTGTGTGCTATAAGCCAGCTTCCATCCATGGGCCTCAGGATCCAGGGTGGCTGCCCCTGCTTTATTGTGAGTACATAGCCAAGACATGCTCAGACCCTGTCCCGCTCTGGAAGGAGGGGCCCCTTCATGGGATCTGCAAAGAGTTCTCTGGCTGTGACTCCTTGGTGGATGCGGATAAATGTGAGACTCAGGTGATCAACAGCTGAGCTTCCTGGGGGACTTCCTTTGCTGTGGGCAGCCATTTCTTGGCAGGGCCTCGGCCGAAAAACACGGATCTGAGTGTGTCCAGGGGTCTGACACCCTCTGGCAGATCACACAGAGCCTGGCCATTGAGACTTCTGGCAGGATCCCTTGACTCTACTTTGAGATCCATACCTGGCATTAAACCTGGTCCTTATCTCTGAGTAAGCAAGAGAGAGCAGATCATGGCTGTGTGGTTCCCAGCTCCTACCACCACCCAAACCGAGAAGGGCGAATGGCTGATTCATGATTCACGCTGACCAAATCAGTTCTGCCATCACCGTCCACTTCGTAATGACTTGTGGCTGCTTTGCTCAGATTCTGAAAGAAACCTCCGAGGGCTCTACTGCCTGGCACTGGCCAGCCTAGTCCAGAAGTCGGAGGGCTACTTGTGCACTTGTGCAGTTTTGGAATGTCATTCCATGCACACACTCCCTCTAAAGGGGCAGGAATGAGGACCCCATCTTATGACTGAAGCAGATGGGACCCAGAGATAACTGCCAAGATCACAGGGTAAGCAGGGCTGGAGTCAGGATCTGGAATTAGGTGTCACTGGCTGAATGAATTTTGTGCAGCATCTGGAAGCCTGTTCTACAGGAAAGGCAGGTGACGGGAGCTCAGCTCTCACCTGCAGCCAAAGCATCTCTTGGAGTGCATCACCCAGATCTTAGCTCAGCCCACCTCCTCTGGGCGCTCTCCTCCCATGGATGAGTGTGAGGCTCTCTCCCTGCCCAGCAGCATCAAATGTGCCCCTCATTGTGGCCCCCAAAGACTGGCAAAGTAGAAACTAGGGGTGGGAGAATCTCTGGAGTTAGTGAGATCATCCATCTTGCTTTAGAGACAGATGTTTTCAGGGACCTGTTGAGACAAAGGGAATCTAGCAAAAACCAGATTGATTTTTTTACTTTTATTTTTTTGAGACAGAGTCTTGCCCTGTCACCAAGGCTGGAGTGCAATGGCGTGATCTCGGCTCACTGCAACCTCCGCCTCCCAGGTTCAAGTGATTCTCCTGCCTCAGCCTCCCAAGTAGCTGGGATTACAGGCACCCGCCATCATGCATGGCTAATTTTTATATTTTTGTAGAGATGGGGTTTCACCCTATTGCCCAGGCTGGTCTCCAACTCCTGACCTCAGGTGATCCACCTGCCTCAGCCTCCCAAAGTGCTGGGATTACAGGTATAAGTCACCACGCCCGGCTGACTGATTTTAAAAATTTGGAAATTTCCTTCACAAATATTTGGCCTCCCTGGTTTATGCTATGGAGCGAGGCAGGGGCTGGGGAAGTAGAAGGTTGCTGGAAAAGATTGTTGGCCCAGCATAAAAAACATTGTCTGGACCTTCCTAAGCTGTAGAGTCCATTCTGTCCTCCTGACGCAGCACTGCTGTCTTTGCCCATCACAGAGGCCAGGAGCACAGTGACACGTCACCATTCGACCTTGCTGGGACCTGGGACTGTGGGATGCAGCCCATGCGACTGATCTCTTCTTTTCCTAAAGGCCCTGCTGGGAATGATTCTGGCATCACAGTTAGGTTGATATGGTGGAAAAACACACTAGACCAGAAACAGGATAACCTGGGCAAATCTTGGCTCTCTCATTCTTCAGCTTTGTGGCCTTGGACAAGCCAGTGAAAACTCCCTAGGCCCCAGCTCCTCATGGGCAATAGTAAATGAAGAGGCGCTGTAGTGGTGAGCCCCAGGAGGTGCTGGATATCCCAGAAGTCAGCAGAATTTCCATCTCAGAGGCAGCCCTGCCACATGTGTGCCTTGCCCATGTCCCGGCACTCTCTGAGCCTCACTTTTCTCTGCTGAACAAGACGGGGATTGGATGAGATGGTCCCTCAAGCCCCTTTTAGTTGAAACGGTCCTTTCTCCTGCCGGCATCTCAGACTGCAGGACTGAAAGCTGGGCAAGGCCCAAGGGCTGCAGCCAGCCAGGGGGTCTTCCACACTTTACTCAGCCCACCCTCAGGGGTCAGGCCAGCACCTGCCTATCAGTGCCTAGGCCGGGGTCTCACCTGCAGCAGGACTGCTGGGCACAAGGGCCCCCACACCTCAGGGCTCTCATCCTGTCTGTCCACTCTGCAGATAAGATAAATGAGGTCTGAGAGGGAAAATGATTCACCAAAGTGAAATTCTCTGATGGTCTCAGTGCAACCCTTGTTCTGTACTACTCAGAATATTTTGTTTTTGTTTTTCCTCTAGCACACTTGCTGTGGGAGAAATTCCAGCTCTTCCTGGGGAGAAAGTGTAAGCATTCTTTCTCTCCAAGTCATGAGACTTCTCATTTGGAATTCTGGGTTGTCCCATGGTAGCAAATTATTTTGCGTAACAACAAAAACTCTGTTTCCGAAAATGTTTCATGAGGCTTGGGACGTGCTCAGCATTCTGCCCGTGAGTCAGAGCTGATAGCTGGTCTTGGAGCAGGACCAGGGGCAAATAATCCTCCCCTTTCAGCTTCTCTGATGATTCTCCACACTGTGCTCAAGGAGGCAGGATGTGGGCCTGGAGCTGCAGCCACGTCTGCATTCGCAGCCTTTCCATAAGTCAAGGACCGTCCTTCCTGAGTTGCTATGCTCAGGCTGGGTTGCATATCGGGTTAGACCCTCAGCTTTTGTTTATGATTTTATCATTGCTTTTCAAAGAGTTTTTTATCCACATTATTTTCTGGTAGTTCAGGGCCTGTGAAGTGGAGACTCATTAAAGCACCGCATACTGGTACCTGCTAAGTTATCACTTCACCGCAGTCCCTTCCCTTAGCTTGGGAAAATCCTCAACCTTTCTTTATCTTCTTGAGGACAACAATGATAAAACAAAAAGGACTGGGTTGGGTTGTCTGCTACTATTTTTTTCTAATTCAGTGGTTAGCTGAACAGTAAAGGAATAAGAAAAGGAAAGATGAGAGCGGACGGGAATAGTCATGGGGCAAATGTTCTAGATCTCTGTGGGACTCTGTCTCTGCATGGTGTGGCGCTGCCTGGGACTGAGAGGGAACAAGGGCCGTGGGATGAGAGGAGGTGGTAGAAGGGCCACAGGGCCGTCAGGAGCAGCCTCACCTTGATAGAGGCTCCGGCGAATCTCGCCAGCTGTTTGATGTGTGCCCCCTTCTTCCCGATGATGGCGCCCACAGCCTGGGTTGGGATGAAGAGATTCACAATCTCCTGCTCTGGATACTGGGAGGGCGAGACAAGAAAGAAGACATCATTCCAACCAGGCTTTCTCCTCCAGGCACTCAACAGGTACCAAGCACCTTACCATGAACCCCATGGTGGGAAGGCCCCGCCACCCAAGGAAATGGCCAAAATGGTGCACAGGATCCTTCTGCGGCCTGCGGCTCTGCAGGTGTGAAGCCTGAGGAAGGGACCTGAGCACAGGCAGCGCTAGTGATAATCAAGGGCATCCTCCTCTTGAGCTTCTCAATTTGTTGGATTCCAAAAGCTGTCTGATCGCAGGTTTTCTGTCTTATACAAATGTGATCTGTATCTCTCCTGTGTCTTCACCCAAGAAATGAAAACAGCTATTAAACATACCTGGCCTGAAGACGGCCCCAAGGCATTCTGTTAGAGGGAATGGAAAGCTGCCCAACACATCTGGTATCCGGAGAAGCATTTTCACAACTAAACTTGACCTGACCCAGCTGCACGGTGACTGGCTCCAGGAAGATGGGGTGAACCATCCCTCCTGGGACCCTGTGACAAAAGGCAGAGGCTCTTGGGCAAGGCTGCCAGGGGTCCTTGCAAGTGGGGTCTGTGCAAATGACATTCTCATTTGCTAGACTTTGTTCAAAGATCTTTGGAAACTCTGCTATTCAGTGCCAACAGCACGTGCTCATCTGGCCTTCTGCTTGCCCATCTGCAGCAGTTCCTGCGACCTGTGAGGTGTGCGAGCATCCACAGGTGCAACAGCAACGGCCTAGGCCTCTGCAGAACCTCAAGAGCACTCGGGTGCTGGGGAGTTTGGCGTGCTCAGGCTTTGAGGTGTGTCACTCCCAGGACAAACCAGAACCACAGGAGACAAGATCTGCATTGTGAACATTCACTGGCCACCAAGGGCCAAGTGGGCCTAGCCCCAGGAGAAGTGGCAGGTGCGGCTGAACTGAGGGGGCACTTACAGAGTGATGATGCGGGAACGGGCCAAACTGGTGATGGGGGTACAGGCTGGAGAAGTATCCGGAGTGGGTCTGCAGCATGAGAGAAAGAGTCAGTGGGCGGGTGCTCTCAGGGACTGTCACTGGCCTCAGGGAGGCCAGATTCCCAACATGCGACACAGGCTCTCTGTGGCATCAGCTGGCTCCACTGTCGTGTCTACACGCCTGTCCCTCTGTGTCTCAGATCTCTGCTCCACTTCTCCCACTCAGACCACGGAATGCTTGGCAAGATGTCCCCTGGTTGCAGTAGCTCTCTGGGCTAAATGTTCATCATTTCTAAGCTGAGTCATGCCTGAGGCGTCCTAGGAACATACCATGGGTGTGAACACACACATACACACATACACCCACTGGCACTTGCACCCATACACTCTTAACCTGCCCTCGGGTGGAGAGGCGGGGCCAGTGCCTTCCGTTTTCTGGAGAATGATGAGTCGTAGATGAAAAAGAACAGAGTGTGCTGGACAATACCCAAGAGTTATTCAGAACAAGCAAATGTGTTCCTGGGCAGATAGATCAGTCAGCTCCATCAGAGAATTCTAGAAGGAATGGAAAGAATCCTGAGAAGGGAGAAATGTCAAAGGAGACTGAGCTTTGGGAATCTGAAATGGGAGGATCACTTGGGTTCAGGAACTTGAGACTAGCCTGGGTGACACAGAGAGATCCCATCTGTATAAAAAATAAAAATAAAAAATTAGCTGGGTGTGGTAGTGTGCACTCTGGTCCCAGTTACTCAGGAGGCTGAAGTGGGAGGATCACTTGAGCCTAGGAATTTGAGGCTGCAGTGAGCTATGATTGCACCACTGCACTGGTGCTATGCCTGGGCGACAGAGCAAGGCCCTGTCTCCATAAGAAAAAAAAAAGAGAGAGAGTGACTGAGAGAGGAGAGAAAGAAAATGAATGTGGAGAGAGAGGAGCAGGGAACAGGAGGGCAGATATGGACAGAAAAAAAGTAGAGCTATTAAGAAAATAGAAATTTAGAAAGTAGCTGCTTTTATTTTATTTCTTTATTTTTGAGACGGCATTTCACTCTTTCGCCCAGGCTGGAGTGAAGTGGCGCGATCTCGGCTCACTGCAACCTCCGCCCCCGCAGGTTCAAGCGATTCTCCTGCCTCAGCCTCCCAAGTGGCTGGGATTACAGGCACCCCCCACCACGCCTGGTTAATTTTTTGTATTTTTAGTAGAGATGGGGTTTCACCATGTTGGCCAGGCTGGTCTCGTACTCCTGACCTCAGGTGATCTACCCGCCTTAGCCTCCCAAAGTGATATGATTATAAGTGTGAGCCACTGCACCCTGCCAAGTAGCTGCTTTTTACTGAATAGGTACTGTGTACTAGATACTAACATAGATATTTTGTGTCTATTCATAAACTCTTTTAATCCTCACAACAGTCCTATGAGAAGGAACTATGTCTGATTTGATACTTTTTTTTTTTTGAGATGGTGTTTCACTCGTTGACTAGGCTGGAGTGCAGTGGCGCAATCTCGGCTCACTGCATCCTCCACCTCCCGGGTTCAAGCGATTCTCCTGCCTCAGCCTCCCAAATAGCTGGGATTACAGGCATGTGCCACCAAGCTCAGCTAATTTTGTATTGTTAGTAGAGACAGGGTTTCACCATGTTGGTAAGGCTGGTCTTGAACTCCTGACCTCAAGTGATCCACCCGCCTCAGCCTCCCTTTAAAGTGCTGAGGTTACAGGCGTGAACCACCGCGCCCGGTCTGATATATTCTTACAGGCAGAACGCTGACCTGAGTCAGCAGAATTGCTAGCTGTGCTTTACACAAGGCTGGGTCAACACTGACATTGCTGTTCCAGGAAAGGAAGTGAACAGCTCTGGGCACCATGGAACCAATTCCCACAGGCCCACCCTGCAAGATAGTCCTCCAGGAAGACGATTCCAACAGTGGTCAGACGTGGCTGAGGTTTGGAGTCTGGTGACCCAGCTTTCACTTGAGGATCCCTGAGCAAATCTCACAGTGACAGGCAATGCCCTCCATCCCCCGAATCTCCTGAAGGTTAGGATTTTGCCTTATGACCCATTAGGGACAAAATGAAACCGTTGCCCTTTTTGAGCTTGGAATGAGAAGGCAGAGATGTGAACAACTTGAGGAGCTGCTCCAGGGCTGCTGTAGGTTACCAGCCACGCCTGCCGGCGACAGAGCTCCACTTAACACGGCTGTAGTGAGAGCCTTGCTTTGACTTGGAAAGGGGCTGCAGCAGCCCCTCATGCCCACAAGAGGGCGCTATGAGATCAGCAGTCTCTTGGCAAGCTCAAGTTTTGCAGGAAGGTGGGTGAAGCAGTTTCTCTCTCTTGGCTCTGCTTCTAAGGACCCCCTGGAAAGAACATCAGCTCCAGAGCTTTCTCTGCAGGTCCGTGTCCTGGGCCATGAAGAGCTGGGGGAGAATTCATGCAACTCTTCTGCACAAAACTCTAGTCTGGGAAAAGAGCACTTCAGCCCTCCTCCCGCCTGAAGAATCGTTCCTTCAGGTCTCATGGCAGAAATAATTCCTTTGAACTATGATTTGCCATTTCCTTACAAAACTCATGTGAGGCCGGGAATAGACAAGCCACAGTGTGGCTCCTATTCTGGGTTCAAATACTTCTCACATAAATACTATCAAATTTAGACTTCCTAGGAACTCAGGGTAAGAAAGAGATTTTTAAAATTAGCTGTCAAAGGATAAAAAGGACAAATTCTCTTTTATTCATGAGTAACAGCTGAAAAATTGTCACAGGGAAAGAATCTTGAACTTGCAATCAGGAGCTTGTTTCTAGCGGAGGCTCTGCCATTAGCCCCTGTATATAGAAGTTAGTTTCTGGTGTCAGAAGATCTGAGTCTCTGAATCACTACCTCTACAAGTTGGAAAAAATTATTTAATCTTTCTGAGCCTTATCCACAAACAGACTCAAATAATATCTAGTTCTTATAGTACTGTTGTGAGGGTTTGTTCATTCATTCATTCAAAAGGCATTTGAGGCTGGGCACGGTGGCTCATGCCTGTAATCCTAGCACTTTGGGAGGCTGAGGCAGGCGGATTATTTGAGGTCAGCAGTTCAAGACCAGCCTGTCCAACATGGCGAAACCCCATCGCTAGCAAAAATACAAAAATTAGCCGGGCGTGGTGGTGGACACCTGCAATTCCAGCTATTCAGGAGGCTGAGGTGGGAGAATCGCTTGAACCCGGGAGACAAGAGGTTTCAGTGAGCCGAGATCATGCCACTGCACTCCAGCCTGGGTGACAGAACAAGACTGTCTCAAAAAAAAAAAAAAAAAAAAAAGGCATCTGAGCACCTACTCTGTGGGAGGCATTGACCCGGGTCCCGGGTGCTGGGGACACAGTTATTAAGACAGTAATGGTCACTGTCAGCATGGAGCTTGTGTTCTACCGGGGAGGCAGGCACAAAAGAGAACTTCAAGTACTGTGAAAGAAATGAACAAGAACAGGCAAGGAGCAGGTGTGGAGGTGAGTGGTCTGGAAAAGACTGCTGCAGTCAAGACCCAGGGAGGAGATGGAGCCCCAGAAAAGGCACTGGGACGGAGCATTCTAAGCAGGGTTCTAGGAGGTCCAGAGCTAGAAAAGGGGTTGGCCTACTGGAAAACAGAAAGGAGGGCAGTGTGGTGAATGTGAATGAGGGTTAGCAGGATGTGGCGGGGGAGGCAGCACCAGTGGGCTACAGACTTGACACTCAGCAGGACAGACGCCCTTGACGGGTGCTATGTGGCATTCAGTGAGGTCACAGGAATGAAAGATCACTGGGCACTGGATGAGCTAAATTAATTAGTGATAAATGAGTGCTTATGTATAATGAAAGGTCTGGCCAGACGTGGTGGCTCAAGCCTGTAATCCCAGCACTTTGGGAGGCCGAGGTAGGCAGATCGCTTGAGGTCAGGAGTTCAAGACCAGCCTGGCCAACATGGTGAAACCCCACTTCTACCCAAAATACAAAAATTAGCCAGGCATGGTGGTGCACATCTGTAGTTCCAGCTACTTGGGAGGCTGAGGCAGGGGAACTGCTTGAACCCGGGAGGCGGAGGTTGCAGTGAGCCGAGATCATGCCACTGCACTCCAGCCTGGGTGACAGAGTGAGACTCCATCTCAAAAAGAAAAAAAGACAAAAAAAAAAAAAGTGTCTTATCAGAGCATACTATTTCCCCTTCCCATACTTTTTTTTTTTTTTTTTTTTAAGATGGACTAGCTCTGTTGCCCAGGCTGGAGTGCAGTGGCATGATCTTGGCCCACTGCAAACTCTGCCTCTGGGTTCAAGTGATTCTTCTGCCTCAGCCTCCTGAGAAGCTGGGATTACAGGTACCCACCACCACGCATAGCTAATTTTTATATTTTTAGTAGAGATGGGGTTTCACCATGTTGGTCAGGCTGGTCTCAAACTCCTGACCTCAGGTGATCCTCCCACCACGGCCTCCCAAAGTGCTGGAATTACAGGCTTGAGCCACTGCAGCTGGCTAATTTTTTTGCATTTTTAGTAGAGACAGGGTTTCACCATGTTGGTCAGGCTAGTCTTGAACTCCTGACTTCAAATGATCCATCTGCCTCGGCCTCCCAGAGTGCTGGGATTACACGAGTGAGCCACCACACCCAGCCCCATTCCCATACTTTCTGTTAGGTGATGTCTACAGCCTCAAATGGAAGGGGGCTTTCAAATCTTGCTTATTTATAATGGTCAGAAAAAGTAACTTGGCAATGACTCAAATAACTATTTTAATGGGAAAGCAGGTTGTAGTCATCTGACATCTGGTTCAAGTCCCTGAGGGATAGGGAGGTTGGTAGGGAACCCTGACCCCAATGTGGCCATTAGACTCACTGTCCCAGTTGGAGAGTCCCACCTATTTTATGACGGAGAAGCTACTTTATTTTTGAGTGTTTCAAAATCATTTTGGCAGTGGGGAGGGGGAAAGGAGGTGTGGTGAAGGCACTCCTGCCAGGTGTGTCCTCACTCCCTCACCTCCCACCCACTAACTGAGAGGCAGAGGGAGATGGGTAATTGTTATCCACAGGCTTGTTTCAAACTCTCAACTTCAGGAACACTGGTGTCTGCCTTTTCTCTGAGTTTGACTCTTCTGGGGGGTAGGTAGAGGAGCATATATAAAACACACTTGTGAAAATTAAAAAATGGAGTTATAAACAGCAGGGCCTCCTTTTCCTGGGAGAACTGCAGGGTTCAAGCTGCGATGTGTGACCATCTGATACACAATTTAGGTGATATTCTGAAGCATGAAGAAATCAGGGGGTGGGAGGAGTGAAGGGTGGGAAAGGTGAGTGCAAAGCGCAAGGACCAGGCATAGGAATTATGTTTAATTGATCTTTTGTACTGTATTTTTCATTCCAATTTCATTTATTTCCACCCTGATCTTTATTACTTATTTTCTTCTACTAATTTTGCTGTTGATATGATGTATTACAATGATTGATTTGCATATGTCAAACCATCCTTGCATCCCAGGGATAAATCCCACTTGGTCATGATGAATGGTCTTTCTAATGTACTGCTGAATTTGGTTTGCTGGTATTTTAAGGCATATATATGAATTATGTTCAAATATTTAAATAGTTTTAGTGTGATGATAGAGTGATACCAGACTGCAAAGCTGGCAGGTGCTCCCTCTGGGCACCAGGGACATGGGCCTTAGGAAGGGGCGACGACTTGGCCGGAGGGTTCAGTGTTGTGGACATAGCTTTCTAAGATGCAGAAGGTGCACTGCTCTATGCCAGCTTGTCAAAGTGTCTCTTTACATGGAGCTGCCTGTCCTGCTCTGTGTGTTCTCATGGGACAACCTTAGAAGCTGGAGGGAGCTAGGAACTCGTGAGCCAGCAAGAGGTAGAGCTGAGATGCTAACACAGATCTCTGTGTCTGCCTCTGCAGCCCAAGATCTAAACCACTGCACTCACTGCTGCGCTCACCTGGGACATTCTGAACTCACTGGTTCAGGTGGGGTCTGGGGAGCATGCTAAGAAAAAGCTCCCCTAAGGATTGTAATTATGCTCTCTGTTGAATGCATTTAAATATATAAATGGACAATTAAAATCCATTAGACATATATAAAGAATCACCAGCATGAAGGAGAGAAGCCCAGCTGCACAAGACAAGCAAATGACCCGAGTGAATTAATGGAGGGAGAAGGGAGAGCTTTTTACAAAATTGTGATTTGATCTCCTAGTGAGATTCAGCAGGACAGTGCTTCAATAATTTGTATATAGACTGCTATGAGAAATGAACAATCAGAGAACCAGAGTGACCCTGGATATGAAAAACATGGTTAAGTAAAAACTCAGTAGAGGATGTACAAATAGTAGGGAAGACACTGCTGAAAAGCCCATCAATGCACGAGACTGTTAAACCACACAAAACCAAGACAAAGAGTGGGAAGTGGACAGACACAAAGAGTAGAGTGAGGTTTGCTATAACTTTCCTCTTCTGGAGTGGGAACTCCAGAAGGAGAAAATAAAGTGGATGGGAGAGAAGCAACGCTAAAATTAATTATGGAAGGAAAACATTCTCCTGAGCCAAAGAAAAACACGGATCTTTAGATCAAAGCACTCAGATTCAGATTCCTGAATTCCAAGGGTAAAGGCAAATTATTATAAAAGGCAAAAAAACTTATAGATACCGGGGGGGAAAAACAGACAGGCGTGTTGGTGTGCACCTGTAGTCCCTGCTACTCAAGAAGCTGAGGAGGGAGCATCACTTGAGCCCAGGAGTTCGAGATGGCAGTGAGCTGGGATCACACCACTGCACTCCAGCCTACTAGGTGACAGAGCAGGACCCTGTTTCTTAAAAAAAAAAAAAAAAAAGAGGAGAAGAAGGAGAAGAAGGAGAAGGAAGAGGAGGAGGAGGAGGAGGAGAAGGAGAAGAAGGAGAAGGAGGAGGAGGAGGAGGAGAAGGAGAAGAAGAAGAAGGAGGAGAAGGAGAAGGAGCAGAAGGAGAAGGAGGAGGAGGAGGAGGAGGAGAAGGAGGAGGAGGAGAAGGAGGAGGAGGAGAAGGAGGAGGAGGAGAAGGAGGAGGAGGAGAAGGAAAAGGAGGAGAAGGAGAAGGAGGAGGAGGAGAAGGAGGAGGAGGAGGAGAAGAAGAAGAAGAAGAAGGAGAAGAAGGAGGAGAAGGAGGAGGAGAAGGAGGAGGAGGAGAAGGAGGAGGAGGAGAAGGAGGAGGAGGAGAAGGAGGAGGAGAAGGAGAAGGAGAAGAAGGAGAAAAGGAAGAAGAAGAAAAGGAAGAAGAAGGAGGAGGAGGAGGAGGATATCTACAAAAGAAACAATTCTAGAAGTAACATTTTTAGAGTTCTAAAGGAGCTATGGGCTGGGCACGGCGGCTCACACCTGTAATCCCAGCACTTTGGGAGGCCAAGGCGGGCAGATTACTTGAGGTCAGGAGTTCGAGATCAGCCTGGCCAACATGGCAAAATCCCGTCTCTACCAAAAATAGAAAAATTAGCCAGGTGTGGTGGCACATGCCTGTAGTCCCAGCTACTTGGGAGGCTGAGGCATGAGAATCGCTTGAACCTGGGAGGCGGAGGTTGCAGTGAGCCAAAATTGCACCAGTGCACTTTAGCCTGGGTGACAGAGCGAGACTCTGTCTCTAGATAGACAGATAGATAGATAGGTAGATAGGTACATAGATAGATAGATAGATAGATAGATAGATAGATAGATAGATAGATAGATAGATAGAGGAACTATGACCCTAGAATTTCTAGACACCCAGAATTCATTCACGTGTGAAGGAAAAAGGACACTTTCAGATACAGAAAGGCTTAGAAATTATACTCGTGCTATTTCTGTTAAAACTTGTTTGAGAAAATACTCCAGACAAACAACAACAAAAAATTCAAATAAGTAACTCAAAAATTGATAGGGTGTGGAACACAAGAAGCTGTTTGTAGTGAGCAATGAAACCAGTAAAAGTTTAGTTAATTCTAAACAACTGGATTATGCGGTTGTGTATTTATTAAGAACACAAGCTTAGGCCGGGCATGGTGGCTCACGCCTATAATCCCAGCACTTTGAGAGGCCGAGGCAGGTGGATCACCTGAGGTCAGGAGTTCAAGGCCAGCCTGGGTAACATGGTGAAACCCCGTCTCTACTAAAAATACAAAAATTAGCCGAACGTGGTGGTGGGCATCTGTAATCCCAGCTGGGAGGCTGAGGCAGGAGAATTACTTGAACCCGGAGGCAGAGGTTACAGTGAGCCGAGATTGTGCCACTGCACTCCAGCCTGGGCGACAGAGCAAGACTCCAACTCAATAAATAAATAAATAAATAAATATTTTTAAAAAAAGAAATTGAGAGAAATAACCACAAGTTTGGATATTTAAAAGGCAATAATAGTCTGTTTTGTATCACTTTATATCAATACACATAAAAAGAAAAATTAAGTGGAAAAAAATGTGTATTTTCATAGGAAAATATAAATCAACAAAATGAAGTTAAAAACTTATAAGAAATTGAAAAGGTAATAATCAGTCTTTCTCCAAACAAAAGTTGGTAGGCCCACATGTTTTTTGATTGAATTTTTACCAATTCTTCAAGGAAGAGAAAATTCCAATCTTTTCTTTGATTTTCCCAAGCATAGTAAAAGTTGGCCACCTTTCCAGTTCATTCTTTGAGGAAAAAATAACATTGCTGTTAAAACTGTCAAATAGTATAAAACACACAGAATCTGCTGTGTAGACAGAGACAAACGGAAGGGAATAGAGGCCAGAAATTTGATTTAGTGAATGAGATTCTATGTTGGCATTCGATGAGATTCAAAGTTAGCATTTTAAGTTCAACGATAAAATGGTGGATTACTCAATAAATGATTTTGGGAAAATTGAATATCCATTTCAAAAAAAATAAAGTTAGATCTGTATCTCAGTATAAGTCAAGATAAATTCTCCATGAATTGCAGACATACACAATCCCCCAAAACCAACAACTAAAAATTAGTGTAAGAAAACACGGGCCAGGTGCGGTAGCAAGTGCTTGTAGTCCCAGTTATTGAGGAGGCTGAGGTGGGAGGATTGCTTGAGCCCAGGAATTTGAGGCTGTAGTGTGCTATAATTGTGCCTGTGAACAGCTACTGCACTCCAGCCTGGGCAACATAGCACGGTCTCTTAAAGAAAAAGAAAATAGGGGAGGATATTTTATTTTACAGTCTTGGATGGAAGAAGGCTTTTTTCCTTAGCATGACGTCAAAGGTCAGAAACTCCAAAGGAAAATATCAATTATTTAACTACCTTAATTTTTAAGTTTTCTGCATGAATTCTGGTGGAGAGAAATCTGTGAATATTTAAAATGCATATACCCTTTGACATAATAATTCCAGTCTTAGAGAATTTACTTACAGATATACTCACACACTTGTGCAAAGATTTATGTAGAGGCACACCTCATTTTATTGCGTTTGGCTTTATTGAACTTTGCAGATAATCGTGTTTTTTACAAACTGGAAGGCTTGTGGCAACCCTATGTCACACAAGTCTATTGGTATCATTTGTCCAAATGCGCGTGCTCACTTTGTGTTTCTGTGTCTGCATTTTTTAGCAATAAAATATTTTTAAATTAAGACATGGATATTGTTTTCTCAGACATAATGCTATTGCACACTTAGACTACAGTATAGTGTAAACACAGCTTTTATATGCACTGGGAAACAGAAAAAAAGTGTAACTTGTTTTATCATGTTATTCACTTTACTATGGAGGTCTGGAATATAATCCACAATATCTTCAAGATATGCCTGTAAAGATATTCATTTTGACATTGTCTATAATACAAAAAACTTGGAATCAACCCAAATGCGTAAAACTAGTGTGCTGGTTACAAAAATTATGATAAACTCATTTAATGGAATATTATGCAGCCATTAAATCAAACTAGGTCTAGTTATAGAAAGATGCCCATAATAAGTAAAAACAAAATTTGTAATTCACTGTGTACAGCATAATTTCATTTGTATTTTTGAATAATATGATTGTATATATGCCGAGAAAACTTTTTTTAATGTGTAAACATAACTACTACACTTCTAGGGCGGGGGTATTGGGTGAAATTTGGATAAAAGAAGAAAGGCTGAAGGGAAATGTTTACATTTAACTTCAAACAAAAGTTCATTTGTTCGAGAGAGAGAGAGAGAGAGAGATATATATATATATATATATATATAGTGTACTACATATATAGTTAAGTGGGAATTCTGTGTATGACAAAGTTGGCATTTTAAGTTGAACTATGAACTATTGTTCACTATAAATGAACATATATATAATTATATACATATAATTATTTATGACATAAGACACCACAAATAAAGCAAAGAGAATATCTGTTGAAAATATTTACAACATGACAAGTGGTTAGCAGCCTTAATATGTAATTAGCTATGACAAATCATTAAGAAAAAGATGAAATAAAAAGATGATAACAGCAGCTATGATTTACATAGCAGTTACTGTATGTAGGTTTTAACTTAATTACCGTTATAACAATCCCCTAATGTAGGTACTATTATTAATCCCAGACCTGAAGAGCTTAAGTCACTTGCTCAAAGTTAAAAATAGCAAGTGACAGTGTAGAAATTCAAATGCACGCAGTCTGCTCTAGAACCTAAGCTATAACTGAGGGGCCAAAAATACAGAAAGCAACTTATCAGAGAGAACAAAAATGGCTAATATGAAATTGTTTAGTCATATAATTTAAAAAAGCATATATTTTAAAACATCAGACTGCGAGGAATTGGTAGTGGTGGTATGGAAGAAAAAATCTTGCTCCGTTACACACACTCTTGATGGGAATGAAAAGTAATATACCTTTTTTTGTATCAAAATTATATACTATGTATCAGCATAGAAAATGTACAGATTCTTTGATTCTACTTCCAGGAAATTATTCTGAGGAAATAATTGGATAAATGAATCAAGATGTATACACACAAGGATTTCCATTCCAAGAGTGAAAATTTGGGGGAAAAATATAAATCATATATAAATATACACACACACACACGCACATACCTACACAGAAACACTGGTTATATCTAGGTTAAGGAAAAACTTGCACGTTCTGCATTTCTGTATTATTTGCTGCTTCTTTTTTAGGATCAGAGAAATGTGTTTTTTGGGAAATTCAAAAGTACATACTCCCTGCTTCTTAAACACTATGCACATATTACTATTATAACCAGAAAAACAGTAAAAAAAAAAAAAAAGGGGGGGGGGTAAAGTTTTCCTACACACACATATGCATTAAAAATTCCAGAGTTCGGAAACCAACCTAGGTGTGGATGAGCCAGTTATAAGGAGGGACACAGACTCCCTGACCTTTGGATGCTAAAAGCAAAAGCATCAGAACTTTGTGATATACAAAAGCAACCAAGAAATATCTTAGTTCCTTGAAATTTGAATGCCTATGTGACAGGAAAACAATACTTTAAGTATTTAAAGTATCTCCACCACCCTATGCTGCTGTTCTCAGGAGTCCTGGGCCCACCAGGGAAGCCCACAGGTCTGCTGGGCCCACCAGGGAAGCCCACAGGTCTGCGGTGTGGACTCTCCAGGTATCACTCCAGGAATAGCCTAGGTCCTGCACAGGTGGGCAGTGAGGGCCGCCTCCATGCCATTGGACCTGCACTTCTGCAGCTGCATGAAGGAGATGTCTGCAGAAGCCATCATGTCTCAGTCAGTCAGTGTACTGGATTAGAAGCTACTCTAATATTGACCCATGGAATCAAGATCAGAATTACCTGGTTGTTTTTGTTTTGTTTTTAGTTTAACAATTTTTTATTTAAAACCTATTTTACAAATAACAGGAAACACATATTTTAGCAAAATGGTTATTCTACTATTTTAGTAAAAATCTGAGATATAAAGGAAGCTTTCCAACTAGCAAAACCTATTTTCAAGTTTAGAAAATATTCTGCTATTAAAAGAAAAATTCTCTCCTTGTTAAATTTAGTTCAGGGGTCAGCAAACTTTTTCTGCAAAGGAGCAAATCATAAATATTTTAGGCTTTGTGGCTCATGTGATCTGTATGTATCTACTCAGCTCTGCCACTACAGGGGGAAAGCAGGAATAGATAATATGTATATAAACAGCCATGGCTGTGTCCCCTAAAAAACTTTATTAATGAAAATAAATGGTGAGCTAGATTTGGCCCTCAGGTTGTAGCATGCTGACTCCTATATTTGAGATTACCAATTTATTTATTTATTTATTTATTTTGAGACAAAGTCTCACTCTGTTGCCCAGGCTGGAGTGCAGTGCCACGATCTCAGCTCACCGTAACCTCCGCCTCCAGGGTTCAAGTGATTCTCCTTGCCTCAGCCTCCCAAGTAGCTGGGATTACAGGCGTGCACCACCACACCTGGCTAATTCTTGTAGTTTTAGTAGAGACGGGGTTTCACCATGCTGGCTAGGTCAGTCTTGAACTCCTGACCTCAGGAGATCCACCTGCTTCAGCCTCCCAAAGTGCTGGGATTACAGGCGTGAGCCATCATGCCCGGCCTAGATTACCGATTTTAGAATTGGTCTAATTTATTATGCCCTTTTTCTCTCCCCACTTATATTACCTATACTAAGAGGGTAGCCTAACGTTTGAGGTTATCTTCTGTGGGGCTGTATGTACAGCCTCTCTCCCAAGAAATGATGATGTGCCTCAATGCCACTTGGTTGTACCTCATTGGGCCATTCTCAGATCTGACAGCAAAAATACAGAGATGTGAAACTCCCAAGCTATTCTTACTGCTTGGCGCAGCCATGTGACTGACAGCTGCCACAATCCCTCATACTGCATCTTCAGGCTACTCAACACACAAGGCTCAGTGTCAGTCCCCTCCTTCAGTTTAAGGGGAAATGATATAACTAAAGAGGTGGTATGAAGAGATTTAGAAATGACTCAGGGGGCTGGGCGTAGTGGCTCCTGCCTATAATCCCAGCACTTTGGAAGGCCGAGGCAGGCAGATCACGAGGTCAGGAGATGGAGACCATCCTGGCCAACATGGTGAAACCCCTTCTCTACTAAAATTAGCTGGGTGTGGTGATGCATGCCTGTAATCCCAGCTACTTGGGATGCTGAGGCACGAGAATAGCTCGAACCCAGGAGGTGGAGGTTGCAGTGAGACAAGATCGCGCCACTGCACTCCAGCCTGGCGACAGAGCAAGACTCCATCTCAAAAAAAAAAAAAAAAGAAAAAGAAAAAGAAAAGATTCAGAAGAGCCATATATAAGCAAGAATGCAGAATGTGTGCATATATGTGACTCAGCATGTGGGTGCCAGTTTGTGTCTGCATTTTGTTGGCAGGATGGCACAGGGGATTCATCCTGTCTCTCTACAGATAACCCAAAAAGCTACTGGGAATTCACACAATGTGAAGCCTACCCCAGAAAGCACTTCTCAAAAGAACAGAATGGCTGAGGCAATGTTCACCCACCTGATTCTTCCCATTTAAACAGCATAAACATTGGGGGAAAGTTTGCTTTTAAAAATAAGCAGTCTGCGTAGAGAAAAATTAGGAATGAAAAAAAGCTGTCAAGTATCCTGAGCCCCCAATTTGGTAATGTACTGATCTTGAATAATGCTTGTGAATGAAAGCAATAAGTAAAACACTCACAAAATTCACATTTCTTCTTCTGTTGTGAACAAATACTTATTGAGAACTTACTAAATACCAGGCATTGTGCTAAGTGTTTAGACATAAACAATGTATGTAATATTTTCTTTTAAAAATTGCCTATTAATAAGACAATACATTTGACTTGTAAACATAGGTAGAAACTGCACATGTATGTATGTAGATATATATCTCTCTTCAAGAATCATCCAGGTACCCTATATATTTTAATAAATTACCATCACTCATGAAATGTTCTTATTTGAGCTAACAAGTTCTTTTCTATAATAAATTAGCTTCTAGTTGATGAATTTGCTATGAGTTTCTTTCTTTGCTAGTTATGACATACTATATTTAAGAACACGTGTTTAGAGGATTGGTTTAATATTAAGTTGCCCATTAGGAAGAAGTCCTAAGAAATGTTGAGTTCAACCTACATTGGATTCATCTCTACTCGAGCATGGCCTTTAAATGAAAGCTTCCGTTCTGATTCCACACAGCAGAGGCATGCTGCTGCCTGGAGGTGCCCAGCGCATAAGCAAACCTCCACAAGCTGAGCTACTTACAGTGAAGGGGTGGTAGGGGGCAGCGGGGGGAGCTCCGCGGGGCCCTGCTGGTGGAGATAGCACGGACAGTCCTGTTGAAAAGATGCCAAGTGCGCTGAGGTTCAACCCTGGGATCAGATTGGCTTGTTGCTGGGAATAGAAATGGAGAAAAAAGATGAAGGGAGGAGACCAGAGAGGCCCGCACGCCTGGGTCAACCTCCCTCTCTTGTCTTAATGGCACCAGCGTCTCCTAATCAGCTCTGCCCAGGCTCTTCCTACCCTGTATCAGAGGTGGGTGCCACATCTTAACCTGACCATGGTGTTCCTTCAAGGCTTCTCTGCCACACTTGGGCATGTCTACATATCTTGTCATGGAAAATGAGGCTCTTCCTGGGGATGGCAGCCACCTTGCCAGCCTCACTCCTGCTAACCCTTCATCTCCAACCTGGCCAGTCCTGTTTCCTAAATACCTCTGAGCCCCTTCACATGCTATTTATTTCCTAGGCAAGGAAGTGCTTTTCTCCCTTCTCACCTGGCTAAGTCCTACTGACCTGTGGGTTTCACCTGAGCATAGATTACCCCTCATGCAGGAAGCTTTCTTTCATCCCAAAGATCAGCTCAAATGCCCTGTCTGTGCTCTCCAGCATTCCTGTTTCCCTAAGACAGCACTCATTACATGGTATGTGAATAGCCTGTTTAGTTACCTCTTCCCCTTTCAGACTAGAATTTCCTTGCAAACAGAGAATGTCTTACTTAGTGTCGTGTTCTCAGTGCCTGGTATATAGTAAGTACTCAATAAATATTTGTTGAATGACTGTTTAAAACAAATTGGATTAACAGTGTTTTCCAACTCTATCCATGGAGAGATCAGATTCTTCACATGATGTAAATTCCCACATACGTAAACTCCATTAGCCAGGTTCGGGATGGTTTACAACTTTGTCTCTTTACTATTTAGTTGTCGGCTTTGTGATCATCTTGCTTGCTTGCTTATCTTACATTTCTACATGGGGATGGTCACACAGACTGGGGGTGGGTTTAGCCACACAGCTCTTCAGAGGCAGAGGAACGTGGTCACCCATTCCAGGCTGTGTCCAACCTGCTTCCATCTTTGTCTCCCTGAACATGAAGCAATTTCCTAACATTTTCTAATCTTTGTCTACATTCACACTGTAACTTGCCTTTTTCTTTTTTTTAGAACTTTTGGAATAGCAGTGCTCGTATCCTTCATCTTTACCTCATTTTGTCTATAAGATGTAGTAATTTTGTTATTCACCTACCAGTGCGTGACTTTGGCACAGACATGAATGAACCTAAGTGGTAAGCTCAGGTGAAGATGTATGAATCACTCAGGCCCTTCTGTAGCTTTTCCAGGTGTTCACAGAAAGAGATGTTTACCACAAGATGTCAAGAACCCACAGGAAGAAAATGAGATTGTCAGATGATACTTCCACAAATATATCCAAACATGGGGAGAAGACACCACTGCAGTCTCCTGCTCTAGCTCTTCTCATCACACCTCATAATTGTCATGTGACGTGGGCTGCTAAGGTGGGGGTCGGGGTGAGATGGGGACAGATTACTGCCTGGAGTATAGAGGGTACAACAGAAAGTGCTGCAGTGAGGGACCTGGGTTTAATCTAAAGAGTGCTTTGTCGACATTTATTTCTCTAAGAAATATTATCAGGTCTGAGATTTGCTTCAAGGTCATCCAACAGGTATGGAAAGTGGATGTGGATGAGGGTTTAGAGGAAACAAAACAGGTGGTGAGTTGATAACTGCAAAAGGTGGATTATGGGTATATGAGGACTTATTGGAGCATCCATTCACTTTTGTATACATCCAAAAAAATCTAATTAAAAAGTGAAAAAAATTTACTCCTCTGAGCTGAGCTGGACTTTTGCTGATGGCCAATTATTTTAAAGGTTTTTGTTTGTTTGTTTGTTTTTTGAATGCCGGATCAGTGTCTCCCCATTAAGAGTAAAAATTAGGTAGCAATCACAGGAAGGACAAACCTAATGAGTCTGCTACAAATATACAGTAAAGGCTCAACTGGTTGACAACATTTATCAGGCAATCTAAAAGTGCAGATCAGCAAGCAAGGGAGGAAAATCAGAAGTTAACTTTAAAGCATGCATTTTTAAAATTTAAAAAGTAACAGGACAATATTATGTAAGGTTCAGAAGGCTACATACATGGAAAAAATCCCACTTTTCTAATGTGCCAGCTATTTTCATTTTTGTATGTAGCCTTCCAGTCATTCTGATCCATGCTGTTTTACATAATTGTAAATTTACTTATATACTTTTATATCTTGCTTTTCTTATTTAGAGATGGGGTCTCACTCTGTTGCCCAGGCTGGAGTGCAGTGGTGTAATGCCAGCTCACTGTAGTCTCAACCTCCTGGGCTCAAGTGCTCCTCCTGCCTCAGCCTCTTGAGTAGCTGGGACTATAGATGCATGCCACCACACCCAGTTATTCTTGCTTTTCTTTTTTTTTTTTTTTTTTTTTTTATTCTTGCTTTTCTTAATAAACACTATATCATAAGCTTTTCCTTATTTCAGTCTTCAAAGTTATAATTTTAATGTCTTCACGTGATGTTGTCCAGCGCACTTATCATAATTTACTAGTTGGTTTCCTGATTATTTTAATGCTTTTATCCTAGGAAGTCAGGAAAAACTCTGCATACCTATCCTAAGGCACTTCCTCATTAGCTGAATGGCAAGTATTTTTAGCCTAGTGAAAACCAGCGGAGAAGAAAGCATTAGGGACTTACGTTAACAGCCAGCATATCATTTTCAAAGGCCTCACGCAGCTTCTTCATAATCTCTATCTCAGCACTGGCACAGGCCTCAACTGTGCCCTTCACAGTGATGGTTCTTTCCGGGTTGTATATGCTCAAATCCTGCAAACTGACCCATGAGAAGAAAAGAGAAATTTTGTTTTCAACGGGAAAAATAAAATGCCCAAAAAATAAAAAAATCACAAACAAGTTTTGGCGGAGAGAGAGAAGACTCAATTCCCTCCCAACACACTGTGGTGGAGAATCCCTGCCATCTTATTTCAAATCTTACCAGTGATTTAGATCACATCCATAGTGAAAAATGTCTACCTGGTAAGTATTTATGTATTTTTTTAAAAGATGATGGAGATAATTGCATCACTTATGATTATATTCCCATTTTAGGGAAAAGTAGATGAATGAACTAGACGTATCGAAATGCTCAGGTGTTCCATTATTGGGCATGAGTAATCTGAGTAAGTGGCTTACGATGAGATTGTTATCTTGGTCCCTGTTTCATGTTCAATTTTCTTCAAATTTCTGCCTTCTTTTCCAATCAGTCTTCCAACCAAGCCATTGTGTGCCAAGATTTTCAGAGGAATCTCTTCGGCTCTAAAAGAGACAAGCAGCAAGTTAACACTTCAGATACGTATAACGGTTGTCTCCCAAAAACCATTACCTTGCTTTTTTCTTATAAATGGAAGTCATTTTGTTCAGGTACCAAGTGATGATGGGATTTGGGAGAGGTCAGGTCCCTCACCGACCCCAGTTCATGAATTTTGATTAACATAAGCCAAACCATGGTAATTCTACTCCCTCGTAGTAGCTGGTTGGAAGTGGATCCATGAGGCTGATCTGGCCAATGAGGGTATTACAAGAACTCTATTGGGTGAAGAATGTTCTCCTTGCTCTTAAAAAAAGGTACAAGGGAGAGTGACGTTAGCAAGATGGCAGACTAGGAAGCCACAGGTCTCTTTCCCCCTCACACACACCTCAAATTAACAAGAGATAGACCAGAACACCTCTGTGAGAACTCTAAAGATCAGCTGAGAAGCTATAATATGAAGTCCGCTGTAAACTAAAGAGGAATTCCAGGCCGGGCGCCGTGGTTCACGCCTGTAATTTCAGCACTTTGGGAGGCCAAGGTGGGCAATCGCCTAAGCCCGAGAGTTCAAGACCAGCCTCGGCAACATACTGAAACACTGTCCTTACTAAAAACACAAAATTAGCCAGGCATAGTGGTGCATACCTGTAGTCCTAGCTACTTGGGAGGCTGAGGTGGGACTGCTTGAGCCAGGGAGGCCAAAGCTACAGTGAACCATGATCACACACTTCTGCACTCCAGCCTGGGCTACAGAGCAAGACCCTGTCTAAAAACAACAACTATATATATATATATATATTTACTGGAGATATATATATATGGAGATGTATATATATATATATTTACTGGAGATATATATATATATGGAGATATATATTTACTGGAAATATATATATATTTACTGGAGATATATATATATGGAGATATACACTTACTGGAGATATATATATATATTTACTGGATATATATATATGGAGATGTATATATATTTACTGGAGATATATATATGAGATATATATTTACTGGAGAGAGAGACATATATATATGGAGATATATATACATATGGAGATACATATATATGGAGATATATATATATGGAGAGATTATATATATGGAGAGAGATATATATATATATGGAGATATATATATATATATATATATATAGAGAGAGAGAGAGAGAGAGAGAGAGAGAGAGAGAGAGATGTATATATATCCAGTAAAAAAGGTAAGAACATTCAGTGTTTTCAAGGCCCCACCCGCTACATGGCATACTGAAGAGCAAAGGGGAGGAAACCCTAAAGGCTGGGCTCCTCCTTTGGGACAGAAACAAAGACTGGATTATGCATACAACATTTTGGCTTGTCTGGAAGGTGCCAGAAAAACTGGTTTTTGTGTCACTGACTCAGAGCACTGAAGGATCAGCATTAGAGTTCAGAAGCTGCTGAAAACAGAGGCAAGCAGCATTTAAGAACTGCAGTTCTACAGTCAGACACCAGAGGGATCAAGAGATTAGAAAAGGTTTGAGAGGTCCTAGAACCTCTAGCTAGGCTGATTTCAGGTCTTCCACTGCCCAAAGCCAGTACACAGAGACTGTGAGAGGTGGTTGTTTTTTCAAATGCCCAAATCCCAACAAAAAAACTTACTAGGCATACAAAGAAACAGAGAAGCATGACCCAATCAAGGGACCAAAATAAAACTCCAAATACTGACTCTAAAGAACACAGATCTACATGCTCCCTGACCAGTAATTAAAAATAATTGTAAAGATGCTCAATGAACTAAACAAGAACACAGACAGACAACTAAATAAAGTCAGAAAAATTATGCATGAACAAAATGAGAATATCAACAAAGAGACAGAAACTATAAGAAAGAACCTAACAAATTCTGGAGCTGAAAAATACAATTGAACAGAAAAATTTGTTAAAGGAGTTCAACAGCAGATTTGACCAGACAGAGGAAAGGACCAGCAAATTTGAATGTAGATCATTTGAAATCTTCAAGTTAGAGGATTAAAATAAATAAATACAGTGAAGAGAGCCTAGGGACCTATGAGACATGCCAAGTAGATCAATATAAGCATAATGGGAATCCCAGAAAGAGAAGAGGGAACAAAGGGGCATAGAGCTTTATTTGAAGAAGTAATGGCTGAAAGGTTCCCAAATATGAGGAACAAAATGTACATACAAATCAAAAAATTTAAAGAACTCCAACTGGGACAAATCCACAGAAAACCACACTGACACACATTATAATCAAACTGTCTAAAGTCAAAGATAGAGTATCTTCAAAGTGGCAAGAGAAAAGCAATTGTGACATACAAAGGAGCTTCCGTAACACTATCTGCAGATTTCTTAGCAGAAACTTTGCAGGCCAGAAGGGAGTGGGATGATATATTTGAAGTGCTGAAAGAAACTGCCAACCAAGGACACCATGTGTGGTAAAACTGTCCTTCAAAAACAAAGGAGAAATTAAGATTCCCAGATAAATAAAAACTGAGGGACTTTATTACCACTTGACAAGCTCTACAAAAAATGCTGAATTCTCTTAATTTTCCTTGTGCTGCTGATTTCTGGTTTCATTCCATTGTGATCAGAAAAGATACTTTGTAGTATAATTTCAATCTTCTTGAATTTTTTAAGATTTGTTTTGTATGTTCTCTCTCCTGGAGAGTTCCACATGCATTTGAGAAGAACGTATATTCTGCCATTGTTGGGTGGAATGTTCTTGTATGTCTGTTGGTCTATAGTGTTGTTCCAATTCTATTTCCTTATTGTTCTTCTGTCTAGTAGTTTTATCCATTATTGAAAGTAGGGCACTTAAGTTTCCTACTGTTATCATGTTGCTAATTATTTCTCCCTTCAGCTCTTTCAAAGTTGACTTCACATGTTTAGAACTCTGAGGTTTGGTGTGTACATATTTATAATTGTTGTATCTCCTTGGTGAATTGTTCCTTTAACATTGTATAACGTCCCTCTTTGTCTCTCGTAACAGTTTTGTTTTTAGTCTATTCATCTGATAATAGTATAGCTACTCCTCCTCTCTTGTGGTTACCATTTGCATGGAGTATCTTTTTCCATCTTTTTACTTTCAGCCTATATGTGTCCTTATATCTAAAAGGAGTCTCTTGTAGGCCACATACAGTTAGATCCTGTTTTTAATCCATTTAGCCAAGAATGGGGAGTTTAATTCATTTGCACTTAAAAGTAATTACTGATAGGGAAGGACTTACTTTTGTCATTTTCATTGTTTTCTGTATGTCTAGTAGCTTTTTTGTCCCTTCTTTCCTTTCTTCCTGTCTTCCTTTATGTGTTGTTGATTTTTATTATAGTGATGTGCTTTGATTTTCTTTTGTGCGTTCTCATAGATTTTTTCTTGGTGGATACTATTGCAATTACATAAAACATCTTAAAGTCATAGCATCCTATTTTGAACTGATAACAACTTCACTTCAATTGCATAAAAAACTCTACTTTTTTACCCCATCCCCAAATATCACAAATTAACATCTTTATATGTTTTTATACCCATTAACATAGATTTATAGTTAAAAAAAGTTTTTGTCATTTAAATTCTATGTACCAAAATTACTACAGTACAGGTTACTATATTTGTTAATATTTACCCTTACCAGATAACTATATATTTTCATATGGCTTTGTGTTGCTGTCTATCATTCTTTTATTTTATGTTTTATTTTAACGTTTTTTCGTTTTCTTTCTTTTTTTGAGATGGAGTTTCACTCTTTTTGCCCAGGCTGGAGTGCAATGGCATGATCTCAGCTCACTGTAACCTCCACCTCCCAGGCTAAAGTGATTCTCCTGCCTCAGCCTCCTGAGTAGCTGGGATTACAGGTGTGTGCCACCACACCCGGCTAATTTTGTATTTTTAGTAGAGATGAGGTTTCACCATGTTGGCCAGGCTGGTCTTCAACTCCTGACCTTGTGATCCACCCACCTCGGCCTCCCAAAGTGTTGGGATTTATAGGCATGAGCCACTTCACCCGGCCCCATCCTTTTATTTCAACTTGAAAAGAACTAAACCCAAAACCAGCATAAAAACGGCAATAATAAAAATCAGAGCAGAGATAAACAAATACAACCAACAAAACTAAGAGTTGGTTCTTTGAAAAGATCAACCAAACTGACAAATCCTTAGCTAGATTAAGAAAAAAAAAGAACATTCAATAACTACAATCAGAAATGAAAGAGGGAACATTACTACCAATACGACAGAGATAAAAAGGATTATAAGAGAATATTATGAAGAATTGTATGCCTACAAATTTAATAACCTAGAAGAAATGGACCAATTTCTAGAGGAAACACACAACCTACCAAGATTGAATCATGAAGAAATGGAAAGTCTGATCAGACCAATAATGAGAGAGATTGAATCAGTAATCAAAAACCTCCCAACACAGAAAAGCCCAGGACCAGATGGCTTCATCGGAGAATGCTACCAAACATTTAAAGAAGAATTATCGCCAATCCTCCTGAAACTCTTCCAAAAAAATGAAGAGGAGGGAACATTTCCAAGCTCATTCCATGAGGCCAGCTTTACCCTGATTCCAAAGCCAGACAAAGACACCACAAAAAAAGAAAACTTCAGACCATTATCTCCGATGAATATTGATGCAAAAATCCTCAACAAAATACTAGCAAATCAAATTCAGCATATGAAAAGGATTATAAGCCACGACCAAGTGGGATTTGTTCCTGGAATGGAAGGTTTGTTCAGCATACAATTAATGGGGAGCTGGGCGCAGTGGCTTATGCCTGTAATCCCATCACTTTGGGAGGCTGAGGAAAGAGGATTGCTTGAGGCCAGGGGTTCAAGACCAGGCTGGGAAACGTAGTGAGACCCCATTACTATAAACATTTTTTAAAAAATCAATCAATACAATAAATCACATTAACAGAAAGAAGGGGGGGGAACTACATGATCATGTCATTAGAAAAAGCATTTGACAAACTTAACACCCTTTCATGATAAAAAACACCCAACAAAATTAGGAATAAAAGGAAATTACTTCAACATAAGACCATTTATGAAAAGCCCACAGCTAACATCACACTCAACGATGAAAGACTGAATGCAAGGCTTTTCCTCTAAGACCAGGAACAAGGCAAGGATGCCCACTCCTGCCCATTTCTATTCAACATAGTACTGGAAGTCCTAGCCAGAGCAATTAGGTACAAAAAAGAAATAAAAGGCATTCGAATTGGAAAGAAAGACATAAAATGATCTCTATTCACAGATGACACGATTTTATATGTAGAAAGCCTTAAAGATTTTACAAAAAAGGTTAGAATAAATTCAGCAAAATTGCAGGATACAAAAATCAATCAACATGCAAAAATCATTTACATTTCTATACACAACAATAAACAATCTGAAAAAGAAGTTAAGAAAACACTGCCACTTACAATAGCATCAAAAAGTATAGAATACTTAAGAATAAACCTAACCAAGGAGGTAAAAGACTTGTACACTGAAAACCACAAAAGGTTCCTGAAAGAAATTTAAAGGCACAAATAAATGGAAAGACATCCTGTGTTCATGGATTGGAATACTTAATATTGTGAAGATGTTTATACTACCGAAAGTGATCTACAGATTCAATATGAGCTCTATCAAAATCACAGTGGGCATTGTTTGAAGAAATAGAAAAATTCATATGGAATCTCAAGGGACCTTGAATAGCCAAAATGATTTCAAAAAATAAGGAAGTTGAAGGGCTCAGACTTCCTGCTTTCAAAATATATTACAAAGCTACATAATCAAAACAGTGTAGTACTGGCATAAAAACAGATAAATAGACCAATGAAATAGAATAGAGCCCAGAAATAAATCCTGCGTATAGTCTCCGATGATTTTTGATAAGGTGCTGAGACCACTAGATGGGGAAAGAGCAGTCTATTCAGCAGATGGTGCTGGGGAAACTGGACACACACATAGAAGAATGAAGTTGAACCATTATTTTACACCATATACAAAGATTAACTCAAAATAGGTTAAGGACCTAAACAGACCTAAAACTATCAAACTCCTAAAACACAGGAGAAAGCTTTATGATATTGGACATGGCAAAGACTTCTTGGTTTCACCATGATACCAAAAGCATAGGCAACAAAAGCAAAATTAGACCAGTGGGAGTACATCAACTTAAAAACTTTTGTGCATCAAAGGATATAATCAACAGAGTGAAAGGTCAACCCATGGGATGGGAGAAATATTCACCAATTATTTATTTGATAAGGGGTTTGCTATGGTTTCAAATTCCCCTCAAAACTCATGTTGAAATTTAACTGCCACTGGAACAGTGTTGAAAGATAGGACTTTTAGGAGGTGATGAGTTAATCACCTGCATTAATTAATTAATTAATCATGAATGGATTAATGCAGTTATCACAGAGTGAATTAGTGGGTTGAGGGATAGTTTGGACCTATTTCTTCTCTCTGTCTCTTGCACTTGCTTCTGCCTCAGGCCTTCCACCATAGGATAACCCTCACCAGATGCTGACATCACGCTCTTGGACTTCCCAGAACTGTGAGCCAAATAAACTTTTGTTCCTTATAAATTATCCGGTCTTTAGTATTCTGTTACAGTAGCACCAACTGGACTAATATATAGTTAATGATCAAGAATACATAAAGGACTCCTGCAACTCCCATAACGAAAGAATCAAATATCTCAATTAGAGAATGAACAAAGGATTTGAATAGACATTTCTCTAAAGATGATATACAAATGGCCAATAAATATATAAAAAGATGCTCAATATCACCAATCGCTAATCATCAGAGAAATACAAATCAAGACCACAATGAGCTGTCACCTCATACCTATTAAGATAGCTGTTATCGAAATAACAGAAAATAACATGTGTTGGAGAGAATGTGGAGAAACTGAAACCCCTGTGCACTGTTGGTGGGGTTGGAAAATGGAGCAACTGCTATGGGAAAAAGTATGAAGGCTCCCCCAAAAATTAAGAGTAGAACTACCATATGACCCAGCAATCTCACTTCTTGGCACATATCCACAAGAATTGAAAAGAGGGTCTTGAAGAGCTATTTGAAAACCCATGTTCATAGCAGCATTATTCACAATAGCCAAGAAGCAGAAGACCTCAAAATGTCCATCACCAGATGAACAGATAAACAAAATGTGCTATATACATACACTGGAATGTTATTTGGCCATAAAAAGGAAGGAAAGCCTGTTACATGCTATAACATGAACCTTGAGGACACTATGCAAAGTAAAATAAGCCAGTCACAAAAGAATAATAGTATATGATTCTACCTATATGAGGTATGTAGAGTAGTCAAATTCATAGAAAGAAGTGGTGATTACCAGAGGCTGACGGGAGAGGGAAAAGAGAGTTGTTTAATAGGTACAGAGTTCCAGATTTACAAGATGAAAAGGTTCTGGAGATCTGTTTCACAGCAATGTGAATATACTTAAGACTACTGAAAAGTACACTTAAAAATGATCAATAATTTTTTTTTTTTTCTGAGATGGAGTCTTGCTCTGTCACCCAGGCTGGAGTGCAGTGGTGCACTCTCGGCTCCCTGCAACCTCCGCCTCCTGGGTTCAAGCGGTTCTCATGCCTCAGCCTCCCAAGTAGCTGGGACTACAGGTGTCCACCCCAACACCTGGCTAATTTCTGTATTTTTAGTAGAGACGAGGTTTCACCATGTTGGCCAGGCCAATCTCAAACTCCTGACTCAAGTGATCCACCTTGTCTCAGCCTCCCAAAGTGCTGGGATTACAGGCATGAGACACCATGCCCAGCCAAGACAGTACATTTTATGTTATGGTTGTTTAACCACAACTTTTAAAGAAGTTTTCTGAAAAAAGGACACAAGGAAGGGATGCCCTCTCCCTCAATTTGTAACTTTTTTGTGGGAATGCACATCTGAAATCACTATAGTCATCCTATTATAACCAAGGGAACGTGAGACATGCTGAGGAACGTAGAGCAGAAAAATGTTCTGGGTCTCTGGGCCCATGATTCAACTGACCTTGGAGCCGTGTGCCTTAGGACTTCTTGTTATGTGACATGACATCCTTTTCTTATTGGTTATACCACTTGTATTTTCTGTTGCTTGAAGACCAAAAGCATCTAACAGATGCATTACTACTGCCTCAAAATAAAGAGGGTGCTTGAAGAAGCTGCATTAGAATGTAACTTTCAGAGGATGGGCATTTTTGTCAGCTTTGTTCACTGCTGAGTTCCTGGCACATAGAATAGTGTCTGGCACATAGTGACTGCTCAATAAATATTTGGTAAATGAACAAAAAGAAAGTTTAGGATCTCTGTTCTCCTATATCTTCTACCTCTTATTCAGTCCCTTCAGGGCTCTGTCACCTACACAGGGAGGCATTCTCTGAAACCCCCAAATCCTTGTCCCCCTAAAACCCTCATTAGGACCTTCAGTTACATGTCATCATTGGATACTACATTTTTCCACTGTAGAATTTCTTTTTTTTTTTTCTTTTCTTGTTTTGAAATGGAGTCTCGCTCTGTCGCCCAGGCTGGAGTGCAGTGGCGCGATCTCGGCTCACTGCAACCTCCACCTCCCAGGTTCAAGAGATTCCCCTGCCTCAGCTTCCCAAGTAGCTGGGACTTCAGGCGTGTGCCACCACGCCCAGCTAATTTTTGTATTTTTAGTAGAGACAGGGTTTCACTATATGTTGGACAGGCTGGTCTCGAACTCCTGGCCTCAAGTGATCCGCCCGCTTCAGCCTCCCAAAGTGCTGGGATTACAGGCGTGAGTCACCACATCCAGCCTCACTGTAGCATTTCTTATAGCTGCACTTAATTACTTATTGGTGTAATTACTCATTATTTGTTTAATGAGTGTCTCTCCCACTGGACTGCTCCATCAAAGCAGGAACCAATGGGTGAAAAAATGGTATGTGGGGAAGGAAAAAAAAAAAAGCAGGAACCAAGTCCTGCTCATGGTTGTAGCCTCAACCTCCAGCAGTGATTAGCACAGTGTAGGCACTGAAAAATTTTTTTTCTAAGATATTCAAACTCTATCTTGGCTCTACATGAAAACATAAAAGCCCAAGTTGTAAATTAGTCTTTTTGACTAATTTAGAATTTTATTAAGTTGTTTGCACCTAGGTTGAAGAATCAAGGAAGGTGGCTGGGCGCAGTGGCTCACACCTGTAATCCCAGCACATTGGGAGGCCAAGGCGGGTGGATCACCTGAGGTCAGGAGTTCGAGACCAGCCTGGGCAACGTGGTTAAACCCTGTCTCTACTAAAATTACAAAAATTAGCCAGATGTGGTGGCAGGCACCTGTAATTCCAGCTGCTCGGGAGGCTGAGGCAGGAGAATTGCTTGAACCCGGGAGACGGGAGGTTGCAGTGAGCCAAGATCATGCCATTGTACTCGACAAGAGTGAAACTCCGTCTCAAAAAAAAAAAAGGAATCCAGAAAAGTATTATTTACTAAGTTCCCAGGAACTTGGATGAGAAATGTCTTTTTCAAATTAAACTGTGGCATTTGGGGGATTTCAAAAGCCCAAGTAGAATAAATAATTCATAATAGAAAGGATAGAGTCTCTTATGAAATCTAAGAATAGATTTGTAATGTTCTTCTTTTAAGGACCATTTTCATCTTGGTTTTGGAACACTCATGTTTGACATTATTTGATTCACCCCTCACTACTTCTCTATAAAACTGCCACCGCTACCCACAAACAGATTTTGCCAAACTGAAAATCTACTTTTTCTTTTTTTAGGGACAGGGTGGTGCTCTGTCACCCAAGCTGGAGTGTGGTGATGCAATCATAGCTCATTGCTCAAATTCTTAGGCTCAAGCAATTCTGCCTCAGCCTCCTGAGTAGCCGAGACTACAGGTATACACCACCATGTCTAACTAATTTTTTAAATTTTTTGTAGAGATGGAGGTCTCACTATGTTGCCCAGCCTGGTCTCAAACTCCTAGCCTCCGGCGATCTTCCTACCTTGGCCTCCCAAAGCACTGAGATTATAGGTATGAGCCACTGCACCCAGCATGAAAGTCTATTTTTATTGTATTATCTATTCCATCACCACTCATTCATTTATAATACAAAGTTAATTTGTTTGGTAAGAACTGTATTTGTCATTCAAACTGGGACAACCCTCATTACACTGTGGAATCCTATAATTACTTCATAAAATAAGGGGAAAGGGCTGGACATGGTGGCTCATGCCTGTAATCCCAGCACTTTGGGAGGACGAGGTGGGCAGATCATTTGAAGTCAGGAGTTCGAGACTAGCCTGGCCAACATGGTGAAACCTTGTCTCTTCTAAAAGTACAAAAATTAGCTGGGCATGGTGGCGCACGCCTGTAATCCCAGCTATTCGGGAGGCTGAGGCAGGAGAATCACTTGAACCCAAGAGGCGGAGGTTGCCGTGAGACAAGATTGCACTACTGCACTCCAGCCTAGGGCAACAGAGTGAGACTCTGTCTTAAAAAAAAAAAAAGGAGAGGGGGGTAGTGAGGAGGAAGGACAGATAGAAGAAAAAAGTGGAAGAAGAATAAAGCAGCCATGTGTAAACTAGTTTCTACTACTTAAGGAAATGTAATCCAATGTTAAGAGTGCAAACAATTTAGAAGCATGGTGGGAGAAATCTTTTCCAGGACAATAAATGATAGCTTTGGTGACAACATACTTTCTACACTTGCACTGTCCAATTCAATGGGCATTAGCTATACACATGGCTACCAAACTCTGAGTAAAAAAATAAAACACTCAGTTCTTCCACTGTACTAGCCACATTTCAAATACTCAATAGCAACATGTGGCTATTGAACAGTGCAGATATAGAACATTTCTATCATTGCAGAAAGTTCTATTGGACAGCATGAGTCTGTATGTTCCTCCCAATAATTACTATCAATGGGTGATAGAAGCATCAAAATCACCGAGAGACATGCAAGTGAAGAGACAGCCATATGTAAATGCAAAAGATCTACTTCCCACTGTATTCTACTTGGGAACAAATTTCTTAAACACAATCCCTCCCTGCCTCTGTTACTGAGTAACAGATTTGGAGTTTTTAAAAAAAACCTCTTGGGTTAAATGAGGGAGAATCTACTCTTTTTCTCTGTTGAGTGATCTGGGCATTGCATGCAAACTTACAGTTTGGTCTCATCTGCCTCTTTCTGCATGATTTCAAGAATCATGCGGCATGCTTCAGAAGTCCCCTCTGGGGTGGCATGGATGGTGACAGGCTTCTCTGCAGCTCCAGAGTTCTCTTTTCTATGGATATCTACCCTGTAGGAAAAGAATCAGGAGCCATGATTACAAGGTCATCTGGATAGGACCCTAGCCCCAAGAAAGCGTCACACCAACCCATGTACAGCAAGGACACAGACAGACAAGGAGGCGTCATCAGCACGTTTGCAATCAGTGCCATTCTCCAAGAAGGAGGCAAGCAGTGCAGGGGGTCTTGTGCCAAATTTTAATTATTTGCAGCTTCATTTAGAAGGGAACGGTTCTTACAGGAGTGCTGTAGGACAAAGGCACTAAGCCAACTCAGTAATGAAGCCAGTTTGGTAAATGAAGTATTTTGTGTAGTCTTTCAAATGACTGCAGAAGTGAAGAGTAAAGTGAGAAGGATAATACTGCACATTGGCACAGTGCCGGTCTCTGAACTGATTGCAGCTTTTAAAAGCCATATGTTAATCCAAATCCGAACACCAAATTCAAGCAAGCTTTATATATTTGAGTGTGGATAGAAAACAGAGGCATGCCCTCTCTCTGCCTAAGTTTTTGGTTTCCTTTCCATTGGCAGCCTGCCATTAAGACTAATGGCTCAAAAGCTTGATGACTTTATCAGACTTCTTTGGGTAGTTGTGGTCCTACCTGTTTTTGTTAACTTTCAAAATTACATAACTGATTATATCCTTTTTACTTTGGTTGTTAGAAAGCCTAGAGCCAAGTCTTTGGTTGACGTCTAAAAAATGGGCACACACTTTGAGAGCTAACCCCACTTCTATTTAAACTTGTTACATTTTTTTTTCAAGCCACCTTACACAATTTTTGCACAAAAAGACACAAATAAAAGTCACTTTCGCAGTGAACTTGGAGGAAAAGCCAGGGCTGATTTTAAAATAAAAGGATACCAAACAGTAACTTCCCTCTCTATTTCCTCACTTCTAAGATGTGGCACTCCAGACTCATCCATATCAGTGTCTATTATTTGGGGATAAATAAGACATTCTGAAGAAAATAGCATTTCTCTTTCAGGTTACAAGACACCCACTGAATGACCTGAATAAAGTGTACCAGCCCATGTAAATAATTATTATGTGTCAGTAATTGGGTGCTTTGCAATTTAAGTACTTTCATATTAATTATTTCACTCAATCTCCCTGATTGTGCTAATTGTCATAATAATCCTGGCAAAACAGACAGGAACCCTCTATTTATTTATTTATTTAGAGATGGAGTTTCACTCTGTTGCCCAGGCTGGAGTGCAGTGGCGCCATCTCGGCTCACTGCAACCTCCGCCTCCTGGGTTCAAGTGATTCTCCTGCCTCAGCCTCCAGAGTAGCTGGGATTACAGGCGTGAGCCACCACAACTGGCTGATTTTTGTATTTTTAGTAGAGACAGGGTTTCACCATGTTAGCCAGGCTGGTCTCGAACTCCTGACCTCAGATGATCCCCCTGCTTCAGCCTCCCAAAGTGCTGGGATTACAGGGATGAGTCTCTGTAATACAGAGGGTGCCCAGCCAGAACCCTCTTTTTATAGAAGAGGCAACTGATGCTCAGAGAGGTTAACATCTTTTCCAAGATCACAAAACCATTTAAAGTGCTACAACTTGAACGTAAGTCTTTGTTTTCAAGTCCCGAGCTTGCTTTATTACATCATGCTACAGTCTTAGGAAGATACAAAAATCAACAATTCCATAAGACGTTTTATTCACCAACTCTTACAATCAGTTCAGTCTCCTTGAACAGGGAGGAAACTAAACAGAAGGCCAGTGTGCTTTATTTCTTGCTTGACGTGGCAGTGACTCACCCACTTCTTTGTGAGACTACCTATGTTGTCACAAGAATGGCCACCCCCAGGGCTCTGACTCAGGGGAAGAGGAAGAGCTATGATGAGTGGGTTCTAGGATCCCGCAGAGCTCCAAACCTCTGCTTTTGTAGAAATCAATGCATCCATAAGCATTAGTTCGCTTACAGGAACAGTCCTGGCTGTGAGGTTATCAGTACCCTCTTTATGAACTTTTAGCCTCTCAGCATGAAAGCTTGTCACAGCCCCCAGCTTGATGTTAGTCTGTTAGTAGTCCTGTTGAAAGAAGCCACTGTCTCTTACAGCACAGCCCCCCACTGCTGATGTAAGCAATTGTGACCTAAGAGTGGCTGAGACCCACCAGCACGCAGGGGACCCCTCAGAAGGAAGCAAAGGAAGCCCCACAGGCACGTACCGGGACTGGGTCTGCTTAGTGATGTTCTTTATGGTCAAGCCCTCCTTTCCGATGATGGCACCAACAAACTGGGTGGGGACCAGGATCCGCAGCGGGAAATCAATCTGTCTGGCCTGAGAAGTGCCCCCAGGGGCGTGGCCTTGCTCCCGGGAAGAGTGGTCCCCACGCTGGGCTCGCTGAGGGGGCGAAGGGGAGCTCACCTCTTCATCCGGGATGTAGGAAATCTTGAAGGAGTAGTTCTCAAACTGATGCCCGCTTAGCTTCTCCATGGCTCTGAAATGCAGCAGGACAGGGGAGCTTCGTCAGAAACCAACATCAAGAAAGACCCTCCCGGCCGGGCGCGGTGGCTCACGCCTGTAATCCCAGCACTTTGGGAGGCCGAGGCGGGTGGATCACGAGGTCAGGAGATCGAGACCATCCCGGCTAAAACGGTGAAACCCCGTCTCTACTAAAAATACAAAAAATTAGCCGGGCGTAGTGGCGGGCGCCTGTAGTCCCAGCTACTTGGGAGGCTGAGGCAGGAGAATGGCGTGAACCCGGGAGGCGGAGCTTGCAGTGAGCCGAGATCCTGCCACTGCACTCCAGCCTGGGCGACAGAGCGAGACTCCGTCTCAAAAAAAAAAAAAAAAAGAAAGACCCTCCCGCAAGACTGGTTCATTCACTCCCATTTAATAGGTGCCTATATGGTGCCATGCCAGGCACTGAACATACAGTGGTGAGCAAGACAGACACCATCTCTGCTCCCTCAGGGCTTACGGTTAACAGTTAAACAAGTAATCACAACGCATCAGCCTGGTCAGGCTTCATATCCAACATTACAGCCTGGTTTCTCCACCACTCAAGGCCATTTCCCCCTTATCAAAAACTCTTATAAATATCAGTATAAAATTATGACTCATTTTTTTCTCATTTTAATCATCATACATATTATTGAAAATTCAGAAATATGTAAGTGCAAATAAAATCCTAATCCACTATCTTTACTGTCTTTCTTAAATATAAACATATTATTGCTTATAAAAATGGGTTAATATTGTACATACTATGTTCTAACCTTTAAAAAAACAGTTAATATTCTAAAACATTTTTCAATGTCACTAAGTACCTTTCAGTATAATTTACACATGACTCAACTGCAGTATCAGTATAATTTTTAATGACTGTTTAACATTCTATTGATTTACCATAGTTTTTGCAACTGATCCTTTATAGTTAGATATCTGTTGTATCCAACCTTTTACAGTTACACACACTGTCACCATTGGCATCTTTGCAACTACAACTTTGCACACAGGACAAATTCCTAGTAGAATTGTTAACTATTGCCCAGTGGGCCCCTGGAATGGTTTCAACATTTATGATCCCATAGCAGTTTAGGAGAGAGCATTTGTGTCCTTGAATCTTCAAATGCACAGAGCGCTGTTATTTAAAGATATTTATCAATTTGATAGGGGATAAATGATATACCACTATTATATTCTTAAAATGACACACGAAATACACTATCCTTTTCACATATTTTTAGTAGCATTAACCCAATTTTACTAGGTTAATGTCTAGGACTTGTAAATTTATTACAAAGCAGCACCTTTTGAATTTAATAAAAGCAATAGAGTAATATCATGTAGAGAGGTCCACCCAAGCAGCAGCTAGATAAGGGCTGTGGAGTTGAGTTGTTGGTGTATCTCCACTTACAAATGTGTACAAGGTAAAGTTAACACTAAATGAACTATTACCTTTTTCTTTTTTTTTATTTTTTTCGAGACAGAGTTTCGCCCTTATTGACCAGGCTGGAGTGCAATGGCGCGATCTCAGCTCACTGCAACCTCTGCCTCCCAAGTTCAAGTGATTCTCTTGCCTCAGCCTCCCGAGTAGCTGGGATTACAGGCATGCGCCACCACGCCTGGCTAATTTTGTATTTTTAGTAGAGATGGGGTTTCTCCATGTTGGTCAGGCTGGTCTCGATCTCCCAGCCTCAGGTGATCTGCCCACCTCGGCCTCCCAAAGGGCTGGGATTACAGGCATGAGCCACCACGCCTGGCCTGAACCATTATCTTTTTCAATGCAAAATTAACATTTTGAAAACTAGCAGTATGAAAATGGGTTAAATATCTTTGTATGTTGAAAAAGAACACTATAATCCTGGGATATATAGCCAAGGTTATGCCACACCCATAAAGCAAGACCAAATGTGACCATAATTCTAGTTATAATGACCTGACAGGCACTTTAAGGACCTCCTACAAAAAAGGAACTTGTTTTTGTTGTTCTTTTAAAGATGGGGGTCTCATTATTTTGCCCAGGCTGGTCTCAAACTCCTGGCTTCAAGTAATCCTCACCCTCCCAAGTAGCTGGGATTATAAGCATGTGCCACCACATCCGGCTGTTGTTGTTTTGAGAGGCAGGGTCTTGCTCTGTTGCCCAGGCTGGATGGTAGTGGTGCAATCACAGCTTACTGCAGCCTTACCATCCTGGGCTCAAGTGATCCTCCTGCCTCAGCCTCCCAAGTAGCTGGAACTACAGGTGCAAGCCACCATTCCCAGCTAATTTTTAAATTGTTTTTTTGTAGAGACTGGGTCTCCCTATGTTGTCCAGGTTGGTCTCAAACTCCTGGGCTCAAGCAATCCTCCGGCCTTGCCCAAAATGCTGGGATTACAGGCATGAGCCACCATGCCTGGCCTCATTGTTTTTTAAGAGACTTGATCTCATGTCCATTAACAGCTAAGCTCAAAATTAACCATCCCTGAAGTAATGAATGGGCACTGGAAAGAGGATGGGGATTGGAGAAAAGAACCCAAACCAGGTGCTATTGAGTAACCACTCTCAGACAATTCTCTCGGCTGCTGCTCTCACTGAGGTGGATTCCCTCCTAATGTTACACACACAAAATTGATGTTTTGGTATAGGCTTGTGCTGCCTCTTCACAGTGCATGGAGGAAGCTCTAGGTAAAAGTGGTCCCAAGTGTTTGGCAAAGCAGAGTCTAGGAGACACAGTGTCACAGGTATGGTGCCCTCTATTCCCGATCATGTCAAGACACAGCTCCCATCTTGGTTTTGATGCCAAGGCTCAACATTTTTCAAGTCTCTACACAATCCACAAATATCCCGGTGTGAATGTCCTGGAGCTCCACTGACATGTCAAAGATGGCAGGAACACCCTGGAGCTCTACCAATATGTCAAAGGTGGCTCAGATGCCGTGGAGCTCCATGGGTATGTCAAAGGTGGCACATATCCAGCTCAAAGATCTGCATCTTTTTAGAAAACATTTAAAAACACAGAACTCAATGGAATTCAAATATAAAAACAAATAAATTTAAACAGAAATAAGCCCAAATCTGCTTACATTTTTGCTTCTTCTCTTGTTGCATATGTGACGTTGACAACGGCGGTTTCTGTGTCTGTGTTGACTAGGGAAAAGGCAAAAACTACACTGTCATAGGAAAAAGTGCTGTCACCCTCTGGCTTAATGTAAACAGACAAACTTTAGAGAAAAATGCATAAAACCCTCATCACACTGGCTCCACAGTTATCTGCATCTCTACGTTTATTCATCTGAGTTCACAGTAATTTGTAATCAATTGTATATAACACGTTTGTAATCAATCGTATGAACAACTCAGAACTATATTTTCCACATATTTTATAAACACTTTTATATGAGTATTTTGTATCAGTACATTTTCTTTGTATTTTTCATTTTTAATGTCTATATAAAATTGCAGTGAGTCAAATGTACCATGACTTGCCTAACCATTCCCCAATTGTTGGTAAGTAGGCTGTTCCCACTATTTGCTAGTCTAAATAGTGTTGCTAAAAATCACCTTTGTTGCAAACATCACTGGATTGTGTGTTCTTCTGAATTACTTCTTTAGGCTAAAATCACAGAAGAAAAGTAATGCAGTAAAAGAACATGATGCTTTTTAATGCATATTTTCAGACTGGTCTCCTAGAAGTTTGTATCAATTTATTACATCACTATCAAGGTATGAGTTTTAATTATAATTTGCATTAATTCTTAAATAATTGGATATACATATAAAACAATAAGAAAATATTTTAATTTAAATTATTCATTCACTGACAAGGTTGAACCATCACTATTTTTGTTTCCCTTTGACTGAACTCTTTGACTGTGTGGGTTAAATCTAATAAATAAAACTGACAATTCTAATTACTTGGCTAAAAGAGAAAGTATAAACTCTATGATTGGCTAATAAGGGATTACTCTTGTGAGTTGTCTTGTCTTAGATCATAATTTCTTGCCTCTTCTTCTATAGTTAGAAATTAAAAATAAATTCAAATGCCAGAGAAAACTTTCTCAATCCAAGCCAGTAAACTTAAACACCAAAAATATATGTTTCCCAAAACAAAGGTGACTAGATCAATTCTTCCCTTTAAAAGATTTAAGCTGTTGGGAGTTTGGAGTTAACAACAACATTAAGTTAAAGATAATTCAAGAAAATTATGATAAACCTGCTGTCCAAAGTAATAATAAAACTCTATAATATACGATTCTTTACACTGGACCCATGCTTGAGCTTCAAGAATTCTATAAACCCCTCCAAAATGATTCAAACTTGTAGAAATGTGAATTTTTCTTGTTATTTTACAAGATTTGCAAAGGGACCTGAGACCCCGAAAAGCTTAAGGACTACTGTTAAAAATACTGTTTGTTAAATAACTTTAAAGCAGCTGCAGCCTTTATGGGTTGCAGGGAGTTGTATGTAATGCTCAGAAAGAGCTGCCACTGAGAATTACATGTAATAAACCCGAGCCCAGCTCTGGCCTTGGCCTGGAGTGTTCATAGCACGCTTTAATTCACACTTAACCCACAGAAGTCCTCACAGTGCAAAACAGGGGAGGTGTAGCACATTACTGTCCTCTCTCAGTGCTGACACAGAGAATGCTAAAAAGGTTTCATATTTGCTGCTTTCTAGTGCTACAGATAAGGCTGTAGACTCCCAGAAAGGGCTGGGTTTGAACCTCCTGAATAAAGCTATCCATTAGGATTCTCAGATTCTGTGCTCACTTCTTAGTCATATGCTCTGTTCTTCAAAGATGTTAGTCTTCAGGAAATCAGGCAGTTCTTTGATTCTGTGACGAGCTAAGCTCCATTCAAATAATTTATTTCACTGGGCATGAAAGTTCTATAAAGTTGCCTAAAACTCTACTGAAAATATTTTCCTGCTGAATCAGGAATCACTCATGTAACAGGACAAAACAATAGCCCAACAGTTCTATCCTGTTGTTGTTAGGCAGCTGGAAACTGGGGGGTCTCCAGCACACAGCTGCCCTAGGACCTATAAACTGCCCCAGGGACCTGGAATATATTTTTCTTGCGTAGCATTGTCCTCAGTTTATAATATAATCTTAACTAGTAACTTTTACAGGTTCATGTCTGCAAGACCATCTTGCCTACAACACCCAATCATTAGAATGTCTTCTTTTCTGCCGGGCACGGTGGCTCACACCTGTGATCCCAGCACTCTGGGAGGCCAAGGTGGGTGGATCACTTGAGGCCGGGAGTTTGATGCCAGCCTGGCCAACACGGTGAAACCCTGTCTCTACTAAAACTACAAAAATTAGCCAGGCATGGTGGCGCTCACCTATAATCCCAGCTACTAGGGAGGCTGAGGCACAAGAATTGCTTGAACCCGGGAGGTGGAGGTTGCAGGGAGTAGAGATCATGCTCCTGCACTCCAGCCTGGGCGACAGAGTGAGACTCCGCCTCAAAAAAAAAAGCAGGGGGAGTCTTCTTTCCATGTCGAAGGAAATAAGAACTAAGAAATAGAATCCTTATAAATCATGTCTTCTTTCTGAGCTCTTTCCCTTCACCTTTGGGCATGGGCAGGCAGCAGCATAAACTGAATAATATCTGAATAATTACTGCTTTAAAACTATTAATTAAACTAGCAGAATAGATCATATACAAGAAAATGGGTTGTTTGCAATTTTTCCTAAGTGAACTTGAACAATCCCTTCAGCTTACGTATGACTCTGCTGTCTACAAATGCCTTATACAGGTTCTCTTTGGGTAACACAACTATCCAGTGACAGAGGAAGGGTAGAAATTTCTCTCTCAATTTGACACTTGTGCATACTGAGTCAGTGAGGTTATTTGACTTTTTCAAGGGTTCGCAGTCAGTAAATGACTGAATTTACATTCTGTTTTCTAGGTCAAGGCAAAAATAATCTTTATCATGTATTATTGCCTGTCACATCAGGAGTTTGGAATCTACTTTTCTGGGACTCTTAAAGAGCTAGATAAGATATCAGCTTTAGGTACCACTGTTTTCCTTTTAAAAATCATAGTATTTCATGCTTTAGAAGATAAAAAAGAGGTTGGCAGGAAGAAAAGTATCTTCTGGGCATTTGCAGCACTGCTCCTGAGACAGGTGTTCTCAAACTTGAGTGTACACAAAAATCACTTCAGGGTTTTTGTTTGTTTGTTTTGAGACAAAGTCTCACTCTGTCACCCAGGCTGGAGTTCAGTGGTGTAATCTCGGTTCACTGCAACCACCTCCCAGGCTCAAGCGATTCTCGTGCCTCAGCCTTCCAAGTAGCTGGGATTACAGGCATGCGTCACCATACCTGGCTAATTTTGTATTTTTAGTAGAGATGGGGTTTTGCCATGTTGGCCAGGCTGGTCTTGAACTCCTGGCCTCATGTGATCTGCCCACCTGGGCGTCACAAAGTGCTGGGATTACAGGTATGAGCCACCACACCTGGCCTCGGGTGCTTTTTTAAATATAGATTCACGAGCTCTTCCCTGCAAGACTCTTACTCAGCAGGTCTACAGTAAGCCCTAGGAGTCTGCAATTCACAAGCACTTCAAGGGATTATTGGTATAGGAGTCCTATTCATTGGGTAACACTCAGTCCAAGACATTAGGGATCTGTTTTTCTTATCCAGGGAAAGGAAAGTAGCAACCGTGTAAATCCAATTACTCCTAAGTGAATTAAGCTTACCCTAGCCTGACAGCGTTTGTCAGTGCTTGAGCACACTGCACAGTATATGAGAAACAGCTTGTAAATAATATTCCTCGAAAAGGCAAACTACATAGACATACATAGAAAGAGACAGATATCTCTCACATCTATGTAAGATACATCTTACATAGATGTAAATACATATACTCTAGGAAGCTTATTTCAAAGAAATATGAACTTACTATTTCTCCCTGGAGTTGACCTAACCTATAAGAAATAACAGATAATATCTCTCTCCAAAACCCAAAAGGCTTCCTCACTTATTACCTTGTTCCACATTCTCCACTGTCCCATATTGAGCCAAAAGTCCATCCAACACCTAAAAGAGAAAGCTTCCATGTCAGAATGGGAAGGCAAGATCATATGTACAAAAAATACTACAGTGATATACCCCAGCAAACAAATTAAAGGAAAAAAAAGATGGTTATAGGAATAATCTAATTAAATTGATATCTCAGGTCTTCCATAAAAACAGTTAGAACTGAACAAATATATGGGACCTACATTGGCTTATTGGCTCCCAATTAATCTGTTCACTAAGGTTACACAGCAGAATTTCAGACTCTTAGTAACTGTTAACAATCACATTCGTCATGATGGTTGGAACACACTACTCTTACAATGAGAAGCAGAATAAAGTACAAGACTCACTCCACTTTCTTGAAATATTTAACAATTCTTTTACAAGGATCTCTTCATTTTACAAGGTAATAGGATGTGTATGTTTGAAATGTTCCATAATAATCAGGTTTTTTGTTTTGTTTTGTTTTGTTTGAGATGGAGTCTCCCTCTGTCACCCATGCTGGAGTGCAGTGGCACCATCTCGGCTCACAGCAACCTCCATCTCCTGGGTTCCAGTGCAGCCACTCTCCTGCCTCAGCCTCCCGAGTAGCTGGGACTACAGATGCCTGTCACCATGCCTGGCTAATTTTTGTATTTTTAGTAGAGACGTGGTTTCACCATGTTGGTCATGCTGGTCTCAAACTCCTGACCTCAAGTGATCCTCCTGCCTTGGCCTCCGAAGTGCTGGGATTTACAGGCGTGAGCCATCACGCCCAGGCAATAATCGTGTGTTTTTTTTTTTTAAAGTAATAAAAACATTAGATAAAACATTGTTTCCTTTAAGGCACGGTGTTTTCTTTGGGTGGGGAATAAAATATGAGGCAGTTTGTTTTTAAATCACAATAAGGCCACTCCTCATATTCTTACTTTATTTTAAGGTAGAAATCTTATAAGCTTTACAACTCTGAAAACATACCTTAACTGTCACAGCAACTAATTCAAAACAAACAAAAAATTCTGCTAAAACCAACAAAGACCTTTCTACTTTTGTTGCCTTTTCATTCACTTTTTTTTCCAAATTATAATCTGGAAAGATAAAAATCTTTTTAAAAATCATGAGATACAAGGCAGGTGGATTGCTTGAACCTAAGAGTTCGAGGCCAGCCTGGACAACATAGCAAAACCTCATCTCTAAAAAAATACAAAAATTAGCCGGGCATGGTGGCATGCATCGAGTCCCAGCTACTCAGGAGGCTGGGGTGGGAAGATGAGGTAGGAAGATCCCTGGACCCGGCTGCAGTGAGCCATGATTGGGCCACTGCACTCCAGCCTGGGTGACAAAGTGAGACACTGTCTCAAACATACAAACCAACAAACCATGAGATACAAATCACAACCAGGTATATATTTTGTTTCTTGGCTTATTTGCTGGTGCTTGGTAGCATGGTACTTGAAAAGACAGAACATGAGGGATCAAAGTACACATTCTATGAAAGAAACAAATACGACCCCAAACTCATTACAGATCACATACATTAGGGTACTGAAAAGAAAGAGGCAGGACCCAGAAGCTTTGTGGGAAACACTGAGGCCCTCTAATTCCTAAATGTAAAATGGAACTAAAGAAGGGAGAAATGTCTCATCAACCCATTAAAAATTGACACTGGCTTACCTCCCACTGCAGGTGAGGAGGGATGTTTCGAATCTGAATTTTCCTGCTCCTGTAAAGATAAAACCACAGACTATAACACTTTCTCCAGGACACAAACTACAGCAAATAATAAAAACCGGCTTAAACCCGTCATTTGAATTTGTTTTCTCACTGTGTTCACCATGGCATCAACAAAAAATTCCTACTGTGAATCATGAGCATAGTTTTTTTGTTGTTTTTTTTCGAGCCAGAGTCTCGCTCTGTCGCCAAGGCTGGAGTATAGGTGGTGCGGTCTCGGCTCACTGCAACCTCTGCCTCCCAGGTTCAAGCGATTCTCCTGCCTCAGCCTCCCAAATAGCTGGGATTTTTAAGACAGAGTCCTGCTCTGTCATCCAGGCTGGAGTGCAGTGGCACGATCTTGGCTCACTGCAACCTCTGCCTCCCGGGTTCAAGCGATTCTCCTGCTTCAGCCTCCCGAATAGCTGGGATTACAGGTGCCCACCACCACACCTAATTTTTGTGGGTTTTTTGTTGTTGTTTGTTTGTTTGTTTTTTAAGAAGGGGTCTCACTCTGTCATCCAGGCTGGAGTGCAGTGGTGTGACCTTGGCGCACTGCAACCTCTGCCTCCCAGGCTCAAGTGATTCTCCTGCCTCAGCCTCCCAAGTAGCTGGGATTACAGGCATGTGCCACCACACTTGGCTAATTTTTGCATTTTTAGTAGAGATGGGAGTTCAACATGTTGGCCAGGCTGGTCTCGAACTCCTGACCTCAAGTGATCCGCCTGCCTCGGCCTCCCAAAGTTTTGGGATTACAGGCGTGAGCCACCACACTGGCCTCATGAGCATGTTTTAAGGTTTTCAATTACTTTGGAAAAAAACAAAAAACAAATGAAAAACCCAAGAAATCCCAACAAGCTAAAATAATAATAATAATAATAATTTAAATACAGACTCATCTTTTCAATTTCCTACCAAAGTAGTTAGAATTTAAGTCATCATACAGATTCTATTTATACAATTATCCCCTTCTTCCTCAAAATATATTGGCCTGCAACTGACCTGACCCCAAAGTGTACCTAGGCTCAAACAGGACAGGTGAGGTCATATAGTGGGCTTCAACAAGATCAGATTTAGTTGCCCCCTTACCTAACAAGGCAAAATGCCATTTAAAAATATTTTTATTTCTGAATAGGTACTACAGTCCTAATTCAAAAGTTAAAACACTATAAAAAGTTATACTGTGAAAAGTCTCACCACCCCCTCTTTCACCAGAAATACTTTCTACATGTTATTTGCGTATCCTTCAGATTCTTTATGCAAATAATAGCAAATGTGAATATATATTCATATTTTCACCCTTTTCTTAGAGAAGTATCTGCATATTCTACACATTCTCTGCATCTTGCTTTTTTCACCTGACAGTCATATTCTTGAGATCTTCCTCAAGGTAGAGTTAGAGAGCTTCCTCACTCTATTTCATAACTACATAGGTATCCTGAAGTATATTTAATCCATCCCCTACTAATGGACATTTGGGCCTTTTCATTCAGAGGCTTTCCCCAAGACATCCTGCTGGTCTGAAAGCTTTGAATGACTTAGATTGTTTCTTGTTTTTACTTAAGCAATTAAAATTAGACAGAAAAAAGAACAGTATAAGTTATGTAATTTTTTTTTATCTTTGAGAACATGCTGGATATCCTGGAAATAAAGCATTTAAATGTTAGAGACGTTGTTTTAATAGAAGAGCTTGACACTGAAATCCTATAAATACTCATTTTGGGGGGTTGCCAGAAAAGAGATGTGGTGTACCACCTTGCGGGGTCAGAGGTACTAAACAGTGGCTATACACAGTCACATGTTTCTCCAGGGCTTTAATCTGGGCAACAGCCCCAGAGAGAAATGTTACAACTCAAGCAGAAAGAGAAAAGGAGAGACACACACACAGAGGTACAGAGATGGAAACAAATGGGGAAATAATGAATTAAATGAGGGGCTCTAGTTTTCTCAGCTCCTTTTTATGAAATGTCACAGGGGCAACCCCACCATTCTAGCTCCCATATACTACTTCAGTCTTGTCTATCTTTTTTTAAATATTAATGTATTCGTGCCTTACTAGGGCTGCTTTAATGACTATACAGAATCACTAATTGTGTATCAGGACGGAAAAAGAATCAAGAACTAATTTCTACCTCTATGCTGTGAAGGCTAATTCCCGACATGGCCTTTGGCAATAGTTCAGAATAAAACTGCCAGCACCATCCCATACAGTGGCTACATGGAAATTCTCTATGGAAGATGTCACCAAGCCTAACAGTCTGTAGAAAGGGCATCAGAATTCTCAAGAAAATAAAATATTTCTAAAGAAAAATATTTTTGTTATTTCCAAATACAAACATTGACTCCAACTGCTAACCAACAATTTACTGGTAGATATTCTATTGGAAGAAACTCACGAATGAGCACAGAGAGATGTGAACAAAGACAGCAACTGTAACATTATTTGTAACAGAGTGCATACAATCTAAATATTTACCAACGAGAGATGAATACATATATCATAATACAGCTGAATATAGAATATTATACAGCTCTTAAAAATGAAGTTGACAAGCATGCACTGTCATAGAAAACTCTCCAAGGTATGCTGTTACAAGAAAAGAGGTAATTACAGATTAAATTGATCCTGCTTTTAAAAAGCACAAAACCAAACTACCTGTTATTCAATGTGTATGTGTGTAAATGCACAGAAAAAGGCTGCACCAAGCAGATTTAGTTGGTAAAAGAATACTTTTAGCTACTAACTTTTTTATATTTTTTTAAATTATTAAATTTTTAATAGAGATGGGGTCTTGATATATTGCCTGCTGGTCTTGAACTCCTGGGCTCTAGTGATCCTCCCACGTTGGCCTCCCAAAGTGCTAAGATTAAAGGCATGAGCCACCATGCCCACCCCTTGTTTACTTTTTAAAATTGAGAATATATTCATGTCTTATCCTACAGGCTTTAAAAAACGAACAATGAAAACTTCTATTAGGGTTGCCTTAATATACAAGACTTATTTTTTTTAAAGTATACTGGAACCTGCTAAGTAAAAAAAAAAAAAAAAGAAAGAAAGAAAGAAAGAAGAAAAAACCAAGCCTCATTTTCTCCATAATTACACTAGGTATTCTTGAAATCTTATTTCTTATTCTTGAAATCTAATACAAGTAAAAGTCGTTTCTCATCCTCACTGCCACAGAACTATTAATGTATGTGGCAAACACTTCACGGTGCAAAAGTAGGAAAACTCCGCCCAATGCTGATTACCCCAAATACTAACTGAATGCATCTAAAACAATGGCATTTCCCTGTAATAGTTCAAGTAAACACTACACATAAGTTCAGTAACTGGGAATGTCCTGCTTTGTTAAGCCAGACACTTGGAGGAATAATCTCTTAAAAGCTGGACTGTCGCACCTCTGATCTCAGATCAGGATGGAAAGGAAGGAACTGAGAGCTAAAAAGAGAAATGGAGATCACTACGGTAGAACCAACTAACCTGGAGTTCAGCCGGTCATTTGGGAGACTATCCTGAGGGATTATCTTTTGGGGTCATGAGCAATTAGGATCTCTGAGATCTGCTGACTCCTGTGGCATCATCTGGACAGTATGCCTTCTCATCAGGGTACCCAGGAGGCCTGTCCCCTCCTTCCCCGGGAGGGACTCTGGCATGTCCTTCAAAACGCAGCTCACACATAATCCCTGCTGAGCTTTCCAGAATGTCTCCAGAAAGAACTGTTTCCTCTGCACTTTTCGGTTGTTCTGGTAGCTCACTCTTCGCCATAATTACTTATCTGCTAGTGCTGTGTCCCCTCAACCCCCGCGGTGATTTCATCAAGGACAGGTTCCTTGTTTACTATTCCACCATCTAGCACGGGGTCTCATACACAGGGGCTGAGAAGAGCACTCCTGCTGCTGGCTGCAGTCTGTTCATGATGAAGATCCTCCTGACCCCACCCAGGAAAACGAATTGTCTATTTTTTCTTTGCCAGGAAGTCAACAGGAGAGGGAAGGAGGTGTTCGTTTCCCTCCTTCCTTTAGACAAGAAAGGAAAGTATCTGGCTCAGTCTCAAATGAGAGTATCGATCTTTCTCCCTGAAACTGTGCCCTGCTTTAAAAAAACCAAACACACAGTAACTTAGGAAAGTGATTGGTAATAGGAAAATAATTCTTTGTCCTTTAAAATAATAATTTCACAGTTCCAATATGTTAAAGATGAAACCAAGCTTCTCTAATTACAGGTAAAAGGCATTTTTCATCCTCACTCACAGAGCCACAGAACTATTACAGCCGTCTCCCAGCTGGTCCCTCCATCTTTGGCCTGCACCTCCCCCTCTCCCATCCACTCCTCACCTGGCTGCCAGTCACTTTTTCCACACACGGAGAGGGCTACTCCTGCCTTCCTTGACTCCCTGCTGCTGCCTCCTCCCCATCTCTATCTTTAAACACTCCTTCACACCAAGCCCCTCCACCTGCAGTTCACAAGTGTGCCAGAATGAGCCTTCAACTCCCTCAGCTCACCCTCAAACAGAAGTAAAAAGAGCAGCAGGAACATGTCTTTATTTCACCTTCATTTTAACTGGAAGCAGAATAAGACCTGAAGTCAAGCGAAGGGTGCTCTTTAATACAAATATATAGGCTCTTTCCCTGTGGCTTTCGGATTCAGGAAGTTAGAACTTCCCACTCTCAAATTCAAGTAAACTAAGTGTGTGGGAAAGGGCCACCTACCAGGAAACGAGTAATGCAGCCCTGGAGCCACCCTGCTTTGCTAGGGAACTGGCTACCTTCACCGATTCTGGACTCTGGTCAATTGATTATAGCACACATGTGTGGACTATCAAACTGTAAAGAACTACAGAATAAAATATATGTAATCCCAGCTCATCTAACTAATTTATAGTTGACGGGTTCCAAGGACTTTCAACATATAAATGCCTCAGCATACATTTTATAATCTGTTATATTTATAATACGTTATCTTTGGCTGTAGATACCCAGAGGTAACAGAAGGTTCCAACTGAGTGAATTTCAGATAAGCTAGATGTCCATTGTTATGAATTTCAAGGGCCTGGCAGAAATTATTTAGTTACGGTAGAATTTGTTGCTTAAAGTAAGGAGGCAATCAGCTGGGGAAATAAAATCATATTTAACTATTGAGGAACCTCGTGAAACTGAAGAACCATTTCATCTGTATTATTAAAAAAAAAAGTTGGGAGGCTGAGGCAGATGGATCACTTGAGGTCAGGAGTTCGAGACCAGCCTGGCCAACATGGTGAAACCCTATCTCTATCAAAAACATAAAAATTAGCCGGGCATGGTGGATGGTGTGCACCTATTGTCCCAGTTACTCAGGAGGCTGAAGCAGGAGAATCACTTGAACCTGGGAGGTGGAGGCTGCAGTGAGCCGAGACTGAGCCACTGCACTCCAGCCTGGGGGACAAGAGAGAAACTGTCTCAAAAGAAAGAAAGAAAGAGAGAAAGAAAGAAAGCAAAACACCTGCTTTGGTGTGAGGAGGATAATGCCATAGTTTTCAGGCATATGGTCTATTAGCCACAAGTCTATCAGCTACCTTGAGAACTCTAAACCAAGCCTTGGTTATGCTGTGGGTCTGACTAGAGAACAAATTAACATGAATTGTGAGAACCCAGCTTGTAGGATTCCAGCTTCCATTGGAGAATTAGGCCAACTAGGAACTGGAGGATTCCCAGGTAACTTTTGGGCAAGAGAGGCAACATAGAGGGCCTTGTGAGAGCGTCCTTTGGGGCTCCATGCGGGATTCTACCCAAATACGTCCCATCTGTTTCCACAACATTTCTGAGCTCCATCAGATGATAAAAGGGATTTCCTCATGTGCATTACCTGTAAAGAGAGGCAGGTATGCTAACCGGCCCCGAGCTGGGACAGAAACCACCAGCGCTCCCAGCCCTCCTCCCCTTTAGCGCTGCAGTCAGATTCCAGTCTATTGCACGCGCTCATTAGTGTGTCTTTCCTATTCCTCATTAGTTTGAAAGTTCCCCTAAAAACTTCTGGTCACTCTGTACAAGGGACATCCTGTGCTAAACTGAACTAGGACCTAGGGCTGCTCAAGGAAGCAAATAAATCACCAGTGATAGCCAAGTCCAACCCTCTACCCAACTGTCTCTTTTTTTTGAGACACGGTCTTGCTCTGTCACCCATGCTGCAGTGCAGTGGCGTGATCTCAGCTCACTGCAGCCTTGACCTCCCCGGCCCAAGTGACCCTCCCACCTCAGCTTCCTGAGCAGCTGGGGCTACAGGCCCAAGCCACCATGCCCAGCTATTTTTTGTAGTTTTTGTAGAGATGGGGTTTTGACATATTGCCTAGGCTGGTTTTGAATTCCTGGGCTCAAGCAATCAGCCCACCTTGTCCTCCCAAAGTGCTGGGATTACAGGCATGAGCCACCACGCCAGCCCAACTGTCTCTTAAAGTTCTCTCTTTCTCTCAAACCCAGACACCACACGGGAGGATCACAGAGACTGATTAAGAGTCAATGAAAAAAAATTGTTTAGTCACTTTCTTTGTTGCAAAATGACTAAGAACAATTGCCTCCGCCTCTATGGAATCCAAAATAAAATAAATGCATTAGGAAACGAAATGTGTTCAACATAAATAAACTGTTGAAAATGAACACAATGAACAAAAAGCAGTTTGGGGTATTTTTTAAGAGAAAAAACAAATGATAAGCACAAATCCCTATGAATATTGGTAGTGTTATGAGCCAAATCATAAGAGGATTAAATTAAATACTGTGGTGACCTGCTGCAAAGGGCTCCCCCGCAAGACGCAGTCTTGCTCTGTTGCCCAGGCTAGAGTGCAGTGGTGCGATCTTGGCTCACTGCAACCTCCGCCTCCCAGGTTCAAGTGATTTTCCTGCCTCAGCCTCCTGAGTAGCTGGGACTACAGGTGCGTACCACCACACCTGGCTAATTTTTGTATTTTTAGTAGAGACAGGGTTTCACCATGTTGGCCAGGGTGGTCTCGATCTCCTGACCTCGTGATCCGCCTGCCTCAGCTTCCCAAAGTGCTGGGATTACAGGCATGAGCCACTGTGCCCAGCCCTGCAAAGGGTTTTGAGCCAGGAGAACTGCAGTTATGAACCCAGTAACTTCCCTGGCTCTATAAACTCATGTTCACAAAACCATAAGCCCCAGAACAGCCCTCATAACTCATGCTTCCTGGGCAATTCAGAGACAGAAACTCATGGAAGTTCACTGCTTGAATGAAACAGGAAAAAAAAAAAATCACTTAATATGATGTATCTTGGTCTGTTTGGACTACTATAACAAAACTCCATAGACTGAGGTTATAAACAGAAATTTATTTCTCACAGTTCTGGAGGCTGGGAAGTCCAAGATCAAGGCACCAGCAGATTTGCTGTCTGCTGAGGGTCTGTTCCTCATAGAAGGCACTGTCTAGCTGTGTCTCTGGATGGAGGAAGGACTAGATATCTCTCTGGGGTCTATTTTATAGAGGTACTAATCCCCTTCATGAGGGTTCCACCTTATGATCTAATCAACTCTCCAAGGCCCCTAAATATCACCACCTTGGGGGTAAGGATTTCAACATAAGAATTTGGGGGAGACACAAACTTTTAGACCACAGCAAAAAGCAATAGTCTGAGATTAATTCATTTATCTCCCCACAGCCCTCTCAGAGCCTACTAGCTCACAAAAAGACCTAACACAATTCTAGATTTCTCTTTTGAGGAAGCCATCAAAGATTCTTAATTGTTTCCTGTTGAAAGGAGTGGAGCCGGACGTCGTGGCTCACACTTGTAATCCCAGCATTTGGGGAGGCCAAGGTGGGAGGATGGCTTGAGTCCAGGAGTTTGGCACCATCCTGGGCAACATGGCAAGACCTCATCTCTACAAAAAGAGATGGTGGATAATTCCATAATACTATTCATTTTTTAATTATTAGCCAGGTGTGGTAGCACATGCCTGTAGTCCTAGCTACTTGGGAGGCTGAGGTGTGAGGATCACTTGAGCCTGGGAGGTCAAGGCTGCTGAAAGCTGTGACTGTGCCACTGCACTCAAGCCTGGGCAACCGAGTACCGAGTGAGACCCTCTCTCTCTAGCAAAAATAAAAAAGAAGTGGAAGGAGAAAAGTCAGTGAGTCAACGGATCATTAGATGATGTTTAGATGTCTGTGAGAAGACTGGTTTGACGGTTACTCTTGGACAAGATGGTGAAGGAATTCCTCTATTGGGTTAGAGTAGAACTTGCATGAAATGACCATTATGTTTCATTCCACCTTCAGGATTCTATAAATCTTTTGGACAGAATTGTAACAGGAAGGTTAAAACCATTTCCCATTAAAAAGAAATTAGCATGCTTGTTTACAGATTGAAACCATCACGCACTGTTCTAGTGAAATAGATTATCAGATTTCTCAGAGATTCCTTCTTTTTTTTTTTTTTTTGAGACAAGGTCTCACTCCAGTCACCCAGGCTGGAGTGCAATGGTGTGATCTTGGCTTACTGCAGCCTTGGTGTCCTGGGCTCTGGTGATTCTTCCACCTCAGCCTCCCGAGTAGCTGGGATGACAGGAGCGCACCACCACGCCTGGCTATATTTTTATATTTTTATTAGAGACAGGGTTTCTCCATGTTGCCTAGGCTGATCTCAAACTCTTGGGCTCAAGAGATACACCTGCCTCAGTCTCCCAAGGTGCTGGGATTACAGGCATAAGCCACTGTGCCCAGAGATTCAGTATTTTAGTTCTTTAAAAAGGACATCACTTAGTCAGATGTGGTGGCACACGCCTGTAATCCCAGTTACTCGAGAGGCTGAGGCAGAAGAATTGCTTGAACCCAGGAGGTGGAGGCTGCGGTGAGCCAAGATCGCATCACTGCACTCCAGCCTGGCAACAAGAGTGAAACTCCATCTCAAAAAAAAAAAAGACATCACTATCTAAAATTCTGCTTTTTTAAATTTATATTCAGTGTGTAACGAAGGGGCTTTTTTTTTTTTTTTTTTTTTTTTTTTTTTGAGATGGAGTCTCACTCTGTCACCCAGGCTAGAGGGCACTGGCGCAATCTTGGCTAATCACAACTTCCCGCCTCCCAGGTTCAAGCTATTTTCCTGCCTCAGCCTCCTGAGTAGCTGGGACTACAGGCGCCCACTACCATGCCCGGCTAATTTTTGTATATTTAGTAGAGACGGGGTTTCACCAAGTTGGCCAGGATGTTCTCGAACTCCTGACTTTGTGATCCACCCTCCTTGGCTTCCCAAAGTGCTGGGATTACAGGCGTGAGCCACCGAAGAGCCTACTTTTACTGGAATAGTGGTGAATAGCTCAACTATGTGAACTGAAGGAAGACTAAAAATCTATATAATTATTCCAAGAAACATGATAATTTTTTGGGAGGAGGGGGTCAAGGACCTCTTTCGGAAATCAAACAAAAACAAAAACCCTAACACAAAAAAATGGTGATTATCCTTATCAAGGTTTGTATACAATTCCCTACGATAATACCATCTCTCCCTTCCACCATCCCTCTCCTCAACTCATTCTGTGCAATGTAGAGAAAGAAACGTAGTTTTAGCTCAAGTTTTACTAGAACTTCTCCAAGGGCTTCGCTGAACACTATCTTTTCCCCGTTTCTCAATTTATTTTATTTGATGAAGTCTAATGTTTCTGAGGTAAACCCAAAACATTCTTCACAGCGTGTTTGGCATGAAGGTTTTCCCAAATCACCATTACTACTGACATTCATGGATGCTAAGTATCTCATTTAAGCCTTACCCTTTTGAACTAGGTGTTGTTATTCCCATTTTTCAGAGAAATACACTGAGGAGCTGATGAGTCCCTTGTCTGAGTCTCACAGTTAGGGATCATGGTTAGGGAGTGGTATTTTTGACTTGTGGTCTCTATATATTTAAAGTTTTGCTCTTCAAATGTCACTGGAATTATTAATTCACCAAAAACAAAATTTACATTTCAGGCATGTATTTTAGTTCAATGAATTTTGGTCAAGATGTCCCCCTCCACTGGCAAACCTTAAGAAAACGTGCCTTCGGAAGGATGTCCAGCTTTTCCTTCTCAGCATCAACCGCAACGTAGAGTCACTGACCAAAAACATCTCCAGGAAGGGTTATTTTGGAAACTTCACTGTGATAGCTCACTCTTTGCTCCTCAAAAGGATTTACTTAAATATAAATGCCCTTTAGAGGGGTGATAAAGGTATTAACTGTAAACTCCTTCATGAATTAGCCGACTTCTGGTTGATGGTCAGGCTCCCCTGGCGCACGGCGGGGTGCAGCACATACATGGAAGGGCCTGAGGGTGGAATGGTGACACAAGAAATATCTGCTTATCCCTGGCTCCAATCAGGGCAGTGCCCAGCCTCATGGGGCCAGATCAAGTTTGAGAACCTTCCTCAAAGCATGGATTGCTCTACAGGGAAGGGCAGAGTGAATCCCAGACAGCTAGACAAAGTCCTCAGAAGAGCAAGAACATTCACGTGTGCTTGAGTACAAACATGCATTTGGATTCAGGAAGGTGAGACTTTGAGATGTAAGGCTGAGTTGTTATGAGCCAAACATCTGCATGCCTGCTTTCAGTTTTTCAAGGTCTAAACAGAGTAAAAACCAAAAGCATTTTCCTTAATGTTTTAATTCTGCTGTGATGAAGATTCCGGTTAACAAAACCAAATTGTGTTTTTAGAGAAGTGATTAGTCACCCTTACATGGTCCTCAACTCATTATCTGTAATTAAGACTAACGAGGGTAAAAACAAATATTTACACATCATCATTTGAGCTCAGATAAATAACATGTACAAACATGATACAACACAAGTTATAATCCAAGTATATAAATGTTTGCTTTGTGTGGCACATGGTAAATACAAAACCATCTTTGTAAAGGCCAAGAGGGTCACATGCCCAAACACCAACTGTGCCATCCTTTCAGCATCTTGTCAATTAGTTTCCAAAAAATTGTTCTCTTTGGTTCTCCAAACAGCACTTGAATCTGTCCCTTTCCTTCCTCCCCTACTACCTGTGTCTGTTTTTTCCTTCCTCTTCAGCCCAAGCAGTGTCTGGAGCACAGCATGTGCGCAGCAATCAGCAAGCTCCCCAGGGGCACTTGCTGCTGGGCGCTGGCTTCTTTTTCCTGGCCCACTCCATCCCACATTCTGTCTTTCGACTGTAAGAGGAACACGTGCTTACTAAAGACACTGGTCTTCAAACAAGCCAATTTCTTTCATTTCCAGTTTATGAGTGTTAAAGTGACAGCAGTTTACTTCTGAAAAGAAGAAACTATTCCCACCAGTTATAACAGATGTTGATCTTATTCATGATCGTCATGGTGATGAAGGAAAATTAAATTCATCTATAATATAGCCCTAAATCTACCAAGAGAGCAGGAAACACAGGAGAGGGTTGGCCAAATCACTTGCTCCTCCCTCAAAGAGGAACTCCTCCCTCTTTCCATGTAAATCAAAGAGTATCTCCCATTTCACACAAGAGAGCACCATCTCACCTAACTGAGGGTCAGGTGGAATGAACAATCCAAACCCCCTCTACCCAAATTTTTCGACTGGAGGTTAACAGACATTTCACCTGGATTCTGGAGAATGGGATGATCTCTAAGATTAAACTAAAAGCTTTTCCAAATTCATTCAATAAATGTTTACTAAGGACCCATTATAGGCTAAGCACTTATGTTAGGTGTTGGGGTACAGTAGTGAACAGAACAAAAATAGGACAATATTGATCTCAGCAATTCTGAGAACTTAATTTCAATAAAACAATAAAATTAGAGTTGGTTACTCAATCCAACTCCTTGCCTTTTCCTAGCTCGTAGTTTTAGATTTTTTTTTTTTTTTTTTTTTTTGCTAAAAGTGAACCTAATATCTTTAAATGCCTATTTCTGCACAGTACCTTTATAATGTAATAGCAGCTAGGAAATGGTATCATAGAGTCACTGTTTCCACAGACTGTGGGCAAGTTAAAGATGGGGTAGGTATTGTGTGCATAACAGCATGGGACACCTCCATTGCCCCAGAAGGGTGTCAGAACAGCTTTTCCCAACACGCAGAGTCTGCCCCTTGGCCCCTGAAGTTTCCTCTGTTACAGGAAGGGATATGCTGAAGAAAGTAAAAAAAGACTGGCCAGGAGCGATGGCTCACGCCTGTATTCCCAGCACTTTGGGAGGCCGAGGCGGGCGGATCACTTGAGATCAGGAATTCAAGACCAGCCTGGCCAACATGGTGAAACCCCGTCTCTACTAAAAATACAAAAATTAGCTGGGCGTGGTGGAGGGCGCCTGTAGTCCCAGCTACTTGGGAGGCTGAGGCACAAGAATCCCTTGAACCCAGGAGGCAGAGGTTGCAGTGAGCCAAGATCGCGCCACTCCACTCAAGCCTGGGCAATAGAGCGAGACTCAGTCTCAAAATAAAAAAAAAAGAACAAAACAAAAAACCTCGAGTGATTCTGGTTACTTGCTCCAGAGAGGAGGAGGAAAAGGAAATTTTTTACGCTATAGGAAAAGTTATTTATCAACAAGGTGAGGGTAGCCAGAAAAATAGCTTCTTACATAATACCAATAAAAAAAAAAACCACTTCGTAGGATACAGTGAAAAACAAATCAGTGAACATCATCATAAAATGCTGAAGAATATTATTAGCTCTCAAACCTAATGTCACGTGATTTAAATACAATAAAAACTACTTTTTAAAACCTTGAATAGCCAACTTTAAAAACAGATGAACAAACTAGGGAAAAGGAGCATATAAATTATTCTTATTATTAAAAGAACTTATCATCTTATCAAGGATTCATCTGAGGATCCCTTTGAATCAGTTCTGTAAAGGGGGAAAATTAGGGCAGAGATAACTTTAAATATGCAAATTTGATTTATAACCAATTTTGGGAGACTAGACTTTTGCACAAATAATTGTTCCAGTGGTGCTGATAGAAATCCAAGATTTCTGACCTGTATCTTTCCTGAACTATGCAAATCCTATTCCTATCCCTGCACACCCACAGCTTCTAGGCTAGTGACATGTGCACCGCAGTCTCTCAGTGAACCTGATGAATGAATGAACATGACAGGGTTAACATCTCTGGTGCTTAAACACAGAATTCCTTCCAGCGGCTGATTCACACTATCTTCTGAGTTCTGTGTCCTACAAAGACAATGAACAGCATCTGTCTCGGTTCCTGAGTTTTCATCACTTCCTGAGTTTTCATCGCTTCCTCTCAAGACAGCACCATTAGCTGAGCAGGCTCCAGCAGGACCCACCAGCAGAGAGGTGCACATGGGAGTCAATACCTGAAGTGAATAACGGTGAACGACCTACCTGGCTCAGCAGGTGGCCACAGGCAGTCCCCGCTACCACAGCTTCAAATTCCTTTTCCTACCTCTTTTTCCTTCCCTGGACGCAGCCCAGGAGTGCCTCCTACTTTCAGGACCTTTCCTTGCCTAGAGCCTTGTCCTTAGCAGCATGATTGAGAGAAGGAAGAGAGCTGAGTAGGTGCCCTCTCCTTTGCTGTTCACAGGGTCCCAGTCACCATGGTAGATAAGCTCCTGCCCTCTCCTCTCACTTGGCTTTCATCAAGCCCCAGGATTATGAGAAAGTACTCCACAAACTGCAAACTCTACAAACACCAAACTCCCCTTTCCCAGCTTTGGTCCTGATGTGCTCAGGAGAGTTGGTGCCTGGTTTTCCCATGAAATGTGAATGAATCTGGCAACTAATTAGAAGGCATGACCTGGAGCCAGCACTGAATCAGGAGAGAAACTATTAAAGTTATACAGAGTCACCTGTAGATTCAGCTAAAGACCTAGTTCAGGATGGTTTCAGAAGCTGAGAAGTGCAACTGTCAAACCAACAGATTATGCTTATTTTTTATTTAATAGCACCCTGATTACCATACTTACTAAGAATACCTTTTTTCCTTGGTGTGAAATGTAAAATTTGCAATAATCAATCATAAATACTTATGAAAATGCAAACATTTTTATTTACTAGTGTCTATAAGCAAAGAAAAAGCCTTGATTTCCTAGGGAACAATGACGTAAGAAAAAATACAAATTTTAAATATATTCCCTAGATTTTCTAACACCATAATTCTCCCCACTCCTAATAAAACATTTTATTGTTACCAAAGGCTGCCATTATTCCAACACAATAGAGAAGCAGAGTGAGAGATATGCCAAGTGGGAACTGGAGATACGAATTTGAATCCCAGCTCTACCACGATGCTGAGTCAGTCATTCAACCTCTCTAATGCCTCAGCCATGAGACAGAGAAGATTCTTTCTAAATCTATGATTTACCTCATTTTGACAGCAAAACAGAACTGTTGCAAGGAGAAGGTAAGGAGCAGAAAGAAGAGGTATCCCACATGGACCTTAGGCTACAAATAGATGCTGAATTTTGGAAAAAAAAAAACAATAATCTCAACAAATCTTGAATTTTGTTTGGGTCACAATTTTTAACATCCCAATAAATAAGTTAGGTGACAAACTCCACTGTATTTTATAATTGGATGGCTTACAAATCAAAAAACAATGGGTTTGTGACTCTACTTGTGTCATGACCCTACAGCCTCCATTTACCCATTTCTTCCCTCTCCTAAAACAGGAAGCTTTACGCTTACACTTTCATTACTGCCAGGATACTCTTGTACAATATCTGGTGTCCAGATTTTGAAAGTATAAGGTTATTTCATGAAATTTACTATGAACAGAATAGAGGGTGTTGCATAGCCTGCCCTACAGATATGTATGTGTGTGTGTGTGTGTGTGTGTGTGTGCAAGAGACATATATGTGTGTGTGTGTGTCTTGGTGTAATACTGTGAATGAGAAGACCAGAACTGCACCCAAGGAACTGTACCACTGTCATAAACCACCAGGTCAAAGTTCACATTTTCACTGCATAGAAACAGAACTCTGGCCCATAACTCAGATGTTGGTTAATTAGTAATATAGGGATACTCCACTTGTTATTGCGACTTTGATCTAAACAGCTCTGTAAAGCCCATTTTCACATTTTTAAAATAATATGCTTTAGCAGCAGGTGAGGAAAACTTAAGGCATGGCACATTTATTGGAAAAGCAGCAGTGGGCGGCTTGGTTTAATGGCAACACCACTAGATAACTGTCTAAGGCCCTTTCCAGATCCAATGGTCAAGGTAACAGGTAAGTAAGATAGACTCCAAAGGCAGGGGTTTGAGGGGAGTGGGGAGTGCTGGTGAGACATCAGAATGAAAATTGTTTATTTCACATGGAGCTCTTTCTCGTTATTTTTAACATTGCGATTCTGTGGATCTCAGCAAATCTGAACAGCTATATCTACCACTCAACTGGTATATTTGAAATAAATTTATATTTTAGAAGTAAGTGCTACATACTCTTTTTCATTTTCTTTTGAGATGGACTCCTGCTCTGTTGCCCAGGCTGGAGTGCAGTGGCGCAATCTCAGCTCACTGAAACCTCCACCTCCTGGGTTCAAGTGATTCTCCTGCCTCAGCCTCCTGAGTAGCTGGGATTACAGGCACCCACCACCACACCCGGCTAATTTTTGTGTTTTTAGTAGAGATGGGGTTTCACCATGTTGGCCAGGCTGGTCTTGAACTCCTGACCTCAGGTGATCCGCCCATCTTGGCCTCCCAAAGTGCTGGGATTACAGGCGTGAGCCACCACGTCTAGCCCAAGTACTGTATATTCTTTGCACAAAATTCAAAATGTACCAAAGAATAGAATAGAAAAATTCTCTCTTCTACATCTATACTTCAGTCCTCCAGGTCCCATTACTCATTTTTTAAAAATCCTTCCCGTGTAGTCTATACATAAGCATATATGAATACATTCCTTTTTTTTTTTACCCAAACACAAACATTAATGCTCTGTATATGCATTTTTTCACTTAGTATAGGGTAGTATTATTCTTTTTGACAGCTGTATAATATTCAGTTTTATGAATGTACCATAATTAAACTGGTCTTCTACTGATGGACACAAGATGTTTCTAATCTTTTGCTGTTTCCAAAAAGTAAGTAAATGCTGCAATGAATATCTATTCATCTATCATCTAGCTATCCATCCATCCATCCATCTCACTTTGCACGTGTGAGCATATCTTGGAAGATAAACTCCTAGAAGTGAAATCCTAAAAGTGGAACAGTTATTGGGCTGTGCATTTGTAACATCAACACACAGTGCAATGCTGATTTCCCCATGTATCTGAAACATGGGAGCTGAAAACATGGAGCTATCAAACTTTTGATTTCTGCCCATCCATAGGTGAAAAATACTATCTTGTTTGCATTTTAATTACAAATGAGGGTGATCATTTTTCATATATTAAAGAACCTATGGTTAGGTGCAGTGGCTCACACCTCTAATCCCAGCACTTTGGGAGGCCAAGTCGAGAGGATTGCTTGAGCCCAGAAGTTTGAGCCCAGCCTAGGCAACGTAGCAAGACTCCATCCCTATCAAAAAGCAAAGCAACCAACCTATCCCATCCCATTCACTCTGGGAAACTTCACAGAATTCTTCCTTGCTTTTTCTCAGTATTCAGGCAGGTGACTATTGGCTTTCTTAATTTCATTTCACTTATTCCACAGACCCTTACCAAGCATTTACTATGTTAGATACCAGAAAGACAGCATGAACCACCTGCTCCCAACCAGGAGGCTAGTGGGCAGGGAGTGCACCTCACATGCCGCACTGCCAAGGGACAAGCCTGCACCATGATGGAGGGTGCCTGAGGGGCAAGACAGACAGGAGGGGAAACCTGGCAAGGAACCAGGGGGAGGCAACACCTTAGCAACGCTCTGAGGAATGGAAGGCAGAATACGCCAATGGGAAAAGTGAGAGCATAGAGGGGTCGGGAAAGATATTCTAAGGGAATGAGGCACACAAAGGCATGGCAGCCAGAACAGGAATTTGAGGAATCTCAAGTCCTCTGATTTGAGAGGAGCAGAGAATGCTTCCAAGGAAAGGCAAGAGAGCAGGCTGGACAGGCTGGCAAGAACCCATGGCAAAGACTTCCTATTTCCTGAGTTAAACCACGAGGGTGATAAACCTTTCACCAAGACTCAGACACGAATCATCACGCCCCACACAGAGTCAGTACACGCCAGGTAAACACCGGGAGGCAGGTAAGCACAGCCAGCAGCACTAACTTTCTTCTCAGAAGATATTTTCTTCTTATTGACTTTTCATCCTCAGAAAAGAGAACTCTACAGCTCTGAAATGTGCGGTGCAAGTGTAATTCGACCCTGTTCTGTGGCTGTCTATATCCCACCATCAGGACAGTCTTCTGATGATACGTCATTTCTTTTTTTCTTTCTTTCTTTCTTTTTTTTTGAGATGGAGTTTCATTCTTGTTGCCCAGGCTGGAGTGCAATGGCATGGTCTCGGCTCACTGCAACCTCCACCTTCCAGGTTCAAGAGATTCCCCTGCCTTAACCTCCCAAGTAGCTGGGATTACCAGCACCCGTCACCACACCCAGCTAATTTTTTTGTATTTTTAGTAGAGACGGGGTTTTGCCATGTTGGCCAGGCTGGTCTTGAACTCCTGACCTCAGGTGATCCACCTGCCTCAGCCTCCCAAAGTGCTGGGATTATAGCTGTGAGCCACCACGCCCAGCCTGATTCCTCACTTCTTTTTGACATGTGGCTGCCAGGTCCACTTAACCAACAAATTAAATGCCTCTTTATCTCAAAATAAAAGCATCTCCACAATTACTATTCTAATACTCTTCTGTTTTTAACAGGTATTTAGCACACTTCTTGAAAGCATAACAAATAGATCCATTAAATATATTAGGAATGTTTTAGGTTAGTAGAGGGTATGATTGAATAACATGATTAAAAAAAAAAACACCAGAACTTTTATTTTTTTAGTACACACGAATAAGGCCTCCATCAAAGTAATGCTCTTAGAAAAGTATTTACTTATTCCGACAATGATTCCTCTGCCCAGCATATTTTTGGAATTCTTTTAATGATATTTTCTGCAGCATTTATCCAATAAACACTGACGTAACTGATTTGCCTTTTGGTCTACAATACAATCTTATAAATATGCTCTGTGTTAAAACAGAATATCCCTCTTTTCTTTCCCCTCCCTCTTTCCATATTCAGCAGAAACAAAGAAAATCTCAGAGGTCTCTTCTTATGTCTCTGCTAACAATAAAAAGAACAGCTTTTGGGGAAGTGGGCTGCTTTATCCTGTAGCCCTCCTCAGATGCCAAGACTGCTGGGCTGGCCACCAGACTCACGTCCTCAGTAAGGAATTTACCTCCTACTTTTCTTCGGGGGCAGGTAGGGAAGCACAGCACCAGCCCTCAGCTGTCTTGGGCTCCCTGATCTGGTTAAGGAGAGTGTATTTACTCAGGGCCATGGTGGTGCATGGAGGAAGCCAACCCTGTCAGCGCTGGCTGGTCATCAGAATGGAAGTGGGAGGACATCCTTCATTTCCAGGTCATGCCTGGTTAACATTTCACCTTAACTGAGGGGCCAAAGAGAGGCTACGCAGCCTGGATCAGAGCTCCGACAGCCCTTACCTGGTGGCTTGTTCGTGGAATTTATCACATCCTGTTGTAACGCTCTGTTTACATCTCTGCTGCCCAGCCAGACTCCGCCTTCTGTGATTTTCTCATCCCACCACCCAGTACTGTACATGCTCAATGGATGACTATAAACAAGTGAACAGACAGCAGGAGTGGCTGCCCTTATGCCCATGGAACTGGGCCTCTCAATTCAGCTCATGTTGGTCATTTCAGATCATCTGAATGTAAAGGGTCCTCTCTGTCTCTGACCAGGCTTCTTGCAGGCCTTTGGCAGCCGTGGAGCTCTGAGAGAGACTGGTTTCCTGAGGGCTGGGCACCCCGGTCTATTTATTGGGAGGCCACAAACAGAAAGAGTGGGCATCAGGACCAACGGGCACATGGCCACCACCCAGATACGTGACTCTGGCATGTATTTCACTTCTCTGGGGCCAGATGGCCTCTTCCTAAGATTCTCCTCAGTGCTGAGAGTTCTTCAGTCCTGCCTGCTGACTTCCCTCCAGGACAGAACAGATGCCTCTTCCTCCCATAGATATGATGCAAGAACTGAGCTGTCCAAGCAAAAAAAAACCTTTGAAGGAAGAATTTCTGTGCTGTGAGTGGTTTACTCTGAGAATAGGACTCAAGTTTTAGAAATCTTTGTTCAATGTCAGAGATAGAGCGACTGTAATCTGTGAGCCAAGAAAAAAGGTTTGTAAAGGCTAGAAGAAAAGAAGCCCATGGCTAAGAACTTGTAAAAACATCTACAGCAAACAAGAGTTCCAAGAGAAAGACTGTGAAACAGCAGGCCCACAGGAGCTGGAGAGCGAGCTTTGAAACGATACAAAATTAATTGTCTAAGGGGCAAATAAATGGTGCAGTACACAAATGCAGGAGGTGACACAAACGCACCTGGATTCAACAGAGGACAAGTAGACACATCTATGTCCCAGGCTGCACTAATGAGGAAAGTCCACCAGGTGGGAAGTAGGTACCACTGAGAGTTTATAAGGCTAAAAACCCCAGTCTTGGGATGCGGAGAAGGAGGGAAGGAAGTGAGAATGAACAGGAATGGCATATTCTGTTCACTTCACTGACAGCTTTGCACTGTGCATTCCCAGCTGGGCATGTCCCAGACATGATCTCTTGCATGGGCTGTACTAACGAACATCAAATATTCAGGCTGGCAACCAGTTACATGAACCGGTGTCAGGAGTGCACATTAATAGGCATCTGACTAGGGCAGGGCTGGGCAAACTACGGCCCCTGCGCTACATCCAGCCTAAAGCCTGTTTCTGTAAATAAAGTTTTATCAAAACACCCAATTTGTTTCCCTATTGTACACAGCTTTTTTCATGCTGCATTGGCAGCGCTGGGTAGTTGTGACACAAACCATATGGGCCACAGGGCCTAATATATCTGTAATCTGGCCCTGTACAGAAAAAATGTGCTGAACCTTGGACTAGTGGGGCAGATAGTGAAGCTGAGAAGATTAAGACCAAGGGAGTAGTGGGATGTGGTTCCAGGGCTAAAGCAGTAACTCTATCAGAAAGCAAGTCAGGCTCGGGGGCGGTGGCTCGCGCCTGTAATTCCAGCACTTTGGGAGGCCGAGGCGGGCAGATCACGAGGTCAGGAGATTGAGACCATCGTGGCTAACATAGTGAAATCCTCTCTACTAAAAATACAAAAAATTAGCCAGGCGTGGTGGCACGTGCCTATGGTCTCAGCTACTCAGGAGGCTGAGGCAGGAGAATCGCTTGAACCCAGGAGGTGGAGGTTGTGGTGAGCTGAGATCACACCACCGCACTCCAGCCTGGACAACAGAGCGAGACTCTGTCTCAAAAAAAAAAAAAAAAAAAAAAAAGAAAGTCAGAAACTCCCTCCTGGAACTGGCAGATGGGTAGGGTTAAATCTGAGTGGAAAATGGAAGCAGGGAAGAGCAAAGCCACGATCAAAACCTGAGAAACTGAGAGGATGAACACAGCGCAGAAGTGACACCAAGGTAAGATCCTGTATCTTTTGGAGTCAAGAACCACCATTTTGATGGGCTATTCTGGGCTTCCCAGACCTTCCCAAGAAGCTGCTCCTTACAGCTTACAGGACCACATTCTTGGGAAGCCACAGACCCAAATCATGCCTTGCCAGGTGTTATTCAGTGTGGACCGCGGTAGGACTATGATGGTCAGAGATGACCTTGGGTGGGGAGAGGAAGCAGACAGAGGAAGAAACAGACTGTGTTTGGACAAGAGAAAATAGGGTACATCTAATGGAGAGACAGATGAATACTAAGTGGGGATAACTGCAGAGGCCTTATTTAATAAGGTGAAGAGTTTGCACTGATACAGTAGGCTATGGGAGATCACTGCAGGGATTTGCACAGGGCAGTCATTTGTGATTCCAGTTATTTGTGAGATAAGGATAGTGGGGCATGACAAAGCTCTACAAAACTGTAAGACACTGCATATCTTTGATGAACAGTAGTATGAAAGACAAAACAGATTGGATTTGCTAGAATAAAGGTGCTAACAAGATGGCTGTCACTAGCAATCTGCTGCAGCAACAGGCTCAAACACCCCTACGCAGAGCTCTTCCTTCATGTGCTTCATCTTATTTGCATGAACATTCCTAGGAGTTAAGCAGAAAAAAGGCAGGGATGAGCTTGGAAAATGACCAGGAGTGTTGACTGGGGAGTGAATATTGGAGTACAGGCTGGGTGTGGTGGCTCACGCCCGTAATCCCAGCACTTTGGGAGGCCGAGGCAGGTGGATCACCTGAGGTCAGGAGTTCCAGACCAGCCTGGCCAACGTGGCGAAACCCTGTCTCTACTAAAAGTACAAAAATTAGCTGGACGTGGTGGTGCACACCTGTAATCTCAGCTTCTTGGAAGGCTGAGGCAAGAGAATCACTTGAACCTGGGAGGTGGAGGTTGCAGTGAGCCGAGATCACGCCACTGCACTCCAGCCTGGGTGACAGAGCGAGACTCTGTCTCAAAAAAGAAAGGAAGGAAGGAAAGGAAGGAAAGGAAGGAAGGAAGAAAAGTTGGAGTATAAAGAAGTGAGCCTTGATAGAAACAAACTCAAATGAGAAAAGCAAGCCACACTGAATCCAAGGGCCATGAATAAATACAAACTCAAACTCTGGTGTGGAAACAGCTGCAGATGTACAATTGTGACTGTCCCTTCTAAAGTGAAATCCCCCGGAAAGTGGGAAAATATTCTCCCCCAGGCAACCTTCCATCAACAAGGAGCTTGTGGGCACTGAGCGTAAAGCAGTGCATTGAACCTGTGCCCTGCCTTCCAGGAGTCTTCAGTCTCTGGCCGTGGTCTATAAGAAAGGGCTACCAGCTAAGTGAGAGCACTAGAATAACAGATATATCCAGTGCTATGCTGGTAAATATTTAAAAAACGGCTCTTGCAGGGGGAGATAAAGCAATCTGTAGTTTTTGCCAATTTCTGTGGTGTAAATACTCTCACCAAAGCCTATTTATTTTATTTAATTAATTAATTAATTTATTTTTTAGATGGAGTGTTGCTCTTGCTGCCCAGGCTGGAGTGTAATGGTGCGATCTCGACTCACCACAACTGCGCCCGGCCCCTTTGGGAGCCACCGCGCCCGGCCCCCAAAGCCTATTTAAAGCTACTAACATGATATCACCAAAACGGAAATTGGAAAGGATGCACACAATTGGCTCTGGTGAGCCAGGGGAGCCCTCTAGCACAGCACTGGAAATGAAGCTTGTTGCTTGTAGCAGCTCTTAACTGGATGTTGGTCTGTTGTGATATCTAAGGACACTGACAGGCCACTACGAAGGCATGCTGCTGAACCCACTCCACTCACCCAGTTATTCAGAGGCAGATCTTACAGCTGACATTCTTCAAAGAAGAACCTCAGCTTCAGGCTTTGGAAGAAACTCATTTTGCAGATTAGGAAACTGAGGTCCAGAGCTGTTCTCCTTGAGCTGCATGTGAGGGCTGGTGTCATTATGCTTTACATAATCAGTAAGAAATTCTGAAACCAGACAGTAACTGCTGTGTGAGAAGGTAGTCGAAAACAGTCAACTCCATTACAGTGCAGCAGACACAGGGAAACGTCCTTCAAGGGTAATGTGGTCAAAGGAAAGACAGAAAAGACATCTGGATGCCTACAAGTTGTGTGTGCACACGCTTGCACACATGTGAGTGGGCAGATGTCAGGAAGCACTCATAAATGCCACCTCCTGTGTACTGTCAATAGAGTAAGAAGCCCCAGGCGTCTTAATTAAAGGAACAAAAAATTAGTGTGTGGATTTTAACCAATTAATGAATGACACACATGAAGGAGAGGCTCATACTCTTCTTCTTCTTTTTTTGTTTTTGTTTATTATTATTATTATTTGTTTTTTGTGAGATGGTGTCTCGATCTGTCACCCAGGCTGGAGTGCAGTGGTGCAATCTCAGCTCACTGCAACCTCTGCCTCAAACAATTCTCGTGCCTCAGCCTCCCGAGTAGCTGAGATTACAGGTACCCACCACAATGCCCAGCTAATTTTTGTATTTCTAGTAGAGACGGGGTTTTACCATGTTGGCCAGGCTGCTCTCGAACTCCTGACCTCAAGTGATCCGCCCGCCTCGGCCTCCCAAAGTGCTGGGATTACAGGCATAGCCACTGCACCAGGCCCACTCTTCTTTCAAGCAGTTTTTTTTCTTTTCTCTTTTTAATGGTTAAAACTTTTAATTTTGCTACCTCCTCATCTCAGCAAGTGAATTATGTATTTAATTGGAAATCAAGTCTTTGTCTAAAAACTGTACTTTCATGCTGGTTTCCTCCAGACTAATAAAACACTGTTTATCAGTCTAAGCCTCAAGTAGGTCTCTCATGTACCTGTCTTCCTCTTCTCTGTCTACCACCTCCCTCACTCTCATCTGAAAAGTCATGAACCAGCCCACCTAGTGAGTTCCTTTGACATCAGGGCTAACACGGCCTGGGTAAACTTCAGCAATGTTGGCTTTCTTCCTGGCTTTTTCTGCTTGAAAAGAAGTCTCTTTCAGCAAGTCAGGGCAGTGTTTTCTGTTTATGAGGTGCTTTTCTTCTGGGTGGCAGATATGTCTTCTATTTACCAACCATTCACTTATCACTAACCAGCATCCTTGGCAGTTCTTAGAAACTTTCAGGTGGCAAGTACTTGTTTTTTTTTTTAATTTTATTGATATAAGATCACGGGATCTTCCTGCCTTAGTCGCCTAAGTAGCATGCACCAACCACATCTGATTTTTTTTTTCTTTTTTTTTTTTGTAGAGAGAGTGTCTCACTATGTTGCCCAGGCTGGTCTCAAATTCCTGGCCTCAAGCAATCTTCCCACTTCAGCCTCCCAAAGTGCTGGGACTACAGGCACATGCCACCATGCCCAGCCGCAAGTGTTTATCCCCATTCCATAGGGGGTGAAACTGAGGCACAAAAAGAGGAAATCACCATCAGGATATGCCACTGCAGAGAGATATAAGATGAGAGTAATTCAGCTTCATGGGTTATTTTCAAAAAGTAAGGAAGAAACTGCAACAAGAACTGAATCACGCTTTACTACAGCATTGCCTTCTACTTCCTCCACCAGCCAACTGGGAGATGAACTTTTATGAGGAGCAGTATTGATGGATTTAAGTTTTCAATTTTATGTCATTTTGTGCTTTCTGGAGGCGGTACAGTGAGCTTGGAAGTAAGTGATATGGTGGGAAGGTGGGAAGGTGGAAACAGGGAAGGTAAAATGAGAGGCTTGTAGGATCCAGACCTGGGATAATCAAACTAAGAAAAATCAATCTGGTGGAGGTTACACAGAGACTCTGGGAAATGACACCTCAGCTGCTCACAGCTCACTGGAAAACTGTAGGAACAGCCCTTTCTACGTCAGGGCTGGCGGGTAGAGAACTCTGGCCTGATGCTATGTTTTTATATAGTTTTATAATTATATAAACAAATACACAAACACACATATACATATACACAGTACACATATATATGTGCTATAAACATATAAATGCACAAATGATACATAATTATGTAATTATAATTGAGTTACAAGAACCCACTATGATAGAGTGTTTTCAAAATCAGCCTTCATTTTAATATAGAGAAAACTCTTGGCCATAAAAACATGCTTTGTTTTGTTCCCAAAGGGGTATGTCATTTTGTTCTGCCTTTGCTAAATAAGAGTTGAAAACTGTTGAAACGTTTCTCGTTGGCTAAGCTGGAGAGAACCAATACAAATCAACAGAGACTTTTACGTCTTCAGAATTGAGATCTGCTGAGGTTTATGTGGGAAGTGGGAAAGGTTTGTGAACATGTTTATGATTCCATCAAATCCAGTCGGCCACAGCTCCACATTAGGGGCACAATCAAAATTACGCAAACAGCTAAGTTTCTATCCCTTGGAAATCATGATATTGATTTCTATCCCTTGGAAATGATCATATTTCCAATACTTAGAACTCACTGCTTGGGTCCACAGCAGCCTACAGTCAAAAGCTTATCAGATAAAGTCATTTTCACAGGGTATTAGGGCTGGGAAGATGGTTAGGCCAATCCCTTCACTTCATAAACAAGGATGCTGCATCCCAGAGAAGTGATTTGTTCAAAGGCAAACAACAGTATTTAGGATGAGAAGCCACATCTTCTGAGTCTCCAGATCCCTGAACCTTCTTCCCACCCCAGTGTCTCTGTTGGTGGCATCCACCCCAGTCAATCCATTAACAGACAGGAACTAGCACAGGTGTTCCAGCACTGGGCCAAGCCCCTCAGGAGGACCGAGTGTTTTTGATGTCTAGCTCTGAACAGGCGCTGAGAGCTCCAAACTTGTGTATGACACACAGTTTCTTCCTTACTGGAGCTCCCAGGCTAGTGAGGGTCCCATGGAACTAAACAACAGGTGAGTATGGAATGGGGTGAAATCATTCCAGAAGAACAGACAGCATACGATGGGAGCTCAGAGGAAAGGCTATACCTAGCCTTGAGGGAGGGTGTAGGAACCAGAAGGAAAAGTAGGCATCATCCAAGTAAAGAAGAGGACAAAAGACAGTGATCCTGCAGAGAAAACACCATCGAGCAAAGTTGGGAGGCAACCGAAGCGGGTAAGCAGGTTCGGTCTGGGCAATCCCAGGGAAGCCGAAGGAGACAAATCCAGCGCCAGACTATGCAGAGACAAATTTCGGTAACTCTACGTGGGGCTGCAATGAGCATGCGGTCACAGCAAACACATGCTTGGGCCAAAAAGTCCTAAGTGGCACCAGGACCCAGGCAGGAATGAACAGATAAGGAGAGAACCAGAAGAAGAGAGCCTTCCAGACAGCACGTGAGCAAAATTGCCCGGCTAAGATCTGAAGAGGCAGACACAGTCACTGAGATCATTCCCTGGGCTCTTCTTGTCCACTGGAGCGACATGTGGTCTGAAGACTAAGGTAGCTTGATCTATCAATCAGCCAACAACAGTCTTGTTTCTGTTGAGTTGTAAGCTTTCTAGGACTGCAACTAGACAAGTGGGGAGGTCAGAGTCTAAATTACAACTAATTCCTAATAGGTTTTATAACTGCTATCCCTTTTTTCCCTCTCTCCCTGCACCTAGGTTTTTGCCCTGGTAGAGGTGGAGACGATATAGCCCAGAAGTTCAGACTGGAGTCAAAGGTTCCGAGTTCAAAGCCCACCCAGCTACTTATTAACTGAATGACCCTTAGCGAAGTTGCTTTAACTTTCCTGATTCAGCTCCTTCATCTAAACTCTCAGAATTGTTAGATCAGGTAAGAATGCAGAAGTTGCTTTCAACATGGCACCTGGCACTAGGAAGGGTTCTGTGAGTGACAGTGTTCTAGTGTTCTAATTAAAAGGCAAGGTAGGCCAGATTTTAAAGGAATCCCCATATCACAGTCTGGACTTTGTTTGGTGCATTGTATTTCCCAAAAAGGAATGCATCAGAATCTTGCCTATATGCTTTCCTTATGGTGTGACTTTGACACTCCTCCCATTGAAAGACGGAATTCTGTATTTCCTCCCCCTTGATAGTCATGCTTCTGAACATGGTGACAGTGATAGTTTGTGACTGCTGAAACCAGATCATAGCATGCCTTTCTTAGGAATGCTTGCTCTTGGAAGCCAGCCACCATGCTGTGAGGAAGAGCAAGCAACACATGGAGAGGCCACTGTTCCAGCCAACAGCCCCAGCTGAGGTCCCAGCTGACAGGCCGCATCAAATCGCCAAGGATGTGAACAAGTAAGCCTTTAGATGTCAATTCACCCCAGCTTTTGAATATTCCCAGCAGAGGCCTCAGACATAACAGGGCCAAGACAAACCATCCCACTGTACCCTTTCCAAATTCCTGACCCACAGAATCTGTGAGTCTGATAATATGGTGGTTATTTTATGCCACTTTGTTTGGGTTTGTTACATAGCAACAGATAATCAATATAATTGTTTTAAGGCAACAGATGGCCATGGAAAGGTTTGAAAGTGGTGAAAAAGCAAGATGTACGCTTCCAGAAGGCTAACCTGATTGCAGTGGGCTGAGGTTGTCGGCAGGGGACTCAGTAGGAGAGCACTGATACTATGTGATGCAAACCTGAATATTAGGGCAGGTGGAGGGTGTTAAAGGTCACAAATTAGATGTGGGGGGTCGACAAAAAGAAAGAACTTCAAATGACACCAAGGTTTGAACTACTAGCGGAACTTGACATAATTAGGTTCATCCAGAAGGGACTAATATTGTTTTTTTCTGGTGGATAGTCGGGGTAGAGGAGAGGAGGTAAATTCCATTCTAAATACATGGAATTTGCATGATGTCAGTATAATCTAAGAAGTATCAAATGAGAAGTTACAAATTCAGGACTAGGCTGGCTGTGGTGACTCACATCCGTAATCCCAACACTTTGGGAGGCCAAAGCAGGAGGACTGCTTGAGGCCAGGAGTTCTAGACCAGCCTTGGCAACATATTGAGACCCCAATCTCTATAAAAATTTTTTTAAAAAATTAGTCGGGCATGTGTGCTTGTAGTCCCAGTTACTTGGGAGGCTGAGGATCACCTGAGCCCAGGAAGTTGAAGCTACAGTAAGCCATGAACATGCCACTGCACTACAGCCTGCACATCAGGGTGAAACTGTCAAAAAATAAATTAATAAATTAATTACTTAATCCAGGACTAGAAGCTGAACACTGGTGTTGGTTAAAACCTTGAAAATGGATGAGATCACCTCTCAGATCATGCCTGTATTTAGGAGAACAGGTGAGCGGGACCAGGGTTAGCCAGTCACAGATGCAGAATTCTGAGAGTATAATTTCACGAACAAGTTTTGGAAAGGTGCGATCATCATTAGTGCCAAATGCTACAGAGAGGTGAAAGAGAAGAAAGATTGAGAAAAGGGACTGGAACCCAACAGGTAATAAGGAATGGACCCAGGGTCAGAGGAGGAATGGACCCACGGTCAGAGGAGGGCCTCTCCATCCCTGACCAAAAATGAAACAAGACACACAAACTGGGGAATGAATGAAATTACAAACCCTGCTGGGTACACATCAGAATGTTTTCAGTCTCCATTCAGATGGAAATTTCCTGTGGGTCTGGAAGCGGGAAGCAGTAGGAACTGCTAAAATGAGATGGTGAAATGCACATTCCTAAAGGTATAAAGTGGGCACAGGAACACCTGCCACTTATCTACCTCACAAAGATAAAACACAAATTAGATTCCTATAAAGTGCTTTGAGTTCTCTGCCATTGTAATAGACCCAATACCTATCTTTCAGCCTTCAGAGAACAGTTCTTAACATTTGCTGAACTCTCCAGCATTCCTGGGAGGTAGATATTATCGTTGGATGAGGAAACAAAGGCCACACAGCAAGTCAAAAGCCAAGGCAAGATTAGAACAGGGCCTGCCTTCTGTGTGGGGAAGTCCAGTTGGCTAGATTCCTTTTGTGTCAGTAACAGGTTCTTTGATCTGTAATACAGAAGAGGCTTGTTTCTGGGGAGGCTGTGAAAATAGATACATTAATGACCACAAGGTTCTCTGAAACTTACCAAGGGGGTTGTGGGAAAAAAAGGTGCAGCCAGCCAGATTCTGGAAACAACAGAAGAAATTACAGGAGGCCGAGCACGGTGGCTCACGCCTGTAATCCCAGCACTTTGGGAGGCCAAGGCGGGTGGATCACCGGAGGTCAGGAGTTTGAAACCAGCCTGGCCAACATCGTGAAACCCCATCTCTACTAAAAATACAAAACTAGCTGGGTGTGGTGGCAGGCACCTGTAATCCCAGCTACTCAGGAGGCTGAGGCAGGAGAATCGCTTGAACCTGGGAGGCAGAGGTTGCAGTGAGCTGAGATCATGCCACTGAACTCCAGCCTGGGCGACAGAGAGAGACTCCGTCTCAAAAAAAAAAAAAAAAAGTAAAAGAAAAAGAAAAAGAAATCACAGGAGCAATGGAGATCGTTAAGAACAGCAAGGGAGACGCAGAGCCCTCCGGAAGGTTAGTCTGGGCAGATCCAGAGGCTGTGGGGAGGGGCCTCACAGAGCGGGCTATGCACCAGCCTTAGCCTCCTCACTTGGGGCAGACACAGCATGAACATGGCTGGCTTGGACTGAGGCTCTTGGCCTCAAAGACAGAACAGTAATTGGATTACTCACAGGTTGAACAGGTGAACAAAAAGGTAGTGCTGTGGATGAGAACACCTCAGGGGGCCCCAGAAACAGTGAAGAGGAAGAGTAATGGTTTTGTGAAAAAGACTTTACTTGAAATCCCTGGAGAAGCAGTAGCATCATAATCCTTCCTCTTCCTATATTTACTTTTTTCCTAAAAATTCAATTTCTTAATAAAACTAAAAATGCAATCATGACACTGTTTGAATATTATAAATTAGATGGAGTGGAGGATAAACAAAGTTGGCACAGGGAAGGCAAGAGGCATTTACTGAATGTCTATCATATGCCCTCTCAATATTTAGAATCCCCTCATGAGATACTGGCAGCCCATTTTACACAGACTAAACAGAGACTTAGAAAGGATAAATCTTTTACCCAAGGCCATGCAGCTAGTCTATGATGGAGCCAGGATTCCAGCCCTGACATGCCTCATTCCAGAGCTCTTGTTCTTTTCTGTATACTGCACTACCTACATCTCAACAGTCGTGAGTTCAACATTAATCAGGTCTGAACTAATGAGATTTACTATAATGCCCCGGAGATGACTGTACCCTACAGCTGGAGAATGCATAGGGAGGGGCACTTCCGTTACGTATACCTGAACTATGTTTGCGATTCACACAAAATAAAGAATTGACCAGGACCAACCCCAGCCTATGAGAGGCAAAGTTACTGCTGCCCGCTTTACCCCACCCTAGAGCGCCCTCTGATCCACACTCTCACACTGCCTTCCAGCTTTCCCACGGCGCCAGACCCTTGCTGCTCCTGGGCCCCTTCCCCTTGCTCCCTTCATCAGGCGCTCTCCGCTCCTCCAGCCCATCAGCGCCTTGACTCGGGTGGCAAGAGTTGGTAGGTTAACCAGATTCACCAATCCCTGTTAAGTCGCTCACTCACATGTTACCCTTCTAGGATATGGGCTTTTTGTGTTTTTGTTTTTTAACTCAGTTAACATGTACTTTACCACCATAAAGGTAAAATGACAATGGTGGACGTCTCATTCATCCTGGAAGACTGACAGAGGAGACAGCTTCAAGGCAAGCAGGGCTTTGGCCATTTCCCCAGCCCATCAACCAGCCAATCACAAAATCAAAAAACTAGGTGAGTCTTATAATTTTCAAAATACTAATTAATATTTATGGTTTAACTATTGAACAGATTTGCTTAGTGAGGTAGGTACTATTATGACATCCATTTTACAGAGAGTACACAGTCACGAAAAGGTCCAATAACCTCCCAAAGGCTCACAGCTCATAAGCAGCAGGAGCAGGATTCAAACGCAGGCAATCAAAACCCCGAGTCATGCTCTTAACCACTACGCCACGAGTTCTCAAAGCGTGACCTGCACACCCTTGGAATCCTCAAGACCCTTTCAGGGGTTATTAGGTAAAACCCATTTTCCTAATCATACCAAGATGTTATTTGCCTTGTTTATCGTGTTAGTATTTTCACTCATGGTGCAAAAGCAATGGCGGGTAAAACTGCCAGTGCCTGAGGCTGCATGAAGGCAGTGGCTCCACACTGCACCAAGTCGTACGCTCACTGTTGTGTACTCTTAGTGGAGGAGGGAAAGCCAGCTTCACTTAAAACTGTCCTTGACAAAGCAGTAAAGATTACTGCTTTTTTTTTTTCCACAAAAATTTTGACCCTGGAATGCAGATCTTTTAAAATATTTGGTGTGACAAAATGGAAAGTATGCAGAAAACACTATTGCTGCATCCTGAAGTAAGATGTCTCAGGAAAGGCAACTGTGTGATCATTTGAATTGGGAGCTGAAATGGCCACTTTCTTCCTGGGTATGTCATTTGTACTTGACAGAACAGACAGACAGTGATGACCATTCAGATCTGGGTAGCTCTCACACATTTTTCTTGAAATGAATAAAGTCCGCCTGTCACTGCAAATAAAACAACTCACAGTATTTGTTGCCAATGATAAAATTTGACCTCTTAAGAACTAGAATTTTGGAATACTTTTATTTACTATTATGAGCTTGCAGCTTCCCAATACTCGTCATGATAGTGATGAATGTAATTTTTTGGTATTGTATGGTGCAACATCAACATCCGGAAGATCTGAATAACCCAGTGACTCAATATTTTCCAAATGACTAATGTATAATGCTACAAAACCCTGCATTAGTAAAAAATTTTAATGTAACAGAATATTAACGTTCATATGCTTTCAGATACTACATGGCAACTAACCTTTAAGAAACTACTGCTTGTCAAATTTTGTTGTAGTATCAAAGAAGAATATCCATAATTATCTGAAAAGGCTATTAAAATACTCTTTGCCAATTACATATCTGGATGAACCCAGATTTCCTTCATATTTTTCAACCAAAATAATGTATTGCATCAGATTGAGTGCAGAGGCAGACATGCGAATATATGTATCTTCTCTTAAGCAAGGCATCAGAGAGATTTGTAAAAACAAAAAGGTAAAACAATGTATCCATTCTCGCTAAGATTTTTAGACTTTAGAAAAAATATTGTTTTGGTTTTCATGTCTCCAGGGGTATGTGTGCAGGTTTGTTACGTGGATATACTGCATAATGAAGTTTGGGTTTCTACTGAACCCATCACTCAAATAGTGAACACTGTACACAATAGTTAATTTTTAGCCCTCACCCCACTCCCACCCTTTCCCCTTTGTGTTCCCAGTGTCTGCTATTTTCATCTTTATGTCTATGTGTAGCCACTGCTTAGCTCCCACTATGAGTGAGAACATGCAGTATTTGAGTTATTTCACATAAGATAATGTGAAATACAAATGGTGCTGCAAGAGAAATAATTTCATTCCTTTGTATGGCTGCATAGTATTCCGTGGTATATTTATACCACCTTTTCTTTATCCAATCATCAGTTGATGGGCACCCAGGTTGATTCCACGACTTTGCTATGGTGAACGGTACGATGATAAACATACAAGCGCAGGTGTCTTTTTTTTTTTTTTTTTTTTTTTGAGACGGAGTTTGACTCTTGTTTCCCAGGCTGGAGTGCAATGGCACAGTCTCGGCTCACCACAACCTCCACCTCCAGGGTTCAAACAGTTCTCATACCTCAGCCTCCTGAGTAGCTGGGATTACAAGCATGCGCCACCACGCCCGGCTAATTTTGTATTTTTAGTAGAGACCGGGTTTCTCCATGTTGGTCAGGCTCGTCTCGAGCTCCCGACCTCAGGTGATCTGCCCACCTTGGCTTCCCAAGACACCAGCCCAGGTGTCTTTTTTATACAATGGTTCCCTTTGGGTAGATGCCCAGGAGTGAGATGATGGTAGTTCTATTTTTAGTTCTTCAAGAAATCTCCGTACTGTTTTCCATAGAGGTTGTACTAATTTACACTTACACTAACAGGGTATAAGGATTCCTTTTTCTCTGCATCCACCCCAACATCTGTTGTTTTTTTTGAGTTTTTAATAATAGCCATTCTGACTGGTATAAGATAATACCTCAATGTGGTTTTAATTCACATTTCTCTGATGGTTAGTAATGTTTAGTATTCAGAAAATATAGTTATTTTAAATAAACTGATGTTTACATTAAAATGTAATTTTTTAAAAAAATGAATGAATAAATACTTTAAAACTTCCTCGGTTTTAACTCCAGATGTGGTAAATATCAAAAGCTCTTTGGATTCCTCAGTAATTTTTAAGAGTATAAAGGGATACAGAGACCAAAATTTGAAAATCACTGCTGTACAGAATGGAACCTAGAAGGAGAGAAGACAAAGAGCAGGCTGTGTAGCTGCATCACTTTCTTTTTTTTTTTTTTTTTTGAGATGGAGTCTTGCTGTATTACCCAGGCTGGAGCGCAATGGTGCAATCTTGGTTCACTGCGGCCTCCGCCTCCTGGGTTCCAGTGATTCTCCCGCCTCAGCCTCCCTAGTAGCTGGGATTACAGGCATGTGCCACCACTCCAGCTAATTTTTGTATTTTTAATAGAGACTAGAGATGAGGTTTCACCATGTTGGCCAGGCTGGTCTTGAACTCCTGACCTCAGGTGATCCGCTCACCTCAGCCTCCCAAAGTGCTAAGATAACAGGCGTGAGCCGCTGCACCAGGTCTGCATCACTTTCTAGGTGACGGAGGGGAGCCATGCCTAGTCACTATGAATTTTACAGACTTCTCGGCAAGTAAGTTTCAAGGACCCAATTTCTTATCGGTCTTTAAGGCTTAATGACAATAAATTTTAAAGATCAGTCTTGGCCAGGCGCAGTGGCTCATGCCTGTAATCCCAGCACTTTGGGAGGCCGAGGCGGGCGGATCACGAGGTCAGGAGATTTGAGACCATCCTGGCTAACATGGTGAAACCCCATCTCTACTAAAATACACACAAAAAAATAATTAGCCGGGCGTCGGGGCGGGTGCCTGTAGTCCCAGCTACTCAGGAGGCTGAGGCAGGAGAATGGCGTGAATCCGGGAGGCAGAGTTTGCAGTGAGCTGAGATCATGCCACTGCACTCCAGCCTGGGCGACAGAGCGAGACTCCGTCTCAAAAAAAAAAAAGATCATTCCGGACTTCTTGTGGTTTCCGGAGCACGTTCAGCTCCTGCCTCTAGTCTTGTGCACTCGTTGTTCTCTCTGGTCCATCTGGGAAACTCCAACCCTCCTTCAAAACATATAGTGCCAGCCTCTCCTCTCTGCCCCCGGGAACCCTGTATATCCCTTTTCTATACACTAAGCACATGGCTCTGATGTTTGTTTATGTGGCTTTTTCTCTATTGGGAGTGTGAGGCCTTGAAAGCTAGAATTTTTTCTTAATCCTGGTACCTTCCTCAGTACTTGGCATGCAGAGCGAAACTCAGAAAAGATCTGTTGGATTAATAAAACCAAGCAACTCCCTAACATGCACCAACCAATCTTTCAGCAGCAATGTGGCTTCTCCAGGGAAGACTATGTTGACCAGCTGGGAGAAACAGTACAGGATTTTTAGTATTTCTCAGTATGATAAACAACTGACATTTTGACTCACTAGCAAGTCTTGATATAGTTAAGACTGGTGTGAAACCTGAAACTGTAAAACTGAGATCCAAATCTGGGACTTCAAAACCCTCTAAGGCAAGCACCCCTTGCCCAGCCCCCAACATACTACAAGGACCCTCCCTAGGGAGACGGCTGGCCTCCTTCTGCAAGACCCATGTCTCAAGCTCTCTAAAATCAAAACAATGCTTTTAAGCAACCAGGTTGGAAAGAGAAATTTTTAATAAAATGAAGAGTATATGAAGACAATTATAAAGTCACTGCTGTAGCTTGAACTGCTACATGACCAAGGACTTCATAACTCAATTAGAGAAAATATTTTTTCCCCAAATTTAATGTAAGCAATGTGTGGGAATAAAGGATGTTGAGTTAGATAATCCCCTGTAGGCCTCACAGATAATACCATGTGTATACGTTTTGAAAAATGTTCACATACCTCAGGATGTTACAGCTTCTTTCTGGAATGTTGCTACTGTCCTGTTAATCCCTCCCCCAACCTGCCCACCACAATGTTCTCTTATCCTGTTGTTCATCACCCCACTTCCCTTCCTTCCACTATACTGCATTCTCCTGCTTCCCCACCCTATTCATCTAGGAACTAGGGGAGGATACAATAAAGCTGATAGTCATAAGACATTTCACAGACTAGGCTCTGCCAAAGAACACAATCATCTGATTCCCTTGTCCCTACAAAGTAAGAATCTTGGAAATCATCTATTCTCATTCTTATTTTACTAAAGAGGAACCTGAGAAAATGTAAAGTGATTGATAAGCCATATTTTCTCAATCCATTTCCGTATATTTCAGGAAGCTTGATCCCAAGGAAAAGAGGGTGCTCCACAGTCAAAGGGAGAAGGAAACTGAGGAATGGTTAAGACTGTCAGTACCCACTCATCATCATTTACTGAGCATTTACTAGATGCTAAGCACCAGAAGTCCTATGTTAGCAAAGGCAGACAAAGAAAGCCCTATGTGTTTAAAATTTAACAGATAATAAATCAGAGCCAGACTGGGCGCGGTGGCTCACGCCTGTAATCCCAACACTTTGGGAGGCCGAGGCAGGCGGATCACCTGAGGTCGGGAGTTCGAGACCAGCCTGACCAACATGGAGAAACCCCATGTCTACTAAAAATACAAAACTAGCTGGGTGTGGTGGCGCATGCCTGTAATCCCAGCTACTCAGGAGGGTGAGGAAGGAGAATCGCTTGAACCCGGGAGGCGGAGGTTGTGGTGAGCCAAGATTGCACCATTGCACTCCAGCCTGGGCAACAAGAGCGAAACTCCGCCTCAATAATAATAATAATAATAAATAAATAAATTAGAGCCAAAAATAAAGTAAATGCAACAAGCACATTAAAAACAAACAAACAGTAGTTTAGGAAAATGAAAAGTTTAGCAAGTCTCTCTATGAATGGAACAGGAAAGACATGAAGAAAAATTAAAAACTGGGTAAGGACTAAATAATTCACTCACCTTGCAATTTAAGGATTTGTTTAGAAAGAGTGTGTACATTCATTACTGGGAAAGTATTTCTGGTGACCAAAAAAATCCCACAGTAACAACACTGAAGTATTTTTCACAAGAACCCTTAACCCCCTTACTTCGCCACAAGAGGGTGCACATTTCCTTAGGAATACAGTAACCCAGGGAAACCTGCTCAAGTTCCTCTAGGCAGCTGCTCACCTCTGCTCCGGCACCTCTCTCCCTAGCCATGGCAGTAATGAGCATCTGCACATAGTTACATAGGTGAAACGTGTTCACATACTTTATCTCATTCAATTCCAACAACAGCTCTGTGAGGGCGGGTTGGGCAACTTATCAACCCCATTTTATAGAAGAGGAAACACACTCAGAGGTGAAGTGACTTGCCCAAGGTCAGAGAGATCATAATGCTAGAGCCCAAATGCAAACTCACGTTGTCTAGTTCCCAAATCCTGTATACATTTTCCTTACCTCCCTATTAAAGCATAATCAAAAATTCCACAATCGTTCAGCGTCTCTGTTCATCCATTCTACTTCTTCTGAGCAAAGAATCATACACTGGGCAGATGAGAAACTGCTCACTTTTGCATTGTTAAAAACGAGTGAAAGCTGGTTTTTAACAAGTGTGTGTTAGCACCTGGCAATTATCTTTATAGGTTTCCAATGAAGTGAGAAGTACGCTGAAACTTGTCTACAGTATTTAAGGCAGCAGTAACGTGGAAAAAAATAATTTTAATTTTCCTGCTTACAGCAGGGAAATTAATTGTAAGCTCAACTTTCTTTGGACAGATCTTATGAGACTCAGGCTAAAACCTAACTCCAAAACCCTCCTCCTGTCAGAAACACTAGAGTATAGAGGTCAAGGATTTTGGAGTTGGATGCCAGGCTGCCTGGGTTCAAATCCAGGTTTTCCCACTTACCATTTGACCTTGGCCAATTACTCAACTCCGACGTGCCTCAATCTCCCCTCTGCAGAGTGGAGATAAGAGCAGCAGCTCCCTCACACTGTAATAGCGAAGACAGCGTTGTAACATGAAAGCACACATAAGTGCTCAAGCTACAAAAGGCAGTCCTTACTCTAAAAGGCAGATGAGATTATTAATGTTACAGACTAAAGAAAATATATTAATTTTATGTGCATTTTATCAGTGAATTACATTTTATGACAATATCAATGCTTGAAAATACATTTAAATCCTTTTTTTTTTTTTTTTGAGACCAAGTCTCGCTCTGTCGCCCAGGCTGGAGTGCAGCGGCATGAACTCAGCTCACTGCAACCTCCGCCTTCCGGGTTCAAGTGATTCTCGTCCCTCAGCCTCCCGAGTAGCTGGGACTACAGGCATTAGCCACCACACCAGGCTAATTTTTGTATTTTTAGTAGAGATGGGGTTTCGCTGTGTTGGCCAGGCTGGTCTTGAACTCCTGACTTCAGGTGATCCACCTGCCTCGGCCTCCCAAAGTGCTGGGATTACAGGCATGAGCCACTGTGCCTGGCCTTACATCCCTTAATCTATGTGCACAGCAATTATGTCTATCTTAAAGGATTTACAGCATAAATATAAATAGCTAAGAACAAAGCTCTCATATCTTTGCTTTTATGACAGTGTTTGGCATTATCGATGGTCAGTCTCATGCCAAGTCCTTGGTCAAGAAAAAAGAGCTAAATTACAGAGTTCCTCCGGGAGGAGATAATAAGCTTTACACAGCAGAGGGGAAGGCTCCTTACCCCAGGAACCTGAAGACCCAGGCTGTACTTACAGCTCTGCCACTAAATAGCATCTCCTAATCCCACATCCATAACTCTTAAATATTTCTAAAAATATACCTTTTCATTTCCATCACCATGATCTTAATTCATATCCTTAACAGCATGGACTCCTAACTAGCCACAGAAGTGGAGCTCATTAAGTTTGTTGAATGAGTGAATGAATGGGGGGTGGGATAGTGACACCAAAGAAGACCACAGAAAACGGGGGAGAAGATTAGTTTATAAACTATATGCATACACTTTGTTATCTCAAGTCCTAGCTCAGCTCTGATTTCACAGAATGCTGGACCACTCCAGTAAGGCTAACCAGAAGGAATCCACCCTCCCTCTCAGAGTTTTTTCTTAGTGGTAGTGTCACAGGCCCCAAGGGGTCCCCCAGATCACCGTTTCAGTCCAGTTTGTTGGATCAAATCCATCAGATCCTTAAGGCCAGCAGCTCCTGCACCTGGTTGAAGCTGCCTTGGCACCTCTAGGTCTAAGGGGGTACTGGGCCAAGGTCACGGGGACTCGGAGGTGGGGGGGCCACTCTTTCACAGGGTCTGAGTGCCTTCCAGCTCCTTCCAAGGGCCCCAACAAACCCTTCCATTCCAAACACCACACTCCTCCTTTTAAGACTGCCCTCTAAATTCTGATTTAGTTTGAAGGACATCTCTGTTGCCTAACTCCTATGGGGTAGAGATAATTCCATGGCCACATCTCAATCCAAGGTGAACACTTTTTACAGCTTTGACCTCAGATTTTGACACTGCCATGGGTTCGGCTCCCCTTCTTGGGGACATGGCTTCACACACACAATATGTGCACCATCATTCCCTACCCATGCGATGGCAACATCTTGGGGATGACATTTCCTCCACTGGAATAGGCCCACTTGCTTACCCAATGTGGCCGTGAATTAAACAATAAGAGAACATCTCTGCATCTTGCTCACAACCTGAAATTCCCAGCAGGGGACACCATGCAGGTGGGGAATCAGTCATCTGATGGCAGAGTTAATGAGCTCAACACTTAGGGTTTCAAGTTAGGCTTCACGGGCAGTCTCTGCGATGTCGGACTGCACAATGTTGGGGACATGCCTGAATTTGGCTTCCACAGATTGTAACAAGAGTTTTCCTTTTGACCCTGATACGCAAAACTGTGCCATCAGTACTGGGTGGCAAATCTATGCTAGGAAGGGACATGATCTCAGCCATCAAAATTAGAAATGGAACAGCCCTCCCCAAATCTAGGCAGAATAACTTAGTCCTAAATGTCTTAGAAGGGCTTTTGATACTTGTCTTGGGACTCTAATTTACAAGCTAACAAGTGTCACCATGAAAATGGCTTTTTGTGATGTTTCGCATTAATTTGTATTTCTTTTTATATACTGCTTTGATTGATTCTAAATACATTTTCTCTTTCCATGATGTTTACATCCTTCACATTCCTAGGGACTGTTATCATATCCCCTTTAATCATCCGTTGGCCAAGCTATACATATTAAATTCCTTTCATCTCTCCTATGTCCTTCCTTCCAGCAGCGTTGGCTCCTCTTTAAATTCCTTCCAATCTGTCAACATCTTTCTGGAGCTGATGTACACCCTCCCTTAATAAACATTCTAGGTGCTCCTTGTTTCCTAAGAGTTCTCCAAAGACTCCTACTGTGAAAAAATATTGGACTGGGAGTCAAAAGTGGTAGTTCTAGTCCTGGATCTGCTCCAAGCCTCAGTTTTCCCTTTTATAACATGGGAGTAACACCTTTTTTGGCTTGATCAAAAGAGAGTATAAAATATAAAATCACTTTGCAGATTATAAAGTAAATGTGCACAAAGAATGTGTGCATATAGTATTTGCACAATATTAAAAACATAAACAAAAAAATTGGAAACAAGTATGTCAAATAACTTGTTAAATCTGATAGTGGCATTCGCAGTAACAGTTACATTATTCTATACATTGAGTGCTTTACATTTCAACTTCAAAGAATTATTTATCCATTTACTACAAGTATTTACTTAACTTCTACTCTACACAAGAAGACAGACTAGACAATGTGGGAGAACATGAAGCAAAGACCTCGAGAAGTTATGATGGTCATCCCCAGTTCTTAGACACTCAGTACTTGGTTTGGATCACAGAATATCAGGAAGCTGTTCCTGCTGTCTCTTGGATTATGCTTTATAACATTGTGGTGATCTCTTATTATTTCTTTAGAGTAGATTCTGAGAAACAGAATTACTAGGTCAAAGGGTGTGACCATATTTAGGCCTCAAATTTCCAAATAGTTTCCCAGAAAGAGTGTGCCAATTTCTACCCTCACTGCCAATGTTTAACAGTGTATTACCAGGCCATTGCCAACACTGGATATTATCTTTATTCCAAATCTAATGAATTGCTTTTAGAATTCATAAATAAAGGCATGAAAAAATCTAAAATAAATTCATTTCTACCAAGATTAAGTATCCTCACTTGCTATCTATTTTGATGTCGCCTTGTGGTAAGTATTCAACAGAATCTTTAGTACTTCAAAAGACATTAACTGAGTGCCTATTATTTTCCAGGCAATAAAACTGGGGGTTAAACCACAAAGATGAAATAGTCCCAGATCCTGCCTTTAAAGGGCTCATAATCTAGTGTAAAAGATAAACACTAATAATTACAGAACTAATTATAGAGCACTGTGGGCAGAGGTCCTTCCTTGAGAACATGAAAAGTATAAAAGCAACACAGAAGACGGAGGCAGGAACAGCCTAGGGGAGTCAGGAAGGGCTTCAGGGAGGTGGCAATATCCGAGCTGGGTTTTGAAGGATGAGCAAGTCTTAACCAGAGAGGGGAGAACGAAAGAGATGAATCCAGGCAGAGGAACCAGTTGTTGGTCTTTGCAGCCACTACCATCCTCTCTCAGAAAATGTTTTATTATATGAAGGTTTAGCAATTCAGGGCTAAGCCTCACTGGGCAGTTTTATTGTTTTAATCTCTATCATTTACAGTTGCATTTCTGTCCCTGGAGAAAGCAATCAGAAAATATTCCTGGTACTTCATCCAACAAAGGGCACAAGATCACTGCTGCTTCCTTCACAGAGAATGCTGTTTTATAAAAACAAGTATTAAACAATAATTTTGCTAAATACAAACTTTAAAACTTAGATTGTCAAGCTTGAAGAGGACCTTTAATCCTTAAAGATCCTTAAATACTTTCTCAGGTAAAGTGGGAATATCTATAAGTTAAGATGAATAACTTTCCTTTCCACTCCTACAAAATTAAATCAATTGGAGCTACAAAAAAAGTCACAAAACCCAGTTTAAAAAATAGCACAAGAAATGATTAATGACATCAGATCAATTTTCAAATAATAAAAATATTCCTAAAAGCTGCCCTTTTATATGTGTTTTCACATATCTTTGGTGGCATATATAAATATCCATGTCTGGGATTTAGCAGCGTTCTGAAAAATATACTCTTGTGGAATAGGGATTACAACGGTGGACTTAAAACAAAACGAAACGGCCATTGCAACTGTACTAGGTTACAAGCCTCTAACCTGTCCTGGAATTTTCAAAGCCCAAACATCACTGCTGGTCTCTAATCCTCAGTGTGTTTAAATTGCAGGGCATTTAAACAGAATTGGCAGAAAAACACATACAAAGGGGCCTCTTTATAAACTGTAAAAAGATAGCATTCCAATTACTCTGTCAATTATTTTCTTTTAAACTAAGTCCTTCAAATTGTGCCGTATGGCTCAAATGTCTTCCTAAACCCTTCTGTTATCAAAAGGCAAATAGATCTTCCCTTGAATCTAAATGACAGCCTGGCTTTCTCCTGGCTCCTCAGGAATCACTACCACCTGCCGGAATGCAGCTGAATTTGGCCAGGAGCAGACACACTGATGCTGTCCCGTGATGAGGACAGATTCTCTAGTCAGGGAGCTCTAAGGGAAGGCTATGACCAGGAGTCCAGGTACCCAGACACGCGAAGCTTCTCTTTCTGTCTAGCCCCACAATGCAACCCAGATCTCGGCGGAGGTTCCAGACCATCTGCCACCGTGCTTAAGACTCAGGTCAGCCTACGTTCAGATATTGAAAATTACCATTTATCTCCATCTTTATTAAAAATAAATATACCATCAAATTATGTCCTTTTTTTCCCTCCCCCCCACCCCCCCTACCCCCCACCCCGAGACAAGGTCTCACTCCCATTGCCCAGGCTGCAGTGCAGTGGCACAAATGCAGGTCACTGCAGCCCTGACTTCCCAAGTTCAGGTGATTCTCCCACCTCACCCTCCTGAGTAGCTGGTACTACAGGCGTACACCACCATACCTGTCTAATTTTTAGTACAGACGGGGTTGTGCCATGTTGGCCAGGCTAGTCTCTAACTCCTGGGCTCAAGCAATCCACCCGCCTCAGCATCCCAAACTGCTGGGATTAAAGGTGTGAGCCACCATACCCGGCCTTTTTATTTCCTTCTCAATTGTTGAAAAGCAAAGGGGATCTTTACACAAAACCATGTATGTCCACACAATTGGACTGGCATGAAAAATAAATGTTTGTTTGCATATTTAGAAAGATACATATCATACAAGGTGAAGAATAAAACACTAAACCATTCATTTACCATTTAATCAACAGCACCTACTATGTGCCAAGCACTGTGCTGGGCTGAGGACACTGAAATCAATAACACACAGTTTCCCATTCTCAAAACATTCACAGTCTAATACAGACCAGTACTATTTTCTCCTTCATATTAAATGTCTACCTGCTGAGTTTCCAACAGAACTAGCCAAGAGTATCAGATTTACTCACCTCCCAACCTTAGAAGTATAGTCATTTGAAGTCTTTTTGTTCTGTGTTATGCTAATAATCATAATAGTTAAAACTGATTGAATACCTACTCTATGTCAAAGGTCAAACTAACCTATTTTCTTAATGTTATCAAGAGTAATCCTTTGAGCTACTCTTATCATTGCTTCTTCACAGGTGAGGAAACCAAGCTCAGAACCATAGGTGTCTTACTCATAGCCATATACCTAGTAAAGGTTAGAGCCAGGATGTAAGCTTGAGTCTGCCCAAACTGGACTTATGCTCTTAATTACCAAGCTTTGTGGTCTATACTCACTCAAGGGACTGTCAAGAGTAGCTGCAAGTTGAGGAAATGTTTGCATATTTTCTTTTTTTATTTTATTTTACTTATTTATTTTGAGACGGAGTCTCGCTCTGTCGCCCAGGCTGGAGTGCGGTGGCGCGATCTCGGCTCACTGCAACCTCCGCCTCCCAGGTTCAAGCAATTCTCCTGCTCAGCCTCCTGAGTAGCTGGGATTATAGGCACATGCCACCATGCCCGGCTAATTTTGTATTTTTAGTAGAGACGGGGTTTCACTGTGTTAGCCAGGATGTCTCGATCTCCTGACCTCGTGATCCACCAGCCTCGGCCTCCCAAAGTGCTGGGATTACAGGAATGAGCCACTGTGCCCGGCCGCATATTTCCTTCTTGAGAAATTGTTCTGTCAAAGGCACAAGGGTAAAATACTCCAATAGCATATAAAAATCCTCTCAGAGATAAGTTCAGCGAGTTATTGATTTTCAAACCTCTTGCCAGCCTACCGATAATTTTATAAATCCAACAGAACCATATGCAGAATACCTTGCTGCAAGCAGAAGTACAATTTTGAAGCTACTGGTTGTCAATTTTGATTTTTATTGAACTTCATAAATCTCAAAGCTGACCTTTCAGATTCATTTCTTTCCTATTCAGGATCCATGGGCTAATTTGACCAATAGACACAAGATAAAAGAATGAATGGGTATCAGTGGTGAGTGGCACCCTGTCCCATGAATAACTGCTATTTGTCATTGTCAAAAACCTGGAATTCGCTCTGAACAGAGAAAAATTCCAGGTCCCATGGGATTACAGATAAGGAGAACTCAACCCAGAACAAAAAGCCATGGAAAGGGTGACAACAGTAACTGGCCACTGTCATTACAAAAATTACAACAGTCAGGGCTGGCTTCATGGGTGAGCTCATTTGATGCCCAATGAGTACGGGATTTTGGTAGACCCACCATGAGTGGGAGTTCCACAAGATGCAGAGCAAGCACGAGGTAAGCATGTTATATCTATGACTGAGTATGTGTGGGTGCAGCCCAAGAGACCACACTTTCTACTGGAACTAGAATTTGCCTTGAATGTAGAAAGAAGGCAATGGCACTCTGAGAAACATGAACAACCCCTCTTACTCATGTTACTTCTTCATGTTAGCCAACCACTTACACTAAAAATGGTGTTGTATGTTATAGAAGGAAAAGAAGAGATAATTCATAGTTTCTTTTCCATTAGTTTTCCATAGCTCCATTATTCATTAGTAAGCTGAAGGTGGAGAATATTGGTAAAATGTGCATATATTAAGAAGTGAAATAATAAATGATAAATTTTTTTAAAAAGTGAAATAAGTTTGAGACCAGTCTGGGCAACACAGTGAGAGCCCACCTCTTAAAAAAAAAAAAAAAAAAATTAGCCGGCCAGGCACAGTGGCTCACGCCTGTAATCCTAGCACTTTCAGAGGCCAAGGCAAGTGGATTACTTGAGGTCAGGGGTTCGAGACCAGCCAGGCCAACATGGTGAAACCCCATCTCTACTAAAAATACAAAAAAATTAGCCAGGCATGGTGCCGGGTGCCCGTAATCCCAGCTACTTGGGAGGCTGAGGTAGGAGAACTGCTTGAATCCAGGAGGTGGAGGTTGCAGTGAGCCGAGATTGCGCCACTGCACTCCAGCCTGGGCAACAGAGTGAGACTCCATTTCGAAAAAAAAATATTAGCCAAGCGTAGTGGTGCACACCTGTGATCCCAGCTACTTGGGAGGCTGAGGTGGGAGGATCACTCGAGCCCAGGAGTTTGAGGTTACGGTGAGCTATGATCACCCCACTGCACTCCAGCCTGGATGACAGAGTGAGATCTCATCTCAAAAAAAATAAAAATAAAAGTGAAACAAAAACAGCTGAGTTAGTTTAATGCAGCATTTCCACAATTTTGGTTAGAACAATGTGTGAAGTACAAAATATGAACTGCATGATTTCAGTGATAACAAGCTAAATGCTCTCATATTTGCATTTTAAACTGCATTGCGGCCAGGCACAGCGGCTCATGCCTGTAATCCCAGCACTTTGGGCGGCTGAGGCGGGCAGATCACGAGGTCAGGAGTTCGAGACCAGCCTGGCCAATATGGTGAAACCCCGTCTCTACTAAAAATGCAAAAATTAGCTGAGCATGGTGGTGTGCACCTGTAGTCCCAGCTACTAGGGAGGCTGAGACAGAAGAATTGCTTGAATCTGGGAGGCGGAGGTTGCAGTGAGCCAAGATCGTGCCACTGCACTCCAGCCTGGGCGACAGAGTGAGACTCCGTCTTAATAAATAAACAAACAAACAAACTGCATTGCACAATATAAAGGCAAACAATAAAATTCATACTAATAATTACATTTTTTTTTTTACTTAGAGTGACTTTAAGTAACAAATAAAACACACCATGACAAGTCAGGAGAGAGACGATGGAAGAAAGGAAAACTTTATATTTTAATTTTTTTATTTTTGTTTATTTTTTGAGACAGAGTCTTGCTCTGTTGCCCAGGCTGGAGTGCAGTAACACGATTTTGGCTCACTGCAACCTCCATCTTCCAGGTTCAAGTGGTTCTCCTGTTTCAGCCTCCAGACCAGCTGGGATTACAGGTGCGTGTCACCACGCCTGGCTAATTTTTGTATTTTTAGTAGAAATGGGGTTTCACCATATTGGCCAGGCTGGTCTCAAACTCCTGACCTCAGGTGATCCTCCCACCTTGGCCTTCCAAAGTGTTGGGATTACAGGTGTGAGCCACCACGTCTGGCCTATATTTTAATTATTTAATGATACTTTTCCTGTTTTTTGAACAAGGGACCCCACATTTTCATTCTGCACTTGGTCCAGCAAATTAAACAGCTGGCTTTAGTTATAGTATCAGATAAAATTATTAAATTATGACCAATCCATTGCCTCTTTTGAACCAAACCTCAAATCACGATGTAAAAGACTAGATAATTCAATAACAAAGCAAACAAAAACTCCTGCTTGGAATTCTGGCTTTGGTGAAATCAACGAATTAACACAACCTCCTTCCACCACACGCAACAATCCAGGGATCATAGAAAATCAAAGGTAATCCGCACAAAATGTAGGAAAGAGGTTTTTAACACCCAGTCAGTCCTAGCAGTTCTCCCAGTGTCTAAGTCTACACCTAAAGGGTTTCCTGGGAGGGAAAAACTGCAGATAGTGCAAGTGGCACAATTGATACATTTTTTAGTGCAAATCTCTGTATGACACAAGCAGCCCCAGACTCTGGCAATGACTTACTGCTTATGTGCACCTGTCATCTTTGGCACCTGAGAGACGAGAGATAACTTCTAATGTTTGATGGAAATTTTAAGGTTTGAAAAATAAAGCACTTTCCTATACAGTCTTATTTTATTCCTACCATAGCCAAGTGAGGAACTCAGGAAAAGTATTTTTCAATAAAATTTTTATTGTTAGTATTCCAGTGATAAAAAGTAATGCTGCTTTTATGTGATTGATCTGGGTAGTAGCTACATGGGTATTCACTTTATACTCATTCATTAAACTGTATATATGTGTTTTGTGTACTTTTGTGTATGATATAGTCTGCAAAAAAAAAGAACAAAAGGTATAAATGTTCATTGTAGGAAATCAGAAAAGGAGGTTTAAAATCTCCCATAATCCCATCAGAGGAAACTACTATTAATTTGACACCTTCCTTTCTTAGTTTTTATAAAATTGGAATTATCAGCCAGGTGCCATGGCTCACACCTGTAATCCCAGTACTGTAGGAGGCCAAGGCGGGTGGATCACTTGAGGCCAGGAGTTTGAGACTAGCCTGGCCAACATGGTGAAACCCCATCTCTACTAAAAAATACAAAAATTAGCTGGGCGTGGTGGCCGGCGCCTGTAATCTCAGCTACTTGGGAGGCTGAGGCACAAGAATAGCTTGAACCCTGGAAGTGGAAGTTGCAGTGAGCTGAGACTGTGCCATTGCACTCCAGGCGGGGAGACAGAGTGAGACTCTTTCAAAAAAAAGAAAAAATTGGAATCACATTTTCCACATTTTGTATCTTTTTCTTAAACTCAGCATATCATGTTTTCATACGGCATTAAAAATTCAACACTGCTTAATAAAGATAAACCTAGTTTTTTTAACCAATTCCCAACTGTTCGATGTTTAGGTTGTTTCTAAATTTATTTCCGAAAGGACCAGAGGGCCTTTATTTCTATTTCACAGAAAGTAACATCGTGTGGAGGCATGCCCTTGCTGCTGGTGTGCGGCAGAGCCAGGAGGAGACATGCCTCCCTGCACTTGGAGGCCTCATTCCCCTCCACACGCTGCTTTGCACTTCCTCTGATCACACGGGTTTAACTTGACAGATTAAAGGGAAAAACTGTGAAAGACAATCTACCCCTGACCCTTTCCCATGAACTCTCTGCAATCCTAAATAGAGGAATGGTCGACCAAGTTCAAGGTTAAGATCAGGAAGCACAAGCTTCTCTGGTACCTGGCCTGCAGATGAAGGGGTACCAGTGCTGTCCGTGTGAGGTATACTGCTGGGCCCAAATAGTTACTTGGGAGGCCAGGGAAAGAGAATAAACTTTTCAAAAGTACAGAGTTGCAGGGTTCGAGGTTAGTAGAGAGGTTTTATAAATATTTACTGAACAAAACTCTGCCTGTTAACTGGCTGACACAGAGCAAGGTGTGGTTTTCCTTCCCACCCCCAGAGGTGGCTGGGAAAGTTGGTCTGACAAACCAGTGGGAAATGCTGCCCAGCCAAGATGGAACCAAGAGACGGCAAGAATGCCTAAGATGATTCAGGAAATGAGTCCAACCGTCTTCTGTCTGTCCTCTTCCCTCAGCCCCCACAACTCCCACTTCTATTCACTGAAGCAGGAAACCATAGAGAAGACACTCACAAACAAAACACTGGCTGCTGCAATGAGCGCCTGCAGTAGCTGGCCAAACAAACAGCTCTGGTCACAGTGCACAGCATAGCTGCTGCCCAACAGGTTGAAATATCACTCGCACCATTTCGTATTGTGAATGCCACTGGGTGGCAATAAAAATAATGAGCTGTGGGAAGGTTGTACATAAGAAAAAAAAAAAAAGTCCTAACCTTCCTCTGGTTTGGTGGGTGGTCTGAAAGTTTTCTTCTTGGCAAGGTCATGTCCACTTTTTCACACTCCTTGCTAACTGAAGTAGCCAAGAACCTAGGTTTGGGAAGACAACCTTTCTTCAGATAAAACCACAAGTAAACCAGACCAGACTTAAGAGAATCTACCTTATTATAAGGACCCCAGAGATAGTAATTCCAAAAGCTACTGAAAAGAAACAAAAATGTTTAGTTACTGTTTACTGGAAAATCTCCCCAACACATATATACAAATTCAATTCTAATCCCTGATTTTAAAAATAAGCCTGTTATACAGTCTGCCTGGCTTGACAAATTTGACTTGGGGGCACCTTGAGTGGGCGGAGGGCAATCAAAGTGATAGGAAGTGATGTCCCAGCGCCACTAAAGCCAAGACACCACCTAACTGCTCACAGCGACCATGGACATAAAAGCAGCTGGTTCCAAACAGCAGCATTCTCAAGGGCAGGGGCTCCCAGTGGCAGGGCAATTCACGTGAGCAACTCCATGTTCTCCCAGTAAAAGCAGGGACGGATCTACTTAACGATTATTTTCCTATGAGCAAAACCGTGGAGGCCACCATCCTAATTCAGAAGGACTGGCCTTTCTATCACTGGAACACGGGTCCAAACTGAATGTCTCTCGCTTCTGGATCAAAAAAGCCAGCTCTCACTAACAGGTAGGAGACACCATTTAACTTATAAGCTTTGTGTACCTTTATGAGGAAGATTATATATGAGGGCGGAGCAAAAGTGGGGACAAAGCCAACAGGAAACATATATCATATTATGCAACCAAGATACCTATTTATAACTTTTATTAAACTTCCATTTAAATGGTAGATTCTTGAGCTAGGGATTCCTGTAGAAGTTATCGGAGCTATTATATAGCAAAAGAGAAAATGCTCTTATGTTTGGAAGCAGGACCAGAAAAAGATCTCTTTGCTGCTTTAAGCAAAGTTGTAAAAGTAGGTCTGTAAAGATCTAGGTATGCAAATGTGACCCTGCTAAATTTTGAGTGTGGGCTCTTTTTCATTCCTGGCCTGCCTTCTTCTGGAAGTGTGATTGGACAAGAGGCAAAATCAAAAACAAAGGCAAAAACCAGGCAAAACAGAAAAATAAGCCAGAGACCTAGAAAACTCCAAAACGAACAATTTCCAAGTCACTAGGAGCTGAGGATAATTATCCATCTACATATCAATGGAATTACTATGTTTTAACTTTCTAGGATCTTTGTTCTTCCTAAATTATCCACTTTCAGCTTCTAACTTAACAATTTATAAATAGCTACCGTTTTACTGCTATGAAGAAATTTAGATTTTTAAGATGTTAACATATTTTAAAGCTCTGAAAACTGGTAACGCTACGATTTATCACTTTTTCTCACTATCCTTATGTTATGGTACTGTCACCAACCCTGGACTTTAAAGTCTTTGGTATTTAGGGTCTAGATGGTCTGTTATTACGGGTTTTAAAAAATATAGACTGGGTGCAGTGGCTCACACCTGTAATCCCAACACTTTGGGAGGCCAAGAGGGGTGGATCACCTGAGGTCAGAACTTCGAGACAAGCCTGACCAACATGGTAAAACCCCATCTCTACTAAAAATATAAAAATTAGCCAAGCATGGTGGCACCTGCCTGTAATCCCAGCTACTTGAGAGGCCGAGGCACAAGAATCACTTGAACCTGGGAGGTGGAGGTTGCAGTGAGCTAAGATCACACCATTGCACGCCAGCCTGGGCGACAGAGCAAGAGTCCGTCTCAAAAATAAATAAATAAATAAAATAGTCCATATATATTGTTCATATATATATGAACAATGACTATTTGGTTTCTTTAGTAGACTGAGAATGTCCCAAACATGGTGATCAAAGGTGCCTTCCTATCACGATTTTATATTTTATTTTATTTTATTCTACTCTACTCTACTCCAATTTTATTTTATTTTATTTTATTTTGAGACGGAGTCTCGCTCTGTTGCCCCGGCTGGAGTGCAGTGGTGCAATCTCGGCTCACTGCAACCTCCACCTCCCAGGTTCAAGCGATTCTCCTGCCTCAGCCTCCCGAGTAGCTGCGACTACAGGCGCCTGCCACCATGCCCAGCTACTTTTTTGTATTTTTAGTAGAGACAGGGTTTCACTGTGTTAGCCAGGATGGTCTCAATCTCCTGACCTTGTGATCCATTTCACCGTGTTAGCCAGGATGGTCTCGATCTCCTGACCTTGTGATCCACCCGCCTCAGCCTCCCAAAGTGCTGGGATTACAGGCGTGAGCCACCATGCCCGGCCACCTATCACTTTTTAAAGGGCTCCCATTTAGACTACCTTCACAGGAGCAAAGAGGTAGAGGAAGGAACTGGGGGGTTACATAATGGATACACTACTAGGTATGCGATATACTGCCTGCCTGTACTCAGTGTGTCAGTGAACAAGTACTACTGTGTCTTAATATCAGAAGTAGCAACTGGAAAATAGAAAAATATGCCACAAAGCCTGCTGCTATTCCTATTGTGGGAAGTCAAACAGCAACCTTTTCAAACTTCAATTTTCTTTCCCTCCAGTAATAGGTTACATAGAAGTTCTCCTCCAAGTTTTAGAATGTACTTCTAAAAATTCCCAACCAGCAAATTGTAGACCAGCAGTAGAAACTGCTAAGGCATAATATATAACAATCATTATAGACTGAATTCTTCGACTCTTGATTTAGAATATACCAACTGCCATCTCACCCTACCCAAACAGCCTGCACGGTGGCAACCCTGTCCCAGAAAATCTGGCTGTCCCCACAGCATTCAAAAGTCACCCTGGTAAGTCTCATTTTGCAAAATCTGTTCCCCAAGTTCCTGACACAAAGAACTCCAATGCCATTGATAACCTCAGAAATTCTACAAGGTCCCCTTATCAGCCATTAAAATTGTTTTAAAGTAAAAATCATTTTACTTAAATTTAGTAATCTAAGAACTTCTTGGCTGGACGCAGTGGCTCATGCCTGTAATTCCACCACTTTGGGAGGCCGAGGCAGGCTGATCACTTGAGGTCAGGAGTTCAAGACCAGCCTGGCCAAGATGGTGAAATCCCATCTCTACTAAAAATACAAAAATTAGCTGGGCATGCTGGCACATGCCTGTAATCCCAGCTACTTGGGAGGCTGAGGCAGGAGAATTGCTTGAACCTGGGAGGCAGAGGTTGCAGTGAGCCGAGATCACGCCATTGCATTCCAGCCTAGGTGAAAAAGCGAGACTCCGTCTAAAAGAAAAAAGAAAAAAAAGAAAAAAAAATTCTCTCTTTTCTGGCTTGATTTTACTGAGAACAGTAATTTAACCTACACATATACATGTCAAGGCTCTGTTGTAAAGGATAATTGTCTACTAGTTTATTTATCAGGCTCCTGGCCTTAAAGATAAATGTCTAGAGGCAGAAAAAAACTGAGAAGTTGGGGTCATCACTTGAAGATTCAACTCACTTAGAGGAATTAAAATACACAATCAATTGTTGATTAGACAGTAACAATTATAATGAATGCTAAAGTCCAAGTTCAAACAAGCAATTAAAGTTGATACAAGAAGTATAAACAATTCATGAATGAGCTAATTGCTCTTCTGAGTAGGAACTGGCCTCTAGTCCTCACACTGTGTCAGTCTATCCCCAAATCTATCCCTGAATCTCTCTGGTAACTCCCATGACATTTCCTCCCAGGTGCAGCAGCACTAATATAAGCTTCTCTTTTCTGGACATAACTTCTTCCGCTGGGTAATTTTGAGAAAAAACTTGTTTTACTACCCAGTGTAAAAAGTTAAATAGGACCTGCAATCAGACTTGGAATTAGCCAGGATATGATCTCTCATTGAAAGGCACTATTTCAATTAACAAAGTTGCAGTGTGTTAAAAAACGTCCTTGACACCAAGCCAAGAGCATGAATTAGGTTGGCCCAGAAAGAAATGAGCCTGTGCCTGAGAAAAATCAGGCAAACACACATCTTTAACAAAAATTAAAAGTACACCAAAAATACAATGATATCTGGGCATTTATCACCCACGCGGACTTACTGCAAGAATAGAAGCTCTTTGTAGGTAAGGACTATCTCCTAGCTCAGTTGTTTTGAACTTTAGCACACTTAAGAAGTCCCTGGAAGACTTGTTAACAAGCAAGTTGCAGGAACCACTTCCAGTATTTCTGGGTGAATCTGGGGTGGGGCCTTAGAATTTGCATTTCTAACAAGGTCCCCATTGACAGTGAGAGGACCACACTGAGAATCACTGTCCTGGCTTATCTATTATGTAGTGTGAACAAAGGTCAGAGAATGCTTACCTTTCTGTGGGGAACATCCCCTCCAAGGCACTGGAAAGCCGCATTGTGAAAGGATCCTTCAGGAAATGCCCCATTTTGCCTTGACACTGGGAATTTATTATCTGTTGATCTTTAATCTATAAATTATAAACCTCTCTAGACATTGACACCTTCCAAAGAAAGGAGAGAAACTCCCCTAGCCTAGGAACCATCTCGCCTGGAATAACACTTGTCCCATCCCCTAGAGGTACAAATTCTAGAGTAAGACACACCTGAGTATCTAAAGCTCTCAGCCAGAATTCATAGAAAACTCAGTAAACATCAAGGCTATCATGCCTGGTCCTTGCTAAGGACTTCTACAGTTCTCTACGTAGATCACTTGTAATCCAGGAACTCTTCCTCCACAAACTCCTACCTATCCAAGATTTCTCAACAAGATGTCAAGACAAGACAGAAAGGCTTCTCTTGGGAAAAGATTACGTGCAATCCTCTGGGATTTCTTTGTCTTCCTGTATCCCTGTCTCTGCTCCAATCCAGACCCCCCTCATATACTGTCATAGCCCCTTCACCTGTGTACTTTTACTCAAGTTCAAAAATGTCTTTCAGAACCAGGATAGGTGCCAGCCATCATAAATCAGCCAAAGATAAGCAAACCGTCACACCACTTGAACACGTGTTTCCTCTGAAATTTATGTCCACTCACATTCTCTTCTTTTAAAACAATTGCTTCCTGGCTGGGCGTGGTGGCTCACACCTGTAATCCCAGCACTCTGGGAGGCCAATGTGGGCAGATCACCTGAGGTTAGGAGTTTGAGAACAGCCTGGCCAACATAGTGAAACCTCGTCTCTATTAAAAATATATTAGCTGGGCGTGATGGGGTGTGCCTGTACTCCCAGCTACTAGGGAGGCCAAGGCACAAGAACCACTTGAACCCAGGAGGCAGAGGTTGCAGTGAGTGGAGACTGCGCCACTGCCTCCGGCCAAAAAATTGCTTCAAGTAACATTATAAAATCATACATATAGAAATTAGAAAATTAAGATATTAGTGATTCTATCACCCAATGATAACCACTGTTAATAATCTAATGAAGGGGTCGGGTGTGGTGGCTCATGCCTGTAATCCCAGCACTTTGGGAGGCCGAGGCAGGCAGATCACCTGAGGTCGGGAGTTCGAGACCAGCCTGACCAACATGGTAAAACCCCATCTCTACTAAAAACATAAAAATTAGCCAGGCATGGTGGCGCACGCCTGTAATTCCAGGTACTCAGGAGGCTGAGGCAGGAGAATTGCTACTAGAATTCTCCTGCTGAGGCAGGAGAATTGCTACTAGTATTCTCCTGCTGAGGCAGGAGAATTGCTTGAGGCAGGAGACGGAGGTTGTGGTAAGCCAAGATCACGCCATCGCACTCCAGCCTGAGCAACAAGAGGGAAACTCCATCTCAAAAAAAAGAAAAGAAAGAAACATAATCTGATGAAGAGGACAGGCACAGTGGTTCACACCTGTAATCCCAGCACTTTGGGAGGCCGAGACGGGCGGATCACGAGGTCAAGAGATTGAGACCATCCTGGCCAACATGGTAAAACCTCGTCTCTACTACAAATACAAAAATTAGCTGGGCGTGGTGGTGGGCGCCTGTAGTCCCAGCTACTCAAGAGGCTGAGGCAGGAGAATGGCAGGAACCCGCAAGGCAGAGTTTGCAGTGAGCCGAGATCGTGCCACTGCACTCCAGCCTGGGCAACGAGGGAGACTCTGTCTCAAAAAATAATAATAATAATAACAATAATAATCTGATGAATGCTATTAGTTGTGTAGGTATTTATGAAAATGGGACCATACTGTTTATTACTCTTCTGCAATCTTCTTCACTTAGTATATTGTACAAGTCTTTATATATTCTTCTACAACATTAATTTTAGTGGCTACAAAGGGTTTCATGGCATAGGTGGACAATAATTTCCTTAACTCCTTGGAGTCTTTCCTCTCTCGCACATGTTATGTCTACTTAGGGTCCAGCACAATGACACATCCATTTACAACCCCTACACTCCATCACTAGGCCATGTGCAGGAACAGGCCATTGCAGGAGTAGAATCATTGGATGATAAAGCTAGAGGAATTATTACCTAATAAATTTGTGAACAGACTTTCTTAATCAGAGAAAAAAACATTTAAATTACTTAAAAAGCATTTCTCTTCATTTCTTCACACTGTAATATTAGGTAGCAGGTGGTCCATAAAGCCATTCTCTTTTATACTCCAATACAGCTGAAACATTTCCCCCTAATTTTGTTTTAATGGGAAATTTAATTGTCAATGAAATTAAATACAACCTGAGTACACTTTACACACATTCCCCAGGGCCTAAAGGTAGTAAGAGCATAATTTTAAACTTTTTTTTTTTGGAGACAGTGTCTCTCTCTGTCACCCAGGCTGGAGTGCAGTGGCATGATCTTGGCTCACTGCAACCTCCACCTCCCGGGTTCAAGCGATTCTCCTGTCTCAGCCCTCAGCCTCCTGAGTAGCTGGTATTACATGTGTGTGCCACCACACCCAGCTAATTTTTGTATTTTGGGTAGAGACAGGGTTTCACCATGTTGGCCAGGCTGGTCTCGAACTCCTAACCTCAAGTGATCCTCCCACCTCAGCCTCCCAAAGTTCTGGGATTACAGGCATGAGCCACCATGCCAAGCCCAATTTTAAACTTTTAAAAAAATAAGTAAGAGGGAGAAGTAAGACATACAAATTATTTACTATGTTTTCATTCACAACAGAGAGAATGCAGGGGGCTGAGGGTGGTAGTAGGGGAGACAAATCTAAGCCTTACAAGATACATTTTAATTAGTTAATATTGTTAAAGAATCAAAGACCTTGTGTGAGATCAAGTTCAAATCTTTCCATTTTACGCTGTGCTTCTCAAAGGATTCTCATAAAACCAACTACTGTGAGTGTCAGAATTACCTTTCCAATACCAAGCATTCACCTCTAGAAACACATACAATTGTGGCCTCCACTGCTTTCTCTGGTGTTAGAGGTGATATAACTCCTGGGAACTGTACTTGCGGAACGGGGTGCTCTCTGCCTGTAAGGAAACCTTCTGCCCCCTCTACTCAGCCCCTCCAAGTCTGTGTCTTCTGCTTCTCGTTTCTCACCTCAAAGCATGTGGTCTTTCATCTTGGGAGAACCAACGTTACAGGGAAAGATGCAGAAAAGATGATATATGACATACAGGGAAAAAATCAACTCATATATCCCTGTGAAATATTATTTATCACTTCCCAAAACAAGTCATACCTGGGGTGGCCGAGTCTGCCTCTGTGTCACACGAAGATAAGGCAACTGCGCAATCCAAAGAGACCAGCAGGCCACAGCCATCACTTCCTGCGGCTAAGTAGACATTTCCTCTTGATGTCCCAGTATCTCAAATTTAAAATCTCTTCAAACCCACCTCCCCCTTCTGATTTCCATTTACATTTAATAAAACAATAGCAGCATCCTTCTCCCAAGATCTGCATTTCAGGATCTGATATGGCTTGGATGTGTGTCCCCTCCAAAGCTCATGTTGAAATGTGATTCCCAATGTTGGAGGTGGGGCCTGGTGGGAGGTATTGGATCATGGGGGTGGATCCCTCACAAATTGCTTGGCACCATCCCCTTGGTGATAAGTGAGTTCTCACTCAGTTAGTGCATGCAAGATCTGGTTGTTTAAAAGAGTCTGATGCCAGGTGCAGTGGCTCACACCTGTAATCCCAGCACTTTGGGAGGCTGAGACAGATGGATCACTTGAGCTCAGGAGTTCGAGACCACCCTGGGCAACATGTTGAAACCCCATCTCTACAAAAAAAAAAATACAAACATTAGCTGGGTGTTGTGGTGTGTAGCTGTAGTCCCAGCTACTTGGGAGGCTGAGGCAGGAGAATTGCTTGAGCCCAGGAGGCAAAGGTTGCAGTGAGCTGAGATTGTGCCATTGCACTCTAGCCTGGGTGACAGAGCAAGACCCTGTCTCAAAAAATAAATAAAATAAGAATACGGGACCTCCCCCATCTCTCTCTTGCTCCCATTCTTGCCATGTGACATGCCTGCTTCCCCTCACCTTCTGCCATGACTAGAAGCTTCCACAGGCCTCAACAGAAGCCAAGCAGAAGCAAGCACCACGATTTCTGTACAGACTGCAAAACTGTGAGCCAATTAAACTTCGTTTCTTTATAAATTACCCAGTCTCCGGTATGCCTTTATAGCAATGCAAAAACAGACTAACACAGAAAATTAGTACTGAAGAGTGGGGCACTGCTATAAAGATAAAGAAAGACGTGGAAGCGGCTGTGGATCTGGGTAATGGGCAGAGGATGGAAGAGTTTGGAGGCTCAGAAGAAGACATTAAGATGAGGGAGAGTTTGGAACTTCTTAAAGACTGGTTAAATGGTTGTGACTAAAATGCTGATAGAGATATGGACAGTGAAGTCCAGGCTGATGAGGTCTCAGGTGGAAATGAGGAAGTTAATGGGAACTGGAGTAAAAGTCACCTGCATTACATCTTAGCAAAGAACTGAGCTGCACTGTGTTCATGTCCTAGGGATACGTGGAAGTTTGAATTTAAGAGTGATGACACTTAGGGTATCTGGTGGAAGAAATTTCTAAGCGGCAAAGCAATCAAGATGTGGCCTGGCTGCTTCTAACAAACTACAATCAGAATTGGGAACAAAGAAATGACTTAAAGTGGAACTTATATTTAAAAGGGAAGCACAGTATAAAAGTTTGGAAAATTTGCAGCCAGGCCCTATGGTAGAGAAAGAATCCAAGTAGGTTGTGGAGCAGCCACTTGTTACAGAGATTAGCATGACTAAAAGGGAGCCAAGTGCTAACATCCAAGACAATGGGGGAAAAAAGCCTCAAAGCCATTTCAGAAATCTTCCAGGTTACCCCTCCCACCACAGGCCCAGAGGCCTAAGGAGGAAAGAACGGTTTAGTGGGCCAGGCCTGGGGCACCAATGCCCTGCACCACCTCAGGAGGCTGCAACCCCCATCTCCACTGCTCCAGCTCCAGCCACGGTTCACAGGGCCCCAGGTACAGCTCGGGCTGCTTTGGAGAGTGCAAGATACCATAAACCTTGGTAGCTTCCACATGGTGTTAAGCTTACAGGCACAGAGAGTGCAAGAATGAATGAGGCTTGGCACCCCCTGCGTAGATTTCAGAGGATGTACAGGAAAGCTTGTATAGGAGCCCCCACATAGAGTCCCCACCAGGGTACTGCCTAGTGGAGCTGTGGGAAGAGGGCCACTGCCCTCCAGACCTAAAAATGGTAGAGCCACTGGCAGCTTACACCCTCAGCAAGAAAAAGCTACAGGTACTCAGCTCCAACCTAAGAGAGCAGCCATGTGGGCTGTGCTCAGGGAAGCCACGAGGGCAGGGCTGCCCAAGGCCTTGGGAGTCCACCTTTCAAATCAAGATGTGGGACATGGAGTTAAGGATTACATTGGAGCTGTAAGATTTAATGCCTGCTCTACTGGGTTTCAGACTTGCATGGGGCCTATTACCCTTTCCTTTAGGGCAATTTCTCCCTTTTGGAATGGGAATGTTTACCCAATGTCTGTACCACCATTGTACCTTGGAAGTAAATAACTTGTTTTTTATTTTACAGGTTCAGAGGCAGAAGGAAATCGGCTGTGAGTCTCAGATGAGATTTCGGACTTTGAGTTGATGCTAGAACAAGCGTTTTGGAGACTATTGGGAAGGGATGATTGTATTTTGCAATGTGAGAAGGACATGAGATTGGAGGGGCCAGAGACAGAATGACATGGTTTGGATGATGGCCCCTCCAAATCTCATGTTGAAATGTGATCCTCATTGCTGGAAATGGAACCTGGTAGGAAGTACTAGATCATGGAGGTGGATCCTTCATGAATGGCTTAGTGCCATACCCTTACTGAAGAGTGAGTTCTCATATGGTTTATGCAAGATCTGGTTGTTTAAGGGAGTCTGGGACCTCCCCCTTCTCACTCTTGCTCATGCTCTTGCCATATGACACGCCTGCTCTCCCTTCACCTTCTGCCATCATTGGAAGCTTCCTGAAGCCTCACCAGAAGCCAGGCAGATGCTAGCACCACACTTCCTGTATGGCCTGCAGAACCGTGAGCCAATTAAACCTCATTTCCTTATAAATTACCCAGTCTCGGGTGTTCTTTTATAGCAATACAAAAACAGAGTAACACAGGATCACTGAATGATCTTTGATTATTCCTCTTACCTTTGCCAGGCTTCAATATCCAGTCACTAACTCAACAAATCATGTTTCTTCTCTCTGCACAATATTTCTCCCATCTGCCTCTTTTTTTTTGGCTTCCTCAACCAATATCCTAGTTCAGGCTCTTATTACCCAACACCTAAACATATCTATAAGCTCTTAACTGGCCTCCCATACACATCAATCCATTCCATCTATGGCCACGTGTTTTGATAATCTTTCTCTGCTGATCAGAAACTCAGGAGGTGGCCGGGCGTGGTGGCTCATGCCTGTAATCCGACACTTTAGAAGGCTGAGGTGGGAAGATTGCTTGAGTCCAGGAGTTTGAGACCAGTTTGGGAAACACAGCAAAACTCCATCTCTACAAAATTAAAACAAAAATTAGCCAGGCATGGTGGTGAGCATCTGTAGTCTTAGCTAGTCTAGAGACTGAGGTGGGAAGGTGAGCCCAGGAGTTTGAAGTTTACTAATCTATGATCACACCACTGAACTCCAGTCTAGGCAACAGAGTGAGATCCTGTCTCTAAATAAATAAATAAAAGAAACTCAGGAGACTACAGAATAAAATCTTAATGTGTTCTTCCAACACTCACGATACTCCATGGTTCTAGCCGTATCTCTATCCTAGCAAAAGTGGTCTTTTCTACTCCTGGGACACATTATGCACACTTGTGTTTCCAAATTACCCTTGAAACCTTTTCCTGCACTTTGAATCACCTTCCAACTCTTCTCCTCTTCCTTGAATTCTATTTATACCTGAGTGTTCAGCTCAAATCCAACCTCTTCTACAAAGCCATCAGAAAAGCTACTAAGCACTTGCCTCTGCATTCTCATTCATTCAAAAAGTATTTACCTACTAACTTCCTATGATGTGCAAGGCACCAAGTTAGTTGCTGAGTAGAAAATGGTGAAAAAAACTCCACACAAACAGGGTTGTTGTTTTTATATTTTCCTTTCTCCATGAGTCATATCTGTACCAATTAAGTATAGCCCTTGGAGAGACTATATCTCATACTTTTTTTTTTTTTTTTTTTTTTTGAGACAGAGTTTTGCTCTGTCACCCAGCCTGGAGTGCAGTGGCACGATCATGGCTCACTGCAGCCCTGACTTCCCGGGTTCAGGTGATTTTTCCCACTTTATCCTCCCAAGTAGCTGGACTACAGGTGTGTGCCACCACTTCTGGCTAATTTTTGTATTTTTTGTAGAGATGGGGTTTCGCCATGTTGCCCAGGCTGGTCTCAAACTCCTAGCCTTAAATGATCCACCCATGGTCTCTCGAAGTGCCGAGATTACAGATATAAGCCACTGTACCTAGCCTATAGCTCATGTATTTTTAAAAAATCTTTCAAAGCTCCACTCCTAGTATAGTGCCAGGCACATAGCAAATGCTCAGTAAATGATTGCTGATTGATTTCTGATTGGTGGTTACAGATCCAGTCTATCCACACACATACCTCTGACCTGCCCGTGACAACAGCTATTTATATAGCCAAGTCAACTGGCTCATATCTGAAGAGACTAACCTTTATTAACACTATGCTCCAAAATCAACTGGGCCAACTGGCCACCTGACCAAGAACAATAATTGTCTTTTTCATAGAGAATGTGCCAGTTTGCCTTAGGCACTGAGAGCACTTTGTGAAACTCTGATCACAACAGGACAAGGTGTACTTCTGAATGGCAACAGGAGATGATATAGGCAGTCTCTGCCTTCATACGTTCATGCAACAAAACATGGGTACTGTCAAAGAGTCCCACTCAATTAATGCCTTAGAGACTTATAACCATCTCATCTCATATAGCCTTAGGAGGTATGCAAAATGCCTGTCAAGCATCCAAAGTGTATATCAATTAAGCAAATATTTACCAAACACCAAGAAGAGACAACACCCAAGAGAAAGCACAGGCTTCGGAACTAAGAAAACCTGGGTCTGACTGCTGGATTTAGCACTAGTTATGTGGAGAGACGTCTGATCTTGCTCAGCTTTGGTTTCCTTCTCTGTAAAACAAGGACAGGACCACCTACCTCACAGGGTTTGCTTTGAGGATTAAATGAGATAATGCATGTAAAGTACATGGCACGGAGTAGATGTTCAGTAAGTGGTAAGCTGTTGCTATTGCTGAAGGAGAAGGTAAACAGGCAGTAGTGATATCTGTAATGTTGGGCACTGTGTTAGCACTGCTGCATATCCAGCAAGACAATCTCAAGGCAGACCTTTCGGGAGAGAGAAAAATAAGAGAGGGAGACATAAAACTATCTTATGCCTTAGAACACGTATCTATCACTAAAGGCTAGGTAATGTGGAAACTCAGATGTTTCACTGACATCATAAGCAACATTATCCCAAAGCATTTAAATACAATACTCATCTCCAACCACCCTCGTGTCATGGTCACTTGTTGCTTTCAGCAATTCAAACTGCTTGGGGTGATAGAGCTCCACGGTAGGAGATTTAACTGCAGTCCTTTACCTTGAGATAAACAGCTTGTAAACTCCTAGAAGGCCACTACTGCTTTTAAAACCAATGTTTGTTCTTTAGGTAAGGTAATGCTGAGAATCCAAAACCAGTGTAAGAATTCAGCTCCCATGCAGGCCACTGTGAGGGGGACACACCTAGTAGACACACAAATGTTTGCTGAACACAAGAATGAGTTTCAGTTACAATGGAACTCTGTATCCAATGTAATATAACACCTGGGATACCAATGCAATACATGTTACTATGAATAAGAGTGCCAGTCTTCACAATCAGAGAAGGAAATGGAGCAAATACAAATGCCCAGTTTCCATCTCTCCTGAGAACAAAGAGAAACGGAAAAAAAGTATTGAACCAGAAGCTGGCATTCACTCTCAAACATGTACTACTGTCTGCTCTACCCATTTCTGTCCAGTCTTAAAGGTGTATGTGCATAGATTAGTTGAATGTGTTTCAAGTTCATAAAGGAAGTCAAGGAAAAATGCCATTCTTTAGCACCTTGCTAAAATATATAGCCTCTGTAAGATGACACTAAATGTAAGTATTCAGCACTCACATCTTACTGAAGAGAAAGGAGAATCAGGAGAAAATGAACTGTAAAGGGCGAAACTACGCTTAAGAGGTAAGAGTCCAGCATTCTCTGCCTTTCTGTTAAGAGTGGCAACCATCCCTTCCACAGCCCCATGCAGCAGTATCTGAGAAGCACACGGAAGGCTGAAAAAGCTGTGGATGACCTTACTAGAATTTCATGCTTACTTATACATGTGACTTAGAGCCAGCACCCAGGCTTCCAATCTCTCAGAAGTCGCCCATAAATCAGCCAATGAGACAAGTGCTGCAAATAGCATAATTTCTCATGAGCAAGGACTCTGGCTATGTTGCTAGATCTTTCTGTAGTTAACAGCGAAAGATAATATCCATTTTAACATTTTATTATGAAGATTTTGAACTTACACAAAAGTAGACAGATGTGATGAACCCGGCTTTAACAGTTACCAACATATGACAAATTTTGTTTCATCTATACCATACCCACTGGATTATTTTAAACTGAAACCCAGGTATCATAGTATTTTATTTATAAATACTTCAGTATATAAAAGATAAGGATTTTTTTAAAAATCACAATACCATTACCAAACATTAACAATGAAAAGCCATTTCCTTATACTAGCAAATATGTCCTTACAATGTTCAAATGTCCCCAATTGTCTTATAATCCCATCCTCTTTTTACAGTTAGCCAATAACTGAATGTTCACAATGGAAAGAAACTTAGGGACTGCACATTTCAGTTTCTACCCACTATGACCCAAACTCCCTCACAGCAGTGCCTCGGTTATGACACGTCCCCTGAGAAGTGTGCATTTTGTGGAAGACAAGAATATTAGACTCATCAGTTTTTTTTTCCCTTCAGTATGTTACTCTCTTTTGTAATTGCATACTTAAGATTTTTTAACAGCTTTATTGAGATGTAATTCACATCACAAAACTCACCCATTTAAAGTGTACAGTTCAATGATTTCTAGCATATTCACAAAGCTGTGCAGTGATCCCCACTATTTAACTTCTGAACATTTCTATTAACCCAAAAAGAAACTCTGTACCCATGAGCAGTCTCTCCCTCACCAGCCTCGCCCCTTCCCGGCCCCTGGCAACCACCAGCTGGCTTTCTGCCTCTGTGGATTTTGCCTTTCCGGACATTCTTACTCCACTCTCACACTGTGTAAACTTGTTTGGGGGTCTGTCCTCCAACCCCCAGGTAAGGCAGTAACTTTCCTGGGAGATACGAGGAATATCTGGCCGGCATTCATGGAGTAAGATTCCCTAGCAGGCTCTCCTGGCTCCTCCCTAATCTGGGAGCAGAGGATCAGCTGTTTCTTTTTGCTATGGCTGTTAGAGAGTTCAGGCTTAAACTTGCTGCCCAACTTTAATAACTGTGTAGCATATTATCACATACATTTCTCTCACCAAATTTCCCTCTGTCCTCACTTTAGTATTCAACCTTAATTTTCCTTTTGTTTTGTTCATTTGCATTTTTCTTATATTTTCTTATACTTCAAATATTTTGTACTTAAATACTTTTTTTTGAGGGGGGGAACCAGTAAAGAATGAATGCATAACATTTATCTTCAGACATTCTGGTACTATCTTATCATGTCTTAAAGCCCAGGAAAATATCATTTGATTATGATTATTTCTGATGATGGACACCTAGGCTGATATTCCCAAAAACATGGTGTTAGGCTCCAACGAAAGGATACAGAAGAAAAAGAAATGCCTCAAAGACGACTTGGGTGAGGATGTGTGAAATTTACTCCTGTACACACAAAAAAAGAGGTGTATGTGTGGGGCAGGATCAGTGAAGGAAATGTTAGTGATTCAGCTTTAGTTTAGAGAACTAAACGTAACAGACTTGATGGTCAGGGGAAATAAACAAAAGGAAGAAAACAGACATGGAAGGTATCACTCCGGGGCCCTGGGCTGATGCCTCCATTAATATTACTGCATTCACTGTGAAGTGTACGTGTCAGCATCAGAGAACAAGAACTACGGCTTCACTGCCAGGAGTGTGAAGAACCATCCCCATCCCAAGTGCTATTTAAGACATTTTACTGGGGGTACTGGTTGCTTTACTCTTGCCAAAAGAAAAATATCCTGTAAGGAGAAACATTAAAACCCAAGCTTTCTCCAGGAAAGACCTCACAGGCAGAGGATATTAATTCCTCCCCTGATAGAGTTCAACAAAACTCTTCCTGCACCCCGGAATGCAATGATTAATCAACTAATCTGGACCCAAGCTTTGTTTATATGTTCCAACCCTAAACATTAATTGAAATATTTCCATTGCAACAAAAACACTTTGGTTAGGATTTAAACACCACTGCATAACAACATGCAAGTGTGCTTCAGAACGTGAAAGCACAATTTAGCAAAATAACAGTCCCTGCATTCGATCCAAGGGGGCACGGAGTGAAAAACGTGTTATTCTAGGGTCCGTGGTTACTTGACAGCTAGACCAAGGGACACGAATTTCCTTTCCCATGTGATAAACTGCTGTAGATATTCTACCATGCTTTGTACTATTAGAAAAGCTTGCATAAAATTTTTTGCTTGTTAGTATTTGTTTTGTTAGTGTTGGGTGGTGTGGGTGTTAGGTTTTAGCATGTGAAAAAGAGACCCAAGGCCAGATGCGGTGGCTCACGCCTGTAATCCCAGCACTTTGGGAGGCCGATATGGGCAGATCACCTGAGGTCAAGAGTTCGAGAGCAGCCTGGCCAACATGGTGAAACCCTGTCTCTACTAAAAGAAAAATACAAAAATTAGCCAGGCACGGTGGCTCACACCTGTAATCCTAGCACTTCCGGAGGCCAAGACAAGTGGATCACCTGAGGTCAGGAGTTCGAGACCAGCCTGGCCAACATGGTGAAACCCAGGCTTTACTTAAAAAAAAAAAAAAAAAAAAGCCGGGTGTGGTGGCAGGCGCCTGTAGTCCCAACTACTCAGGAGGCTGAGGCAGGAGAATCGCTTGAACCTAGGAGGTGGAGGTTGCAGTGAGACAAGATCATGCCACTGCACTCCAGCCTGGGTGACAGAGGGAAGCTCGGTCTCAAAAAAAAAAAAAAAGAAAAGAAAAAGAAAAAGAGACACAAATTTGGGAAATACCATGTTTGAGAGACAGTGTGTTTTGATAGTATTTGAATACAGGTCAAATCCCTTGAAGAAGCTTAGATATAATAATAGAGGTGAATGCAATAATAGAGCTTATACTGGCTGCAGTCTACTTCAGTTACTGCTCTAGGAAGAAGCAGCCTTCAAGAGGGGAGAAAAGTCTGGGCAATTGAAGAGGCACAGATGAGTTTCTTAATAATAGCAAATGGATGAATTTTATCCAAGTGCTTTAAAGTACATTTAACACAGAACAATCTGCAGCAGCTATTCTCACCCCCACCAAAACCTCCCTTCCTCAAGATGAACCAATCTCCTGGTTTTTTCAACAATATGAGAAGAGCAAAATACTTACTTTTTATTTGTTAAGAAGGTTTATCTGCCTAGAATGTGATTCTCAAGCCTGGATACAGGGGATCCCAAAACAGGGATTCATTAGAATCACCTGTATAGATGTTTTTTTGTTTTGTTTTGTTTTTAACAACAAAAAATAAAGCAGCTAAGCCCACCCAGAGATTCTAATTTAACTGGTCTGGGATTGGATCCAGGCACTGGTATTTTTTTTAAAAAAACTTCCCAGTGATTCCAACATAAACCTGGGTTGAGAATCAATGGTCTGTACAAACACCTCCTCTTTCTACACCAAGTCCTATCTGTGGGGTTTCTGTTTTTGTTTTTTCCATTTTAAAACAAGCTTTTTCTCTCTTCAAGGCTGAATCTCCTCCATGTACTGTACCAAAATTACCCTACCTTAGTAGGTCCCTGGTCATGTAATTGTTCCTGACACTCCAAGGTTAAAGCATTTGTATTTCTCCTGCGACTTAAGCATTTATGGATATACTCAGCATTATATTCATAATGTAACCAGCATGTTTATGTTTGTTACTATGGTTTGTGCTTAAGTTACAAGCTTGTCTTATCTCCCTTGTTTGATTCAGCAGATGATTTTGGAATGCATATTATGTGAATGTCACTGTGCTCAAGGCCTGTGGAGGCTACAAAAATGTAAAGCCATTCTTGTAGCTGTCAAGGAACTTAAAATCCAGAATGGAGATAAGACAGAAATAAATAACACCACCATATAGAATATAAAATCTGTAACAGACAGCCAAGGTATACTAGACTACTCTCAGCTGCAGAACAAAGACATATATCAAAATGCTAACAGTGGTTATCTCCAGGAAGTGGGATTAAGAATGTTCTTTGTTTTTGCGTGTTTTTTTTAAGTCTTTTACAGGATGTATGTTATGGGAAACAGTCTCTAAAGAAGGAGAAATCTGTTTGAAGGATGGAAAGTTGACGGGTGGAGAAGGGGCATGAGCAAAGGCAAAGCACCAAATGTATTTGGTGACAGTGGGTAACTCCGTTCTGCTGCTGTTTCTTGGAGTGAGGGCAGAGAGAGAAGAGGGTGAGGTCAGAAGGATTGTAGCAGTATTGCCAAAACCTTGAATGTCATAGAGAGGATTTTTAATTGGCAAATGGGAGCCACTAAAGGTTTTTAAATGGTACTTTTCCTTATTATAAAAATAACACTTTTCTTAAAAAATACTATTATATGTCTATTATATAAGTAATTGGAAAGGAGTAAAATCCATAAAGTAAATAAAAATTATCACCAGAAAGCTCATCACTCAGAAAAAAAAAATTGCTAATATTTTGGCACATTTCCTTTCAGTCTTTTCTGTCTGCAGTCATGAAAGATTTTTTAAGCAGGAATGTGACCTCATCAGGGCTATGCTTTAGGAGGCTGGGTTATGAGATGTCCGAAGCACAAAGTGGCTTCCTCACACACATTCTCTACTTCTTCTGCTTATGTTTTTGCTGCAGATCCACAAATAGGTCCCAAGGGGCAAGCAGAACCTGAGGGGAAAGCCCAAGGCTGAAGCCTAGGGAGAAGCATTCCTAATATTCAGTGAAACAGACAAGAAGCCCTTGATGGAGGTGAAGAGACCAATCTGCAGAGCAGCAACAGGTTATCAGGAAGGGGAGTCTTGTCTTGAGAAGGGAGGTTGTTTCACAGGACCGCAGAGAGCTTTTCTAGAGATCATCTTCACCATGATTCCCAGTGGGGAGATTCCTAAAAATAGGCAATTACCACATCTTGTATGTGATAATTATATTACGATAAAACAGCTCATAGTATGACAGCTACTGCCTGTGAGTAAGAAATCGTGTTGCCTCTGAGATCACAGCTTCAAGAAGGGGTTGACCTGTGTCAAAATCCCCTGACAGGCTTTATTTGTCAAGTCAGTTCTCACAGCACTCAGCCTTGCCCCCAGCTCTGAGACAATGGGGCTCTGTGTAGGAGCAGAGGCCAAAATCTGGAAGGACACTGGCACGCCTCTTCTACCCCCACGAGGTGTTTATTATTTTGCTTGCAAACAGGCTGGGTCCAGTGTTTTACTTTCTTCCCCCTTCTTCCCTTTGCTAATTTTATCTCAATTTCAAATTAGTATTTTTCAAGAGATAATTTACTTAATTCCCAGCCCCTCCTACCCGTTTATGACTTAGGAATGAATGTAAGCACAAAACATCTTGTGATGGCCTCAAAATAGAAAGCAAGTTTAAAGTTTTATTTTTCTGTCCCAAAGCTGCCAAAGCTCTGGCGTGTTTTAACTTCTGCTCTACACACTGTTTCCCCCTCCGTCCCTCCCATCCAGCTATATTTAGTAAAGCCCAAATAAAAGGGATACATACAAAGCAAAATTAAATATAGTTTCTTTCAATCAGTAAACCTGAGTTAAAGCTCATACAAACATTCATATACTAAGAAGTACTCTCCTCCTCCAAAGACAGCTCACAGCCTCACCTGTCTCACACCAAGTAGCAGGTGCGCCTAGAAAGGCAAACACACCACCTCCCCTCCTTAATCTCAGACCACTCCTTCCCCCCTTGATCCCACACTGCCCTCCTTCAGTGCCACCCCCACCTCTATGCTCTCCATTTCTAGATGCCAGTGTACCTACATCACACTCTACACTCCACCTGCACCTAGAGGGAAAAGAGGAGAATTGAGAAAGGTCCATCTATTAATACATGAAAGGCACGCAGAAGTGCTCGAGGACCAAGGGAGTGTAGACCAGGCTGCTCCAAAGCACACCACTGCAGCAGCTTCACCCCACATCTTCATCTCCAGTGACTGATGTCAAACTTATCTTTGACTTTCATTGGCTGAAAGAAATTCTATGGGACTTGGGTGCAAGGAAGACACTCTGATTCTGGTTTTCTAATAGGGATGAAGATATTATAATGGTAACAAGATTTTGGGGGGAAAATTCTTGTCCACAAGGCAGCAAAGCTGTAAAGCTAAATACGGAACATGCCAAAGAAGGGAATGAGGCAGGTTTACGGAGGAGAGTTTGTGGGCATGGGTATGGGAATGTCTCCAAATGCAACTTTTCCCATAAAAGAAGTATCTGACTGCCCCATCCCTTTTCCAAAACCAAAGGCACACATGAAGATGGGAGAAAATGTGGAGGTTCTAAGAACCCGATGGCTGGGTAGCAAACTCATCCTTCTCGGGATGCTTTCACCTAAATAAAGCCCAAGGTGCTATACACGGCCACTAAGCATATTTAATTCTACTATCAAAGAGGAAGCTACTACCAGGTCCAGTGAATAGCAATAAAACTATTTAGACAATATCATCAAAGCCCCAAATTTATTTGCCACTACATTAAGGCAAAACAATTTAAAATATTTTAAATTTAAATTTAAATACATTTTAAAATATTTTAAGTATAATGATCTAGAACGTGGACCAACAAACTACGGTTGATAGGTCAAATCCAGCCAGCCACCTGTTTTTGTATAGTCTACAAGCTAAGAATGTTTTTCCCTTTTTTTAAATGGTTGGAAAAAAAATAAAAAGAATATTCCGTGACATGTGAAAATTATACAAAATTCAAATCTCAGTGTCCATAAATAAAGTTTTATTGGAACACAGCCATGCTCATCCATTTACATATTGTCTATGGCTGCTCTTGCAGAGTTGAATAGGTACTAAAGGGATAGTATCATCTAACAAGCCAAAAATATTTACTAGCTAGTGCTTTACAGAAAAAGTTTGCCAACCCCTGGTCTAGAGACAAACCTGGGTTGTGAAAAATACTTTTTACTGATTTCATTTAATACTTTATAGTTTTCCCTGGTATATTCACACCTATTACTTTCATTTTATCTTCACTCCAAGTCAGTGAGTTATATCCTGTTTAGAGATGAGATCGCAAGTTTGAAAGTGGACTTGCCCAAGGTCATGCAGCAGTTAAGAGGCAAGGCCAGGGCTACACCCCAGTTTTCTGACCTATATCCCAAGGTGTTCACAACACACAGCTGTCTTCTTGGATGCCTGCTAATTGTAGCTGCCGTCTTTTAGACATTCTCTCCACATTTGATAGTTCACCTTAGTGTAAAGTCCCTCCTTCCTAAAATAGGACTGAAAACAAACTGCCCAGCCCCACTTCCTGCTAGGATAGAGACACACAACTGTGGACCCAGTGGCTTCCCAATCTGGCAGAGGCAGTTGTGGGAGAAGCTTCTCGATGGTGGCATAGGCAACAGCTCTCTTGGCAGACCAGTTCTGCAGACTATCAAGAAGCTCCACCTGCAGCCTGTTTCTTCAGCCTGTCCGACAATTCTGTGATCTATCTATATACCTCAATGCATTCTTTTGTGCTTAATCTAGCTACTCTGTGGATTCTGTTCTCCACAACGATGACCAGAGACCAACACAAGTTCAGAAGAAATCCTTATAATACTACAGTGTTTCCTAAAACCTTCCAGAACAACTTCCCACCATCATTACTATCTTCTAAAATCCAATCCCATTTCCATAAGATGTTAAAGGATTCTGTAGTTATGTAAATAAATTATAAAACATCAAGTTAAACAGATTTCTTTACTACAGGACTTCTCAGAGCCTTAAAATGCATGTGTGCTTCACAAATCTCCAAGAAAGGGACAAGTATACAACATTTGAAAAATGTATTTGACCACTGAACCATTTTTTAATATGTCTTACCAGTACAGTAATATATTTGGGGAAATATTGATCAACATACCTTCTACTTGGAAAAAAAAGTTTATAATTATAAAATATTTTAAAATAAGGCTGCTGAAATGAGGAATACAATTCTGGAATATGTTGGGTGAAATTATGGAATGTATTAGGGTTGAAAATGATTTCATGTACTGTTCAGGGGATATATTTTAGTGCAGCCATTTTGGAAAGCATTGGCAATGATTATTTTAGGTTAATGCAAAAGTAATTGCAGTTTTTGCCACTGAAAGTAATGGCAAAAACAGCAATTACTTTCACACCAACCTAAATAGCAAGTGTCTTAATCCTTATATTACTCTTTAATCCAATTATACTTCTAGGAATATTTCCTTAAAAAAATCTGAAATGTGGACAATTACCAGATCCTCAGCCCTTATATACACTTTTGTGACTTTATGCAAAAGAAAAAAATGTTCTCACTTGAGAAAAACACAGAAGGGTACTGCTTTGTCTTTCTATTCAGGTCATAACTTCCTTATGATTGAGGGAAAAGAGACAAAGGGGCTGTTATTTTCTTAGTGGCATCATGACACTATATAAACATTTATTTAGCTCTTTACCTCCTACAGAAAAAGGAAAAAGGAAAGTTGAGAACTTTCCCAAGAGTATCTCTATTGTTAATTAAAACATCCTCAGCCAGATGCATGGCATCCCTGTAAGTGAAACAGTGAAGAACCTGGGCGACATGAGTATGTAGTTAGAGGTGTCACGATGCTGAGCTAACCCGAGGGCTGATGATGAACTACAAACCTTCAGGATAGATTTTTTTCTGTGGGATTCAGTTTAACTTGGTAAAGAATATGATAATGATAAAGAACTGCATGTTAACCCTTTTAAGTCAATCTAAGTATTTTTAAAAGGTCCTTTAATACTACTTAAATATTTAAATTATATTTTGAATATGTATATACTTAATACATATAAAAATGATATAAATTTTCTGTCTAATTCTGTGGAGGACTGAAGGAAGCTTCAAATTCAGCAATTTGTAGATTCAGATCATGTGACTAGGACAGCACTGCCCTCTAGTGGTGGAGTATCATGCTTTCACTTTGAAGCTTCTGATAGATCAATAAGCACCTTTAAAAGGTTGAATCTAAGCCAGGCGTGGTGGCTTTTACGCCTGTCATCCCAGCACTTTGGGAGGCTGAGGCGGGTGGATCACCTGAGGTCAGGGAGACTAGCCTGACCAATATGGTGAAACTCCATCTCTTCTAAAAATACAGAAATTAGCCAGATGTGGTGGCATGCGCCTGTAGTCCCAGCTACTCAGGAGGCTGAGACAGGAGAATTGCTTGAACCTGGGAGGTGGAGATTGCAGTGAGCTGAGATTACGCCACTGCACTCCAGCCTGGGCGACAGAGTGAGACTCCGTCTCAAAACAAATCAAAACAAAAAAAAGGTTGAACCTGGGCGGGGCGCGGTGGTCCACGCCTGTAATCCCAACATTTTGAGAGACCAAGGTGGGAGAATCACTTGAGGCCAGGCATTTGAGATCAGCCTGGGCAACACAGCAAAACCCCCACCTCTATAAAAATTTTTAAAAATTAGCTGAGCATGGGGAGGCTGAGGAGGATGGGAGGATGGATTAGGCCAAGGAGTTGAGGTGGAAGGAGGACTTGGCCCCTCGAGTTTGAGGTTGCAATGAGACATCCATGATCATGCCACTGCACTCCAGCCTAAGAGACAGAATGACACCCTGTCTCCAAATTTTTTTTAAAAAAAAGGTGAATCTATTGTTTAAAACGGAAGTTATAAAGAGACAGCAAACACTCAGAAGAACCTGTAACTCTTAAATAGTGAATGCCATAACCAAGTAAAGGTATTCAGCTCAAAGGCCACTCTTCAATTTGCTCTCAAGTGCATTTTACAGACAGAGAAATCATGGTCTCCAAAGATTAGAAATGGCCTGGCACGGTGGCTCACGCTTGTAATCCCAACACTTTTGGAGGTTTGAGGCAGAAGGATAGCTTGAGCCCAGGAGTTCAAGACCATCCTGGGCAACATACCAAGATCCTATTTCTACAAAAAATTTTAATTAATGGTGATGCACACCTGTGGTCCCAGCTACTCAGGAGGCTGAGGTGGAAGGATCGATTGAGCCCAGGAGGTCAATGCTGCAGTGAACTGTGGTCACTGCCACTGCACTCCCGCCTGGATGATAGAATGAGACCCTGTCTCCAAAAAAAAAAAAAAAAAAAAAAAGAAACAATTTCATCTCAGTCACAAAACCACATGAACCAAGAGGTCTGTGTTTCTGTCATGCTTACTATCTATTAGGCAAAATCCACAAACCATCTTTTCACATTTTATCTCTAAAGAAGTGCCAACTGCCTATAGCAGCAGCCACTGTATCCCTCTTCCCAAAGTTCGGCCCCTGGGGACCAGAGGCCCACACAAACCCAATAAGATCTGGGAACCCCTGGAAGGGAAACGAATCCTGAGCCTTCTCTCTATGTCCTCAAGGAAGCAGAACTGGGGGATGGTCTCTCTCTTAGGCTCCTATGTCAACAGAATCTACGTCTCATAAGAAGGGATGTGGTGGCGGGCGTGTAATTTACATCAGAAAAATGAAGTCTCTACCCTTGCTCTGTCATAGCACACCACATAGTTAGGACTCAGGACTGGTCGAGCAGGACCGGCCAACCCGAGGGAGCATATCTGGTGATTTACGGGAAACTCCAGTTCTCTCAAGGAAAATGGGATGTGATAGGAAAAGCAAAACCAACGAACAGAGATTCACCATGTCAGAGTGAGAAAGAGTAGTGGGTTATATTTAAAAAGGATTTTATACATTGGAAAGTATTTTCACAAGCATCTTATTTGCTCCTTTGGTTATGACCCCATAGGCCTTTATTCCAAGGCACCAGATTTTAAAAAGACTGAGAAGTTAAATGGCTTGCCTGTGTAATCTGGAAAATTGGTAACAGACTCAAGACTCACCCAGAGTCTGTTATGTTTCCCATAGCACCTGTGACACCCAAGGTGGAGGTGCCTTAATTACCAGCACATACAAATTATGAGAGGAGGAGCCCCTCTAGGCAGTCACAGTCAGAGCAGCACAAAGAGACTGTAATAGATGATCTTGTGGAAAGGTTTCTGTTCTATTTGTCTTTTAGTTAGAGACAGGGTCTCACTGTTGCCCAGGCTGGAGTGCAGTGGCACAATTATAGCTCACTGCAGCTTCAAACTCCTGGGCTGAAGTAATCCTCCCACCTCAGCCTCTCTAGCAGCTAGGACTACAGATGTGCATGACCACATCTGGCTAATTTATCCTTTTTTGGTAGAGAGGGAGACTCACTATGTTGCCCAGACTGGTCTTGAACTCTTGGCCTCAAGCAATCTTCCCACCTTGGCTACCCAAAATGCTGAAATTATAGGCATGAGCCATGGCACCCAGCAAACGGCTTTTAAAAATCCAAAGAACAGTCACAGAACTTAAAAAGTAAACAAGCCTAAGACTAGAAGAGGGACAAGGAGGCCTACAAAACTTGAAAAGAGCCTAAATGGGCCAGGCATGGTGGCTCACGCCTGTAACCTCAGCACTTTGGGAGGGCGAGTTGGGCCGATCACTTGAGGCCAGGAGTTCGAGACCAGCCTGGCCAAGATGGTGAAACCCCTGTCTCTACTAAAAATATAAAAAATAGCCAGGTGTGGTGGTGCACGCCTATAATCCCAGCTACTTGGGTGGCTGAGGCAGGAGAATCACGTGAACCTGGGAGGTGGAGTTGCAGTGGGCTGAGATTGAGCCACTGCACTCCAGCCTGGGCGAAAGAGTAAGACTTCGTCTCAAAAAAAAAAAAAAAAGAATCTAAATATAATCACTGTTTTAACTGTTTTACAATTAAAATATGTTTATGAGACTCTGCTAAAACATGTAGGTAATGAGAAATCCATTTTAGAAAGACTGATATCCAAAACTCCTAAAACATTTGCTTAAGGAGGTAAACTTTCCACTTTCCAAAAACTTTCTAGATAACCAAGGCTCTGGCTGCCGTCGCTTCTCAACAATTTCAATAAATTAGTGAATCTCTTTCTCTTCTTCCTATGGTCTCATTTTTCCTTACAGTTTGAATAAGTAGTCTTGTCCTCTGAGTTTTTTTTAATGGTACATTTCAAATACTATGAGCTTACTTGCATTGCAACACTTAGTCTTGGTAATGAAAGAAAACAATGGAACTGGAAAGGTCTGGGGTCTATAACAGACCCATTTTTGAGGCTATGCAGCTCACACGGCCTCTTTGTCACAGAGGTGGGCTTCTGGAGGCGGTGTTTATATCCTGGAACCCTGTCACTGTGGCCATATCTGGTTAGGTCAGAAGTAGGCATCTCTGCCCCAAACAGAGCCAGTCAGAAACTCCTTCACAGCAACTCCTTTTGCTTAAGCTAGCTTGATTCTGTTTCTATTACTCAGAACCAAAAGGCTCTAGATAATACATTTTATGTATTTATTTGGTTTCTTTTCTGCTTGTCCACACTAAATTGTTTGCTCTACAAGGGCAAGGATTTCTGTCTGTTTTGTTCACTGTTCTAGCTCAAGTGCCTAGAATAATGCCTGGCCGATACTACAAAAATGTTTAGATACTCAAAAATGTTTGCTGAATAATGAATACTGTGAGCCTTCCTTAAAGAGTTTTCCCTACTGTAAGTTTTATTCAGTGGGCTGTTCTATTTGCTGAAGAGAAAACGCTAGGCTCTGTAGAGCTTGGTCTTTACCAACCTTCCACACGATATCTAAATATTTTCAAATTTATCTTTTCCCAAATATCTACTCCTCATGCTTCTGTATCTGAAAGATTCTCATCTCTCCTTCACAAGTTAGCAATTCAGTACTACAACGGCTGTACATAGTGTATTATATCACTATATCATCATCAATCATTACAATGGGATAATCCCTATACAACTCCTTTTCTTCCCTTCTCTCTCTTTTTTTTTTTTTTTTTTTTTTGAGACAAAGTCTCGCTGTGTCGCCCAGGCTGGAGTGCAGTGGTGCAACCTCAGCTCACTGCAAACTCTGCCTCCCAGATTCAAGCGATTCTCCTGTCTCAGCCTCCCAAGTAGCTGGGACTACAGGCATGCGCCACCATGCCCAGCTAATTTTTGTATTTTTAGTACAGACGGGGTTTCACCATGTTAGCCAGGCTAGTCTTAAACTCCTGACCTCAGGTGATCCACCCACCTCAGCCTCCCAAAGTGCTGGGATTACAGGCGTGAGCCACCGTGCCCGGCCCTTTCCTTCTCTTTCGCCCTTCTAAATGTCTGCTCTCAATAATGTCATAGCCTGGGCCATCTATTAATGAATGGGCAGAAGACTTCATCCCTGCTTCCCAAGCTCCAGGATTTAAATGGTGTCTGCAAGGGAATATAGAGGTGCTCCAGGAGGCCTGATAACTAACCCCATCAGGGTACCAATTAGGTTCCCAAGAGCAGCAAAGCACGTGACTGCTACCCAGGAGGCTAAATAGCACAATACCATTCCAAATCTCTTCACTAAGGACCAGGTAAGCAGACAAACCAAAAAGATAGCTGGCCACATTTTTATACCTCCTAGGTGCTATTCTAACTCCTATTACTGAGCCATTTACCTGCTCTGTGTGTTGATTAGTAAAACAGATAATTCCTACTTGTCTATATTGTTAAGGAGGAATAATCACTATTATAACACTATAGACTATAGAACTTGAGCTTTTGGCTAAGACAGAATGATCTATTAGACCTTCAAATAATTTAACAGGCGGAAGTACTAAATAAATATAAATTGTTCCCATACAAAGTTTGAGTGCAGATTACACATTCAAATGGAAATATACATGAATAGATAATTTTTAGAAGTAGGAAATTTTCCCCAGATATATGGTTTTAAAATTCAGTGTTTATGCTTAAAACTACTTAGTTAAAAACAGAACAAAATAGACTTTAGGTAAGTTTAAATTTCCTACATAAAAACTAAGTTAGGAAGGCCAAGGAGGGGTTTATTTATAAGGTCAAAAGAAACATGATCAGTTGCTCATAGAAAAATGAGCAACTGGCCTTATCCCTACAGTACTTTACAATTCCTTTGATCAACTCATCTTCTCATGCCACTTTCTTTTTCTTGCTGAAATTTCTCAGTGTAACTTCTTAGGCTTAAATTCTCACAATTTTCTTTTCATTAGCTCAATTTTACTTGCAGTCTGAATACTCGTTTAAAAACAAGTGCTCTAAAAGCCCTTGTGCCACATTTTTAACGTGCTGAGCACACTCATGCAAGTGATCTAACAAAGACAAATACTTTCTCAGCTCCTTCGCGGAGATCTTCTCACTTCTGGCCCTCCCTTCCTGGAAGTCCTGACTTCACTGACTGAGAGGAGAAACAAATCTCTTTTGATCTCTGGCTGGAGTGAGAGCTGCCTGCTGTTCTCTACCTCTCCTTAACACAGTGCTGAACACAATTTTCTGGAGGAGTGCCAGAATGTGTGCCTTTCTGGAAGGGCAAATAATTATGGCCTCATCCTTACTCCAGTTCATACAATTGAGGCGGGTATGGACAGTCTAGAGCACAAGCAAGCAGGAGGGAGACGGTTACACAGGGCTTGCATGGTTTCAATGACTTTCACCAGGTTTCAGATGTCTGCTTGTTTTCCTCTACTACTGCTAAATCACGGACTAAGAAAGTAAAAACAGGCCGGGCATGGTGGTTCCCGCCTGTAAGGCCTGCACTTTGGGAGGCCGAGGTGGGCGGATCACGAGGTCAGGAGATAGAGACCATCTTGACTAACACATTGAAACCCTGTCTCTACTAAAAATACAAAAAATTAGCCAGGCATGGTGGCAGGCACCTATAGTCCCAGCTACTCAGGAGGCTGAGGCAGGAGAATGGAGTGAACCCTGGAGGCAGAGCTTGCAGTGAGCTGAGATCGCGCCACTGCACTCCAGCCTGGGCAACAGAGCGAGACTCTGTCTCAAAAAAAAAAAAAGAAAAGAAAAGAAAGTAAAAACAACTTCAAGAAACACCAGTGGGGCCAACTCCTGCTTTCCCATTGATAAATAAGTCTCACAGACAGTATATGTGACAGTTAAGAGGCGGCTGGGGACGGGCGTGGTGGCTCACACCTGTAATCCCAGCACTTTGGGAGACCAAGGTGGGCAGATCACAAGGTCACGGCAGATCACAAGGTCAGGAGTATCAGACCAGCCTGGCCAATATGATGAAACCCCGTCTCTACTAAAAATACAAAAATTAGCCGGGGATGCTGGTGGGCTCCTGTAGTCCCAGCTACTTGGGAGGCTGAGGCAGGAGAATCTCTTGAACCTGGGAGGCGGGGCTTGCAGTGAGCCCAGATTGTGCCACTGCACTCCAGCCTGGGCAACAGAGTCAGACTCCGTCTAAAAAGAAAAAAAAAAAAAGAGGGAGCTGGGTTCAGATTTTGGCTCCAACACTTGTCTGGATGAACTCTAGCAAGTTACTTAAGCTCTATGGTCTCAGTTTCTTTATTTGTAAAAGAATAATAACAGCACTGACCTCATAGGACTGTTCAGAAGTTATATGAGAAAAACATGCAAAGCATTTACAACAATACCTGCCTTGTGAGAGCTCAGTAAATGATGGCAGTAATAACTGTTGATGTGTGATTAATACCCATATTACTGGTGTTGTTTTGTAAAGGAGTTGTTCCAAGAATTGCAGTGCCTTCATTCAGCAAACATTTCAATGAACACTTATGATATCTTATATGTGGCTAAACTCTGGAGACAGAGACTCAGAAGCCGCAATCTGGACCCTCCAAACAGCATCCAATCAAGTGGAAGATGATCATTTAAACAACACATCACACAATGGTAAGAGCTAGAACAGAGATGTACATAGGATCTTGACAAGCCAAAGAAGCAGCCTGAGAGTTCCAAGGAAGGAGAATGATCCAGAGCAAGGAGAAAGGTGAACTGGAGTGCACCAACAGAATAGGAGAGGGAACATCATTCTGAGCAAGGTTGGGGAATGGCAAAACATAAGACTAATAAGCTTAGCAAAAGCAATGTATGAAAGGTCTAAGATATTTGAACTTTAGCTTGAAGAGAAATGGAGATCACTGACTGTAGGACAAAGGATGGGCTGGGTTAGGGAAATAAAAGAAGATGGCTGAGTGAAGATTACTGCAATAATAAAAACGCCAGTCCAAGCACTAATAAAATGTAAAGGTATAATTTAAGAACTAGCAATTCCACTTCTCAATCCCTACCCTAGAGAAATACTTATATATAAGCGTGAATAATAGGATATTACAAAAATGTTTATTGCAGCATGTTTGGAATTGGAAACAGCCTAGCAATAGGCAAATGGCAAGGTGGCTCAAGCCTGCAATCCCAGCACTTTGGGTGGCCAAGGCGGGATAATCACTTGAGCCCAGGAGTTTGAGACGAACCTGGACAACACAGTGAGGTCACGTCTTTATAAAAAACTTAACAAATTAGCTGGGTGTGGTAGTGCACACCTGTAGTCCCAGCTACCTGGGCAGCTGAGGTGGGAAGATCACTTGAGCCCAGGAATTCAAGGCTGTAGTAAGCTACGATCATGCCACTGTACTCCAGCCTGTGTGAAAGAAGTGAGACTCTGCCTCTAAAAAAATAATAAATAAAAATAAAATAAAAACCCCAAGGTAGGCAAGGATAGATTAAAAACTCCAAAGAGCCTTATAGGTAGTATGGAGTAGAGAGAACAGATCCACAACATGTTTATAATTTAAAGTGACAGGTCTTAGTTGTGGATTGGATGTGAAGGATCAGAAAATGGAAAAAGTAAAAAGTGAGGACCGGGTTACTGACTGGAGAAATGAAGTTGATGGTGGTGCAACTGAGATCCAGGCAGAGAGGATCTGGGGGAAAGGATGCTGAGCCTCGTTTTGAACGTGTTGAGTTGAGGGACTTAGGGACATTCAGATGGAGCTATCCAATAGGAAGGAAGTCAGAAATACAGATCTGCATTTGTGAATCCAGGGTGAGGGCGGAGATAGAGAAGACTCCAGAATGCAGCCAAAGCCACAGCAGGGGTGTCATGGGAGTTGAAGGTAACGAAGATGGACCACCCCAGGAGATAAGAGTGCAAGGGAGAAAAAAAGAGCAGATGCCACAGCAACCAACATTTTCTCAGAACTACACTATTTTCATCTTCATCGGTCTTGTCAACAACAACTTTCTCAAACATTCCAATGTTCTTTATTTATATACCATCTGTTTCACAAATATTTGAGGCAGCTTATGGTAAAGACATACAATAAAACAGTGCAATATAAATGAAATGAATACATCAGGGTAAGAAAATAGGAAATTAGATTAGGAGGTCAAGACAGAAGCAGACTCAGAAAGAAAGTAGGGTTAAAATACAATTATTCAGTTCAAAAGGGTACTAAAGAGTTGCTACATTAGAGCTATGAGTTTGGCTCTGAGCTTCCTAGTGGCCAAAGTGAAAAGAGAGATAGTTGCCTCCAAAAGAAGAAACTACAGGAAGTCCTCACTTAATGTTGTCAATAGCTTCTTGGAAACTGCAACTTTAAGCAAAATGATGTGTAACAAAACCAATTTTACCATAGGCTAGTTAATATAAAGAAGAGTTAAGTTTTTAAGGTATATTTCTGGTCACAAAACCACCAGCCTGGGCAACATGGCAAAACCTTGTCTCTAAAAAAATAAAAGATTAGCCAAAACCAAAACCAAAACAAAACAAAAAAAATTAGCTAAGCATGGTGGCTCATGCCTGTAGTCCCAGCTATTCAGGAGGATGGCTTGGGCCCAGGAAGTCGAAGCTGCAGTGAGCCAAGATCGCACCACTAGCCTCTAGCCTGGGTGACAGAGCAAGACCCTGTCTCAAAAAAACAACAACAATAACAAAATCACCAAACTTCTAAAAGAAAAACCCCAAAACACTTTCAATTTTAAACATTTAAATAAATGAGCTATGCACACATCTAAGAAATATTCATAAAAACAAGTAAGATCATTATTTACCCAATTTTCAGTGAATCAGTGAGTGATGTCAGTCATAATGGTGGTGGGTTAAATCAAGGAATAAATGTTTGCAAAGCTAAAATTGTAAGGAGCATCTCCTATCACCACACAGTTCAAAAACCATCACAAGGGCTGGGCACAGTGGCTCACACCTGTAATCCCAGCACTTTGGGAGGCCAAGGCAGGCAGATCTCCTGAGGTCAGGAGGTCGAGACCAACCCGGTCAACATGGTGAAATCCTGTTTCTACTAAATATACAAAAAAATTAGCCCGGCACAGTGATGCACATCTGTAATCCCAGCTACTTGGGAGGCTGAGGCAGGAGAATCTCTTGAACCCAGGAGGTGGAGGTTGCAGTGAGCCGAGATTGCAAGAGTGAGACTCCGTCAAAAAAAAAAAAATCACAAATGTGGAGGCTCGCTGAGCATTGTTGTGCTGTATCACTTACTGTCATGCATTTGTACTACCATCTACTTTCATTTTACAGTAATTTATATTCATTCATTCATTCATTTTCCAACCTGCTTATTCCAATACAAAGTTGAGAGTAGCTGGAGCACGTCTTGGCAGCTCAGGGCACAAGGCCAGAAGCAACCCTGGACAGGACACCATTCCATCTCACGGCACTCACACACACCCCCACACTCACTCAGACAGGGACAACTTAGACACGCCAATTAACCTAATGTGTGCAACTTTAGAATATGGGAGGAAACTGGAGTACTCAGAGAAAAGCCACACAGACAGGGAGAATGTGCAAATTCTACACAGCGGCCTAGCCAGGAGTCAACTTTTTTCTCATCAACATTATAATAAAGCAACATAAAACTGAATGACATTATTTGGGACCTGCTGTATATTCCCTCTCAGGATTAACTGATTTGCCCAAGATCACCTAGTTAAAAGGCGAATAATGCCTTCCCCTCTACCAAGTTGCTTCAACATGCAAGTACTCTACAGCTAGTCACAGTCTCATTATCAGGATGGCACAGCAGGAAGGGAACTAGACTCGGAATCTGGACACCTGGTTCTACAGGACTAGCTCTTCTGCTAACCATGAACCCAAGACAGGTCATTTACATTTTTGGTGTCTTGTTTTCTCAACTATAAAATAACTACTTTCACTGAACCAGAGTCAACCAATACATGCTATTTGTGCTACAATTCTCCAATCCAGCACACTCTGACCAACATTGCTAGTTAATCACAGAAATCTTTTCTGTTGAACCCAGATGAGACCTCAAAACCTTACATAACAGTGTTCAGGTGATCACCAATAAGTCAACATGGGCACTCTGGCCTTAGAGGTTCCTTCTCTAAAGTGCCTCCAGAGCTAACACACTACCATGCAGTGATCATGGTGTATGCCGCTCTATGGCATCCTCTCTTGAAAAAGGAAGGCTGAGGGTGATTTGACTGAGCTGCTAAGGTAGGCAGATATGGAACAAAGCTTTTTTTTTTTTTGCAGTTATTTTTAAACTTCTAAAAATACTTTGATATGCTAAAATTAAAACTCATGAGTCAAAATACACTACTGATTAAAATAAAACACTTCCAAATCATCTACCACAGGAAATCTAGGAAAGGCATGGCAGCATGTACCAAGCTGAAAATCTTTAGGAATAACTCAAACTTTAAAGGGATCTTTCTTCTATTTTCAAAGTGTATTGTGAGCATTTCCACAGAATTCTCTGCACAAAAGTAGAGACATACAACAGATCTACAGCACCCTTCACCCAGTTTCAATCACCATCAACATTTTGCCATAAATGTTCACAGTATCTAACTTTAAAGGTCAAGATGACTGGGGGCTATGGTCCAAATTCTGGCAAAACATAGCTTCCTAGGAAACATGCTTGTGTCCATGAGTTAATACATGGGCACACACACCCATAAAATAACTTCCACACAATGCTAAAAAATGAACTGGAGCAAGATTCTTGCTATTCCAAGTGTGGTCCCTGATCACCAACTGGGAGCTTGTTAAAACTACAGACCCCCAGGCCTCATTCCAAACTTACTGAGTCACAATTTACATTTTAACAAAATCCCCAGGTAATGAGTCTGCACGCTAAGGTTTACAAAAGCACTGGTCTACTCTAGACCACCGTAACTGTCCTCTGAAAGCTTCTCCTATTGCCATTCTGAAAAGCTGGGCAAGAAACCAAAGTATAAAATACAGTGTTCATTTTACTTGGGAGAGTTATTTGCCATTAAACAATAAAATGTAAAGGTATATGATTTAAGACTTAGCAATTCCACTTCTCAATCCCTACCCTAGAGAAATACTTGTATATAAGCGTAAATAACAGGATATTACAAAGATGTTTATTGCAGCATGTTTGGAATTGGAAACAGCCTAACCATAGGCAAATGGCAAAACAAACCAGTACAGACAGTAAACGGAGGCTAAAGTGAATGAGCCAGATCATGGAAAGTTCTAGACATGTTGCGTGAAAAAAGCCAGTTGTGGAATGTTCCACTTAGTATGACAGTTGTTTAAAGTAAAAGAAAAGAAACACAAATGCCTCATTATATATTCTCTCTGGATACATATACGCATATGTAAAGGAAGAGAAAAGGTCTGGAAAGACAGATAATGAAAGGAAATAGTGGTTACAACTGGGAAAGGAGGAAAGGGACCAGGATTAGGGATGGGAGGTTAAAAGAGGATTATGATGTTCTATTTGCTTATTAATTGAAAGGAGAATACATCACTTATCACCTGTGGGACAAATATTTTTCAAGTAGCTATATAGTTCCTTGGCCAAATGAGTTTATGGAGAGAACATATGTTCAGGATAAGGCTGCAGAAAGATGGACAGAAAATTTAAAGATCTTCAGCAAACTGCGGGTATTTGGTACACTGGCACAGACCATTTTTTCTCGCGTTTTCTCCCACATACACATTCAGCTGCTACTGCGTATATTCTGCGCTATTTAAAAAGGTCTTCAAAAGTGGTATGATGTTGGTTTTTCTGTGTATACACAGAAAGGTAGCTTTTTTCATTTGTCTGTGAGCTACCTGAAAACATGTTATATACGTGATTCCTTCTGCTACTGCACATTCCCACGGATGATATGAATTCTACCTAAATGAATTACTCACCAGGCTATGTATAATCATAATAATATATTTTTAAGATCCCTAAGAAGTGCACAGAGCACATATCGTCCCCATTTTATAGCCGAAGAAACCAGCTCAGAAAGGTTGCATGATATGTCTACGGACTATCTAACCAGTAAGTGGCAAAGCTAGACCTTGGCTCACATCTTGTGATTCCAAGTCCTCTATCATTTCAATTACACCACATTTGCCACACTGTCATATTTAAATATAATACCTATCCACATTTTAAGGCAGTTTTTTGGCAGCTTCAGGTTGGAAATTCTCAGGAGAAACATTAGAATTCAAATAATATGTACACTTTGGGGCTCTCAAATCTAGTTATTTGAGTTTTTTAACTTTTCCAATACCTTGCCTTGAACAACCCAAGGAAATAAGGCTGCAAAAAAATACTACTACCCTATCCTCAACATAAAGTAGATTAAGGATGAATTCCAGCTATTCTGCATTTTTAAAAAAATTGTCTGTTTTTATTGTGGAAAAAACTCAACAAATACAAAAGCAGACAAATACTATGTATCCATCTCCCAGCTTCAGCAATGATAATCCATTAGAAATGTCATAGTGAGAATGTCAACAGTGTTTGAGGAGCTGGGAGGAAAGGAAGAATCTAGTTGTCTGTCCCGAATAATAGGCTGAAAAATTCCATTTCTAAAGGTAAGTGACACCTGGAAGCTTTTCATGTGAAATATTCTCAATCTGACTTATAGGCTTTGTGAAGTTAAACTCTTTTTAAAGGTTTGGCGTTAACAGGGTTAAAAGGTTACAGTGGATCCTGGATATTAAATAATAATATTAAAATAATACAACTGACTTCTTGAAGTCGGTTTAAGCATTGTGACTAGAGAGATACAACTCTGGACATATATGCATGCCTTTATTTATAGCAGCAAGCACCAAGTCTTATGGGAAAAGCTCCTCAATCATTTAAAAATCAAACTATTTTAAGCACCTCACAACTTTCTAAGAATTTTGTTTGTTTGCTTTAACATTGTTCCCAAAAGTTGGGTCATAAGTTGTTTGTGTTTGTGTGTGTGTGTGTGTGTGTATGCATGAGTGCGTTTGCTTTGGGGAAATGTGCAAAATGGGGTTAGTGGGTTTGAAGCATCAAAGGCTCTTTGAATAGTTCTAACCAGGGCTGCATTTGTGGGATAAGGTCCTGGGAGTTCATAGTATGACTAAGAAGTGAATTAGCTACTTGAAATATTTTTTTTTAGAATTGGGCAGAATATATATATTGTTTAAAAAATATGAATCAAGCACAGCTCACTTCAAATAGAAGGCATATTTCCCATAACCATTTAAAACATATGTACTGGTTCTGAGATCTTGCTAAATTTAAACCGTGACTCAGTAGAGTAAGACAACTCCTTCCTTCTTCGTTCAGAAAGAAAAGAGTGAAGAGATGGCCCTAGTAGTGAGTACTGCTAAAAACACCCTCTTTGTGCCAGGAACTTAATGTGCCAGGAAAATTTTAATGATGTAGAGAATTATTAGCCCCCAACTCCCTTTTCTTAGATGAGAAAACAACAGGTTGAAGGTATTTAAAACTCGCTTAAAATCACACGGCTAATTTCTAATATTGGTCCATTTGACTCCAAAATCTACCCCTTTTCCTCTGTATCACATTGATATTCAACTAGACTAGAAGCATCATGTGTTTGCTTCAAATAGTCTTGAAACGTTTCACCGACTATCTCTGCTTGGAATTAACCTTTTGGGCATGGTGTTCTCTAATTTACCATGTTCAAGAAACTCACATTCGTTTACATAGAAAGTTATATTACCATCCACTAATTTTGAGACCCTTTGAAAAGGGCTTTCCACTATACCATGGCACTTACAAGGTGGTCACCAAAAAATAATTATTCCTAGTAATTTTATTCCATCACTGGGAGCGCAGACTGTCAATTAACAGGCATACCTACACTGGTCTTACCTGAAAATAGCTACATAACTGTGTCCACACAGTGACTAGAATAAGTCAAAGCATGAAACTCACAGGGTACAAGGCTCTTACACAGAGAAGAGCCGGCATGAAGTTCACCAGGATCCCAGGGTGGGGACTGGGAGGTGGAAGTCGCTGGCTTTCTGGCATGGTCACCAAGTAACACCCACCTGAGATGTTCTCCCAAAGTCTTGTGGTGGTTATTGTTTTCAACTCCATCTTTAAGAGCACATATGAAGAAGTTATGTAGTTGGGATTAACCACCTGTCAGCTGTGGGCCTTGTGTTATCAAGTTACTAACACAATTAATAGTTCTAATTACATAGTTTTTAGTTCAAGTTTAATTCCACTAAAGTGTCATGGTGAAGCTAGACCAATTATGAAGGTTTATGGATAAAAGGATAGTGATAAGATTAAAGGTTATCATATATATGATTCACAGTTGAGACACACAAGATACTTGCAAACCAAGAGTGGTCCTTCTTGTTCTACGAACAGCAATAAAAGTAAATGTGCCCCTCACCTATACAGATTTCTAAACATCTGGACTCTTACTGAAAATAGATTGAAGCCTCTGCTCTGAGAAGGTCATGGAAGGCCTAACTGCACAATGGCCCTCAGGTGGGAGAGTGGGCTAGGCCCTCCAGGGTTACAGGGAGCTCTGCACAGGGGAAGAAGGACTTAAGGTGGTAGAAAGCCACTGTGATTGCCAAGGTCAGCAAAAGTGGAGTTCTCACCCCTGAGGGCAGGACAAAGAGTTCCCAAGATTCCAACCCAGGAGGTGTTTACAAACTTAGGGACATAAACCAGGGAAAGTCTATGAGAGCCGTTACTTGGTCACCAGCCAAAGGTCATTGCCTCTGTACCTCATTGTCTTTATCACCTTATGTAAAAACAGACCTCTACTTCCAAGACCTGACTGGCCGAAGTGGTTAATACCTATTTGTGCATAACCAGTAGCTCAGCTATGCTTCCCCATCTATGATGTAAATCTTCCCAGGGATTCAGAGTGATGGGGTGGGGATACAGAATGGGTGTAGTCCATATTTTCCCCAGTTTATTATAAAGGATATCACATTTTTGTGGAATATCAACCCCTTGTGAAGTTTTAAAATATTTTTTGATATTTTTACGTTAAAGCAAACATATAGTAGAGTACCTTGACAGAAAGTTATTATACATACATACGAAAAATATACACAATCTTTGTTAATATTTTAAAATAAAAAACAAAATTAAATAAACAACAGCCTGGCGAGGTGGCTCACGTCAGTAATCCCAGCCCTTTGGGAGGCCAAGGCAGGCAGATCACCTGAGGTCAGGAGTTCAAGACCAGCCTAGCCAACATGGTGAACTTCGTCTCTACTGAAAATACAAAAAATTAGCCAGGTGTGGTGGCGCATGCCTGTAGTCCCAGATACTTGGGAGGCTGAGGCAGAAGAATTGCTTGAACCCGGGAGACAGAGGTTATAGTGAGCTGAGATCGCACCACTCCACTCCAGCCTGGGCGACAGAGTGAGACTTTGTCTCTAAATAAATAAACAAGTAGATAGATAGATAGATAGACAGACAGACAGACAGACAAAGTTTTGTGTTTACAGAGGTCACTTTGATCGAAACATCCTCCATCCCCTCGGGCATCCTGCTCTGAAGAGAATTTCAGTAGAGATATTTGAGGAACACTGACCTGCTGGATCTCTAGGAAGTTCCCTCAGCACTCAGAATGGAATGGCTCATCCCACCCGTCAAAGGCCACCTCCAGCACAGCACAGCAGGAGGCACCAATCCTTTACACTGCTCTTTAGGGGCCCTCCACACACTACCCTCTGAGCAGCTACAGAGCTGGGTACTACTGCATCAGCACTGCTCATGCTATGAACACTTTCCCCATGCAATGAATGCTGTTCCAGCGATCCCCTGCTATTCATCATCATCAAACCCTGCAACGGCAGCAAAAAGGTCAACTGGTAGTAGAAACCAAGTCAAACTGTATGTACAGAGATGGGTCTGTGAGAGGGCAAGCTGGGCCAAAGAAAAATTGTAAGGAGAACTCAAGGGTACAATGGGCATTTGCAGAAGTATCACCAGTACAGCCAGTCCCAGAAGCTCATTCACTAACCACCTACTATGTGCAAGGCAATGGGGATACAGAGATGCCTAAGACAGTCTTTGCCTGTGAGGCAAGTCAGGATGACCTAAATTCCTGACATTTCAGTGGTGTGCTGTCAAAATTTATATATTCTAAATCAGACTTAATTTTTTCAGGGAAAATAATGAAATGCCTGTGTTTTCTTTTCAATTAACAGCTGACGTGGGACAGGCACGGTGGCTCATGCCTGTAATCCCAGCATTTTGGGAGGCAGGGGCAGGCAGATCACTTGAGGTCAGGAGTTCCAGACCAGCCTGTCCAACATGGAGACACCCAGCCTCTACTAAAAATACAAAAATTAGCTGGGTATGGTGACGCACACCTGTAATCCCAGCTACTCGGGAGGTTGAGGCAGGAGAATCGCTTGAACCTGGGAGATGGAGACTGTAGTGAGCCGAGATCACGCCACTGCACTCCAGCCTGGGCAACAGAGTGAGACTCCTTCTCAAAAAAAAAAAAAAAGAAACGACATGATTGCGAAGAGCTTATATGGAGCTTTCGGGGTAGAGACCGTTATGCCCCAGCATTTAGACACTCATTTTACTGTGTCAATAACGAGTGTTAAAAAAAAAAAAAATGGAATTCTGGTCTAATAGGCAAGAAGCATCTGTCTGATATATCAGGGAGACTTAAGCATTTGACAAACTTCTAAAGGATTTAAAAGATGTTTTGAAATTAAAATGTCCACAGCATGGTGGCTTGTGCCTGTAATTCCAGCAACTTGGGAGACCAAGGTAGAAGGATCACTTGAGGCCTGGAGTTTGAGACCAGCCTGGGCAACATATCAAGACTCTGCCTCTAAAAATAAAAAAAATAATAATAATTAGCTGGGCCTGATGGCATATACCTGTAGTCCTAGCTACTCAGGAGGATCACTTGAACCCAGAAGTTTGAGACTACAGTGAGCTACAATGGGGCCATTGCACCCCAGCCTGGGTAACAAAGGGAGACCCGCCTCTTTATAAATTAATTAATTAATTCCAGGGCATAGAGTTCACTGTGTAAACCATTTCTAGACTGAATTGGTCATTAAAAGTAGATCTAAGGATTCTTTCATTCAACTACAAGATAACAAATTAAATAGACTGAAGAAAATGTTCTCAAGTCTCTGCTAAATGCAGGTATATTCAGAGGTTGATAAGATACATGTCCTGTCTTCCAGAATTCAGTTTTAAGCAGTGTTTTTCAAACTTATCTTTCATTATCGCTCCCCTAATGAGCTAATTAAACTTTTTTTTTTTCAAATCGCTCCATTACCACCCACTACCCCCGCCAAGAAATTTTAATACCAAAGATAAACTATGTATCTGTTGATGTACTGCGTCCCTTTGAAAGGCTGCAAGTCATTACAACAGCTAAGATTTCACTCCCCCCAAGAATCAATGTTCACTCCCCTGGAGGCAACATGGCCCCACTGAGAAATCCTGGTGTAGAGAAAATGTTCGTAGAACCTGTCAGGCCTCTGAGCCCAAGCTAAGCCATCGTATCCCCTGTGACCTGCACGTATATGTCCACATGGCCTGAAGCAAGTAAAGAATCACAAAAGAAGTGAAAATGGCCGGTTCCTGCCTTCACTGATGACATTCCACCACTGTGATTTGTTCCTGCCCCACCTTAACTGAGCAATTAACCTTGTTAAATTCCTTCTCCTGGCTCAGAAGCTCCCCCACTGAGCACCTTGTGACCCGCCCCTGCCCGTAAGAGAAAAACCCCCTTTGATTGTAATTTTCCACTACCCACCCAAATCCTATAAAACAGCCCCACCCTAGGTCCCTTCGCTGACTCTCTTTTCGGACTCAGCCCACCTGCACCCAGGTGAAATAAACAGCCTTGTTGCTCACACAAAGCCTGTTTGGTGGTCTCTTCACATGGACGCGCGTGACAGAACCCTCTTAAGATACGTGGAAACCTACATATACATTTTTTTTCATCAAAATCTGAAAGGACTCCCTGATCAAAAAAGATTAGATCTACAGCAGGGGTCAGAAAACCTGTTCTGTAAAGGACTGGATAATAAATGTATTTTAGGTTTTGTGGGCCACATACTGCCTCTAAGGCATATTCTTCTTTATTTTTTGTTTTGTTTTCACAACCTTTCGAAATGTAAAAGCCTTTCTTAGTTCAAGGACCCCACCAAAACAAATTACTGCCCAAATCTGTCCTGTGGGCTGGAGTCTGCTGACTCCTGATCCAGAGGAATAATAGCTAACATTTTTTGAAATCTTAACATTTATAAAAAAGTAACCATTTGTAGAATGGTGATGGCCGGAGGCTGGAAGGGGGGCAATGGCGAGTTACTGTTTAATGGGTATAGAGTTTCTGTTTTACAAGACAAAGACAGTTCTGGAGATAGATAGTGGCGATGGCTGCATAAACAACGTGAATGTAGTTAACGCTCCTGAGTTGCACACTTAAAAATGGTTAGGGTGGTAAAGGCGATGTTATATGTATTTTACCACAATGAAAAAAATCACTTAAAGAAATAAAAAATATGTCATTTAAAAAATATTTAACGTTTGTTCAATACCCACTAAAAAAAAATGAGTAGATATTTTCATTTTATAACTGAAGAATTTGAGGCTAAAAGAGCTCTGACAGGCCGGGCGCGGCGGCTCACGCCTGTAATCCCTGCACTTTGGGAGGCCGAGGTGGGCAGATCACTTGAGGTCAGGAGTTCGAGACCAGCCTGGCCAACGTGGTGAAACCCCACCTCTACTAAAGATACAAAAATTAGCTGGGCGTGGTAGTGGGAGCCTGTAATTTCTGCTACTCAGGAGGCCGTGGCCCGAGAATCACTTGAACTCAGGAGGCAGAGGCTTCAGTGAGCTAAGATCACACCACTGCACTCCCGCCTGGGCAACAGAGTGAGACTCTGTCTCAAAAAAAAAAAACAGTTTGCACGAGTTACAAAGCTGCAAGTGGAGTGCTGAGATGGGAAGCTGTAAAGACTGAGCTCTTAGCCAGGATGGATGCTGTTTTCTCAGCACCAAGAACTCCTTTCACTTATTTTCTCCAACAGATCAACATCATTTGTTAATAATTTGTTTTGTTTTTTTAAACAATTACTTAAAGGTAATATAGACAATCAGAGCTTCAGATTCATTCGTGGCAAAAATCAAAAAGAAATTAGGCATTCTAGTTAGCACGTCAAGATTTTCTTCATGTAAATCTAAGTTGCATGAAAGCAAGGACTTTCCTTATCTGTCTGTTTCATCAAAGTACCCTCTGTTCCTACAACAGGGCTCTGTATTTAGAAATGTGAAAAAAGTGTTTACCCTCTTTTACTGCTGGGTCCTTAGTATTTGGGAGACCCCACATTATAACTGAAACTACTGAAGGCAGGTGGATTCTAGGATCCCTGTCATCTCTAAAGTTGTATGTTTCAGCCAGGTACAGTGGCTTATACCTGTAATCCCAACACTTTGGGAGGCCGAGGTGGGCTGATCGCTTGAGCCTAGGAGTTCAAGACCAACCTGAGCAATATAGGGAGACTTTGTCTCTATAAATAATAAAAAATTAGCTGGGCACACACCTGTTGTCCCAGCTACTCAGGAGGCTGATGTGGAAGGACCACTTGAGCCTAGGAGCTAGAAGCTGCAGAGAGCTATGATTGCGCCACTGCACTCTCAGCCTGGGCAACAGAGCAAGACCCCATCTCTAAAAGTAATAATAATAATAAAGTTGTATGTTTCAATGCCTTGATATGTTTATTTCACTAGTTCAGTCAGTCAACCATAGTTTTTGAGAACACACTACAGCATAAGTGCTAGTCTGGGTTCCTGTGGAAAAACAAACAGAGTAAAATAGAAATGTAATCTCAAGTCTACTGGTTGTAAAGTCCAAAACTGACAAACGACTTTTTTTTTTTTTTTTTTTTTTTTTTTGATAGAGTCTCACTCTGCCCAGGCTGGAGCGCAGTGGCGCGATCTCAGCTCGCTGCAGCCTCCACCTCCTGGGTTCAAAGTAATTCTGCCTCAGCCTCCCGAGTAGCTGGGATTACAGGCACTGCCACCACACCCAGCTAATTTTGGTATTTTTAGTAGAGACAGGGTGTTCACCATGTTGCCCAGGCTGGTCTCAAACTCCTGACCTCAGGTGATCTGCCTGCCTTTGCTTCCCAAAGTGCTGGGATTACAGGTGTGAGCCACTGTGCCCAGCCTCATTCTATTTTTTTGAGACAGGGTCTCACTATGTTGCCTAGGCTGGAGTGAAGTGTCTATTCACAGGCCACTGCGAATATTCGATCCTCCCGCCTCAGCCTCTTGAGTAGCCGGGATTACAGGCACCAGCATCAACAAAGACTGTAAAAGATTTTCAATGAATCAAGGAAAGAATCTTAACTAGTTGTTTGAGCTGAGTTCCATATGGACTAAAAATGCATGAAAACTGCTGTATCTTAACTGTTTACAGCAGTTCCCTCAGGGTATCATCTGTGTGACCTCCCTGGGCATGTGACACAAGCTGAGCCTATCACGCACCCCTTAGAACTGTCACAAACACATGACCTAGGCTAGGCCAGTGACCATTCTTCCCTGGGATTTGTCAAACTTAAGCTGGGGGAAAAGAAGCCTGTTTTCTCTCAGATCACAGCAATAAAGATGTCTATAGATGGGCAATGACCACAGTCATATCCCCTTCCATGTAGAGGAAGCCCACCAGCAGCAAGACAAAAATTAACGCAACACTAAGAGATAAAAGGTGAGGAGAGCACGGAGCCACATAGGGCACACAGCTGTGTTTCAAGTCCCTGGTTATGAATGTCCTTAAAACCCACCTCATTCCAGCTCTTCCTGAAATCTAGTTAAGTAAGCAAAAAAAAAAACCCCTTTTGCTTCAGCTAGACTATGTGAGTTTCTGTTACTAACAACCAGGAATTTTTTTTTTTTTTTTTTTTTTTTGAGACAGAATCTCACTTTGTCACCCAGGCTGTAATGCAGTGGCACAATCCTGGCTCACTGCAACCTCCAACACCCAGGTTCGAGTGATTCTCCTGCCTCAGCCTCCCAAGTAGCTGGGATTACAGGCGTCCGCCACCACATCTGGCTAATTTTTGTATTTCTAGTAGAGATGAGGTTTCACCATGTTGGCCAGGCCAGTCTTGAACTCCTGAACTCAGGTTACCTGCCCACCTCAGCTTCCCAAAGTGCTGAGATTACAGGTGTGAGCCACTGTGCCCAGCTGCAACCAGGAATCTTAATGCATGGGCTGAGGAGGCTGACTGACCTAGACGACAATGTGCATCATCCCAGAAGTAGGCTAAAGGTAACCAGCTCCTCAGCTCACCCTGGACTGCTTCCTCGTCCTTCCTCCACCTCTAGTTTTCATCTGAGAAACTAGGTTAAACCTCTTTGCTACCAGGTGTGCTCAAATCCCTTAAACAGGCAGATCTGACATAAAGTACTGTTTAATCATTTTTGCTTCTAAACAAAATGATTGGGAAGTGAGTCTCCCAAAGTCCCCCAAATACAATAATTTTTATCTTAAAAGTGCCTTTACATTGTCTAGATCAAACACTCAAAAACAAGTGGGAAGAAGTGACTGGGCTTCAGGATATACATAACAAAGAGCTTTAAGGGAACCACTAAGAAGGTAATCTCTTCAAACAGCCCACGTAAATTATACTAATCTATGGAAAGAAATCTTCCATCACAAAGAGAATAACAAGAAAAATTTCACTTTCTTCCAACCCCAGCCACCAGCCAATCACCCTTTACTTCGCTGATTTCTGTATTATCATGTTCCTACCTTTCCTTCCTAAAATTGTTTTTTCCGTGTGAAACTAGAGGAAGCTATTCATGTTAAATCTGCTCAATTCTACCTAAGATTGGGGAGCTATGAATAGAAACAGTATGCATCTGAATTAGTCACCAGCCACAAGGAAACTTGATGTTTGCCTTAATAGAAAACTCAGAAAATTAATAATTTAGTAGCAGAATATTCAAAAAAGAGTGTTACCTTTCAAAAATATCTCAAGTTACTATAAGACTTTATTTGAAAGGAAGAGAAGTAAGAATTACTGTCTAATCAAAGACTACGTAATGGTAAACTGCCCACATCATGTTTTTCATTAGTTTATTGTTAAGGACAATTCTGAATAATTTTAAAAGTACTTTTTCATCACTAGCATTTAAGGAAAGAAAAAGATATTCTGCCCCCAGAAATGGCTTATTCAAGGTCAGCTTATGCATTTCTAAAATAGCAGGAGTTTCTAGATGACAATTGACCCCAGACCTGGCTAGTCTAATTATGGTCCATATTCTCCCACCAGGCTGTCTAAAGGGTAGGCACTGGAACTGTATTGGTCCACTGCTGTGTTTTTAGTGTCTGACAGTGCCTGGTGTATCACACATAGGTGATTAACAAACCTTTGATGAATAAGTACATAAAAAGATCAATAAATAAATCCAACTGTATGTCCTACTTCCAGCTCTGACGAAGAGTTCGACATAAATTCTTGAGTTTCACATAAGTTCTAGCTGTAATCCCAGCTACTTGGGAGGCTGAGGCACGAGGACTGCTTAAGCCCAGGAGCTTGCGCCCAGCCTGTAAAATATGGCACAAGAGCCTGTCTCGAAAAAGACATTTCTTGAGAAACTGCCAAGAATGGAAATGGAGAAAGTAAAAGTTTTTCTTTCTTCAACTCAACCAAATTCAACAAGGATCTCTGGGCGTGTCCTCTGTGCCAGGCACTAGGCTAATAATACCTGCTGACACCCAGATAAAGATAAGAGAGCCCCTTCCTCCAGGTGTGCATCACAGTGAGCTGACATCACCTGGAGGCCATCTTTCACAGGGCCTATCTGCTCATCAAGGGGGTTCATCTTTAGTAGGAAGAAGAGAGAGAAGACAATGGAATACTTTGATTTTGAAATATGCTTAAATATCCTAACCAGCCACTGACTGCTTATAGCATCATGTAACCTATTATTCATTTAACAGTGTTTCTACACAAAAACACATTCTAACAAAAATGCTACAGTTCCAGGGATGAACCCCCACATTCCTAATTCTTCACTTCTTCCACTACACCTCTGCTAAGGCAGAGCTGGAGGGAAGGAGAAGGAATAAAGGGCCACTGTGACAATGGGGGATCTTCTAGGACGGTAACATATGGGAAGGAAAGATGGGAGGTGTAATATTCCCATATTTGGCATGGATCATGCAAGTATTTGAAGACAAGAGGGGCTGTTCCTTTATTTCCAAACCTCACTAAATCCAGAAGCATCTTCTCATACTGAAATCCATCTTACTAAAGATATTACTACTACTGCTACCATCGGCTTGAATACATGATCACAGACAAATCATCAAGTTACAGTAAATCCTGTTAAAAAGTAGATGATTACTTAATGGGTTCAGGTACCGTCAAATTATGGCCCCTCCAAAAAAGCAGCTATAAAGAATAAAGTCCAACTAGTTTTGAAATTGAGTATCTGCTTTTCTCCTCAACACAAACAGTTTAAAAACAGGGCTGGGCGGGGTGGCTCATGCCTATAATCCCAGAACTTTGGGAGGCTGAGGCAATTGGATCACTTAAGGCCCAGGGTTTGAAACCAGCCTGGCCAACATGGCGAAACCCCGTCTCTACTAAGAATACAAAAATTATTTTTTTTTTTGTAAAAAATAATTTTTACAGGCGCAGTGACTCATGCCTGTAATCCCAGCACTTTGGGAGGCCAAGGCGGGTGGATCACGAGGTCAGGAGTTCAAGACCAGCCTGGTCAACATGGTGAAACCCCATCTCTACTAAAAAATACAAAAAAGTTAGCCGGGCCTGGTGACGGGCAACTGTAATCCCAGCTACTCGGGAGAGTGAGGCAGAGAATTGTTCGAACCCCGGAGGTGGAGGTTACAGTGAGCCGAGATCATGCCACTGTACTCCAGCCTGTACAAGAGAACAAGACTCCGTCTCAAAAAAAAAAAAAAAATACAGAGGTGCAATCAAAATAAGAATATTTGGTCATATCATCATCATTCCCCAAAGGTACCACAGAGAGACCTGCGAAGAACTAGTAGCACTGGACTCCCATGACAGTTCCCACACCACACAAGACCCTCTCATGAGCAGCCCACAGCTCTTCCTCCTCTATCTCAGCCAGAATATTCTACTGCCTTAGCACACAAGGGCACACAAGAGGCACTCAACACTTTGCTCATGGTGATCACAAACACGGCTCAACATCTTCAAACTATTCAGATCTCAGCACATTACAGGGGTGGTTACAAATGTGGTTGGCTACTGATTCTATTCTAGTCTTCTGGAATTATCTTACTGCGCAATTATATGGCTTCCTACATTAAGGAGTGTTTGCAGTCCAGCACACTCTGCAGGGGAAAAAAGGTGTGGTGTGGCAGAAAGAACACAAGTTTTGCAGTTAAGATAGTTGTTAAATTCAGATCCAAGGTTTGTCACCTTTCTCGCTGGTGGCCTTGGGAGAGTGGCAATCTGAACCTCAGTCTCCTCTTCTGAGGAATAAGGCTGCCACACAGGGATGTTGGGAGATCAGTGATAGCCCACATAAAGCACCTAGCCCAGTAAAATGGTCTCTACTTTTCACGCCAAGCTGCCTATACCTCCTCTCACCCAACATATCCACATGCTGACCACAATGGCACTGTGCGTTTCAACCTGACAGTCTGTGTGTGTGTGTAACAAAAGCAAAACTCTGCTAACATGAGCCTACATGAAACCTCAGGGGACAGATTAACTTGGTACCAAATTACACGCTCCAAACCAAAAAGAAACAACTTTGATATAATTGACACATCAGCCTAGGTAAGAGAGACTCTTTTCTATGGGTTGCTGAAAACAAGGAAAACTTGAGAGGAACAGTTACGGCCCATCCTGAGGCAGTAAGAAACTGATTTCTTCTGATAACACAACTGCTCAGTCTAAAGCACTGAGAGAAACAGCCCTGTCTCTGGGCCTGGTGTCAAAGCAGGTTTGGAACCCTGGAATTCCAAGATTCCCAGTCTTGGAATCTAACAGCTCTATGGAGTTTTGGCCCTGCCTGGGGAGCAGTAAGGTAGGATGGACAGTAGATTGAAGATACTGATTGTGTTTGCAAACATGCCCCAGATAAGGAATGGTCAAAGCAGATTCCTTTTTTTTTTTTTTTTTTTGAGACGGAGTCTTGCTCTGTCGCCCAGGCTAGAGTGCAGTGGTACAAACAAACTCACTGCAGTCTCAACCTCCTGGGCTCAAGCAATCCTCCCGCCTCAGCCTCTCAAGCAGCTGAGACTACAGGTGCATGCCACCACACCTGGCTAATTTTTTTTATATGTATATTTTGGGAGAGGTAGAGTCTCACTACATTGCCAAGGCTGGTCTCAAACTCCTGAGCTCAAGCAATCCTCCCAGCTTGGCCTCCCAAAGTGCTAGGATTACAGGTGTGAGCCACCACACCTGGCCCAGAGCAGATCCTAGAGACCCGGGCTGCCCTCATATCACAGGTGTGTCTGGCTCCTTATCCTCACACAGGCAGTTGTTCCTAAATATTTCTTTGCTAAGGACTTAATCATAGACTCACAGAATTCTAGAACAGACAGGAAGGTTGAGTATCAACTAACTTACATCCTCGCATTACTGATGAGAAAACTAACAGCCCAATGGGGGATCACAGAGCTGGTTAATGACAGAACCAGATGAGATAGGACTCAGGCCAGTATTCCTTACCCTAGACTTTACCATCTCATTCAAGTGTCCATGCACATCCAGAGTTCCCTTCCCAACAGTGCTTCTTTTTAAGCCTTTCAAAACATTGGCTTTATTTGGAGGTCACATCTTTTTTTTTCATTGTGATAAAAAAAAAACCCATAAAATTTACTATTTTAACAATTTTCAGGTAAACAGCTCAGTGGTGGTAAGTACATTCATGCCATTGTGTAACCATCACCACCATCCATCTCCAGAACTTCTTTCATCTTGCCAAACTGAAACTCTGTTCCCATAAAACAGAAACTCCCCATCCTCCCCCTTCTCTAGCCCCTGGCAACTACCATTTTACTTTCTGTTTCTATGAATTAGACTACTCCAGTTATCTTTTCTTTTCTTTTTTTTTTGAGGCGGAGTCTCACTCTGTCGCCCAGGCTGGAGTGCAGTGGCGCTCTCTCTGCTCACTGCAAGCTCCACCTCCCGGGTTCATGCCATTCTCTTGCCTCAGCCTCCTGACTTGCTGGAACTACAGGCGCCCACCACCTCGCCCGGCTACTTTTTTGTATTTTTAGTAGAGACGAGGTTTCACCATGTTAGCCAGGATGGTCTCGATCTCCTGACCTCGTGATCCACCCACCTCGGCCTCCCAAAGTGCTGGGATTACAGGCATGAGCCACCACGCCCAGCCTCCAGTTATCTTCTATAAGTGGGATCATATAGTGCTTATCCTCTTGTGACTTATTTCATTAGCAAAATGTCTTCATGGCTCATCCATGTGGTAACATGTGTCAAAATTCCCTTCTCCCTTAAGGCTGAAAATATTCCACTGTATGTCCATACCACATTTGTTTCTCCAGGCACCTGGCAATGGACACTCGGGCCACTTCCACATGTTGACCAATGCAAACAATACTGCTTTAACATGGGTGTACAAATATCTGTTCTAGTCCCTGCTTTCAATTCTTTTGGGCACACACCTGGCAGTGAAATTGCTGGATCTCACAATGTATCAGTGCTATTTTCAAATGTGTCTTGAAAGAGACAAAGAGGAGACAAAATCATCTGGGTTGGTGAATTCTTTAAGAAAATGAAGCCAGAAGCAGTGGGTCAGTCTGTAATCCCAGCAATTTGGGAGGCCAAAGCATGTGGATCACCTGAGGTCAGGAGTTCGAGACCAGCCTGACCAATATGGTGAAACCCTGTATCTACTAAAAATACAAAAATTAGCTGGGTGTGGTGGCGCAGTCCCAGCCTGTAGTCCCAACTACTAGGGAGGCTGAGACAGGAGAACTGCATGAACCCAGCAGGTGGAGGGTGCAGTGAGATGAGACCACACCACTACACTCCAGGCTGGGCAACAGAGAGAGACTCTGTCTCAAAAAAAAGAAAAGAAAAAAGAAAATGAAAAATACTGTTTTGTTCTTAAACTTAGCTTTACTTCAACACAACAAACTATATGAAAAAATTTTTAGAGATTGTATGATGTAGAGGAAAAAACACAGCACTGAGGAGGATAACTTTCTAGTAATATCCAACATTAACACAGGACATACTTTTTGATGTCCGAGTATGAATTTCCACAGGCAGGGGAGAGTGGAATAGATAATCCCTAAGGTCTATGGATTCTGTGGGTTCCATGAAAAAACTTATTTAAAGGATTACTATGTCTTTTAATCATTTTTTCTTTTCCTTAGATCCAGTTTGCATATTAGAACTTAACCATTTCTGGCTATAGAATCTAGTGTATTCTTGAAATAAGAGCTCCAGGGATAGGCGGGGCATGGTGGCTCACGCCTGTAATCCCAGTACTTTGGGAGGACGAGGAGGGCGGATCACTTGAGGTCAGGAGTTTGAGACCAGCCTGGCAAACATGGTGAAACCCTGTCTCCACTGAAAATACAAAAATTAGCTGGTCATGGTGGCATACGCCTGTAATCCCAGCTACTCAGGGGCCTGAGGTAGGAGAATCACTTGAACTCCCGAGAGGCAGAGGTTGTAGTGAGCAGAGATCACACCACTGCACTCCAGCCTGGGTGACAGAGTGACATTCCGTCTCAAAAAAAAAAAAAAAAAAAAAATTCCAGGGACAAGAACAATTCCTGAGCTAGGAAAAAAAAAAAAAAAAAGAGAGAGAGACTAAGGTAATACAATAGACAACAATTTTCCTACCAGCACATTTATTTGTTAATTGCTTTAGGATGTCCAGAGTGTAGTACCTGTATACTCTGAGTCACGGTTTACTCTGAGTCACTGTGAACTTCTGTTTACTTTGTAGTAGTCACTATAAAACTATCAATGCACACTGGGCTCAGTATCAACAGGGCATACCTGCCAAGAAAATTTTGCTACAATAGTTTGGTTCAAACAATCTTTCAGTTACTGAGCAACATACCGTTGTCATCAAGATTCCTGACAATGCATTCTGAGTCAAAATGCACATCAGATTCCAGGTACGAAACCAACAACACACTCCAAACCCCATCCACTCTCAGGCCTCCCAGGAAGATCTGCAAAGTGAGAAACGCACTGCCCCACCCTGTTTCTCCCCACTTCCCCAGAACTATTTCTGCTTAGGTATCTACCAAAAGCAGGCTTTCTACTCCAGGGACAAGAAGGATAAGAGACAGAATTCTCTATGTTCACTTCACCAATCAATTATTTCAACTACTTATAAAAAGCTTCCTATGCTGGGTACAATGATACACATGAACCTACTCAGCCCTTACAATTCTTCCAGGTAGGTGTGTTTGTGCTCACAATGTAGGAAAGTGAGGTGGACGCTCAGGAGTGTCCTATCCAGAGCCACACAAGCAGTAAGGAGTACAGCTAGGCTGGACCAGGTCTTCTGATCCCATGTCCGGTACTCTTTTGGCCATATCATTTGTTTACACTCTTACAAGCCTATGCTAATTTGGACACCCCAAAGAGAACATCTGAAGATCCTCTCCTAGAAAGCAGGACTAATGATCTAACAACTAATGCCTGGTTTTTCAGTTAAGAGCAGAGTTTGCTGGCTTCACTCTTTCACCTTTATTTCAGCTGACAGGCAGAGCTTTGAAGAAACTCAAGGAGAAACTGTGCATCAGTCCCTTCACTTAAAAATGCTTTTCACAGGCCAGGAGCAGTGGCTCATGCCTGTAATCCCAGCACTGTGGGAGGCCAATGCAGGCGGATCAGCTGGGCCCAGGAGTTCGAGACCAGCCTGGCAACATGGCAAAACTCTCTCTCTACAAAAAAAACAAAAAAATTAGCCAAGCGTGGAGGTGCATGCCTGTAGTCCTAGCTACTGAGGAGGCTGAGGTGGGAGAACCACGTGAGCCTGGCGAGGTCAAGGCTCCGGTAAGCCAAGATCACTCCAGCCTGAGTGACAGAGTGAGACCCTGTCTCTTAAAAAAAAAAAAAAAAAAAAAAAGCCGGGCGTGGTGGCTCATGCCTGTAATCTCAACACTTTGGGAGGCCGAGGCAGGTGGATCACCTGAGGTCAGGAGTTCGAGACCAGCCTGGCCAACATGGTGAAATCCCATCTCTATTAAGAATATAAAATTAGCCAGGGGTGGTGGTGCCCACCTGTAATCCCAGCTACTCATGAGGTTGAGGCAAGAGAATCGCTTGAACCCAGGACATGGATGTTGCAGTGAGCTGAGATTGCGCCACTGCACTCCTGGGCAGAAGAGCAAGACTCTGCCTCAAGAGAAAAAAAAATTGCTTTTCAGGGAAAAACACGCCCACATTCTCACCACCTCCAATAATGACAGACAGTGACTGGGCCCCGGTGTTTTATTCACCTCCAGGTTTACTCCCAGGAAATCTACAGTGGAAAAAGGCATCCACTAAAGACTTCCTTCAACATTTTTAGAGACTTAGGCTATCCAGATCTTTCCTCTCCAAATTCTACGAGTACAAATAGTGTTAATATTTATTACATAATAGATTCAGGAAACTGTGTTTCTATGACCACATGAATTTTTCTTACACAACATTCATGCCAATTTTATTGGACTTGGAGTATATTATTTTAAATGACTATGGAGGTTTGTAATTATTGTATTGTTGATTTTATGACACATTATTGGTCCCATTCATGATTTATTTGATGCCAAGGCCTTGATCAGGACGTTAACACCCAAATATAACATTTTTCCTGTGGGAAAACACCATTTGCTTTAAAACACCTGCTTTTACGAGGGAGTTTTTTATTAATGCAACATCATAAGAAGCAGACAGTACCTGTTCAAGAAAACCCTGAGTAAGCAAAATATAACTAAGTTTTTCTTTTTTCTTTTTTTCTTTTTTTTTTTTGAGACAGAATCTTACTCTGTCATCCAGGCTGGATGGAATGCAGTGGTGCGGTCTTGGCTCCCAGGCTCAAGCAACCCTCCCACCTTAGCCTTACAAGTAGCTGAGACTACAGGCACACACCACCACGCCTGGCTAATTCTTGTATTTTTTGTAGCAACGGGTTTCACCATGTTGTCCAGGCTGGTCTCGAATTCCTAGGCTCAAGTGATCTTCCCGCCTCAGCCTCCCAAAGTGCTGAGATTACAGGCGTGAGCCACTGTGCCTGGCTCTAAGTTTTTCTTTACTCAACATTTAGGAGAAAGAAGCTGCAGGCCGGGCACAGTGGCTCACGCCTGTAATCTCAACATATTGGGAGGTCAAGTCAGGCAGATCACTTGAGCCCAGGAGTATGAGACCAGCCCAGGTAAAATAGCAAAACCCCATATCTACAAAAACAAAAATAAGCCAAGGTGTGGTGTCATGTGCCTGTAGTCGCAGCTACTTGGGAAGCTAAGGTGGGAGAATCGCTTGAGCCCAGAAGGCGGAGGCTGCAGTGAGCAGCTCCACTGCACCACTGCCTTCCATCCCTGGGCAACAGAGCAAGACTGTCACAGAGACAAAACCACAATGACATACCATCTCACGCCAGTTAGAATGGTGATCATTAAAAAGTCAGGAAATGCCAGGCACGGTGGCTCACGCCTGTAATCCCAGCACTTTGGGAGGCCGAGGCGGGCGGATCACGAGGTCAGGAGACCGAGACCATCCTGGCTAACACGGTGAAACCCCGTCTCTACTAAAAAAATACAAAAAAAATTAGCTGGGCGTGGTGGCGGGTGACTGTAGTCCCAGCTACTCGGGAGGCTGAGGCAGGAGAATTGCTTGAACCCAGGAGGCAGAGCTTGCAGTGAGCTGAGATTGCACAACTGCACTCCAGCCTGGGAGACAGAGCGAGACTCCGTCTCAAAAAAAAAAAAAAAGTCAGGAAACAACAGATGCTGGAGAGGATGTGGAGAAATAGGAACACTTTTACACTGTTGGTGGGAGTGTAAATTAGTTCAACCATTGTGGAAGACAGTGTAGCAATTCCTCAAGGATCTAGAACTAGAAATGCCATTTGACCCAGCAATCCCATTACTGGGTATATACCCAAAGGATTATAAATCATGCTACTATAAAGGCACATGCACACGTATCTTTACTGTGGCACTATTCACAATAGCAAAGACTTGGAACCAACCCAAATGTCCATCAATGATAGACTGGATTAAGAAAATGTGGCACATATACACCATGGAATACTATGCAACCATAAAAAGAATGAGTCCATGTCCTTTGCAGGGACATGGATGAAGCTGGAAACCATCACTCTCAGTAAACTATCACTAGGAGAGAAAACCAAACACTGCATGTTCTCACTCATAGGTGGGAAATGAACAATGAGAACACTTGGACACAAAGCGGGGAACGTCATAGACCGGGGCCTGTCGGAGAGTGGGGGACTGGGGGAGGTATAGCATTAGGAGAAACACCTAATGTAAATGACAAGTTGATGGGTTCAGCAAACCAACATATGGCACATGTATACCCATGTAACAAACCTGCACATTGTGCACATGTACCCTAGAAGTATAATAATAAAATACAATAATAAAAATAAAAAAAAGTACTTGCTGATGTCGTGGCTCACACCTGTAATCCCTGCACTTTGCAAGGCTGAGGCAAGGATCATTTGAGGTCAGGAGTTCAAGACCAGCCTGGCCAATATGGTGAAATCCCATCTTTACCAAAAATACAAAACTTGGCCAGGCATAGTGGCACATGCCTATAATCCCAGCTACTCAGGAGGTTGAGGCCAGAGAATCACTTGAACCCAGGAGGCGGAGGTTGCAGTGAGCTGAGAAGTTGCCACTTGGTGACTGAGCCAAAAAAAAAGAAAGAAAGAAAGAAAGAAAGTACTTGCTGAATACCTGGGAGTAAATGATAAAAGAAATCTGGAAGGTAGGACATAGGCATGTGCAAAGATTTCATGACTAAAACACCAAAAGCAATCGTAACAAAAGCCAAATTTGACAAATGGGATCTAATTAAAGAGCTTCTGCACAGCAAAGGAAACGATCATCAGAGTGAACAGGCAATCTACAGAATGGGAGAAAAATTTTGCAATCTAACCACCTGACAAAGGTCTAATATCCAGAATCTACAAGGAACTTAAACAAACTTATAAGAAAAAAAAACAACTCCATAAAAGAGTGGGTGAAGGATATGAACAGACACTTCTCAAAAGAAGACATTCATGCAGCCAACAAACATATGAAAAAAAGCTCATCATCACGGGTCATTAAAGAAATGCAAATCAAAACCACAATGAGATACCATATCAAGGCAGTTAGAATAGCGATTATTAAAAAGTCAGGAAACAGCTGGGCACGGTGGCTCACGCCAGTAATCCCAGCACTTTGGGAGGCCGAGGCAGGTGGATCACTTGAGGTCAGGAGTTCAAGACCAGCCTAACCAACATGGAGAAACCCCGTCTCTACTAAAAATACAAAATTAGCCAGGCGTGGTGGCACATGCCTGTAATCCCAGCTACTCAGGAGGCTGAGGCAGGAGAATTGCTTGAACCCAGGAGGCGGAGGTTGTGGTGAGCCGAGATGGCGTCATTGCACCCCAGCCTGGGCAACAAGAGCAAAACTCCATCTCAAAAAAAAAAAAAAAAAAAAAGTCAGGAAACAACAGATGCTGGCGAGGCTGTGGAGAAATAGGAACACTTTTACGCTGTTGGGAGTGCAAATTAGTTCAACTATTGTGGAAGACAGTGTGGCAATGCCTCAAGGATCTAGAACCAGAAATACCATTTGACCCAGCAATCCCATTACTGAGTGTATACCCAAAGGATTATAAATCATGCTACTATAAACACATGCACACTTATGTTTACTGCAGCACTATTTACAACAGCAAAGACTTGGAACCAACCCAAATGCCCATCAATGATAGACTGGATAAAGAAAATGTGGCACACATACAGCATGGAATACTATGTAGCCATAAAAAGAGTGAGTTCATATCCTTTGCAGGGACATGGATGAAGCTGGAAGCCATCATTCTCGGCAAACTAACACAGGACCAGAAAACCAAACACCACCTGTTCTCACTCATAAGTGGGAGTTGAATGAGAACACGTGGACACAGGGAGGGGACCATCACACACCAGGGCCTGTCAAGCAGTAGGGGGCAAGGGGAGGGAGAGCATTAAGACAAATACCTAATCCATGTGGGGATTAAAACCTAGATGACGGGTTGATAGGTGCAGCAAACCACCATGGCACATGTATACCTATGTAACAAACCTGCATGTTCTGCACATGTATCCCAGAACTTAAAATTAGAAAAAAAAAAGAAATCTGGAAGGTAAACCTAATGCATCCCAGAGGAGCACACAGGTAGAGAGGTTCTGATCACTAGTCCTTTGCTAAGTAGCATCCTCATTCCAGCTTAACACATGAAGTGTTCTTGACTAACCAAGACATGTTCTTGACTAATTACGGTAATACCTAAGGCTGGTGTTGGAATGGTAAGGTGGAAAAGAAGCAGTTTGCCCAAGGTTTCTTTCTGCAAATTTGGAAATAACAGAAGATTCCTCAGAGCCGAGTTCATGAATGCAGGGACAGAGGGTTGGCCTCTTCTGTAACCTGTACTCTAGCTCCACTCTGGCTAATGCATCGTAGTGGGTGCTGAAGTCATGCTCTTCCAAGTTGAAATAATTTGTTGAATTCATTACTGGGTCTTGAGAACATTTTTTAAATTATTCACACATAATTTAGCATTCAGCAATTAATACAGCTGAGGAAACTGAGAGCTGGTAGGCAGTTAATTTCAAAACCCAATGCAGCATTACCAACTAGGTATAAAATTTCTCTTACACACCCACCAGCCAGCCAAAGCACCATCAAGAAAGTTTAGGTCTCTAAAAACCCTTGAGAGAGAAAATATTCAGAAGAAAAAGCTTTTCTCAAGATGAGAACATCCACAAACACTTTCCTGTTGTTAGAAAGACTTAAATAAATGCAGAAGTGCTGAGAGTAGCCTTTGGAGTGCTAATGTAGCAGGGGTAAGCCACCCGCCCGGCCAGTTATCCTATTTCTGACAAATGTAGTTTGCTAGACTCAATCTCAGAGGTTACCCACAGCACTTCTTTTTAAACTAAAATGTATCTCAATTTTATTTTTAGAGGGCTGAATGAAATGTCAAGTGATCAAACATTAAAATAGCCCCAAATCAGGCTGGGCGTGGTGGCTCACGCCTGTAATCCCAGCACTTTGAGGCCTAGGCAGGTGGATTGCTTGAGGTCAGGAGTTCAAGACCAGCCTAGCTAACATGGTGAAACCCTGTCTCTAATAAAAATACAAAAAGTAGCCGGGTGTGGTGGCAGGTGCCTGTAATACCAGCTACTTAGGAGGCTGAGGCAGGATAATCACTTGAACCTGGGAGGCAGAGGTTGCAGTGAGCCGAGATCATGCTACTGCACTCCAGTCTGGACAGCAGAGCAAGACTCCATCTCAAAAAAATAAACAAAATAAAATAGCCCTAAATTACAGTATTACTGGTTACTGGATTCTTCCTGGTAAATATTTCCCAAATAAAAGTACTGAAAAAAGAAGTATTTCCATTTTCTTTAATTGTAAGTATTCTGATCAAAGTTATTTTCACTTTCTGTTGATTAAAGAATACTGTATTGCCATGATTTAAATTAAACGTTTTTGAATGGATGGATTTTTTAACCACTTTCTGTCACATGAAAGTAATTAAGACATCATCCTAACTTCTTCTAGCATAGGGTGGCACCCAGATATTTGTGTCTCAATGGCACCAGAAACCTAAAATGAATCAAGATTGTAGTTCACTGAATAGTGAAATATTATTAATTCTAATTGTAATAGGACAGAACTGAAATTAATCTTTCCTTTAAAGGGGGGTAGGGGTACTCATTCAACAAAGGAATCAATATAAACAAGATCATAAAAGGGAAATAAGCTATTTAAACACATTTCAGGCTGGACGCAGTGGCTCATGCCTGTAATCCCAGCACTTTAGGAGGCCGAGGCGGGTGGATCACCTGAGGTCAGGAGTTTGAGACCAGCCTGGCCAACATGGTGAAACCCTATCTCTACTAAAAGTACAAAAATTGGCCAGGTGCAGCGGCTCACGCCTATAATCCCAGCACTTTGGGAGGCTGAGGCGGGTGGATCACGAGGTCAGGAGCTCAAGACCAGCCTGGCTGAGATGGTGAAACCCCGTGTCTACTAAAAATACAAAAATTAGCCAGGCGTGGTGGCATGTGCCTGTAATCCCAGCTACTCGGGAGACTGAGGCAGAGAATCACTTGAACCCAGGAGGCAGAGGTTGCGGTGAGCCGAGATGGCGCCATTGTACTCCAGCCTGGACAACAGAGCAAGACTACGTCTCAAAAAAAAAAAAAAAAAAATACAAAAATTAGCCAGGTGTGGTGGTGCACGCCTGTAATCCCAGCTACTCGGGAGGCTGAGGCAGGAGAATTGCTTGAACCCGGGAGGCAGAGGTTGCAGTGAGCTGAGATCGCGCCACTGCACTCCAGCCTAGGCGACAAGAGCGAGACTTTGTCTCAAACAAAAAAAAAACAAAAAAACACAGATTTCAGAAGTATTGATATATAACTGATAAGCTGAATATAAGTCATTTTTTCTATTCAATGAGAAGGTCCAGTAGGATTGTTTTTTAGTAACATTTTGTTAGTTTCCTCAGGTTACAATATTTAATTGAAAACAATATAAATTTTTTAAAATCTGCCCATTCAGGCATTCTACTAATTATCACTGCTCTTCCCTTTACCGCAACTAGCTTGAATCAATGAGGCCTCAATGTATTTAATTACAATCATAGGCCAGGCACGGTGGCTCACGCCTGTAATCCCAGCACTTTGGGAGGCGGAGGTGGGCGGATCATGAGGTCAGGACATCGAGACCATCCTGGCTAACACAGTGAAACCCCGTCTCTACCAAAAATATAAAAAAAAATTAGCTGGGAGTGGGTGGCGGGTGCCTGTAGTCCCAGCTACTCGGGAGGCTGAGGCAGGAGAATGGCGCAAACCAGGGAGGCGGAGCTTGCAGTGAGCCAAGATGGCGCCACTGCACTCCAGCCTGGGTGACAGAGCAAGACTCCGTCTCAAAAAAAAAAAAAAAAATTACAGTCATAACCTCAGGCCACGAACTGAACAACATCCACCAATGTGATGGAAAATGCTCAACCATTTTCATTCCACTTTACGTAGATCCTAGGCTCTTAGGCACACACAGTGAATGTCTGAGGTTCAAGTATCAATTGTACTGGCCCAGAAGTATTTCTGAAAATCCAGTAAACACAGGTTTTACTGGATTTCTGAAAATCCAGTAAACCAAAGGCTGACAACCATACAACTAGAGTTAGCACATATCCAGGGACCCTCAGAGGAGTGTGGTGCTAACTTGAGCTGTGGAAAGACTCTGTGATGAGCTTTTGTAGGTAGAGAGACCTATGAGGCTTTCTCAGGAGGGCTGGGAAAGACTGCCTGGTTACCAAGTAAGAAATGTTCTCTTTTTACCCCAAATGGTGCTGTTCTTGACTTCAAAAACAAATCAAATGAAGGGCAAATTAAGGAGGAATAATCAAGACTGTGTGAGACCTGAACCGGTCACTGGAGGTGGTTTGGCCCACGATAAGGCTTCTGATTTTCCCTGCTCCCTTTCCCCAAGGCCGAGATTATACAAAGAAAAAAAGTTGTTGAGGAAAACTGAGAAAAAAATACATTTCTTTGGGTGCATATCCACAGGCAGCCAAAATATTTTAAAAACCAACAAGGACATAGAGTTATAGATCACATTTGATCCTCTGTGCTCACGGAATTCCCTGTTCAGGCTCACTTTTAACCTCTTAACTCGGGAAGATTACAAAAATGTGAAGTAAATCTTTTTTTTTTTTTTTTTTGAGACGGAGCTTCACTCTTGTCACCCAGGCTGGAGTGCAGTGGCGTGATCTCGGCTCACTGCAGTGTCCGCCTCCTGGTTCAACTGATTCTCCTGCCTCAGCCTCCCAAGTAGCTGGGATTACAGGTGCCCACCACCCCCCACCCCCAGCTAATTTTTGTATTTTTAGTACAGACAGGGTTTCACCATGTTGGCCAGGCTGGTCTCAAATGCCTGATCTCAGGTGATCCACCCGCCTCAGCCTGATCTCAGGTGATCCACCCGCCTCAGCCTCCCAGAGTGCTGGGATTACAGGCATGAGCCACTGTGCCCGGCCAAATGTGAAGTAAATCTTAAACTCAGTCTGCCCACTGAAGACAGTCAGGGAGTTCTCTCTAAACTCCCTGAAGCAGAAAAAAAAAGTTTAACTATTATCATTTGACTGTTTTGTGAAAAAATATTTCAAGATTTTAAACTACAGAGAGGTCAGGAAGTCACTTAAGAGCACACAAAAGAGGTGGGAAAAAGATAACTTAGCATCTATTCTGGTTGACTAAAATATATAGACTATATAGAAAATTATATTTACCCGTAGTGTTTTTTAACTCATAAAAAAGCATCTATCTATCCTAAAGAGTAAGCACTCCTAAGGGACTCTAATATTTTCTAAGCCTCAGTCTACACATTCGAAAGGAAACAACCAAAATAACTTTTCACTTCACATAACTATCATGTTATCAGAACCTTTCAAAGAAAAGGTTACATGGGCTATGGGAATATGTAATGCAAATAAAGCAAGCACTGAGATTCAAAAAATTTAAAAACTTGACTATTATACACTATACTTGACTGAAGTCAAAACAATGTAGGACATTCTATAGGCAAAATTCAGAGGTTTGCCTAAGTTTGGCAAAATGCTCACACAGAATGAATCATTTAACATCAACATGGATATGCTTGACATCAAAAACAACACAAAACACTATCAAATTTCTTCAAGAAAAGAGTTTCAAGTACCATTATAAATATTTGCAATATTTTTCTAATATATAATAAAGGTAAGTGCAAAAGATCTGAGGGCCTGATGCGTTGTAGTTTTAGCAGGGGAGAGAACTGGACATATTTGATATCAATATGAACACTTATTTTGCCTAAGATTTACTCATATTTGGTATAGTAAATGGCGCATTTCTTAGAAAACCAATGATTTTAAAGAAGGATAAATTTATTTTCCTCTTGTAGATCATGGCTAACCACAGTATGGCACAATTCTGGAGCAATCGGACCTCACCCAGATACAAAAATAGCAAAAAGGACTTTTGCTGCTGGCAGAAAAGTAACAAACAACTTTATTGATACTAGAAGGGCAGTGTTTTAAAATTTTCAATTAGGCACTGAAAAAAATCAGGTTTCTGAGATAATACAGAAAGGGAACAATTAAACTGTATTTTATAAAAGGTGAAGTAATTGAATCACTCTTCAGGGGAAAGAAAGGTGAAGAAAAAGAAAAAAAACCTGAGGTTGAATGCTAAAAATGTGACCCCACCTAAAGCACTGAGAACAATTTAGGCCTTAGTTCTCTAATTTATGAAATGGGGATAACAGTATCTTCCTTCCTCATTCTACAAAATGTTGTGAAAATTCAGTAAGGATCATAAAAGAATTCAGTAATCAGTAATTATTACTACTGTTATAAGAAATTCCAGTTTTACTCCAAAAGAGGTTAATTATAAATGTAAGGGGATTATTACTTTTCAGTATATGCCCCAAATTAAGTATCGTTTCAATTTGTTGACTTTTCCTAATTATTAAAAACCAAGATGGCTCCCGAAGATTCTCATCTCCTGGTATTCAACTTATTGAGTAATCCTTTCCCATAGAGTATGGGCTGGACTTCATGTCTCATGTTTAATGAACAAAATAAGGCAGACTCAGTGACTGCATCATAAAAGAAAAGGTGATGTCACTCTCCTTGGCTTTCTTGTTTTATTCACTCTGGGGGAAGACTATTGTCATGCTGTGAAGAACTAAGGCCTCCAGCCAACAACCACATGAGTAAGCTTAGTAGCCAACCTTCCAGCCCCAGCTGAGCCATCGGATGACTGTAGCCACAGATGGCAGCTTGACTGCCATCTCCTGAAAGATGATGAGTCAGAACAATCCAGCTAAAGTGCTGACATTGTCCTGATCCTCAGGAAACATGTGAGATAATAAATGTTTTTGTTTTAATTAGCTGGGTGTAGTGGTGCATGCCTACAGTCCCAGCTATTCAGAAGGCTGAGGTAGGAGAATAGCTTGAGCCTGGGAGTTCGAGTCCAGCCTGGACAAGATGCCAAGACCTCGTTTCTTTTAAAAAAAAAAAAAAAAAAGAAAGAAAGAAAGAAAGAAACAAACAAACAAACAAAAATGTTTTAAATTGCTAATAGAGGCCGGGCATGGTGGCTCACACCTGTAATCCCAGGACTTTGGAAGGCCGAGGCGGGTGGATCACCTGAGGTCAGGAGTTCAAGACCAGCCTGCCAACATGGTGAAACACTGTCTCTACTAAAAATACAAAAAAAAAATTAGCTGAGTGTGGTGGCAGGCACCTGCAATCGCAGCTACCAGGGAGGCTGATGCAGGAGAACTGCTTGAACCTGGGAGGCAGAGGCTGTAGTGAGCCAACATCACACCATTGCACTCCAGCCTGGGCAACAAGAGCTAAACTCCGTCTCAAAAATACTAAATAATAATAATTTTAAAAATTAAATTGCTAATAGATTACTAACACAGAGCTTTTTTTAATTTTTACTTTTTTTCTTCTGAGACAGGGTCTCTCTCTCTCTCTCTATTACCCAGGCTGGAGTGCAGTGGTGCAATCTCAGCTCACTGCAATCTCTGCCTCCCAGGCTCAAGTGATTCTCATGCCTCAGCCTCCTAAGTAGCTGGGACCACAGGTGCATGCCACCACACCTGGCTATTTTTTTTTTTTTTATCATTTTAGTAGAGATGGGGTTTTGCCATGTTGGCCAGGCTGGTCTCAAATTCCTGGCCTCAAGCAATCCACCTGCCTCAGCCTCTCAAAGTGCTGGGATTACAGGCATGAGCCACCGCACCCAACCTAATAGAGAGCATTTGACAACATTCTGCTTTGCATTTAAAATTTAGTCAGTCACTTCCTTGGTTATATATGAATTACTTTGTCCATTGGTAGGTATTGTTAGACTTGTCTGGTTTTTTCACAGTAACTTTAGATGCTGTCTGCTTAATTTATTATAAACAAACATATCTTAAATCCGATTCTTGTATCCACCTATTATATTGCAATAAGCGAATAGCTAGTTGGGTTTTTTGTTTTTTGTTTTTCTTTTCTTTCTTTTTTTTTTCAAATAGGTTTTTCTTCTGTGATTCCCAGTAAATTTTTAATGGAATTTGACTTTCAGGGAGAAATACCTATAAGGAAAATTATATTTTCATGTAATCACACTGAATCTTATTCTAAAACTAACCCATTCTTACCTTATTTGTTAAAAAAAGAAAGAAAAGAAAGACTGATTTGCAAAACCTATTCTGGTTCCACCAACTCTAAAATTTTGCTTTCCAATGTTCATTTTGAAGCCCTGTGCAATTGTTCTTTGCAGCCAGCCTTATGAAGGTTTAAAGAACCTTCATACCTAAAATGCCCATGAAGAAATGTTATTCCACTAAGGCCAAAGATTCACTCGCAAGTTTTAAAAGGCTGGGTACAGTGGCTCATGCCTGTAGTCCCAGCGACTCAGGAGCCTGAGGTGGGAGGATCACCTGAGCACTGGAAGATGAGGCTGCAGTGAGCCATGATAGCATCATTGCACCCTAGCCTGGGTAACAGAGTGAGACCCCCTGTCAGAAAGAAAGGAAAGAAAGAAAAAAGAAAAAAAATTTTTTAATAAAGTAAAAAGTTTTAAAAACCCATTCACAAAAAAGCAAAATCTTTTAACCACAATTTTCCCCCTCCATTCTGAAAATACAGACGAAAAATAAGAGGAAAAGGGAAGAAGAAATAAAAGTAAATTTTTATTGATATTACAGCTTCAATCTTAATTTATCCAAAAATATTTCATGAACAGCCATTTCCACTATTCAAGGCACTCAAGGTGCACCTGTCCAAAGAAAAAACAAGACCCAGCTCTCATGGAACTTCAAATTTTTTAAATTCAAAAGACCAGTCCAGAAAATAGAGTTGGCTATTTTTGCAGAAGCGTTAAGATCCATCACAAATGAGGGGAGCCAAATATTAATAAAATCCTGAATTCCCAGGCTCCTGTGTGCCACTCTTCTATGCCCTACCATCTATGATTTGCTAACCTAAGTTTTCTAAGACATGCGCTTTACCTGACCATTATAAAGTGATTACTAATGAGTTATTTCATTCTGCATGTAAGTTACACATTTTTTTAAATGCTAATGCCAACTATCAGAGTAGTCTGAGGCTTTTTGTTTTGTTTTGTTTTGTTTTATAAAAAGGTCCCTTAGGCAACTCGAAGTTTCCTTTCGTTTAGCCTTAATGATTATTTTCTGCACCCAGGGAACAGAAGCAGAGTCCATATGGCCTTCAATTTCCTTAACTTAAATACAGAAAAGTGCAGCAGTAACCAAAACACTTTTCAAACTATTTAAAAGCACCACTTTTCACCACTATATTTTCCTATGGCACACTGTGTGCTTTTAAAACCATTTGCCTTATATCAGACATTTAACAGGCAGAATGGCCAGGTGCAATGGCTCATGCCTGTAATCCCAGCACTTTAGGGGGCCAAGGCAGGCAGATCACCTGAGGTCAGGAGTTCAAGATCAGCCTGGCCAACATGGCGAAACCCCATCTCTACTAAAAATACAAAAATTAGCCAAGCGTGGTGGCGGACACCTGTAAGCCCAGTTACTCAGGAGGCTGAGGCAGGAGAATTGCTTGAACCCAGGAGGCGGAGGTTGCAGTGAGCCAAGATCGTGCCACTGCACTCCAGCCTAGGCAACAGCGAGACTCTGTCTCAAAAAAAAAAACAACAAAAAACAAAAACTAAAAAACAAACAAAAAAAACAGAACTACTCAAGTTTTTACTTTACAACATGTTTTCTGGACATATGAGAATCAAATTTTCTTAGAAAGTGGCTTAAAACATTATCTATAGTTGGCTTAGTGTTTAATTGGAGAGGGTATAATTTAGATTGATGTGGAAACCTGCTCCTCCAATTATATGAAAATAGAGGCTTATTTTTTTCATAAACATGTATTATGAAATACTACATAAACTTATAGGACAGTCACATATTCAGCATATATATACATATTCTACATTTACAAAAGAATTTCAGATGGTTTGATATAACAGAAACACAATAAGATCATCACATAAAGATAAAAATGTAGGGTACTTTATAATGGAAAAAATAATTATTATTTTATTAATAGGTAAAATAATAACTGATGAAAAATGGCTACTGCAACTAAGACCTAATTTGATTTTGAGTTTCCAAACAGCTATCATCATTAGATAAGATCCATACGAGTTAATCCTGCCTATCAAGAAAAGGACTTTTCCCTCTCACTCATAGACAAGCCTATGTGTAAGGGATACTAAACATAAAGGACAGTGTCTTCAACAATGTTTTATAGAAGATACAGATTTTCATGTGGCAGAGACTGCAAACTGGCAACCCGTGGGCCAGATTCAACCCACAGCTGTCTTTTTTTGACCTTCAGTGTCCATAAAAAATTTTGAATTGTTGCCAATATTTAAAACTTCAGATATTTAACATAAGAACTCTGACTTCCACCTCCTCTTGAAAAATCAGATTTGGGAACACTGGCCCTACATTTCCAAATGGCAGCAGTTGGCTGGAGCTAACTAATAGCTGTCCCTCCTGCACTATCCAGAACACCCTTGCCACCACTTACATCATCTACCCCTGTAAACATACGGTGATCTCTTACAAAAATCTTACTACAAAAGTTGTGTGCAAAATACGAAACCATGGGTCTCTGAAGGCCAGTCTGTGGGAGGCTACAGTGATGGAGCACATGGCAGGGGACGGTGCTCAGAGTAGGGTGTCTCTCTCTCTCTCTCTCTCTCTCTCTCTCTCTCTCTCTCTCTCTCTCCCCCTCTCCCTGCCTGGGCATCAGAACCTCTCAGGGGATCTTTAACAACACGTAGCTAAATTCCAAGGACTTTCAGGACTTTCCAAGAGTCCTTGGCCATAGGGGAAGAAATCACTGAGAAAACAGTATTTTTACTGTTTTAAAGTAATATCCTGTTTTTGAACAAAAATCATGTATGTAGGACTGATACTGAGGGGGTGTGTATTAAAGTATCATGGCTTGTGACCTAGCACATTTGTTCGTTCTAACCAACTGAAAATGTTTTGAAGATCACTCCTGTGTTCGTGGAGCCCCACCTTACACAACAGATAAGAGGAGGGCTGCTCTGCCTCAAGAAGGATTAGCAAGCCAACCCTGCTTCCACCTCCTGAAGCAAAAACTTGTTTTCGATGAATGAATGGGTCCCGTGTCACCATGCCCATCACTCTTCAAAGGCAGTTGACTCTAATGGCTCTGCCAAGAGCCAGAGCGCAATCACTGGCCAAGGAGCTCCCTGGAAAGTTCCTGAAGGGCACGCATTCTATGTTGTTGACTATAGAAAAATCCATAGATTTAGTAGTCTGGCATGCAGCTGGCAAAGCAGATACTTGTTACCAAAATGAAAGTGACAGGAAATAGAGGGCTATTCCATGGAAAGCAGATGTAGGAGTAACAAGGGCAGGGTCTAAACTTTCCTCAAGAAAGGGCTTTGGGTCAAATCAAGGAATGAACTGAAGACTCAGAATTACACACTTTACACACTGTAGGGTGGGTGCTTACAAACTGTGTTTTAAAGCAGCAAACCCCTTTTCTAAACCAAATCTTAGACTCAACTCCAATTCTGTATATAAAACAGCAACAAATGCAGTTGTCTTCGTATTGGGCAGTGGGTAAGAAGCCAGGATTCCCATGTACGTACATCCATTCGTCCTTCCCATAAATTTGGCATCTCCTTGGAATCCTAAGGCTCTATGGAACAGTGTTTAATAAAAACTGCCATAGAGAATAAAAGATACAATGTTGGCCTAGAAATTTATAAGGCAGGTATTAACACCGTGACCACAATCGATACTTGTGAACTAAAGCCACTGATCAATTTCAATATCTAAATCATTTTCTTGAAACCATTATTGAAATAGACACAACATACCATTAATATGCAAATCAGTGAACAAAGAGCTAACTCTTCCCTGGCAACACTCTCGTGATGTAGAAATAATTATATTAGAACCAATCACCTGTTCCTGGGCCCTTTGTAACTCTTAAAATGCCTTTTCGACTTACCTACTTTACAAATCTAAATCTCTGTCTTCTTTAATTCAAATAATTGAGTAACCAGTACCTTTGTCATCTCAAATATTTTAAGAAGAAAAATATATAAACATTTTAAAAAATAATAAACAGCCAAAAATTTTAAATATTAAGCAACTAGTATCTTGTTCTCTATTCCTTAAAAGGGAGAATCAATTCCACATTTTTCAATATCTGAGCTTAAAATTTGGTTTCTCAGATCCTTGATTTCATCATCTTTAGTGGTGGCACAACTCAGGGAGTTTTACAAGGCTTAGTTTACAAATTCAGTGTCCATGACTTGAAGACATCACTATCAGCTCGAAAAGAAAGGGGTAAACAGTAGTACAGCTGGATCCAGGAGACAGGCCAGATTATTTATGTATCCACAACATTATTTTCTATCCGTCAATGGTTGAAAAACAAAAAATAAAGATGTTTTCCCTTTCCAAAGAATAAATACAACTGCACTTCAGGGGAAAAAAGTAACCCAAATTTTCAACCACTTACAAAAGCCTACAACGTTAGACCCCTACAACCATCGAAGCTCATGTGTCTGCTGCACATTCCAAGTAAGTGTATGCCACAGAACCCATACATTCCAACACATTGAGCAAGCACACACATGCCTCCCCAGCTTCCCCAACCCTCGGCCAACCAGGGGGCAATGGGGCTGCAGGCAGGCCTACACACCAGGCACCACACTGCCAGCCCTTTCCAGCCATCCCCAAGGAAATGCAAAGGAGAAGGAGAATGAGAGAGGAAGTGGCCGGTGTGAGGCCTTAGAGAAAGAAATGCAAAACCTTTTTTGGGGCAGGGCAACCACATACTCAGAGTTTTTAAGTGTCAAAGAAAAGAATATGTTGTGTGAGACTCCCAGTCCTGCTGTCACCGTTGGAATCACTTACTATCTTCCACACACTATCAGTGAGGACCAGTCTTTGCCACGTGCTCTGGAAGTATAGAAAGAAAATGCAGAAGATGTACACATGGTTTAGTCACCTACACTTCTATGGTCTCCTCCTTTCTCCTCTCCTCCCTCCCTTTCCCTCCTCCCTTCCTTCTTTCTTAATAATTTAAGAGGCTCAACTGCATTTTTTCAGTGTTAAACTGCTTTTATCATCTACCTCTGACTCTCTTAAATAAAGGGGCACAAAACATTGTACTTCAAAACCTTATTCATACAATGATAAAGAAAAACATCCACTGAAATTTCGAAGTATGCATTGTTAAAAATCACAAGGATCAGTAGGGACCAAAGTAAAAGGTCTCCATGTAATCCAAAAATACTATATAGCCTATCCTCACATGAGCTTTTTCAAAAACACCCTCTATTTAATGAATTGGTATGAGGTTAACCTGTCCAAAGAATCACCACTCGATTTTTTGTTTCATTTTTCAAAGAGAAAGAAAAGATATAGTAATAAAAATGTCTTTCCTGGTAATTTTTAAAGCTCTATTAGAGGTTCTTGACTGAGGAAAGTAATTATTTTATCTCATAAATTATATAAAATTATGTTCTTGTCAAAAAGCATGGCGTCTATCTAGAAGAAAACCTCTTATATATCTCATTTCATTGGTGGTTTAACTGTATCTTAAGTCCTATGTTACTAAACCAAAAAAGTAACAAAATGCATGAGATAAAAGTAACAAATGCATAAGATACTTAAGTATTGTATCAAAAAGTGCTTTCACTGACTTTTTCACGTGTCAAAGAGGTTTAAAATGTTCTGTTAATAAGGTGAACCATTTTCTAAAAAGCAATTTACAAAAATTCCATTATTTTCCTTCTCTAAGACACAGATATTTTTAAAAATACATATAAAAATGAAAGCATGCCAATCTTTGTGCAACATTCTGTATCCTAAACAAAAAAACCTCAAGTTTTTTTTCAGGATTTGAAAAAATATATATATCTGGGTCAAAGGCATGGAACAGGCCCTCCTCCCACACTGCATACATGTATGTTTTTTACACTTAACTGTCAACCACAATGATTTTTAAAAAAACCTCTTTCTCTTTATATAATTATAAATGCTTCTACTATAGGACTACTTCAAGGAAGTTCTTTCAAATTATGACTAACACTTTTAATTCTTTTCAATTATATTAAATTAAAAATATACTGAACTTGAGTTCCTAATCTTTCTCAGCATAGGTTTTATATATGGAAATTTTCTCTTATTCTAAGTTAGGAATAATATACAAAGTTACTTTATAGCCTGTATACATATTATCACAACTTTCTACTTCATTGCTAAGGTTCTGTTGCAGTATTCAAATGAGATGGACAACAAGCCACTGCCTTCTGAAGTTCTGGTCAGGAGCAAGGAGTTATTTTAGAGTCTGAAGCTTTAGAGCCCTTTGTGTAAGAAGGATAAAGACGGATCTCTTCAGGCTGTGGGGAGGATAAAACAGGAAGCCTAGTCCAGTGCCTAGCACGTAGCAGCCACCCAGTATTAGTTAACTCTCTTCCTCTCCCCCATCTCCTGAGTCAGAATTCCACGGAAAATGCCATATCCCACTCTGGACTGTACTAACTCAAAGAAATGCATGGGGAGTTGGAAATAACCTTCTTTCACCTATTTTTTTTTCCTTGATAATTCCTCTCTCCCTCCCACCAGCACCATAAACAGTCCATAAGAGTTAAAGGAAACGAAGATAAATGCAGGAAAAGTTTACAGTTGAGGGGAAATGAACTGTACTTCACATGCTTCATTATTTAGCATATTTTTTTGTGCGATTATAAAATTAATAAAGAACTCAGAACTTTATGGATACTATCCCTATTAACACTCACCCCATAGTCAAGACAGTATGAGAGGCCCAAGGCCTTATTCAGTACAGAAAGTGACGTAGAGAAAGATACCACCTCTGGGAAAGACCTGGCAGTTCCTACCAGGGAAACACGTAAACCACAACACAGCCCTGACCTTTGCAACAGGCTGTCTGAACCCCGTGAAGAACCCACCCAGGAGATTCCTTGAGCTAGACTTTCATTCACCACATGGCACATAGTCTTGACCCGGGTGACAGTTCGCTGTCTAATCTGTGTGGCTCAGATGTTGAAAGAAATGTTTGTCTTGTTATGTCAGGAACACAACTGCCGAAAAAAGCAACATAACAACAACAACAACCCCACAACCTGCTTAGGTATATTCCCCACTTCTGTCTGTGGGCAAGCACAGAGATGGGAAGACGTGCAATGCTACCTTTAAAATTACCTCTATTTCTAACTATTTTTTTCTAAAAACTATAGCAAAGTACAGATCACTCAGACTGATGTAGCATCATTGCAAAGGTTCAATTCACAAATGTATTTTCATATATTTCTACCACCCTCGAACAGCATTCTTCGAACTTTACAACACATTCAGCTGACTTCTTTAATGTAAAACGTTAAATGGGGAGGAAGTACAGTGGAGCGAGACTCAGGGACCTCAAAAGACCTGGGTTCTAGCCCTACTACTTAATTAACAGTCATGTGGCCTAAACAAATTATTAAGCTTGTCTGGGGCTGAGTTTCCTCATCCAAAAAAAGAGATAGTATCAATTGTCCTATTTTTCACAAAATTATTATTTGGAATAAATGAAATAATGTGTCAAAGAGGCTGGAACAGCATCAGTACTGTATGAATATTAAGATGCAGGCAAAAAATACTCCTCCCTGAGATAATACTACTACCATTGTTTAAATATCAATACATGAAATCATCAACCTTTCTGATCACATTTAAAACAAAAATTTAAAAATTCAAGCTTCCCACTACAGCAAATCCTTACTTTGAGACACATTAATTACATGACAATAAGAAAAACTGAAAATATAATTCTTATTGCAATGTTCCCATACAAATTTTTCTGGTCATTAGATGCAACATTTATTTTGATATGGGTAAATAAGAGAAAGCTCAAAACATACATCAGAACTCTTAATTTTCATTTATCAGACTTATTAAAATATCTGCTTTATTTATGAAATGTCCTTGACACTAAACAGAATGGGAAAATCCTATCTGAATGTTCACATTTTAAGAAATAAAGTGTAGAACAGATAAATAATGAGGAATAAACAAAATGTATCTCAAAAATACAGATATTATTTAGTGAAAAGCAGAGGCTTGGGGAGGAGACATAACTATCAAATGATGGAACAGGGCTAGCTTTTGGGCTTGAATGCCTCCTATTAATGCAAAAGCATCCATTTTCACTGTTGTACTTATTCTATCTCAATATACCATCAAACTCTAAACCAAATTAAAGAAATAATTATTGTATTCCTTCTTCCCTTTGGCAGCCAAGCAACAGAATCTGAAGTTTTCTACAAAAGAAAATAATTTTTCTTCACTATTTTATGGAGAGACCAGACTAAAGTCCATGATCAAAACAGGAAAAGTAAAACCTTAAAAATAATGCTCTGAGCACTCTGCAATTTTGCTGCCTAAAATAGAACCCATAGAGTCCATGCCACCAAATGAAAATTATAAGTTTGTAAGCATGAAGTCAAATTATAAAGTAAAAGATTTAAAATGTTTTAATGGTGATGATAAATGGGAGGAAAGACTTATCTTCATTGGTAGGTGTTTGCTGTTTATTTGCTATTATTTGTTCAATGATACTGCTTTTGAATGAATACCCAAAATAATTTGAACATGAATTTGAATATAAGAAGGATAAAACTTTACTAATAAATTCTGGGGGCATGTTTTGTTAAACAGAACACTCCCATCTCTCAATTTAAGAAGTTAATCATAGCTTTTGAGAGATAATGCTTTTGACTGAAAGTTTTAGAGCATGAACTCTTTAAAAATTAGCTTAGCCAAGCCCACTAATTTCTAACACTGAAAAGAACACTGAAGACTTTTGTGATGTTTAAATATAATTTTTAAAAATATATTTTGAAATGTATAATTCAACATTTTTAAGTCTCCAAAGAAACTATTTCAATATAACGCTTCTTCTAATGAAGTTTACTCACTGAGAGCACTTGTGTTATGCAAAATACCATATTGCTTTTCAAAGTATAGAATTTCTAAATGGAAGTGCATATTCAAATCTTGAATTTTCTGACACTTAAAAAAATGGCTTATAACATCATCAAAGCCTTCACAGAATCTTTTGTGACAGGGGATAGCCAAGTGAAAAGGAAGGAGGGAAGATGCTGCACTGATGGTCCTTTCAGTAGCATGCTCACTGTAAAACCTACTCCAGGTACCTGTGACTTGGCTTTCACAAGGTTAACCACCTACAAGAGTTATTCATCACTCAAGGCAAATATCACTGCACTGGATTCCCTTTGCCACAGGTTTCAATCACCAAGCAACTTTCTTGAGCCTTGTCAAGACTGAATTCCAGAGCAACTGTTGTTCAATTAAAGATCTCCTGCTGCCTCTTCATACCATCTACCTGAAACTGTCCCCAACAAAAAACATATACACACACTTGCACATACACCACTGAAACAGAGAGAGGAAACATTTAGCTCAAATAATATCCTCTAACAATTCTGACCAATTGCTCATCTACTTTTGAGGGTTTCATAGAGGACTTGGAAGAGTGATTCAGCTACAGACAGCAAATATTTAGAAAAGCTTGAAAGTATCAAATATATAAACAGTTCCTGTAGAAATCTGGTTTTCATAGCTTTTCTGACTTTTAATAAATGTGCCTAAGTCACTATCCTTTTATGCATAATTCAAAATCATTTACATTTCCTCAACACAGTACTTGAAAATCTGGAGCAACCTCCACACATTAAAAAAACACAAAAACCATGTGTTTACTCAAAATAATTGTGAAATGATAATTCTGATATGCAATTTGTTCTAAATCTTCTTTTAAAAATATTTTAAAAGTTAAATGCTTTTTCTCTTAAAGAAAACATATTGCACTTTAGATCATCAAGTATAAAAGGCTTTGTACAAATATTACTAATATCCTCTCATCTTCTGTCTACCAAACGATAATCTCAGGTTAACATAATAAAAAACAAAATGCTTAGAACATCTCTTACTGGTCATCTTATACCTGGCCATAAGTATAAGGAAACACATGAAAAGCACCATTTGACAGCTGCACTACATATCACAAATCACCTTTTGGAATTAATGTTTAGGTGTTTAGCCATTAAACAGTTTTATAAATTGTTATATTACAATTTAAAATTTTTATGTATTTGGTGAATTGAAAAAAAGCAAGCAAACCATAAAATCTATTTTGATGTATAAATCTCATTGGTTTCTAATATTTAATTAAATGATTTAAAAGCATCAAATAACCAGTCTTTTAAAAATGTAAACTAGAATTTTTAACCAATATCACCAAGTTCACTTTTTTCTGTATTGCTTCTATTTTAACTCTAATACTTATCTCTTTGAGGTTACAATATGCAACTCTCTAGGGTATTACCTAGCACCATGTGAAAAAATTACTAACTTTTTTTTTTCCTGGGAAACTAAAAGTTTAACTCCAAAGCCAAATCAAAAGTAACCTTACAGTTTAATATATATTCTGTGTTAATATATGTTATATCTACACATGGAATCTATGTAAGTAAATGCAGGTATTAATTTCTAAGTCAACAAATTCTTGAAGTAGGAAGGTACCACACAATTTTAACCTAATAAAAGTCATTTCTGTTTCTAGAAAATTAAAAATTGATGCAGCAAAAGACTGCAGCAGGGAGGGCCTGAGATTGGATGTTTTTTTCTTCTTTTTGGTATTTAATTCAACCATACACAATGTAGTACATACAAGCAAAATACAATTGAGATACTGTTTTCTTTAACATTCCTATAGGAGACCAAATTCATTTGCATTGGAGTGAACACAATTACTGATTTTTAACTCATGAAAGACAAATTCATAGCTTTTTCCTACACTATCTCATACTATTCACACCATCTCAGTGAAAGAATGTCTAGAACCACTTAGTTACTTCCTAGAGGTGGGCAGAAACTGCATTTTTCAAAGTTTTGTTTCTCACAGAATCATTCAACTTGAGGTACAAAAGCACATTCAAGTTAGCATGTCTTAGTTCAAAACAAGGCATGCAGTATGTGTGTGTGTGTATGTGTATATATACACATACACACACACACACACACACACACACACACACACACACATAATTTTTAAGTTAACCTTCAACAACACCAAAAATGAAATTTCTGTCAAGGAAGTTTCCAAAACTTTTAACAGCATTTTAAAGCTTACCAGTTTTTTCCTCTTTAATAAACATTTGACCATATGTACTACCAAGAAATATTAATAGAGAAAAAAAGATTCAAACACTTTTATTCAACAGAGCCTGAAACCAACTTACAAAGAGAAATAAATGCTTTATGTGCGGTTGACATTAGAATAATTTGCATTTAATAAGAATAAAACATACGCTGCAAAAAGAAAAGAGTTTTCTATTTCTAAGTGACCCTGAGAAAATAATGGCATCTAGTCTATTATGCTATTATAAAATGATGCCAGAATATTTAACAAAAGATACAACTGGTAAGCAAATGGCATGCCAATAATTTCATAAGATAAAAACATCTCCTCCCAAACTATCATTAACCTTAAAAAATCTATTTGAGATACAGATAATCAAACTAATTCTTGAGAAATCAAAGAAATCACTACAATACAAAGAAAATGCACTCAATTGTTGAATGATTTTTAAGTAAGCAAGCAATGAGGATGAACTATTTTCTTCCCATTTTCATTTCAACTAACACAAAAACCACATATAGAATTGACTTAACACTGCCAAATTTACTTCTAACTTGTTAATATTCACAGAAATGCAACACAAGAACACCAAAATAGTCTCCATATAACATAAAAGCTTTGGTTTCAAATGTCACAGTACCCTGGATTTAGAAAGCCATCAACGTGGTAGTGTCCAGGACATGAGAACATACAGCTGCTTCATCCCTGAAGTCTGATCTCAGTACACAATACCGGTCATTAGCTATCTCTCCCTTAGCCTGCAGTACAAGTAGCTAATTTCTGCATTTAAACTAATAAAGGAAAGGAAAAAAAAATTAAAACCATCCAATCAGAAATGATGTAACTCCTCTAGAGCAGCAGCTTATGCATACATTTGGAATGTTAAACATTTTCAGTGTAGTGAATCATACACAGCGCATTTTAATCTACCTCCTGGGTATTTCACATCGCCCACATGTTCAAAGAAATCATCAACTAATAGGGCTGTATAAATCCTAGATTGCTCTTTATTTAACTTATACTAAAAACTGGGGACATGCCTTCAATTCTGAACTCTTAAACAGAACAAAATTACTTAAATGACACTCCGGCTAACAGCAAATAATCTGCATTTTGAAAGAAAAAAGATAAAAAGTAGTACATTTGTGAGAAGTTTTAGGAGCTGTTAATAACTTTAGATAAACCAGTATTTCACATATACCACAAAATTAAATAATGCACACTGCAACATGAAATGAGACACCAACTAAGATAAAATTCTAGTAATTTTTTTTTTTACTAATTATAACCCCCAAAAGTATTCACAACCGCAAACAGCCAACAGAATTAGACATTTATAGAAACATACTGTATCAAATACTTGGGGTAGTTATTTCACTGTTCAATATATTCATTCTGCAAATTTTCAAGTGTTGTGAGATAGTAATTTATATTTGTTGTAAATAGTTAATATATCAGAAAGCTTCAACTTGGATTTCTCAAGCAAAAAATATTATTTTAAAGAAAAGTATACAAATTTAGAATACCTTATTGAAAACCAATTGGTTACACGTTACATCTTTCCCAATAGAGGAAAGAACTAGCTTAATATTACACATGAAACTGCAAATCATAACTCACCTTTTTTAAATTAAAAAAAAAACAGGATTTAAGTAATTTTCTCATATGCCACAGAGATTATTTGCAAACAAAAGTTATTCTGTTGCTTACTTAAAATAAAACATATCTGGAAATGTGGCACACAATTTTTAAAAATCCCTTCAGCAACACATCTAAGTATTTATAAAATTAGGGTAGTTTGTTTTAAAATCTACTCAATCCTGACAAAAATCAGGTGGTTAAACTATTGACTGATAAACTGTAAAGGTGGTCATCAAAAACTTCATTGAACAGCTCCAGTCCAGCTACTTAATGACTAATGGTGAAGAAATGTATGTGAATGGGATATAAACTAAGTTTCGACACACAGCAGAAGAAAAAAATTTAGAATGAGTAATAAAGGGCCCAAATTTAAAGTCCACAATAAACTTTAAACAAAGATGTTTTCTCTTCTCTTCTCATGTTAGCAAATCACTGTGGAGAAATCCAACCTCCACAAAACTTGTTACTCCGTCATTAACAACAGTGCACTTAAATATAACTATAGATTTCACAAGGGTATTTATTTTAGCCGCAAACATTTCTTACAAGCAACAACAACAAAATGCTCAGAAGCTATACTCAGTAGTCTCAGTGACTGAAAAAGTCCGGCTTTTAACTGCCATCCAATCCAAACAACCCACTTCTTTAGAAAGCTATGCAAAATATTGACCCCTTACTGAATTATTTTACTATTCAACATTAAACTATCTAAAAGAGAAAAGTAATTAATCGCTAAGTTTAGTTAAGCAATTTAGCTGACATAGTAAATATTTACTCTTCACATCTCACAGGAAGTCTTGACAAGCATTTGCTGCTATTCTGCTGGGGGTAGGGGCGGGAGGTGGGGGTGGGAGGCAATTTTTGATAAACAAGTTACAGGGTCCCAGCGAACTGAACATAGCTGGTGTTCGCCACCCCGACCCCCAATTAGGCACCAGATATTTTCCAAGAACAGTAAACACCTTATATAATGAAAGTAAAAAAAAAAAAAGTAGCTTTCTAAACTATGTATCTCCACTAACAAAACAAACAAAAGCCCCTTTAAAAACTACCAAGAGCACGTTTTTTAAAGCTGTGTGTACGTTTTTTACTTATACGTAAGGCCAATCGCAAAAAAAAAACTAAGCAAAGTATATTTACCTTAGCTTTTTAGAGACTGAGTAATCAACTTCCATGATTTTCCCATGCAATTCCACTTTACCTTTAAAACAGAAATTAAAGCACTCAGAACCTTGCTTAGATCAAGCCCGCGGGGGTCTAGGGGGGGCACGCACGGAACTCCACGCTCGGGCTCCGCCTTCGGGCGCCCCCAAGGGGTCTCCTACCCGGATCGAGCTGGGCGAACTTGGTTCCCAGTAGAAAGAAAGGTGGGCGCCCCGTGTCTCGGGACAAGGCGAGGAGGGTGCGAGCCCGGGTCGGACCCCAGGTATAGCCGTGGGTGGCATTACCGGAAAAACAAATTTAATAAAGAGCGGCGCCAATTTGAAAGGATGAGCTCATTTGAAACTCAAGCTGCAGGGCTGGCGCGGCCCCGCTGCTCTCCCGGCCCCCACCTCTCCATTCCGCTAATCCGGGGCCCGAAGGCTCCACCGGGCTCCCCTCCCTGCCCTCTCCTCCCGGTGGCCCCGAGAAAACGAGCCGAAGCCCCCCGGAGTCCGCCGCAGCGACAGCCCTGTCCCTGCCCGCTCCTGGGTGTCACCTTGGCCTCGCCGCCGCCCCGCCCCCACTCCACACGCCGGTGGGGAAGGGGCTCCCGCCGGGCCGGGGTTCGGGGGGCGCCGGCCGGGGCCCGGGGGCCCGCGCGGCTGGGAGCGGAGCGTGTGCTGGGGAGAGTTGGGGAGTGCGCGCGCGCGAGTGTGTGTGTGTGTCGCTCTCCGTCTCCTGTCTGGGCTCCAGCGCGCTCGCGGGCCCCCCGGTCGCCTCTTTCCCGGTTCTCAACCCTGGCCCCCACCGAGTTGAGACAGGGCACCTCGTAAAAAGGTGCTTCTGGCCGAGCGGGAGGCGGGGGGACGGGCGGCGGAAAGCCCCCAGCCCCGAGTTCTTCTCAATAAAATCGGACAAAAAATTCAGAGAAAAATAGGAGCGCTTGAGAGAGCAAGCGAGAGGGGACTGAGGTTCGGGAAAGGACCGAGGGGATGTGCCGTCGTGCGAGGGCTGGGGCTGGGGGAGCCCCGAGATCTCGAAGGGGGTCACCAGGGTGGCGCCGAGGGGGTGCCAAAAGTGGGGGGCCGTGGGGCGAGGTGGGGAGGGGGCTCGAAAGGAGAGTGCGGCTCAGGAGACGCCAGAGGGCGAGAGGTTCTGGGCACGAGGCACTGGAAGAGAGAAGGTCCGGCCGGGGGAGGAGGAAGAGACGCTGGATTTGGGGAAGGGGGGACCCTGACAAAGGGGGTGACAGGAAGGTCAGGGGAGAAGTGAGACAGGGGACGCTCAAAGGGTGGGGGGCGGGGAAGCTCAGAGCAGCCCGGGGCGCCAGGCGAACGAGGGGTGCCCCTAAGGAGCCGGCGAGCCTCGGGAGCCTTCGGAGCGGCACGGGGGGCGCCCCAAGGCTGCGGCCCCGAGGGCGAGGGCAGAGTCCAGAGCTGTGGGGGGAGGGGAGCGGGCCGTCCCAGGAGCGGGCCGGCGGCGAGAGTTGAGGGTCTGGTGCGTGGAAGTGAGCGTGCGGGCGCGGGAGCCGCCGCCGGGCGCCGCCCGCCGGACTCGGCCTCCCTCCCGGCGCCGTCCCGGCCTGAGCGGGGCGAGGCGGGGGGAGGGGGCCGCGCTGAGTGCTCACCCGAGAGGGTCTCGATGGCGCGGATGGCCCAGTTCTGGTCGGGGTAGTCCACGAAGGCGTAGCCGGACTTCAGCAGGACCTGTCCCGCCAGGGGCAGCTTCCTGTCCCCAAAGAGCTGCCGGAGGTCGTCGGCGGTGACGGCGGGGCTCAGGTTCCCGATGTAAAGCTTGTTCATCATCCGTCTCTTCCCCGAGAGCCCGCGGCTCCCCCGGCCCGGTACCCGGCGCTCCTCGCCTCCTCCGCTGCCCTCGTCTCTCCTCCTCCTCCGCCCCCCCTCCCCGCCCTCCGCCCGCCCGCCACCCACCCCCACCCTCAGCCTGGCTCCCCCCACCGCGGCCGGCCCGGCCCGCCCGGGGGCAGAGGCGGAGGCGGGGACTCGGCGCGGCTGCCTCCTCGGGGCAGAGTCCCGGGCCGGGCGGCGGCGCGCGGACAAAGCGCTCTCTCTGCCTCCCTCTCTCTCCCTCTCAAGGCGGTGGCGGGAGGAGGAGCAGCGGCGGGCGGCGGCAGCGCACCCCGCGTGTGTCTGTGTGAGAGTTTGTACGGGCGTGTGCGCAGCCGAGAGGGAGCGAGCGAGCGCCCCCTCCCCGCCCCGCGCCGCTGCGCCCCTCGCCTCGCGCCCACCGCGCTCGGCAGTGGCTGCTCGGGCTCCGGCCCCGCGCCAGGCGGGCGGAAGCGGGTCGCGGCCCCGGGCTGGGGCTCCGGGCGCCGGAACCCCGGGCGGGCGCGGCGCCGAGGCCGGGCGAGCGGCGGGGCGGGGAAGGCGCGCCCCGGGCGCGGGTGGGAGCGCGCGAGGGGGCGACGGGGAGCCGCGGGCGTGGGAGGGAGAGGGGCTGCGAGTGAGCGCGGAGAGGGGTGTGCGCAAGGTGGACCGGATGTGAGTGCGCTGCTGCCAGGGCAAGCGGGAAGGTGTGTCCCGGAGGTGAGAGGCGAGGGCAGGCTGGGAGACAACAACTTTCGCAGCGACTTGGCCGGGGCTGGCGCCCTGCGCGTTCCCGGGCCGTGCGCTCGCTCTGAGACCCGCTCCCCGCCACGCTCTCTGAGGTGACCGAGCGGCGCGTGTGGTCGAAGGATCGCGCGCGGGAGTCGGGACGCCTAGGACCGGGGTTGGCCGGGCCCTCGCGGACCGTGCTCGCGGGGAAGTGGTTCCCGGTCCCGGGCCTCAGTTTCCCGACCGGGGAGGGAAGGCGGAAGGCCAGCGCGGAGTCACGTCCTCTCCGCCCAGACCCCGCGTGTCCGGAACCCCGCGGCAGGCGGCAGCCTGACGTTGGCAGCTGCTCTCTATTCTGGGAAGTGCCGAGGGCTTCCCGGGCGGCGGCGGCGAAAGCCAGGTGGCGGGTGGGGAAACGAACGCCGAGGGGCCAGGGACTGCGGCGAGGCCGGAGCGCTGGGGTCAGCGGCCGGGGGACGGATGGTCGCCGCCCGGCTGCGCGGCCGGTTCAGCTCCAAAGCCAGGGTGGTGGGAGGCGAGGGTGGCTGGAAGCGGAGGAGCGCAGGCTGTGTAGGAGTTCCCCGAGCACTGGGAAGGGCCCGGAGAGGAAAGAGGTCCTTCCAAGCGGAGGAAACAACGTGACCGACGGAAGAGGCAGGGTTGGGATGAGAGCAGGCTGGAGCCGAGGGGCTCGGGCAGGAGCCAGACAGGCTAGAGCGGGCTGCAAGTTCCGGGGCCCGGCTGGAAGCCTGATGGTTAGAGCCTGGTCCCAGCCAGGAAATGAAATTCTACAGGAGGGAGAAGAATGGCGGGATTCAGAGGTGAGGAGGCAGAAGAAGATTCCAAGCTCTGGACCTCTGGGGGCCACTGGGAGAGTTGAAGGTTTGATCGCGGATATGTTGGGTTTTGTGAAGGCGTTGGGGCGCGGGTGCGGGGAGTGTCCTTGGGTGGAGAAGTCACGAATGTAGGAATGGAACAAGTTCGGGTCTCCTGACTGGGTCGTGAAGTAGTATTGTCTTTCCCAAGCTTTCCTGTTGATGAGCGGCGTGGAGAGAATGGGGCTTGCTGGATTTTGTATTTTCCGCAAGTACTCCCAGGTGATTCTGGTCTGGTAAACACTGTTGGAGTGGAAGGCCTATCTGCCCCGGACTCAGACCTTCTCTCTGCCCCCATCTTTGTGCCCTGAGATGTTCCAGCATTCTCGAGCCTAAGTTTCTTCATCTATAAGGAGATAAAATAACCAGTCCTCGCAGGGCTGTTGTGAGGGCTACAAGAAGGATAACTGCCTAGCGTGTTGAGACATGGGTGGTCAGACACTTAATGCCTGTTTCTCTTCTTTCCCCCAGGAATTCATGAACTTTTAAAATACTTTATTCTACAGAAGGAGATCTTCTTAACTAATTAGGTATCCAGAGGAGAAAGTAATGAATCCATTTTCACCTAGATATTTGCAGTTATTTGAATTCTGGCTTTTGTCTCAAGTATTCACATATTTTTTTCTCTCTCTAGAAAAAGAATCGGATTTTACTGCTCCAGGAGTTGAGAATGAACTTGGTTACTAATCCCCAAAGTAATAGATAAACTAGGTGTGGATGCTTCTTTACTAAATTGTATCAGAGAATCACAAATGAACATGACTTGTGCATGCATAAACCTCAGCAGACTGAACTAACCATCTTTAGATTATTTACACATGTGCTCCTAATTGATATGGTCACCTTTATATTATAGGACAGCATATTTGCTTATTATTCACAGGTACATGTAAAGGAGAAACGAGAGTGGCAGGAATAGTTGGCCTCATTCCTCTCCAACAGGTCAGAAAAACTTGTTGTTGTTGTTGTTGTTGTGTAGCATTTTAGATACATCAATTATTTGGTCTTACTGTGAGACGAAAAACACATTAGACAATGTACAGATTCTTGGCAGAGGTGGTGTATCAGTCCATTTTCATACTGCTCTGAAGAAATGCCCAAGACTGGGTAATTTATAAAGAAAAAGAGGCTTAATGGACTCACAGTTCCACACGGCCCAGGAGGCCTCCTCATAGCGGAAGGTGAAGGAGGAGCAAAGGCACATCTTACATGGGGGCAGGCAAGAGCACGTGTGCAGGGGAACTGCCCTTTATAAAACCATCAGATTTCGTGATACTTATTCACTATTGCAAGAACAGCATGGGAAAAACCCACCCCCATGATTCAGTTACCTCCCACCGGGTCCCGCCCATGACATGTGGGAATTATGGGAGTTACGTTTCAAAATGAGATTTGCGTGAGGACACAGCCGAACCCTATCAGGTGGCTTCTGGTGAACTCTTCTTACCCTGCTTCACCAAGTCACTTTGAAATTTTTTTTTTCAGAGAAATAATTGCTCTTTGCTGCAGTTGTCAGCTGTCCTGCTGGAATTTTGGAAACAGCAGGGCTGCAGAAGGAGGGCTTGAACTGTAAGTGTGATGGAGGGCATGCTTCCACTACACCCCTGGTTTGCAGCATCTACAGTGCCTTATCTTAGAATGCAGAGTTATTTTTCACATGATAGAGAAGGGGTTGGGGACCTTTGAAGACAATAGGGGACAGCCTCCAAGTGCAAAGTCAGAAATTCAGAGGCCTTGCTCCTGCCAGGCAAAACTTATTTTCTACCTGTTTTCTCTCGAGTTCCCCTACTTATCCCTCCCCCAGAGAGCTGAAACAGAGACCATCTTGATTGATCTAGACTTGGTTTACACCTGATAAGCCAAGATTTTATGAATGTTTAACAGAGGTCAGAAATTTGGAGAAAATCTTATAGTAGGCATATTACCTTTTAAAGCATGAATTAACTAATGTTTTCCTCAAGAGTTTCAAAGGCAGTACAGATCCTCATTGTTTCCCAGCGATTCTTTTGGGCAAGACAGTGATAAGGTGGCTGGGACAAGCTTTCTTAATCCTTCTTTTCAGGTAAGAAAACTGAAGCTCAGGAAAGTATAATTTTTTCTTAATCACATGGAGGGCCTGAAACACACCTGGAAAAAACATTTTAGTCTAACAACAAAGAGTTCATAAGTGTTAAGTCTTTTTCTTTTCTTTTTTTTTTTTTTTTTTTAAAAAAAGTCTTACTGTCACCCAGGCTGGAGTGTGGTGGGGTGATCATGGCTCACTGCAATCTCAAACTTCCAGACTCAAGCAGTCCTCCCACCTCAGTCTCCCGAGTAGCTGGGACTACAGATGCATGCCACCATGCCCAGCTAAAATTTTTTTTAAGAGATGGGATCTCACTGTGTTGCCCAGGCTGGTCTCAAACTCTTGAGCTCAAGCGATCCTTTTGAACCTACAAAGCTATAGCGGAATGTTTTTTTGCTCAACTGATAATGTAGTCAGTATAACCAGTGTCTCTAGATAATGTGAGAAGTTGAAAGAGAAAGTGAAGCCTATTTGCTGGAAGGCTGAGGCAAAGCCAACATTTGGAGGTAATTCTTAGAAGGTCCTGCACCTGCCTGTGCATCAGGAATGATTTGGTAGTAGGGTAATGTCCCTTAGACCAGTAGTCCCCAACCATTTTGGCACCAGGGACCGGTTTCATGGAAGACTATTTTTCCACAGACAGGTTGGGGGGTGGTTTCAGGATGAAACTTCTTCACCTCAAATCATCAGGCATTAGTTAGATTCTCATAGGGAGCATGCAACCTATCCTCACATGCGCAGTTCAAAATAAGGTTCAAGTTCCGATGAGAATCTGATGCCACCGCTGATCTGACAGGAGGTGGAGCTCAGGCAGTAATGCTTGCCTGCTCCTCACCTCCTGCTGTGTAGCCGGGTTCCTAACAGGCCACAGTACCAGTCCATGGCACCAAGGTTGGGGACCCCTGCCTTAGACACCTTTTCTTGAGTTAGCATAAGATAATTGCCTTATGCCAGTTACTTCATCTATTTGAGCTTCAGATTCCTCATTTGTAAACTAGCCCAATTGTTTCCTCACTATAAACTCTAGCCTACCTCCCCCTGCAGTTTCATATTATGCAAATGCTAGGTCATTTCAGAATTCCGTCTTTTTGCACATTTGTTCTCTTTCCCTGGAATGCATTTCTTCCCCTGGTAAACTCCTGTCTTCCCCTGACTTGGCCCCATGATACACACAGCACTTCATACAGATAAAAAATATTTTGTCTAGTGATAGTTGTACAACTGTGAATATATTAAAAACCATTGAAGTGTATTTTAAGTGAGTAAATTTTACGGTATGTGAGTTATATCTGAATTTTTAAACATGGAGGATGGAGGGAAGCCTTCCCTACTACATGGTGGGTTTCTGGAGGAATAAGATCTTCTCATTTTCCTGTTAGAATTTCCTTTGGCCCGTATGAAACCTGGTCCATAATAAAGGCTCGGGTAATATTGTTGAATAAACAATGACCATCTGAGGTTTGCTCTAAGGGATTAAACGAAGATGTATGTGATGGTATTTATCTTGCACAATCCCCTTGTTGAATTCATTTATTCATGGCACTGTGTAGTGCTAAGCACTGAGGATACAGAATAAATAAACATCATCCTGATCTCAAGGAATTTATGGTCAGTGGAGGAGGCAGATATATAAACAGACCATAGCATGGCATTAGAGGTGCCACAGTAGACTTTGTGAGCATACAAGATAGAGCATCCCATTCAGCCCAGTGTTGGGGAAGGGAACATCAGGAAAGAATTGATTTTGGTTTTGAAGGATAATTAGGGATTTACTAGAATACAAGACGTAAGAGAGGAAATACATCCTAGGCAGAAAGAATAGCATATGCAAAGGCACAGACACACAAAGTATCTGTTCCACATTTGAAATCCAATCCAAATGTTAACTCAGAAATGTTTGAGAACAAGACAGAAGAAATAATGCAAAACAAAAAAGATTCTCAGAATCAAAGACATGGATCTCCAGATCAAAGAGTTTGCAGAAGGCCCAGCAAAATGAATGATAGAAGATCTAAAAATCACATCATCATGAAATTCTGAACTCAAATTATAAAAGCATCTGGACAAAATAGGTCGCATACAAAGGAGTTGGAACAGGAATGAGAATGTATTTTCCTAAAACAGGAAACTAGGGAGTCAATAGAGCAATGCCTTTAAAACTGAGTGGAAATTATCTTCAATCTAGAATTCTAAACCTAGTGAGACCATCAGTTTAAAAAGATATGCAAGAATTCAGACATGCCCGTTTTGGGGAAGCTACTGGGAGATAAGTGCCAGCAAAACCATGGAAGAAGATTACATGGGATTTGGGAAATAAGGAATCCAACATGGTAGACTCTGAATTTAAAAATCCAGAATGCCTGCAATGCAGCCATCCCACGAGCAACCAGCACAGATTGGAACAAGAGGATAGATGGCTCAGAATGAGGTCTTCAAGGAACAACAACAAAATGGAACTCATTTCTGTGAGTGCATAATGATTATTTCTGATAGGATAGCAGACATGTTGGAGCATTTGGAAAAAATTAATCACAAGTATATGGAAAGCCAGACAAGTGGGAAAACAAGGAAATCATTAACTGAAGGAAAAATACGTGGTCATACAAGAAAGGAGCAATGGTCATAGGCTCAACAGTGAAAATGTTTGTACAGTCATAGTGTAAACACTGATGTATTATCCAAGCTGCATAAAGAGATCTTATAAATCAATTAGAAAAAGACAACCATTGGAAAAACGAGCAAAGTGTATGAATGGGCTAATTCACAGAAGATGAAACTCAAGCTCAACTCATGAGTAATTGGGGAAATTAAAACTATTCACTGGCTGGGCATGGTGGCTCATGCCTGTAATTCCAGCACTTTGGGAGCCTGAAGCAGGAGGGACTGCTCGAGGCCAGGAGTTCAAGACCAACCTGGTCAATGAAGTAAGACCCAGTCTCTACAAAAAAAAAAAAAATTAAAAATTAGCAGAGTGTGGTAGTACATACCTGTAGTCCTAGCCATTCAGGAGGCTGAGGCAAGAGGATTCCTTGAGTCCAAAAGGTTCAGGCTACAGTGAGCTATGATCATGCCACTGCACTCCAGTTTAGGTGACAGAGCGATACCCTGTCATTTATACATACATATGTACATAAAATCAAATTGACAAAAATCTTAAAATTCTGATGGTTCAAGGGTCTTAGTGAGGGTATGGAGCATCAGAAACAGTCATCCACTGCTGGCAAGAGTATACACAGGTACAATTACTCTGAAGAGTAATTTGTCAGTATCTAGCAAAGCTGAAGATACAGGCCCTGAGTACGGCCTGGCAGTCTTTCTCCAAGATGGTTATTTCTTATCTCACTTTCAGCTTCTAATTGATCATCTCCACCCAGGGTCTCAGCTGATAACCCTGCTTTCTATTTCACTGAGAGACTAGAAGCAAGCAGAAAAGCACTTCAAATATTTGCCCACATACTTGCATCTGTGCCCATAGACTCCATATTTCTTAAATTATAATGGATGACTATGCATGATTTAGAAGAGAGGTAAAAACTGATGACTCCAGAGAAAATAAACATCCACACCCTTTGTGGAAGAAACATATATGACCATTCATTGTAGCACTGTGATGGTGAAAAATTTAAATGTCCATCAACAATAAAACTGGTACATTGTGGCATAGCTATAAATTGACTACTATATATTGAGTCAAAGGGGACACATGTTTATTCATTTTCTCTGGAATCATTACTGTTTCCTCACTTCTGGATGAAATAAAATAGGCAACGTGTCAACATTAACCACCTAAACAAAAACAAACATATGCTAAGTGAAAAGTTATAGAAGGATGTTGGTTATACGAAGTTTTCTTTCTTTCTTCCCTGCCCCCCAGACCCACCGGAGACAGGGTCTTGCTTTGTCACCCAGGCTGCAGGACAATGGCATGATCTCAGCTCACTGCCACCCCTGCCTTCCAGGCTGAAAGATTCCTCCCACCTCAGCCTACTGAGTAACTGGGACTACAGGTGTTCACCACCACAATGGCTAATTTTTTGTACTTTTGCAAGAGATGGGAGTTTCGCCATGTTCCCTATGATTGGTCTCGAATGCCTGAGCCCAAGCTGTCCATCCTCGTTGGCCTCCCGAAGTGCTGGGATTATAGGTGTGAGCCACTACAGCTGATCTCTACAAAGTTTGAAAACATGCAAAGCAATTCTGTTGTTGATATGGACACATTTGTGTGGCATAATTGTACAAAAACATGCATGGGAACAGCAAACTCTAAATTGGGGATAATGATTACCTTTAAGGAGGGAGAAAAGGGAATAGGGGGAGGTGGAAGGGCACAGATAGAATTTCTGTTTTTTTAATTTAATTTTTTTTTTTACACGGAGTTTCACTCTTGTTGCCCAGGCTGGAGTGCAATGGCGCAATCTTGGCTCACCACAACCTCTGCCTCCTGGATTCAAGTGATTCTCCTGCCTCAGCCTCCCGAGTAACTGGGATTGCAGGCATGCACTACCATGCCCGGCTAATTTTTATATTTTTAGTAGAGAGGGAGTTTCTCCATGTTGGCCAGACTGGTCTCGAACTCCCGACCTCAGGTGATCTGCCAGTCTCAGCCTCCCAAAGTGATGGGATTACAGGCGTGAGCCACCAAGCCCTGCCAATTTTTGTTTTTTAAAAGTAGGTGGCAGGTACATGGATGTTTAGTTACATTTTTATTACTTCGAGACAGAGGTTAATTCTTGTCAGATGTGCATTATAATCACCAAGAAAACCTTCAAAAATACAGATTCCCAAGACCTACCATGAGAACTCCTGAATCAGAATTTTCAGGGTAGAAGCCCACGAATCTATTTTTCTTTTGTTTTGTTTTACAGTACGTTCTTAATATGCTTACCCAGAATCTACATTTAAAAAAAAAGTATATGTGTGTGTATATATACACAATAATATTACAAGAAGTCCCATATACTCTTTACCCAGATTCCCCAAATGTTAACATTTGTTTTATCTTTTATGTTTCTCTGAATCATATGCCTAAATACCTCAGTTTGTATCTGCTTAAAAAAAAAATTAGGCCGGGCACGGTGGCTCACGTCTGTAATCCCAGCACTTTGGGAGGCTGAGGCGGGTGGATCACCTGAGGTCAGGAGTTCGAGACCAGCCTGGCCAACATGGTGAAACCCCGTCTCTGCTAATAATACAAAAATTAGCAGGGTGTGGTGGCGCGTGCCTGTAATCCCAGCTACTCGGGAGGCTGAAGCAGGAGAATCACTTGAACCCGGGAAGCAGAGGTTGCAGTGAGCCAAGATCACGCCATTGCACTCCTGCCTGGACACAAGAGGGAAACTATGTCTCAAAAAAAAAAAAAAAAAGAAAGAAAGAAAAGTCTATTCCCAGTACAATGATAAAAACCAGTAAATAAACATTGATACTGTAATCTGCAGACTCTTCAAATTTCAAATTTTATGAATTGTGTCAATATTATTGCAAAAGAAAATCCCAGGCTGGGTGCGGTGGCTCACGCCTGTAATCCCAGCACTTTGGGAGGCCGAGGCTGGCGGATCACGAGGTCAGGAGATCGAGACCATCCCGGCTAAAACAGTGAAACCCCGTCTCTACTAAAAATACAAAAAATTAGCCGGGCGTAGTGTCGGGCGCCTGTAGTCCCAGCTACTTGGGAGGCTGAGGCAGGAGAATGGCGTGAACCCGGGAGGCGGAGCTTGCAGTGAGCCGAGATCCCGCCACTGCACTCCAGCCTGGGCGACAGAGCGAGACTCCGTCTCAAAAAAAAAAAAAAAAAAAAAAAGCCCAAATCATTTGTTGTGTATGGTTACCTAGTCTCTTTACTCTCCTTTAATTTGGACAGTTCTTCAGTCATTGTTTGTTTTTCATGACATTGATGTTGATTACTACGGGCTATTTATTTGGTAGAATGCCATTGAATATGAGTTTGATGTTTTCGTATGATTAGATTTATGTGCTGTATTGTCTTGCAGGAATGCCACAGAGGTTATAATTGTGGTCAGATAATGTGCATTGTGTCTGGAAGCACTTGTTGATTGGTCCCATTATTGGTGATGTTAACTTTGCTCCCTTGGTTAAGACAGTGTGTCAGTATGTATCAGGTTTCTTCATTGTAAAATTACTAAGTATCTCTTGGGGAGATACTTTGAAACTATGTAGATGCTCTGTTACCCATCAAAATTTCAACCACGAGTTTTAGTATCTAGTGTTGAGTCTTGCTTGGATTATTATTAGGGTTGACAAGCGGTGATTCTGATTTAATCATTTCTTTTATATTTATTAGTTGACTTTCTACTGTAAGAGCTTTCCCTTCATCCCATGTATTGTATCACTGTGGACAAATGGATTCTTTTTTTTTTTTCCTTTGTTTGTTTTATGATGGAGTCTTGCTCAGTCTGGCTCTGTCACTCTGAACCACGTTGGCCAGGCTGGTCTCAAACTCCTGACCTCAGGTGATCCGCCCACCTTGGCCTCCCAAAGTGCTGCGTGAGCCACCACTCCTGGCCTGGATTCCTATTGTATTTAAAGTGACATCAATGTTTACTATTAGTAAGTATTTTGATGCTCAAATTGTCTCAGATTTGGCCAGCAACAGCCCCTTCAAGCTGGCACGTGTGAACTTCTGTTACTATTTTAGGTTTGTACTTTATCTGCCTTGCCTATAATCAACCACTTATCCAAGGAGTCTAGGTACTTTTTAGTATTTATAAACCAAGATCTGCATGCTACATATGCTCACTGCTACAGGAATATCATTGATTCTACACCCTCTTAGTTGAAGGAGGTAGGTAATAGATTATATACATAAACACACACATAGACCTACACCTGTCTATTCTGGCTAGTGCTGTATTAAAAATCACAAGTTTGGGCTGGGCACAGTAGCCCACGCCTGTAATCCCAGCACTTTGGGAGGCCGAGGCAGGTGGATCACAAGGTCAAGGGTTCAAGACCAGCCTGGCCAAGATAATGAAATCCCGTCTTTACTAAAAATACAAAAAAAAAAAAAATTAGCTGGGCATAGTGGCAGGCACCTATAATCCCAGCTACTTGGGAGGCTCAGGCAGAGAATCGCTTGAACCCGAGAGACAGAGGTTGCAGTGAGCTGAGATCATGCCACTGTACTCCAGCCTGGGTGACAGAGTGAGACTCCGTCTCAAAAAAAAAAAAAAAAAAAAAATCCCAAGTTCACGCTAATACTTTCTTTGTTTTGTTTTGTTTTGTTTTGTTTGTTTTTTGAGACAGAGTCTCACTCTGTCACCCAGGCTGTAGTGCAGTGGTGCGATCTCAGCTCACTGCAACCTCAGTCTCCCGGGTTCAAGGGATTCTCCTGCCTCAGCCTCCCGAGTAGCTGGGGTTATAGGTGCCCACCACCACGCCTGGCTAATTTTTGTATATTTGTTTATTTAGTAGAAACAGGGTTTCACCATGTTAGCCAGGCTGGTCTCAAACTCCTGACCTCGGGTGATCCACCCACCTTGGCCTCCCAAAGTGCTGGGATTACAGGCGTGAGCCACCACACCCAGCCCACACTGATACTTCTGATTCCAGTGAAACACTGTAAGATTCTCCTTCCCACTTTTCATATTTGTAACTCTTGCCTTCAATAGTGAGAAACCTGGCTCCCATTATCTACAATATATTTACTTATTCAATCTTACACACTTAAAATTGGATTGATTCATTTGCTTCTGCTGTTTCTTTTCTTTTTCTTTTCTTTTTTTTTTTTTTTTTTTGAGGCAGAGTCTCACTCTGTTGCCCAGGCTGGAGTGCAGTGGCACAATCTTGGCTCACTGCAACCTCCGCCTCCCAGGTTCAAGCAATTCTGTCTCAGCCTCCCAAGTAGCTGGGACTACAGGTGTGCGCCACCAAGCCCAGCTAATTTTTGTATTTTTAGTAGAGATGGGATTTCACCATATTGGCCAGGCTGGTCTCGAACTCCTGACCTCGTGATCCTCCTGCCTCGACCTCCCAAAGTGCTGGGATTACAGGCGTGAGCCACCAGGCCAGGCCGCTTCTGTTTTTTCTACTTTATTTCCCACCACCACCGCCCCCCCCCCAACCCGCCGCCATCCTAGTTGTTTTTCTTTTTGTTGTTAAGTAAAATATTAACAAGATTGCAAAACACAGAATGTATAGTCAGAGGAATTCCATCCCCTCCCCATTCCTTCTATTCTGTCCAGTTCATTTCCACCCAATCCCTGAGGGTAAACAATTGTATTAACTTCTGGTTTCTCTTTCCTGTGTTTCTTTTTTTCTTTTTCTTTTTTTTTTTTTTTGAGACGGAGTCTCGGTCTGTCGGCCGGACTGGAGCACAGTGGCGCGATCTCGGCTCACTACAAGCTCCGCATCCCGGGTTCACACCATTCTCCTGCCTCAGCCTCCCGAGTAGCTGGGACCACAGGCACCCGCTACCACACCCGGCTCATTTTTTTTGTATTTTTAGCAGAGACGGGGTTTCACCGACTTAGCCAGGATGGTCTCGATGTCCTGACCTCGTGATCCGCCCACCTCGGCCTCCCAAAGTGCTGGGATTACAGGCATGAGCCACTGCACCCGGCCTTTCCTGTTTCTTTTTACACAAATGAACATATACATGCATATTTCCTCCTTTCCTACAAAAATGGTAGCATATTGCCAATACTCTTTTCCACTTTGTTTTCTTCCTTTAACAAGAGATCTTGTATCAGTTCATAGAAATCTTTCTCCTTTTTTAAACAGCTGCATAATACTCATATGCCATATATATGGGCATGTCAGTGACTTCCAATATATTGTAATTTTACAAAAATGATGCTATGAATAACCTAGTATGTATGTATTGTTGGAGGTTTATCTTCAGGGTAAATTCCTAGGAGTAAGGTTGCTAGGTCAAAAAATAATACATGTGCACTGTGCGTGTGTATGTGTGTTAAATATTTATTGTGAAATTCTCCATAGAGATTATACCAGCTTGCATTCCACCAGCACTGTATGAGTGCCTGTTTCCCAACAGCCTGCCAACAAACTCTGTGATTACGCTTTTTACTTTTTGCCAATCTGATAAGTGAGAAATTGTATCTCAGTGTAGTTTTAATTTGTAATTCTCTCATTATGAGTGAAAACGAACTTTTTTTTCATGTGTTTAAAGATCATCTTTTTTGTTGTTGTTGGGGATACATTCTCTGTTCATGTCTTTTGCCCATTCTTCTATTGAAGAGTTTTGATCTATTTTTCTTCTCAACTTTTATGGTTATTTAAATATTATGGATGTAAGGTTTTTATCTGAGATACGTGTTACAAATATTTTCTCCCAGGTTTTAATTGTCTTTTTACATTGTTCATGGTGTTTCTTCCTATGCAAAAGGTTTTACTTTTATGTAGTCAAGTTTATCAATCTTTTATTTCATTTTATTTAATTTTGAGTTATAGTTAGAATGCTTTCCCCTACCCCAGATTAAAGAGAAATTTACTCATTTTAAAAATAGTATGTGTATGGTGATAGATAGATACATAAATAGATAGGTAGGTAGGTAGGTAGATCGATCGATTCTTTTTTTTTTTTTTTGATCGATTCTTGATCCACTTGGAATTTGTTCTTGTCGATGGTATGAGGTATGGATCTCCTTTTACCTTTTTCTTCTAAGTACCTAATTGTTCCAGTACCATTTATTTTAAAAATCCTTTTGGCCCAGGTGTTTTGAGACACCATCTTTATTACATACTAAAGTTCCATATGTACTTGGTCCTACTTCTGGACTTTCTTTTCTACTGGTCTATCCATATTACCATACTCTACTGTTGTAAAGGCTTTATGGTATGTTTTCATGTCTGGTAGGCCAAGTCCCCCTTGTGACTTTTTTCTTTTCTTAGTATTTTCCTGGCTATTCTTGTATGTTTGCCTTTCTGTATGAAGTTTAGTATCAGTTTCTTAAGCTCCATAAAAAGGTTGTTGGTGCAGCCATAAAAAAGAATGAGATCATGTCCTTTGCAGGGACATGAATGGAGATGGAGGCCATTATCCTTAGCAAACTAAATCAGGAACAGAAAACCAAATACCACATGTTCTCACTTATAAGTGGGAGCAAAATGATGGCAACACTTGTACACAAGATGAGAACAACAGGCTGGGCGCCGTGGCTCACACCTGTAATCCCAGCACTTTGGGAGTCTGAGGCAGGTGAATCACTTGAAGCCAAGGAGTTTGAGACCAGCCTGGCCAACATGAGGAAACCCTGTCTCTACTAAAAATACAAAAAACCAGCCAGGCATGGTGGCGCACACCTGTAATCCCAGCTACGCAGGAGGCTGAGGCATGAGAATCCCTTGAACCCAGGAGGCAGAGGTTGCAGTGAGCTGAGATCGCGCCACTGCACACCAGCCTGGGTGACAGACTCTGGTTTCCAAAAAAAAGAAGAAGAAGGGAAAAACACACACTGGGGCCTTTTGGAGGGTGGAAGGAGGGAGAGGATCAGGAAAAATAAATAACTAGTGAGTACTAGCCTTAATACCTCATGAAATAATCTGTATAAACAAACCCCATGACACAAGTTTATCTATATAATAAACCTGCACTTGTACCCTTGACCTTTGTGCGATTGACTTGATGGGAAGTTAACAGATAATGGCTAAAATTGAAAAATCTAAGAATGGCATAAGCAAATTAGTTAGAAATACATAGATAAATACCTAAAGAAGAAAGAGCTTCAAAAGTGAGGAGACTTTATTTTTTATTTTTATTTTATTTTATTTTATTTTATTTTTTGAGATGGAGTTTTGCACTGTCACCTGGGCTGGAGTGCAATGGCGCGATCTCGGCTCACTGAATTCTCTGCCTCCTGGGTTCAAGTGATTCTCCTGCCTCACCTCCCAAGTAGCTGGGATTACAGGCACACACCACCAAACCCGGCTTTTTTTTTTTTTTTTTTTTTTTTGTATTTTTAGTAGAGACGAGGTTTCACTAAGTTGGCCATGATGGTCTTAAACTCCTGACCTCATGATCCACCCACCTTGGCCTCCCAAAGTGCTAGTATTACAGGCGTGAGCCACTGCGCCCAGCCAAATGAGGAGACTTTCTTTAAAAAAATAAGGCTTTTAGTACATGTATTAGTCAGGCTCCTGGTAGGAAACAGATGGCTAACTTAATCAGGGTGATTAAAAATCTCATAGAAGTATAGTAGGTCTTCTGTGTCCTTGGATTAACCAGCCATGGATTGAAAATATTCAGAAAACAATAAAAATAACAATATAACAACAAATAATAATAGAAATAGGTCAGGTGAGGTGCCTCACATCTGTAATCCCAGCACTTTGGACAGCTGAAGCAGGAGGATTGCTTGAGACCAGGAGATTAAGACCAGCAACAAAGTGAGACCCTTTCTCTACAAAAAAAAAAGAAAAAAAGTTAGCTGGGCTTGGCTTTGCATACCAGTAGTCCCGGTTATCTGGTAGGCTGAGGCAGGAGTATCACTTGAGCCCGGAAGTTCTAGGCTGCAGGGACCTATGATCACACCACTGCATTCCAGCCTGGGCAACAGAATAAGACACCATTTAAAAAATTAAAAATAAAAAAAGATGCAAATTTTTAAAACAATATAACAACTATTTACTTAGTATTTACAGTGTATTAGGTGTTATAAGTAATCTAGAGATAATTTAAAGTATATGGGATCACTTTGGGAGGACTCACTTGAGGCCAGGAGTTTGAGACCAGCCTGGCCAACATGGAGAAACCCTGTCTCTACTAAAAATACAAAAATGACCAGGCGCAGTGGCTCATGCCTGTAATCCCAGCACTTTGGGAGGCCAAGGCAGGTGGATCATGAGGTCAGGAGATCGAGACCATCCTGGCCAACATGGTGAAACCTCATCTCTACTAAAACACGAAAAATTAGCCAGGCATGGTAGCCCGTGCCTGTAGTCCCAGCTACTCAGGAGGCTGAGGCAGGGGAATCGCTTGAACCTGGAAGGCAGAGGTTGCAGTGAGCAGAGATTACACCACTGCACTCCAGCCTGGCAACAGAGCAAGACTCCATCTCAAAAAAAAAAAATACAAAAAATACAAAATTAGCCAGGTATGGTGGTGCACCCCTGTAATCCCAACTACTCAGGAGGCTGAGGCATAAGAATCACTTAAACCCGGGAGGCAGAGGTTGCAGTGAGCCAAGATTGCGCCACTGCACTCCAGCCTGGGCAACAGAGCGAGACTCTGTCTCAAAAAAAAAAAAAAAAAAAAGTGTATGAGAGGATGTGCACAGGTTATATGCAAACACTACACCATTTTATGTAAGGAGCTTGAGCATCCATGGATTTTGGTATCTTCATGGGGGTCTTGAGATTCCGAAGAGGATACTGAAGGACAACTGTACTGTTTAGAAGTGTGGGTGGGCTTAAGGGACATAAACATGGGTTGGTGAAGCACCCTGCCACTAGAGCCACAGGGAGCAGTTTCAACTCCTTGGCCTAAAGGGTGACAAGAAGTACAGCTTAATGGAACAAAAAAAGCTATGGAAGAGGACTACCCAATAGAAATCATGGACTTGAGTAGAACGTAAGTCACTACTTAGTGCAGCATGACAGGTTGGGAACTGCAGAATAAACATTATCTTACTCTCCTCCCATTCCTGCCAGGGGCCCCTAATGGCTAAACTGAAGCAGAGGTGGAGAGCAAGGAAGCCTATTGGTGCCATTTATAATGAGCAGCTTCCAGAAACAGTAGGGCAGGAAGGGGTAGAGAGTGAATTTGCAGGTTCACATGGAAGAAATCCAAGCAGTACTATAATGCATTTAAATATATAAATGTACAGCCATAATAAAACAAAAAACAGTGGAGAAGATCAGGTATGGTGGCTCACACCTGTAATTCCAGCACTTTGGGAGGCCGAGGTGGGCAGATCACCTGACCTCAGGTCTCACCTAGCCAGCATAGTGAAACCCCATCTCTACTAAAAATACAAAAATTAGCCAGGCATGGTGGTGCATGCCTATACTCCCAGCTACCTGGGAGGCTGAGGCACAAGAATCACTTGAACCTGGGAGGCGGAGGTTGCAATGAGCTGAGATCGTGTCACTGCACTCCAGCCTGGGTGATAGCAAGACTAAGTCTCAAAAAAAAAAAAAAAAAAAAGTGAAAAAGCAACTTTTGTCAATGAATCTATGGTCTAAGGGCACATGAGTCAATTATAACAAAGATGGAAAGGTGGTATATGCCTGAGGAGAGATTGGAGACACTCCCAGTGAGGAAAACCAACAGATTCTCTGGAAATGGTGACCTTTGAGCTAGGGATCTAACTTATATCATCATATAGCAGCTGGGTGATGGATACTGGTCTATTCTTATGCAATAAAACATCTGTAGGAGAACTGAAGAAATCCCTCAAACCTCATGGTTTCCATTGTCCTGCTTCCTGTGGATATTTGCCTTTTCACATTTTTAAGGTTTTTATTGTTATAATTTTTCCAATCTATATTTTATATTGATGTCCTCAAGATGGAATGACTGATTTTGTACTATGCCCCTGGTATAGTGTTACGGACTTTAGATGCATGAGCTCAAACAAATATGAGGTTGATCTTATTATACCCATTTTACAGAAAAACTGTGGTTTGGAGATAAGTAACTTACCAAAGGACAAATAACTAGATCGAAATCACAATAAAGGTTTGACTTAACAGCTCCTCTTTTACCAGCATTCTAAATTGCTTCTCAATGTAGGGATTTCTGGCCAGATGTGGTGGCTCATGGCTGTAATCTCAACACTTTGGGAGGCCGAGACAGGAGGATCGTTTCAGCCCTAGGAATTCAAGACCAGACTGGGCTACATAGTGAGACTTTGTCGCTACAAAAAAATTTTAAAAATTAGCCAGGTGCAGTGGTGTGCACCTGTAGCCCCAGCTGCTCAGGAGGCTGAGGTGGAAAGATCACTTGAGCCTGGAAGGTTGAGGCTGCAGTGAGCAGTGATTGTGCCACTGCACTCCATCCTGGGTGCCAACCAGTCTCAAAAAATAAAAACAAAAATTGGATACAATTCCCAGGTTGCTTTATTAAGGTGCAAATAAGTCCATTTCTTCCTATTCAGTTTTTAACTCTTTTTCTCTCAGGGAATGGTTGAGCTAACACAATGAAGCCTTGGTTGTGCCTTGTCTAGTTATTTCCCTTGGATTTCAGATACCAACCCCTACCAAGAAAGAGTAGTTTAGAAACTTCAATATGCAGGCCGGGCGCGGTGGCTCAAGGCTGTAATCCCAGCACTTCGGGAGGCCAAGGCAGGTGGATCACTTGAGATCAAGAGTTCTAGACCAGCCTGACCAACATGGAGAAACCCTGTCTCTACCAAAAATACAAAATTAGCTGGGCGTGGTGGCGCATGCCTGTAATCCCAGCTACTTGGGAGGCTGAGGCAGGAGAATCACTTGAACCTGGGAGACGGAGGTTGCAGTAAGCCAAGATCGCGCCATTGCACTCCAGCCTGGGCAACAACAGCGAAACTCTGTCTCAAAAAAAAAAAAAAAACCAACAACAACTCATATTCCAGGGTCCCGCTCCTGGGGTCATCTAGACTTAAGGAACCCAGAAGTCTGTGTTTTTACTAGTGCCCCACACAATCCTGGCAGGTGATTCATAGACCATATTTGAGAAGTTATGGTGGAACCAAGTGTGCCCAGACTTGCTAAACATTGAGCATTGGAGAGTGGGGACAGAAAGGAAACTTGGGTTTGGGTTGTAAGCTGACTCATGGAAGGTACAGCCCATCTTTTCCTCATGGGTACTCTGGGCTTAAACTGTGAGGAATTTTACAGCATCTCAGACCAGAGACGACTTTGTGGTGGGCCTTAGAGAATGATCAAGGCAACATGTTCTAAGGTCTTGATGGCAGAAGCACCAGGAGCCTATTGTTTAATAATTAAATGTCTATTATTGGGACAGTGGCCTGTCAAACTCGGCATGTAAGTAAACACCCCCTCCCTGCCCACAGACCATGGGAGTTTCATCTTTAGTTCATGGCTTCTAATTTATACTGTACTTGACTTCCCTGACGTTCTATCCCTTCTCCATGCTTCTTGCCTCCTCCCATTATACACTGCTCCTCTGAGAAAGGAAGACATAGTGAAAAGTGCTGTAATGAAGCCAGCAGTCCTAACATTAAGTTCTCTTTCACTTACTAGCTGTGTGACTTTAGTAAAGTTACTTAGCCTCTCTGAGCCTTGATTCTCTTTTGTAAAAGGAGAATAATACCTACCTCATTAAATTGCTATAAGAGTTAGAAATGCCAGATGGGGCACAGTGGCTCATGCCTATAATCTTAGCACTTTGGGAGGCCAAGGCAGGATTGCTTGAAGCCAGGAGTTCAAGACCAGCCTAAGCAAAAAAGCAAGACGCTGTCTCTAAAAAGAGAGATGTTTTATGTCAAGTACCTGGCACAATACTTGTCACTCAGTAGGTGGCAGGTGGGGATATCACTGCCCTACTGCAGACTGGGGCTTTCCCTCCTCCTGCTGAGGTTCTTGACTCAGAGCACTTCAGCATTGCTACAATGGGAGTTGCTCTCTTGGCAATTACTTGAAAGTTTCTAGACAAAGTTGGAAAGGACTTTCGCAGTCATCTGGTCCATCTGGCCCAGTGGATGCAGGAGATCCTGGCACAGGCCTCATGACAGATGGGCACCCCAACTCTGCAAGTACCAATGGAGAGCTCCCTCCTGAAGCTGACTGTCATCGGAAGATTCGTTGATTGGAAGAAAGCTTTTCCTTGAATTGATCTGAAATCATTTCCCCACTAATTATAGACTCAAAACCAGTTACAGCTAAAAGACATCTTCAAGATCTTCAAACCCACCCACTGATTTTATGAATGAGGACTTGGAGGCTCAGGGAAGTAGGGTGAGGTGCTGTTCACGCAGAGCTAAGCAGACCAGTGTCTCCTTCAATGTCACTGATTCACATGGCCTCTCAGTTCTTACAGTGTCTCCCCCACCCACATTCCCTCAACTTTCCTCCCACGAACCAGGATCCACTCTTCACTCCTCTGATTACCCACCTTTGCATATGCAAGTTTGTGATGCCAAGAACTATGCATAATTCTTACCGTGATCTGGCCCTAGCAGAGCAAAATGGGACTATTTGAGAGTTAGAGCTGGGGCAAGATAGGAATTAGACCTGGAAAGGTCAAGAACTTAAACTACACAAAAGCAGCAGGTTAGTCGGGCTCAGTGGCTCACACCTGTAATCCCAGCACTTTGAGAGGCCAATGGGGGACGATCACCTGAGGTCAAGAATTCGAGACCAGCCTGGCCAACATGGTGAAACCCCAACTCTACTAAAAATACAAAAATTAGCGGGGTATGGTGGTGGCCACCTGTAATCTCAGCTACATGGGAGGCTGAGGCAGGAGAATCTCTTGAACTCAGGAGACGGAGGTTGCCGTGAGCTGAGATCACACCATTGCACTCCAGCCTGGATGACAAGAGTGAGACTCTGTCTCAACAACAACAACAACAACAAAAAGCCGCAGGTTCCTTATAGAAATGTGGGTGGTTGTGGTTGTTTAGTTGTATTCAGCTCCTCTTCACTGACCTCTTAGAATTTGTTGTAGACACTTTTGAAACATCTCTAACAGGCCCAAGGAAGGTACTCAGTGAAATTTGCTAAGTTAACATAAATTTAATTTTAACTTTTTTTCTACCGAATTTAAAAGGAAGGGGTGGAGATAGAAGAAAGTGTCAAAGAAGAAATTGACCTGTTGTCTCAAAACCAGTTGTAAATTTGTAATTTTGCCTAAATGAAGAGTGGGACCTCACACATGATTTTAAAATAAACCCAAGCAAAATTTCTGTAAGTCTAGTGTTGGCATTTTCTGGAAATGTTAATAGAGATCACACAATAAAGAATTGCCTGGTCTAAGATACAATAAAAATTGTGAGACCTTTTGTTCAAAGCCATTCAGAGAAATTATCTTGGAGATTCTCACATTTCTGAAAGGAGGAAGGAGGGGGCATGGCTGAGAAGATTGCCGTATTATTCAACTGAACAATCCTCAGGGAAGGTATGTGTTTTATGAAATTGCTGTCACTGTCAACATATTTAGCAATATGGCACTGCCTCAGTAGTTTTTTAAGACCAATATTACATCTAGTTATTGGATTTTGAGACTTTCTAATAGTTGGCATTATTAGAATGGAGAGACTAAATGTTAGTTTTAATAGGAGTTATCCATGTATCTATCCCAGGTACATCTGGTGTGGTTTTTTAAAATTTATCTGTAATTTGTTTCATTTTTAGACAAATTAGATATATGCTCTCCTAGATAAAAATTTATAAAAATCTCATTCCTTTATATGAAAGACATCTTTAGCACTCACACCAGAAGTGATCTCAGAAGCAGCTGATCTGATTAGCTAATTCTTGCCAAAAGAACAACCAAATAAGTACCACACCAAAAGTAAAATTGTTGTTTTTGTCAGAAGTTTTCCATTATTCAAATAGGCAATTTTAAATAACACACATTCAGCTGTTACAAGCAGTGTGTGGTGGGGGGAGGGTAAGGGGAGTGTTGGTGCTATTTCAAAAAGAACAAGAGCTATTTGGAGCCCTCACGAGGTCAAGGAAAGAAACCATTTGCTACTTCTGTAGCGCACTCCAAGAGAGACCGTCCTGAGCTCAAGCTAGACTAAAAGACTAAATGTAGGCTGGGCATGGTGGCTCACGCCTGTAATCCTAGCACTAAGGCTGAGGCGGGCAGATCACCTGAGATCAGTAGTTCGAGACCAGCCTGGCCAACATGGTGAAACCCTGTCTCTACTAAAAATACAAAAATTAGCCGGGTGTGGCAGTGAATGCCTGTAGTCCCAGCTACTTGGGAGGCTGAGATAGGAGAATCACTTGAACCCGGGAGACGGAGGTTGCAGTGAGCCAAAAGTGCGCCACTGCACTCCAGCCTGGGCAACAAGAGCAAAACTGTCTCAGACACACACACACACCCCCACACTTCTTGTAACAGCTGAATGTGTGTTTATTTAAAATTGCCTATTTAAATAAAGGGGAAAAAATCTTGTTGATTTCTTAAATAGTATTTATCTTACGGTGAAGCCTTTTTTCTGTGATAAGCCATCATCAAATTAATAATGGAAGTTAGTGGGAAATGATTCCATTTTAAAATTAGCATTATTCCCAACTGTTTACGCTTTTTATTATATATGTCTTTTCTGAGAGAAGGAGGAGACGTATGGATGGGTAATCTACAAGGTCTATGATGCTATTCAAGTCAGCACTTCTCTGATCTTTAAAAAATCCAGCAGTACCTAATGCTAAATGACGAGTTAATGGGTGCAGCACACCAGCATGACACATGTATACATATGTAACTAACCTGCACATTGTGCACATGTACCCTAAAACTTAAAGTATAATAATAAAAAAAAATCCAGCAGTAAGGAATTTTGATAGTCTAACTCAGTTACTCCTAAAAGCTATTGCCAAAAACAAAAGGAATAAAGAATGGTGACAAAGATTCTGCTTTTGATAACAGACTAAAGCAGGCTGTCTGAGGTAAGTTATTAACTCATATCAGAAACAAAAGAGTGGCACAGCTTTAGAAATAGAAAACCTGGATTCTGGTCCTCACTGCTTCTTTTTTTTTTTTTTTTTTTGTGGTGGAGTCTTGCTCTGTCACCCAGGCTGGCTCCGCCTCCCGGGTTCACGCCATTCTCCTGCCTCAGCCTCCCGAGTAGCTGGGACTACAGGCGCCCACCACCACGCTCAGCTAATTTTTTGTATTTTTAGTAGAGACGGGGTTTCACTGTGTTAGCCAGGATGGTCTACGATCTCCTGACCTCGTGATCCACCCACCTCAGCCTCCCAAAGTGTTGGGATTACAGGCGTGAGCCATGGCGCCCGGCCTCTCACTTCTTTACCCTATGGCCTTGGGGTAATTTGTTTAATCTCTGTGCGGAAATCACTTGCTGCAGGCAAAGTGCTGGATCTGATCATCTTTTGGGGGTGTCTTTTAGTGGTAAGATCTATTACCAGAATTCTTGGGAAAGTAGCTGTCTTTGTTTCAGGAAATACCATGATAAACCCCGAGGGCATAAGAACTGGCTAAGGCTCAGGAACCAAAAAAAGGCCGAAAGGCTGCACTTGTAGAAGCAGGAAATTAATTTTTCTTGGGGGTCAGAGGTGGGGGAAGGTGTTCCCTATAGGGTGAAGGAGTGAGGAGAGGGGAAGGGAGGGCTAGAAAATTGTTGGGCTAAGGGCCCTGCATGAAATAAAGATCAGTGAGAAACCTCCAGGACGGAACGATCAAAAGGACTCTTGAGAACAAGAAAGCCTAAAATGCAATTTTACGTGGTTTGTGGTGTAATGGGCAATGTGACCCTTCCCCGTGACCCCTACATCTTAGTGAACTTGAATACACTAACGTGCTGTTTCAATGGGGGTTTATTGAAAGAGGAGTAAGGAACCGTATGGACACACTGCAAAACGAACACAGCCTCAGAAAAGCTGGAGCCAGGGCTCAGAGAGGCCCTCCGCAACGCAGGCTCTCCTGAATCAGCAGAGGGTTTGGTAGGATTTCCAATCAGACATGAAGGGTCCCGGGGAGCCCGGCTGCCATTTGGATTGCCCCAGTGATGGAGCGTCTGCAGGCTGCCTGCCCTCTGAGCCCCTCTGCTAGCTTCCTTTTCCGGGTTTTTGTCCTTTTCACATTAGTGACAATTTAAGGGGTGACTTCAGAGTCTGCTAGGATCACCTCTAGCTCCACTATTTTGGTTTGAACATAAAGCATTTTCCTTTCATGTTGTTTTGCCCCTCAATGGGTTTCTGAAACCCCTTTGTATTGTTCTTAAATAATTTTCTAGTTTTAGCACATTTTGTCATTTTTGTTTCTTCTTTTTTGAGACAGGATCTCGCTCTGTTGCTCAGGCTGGAGTGCAGTGGTGCAATCTCTGTTCACTGCAACCTCTGCTTCCCAGGTTCAAGTGATTCTCATGCCTCAGCCTCCCAAGTAGCTGGGAATACAGGCACCTGCCACCACACCCAGCTAATTTTTGTATTTTTAGTAGAGACAAGGTTTCACTATGTTGGCCAGGCTGGTCTCGAACTCCTGGCCAAAGTATTGGGATTACAGCATGAGCCACCATGTCTGGCCACTTTTCCTCTTTTTTGGGGGGTTTGCAGGGTGGTAGTCTCGCTCTGTCACCAGGTTGGAGTGCAGTGGCGCAATCTCGGTTCAAGGCAATCTCTGCCTCCTGGGTTCAAGTCATTCTCCTGCCTCAGCCTCCTGAGTAGCTGGGATTACAGGCACCTGCCATCATACCCGGCTAATTTTTAGTAGAGATGGGGTTTCACCACCTTGATCTCCTGACCTCATCATCCACCTGCCTCAGCCTCCCAAAGCACTGGGATTACAGGCGTGAGCCACTGCGCCCAGCCTCCTCTTTTTATTAGAAGTAAATCAATAGAGATTCTGGTTTTTTTCCTCTTGTTAGAAGTGAATTGACAGATTCTGGCTTGTTTCCTACTCCTCTTTTTCATTCGTCATTCAGATTTTTCTTTACTTGGAACTCTCATGGTTACCTGAAGGGCTCCTTTAGGAACCATTTGTAGTTTACTTTCTGTAAGCATTATTGGATATGACATCAATTTTTAGCATATTTAATGAGTTAGATCATCTTTCATATTGAAAAGTTGTATTGCTTCTTGCAACTTCAATTTTTAAAATAAATTTATCTTTACATATTCCCCATTCAATTCTATGAGAGTTTCACTTTTCTCACCCTAAGTGAAAATAATCACTTTGGAGTTCCAAATAAAAGCATTAACAACACCACCTAGGGCCGGATGTGGTGGCTCATGCCTGTAATCCCAGCACTTTCGGAGGCCGAGGCGGGAGGATCACTTGAGGTCAGGAGTTTGAAGCCAGCCTGGCCAACATGGTGAAACCCCGTCTCTACCAAAAAATACAAAAAATTAGCCACGTGTGGTGGTGGGCGCCATAATTCCAGCTACTCGGGAGGCTGTGCCAGGAGACTCACTTGAACCTGGGAGGTGTATTTGCAGTGAGCCAAGATTGCACCACTGCACGCCAGCCTGGGTGACAGAGCGAGACTCCATCTCAAAAAAAAAAAAAAAAACACCTAAAGATTATGCCAGTGGAAGAATACATCAGTATAACCTTTCTGTCAAGCAATTTGGTGGGGAGCCGTAAAAGTGTTTATACCCTTCAGCCCAGTGATCACAGTTCTCGGAATTTTTCCACTGGAAATAATAAAAAACGTGGTTCAAGATTTACGTACAATATGTTTATTGTAACATTATTTATTTGTGATAGTGACAAATTGGAAACAGCCAAAGTGTCCAGCAAAAGGAAAATAAACGGTTACATCCATATGATAAAAATTATGCAGCAATTAAAAACTACACTTTTCCTTGAACCTTGTAGTCAGTTAAAAGTGTTTGGACAACCTCTCTGAGTGTACATGACTTCCATGATGGAAAGCAGGAGTGGCTTAGGTCTCTTTAACGCTCTCCACTGACTGTGAAAATCAGTCCATCCTGAAGTGGGCACAGAGAGTGAAGGGGCTTATTCCAAAGGTCCAGCCCCAGAGGTTCTGTCTTTGCAAGTCTCGGGGCCTTCAAATTTAACGTTTTTTTTTTTTTTTGAGACGGAGTCTTGCTCTGTCACCCAGGCTGGAGTGCAGTGGTGCGATCTCAGCTCACTGCAAGCTCAGCCTCCCGGGTTCACGCCATTCTCCTGCCTCAGCCTCTGGAGTAGCTGGGACTACAGGCACCCGCCACCACGCCCGGCTAATTTTTTTGTATTTTTAGTAGAGACAGGGTTTCACTGTGTTAGCCAGGATGGTCTCGATCTCCTGACCTCGTGATCCACCCACCTCGCGGCCTTCCGAAGTGCTGGGATTATAGGCATGAGCCACCGCGCCCAGCCAAATTTTACATTTTTTACTAAGGTTTCCATGTGATTCTGACATGAACCCAGCCTGAGATTACCACCTCACCCCCTACCCATACACCAGGTGGCTGGATTCTTTTTTTTTCAGATAGAGTCTTGCTCTGTCGCCAGGCTGGAGTGCAGTGGCGCGATCTCAGCTCACTGCAACCTCCACTTCCCGGGTTCAAGCGATGCTTCTGCCTCAGCCCCCTGAGTAGCTGGGACTACAGGCGTCCACCATACCCAGCTAATTTTTGTATTTTTTTTTTAATAGAGAGGGGGTTTCACCATGTTGGCCAGGATGGTCTCAATCTCTTGACCTCCCTGCTCCCGGCCCAGGTCCTGGATTCTAATAAGAACTGAGGAGGGGAGTAGAAAAGAACTGTTCTTTCAAGAAATTTTTACTATTTGGGGAAACGCTATGTGGAAGTAAGATTTTTTTTTTTTTTAAGACAGGGTCTCACTCTGTTGCTCAGGCTGGAGTGCAGTGGCACGATCATAGCTCATGATGTCAGAATTTTTAATAAATTGTATCATTCAAAGTTTATGGGGGAAATTAATATATGCTTAGAAAAATAAACATGCCAAAATATTTATAGAGCTTATATGTGAGTAATAGAATTGTGGATGATTAATGGGGAACCATGAGAAGCCCTGATTCAGAGAGGTGAGGTAATTGCCCCAAGTTCTCGTAGCCAGCAAAGTGCTGGAGGGAGGATTCAAACCCAAGTCTGCTTCACTATTAAGTCTGCTCTCTAACAGCTGCTGAAATGTTACTTAAATTTTAAATATATACATAAAATAAATACAGGCTGGGTGCGGTGGCTTATGCCTATTATCCCAGCACTTCAGGAGGCCAAGGCAGGATGATCGCTGGAGCCTGGGCAAAACCAGCCTGGGCAACATAGTGAAACCCCATCTCTACAAAAAAATTTAAAATTAGCTGGGCATGGCCAGGCGTAGTGGCCTCACACTTGTAATCCCAGCACTTTGGGAGGCCTAGGTGGGCGGATCACGAGGTTAGGAGTTCGAGACCAGCCTGGCCAACACAGTGCAACCCCGTCTCTACTAAAAATACAAAGATTAGCTGGGCTTGGTGGCGGGCGCGTGTAATCCCAGCTACTTGGGAGGCTGAGGCAGGAGAATCGCTTGAACCCGGGAGGCGGAGGTTGCAGTGAGCCGAGATTGCACCACTGCACTCCAGACACTGGGCGACAGAGCTAGACTCCATCTCAAAAACAAAAACAAAACAAAACAAAAAATTAGCTAGGCATGATGGCATGAACCTGTAGTCCCAGCTACCCAGAGCGCTGAGATGGGAGAATCGCTTGAGCCCTGGAGGTTGAGGCTGCAGTGAGCCATGATCTGCACTCCAATCTGGGCGACAGAGAGAGACCCTGTGTGGAAAAAAAAAAAAAAAAAAAAGAAATACAAATACAAATATGGCATTCTGAATGTGGTAGATTGAATTATTTATCCCAATTCTTCCATGCCCTGTGTAATTATTTTATATTCAGGCCCTTGCTGTGGCCTCATGATGGACAGGATATAGTCTGTGCACCTTGATTTGGGGCTTGGCCATGTGACTTGCATTGGCCAATAGATTGAGGGTGAATATAATGAAAAGGAAGACTTAAAATGGGCTAGCACAGTTGGGCCTTTTCTTTTGCATTCCTGCTTTTTGCCATGAAAATAACATGCTTCAGGTAATCTGTGGTACAAGGGAGATGAGAAATATGTGGGGGCAAACATGGACCCAACCTGCAACTGAAATCTTAAATATCAGCCAACCTGAAAACACACAAGGAAAAATAAGTGATTATGGTTTTAAGTTATTGTGTTATGGATTACCTTAATTTGTGTAGAATTATTATGGTTGACATAATAAAGCATAAAGATGTTTGCATTAAGTCATAGAAATTAATCTCTTGGTCTATCAATACAGGTCCAAATTTGGTTATGCAAATGATCTAGTGTCTATAGGTAATCAACATCTGGGAAAAGGATATAACAAGACATTTTATTTAATACAAATTGCTTCATTGCATAGAGATATGAGTCTCCAGTGAGGAGGGAAATATTTACATAAGGAATACATGATATTCAGTGGGGAAAAAGGAACACAAACCCCAAATCTCTAGAGGCGAGGGTTGGGAAATACAGTTTATGTGAGCCAGGCCCAGGGTAGAGTATGAACAATGAGGAAATAACAAATAGCCTGGCCTCTAGAGCTCAAAAGAGAGTCATTTTCTTTTAAGGGCGTGGAAGTACATTCTGCCCATCATGAGGCCATAGCAAGGGTATGAATGTAAAGAGTGGAAAATTCTAAACTCGACAAGCTTTGAGGTTGGAGCTAGAAGGCCCCGAGACCCACTGTGGGCACCCTGTGGGAGCTCTGGACAATGATGACTCAGTCTGTGAACTGCACTCCTGGAGCCTAAGCACTGGTTCTACATTTTACTCTCCCCACCTTTTTGTTTTTTTGCAAAAATGAGATTATGTCTCATTTAATCAACTAATTTTGCAGTATACCTGAACTATTTTTCAAATTATTAAATATTCTTCTACAATTTCTTTTCTTTTTTTTTTTCTGAGACAGAGTCTTGCTCTATTGCCCAGGCTGGAGTGCAGTGGTGCAATCTCTGCTCACTGCAGCCTCCACTTCCTGGGTTCAAGCAATTCTCTGCCTCAGCCTCCTGAGTAGCTAGGATTACAGGCGCCTGCCACCATGCCTGGCTAAGTTTTGTATTTTTAGTAGAGATGGGGTTTCACCATGTTAGCCAGGTCGGTCTCGAACTCCTAACCTCGTGATCCACCTGCCTCAGGCTCCCAAAGTTCTGGGATTACAGGTGTGAGCCACTGTGCCCGGCCTACAATTTCATTTTAATGTCTACAAAGCATTCTCTTCTATGGTCCACTGTCCTAGGGCATTTGCTTATTTAGGATGGGAAATCAGATAGAAACACTTTTCTCCCACGTTCTATCCTCCACCTTTTTTTTCTTTTTCTTTCTTTTTTCCTTTTTTTTTTTTTTTTTTGAGACAGAGTCTCACTCTATTGCCCAGGCTGCAGTGCAGTGGCGCAATCTCGGCTCCCTGCAACCTCCATCTCCCAGATTCAAGCAATTCTCCTGCCTCAGCCTCCCGAGTAGCTGGGACCACAGGTGCATGCCACCACACCCAGCTAATTTTTGTATTTGTAGTAGAGAGGGGGTTTCACCATTTTGGCTAGGCTGATCTTGAACTCCTGGCCTCAAGCGATCCACCCGCCTTGGCCTTCCAAAGCTCTGGGTTTACAGGCATGAGCCACTGTGCCCAGCCTGTTTTTTTTATTTGTTTTGTTTTTTGTTTTTATTGGAGACAGAGTCTCACTCTGTAGCACAGGCTGGAATGCACTGGCATGATCTCAGCTCACTGCAACCTCCGCCTCCCAGATTTAAGCAATTCTCATGCCTTAGCCTCCCAAGTAGCTGGAACTACAGGCATGCACCACAACACCCAGCTAATTTTTTGTATTTTAGTAAAGATGGGGTTTCATTATGTTGCCCAGGCTGGTCTCAAACTCCTGAGCTCAGGCAATCCACCCACCTTGGCCTCCCAAAGTTGTAAGATTACAGACATAAGCTACCACTGCACTCAGCCCTTCACCTTTTTTTCTGTTTTTTTGGTTTTTTTTAAATATGAATCTAGGCCAGGTGCGGTGGCTCACGCCTGTAATCCCAGCATTTTGGGAGGCCAAGGCAGGCGGATCACGAGGTCAGGAGATCAAGACCATCCTGGCTAACACAGTGAAACTCCGTCTCTACTAAAAATACAAAAAGAAATTAGCCAGGCATGGTGGCGGGCACCTGTAGTCCCAGCTACTACTCGGGAAGTTGAGGCAGAAGAGTGGGGTGAACCTAGGAGGCGCAGCTTGCAGTGAGCCGAGATCGCACCACTGCACTCCAGCCTGGGCGACAGAGTGAGACTCCATCTCAAAAAAAATAAAATAAAATAAGAATCTATACCCAAAGCAAACATGCTAAATAAAAACATCAGAAAATAAGTTAATTGGAGAGAAAAATCAAAGAGAATAAAATACATGAAACATTTTGATCAAAACAATGAAACAGGCCAGGCACAGAAGCTCACACCTGTAATCCCAACACTTTGGGAGGCCAAGGCAGGTGGCTCACTTGAGGTCAGGAGTTTGAGACCAGCCTGGCCAACATGGTGAAACGCTGTCTCTACTAAAAATACAAAAATTAGCTGGGTATGGTGGTGGGCACCTGTAATCTCAGTTACTTGGGAGGCTGAGGCAGGAGAATCGCTTGAACCTGGGAGGTGGAGGTTGCAGTGAGCCAAGATTGTGCCACTGCACTCCAGCCTGGGCAACAGAGTAAGACTCTGTCTCAAAAAAAAAAAAAAAAAAAAAAAAAAAGCTAGGTGTGGTAGCTCACACCTGTAATCCCAGCACTTTGGGAGGCCAAGATGGGCAGATCACCTGAGGTCGGGAGTTCGAGACCAGCCTGACCAACATGGAGAAACCCCATCTCTACTAAAAATACAAAATTAGCTGGGCATGATGGCACATGCCTATAATCCCAGCTACTCGGGAGGCTGAGGTAGGAGAATTGCTTGAACCCAGGAGGCAGACTTTACGATGAGCTGAGATTGTGCCATTGCACTCCAGGCTGGGCAACAAGAGCGAAACTCTATCTCAAAAAACAAAACAAAAAACAATGAAACAAGAAATAAATAGGCTGGGAATGGTGGCTCATGCATGTAATCCCAGAACTTTGGGAGGCTGAGGCTGGCAGATCACTTGAGGTCAGGAGTTTGAGACCAGCCTGGCCAACATGGTGAAATCTCATCTCTACAAAAAATACAAGGGCCGGGCGTGGTGGCTCACACCTGTAATCCCAGCACTTTGGGAGGGTGAGTCGGGCAGATCACGAGGTCAGGAGATCAAGACCATCCTGGCTAACACAGTGAAACCCTGTCTCTACTAAAAATACAAAAAATTAGCCAGGCGTGGTGGCAGGCACCTGTAGTCCCAGCTACTTGGGGGGCTGAGGCAGGAGAATGGCGTGAACCTGGGAGGCGGAGCTGGCAGTGAGCCAAGATTGTGCCACTGCACTCCAGCCTGGGCAACAGAGCAAGACTCTGTCTCAAAAAGAAAAAAAAAAAATTAGGTGGGCATGGTGGCATGCGCCTATAGTCCCAGCTACTCAGGAGGCTGAGGTAAAAGAATCACTTGAACCTGGGAGGAAGAGTTTGTAGTGAGCCAAGATTGTACCACTGCACTCCAGCCTGGGTGACAGAGTGAGGCTCTGTCTCAAATTAAAAAAAAAAAAGAAAAAAGAAAAGAAAAGGAAAGAAAGAGAGGGAGAGAGAAAGAGAGAGAGAAAGAAAGAGACTTAAAGGACATTCTCTAAATATTAATATTTAATAAGAAATAGCTATGAGCAAGCATACCATGAGACATAAAATTTTATACATTTTAAAATAAATCCAAACCCTGGATATTTATTCCAAGCATATGATTCAAAACAAGAATAAACTACAGAATGTATGGCTAAGTGGCTCCTAGCAGACACAGTTCTTGCACAGATTACTGTAAAACTCCAGACAAAATACAACACAAAACTTTGAAGGCATTTTAGAATAAACAAAAGCAGGCAGATTCTGGAGAGGAGTCAACACTCAAGGAAAAAAAAAAAAAAAGGAACATCACAGGGTAAATTATCCATTTATAGAGCTTTTTTCCTGAAGTCAGACCATAGTCAGCACTGCATGTAGTGACTACAACAGACAAAACACTTGCTGAAAAACCACCAGACAAAATTCAGGGAATCCTCTGGTGCTGGTGAGGGGAAGGTAGAATCCCAGAAAGAAAAGACTCATATTGGAAGGGTAATAAATTTTGTATATAAAGTCTGTCCAAATTTCTGTTCGACCCCTGAACCACATAGGCATGAGACAGATGTGAGCTAAGAACAAGAGAATTTGAGCTGCCATCAAAGATATGGAGTTTACAGTTTAAGTTCAACTCAAATTAGTTCTCTGTTTTTAAATTACCCATGTTCTTTAGAGAATATAAAATAATTCAGAATCTCTACAAGATAGCATTGACAAGGTCTAGGATACAGTCTGAAGACTCAGGAAAATATGACATCAACAGAGACCAATGGTGAGAACACTCAAAACTTAAAATTAGTAGATAGGGATTTAACAGCTATTATAACTATGTTCAAAGAAGTAAAGGAAAATATGCTCACAATAAATGAAAAGATAGGGAACCTTAGGGGGTAAATAGGGACCATATCAAATAACCAAATAGAAATTTTAGAACTGAAATATACAATTTCTGAAATTAAAATCTCACTGGATGATTTTAACAGGAGAATATAGATGACAGAGGAACAACCCAGGAAGCTTGAAAAAATCCAATCTGAATAACAAATGAAAAATATTGAAAAAATAAACAGAGCCCCAGAGACTTGTGGGACAATATAAAATGTCCAATATATCTATTATCAAAGGAAAGACAGAATGAAGCAAAGAGAAAATTTTAGAAAACAGCCAATTTTTTTTTATTTAGTGAAAATTATAAATTTACAGATTAAAGAAAGTCAGTGAAATCCAAGCCAGAAACTCTAAAGAAAATTATGCTTAGAAGCAGCACAGTCAAAATTCTGAAAAAAGATAAAGGGAAAATCATGAAAACATTACATACAGGGGAACAATGATTTAAGTGACTAATTACTTTTAGTAGAAATTTTATGGAGACAGTAAAACAATATGTTTTAAATTCTGAAAAATAAATCATCAACCCAGAATTACATATTCAGCAAAAAATATATTTCAACAATAAAAGTGAAAGAATTACCTTTTCAGATTAAAAAAAAAAAAAGCTAAGGTAATTTGTTTATTAACAAGACTATACTATAAGAAACACTACACTTTGAGAGGCCGAGGCAGGCAGATCACGAAATCAGAAGTTCGAGACCAGCCTGACCAACATGGTGAAACCCTGTCTGTACTCAAAATACAAAAATTGCCTGGGTGTGGTGGCTCATGTCTGTAATCCCAGCTACTCAGGACCTGGGACAAGTTCACTTGAACCCGGGAGGTGGAGGTTGCAGTGAGCTGCGATCGCACCACTGCACTCTAGCCTGGGTGACACAGCGAGACTCTGTCTCAAAAAGAAAAAGAAACACTAAAGGGGCCCATCCCAGTAATCTCAACACTTTGGGAGGCTGAGGCAGGTGGATTGCTTGAACCCAGGAGTTCGAGACCAGCCTGGGCAAAATGGTGAAACCTCATCTCTACAAAAAAATACAAAAAATTAGTCAGGTGTGGTGGCATGCTCCTCATGTAGTCCCAGTTACTTAGGAAGCTGAGGTGGGAGAATCACTCCAGCCCAGGAAGTTGAGGCTGCAGTGAGCCATGATCATGCCACTGCAGTCCAGCCTGGGTGGCAGAGTGAGAATCTGTCTTTTTTTTTTTTTTGAAACAGGGTATCATTCTGTGGTCCAGGCTGGAGTTCAGTGGTGCAATCTCAGCTAGCTGCAACCTCCACCTCCCAGGTTCAAGTGAGTCTCCTGGCTCAGCCTCCTGGGTAGCTGGAATTATGGCACCCACCACCACACCTGGATAATTTTTTGTATTTTTTAGTAGAGACGGGGTTTCACCATGTTAGCCAGGCTGGTCTTGAACTCCTGGCCTCAAGTGACCCACCCACCTCAGCCTCCCAAAGTGCTGGGATTACAGGCATGAGCCACAACACCCAGCCTGAGTCTCTCTTAAAAAAAATACTAAAGGAAATTCTGCAGGCTGAAGGCAATTGATGCTAAAATGAAGATAATTTTCAGGAAGAAATGGAGAACATAAAAAATGGCAAATATGTGGGTAAATATAAAATACTTTTTCCTCTTAATTTATTTAAAAAGGACTGTTTAAAGTAAAAATTGTAAGAGGTCCTTGTAGGATTTCTAATGTATATGGAAGTAATATATATGACAAGTGTTGCATAAAGGAATGGTGGGGGTGGGCAGACTAATGAGGTTTCAAGGTTCTGCCATTTATTTATTTATTTAGACAGGACCTTGCTCTGTTGCCCAGGCTGGAATGCAGTAATGCGATCTTATCTCACTTCAGCCTTGAACTCCTGGCCTCAAGCCATCCTCCTGCTCAGCCTCTTGATGAGCTGGGATTACAGGTGTGTCCCACCATGCTCAACTCTACCTTTTATATAACATGATACAATATATGGCCAGGTGCGGTAGCTCACGACTGTAATCCCGGCACTTTGGGAGGCCGAGGTGGGCAGATCACCTGAGGTCAGGAATTTGAGACCAGCCTGGCCAACATGGTGAAACCCCATCTCTACTAAAAATACAAAAATCAGCCGGGTGTGATGGTGTGCTCCTGTAGTCCCAGCTACTCAAGAGGTGGAGGCAGGAGAACCACTCCATCTGGGAGGCAGATTGCAGTGAGCTGAGATCACGCCACTGCACTCCAGCCTGGGTAACAGAGCAAGACTCTGTCTCAAAATAATAATAATAAAATAAAATGATACAATATAAATTCTAAATTAGGCTGTGAAAATTTAAACACGCATACTGTGATCCCTAGAACAAGCACTAAATGATGCAGGAAATATAGTGAAAAAGTCAATATATAAAATATTCAAATAATCCAAAAGATAGAAAAGGATGGAAAAAAACACCAAACTGAAGTAATTAACAGAAAGCAGTGGTTTTCCTTTGGCTCCAGGACAAAAATCCATGAGGCCTCCATGGCCTGACTTGGCCAACTTTGCCAGCCTCATCTCTCTAGTCCACTAAGCTTTCTTCATATTAAGCTTTCTCTTCTTCTCTCCACTATCTCCTGTCATCTCCTGCCAGAGAAACTTTCCAGAGTCCTTTCACCTGTCTAATTCCTTCCTCATTCTCCAGGTCTTAACTTAGGTGACACTTTCTTCAGGACGCCTTCCTGGGCCAGCTTCTTCCTCCTGTGTGGTGTATTGCACCCCAAACATCCTCCTTTACTTCACTCATCTGACCACTCTGAAATTTCTGGTTCAGTGCCTCTGTTTCCCTAGACTGAGCTTTAGGAAGGCAGGGATATGGCCTATTTTGCTGAGCATTCTATGCTGTGGCTTGGCATAGAGCTCAGCACATAGTAAATACTCAGTAAACATTTGTCAAGTGGCTAAAAAGTGACTAAGTGAATGAGTAGAGAAGGAAGATATTGATTAGTCCACCTCGGGAAGAATCCCTATACTGGAATGTTGAAAGTTGCCACAAAATATAGTAGTGAGAGAAGCTGAAGGAAGTGAGGAAAACCTGTCATAAAAGTGGCTAAGGGGGCCGGGCAAGGTGGCTCACGCCTGTAATCCCAGCACTTTGGGAGGCCAAGGTGGGTGTATCACCTGAGGTCAGGAGTTCAAGACCATCCTGGCCAACATGCTAAAACCCCATCTCTACTAAAAATTCAAAAATTAGCCAGGCATGGTGGTGGTGGATGCCTGTAATCCCAGCTACTCAAGAGGCTAAGGCAGGAGAATCATTTTAACCTAGGAGGTGGAGGTTGCAGTGAGCCGAGATCATGCCACTGTACTCCAGCCTGAGTGACGGAGCAAAACTCCATTAAAAAAAACAAAAAAAAAAACAAAAAAACAAAACAAAAAATACACACCTACAACCAACTAATCTTGGACAAAGTCAACAAAAATAAGCAATGGAGAAAGGACTCCTTATTCAATAAATAGTGCTGAGAAAACTGGCTGAGCATATGCAGAAGAGTAAAATTGGACTTTTTCCTCTTACCATATACAAAAATTAATTCAAGATGGGTTAAAGATTTAAATGTGAGACCTCAAACTATAAAAATCCTAGAAGAAAACCTAGAAAATACCCTTTTGGACATTGGCCTAAGCAAATAATTTAAGGCTAAGTCCTCAAAAGCAATTGCAATAAAAATAAAAATTGACAAGTGGGATCTAATTAAACTAATGAGATTCTGCACAGCAAAAAACCCATCAACAGAGTAAAACAGACAACCTACAAAATGGGAGGGAATATTTGCTAACTATGCATTCAACAAAAGTCTGATATGCAGAATCTATAAGGAACTTAACAAGCAAAAAAAAAAAAAAAAACTCATTAAAAAGTGGGCAAATGGCCAGGTGTGGTGGCTCATGCCTGTAATCCCAGCACTTTGGGAGGTCGAGGTGGGCAGATCACTTGAGGTCAGGAGTTCAAGACCAGCCTGACCAACATGGTGAAACCCCATCCCTACTAAAAATACAAAAAATAGCCAGGTATGATGATGGGCGCCTGTAATCTCAGCTACTTTGGAGGCTGAGACAGGAGAATCATTTGAACCCAGGAGGTGGAGGTTGCAGTGAGCCGAGATCATGCCACTGCCCTCCAGCTTGGGTGACAGATCGAGACTTTGTCTCAAAAAATAAAAAATAAATTAAAAAGTGGGCAAAGGACATGAACAGACACTCAAAAGGAGGCATACAGCCCGGGCATGGTGGCCCACACTGGTAATTTTGGCACTCTGAGAGACCATGGCAGGAGGATTGCTTGAGCTCAGGAGTTGGAGACCAGCCTGGGCAACGTGGCAAAACCCTGTAAAAATACAAATAATTAGCTAGTGGTTGTGGCACACCCCTGTAGTCCCAGCTACTAGGTAGGCTGAGATGAGAGAATCACCTGAGCAACAACAACTACAACAAAAAGAAGACATACAAGTGGACAACAAACATATTTAAAAATGTTCAGGCCAGGCATGGTGGCTCACACCTGTAATCTCAGAGCTTTGGGAGGCCAAGGCTGGAGGATCATTTGAGGTTAGGAGTTTGAGACCAGCCTGACCAATATGGTGAAATCCCATCTCTACTAAAATACAAAAATTAACCGGATGAGGTGGCAGGTACCTGTAATCTCAGCTACTCGGGAGGCTGAGGCAGGGGAACCACTTGAACCCAAGAGGCAGAGGTTGCAGTGAGCCAAGATCATGCCACTGCACTCCAGCATGGGCAGCAGAGCGAGACTCTCTCTCTCAAAAATAAAAACAAAAAATAAAAATGTTTAAAATCACTAATAATCAGAGAAACACAAATCAAAATCACAACAAGATACCATCTCACACCAGTCAGAAGGGCTATTATTAAAAAGTCAGAAAACAACAGATGTTGGTGAGGCTGCAGAGAAAAGGGAATGCTTATACATTGTTGTTGGGAATGTAAATTAATTCAGCCACTGCGGAAAACAGTTTGGAGATTTTCAAAGAACTAAAACAGAACTACCATTTAACCCAGCAATTCCATTACTGGGTATATACACAAAGGAAAATAAATCGTCCAGGCTGGGCGTGGTGGCTCATGCCTGTAATCCCAGCACTTTGGGAGGCCAAGGTGGGCAGATCACCTGAGGTCAGGAATTTGAGACCAGCCTGGCCAACATGGTGAAACCCTGTCTCTACTAAAAATATAAAATTAGCCGGGCTCGGTGGTGGGCACCTGCAGTCCCAGCTACTTGGGAGGCTGAGGCAGGAGAATCCCTTGAACCCAGGAGACAGAGGTTGCAGTGAGCCGAGATCACACCATTGCACTCCAGCCTGGGCAAAAAGAGCAAAACTCCATCTCAACAAATAAGTAAATAAATCGTCCTATGAAAAAACACATGCACTTGTATGTTTATTGCAGCATGTTCACTATAGCAGAGACATGGAATCAACCTAGGTGCCCATCAACAGTGGATTGGATTTATTTTTATTTATTTTTTTTTTTTTTGAGATGGAGTTTTGCTCTTGTAGCCCAGTCTGGAGTGCAGTGGCGCGATCTCGGCTCACTGCAACCTCTGCCTCCTGGGTTCAAGCGATTCTTCTGCCTCAGCCTCCTAAGTAGCTGGGATTACAGACACATGCCACCGTGCCCTGCTAATTTTTGTATTTTTAGTAAGGATGGGGTTTCACCATGTTGGCCAGGCTGGTCTCGAACTCCTAACCTCAGGTGATCCACCTGCCTCGGCCTCCCAAAGTGCTGGGATTACAGGCTTGAGTCAACATGCCTGGGCCCAGTGGATTGGATTTTTTTTTAAATGTGGTACATACACACCATGGAATACTATGCAGCCATAAAATAGAATGAAATCATGTCCTTTGCAGCAACATGGATGCAGGTGGAGGCCATTATCCTAAGCAAATTAACAAAGAGAAAACCAAATATCACATTTTCTCGCTTATAAGTGGGAGCTAAACCTTAAGTACACACAGACATAAAGATGGAAACAATAGGTACTGGGGACTCCAAAAGCAGGGAGGGAAGAAGGGAGATAATGGCTGAAAAACTTGCTTTTGGGTACTATTGGGCACCATGTTCACCATCTGGGTAACAGGGGCAATAGAAGCCCAAACCTTAGCATGATGCAATATACCCTTGTAGCAAACCAGCACGTGTACCTTCTTAATTTAAAATAAAAAATAAGAATCTAACGCAAAGTTCTGAGTTAAAGTATCTGTCGATTTGAAAATGCTTACCTAGCTAAAATCTTTTCAAGATTGAGGATAAAATGTGAACAAATTTATACAAGTAATATAAACTAAGTTTACTTCAATTATTTACATCTTTAAGAAATCTAGTAATATTTTAAATAAAATGCGGTTTCATATTTTTATAAAACACATATTATATACCTTAAATATGTACAATTTTTATTTATAAATTATACCTCAATAAAACTAGGGGAAAAGAGCCTTAATAAAAAAAGAAAAGAATGCCAAGGTATATCATTGAATGGAAAAGCATAGAACAGTGTGGAAACTATGCTGCCATTTGTGTGATATATGGGCACAGTCTGCTTGAAAGACATACAAGAAAATGTGTAACAGTGGGTTTCATGGTGGCAGGAACATCTTTTTAATTGATATAATATTCAAGTACTGCTCATTTAAAATAAAGAAAATTGGCCAGGCGCGGTGGCTCACACTTGTAATCCTAGCACTTTGGGAGGCCAAGGCAGGCAGATCACTTGATGTCTGGAGTTCGAGGCTAGCCTGGCCAACGTGGTAAAACCCCCATCTCTACTAAAAATACAAAAATTAGCTGGGCGTGGTGATGGGTGCCTGTAATCCCAGCTACTCGGGAGGCTGAGGCAGGAGAATTGCTTGAACCCAGGAAGTGGAGGTTGCAGTGAGCCAAGATTGCACGATGGCCCTCCAGGCTGGGAGACAGAGTGAGACTCCGTCTCAAAAAAATAAAATAAAATAAAGAAAATTAAAGACAAAAAGAATAAGTTATAGACATAAAGACCTGGCCAGGTGTGGTGGCTCACACTTGTAGTCCCAGAAGTTTGGGAGGCCGAGGCAGGTGGATCACTTGAGGTCAGGAGTTCGAGAACAGCTTGGCCAACATGGTGAAACCCCATCTCTACTAAAAATACAAAAATTAGCAAGACATGGTAGCACACCCCTATAGTCCCAGCTACTCAGGTGGCTGAGGCAAGAGAATCACTTGAACCTGGGAAGTAGAGGTTGCAGTGAGCTGAGATCACTGCACTCCAGCCTAAGCAACAGAGAGAGACTCCATCCCAAAAAATAAATAGGCCAGGTGCAGTGGCTCATGCCTATAATCTCAGTATTTTGGGAGGCCGAGGCGGGTGGATCACCTGAGGTCAGTAGTTCAAGACCAGCCTGGTCAACACGGTGAAATCCTGTCTCTACTAAAAATACAAAAAATTAGCTGGGCATAGTGGTGCGTGCTTGTAATCCCAGCTACTCGGGAAGCTGAGGCAGAAGAATCGCTTGAACCCGGGAGTCGGAGGTTGTGGTGAGCCAAGATTGTGCCACTGCACTCCAGTGTGGGCAACAGAGCGAGACTTTGCCTCAAAAATAAATAAATAAATAAATAAATAAATACAGACGTTATGTGCACCAGCATAGACAACAAAGTGAGACCCCATCTGTATAAAATATTTAAAAATTAGCCATGTGCAGCCGGGCGCAATGGCTCACACCTGTAATTCCAGCACTTTGGGAGGCTGAGGCGGGCAGATAACAAGGTCAGGAGTTCGAGACCAGCCTGGCCAACATGGTGAAACCCTGTCTGTACTAAAATACAAAAACTAGCCAGGCATGGTGGTGCATGCCTGTAGTCCCAGCTGCTCAGGAAGCTGAGGCAGAAGAATCGCTTAAACCCGGGAGGCTGAGGTTGCAGTGAGCCGAGATTGCACCACTGTACCCCAGCCTGGGGGACAGAGCAAGACTCTGTCTCAAAAAAAAAAAGAAAAAAAAAATTAGCCAGGTGCAGTGGTGCTCACCTGTAGTTCCAGCTACTGAGGAGGCTGAGACGGCAGGATCACTTGAGGCCAGGAGTTCAAGGTTGTAGTGAGCTATGATGCTATGATTGCCCCACTGCATTCCAGCCTGGGCAACAGACCAAGACCCTGTCTCATAAAAAAAAAAAAACAAAAAACAAACTTTATGTGCAGTTCTAGCCATAATTGGAAAAAACTGTAAAAAACAACCTACCTGTCTATAATAGGGTTCTCAAGAGAAACAAACAGGAAATCAGAATATATATGCATATATACATATATATTCTCTATATATACATATATAGATATATATAGAGAGAGGGAGAGAGAGATTTAATAAAAGGAATTGGGTCACATGATTATGGAGGCTGACAATTTCTAAGACCTGCTGTGGGTTAGCAAGCTGGAGACCCAGGAGAGCTGATGATGTAGTTTGAATTTGAAAGCTGGCAGACTCAAGACCCAGGAAGAGCTCGTGTCTTGGTTTGAGCCAGAAGGCAGGAAAATGCCAGTGTTCCAGTTGGAAGGCAGTCAGGCAGGAGAGATTCTGTCTTACTCAGGGGAGGGTTAGGCTATTTGTTCTCTTCAGGCCTCCAATTGATTGGATGAGGCCCACCCCTCTTAGGGAGGGCAATCTGCTTTACTTGGTCTACTGGTTTAAATGTTAATTGCATCCAGAAGCACCCAGAATGATGTTTGACCAAATCTCTGGTCATCTTGTGGCCTACTCAAGCTGACATATAAAATTAAACATTGCAATGTCCTACAATAGGACAACAGGATATAATGCAGCCATTAAAATGTTAATTTTGAAGGCTAAGAAAAATAAGCATGGTAAGGAGCTGAGTAGAAAAATAAACCACAGAATACCAGATTATGCCTACAATTGCACCAGTGAAATGTGTGCACACATGGGTGAAGAATAGGTAGGAATAGGAAGAAATAAGAATAGCTTTTGTGCTAAGCTGTTGAGATTACAGGAAAGAATTTACCTTTTTCCTTTAATTTTTAATAATATAATTGTTTAAAATTCAAGAAACTGAGAATCCTAGGTGTAGAGTTTCCAGGAGGAGGGAACAGTAGCTGCAAGCGGTAACTGACACATCATCTACACTCAATAGCTGTTGAATAAATGAATAATTGCTACTGTTTTCTGCTGCATTCCCCCAGAAGCACATTGTGATACAAGGATTTTTTTTTTTTTTGAGACAGAGTCTCGATCTGTTGCCCAGGCTGAAGTGCAGTGGTGCGATCTTGGCTCACTGCAACCTCTGCCTCCCAGGTTCAAGCAATTCTCTGCCTCAGCCTCCCCAGTAGCTGGGATTACAGGCATGCGCCACCACGCCCAGCTAATTTTTGTATTTTTAGTACAGACAGGATTTCACCATCTTGGACAGGCTGGTCTTGAACTCCCGACCTCAGGCAGTCCACCCACCTCGACCTCCCAAAGTGCTGGGCTTACAGGCATGAGCCACTGCACCTGGCCTGTGATACAAGGATTTGAGGGCAAGTTGTTTATTTGGGAGGTAATCACTGGTAGGAGAGTCGGGGAGTGAGGCTGGGAAGAGAAAGAAGCCAATATAGGGCACTTCAATGAGGTTACCATTGAAGGTAACTCCACGGGACCTCTGGGAGAATGTTGGGAGTAGGCTTCAGGTTTGTCTCGCAGAGGACAAGAAAGAAGGAGTTTTAATCTCCCAACTCTCATTCATCTTGGTTGAAAGGGCTGCTCCTGGGGGCATTACCTCCTTGGCATTTTCAGCCTGCCCCAAGCAAGGGTCCATCACACCTCTGTGACTAGTGAAAGCCTGCAGGCAGAGAGTCACAGGTGCTTGCAGTTAGAAGCTGTTGATTGTATGGGAACAGTGAGTGCTGCAAGGATAGGGTGGGGCACTGAGGACACTTGCAGAGTTTATCATTATTGAACACCTGCATGATTCAGGCACTTAGAGAATAGTTTCTCTAATTCCCACAACAGGGTTATGCAGTGAATATTATTAGGGAAGAAACAAGCTCAGAGAGGTTGTGACTTGCTCAGAGTCATGCAGGGCAAGGTACAGAATCAATTAAGTTATTTGAACTACAAAGATTTCTTTTTCTCTTCCTCTTGCTACCTCCCAGTTAAACTCAATGCTTTCTAAATAAACTCACCAAAAAAAGTAAAATGATGACATCTGAGAGGTAACAACAATTCAGTAAGATCAGCTTTAAAACAGCATAACTATTTAGGTCCAATCACATAATCAACAAGTATTGAAATCTGTAAGAGAAAGAGAAAGTCAGCATGGGGAGGAGGGCATCTACCAGGGCAGAAGTACCAATACCAGCTGACTGAAGCCAGGGTCAATAAACCCACACCTACTGCTTTCCAAGAGATTAAAGAAGAAATTATGACCATGAAAGGAAATATGTAGGTACTATGAAAACAGCAAATCTGTTTGTCATTCCCTCCCTCAAAATTCTTCAATGATTCCCAATTTCTTTCAGTATAATTCCCTTAGTAGAACATGTAAATACTTTGAGATTTGGCCCTTGCTAACCTCTCCATGCTCATCTTCTACCACTCACTCACAGCCATATGCAACTACTTAAAATCCTCAGAACAGCCCATCTCTGTCACAGCCCTGAGCCCTTGTAAGGGCTGTTTCTGCTACCTGGAATTCCATCTTCCTCTCTTTTCCACCTGGCTAATTCCTACTTGTTATTCAAGGCTTAGCTTGGTCATTACCTATTATAGTGAAGTTTCTCAATCTTTTAAAAACCATACTGCTAAATAATATATACAAATATCTCATACCAGCCTTCCCATGAAACTCTATTTCCTTTTGAGAATTACTGATAAACAAAATTTATAATCTACCTTCTGAATATCTCCACCATCTGAGATGATTTTATATTTACATTTTTTTTTTTTTTTTGAGACAGAGGACTCTGTCCCCCAGGCTGGAGTGCAGTGATGCAATCTCAGCTCACTCCAACCTCTGTCTTCCAGGTTCAAGCAATTCTTCTGCCTCAGCCTCCCAAATAGCTGGGATTACAGGTGTGTGTTACCATGCCCAGCTAATTTTTTTATTTTAGTAGAGACAGGGTTTCACCACATTCGCCTGGCTGGTCTCGAACTCCTGACCTCAGGTGATCCACCCACCTCAGCCTCCCAAAGTGCTGGGATTACAGGCATGAGCCACTGTCCCCAGCTGTTTTTTTTTTTTTTTTTGTATTTTTAGTAGAGATGGGGTTTCACCATGTTGGCCAGGCTGGTCTCAAACTCCTGACCTCAAATGATCTGACTGCCTTAGCCTCCCAAAGTGCTGGGATTACAGATGTGAGCCACCATGCCCAGCCTATGTTTACTTTTTATAAATTATTAATTATAGATTATGAAAAGTTTTTTTACTTCTCCAAATATAAAAGTCTCATAATATTGAATTTTTTTCAGCCTCTCCCCTTCAGATTAAAGATTCCCCACAGCAGCTTCTGTATCCCTGGCCCCTCCACTCATCCCAAGATGAGAATTGCTATTCTATAGGAAATTTTTCAAGATGCCAGGCTAAGGTAGGTACCATCTCTCTGTTCACCAAACATCTAATACACATGACTTTATATTAAGTCTTTCACATTGTTTTGAATATGTTGATTTAATTAACTTTCCACTGAATTCCATAATTAAAGGAATAGATGTGTATTAAGCCTCTACAATCAGTACAGTTCCAGGCACTGTACTAATTTTGTGAGGTATTACCATCCTCAGGAGGAAAAAGAGGACAGGGGCTATGAAATCTATCAAGTATGGATCCAACTAGTAAGTGATGAAGCTAAACTCCAGGCTCCATGTGCCTGACCTCAGAGTCTGTGCTCCTTTGCTAAAGAGTGTTTCCTGCCTGAGGCAGAGGCTGTGCAGAGCTATGTATCCATGTACTCAGCACAGTGCCTGAAACATAGTAGGCATATCATATGTTGGAGGTGAACAAATGAGCCAAAGACATCAAGAAAAGCAATAAAAACTTGAATAGATGTCACTGGGCAAATAAGTGATTGAGAAGAAACATCAAGCCAGAAACACAAATCACAGGGCATTTGCACAGAGTGATTCAAAACAAAACCAAAAAGGCACAAAACAATGTAAGAAAAACTAAAAGACTTAGAACATAGATTAGAAACATTGAAGTGAAAACAATAAGGAAACTATAGGAAATAGAGAAGGCTGACAATGAGGAAGCCATCATCAGAGAAATAAGGGAAGAAAACATAGCTGAATAGAAAAAAAAAAAACAGCACTCTTTTTGTGATCATCTGTTTACTCTATTTCCCTTTTAAGATAGTCGGTTTCAGCCGGGTGCAGTGGCTCACACCTGTAATCCCAGCACTTTGGGAGGCCAAAGCGGGCAGACCACAAGGTCAGGAGCTTGAGACCAGTGTGGCCAACATGGTGAAACCCCATCTCTACTAAAAATACAAAAATTAGCCGGGTATGATGGCGGGTGCCTGTAATCCCAGCTACTTGGGAGGCTGAGGCAGGAGAATCACTTGAACCCAGGAGGCGGAGGTTGCAGTGAGCCGAGATCATGCCATTGCACTCCAGCCTGGGCGACAAGAGCAAGACTCCATCTCAAAAAAAAAAAAAAAAAAAGAAAGTCGGTTCCATGAGGGTAGGAATCATCTCTCTCTTGTTTGTCACTGCATCTTCAGTGTTTGACACAGTGTGTGACATAGGTAAGAGCTCTGCCAATATTTTGTTGAATGAAAGAAAGCCAAGCACAGATCATGAAAAGACATGTAAAACCCCATCAAAGAAAGATGCCTCTGGTGTTTTTAAAGCATTGCCTTAAGAGGCGGAGTCTATGCTTTTGAATCTGGGGAGGAATTATGAGTTCTTTAGTCACAGAATCTGACAGAAGCACTGCGATGTAACCTCTGAGACTAGGTCAAAAAGCTGATGATGCTTCCACCTGGTTATCTTGGACTACTTATTCTCCAGATATTCCCTCTAGGAGCCCACTCATCACACGTCGTTTGGAGAGGCCCTACGGAAACACACCAGCTGACAGGCAGCTTCAGTTATCCCAGCCCCACACCAGACATATGGGGGATGAAACCCCCAGATGACCCACCTTCCAGCTATGTGGGTCTCCTCTTGCTGAGACCCCAGACGTTGTGGAGCAGAGGCAAGCCAATGACCCTGTGTCCTCTCAAAATTACTGACCCACAGAATCCACAAACATAATAAAATTATTGTTATGCCATCAAATTTGGGATGGCTTATTAAGTAGCAATAGAATGATCAGAACAATATCCACCCTTTCTAAAGATATCTCTTTGTTGGGTGTTTAAATTTTTATTTATTTATTTTTTTATTTTATTTTTTATTAGTATTATTATTTTTGAGATGGAGTTTCGCTCTTGTTGCCCAGGCTGGAGTGCAGTGGCGTGATCTCGGCTCACTGCAACCTCCGCCTCCCAGGTTCAAGTGATTCTCCTGCCTCAGCCTCCCGAATAGCTGGGATTACAGGCATGCACCACCATGCCCAGCTAATTTTTTGTATTTTTAGTAGAGACAGGGTTTCTCCATATTGGTCAGGCTGGTTTCAAACTCCCAGCCTCTGGTGATCCGCCCGCCTCGGCCTCCCAAAGTGTTAGGATCACAGGCGTGAGCCATCGCAACCGGCCTAAAAAAAAAGATATAATTTTTAGAGATCCAAAGACAAGAATGATCTTAAGACTTGCTCCTGAGATGTTGTATAAGAGGAAGACTTACAAGGAAATCTACAAGAACTGAGGTCTTGTCTCGTCAGGTTGACTTTTCTCTTTGAAGGCAGCAGAAAATCATGTCATGGGCTATAAGCTCACACACACTGATAATTTCCATAATGTCCCTGCTCTGTACAGATCACTATGAGGAGCAGTGGAAATCAAAGAGCACAAATACAGAGAATAAAAACAAAGATACGGCCAGGCGCAGTGGCTCACGCTTGTAATCCCAGCACTTTGGGAGGCCGAGGCAGGTGGATCACGAGGTCAGGAGATCGAGACCATCCTGGCCAACATGGTGAAACCCTGTCTCTACAAAAATACAAAAAAAAAAAAAAAAAAAAAAAAATTAGCCGGGCATGGTGGCGTGCGCCTGGAGTCCCAGCTACTCAGGAGGCTGAGGCAGGGGAATCGCTTGAACCTGGGAGGCGGAGGTTACAATAAGCCGAGATCGCGCCACTGCACTCCAGCCTGGTGACAGAGCGAGACTCTGTCTCAAAAAAAAAAAACAAACAAAGAAAGATATAGAGACTCAAAAGAGTTAAGTGAATTTACACATTAACAAAGAGGGGGGAAATTTTTATATTGTAAATATAACCCACCATGGGGTAGTGGTTTTCAAATTGCAAGGTCACAATTCATTAATGTGTCATGAAATCAAGTTAGTGGCTCTCAACCCGCTTTTTTTTTTTAAATGAAATAGAATATACTAGAGTATAATGGAATAGAAAACACCAGAGTTCATCATAAGGATGCTTAGCCAAAACTTCATATCCTCTGCCCATCTGTAATGAGTGGGGATAGAGATGTGGAAAATACATGAACTAGTTAGGATTTGGTCTTTTTTCCCCCGGTGTATGCTGGTCAATTGGATTATCATTGTAATGGGAGGGTTAATGTTACAGGGTTGCAGCTGAAGTTGAAGCAAAGTTATCGTATCTGCTGTTGGCAAAATTGTTGAGACTTTCTAATGAATTTAGATAAGAGCTTTTGGGGCATTGCAGCCACTAATGCCTGTAATCCCAACATTCTGGGAGGCCAAGGCAGGTGGATGGCTTGAGCCCAGGAGTTCAAGACCAGCCATGGGCAACATGGCAAAACCTTGTCTTGGCTGGGCTCGGTGGCTCACACCTGTAATCCCAGCACTTTGGGAGGCCGAGGCAGGTGGATCACCTGAGGTCAGGAGTTCGAGACCAGCCTGGCCAACATGGTGAAGCCTCATCTCCACTAAAAAACACACAAAAAATTAGCCAGGTGTGGTGGTGGGCACCTGTAATCCTAGCTACTCAGGAGGCTGAGGCAGGAGAAAAGCTTGAACCTGGGAGGTGGAGGTTGCAGTGAGCCGAGATCTCACCACTGCATTCCAGCCTGGGCGACAGAGTGAGACTCCATCTCAAAAAACAAAAAAACAAAACAAAAAAAACCCAGTCTCTAAAAAAAATACAAAGATTAGCAAGGCATGATGGTGGGTACTTATGGCTTCAGCTACTTGGGGGGCTGAGGTGGGAAGATCACCTGGGCCCTGGAGGTCAAGGCTGCAGTGAACTGTGATCATGCCACTGCACTCCAGCCTGGGCGACGGAAACCCTGTTTCCAAAAAGGAAAAAAGAAAGAGTTTTCAGTCTTTTTCAGAAAAGGCGTTATTATCAATGCAATACATTTTGAGTCTGTGACAATTTATTATACAAAATACTTTAAAATTTATTATTTAATAGAATAAATACAAAGGCAGGTTCCAGTTTAACTGATGGATCTGAAAGTATAAATTATGACAAATTGAGAAAAATACTTATTCTAATAAGCTGAATTTGATCTTACATTCTAAAGAAAAAAAAGTAAATGTAAGACAACATAATAAAAGTTATTTAAAATATGGTTATATCAAACATTCAAAAGCCAAACCAATGAAAATGACAATGTATTCTTTTTTTTTTTTTTTTTGAGATGGAATCTCTCTCTGTCGCCCAGGCTGGAGTGCAGTGGCACAATCTCAGCTCACTGCAACCTCCACCTCCTGGGTTCAAGCGATGCAACTCTCCTGTCTCAGCCTCCCGAGGAGTAGCTGGGATTACAGGCACGTGCCACTATGCTCAGCTAATTTTTTTGTATTTTTAGTAGAGATGGGGTTTCACCATGTTGGTCAGGCTGGTCTCGAACTCCTGACCTCAGGCGATATGCCCACCTTGACCTCCCAAAGTGCTGGGATTACAGGTTTGAGCCACCACCCCCGGCTTTTTTTTCTTGAGATGGAGTTTCGCTCTGTTACCCAGGCAGGAGTGTAGTGGCATGATCTCGGCTCACTGCAACCTCCACCTCCTGGGTTCAAGTGATTCTCCCGCCTTAGCCTCCTGAGTAGCTGGGATTACAGGTGCTCACCACCATACCTGGCTAGTTTTTGGATTTTTAGTAGAGACGGGGTTTTGCCATATTGGCCAGGCTGGTCTAGAACTCCTGACCTCAGGTGATACGCCCACCTCAGTCTCCCAAAGTGCTGGGATTACAGGCATGAGCTACCGCGCCCGGCCTGACAATGTATTCTTTGGTATTGGTGTTCTCGCAAATGAAAACTTAAAACCTTCAAAATAAAAATGATTCTTGGAAACACAGCATACAAAATGTGGTGATAATCTCCTTGAATATTTAAGAAGAAAAGAAAGAGATCTAAAGTTACCTGCACAGTTTCTTAGTCATTCTATGACAGTCAGAAAGCATCATTGTCAGCTTATTTTAGGTGCATATTGTGTGTGCTCCCATGTTCAGTAATTAAAGTCAGTAGAAAACTACAACCAACCCAGCCAGGCAGGACTGCTAACAGACCAGACTCTTCAGGAGCAAAGGGTTGAGTCGTCTTACCAGTCAAGGAACCTTAACCAGCTGTTTTGTACTGAGAGCAAATGAGAGACATAATGGCTAATGGATGAAAGTAGTTATAAATTCTGGCTACGAACCTATGATCGGTTGTGAAAATAAGGACTGTAATAGTTAGAAATATTTCTTCCTTATTTTGATATGAAACTATTTGTGTTTATATTAACCAATTTTTCCTTCTCCCAGCCAGTCCCCTACCATATAATACAAGAAATGTTGTTTTTGTGGTGTTTTTTATTTTTGAGACAGAGTCTCGCTCTGTCGCCCAGGCTGGAGTGCAGTGGCGTGATCTCGGCTTACTACAACCTCCGTCTCCTGGGTTCAAGCGATTCTCCTGCCTCAGCCTCCCAAGTAGCTGGGCTCACAGGCACATGCCACCACGCCTGGCTAATTTTTGTAATTTTAGTAGAGATAGGGTTTTGCCATGTTATCCAGGCTGGTCTTGAACTCCTGACTTCAAGTGATCCGCCTGTCTCAGCCTCCCAAAGTGCTGGGATTATAGGTGTGAGCCACGGTGCCTGGCCAAGAGATGTTAAAGGTAGCTAACTTCCTATCTCAGTATTTTAATGACAGTATATCAAGAGGGAGTATACCTAGCTGGAAGAGGAATAAACTCCCCCACAGATAAATAAAGGAACTTTGTGAAGTGGCCTCATTTGTCTGGGGTAATACCCGAGTTTCCTTGCCTCATGCCAAGAAAATCGACGACGCGGACACACACAAGGAGTAAGTTGGAGAGCAAAGGTTTAACAGGTGAAAGAGAGAGAAAAGAGGCTCTCTCTCCTTCAGAGGAAATGACGTCAAATTTACATAGGGCACGAGAGATTGCTGAGACCAGGTGTGCCATTTGCATAGCTCACGAAGAACCTGGCCATCCCACCCTAGGCTTTTATTATTTTGGATTTGCAGATGGGGTCTCTACCTGGTCAGAACCATGTTACCTGCTTTTTTACTGCACATGTGGCGACAAAGAAAAGGGAAGAGGGAACCTCCATGTTGAATATTCCTGGCTTCCAGGTATCCCTTTTCTATTAGCACAGCTGCCCGCATTTACCTATGCAAGCTTTTAGCTTGCTTATCTATGCTTGCAGCTTGATTTTTCAGGTTGCTTTTTGTTAGAAAAGAAATTATTTCGGGGCTGCTTTTTACTACAAGGAAACCTTACTGAGGACTCTTTTACCCTCACTCTTTGCCTAAATAATTTCTTTCTAGCTCCTGTATCATTTGTATAGTTTTTTTGGGAAAATGTTAGCATGTTTTTGTTTGAATGAGGGATAGTTGCATTGTATTAGGCAGAGGCATGATTTTGTTACTTTCTCCACTTGGAAGCTAAGTATGACTAGTATGATTAAAAGAGGTATGTAAGGCCAGGCGCGGTGGTTCACACCTGTAATCCCAGCATTTTGGGAGGCCGAGGCAGGTAGATCACTTGAGGTCAGGAGTTTGAGAACAACCTGACCAACAATGGTGAAACCCTGTCTCTGCTAAAACTACAAAATTAGCTAGGCGTAGTGGCTCATGCCTATAATCCCAGCTACTTGGGAGGCTGAGGCAGGAGAATTGCTTGAACCTGGGAGGCGGAGGTTGCAGTGAGCTGAGATCACACCATTGCACTCCAGCCTGGGCAACAAGAGTGAAACTCCATCTCAAAAAAAAAAAAGAGGTATGTAAGAGTGCCAAGTTGACAAGAGGTGACTGTGGTGAATTTGTATTGTATCAGCTTAGCTAAAGTATATATATATATATGTATATATATATATACGTGTGTGTGTGTATATATATATGTGTATATATATATATATATTTTTTTTTCTTTCTTTCTTTTTTTGAGCAGAGTCTCGCTCTGGCACCCAGGCTGGAATGCGATGGCATGATCTCGGCTCACTACAACCTCCACCTCCTGGGTTCAAGTGATTCTCCTGCCTCAGCCTCCTGAGTAGCTGGGACTACAGGTGCCTGCCACCGCGCCCGGCTAATTTTTGTATTTTTAGTAGAGATGGGGTTTCCCCATGTTGGCCATGCTGGTCTTGAACTCCTGACCTCAAATGATCCACCCACCTCGGCCTTCCAAAGTTTTGAGATTACAGGAGTGAGTCACTGTGCCCAGCCATGTAGTGACACTTCCAATTCAAACTCAGGAATACAGGATTTTTTCTTAACCTCATCTACCTTAATCTACTTCTTTTCTTCCTCCACCAAAAAATCGGTATAACCACGCTGTTGCTTTATCTCAAAATGCACACACAACAATCTTAGAATAACAGCACTGACATTAACACAAACATGATTGTTAAAAATGAATTTGGATTTTTTTTTTCCAATTGTTTTTATCCTTAGGGTATATCCCACTAAGAATATACATTCAAATTAGAGCATTTTAAACTCATTTGAAATAATTCATATTTGTATGGTTATACCACCAACTCAACATACATAAATTAGGGTTGTTTATCTCATTTTGCTTTTGATATTTTGGAGTTTTTTTTTTTAAATACATATTTTGGCTGGCATAGTGGCGCACACCTGTAATCTCAGTGCTTTGGGAGGATCACTTGAGGCAAGTTCAAGGCCAGCCTGGGCAACATAGCAAGACCTTGTCTCTACAAAAAAAATTTAAAAATTGGCCGGGCATTGTAACTCACGCCTGTAATCCCAGCACTTTGGGAGGCTGAGGCAGACAGATTGCTTTGAGCTTAGGAGTTCAAAATCAGCCTGGGCATCACGGTGAAACCCTGTCTCTATTTAAAAAAATAAAAATAAGCCGGGTGTAGTGGTGCACACCTGTAGTCCTAGCTACTCAGGAGGCTGAAAAGGGAAGATTGCTTGCTTGAGCCCAGCAGGTTGAGGCTGCAGTGACCTATGGTCATGCCACTGCCCTCTAGCCTGGGCAACAGAGTGAGACCCTATCTCTGAAAAAAATAAAAAATAAAAACAAAATACATATTTTATGCTTATATAAAATGTTTACATGATTCCATGGTCAAATGTGTAAAACAAGATGTATTCGGAAGGGTTTTTCGATCCCTGTCTCCTCTATCCTTTCCTTCCCTCTAGCATACCATACACAGTTTTGGGGGTTTCTTTTTTCATTTGCTAATATGTCCAGAGCACCTATACTATATATACTGCTATATATACTATAGCAGTATATATAGGTATTCCTTATTGCTTTTTTTGTTTTTTTGTTTTTTTGGTTTTTTTTGAGATGGAGTCTTGCTCTTGTCACCCAGGCTGGAATGCAGTGGCGCAATCTCGGCTCACTGCAACTTCTGCCTCCTGGGTTCAAGTGATTCTCCTGCCTCCCTAGTAGCTGGGATTACAGATGCCGCCACCATGCCTGGCTAATTTTTGTATTTTTAGTAGAGATGGGGTTTCTCCATGTTAGCCAGGCTGGTCTTGAACTCCTGACCTCAGGCGATCCACCTGCCTTGGCCTCCCAAAGTGCTGGAATTACAGACATGCTCCACCATGCCCGGCCCCTCATGGCTTTTTACATCTGCGCAGTATTCTATTATATACCATAATTAATTCCATCAGTTCCCTCCTAAAAGATACTCGGATTCTTTCTAGTCTTTTGTTATTATACTTAATTAAGTACTGAAGTACTGATCTTTTCAGATATTTTGTTGAGATATTGGAGCTACCCATACCCAAGTTTGTTGGCTGTCTTCAGGGAAAGTACTAAGCAAGTTGTATGGACCTAGAAACAAGACTCGATACTCACTTTTTTTTTTTTTTTGAGGCAGAATCTCACTCTGTTGCCCAGATTGGAGTGCAGTGGCGCGGTTTCAGCACACTGCAACCTCCGCCTCTCAGGATCAAGCGATTTTCCTGCCTCAGCCTCCCATGTAGCTGGGATTACAGGCATATGCCACGACACCTGTCTAATTTTTGTATTTTTAGTAGAGATGGGGTTTCTCCATGTTGGCCAGGCTGGTCTCCAACCCGTGACCTCAGGTGATCCACCCGCCTTGGCCTCCCAAAGTGCTAGGATTATAGGCGTGAGCCACCGTGCCCGGCCTTTTTTTTTTTTTTTTTCAGTAGAGATGAAGTCTCACTATGTTGCCCAAGCTCATCTTGAACTCCTGGCATCCAGGGTTTCAAACGTGCTCCTCCCACCTCGGCCTGCCAAAGTGCTGGGAGCCCAGCCCACGTTTTTATAATCACAGTGTTTTCCAATTTTTGTTTTTGTAGTGTTTATTGAAAATTCTCTATATTGTATTTAATATACAATAATAAGCTTCATTTTTAAAAATTTTTAATTTTTTTTTTTTTTTTTTTTGATACAGAGTCTTGCTCTGCCTCCCAGGCTGGAGTGCAATGGTGCCATCTCAGCTCACTGCAACATCTGCCTCCCAGCTTCAAGCGATTCTCCTGCCTCAGCCTCCCGAGTAGCTAGGACTACAGGCATGCATCACCACGCCTGGTTAATTTTTGTATTTTTAGTAGAAACAGGGTTTCGCCATGTCGGCCAGGCTGGTCTTGAATTCCTGGCCTCAAGTGATCCACCCGCCTTGGTCTCCCAAAGTGCTGGGATTACAGGCGTGAGCTACCACACCCGGCACATTAATCTTTTTTTTTTTTTTTTTGAGATGGAGTCTTACTCTTGTTGCCCCCGCTGGAGTGCAATGGCACGATCTTAACTCACTGCAACCCTCGCCTCCCAGGTTCAAGTGATTCTCCTGCCTCAGCCTCCTGAGTAGCTGGATTACAGATGCCCATCACCACGCCCAGCTAATTTTTGTATATTTAGTACAGATAGGGTTTTACCATGTTGGGCAGGCTAGTCTCAAACTCCTGACCTCAGGTGATCCGCCCACCCTCCCAAAGTGCTGGGATTACAGGGGGAGCCGCCGTGCCCAGCCAATCTTTTTGTTGTTGTTGTTTTGAGATGGAGTCTCACTCTGTTGCCCAGGCTGGAGTACAGTGGCACGATCTCAGCTCATCAAAGCCTCCACCTCCTGGGTTCAAGCAATTCTCCTGCCTCAGCCTCCTGAATAGCTGGGATTACAGGCATGAGACGCTGCGCCTGGCTAAATTTTGTATTTTTAGTAGAGATAGGGTTTCACCATGTTGGTCAGGCTGGTCTTGAACTCCTGACCTCAGGTGATCTGCCCGCCTCGGCCTCCCAAAGTGCTGGGATTACAGGCATGAGCCACTGCGCCTGGCCTCTGCTAATCTTTAATACAAATTTTGATATATTTTTACTTTGTCACACATAGCAACATATATTCTTTTTGAAAAATTTGTTTCTTATGTATTTTTATATTACACCACAATGTAAAAATATATTTCTTGTGAGTCATAGTCAAATGATACAATCTAAAGAGGATGGAATATCCATAAGTATCGATAATTTAGGATTTTTGTTTTATTTTGTTTTCAATTCCTTAACCCCAACCCCTCTGAAGCTAGAGGCACTGACCTTCACACTCCAAGAAATCTTGTTCTCTGCTCTGCTCCAGGCTTGGTGTCCTGCTGCCCGCCCAGTCTCCTGCGGTGCCTGCACAGTCTTCTGCACTTCCACCTGCACTGTGCGTGGACAGACTGGCTGTTGCAGTCTGTCATCTTGTCATTCCTGTGGCTGATGAGGTGGAGGAAGGACTTCTCCCACAAGGTCTGTAATCTTTTAAAGGGACAGTAAGATACCACAGTCTCGCCCCCTTATTCCTTTTGGCATGTCAACTATTACAACTCTGTTTGTTAAAACATTCACGTATCCCAGGCTGGGTGCAGTGGCTGATGCCTGTAATCCCAGCACTTTGGAAGGCTGAGGTGGGAGGATCACTGGAGGTCAGGAGATCAAGACCAGCCTGAACAACACGGTGAAACCCCGTCTCTACTAAAGATACAAAAATTAGCCCGGTGTGGTAATGCGCACCTGTAATTCCAGCTACTCAGGAGGCTGAGGCATGAGAATCGCTTGAACCTGGGTGGCAGAGGTTGGAACCTCAGGCGTGAGCTGAAATCGTGCCACTGCACTCCAGCCTGGGTGATAACAGTGAAACTCCATCTCAAAAATAATAATAATAATAATTAAAACAAAAAAACCAGGCCAGGCGCGGTGGCTCACGCCTGTAATCCCAGCACTTTGGGAGGCTGAGGCAGGAAGATCACGAGATCAGGAGTTCAAGACCAGCCTGGCCAAGATGGTGAAACCCCACCCCTACTAAAAATAAAAAAACTAGCCGAGCATGGTGGTGGATGCCTGGTATCCTAGCTACTCAGGAGGCTGAGGCAGAGAATTGCTTGAACCTGGGAGGCAGAGGTTGCAGTGAGCTGAGATCTCGCCACTGCACTCCAGCCTGGGTGACAGAGCGAGACTCCATCTCAAAAAAAAAAAAAAAAAAAAAATTGACCTGCGTTCAAATTAGCCCTGATTCTGTGACAGAAATAAAAGTACGTCTACTTTACTGAGAAGGCAAAGGCGGAGAGACCACTTAGGAGATTGTTGCTGTGTGTCCAGATAAGAAGGGGTGGTGGCTTGCGCAGTGTATTGGCAGAGAGGGGGCGCAATGGACCCATTCACTAGGTATGTACAAGATGGACTCAACAGAACTGAATGACTGAGGGGATGAGAGGCCAGGGGAGAACAGAAGTTAATGATACTTCTAGGCTTCCAGGTAAAACATGTGGGAGAGGGAGGGGGACAAACACAGAAATAGAGGATGTAGGCGGAGGAGCCAGTTTGGGGAAGAAGCTGGTGATTCAGCTTGAGCACAGTGAGTTTTAGATGCCAGGAAGACATCCATGGAGGGAAGCCCTGTGGCCACCTTCATACATAGACCTGAAGCTGGGCATACAGAGAAGGGAGCTAACTGCTAACTATGACAATGGAAGCCACAGTCAGAAATTAGCATGTTTCAGGAGAGGGTGAGAAGAGAAAACGGCCTCAGGCAGAACCCTGAGGGACGTCATATTTACAGGTGGATAAAAGGAGAATCCAGCTAGAGCCATCCCTGGTCTCTCTCGCTAGTGTTTGCTATTCCCTGGCCCACCTTTCTAGCTCTAGCTGCGTACAGTGTGCCAGGATGCACTGCGCTTATGTGCTGAAGATATCAAGACAAATTAACTATATTTAAATCTTTTGTCCTACAGACCTGCAGAGGAAGGTGACGTATCAATAAACAAGTACATGTTTGCGTAGTGTTCTGAACCCTGGCATATGGAATATACAGTAGTGCCTCCTTATCTGCAGGGGATACATTCCAAGATCCTCAGTGGATGCCTAAAGCTGCAGATAGTACCGAACCTGATAGTAATGTTTTTTTGATTGATAGCCAAGACAGCTACTAGGTGACTAATGGCTGGATAGTGTTTACAGCATGGTTATGCTGGACAAAGGGATGATTCGTGTCCTGGGTGAGATGGAGCAGATGGGTGTGAGATTTTATGCTATTCAGAATGGTGCACAACTTAAAATTTATAAATAAGCCAGATGCGGTGGCTCACGCCTGTAATCCCAGCATTTTGGGAGGCCGAAGCAGGCAGATCACCTGAGGTTAGGAGTTTGAGACCAGCCTGGCCAACATGGCGAAACCCTGTCTCTACAAAAATACAAAAAAATTAGCTGGGCGTGGTGGCATGCCCTGTAATCCCAGCTAATCGGGAGGCTGAGGCAGGAGCATCGCTTGAACCTGGGAGGCAGAAGTTGCAGTGAGCCAAGATTGCGCCACTGCACTCCAGCCTGGGCGACAGAGCGAGACTCCATCTCGAAAAATAAATAAAAATAAAATAGCATTTATAAATAGTTTATTTCTGGGGTTTCCCATTTAATACACTTACTATTTTGAGACCACAGTTGACTGTCAGTGACTAATACCGTAAAAAGTGAAACTGAGGATGAGGAGGGACTACTATATTAGTCATGCCTTTTTATTTTTTTGTTTCTGATGGTTTGACATCTGGGGCCTGACCCTAGAGAGACTTCCCCTCCCAAGGGGAGGCGATTCCTAGAGATGGTAAAGGTGCTTGGGGCAGTTGTCCAGTTCCTGTGTCTGTCCTCCAGCCTGTGCCCCTCACAAGTGACCAGGTGTTCGAGTTGGTACCACCAGGAATCTAGTACCTCACTCATGTAATACTTAGAATCACTGTTTTGGGTCAGTGGAATGGGTATCTGCACACAGACAAGAGGTGTCCTCAAGGGCTGAGCAGAACAGGAAGAGGGAGAAGACGGAGTAGATGGTCAGAGAGGGCCAGAGGAATCCGAGGATTGATGTGATTATGGATCATGGGCTATGAGGGACTGGTATCCTGGGTGATGGCCCCTCAGGTAATCTAGTTATCTGACCTATTCGTAGTGTAGTCCCTGAGGTCCTCCAAGAACTGAGAACACACGGTTAGGGTTCTTTCTGTTCTAGCTTCCAGAAATAAGGAAATGTTGAGTGGTACAGGGGGTCATGACTACCCACCAATACATGGAGCCTGCAGAGGCTGCCCGAGCCTGCCACTTGGCAGATAGGGCCACTAAACAGGTAGAGACTGAAGTGGTTCCTGGGCAGTGGTGGGCTGGGTTTGGGAGAAGAACCTCATGATCCTCACCTCCCACCCCTAGCCAGGAAACAAAAAATGTGATTTCTCAAATTTCTCCACAAACCTATCTTATGTTTCTGCAAATGGTGAAATCTTCAGAGGAAAACAGAACAAAAACCAGGCTGTCTAGAGGAACCTCCAGTTAATTGTCTGGCGGGGGAAAATGAATGTCTGTGAGAAGAGTATCTCTAGCTACGCTTCTAGCTTTCCCTGCCGCACTCAGGGTGCCCAGAGGGGGGAGGGACTGCTTTCTCTCCTGACCCCCAACCAGTGCCTTCTTGGCCCTAGAAGTCCTGACTGGTCCCAATAACTGTGCCTGATTCTTCTCCCTGGCAGGCCCTCCTTCCGTGTGAGGGGATTCAAGGAGGGTTTTTGGGGTGGTATTCCTGAATACCAGAAAATCTGCTGATAGAGAAGTAGAGGTAGAGAGCATGTAAAATGGAGCCCATATGAAAGCTCTTTATGTAAAAGAATTGCTTGAATTTAAAAAGTATGGGGCCGGGTGCAGGGGCTCAAGCCTGTAATCCCAGCACTTTGGGAGGCTGAGGCGGGTGGATCACCTGAGGTCAGGAGTTCCAGACCAGCCTGGCCAACATGGTGAAACCCTGTTTCTACTAAAAATACAAAATTAGCTGGGCGTGGTGGCTCATGCCTGTAATCCCAGCTACTCGGGAGGCTGAGGCAGGAGAATTGCTTGAACCTGGGAGGTGGAGTATGCAGTGAGCTGAGATCATGCCATTGCACTCCAGCCTGGGTGACAGAACAAGACTCTGTCTCAAAAAAAAAAAAAAAAAAAAAAAGTATGGGGGGATGAGCCACCACGCCAAACTGGATTTCCTAACGAGATATAAAAAACACAATCTCAAAGAAAAGCTTATATATTTGTTAACATTCAAGATTTTAAAATTTTGTTTAACAAAGATCATGAGAAAGAAAAGTAGATGGAAAAAATATAAATGCATGTAACAAAGACTGAAGAGTCACAACAAATCAATAAGAAAAAGACAATCTAATATGAAAATAGCCAAGGAATGACAGAAAACTTACAGAGGAGGAAATCTAAAGTGGCAACAAATACATGAAATATGCTCAACCTTCTTGTAATTAGGAAGAGGCAAATTAAAAACCACAGTGAGTTGCCATTTTATACCTTTTTTTTTTTTTTGAGACCTTCACTCTGTCACCCAGGCTGGAATGCAGTGGCACAATCATGGCACCCTACAACCTCAACCTCCCAGGCTCCCGAGTAGCTGGGACTACAGGTGTGTGCCACCATGCCTGGCTCATTTTTTGTAACTTCTGTAGAGACAGGGTCTTGCCATGTTGACCAGGCTGGTCAACTCCCAGACTCAAGCAATCTGCCTACCTTGGCCTTCCAAAGTGCTGGGATTACAGGTGTGAGCCACCACACCCGGCCTACACCTTTAATGTAGGTAAAATGTAATAAAACCATATGTTGACAAAATGTGGGCAAATGGGAATTCTCAGGTCCTACTAGTATGCGTGTCAATTGGACAATGGAACAGAAATTTAGAACTATCTATCAAATTTGAAAAACTGTATACCATATCACCCAGCATTTCCCCTCTGAGGTGTAGAGCCCATAAAAAACCTTGCTTATTTGCATAAGGAAACAAGTACAAGAAAGTCATTGTAACATTGTTTACAACAGAAAAAAATGGAAAAACCTAAATGTCAAGCAATAGAATAGATAAATAAATCATGCTTTATTCATATAATGGAATACTCAATAGAAGTTAAAATATGTATCAGCCTCAAAAAACATGTTCAGGGCCGGACGCAGTGGTTCATGCCTGTAATCCCAGCACTTTGGGAGCTGAGGTGGGTGGGTCATCTGAGGTCAGGAGTTAGAGACCAGCCTGGCCAACATGGTGAAACCCTGTCTCTATTAAAAATACACACAAAAAAAAATTACCCAGGAGTGGTGGCAGGTGCCTGTAATCCCAGCTACCTGGAGGCTGAGGCAGGGGAATTGCTTGAACCTGGGACGCAAAGGTTTCAGTGAGCTGAGATTGTGCCACTGCACTCCAGCCTGGGTGACAGAGCAAGACTCCGTCTCTAAATAAAAATAAGCCGGGCATGGTGGCTCACACCTGTAATCCCAGCATTTTGGGAGGCCGAGGCGTGTGGATCACGAGGTCAGGAGTTTGAAACCAGCCTGGCCAATATAGCGAAACCCTGTCTCTACTAAAAATACAAAAATTAGCCAGGTGTGGTGTCGCGCGCCTATAATCCCAGCTACTCGGGAGGCTGAGGCAGGAGAATTGCTTGAACCTGGGAGGCAGAGGTTGCAGTGAGCCGAGATTGTACCACTGACTCCAGCCTGGGCGACAGAGCGAGACTCCGTCTCAAATAAATAAATAAATAAACAAATAAACAAAAGACCTAAGATTAAGATCTAAAAAAGTTCTAAAAGATTAACAGCTAACTGGGGCATGGATGCTCATATTTTTTTCACTGTATCTTCCTATATGCTTGAAATATGGCCAGAAAGAAAAGGAAAGCCAAAGGTGAGGAAGTGGAAAAAGCAAGGATCTTGGCTCTGAAGTCTGAGAGAGAGGGTAGGAGCTACAAAAGGAAGAAGGGCCAAGACTGCTAAATGGAGCCACAAGTTTTGAAATGCTGACAAGTCAGAGGCCAGACCTTGTCTTTTCATTTTTTATTATCCCCTTCCAGTTTGACAAATAATACTTGGCAATTAAGTAAGCACTCTATGACTTTTGTTGAATGGATGAATGGAGTTAATAGAAACAGTTGGCATCAGTAGGACATATAGTTGAACATTCCTTTTTCACAAGGTCGCTCAGACTTTACTGAATAGATTCCTCTGGGAACAATTGCTTCCCTCTGAAAAAAAAGCCATCTCTTCTGACTAAATGGAGATTTCTGCCAGCTTCCTAGCACTGATTACAATTCAGCATCCTTTCTTGATTAAAACCCTAACATAATTAGGTATCTATTTTAAAAAAAAAGGCTTTATTGAGTATAATTTACACATTCAGCCATTGTAAGTGTATAATTCAGTGACTTATAAGAAATGTGTGGCTGGGCGCGGTGGCTCACGCCTGGAATCCCAGCACTTTGGGAGGCCGAGGCAGGCGGATAAACTGAGGTCAGGAGTTCGAGACCAGCCTGGCTGACATGGCGAAACCCCGTCTCTACTAAAAATACAAAAAAAGGCCAGGCGCAGTACCTCACACCTGTAATCCCAGCACTTTGGGAGGCCAAGGCGGGTGGATCACCTGAGGTCAGGAGTTCGAGAGCAGCCTGACCAATATGGTAAAACCCCGTCTCTACTAAAATTTAAAAAATTAGCCAGGCGTGGTGGCACGCGTCTGTAGTCCCAGCTACTCTGAGGCAGGAGAATCGCTTGAACCCAGGAGGCAGAGGTTGCAGTGAGCCGAGATGGCACCACCGCACTCCAGCCTGGGCGACACAGTGAGACTCCATCTCAAAAAAAAAAAAAAAAAAATTAGCCAGGCATGGTGGTGGGCACCTGTCATCCCAGCTACTTGGGAAGCTGAGGCAGGAGAATCGCTTGAACCAGGGAGGCAGAGGTTTCAGTGAACCGAGATCATGCCATTGCACTCCAGCCTGGGCAACAAGAGCGAAACTCCCTCTCAAAAAAAAAAAGAAAGAAAAAGAAATGTGTAAAGTTGTACAATTACCATCACAATCCAGTTATAGAACATTATTATTACTCCAAAAAGTCACCTCATGCAGTTATTCTCTCCTCCCACCCCCAGCCCCAGGCTACCACAGATTTGCCATCGGTTTCTATCAATTTTCCTCTCCTGGACATTTTATATAAATGAAATCATATAAAATATAATGGTTGTGTCTGGCTTCTGTCACTTGGTATAATGTGTTACTTAACATAATGTTTTTGAAGTTCATCCATGTCGAAGCATGTATTAGAATTACCTTCATTTTTATTGCCAAATCATTTTCCATTATATGGATATACCACATTTTGTTTTTTGTTTTTTGTTTTTTTGTATTTTGTTTTGAGACAGAGTCTCACTCTGTCGCCCAGGCTGGAGTGCGGTGGTGCAATTTCAGCTCACTGCAACCTCTGCCTCCTGGGTTCAACTGATTCTCCTGCCTCAGCTTCTGGAGTAGCTGGGATTATAGGCGTGCGCCACCACGCCCAGCTAATTTTTGTATTTTTAGTATAGACGGAGTTTTGCCATGTTGGCCAGGCTGCTCTCGAACTCCTGACCTCAGGTGATCCACCTGCCTGGGTCCACATTTTGTTTAACTATTCATCAGGAGCTGGACATTTACGTTGTTTCCAGTTTTGAGCTATTAGGAAGAATTCTGCTGTGAACATGTGATTGCATGTTTTTTTGTGTGTGGATATATGTTTTTATTTTTGTTGGGTACATTCCTAGAAATGGAATGGCTGGGTTTTAGAACAAACTTATATTTTAAAAACACTATCTGGCTGAGTGTGGTGGCTCATACCTGTAATCCCAGCACTTTGGGAGGCTGAGCTGGGCAGATCACAAGGTCAGGAGATCGAGACCATCCTGGCTAACACGGTGAAACCCCTCTCTACTAAATACAAAAAGTTAGCTGGGCATGGTGGTGCACACCTGTAATCCCAGTTACTTGGGAGGCTGAGGCAGGAGAATCACTTGAACCTGGGAGATGGAGGTTACAGTGAGCTGAGATTGTACCACCGCACTCCAGCCTGGGCAAGAGAGCAAGACTCCATCTCAAAAAAAAAAAAAAAAGAAAAAAGAAAGAAAGAAAAGAAAAGCCGGGAGCGGTGGCTCACGCCTATAATCCCAGCACTTTGGGAGGTCAAGGCAGGCAGATTACAAGGTCAGGAGTTCAAGACCAGCCTGGCCAGCATGGTGAAACCCTGTCTTTACTAAAAATACAAAAATTAGCCAGGTGTGGTGGCGGGCACCTGTAATCCCAGCTACTCAGGAGGCTGAGGCAGGAGAATCACTTGACCCCGGGAGGCAGAGGTTGCAGTGAGCCGAGATCACACCACTGCACTCCAGCCTGGGTGACACAGCGAGACTCCATCTCAAAACAAAACAAAACAAAACAAAACCTACCTGTTTTCCAAAGTGGCTCTACCATTTTTGTATTTCTGCCACCAGTACGTGAGGGTTCCAGTTTCTCTACTTCCTCACCCACATTTGTTCTTTTCTGTCTTTGTAATTATAGCCATTTTAGTGTGTGTGAAGTGATATCTCATTGTGGTTTAAAGTTGCATTTCCCTAGTGACTAATGATGTTGAACATATTTTCATGTGCTTATTAGCCATTTGCATGTCTTTTTTGGTGAAATGTTTATTCAAGTCTTTTGCCCATTTTTCAAATTGAGCATTGTTTGTCTTATTATTGAAGTGTAAGAGCTCTATATATTCTGGATACAAGTTCTTTATCAGATACGTGATTTGCAAATAACTTCTCTCAATTGATGGCTTGTGTTTTCATTTTCTTAATGTTATCTTTTGATTCCATTGTCACAGATGTCAGCCTAAAACTGGAAGTATTTAAAATTTAAATTGAAGCAAGATTTTACAGTATATGATAAAAATTCATTATATTTTTCTCTTCTATTTTCATACAGCAAAATGCAATATAAACAGTTTTTCACAATAGTAATAAAAATTTAATTGACTTGATTTAAAAGCAAAGATATTGATTTAAAAGCAAAGAAAACGATAAAACTATAATGTGATAAAGGAGTATATGAATATAGAAGAGATAATCCTTGCTTGAGAAGGATCAATATCGTAAAGATGACATTTTCACAGTGAATATATAAAGTTCCATTCAACAAGCATTAAAAAAATTTCTTTAAATTTTTACTTTTTTTTTTTTTGAGACAGAGTCTCTCTTTGTCACCCAGGCTGGAATGTAGCGGCGTGATCTTGGGTCACTGCAACCTCCGCCTCCTGGGCTCAAGCAATTCTCCTGCCTCAGCCTCCTGGGTAGCTGGGATTACAGGTGCCTGCAACCATGACCGGCTAATTTTTTCTATTTTTAGTAGAGACAGGGTTTCACCATGTTGGCCAGGCTGGTCTTGAATCCTGACTTCAAGTGATCTGCCCTCCTTGGCCTCCCAAAGTGTTGGGATTACAGGCGTGAGTCACTGCACCCAACCTCAACAAGCATTTTTAATACTTATTATATGTTAATCATTATATTCAATGCTGTAAAAAAATATATGAACAAGACATTCTGACATTTACAGGTACTGAGACACTGGAGTCACTATGTGGAAAGGAATTAGCTTGGATTTTTACCTTATCTCTTACAATGTAATGAGCCCCAGGTGAATCTTCCATTTATTCCCTCTGTTCTCTTTATGTATTACTGCATAACAAATCACTCTCAAAACCTAGTGGTGTAGAACAACAGTAATTTATTTTGCTTAAGAATATGCAACTTGAGGAGAGCTTGACAGGGATAACCCTTCTGTGTTCTACAATGTCTAGGGCCTGCATTTGGAAAACTCAAATGGATGATAGTGAATCAAATGGCTGGAGGCTGGAGTGCCAAGAGGTATCTTTGCTCACAAGACTGGTCCCTAGACTAGGAAGGGCCTTTAGAATAAATATCTCTGAAAGAAGCAATGAAAGTGACTAGGAGAAGAATGGAAACCTTCAGGAAGAGCTGTAGAGTAGGCAACGGAAAATTAAGTCTGGGCTGGGCACGGTGGCTCACGCCTGTATTCCCAGCACTTTGGGAGGTCGAGGTGGGCGAATCGCAAGGTTAGGAGTTCTGGCCAACATGGTAATACTCCCTGTCTACTAAAAATACAAAAAATTAGCTGGACGTGGTGGTGGGCGCCTGTAATCCCACCTACTTGGGAGGCTGAGGCAGGAGAATCGCTTGAACCCAGGAGGCAGAGGTTGCAGTGAGCTGAGATTGCGTCACTGCACTCCAGCCTGGGAGACGGAGTGAGACTCTGTCAAAAAAAAAAAAAAAGAAGAATATATCCAAGTGGCCAATAATATTGTATAAACTCGGCCGGGCACGGTGGCTTACGCTTGTAATCCCAGCACTTTGGGAGGCCAAGCTGGGTAGATCACCTGAGGTCAAGAGTCCAAGACCAGCCTGGCCAACAAGGCGAAACCCCAGCTCTACTAAAAATACAAAACAGCTGGGCATGGTTGGGAGCACCTGTAATCCCAGCTACTTGGGAGGCTGAGGCAGGAGAATCACTTGAATCCAGGAGACAGAGGTTGCAGTGAGTAGGGATTACACCACTGCACTCCAGCCTGGGCAACGGAACGAGACTCTGTCTCAAAAAAAAAAAAAAAAAGAATTGGAGAAACTCAGATTCAATGACCAATAAACAATGGAGAAATATAAATTAAAACCACAGTGGTATACCACCATACACCCACACTAATACCAATTATTGGTGAAATTATGGAGCAACTAGAACTCTTATACATTGCTGGTGGGAGTGTACATTGGTTCAGCTACTTTGGAAAAGTGTCTTACAAGATTTACCAAAACCGAACACATGTATGTAGTAACCTGGTAATTCCACTCCTAGTTATACACCCAAGTGAAGTGCATATGTCCACCAAACAATATGTTCAGGAGTATTCATAGCAATCTTATTCATGGCAACTTCAGGCGGGTGACAACCCAAATATCCATCAAAAGGAGAATGGACAGGCCCGGCACAGTGGCTCACGCCTGTAATCCCAGCACTTTGGGAGGCCGAGGCGGGTGGATCACCTGAGGTCAGGAGTTCGAGACCAGCCTGGCCAACATGGCGAAACCCAGTCTCCACTAAAAATAGAAAAATTAGTCGGGCGTGGTGGCGCATGCCTGTAGTCGCAGCCACCTGGGAGGCTGAGGCAGGAGAATCACTGGAACCCGGGAGGTGGAGGCTGCAGTGAGCCAATATCATACCACTGCACTCCAGCCTGGGCAACAGAGTGAGACTCCATCAAAAAAAAAAAAAAAAAAAGAATGGACAAATAAGTTGTGATGTACATAGAAAATGGAACACTGCACAGTAATGAAAAAGAACAAACTACTGCTACATGCAACAACATAGCTGAATCTTACAGATAAATTGAGCAAAAGGAGCCAGACCAAGAGTACAAAAAGAAAACTGGCTAGGCATGGTGGCTCATGATTGTAATTCCAGCACTTTCGGAGGCCAAGGTGGGCAGATCACCTCAAGTCAGAAGTTCGACGACCAGTCTGACCAACATGGTGAAACACCGTCTCTACTAAATACAAAAAATTATCTGGGTGTGGTGGCGGGCACCTGTAATCCCAGCTACTTGGGAGGCTGAGGCAGGAGAATCACTTGAACCTGGGAGGAGGAGGTTGCAGTGAGCTGAGATTGCACCACTGCACTCCAGCCTGGGCAACAGAGCAAGACTCCATCTAAAAAAAAAAAAGAAGAAGAAGAAGAAAAGAAGCTGTGGCTCACGCCCGTAATCCTAGCACTTTGGGAGGCCAAGGCAGGCAGATCACCTGAGGTCAGGAGTTCAAGACTAGCCTGGCCAGCATGGTGAAACACTGTCTATACTAAAAATACAGAAAGTAGCTGGACGTGGTGGCATGTGCCTGTAATCCCAGCTATTCAGGAGGCTGAGGCAGGAGAATCACTTGACCCCAGGAGGTGGAGGTTGCAGTGAGTGAGATCGTGCCACTGCACTCCAGCGTGGGTGATACAGCAAAACTCCATCTCAAAAAAAAAAAAGGAAAAGAAAACTCTAGTAATAAGAGTCGGAATAGTGGTAACCTCTGTATTCACTAGGGAGAATAGAGGAGCCTTCTGGAGTATGAAAATGTTTTATACTGATCTGCAGAATAGTCACATGGATGTATACATATGCATGAATTCATTGAACTGTACATACTTAAGTGCACTTTATGTACCCTATACCCTACTGTATGTAATTTATATGCCAATAAAAATTAAAACGGTATATTTCTCAGTAGGATATTCTAGGCAGCAAATACTGTTGGAACTGCTATTCTGGCCTAAGTTAGGTTGTGGCTACAAGAGGAAGATGGACTCATGATGGAGTCCATCATGATTTTGTATTATGAAGGTATGTAGGGTTGGAGCAGGTAGAGTAAGTTAACTTTCAGGTGCTGACAAGTGCTGCAATGATTGTTGTTTAGAGGGAATTGTGTTAAATGCGGGTCCAGTGGATGTCACTATGTCCACAATCAGGGTTTGGATGGTCTGTAGTGTCTACTTGAGCAATGCCGTTGCAGAACCCAACATAAGGGTGGAATTATCCTGCTAAGACCATAGCCAGTTGTTCTGGTGGAACAGACCACCCTACTTTTGTCACCTTTAGTAGCAGGGTGCTAGTAGTCCCAGACCTTAGCAGGTGCACCTATATCTAGATGTCTGCTTGTTGAACTTTCTCAGTAGCCCCCGAAGGCTACAGCTGAAGGAGGATGGCTGCAAAATTCCTGGGCAGGAGGATCCTTAAGGTAGGGTAGCTTATGCCGCCCAACACTCTGACATAGATAGACCTTTTCTGAAGATGGCAGCCCTGTTGATATTTGCTGCCTGATATATGGAGGGTGTGGAAGCAAACCTATCAAAGAAGAGACCCACCCAGGCTGCCAAGCTGAAATCTCCAGGTTTACTCCCACTGCTCCAGGCAACCGTTCAGATTCTGCAGACCAGACACAGTGCTGGGCCCCGAGATACTATCTTTCCACACCTGGAAGGCAGCTCAGTAATTGGCAAGTACTGTTTCTTCTTGGGACAAATTGACTTCAGCTAAAAGTGAGAAGAAACACATAAGTGAGGAACCCAGACTGGGATCCTTTCATGCAAAACAAATCTCAGTGTTGAGAGTATCAGTTTTCCTAAAGGAAGCTTGCTTGGGTCAAGTTGGACAAAGATCCAGGTGGAAGTAAATCGATTTTGTGTGTGTGTTTGTTTTGTTTTATAAAACAGAAAGATAAATATCTTTCTTCTCCTGAAAGTTGGTCTTTGAGGGTCAAGATAATAAAATGTTGGCAAAACCATTTAGATGAAAGAAACTTGGGTATACTCTATTTATGGCTTTATATATTATTGTATATATTATATATTTATATATTTTTCACTTAACATTATATTGTAAACATTCTTCAAAAATGATTTTGAATGGCTGCATAATCATTCATCATGAATATGCTGGGATTTATTTAAACATTTCTCTATTGTTGAATATGTCTAATGTTCCCAACTTTTTGCTCTTATAAATAATGCTGTAATGAAAATCTGATTTGGCAAACACAAGTCTGTTTCTCTTTGGGATTGATTCCTAAGGCTGAAATGACCACAACAAAAGTATGAGCATTTAAAATGTTTTGATACTGATTGTTTATCAAAAATTGTATTTGATGGACCAACAATTCCAGTTATCCCACCCTCCTGGATATAGTGATTTCTACAGATGACTAATGCTAACGCCAGGCTCTCACTCGGATAACCTCCTCCCTGCTGAAGTCCTACATACTTACAGTTAATTTTGTAAGAGCAAAGGTGGTGGCATCAGGTAGACCCCAGTTCAGTCTTCTAGTCTTCCAAGTCCTGGATGTGTGTCCTTGGATCTCAGTTTCTTATCTGTTAAACAGGGATAATAAGATGTAGTTATTTTTATTAGTTTGTTTGTAGTTTTTTGTTGTTGTTGTCATAACACGTTATGTACAGATACATCTACAGGAAAACAAAAGATGTTTTCAGTATTAAAAACAAAACATAGGCTGGGCGCAGTGGCTCGCACCTGTAATCCCAGCACTTTGGGAGGCTGAGGTGGGCAGATCACTTGAGGTCAGGAGTCCAACTCTACTAAAAAATAAATAAATAAATAAATAATTAGCCAGGCATGGTGGCACGTGCGTGTGATCCCAGCTACTTGGGAGGCTGAGGCAGGAGAATCACTTGAACCTGGGAGGCAGAGAGCTGAGATCGCGCCCCTGCACTCCAGCCTGGGTGACACAGGGTGAGACTCTGTCTCAAAAACAACAAAAAAGTTTATACTTTTCCCTTCATTGAGGTCACAAAGACCAAATAATAAAGCCAAATCATCTTGCTATAACATCAACTTAAGTGGAATCATCCTGTTAATTTAAAAACTCTGATTAGCACTTAAATATCTTTGATAATAAAAAACTGGGGCCGGGCTCGGTGGCTCACGCCTGTAATCCCAGCACTTTGGGAAGCCAAGGCGGGCAGATCACCTGAGGTCAGGAGCTTGAGACCAGCCTGGCCAACATGGAGAAACCCCCATCTCTACTAAAAGTACAGAAATTGGCCGGGCATGGTGGTGGACACCTGTAATCCCAGCTACTTCGGAGGCTGAGGCTGGAGAATCACTTGAACCCGGGAGGCGGAGGTTGCAGTGAGCCCAGATTGCGCCACTGCACTCCAGCCTGAGCGACAGAGCAAAACTCCGTCTCAAAAAAAAACTGGAAAGCAAATTACTTAATATGTCTTGTTTACATAGACAACTGTGCCAGTACCATTTGTTGAACAGACTTAATTTCCCTATTAAATTCCTTTAATACTTTGGTAAAAAACCAATTGATCACATAAGAGTAGGTCCATTTCAGCCAGGCACGGTGGCTCACGCCTGTAATCCTAGCACTTTGGGAGGCCAAGGCAGGTGGACCTCCTGAGGTCAGGGGTTTGAGACCAGCCTGGCCAACACGGTGAAACCCTGTCTCTACTAAAAATACAAAAATTAGCCAGTTGTGGTGGTGCATGCCTGTAATCCCAGCTACTCAGGAGGCTGAGGCAGGAGAATCGCTTGAATCCGGGAGGGGGAAGTTGCAGTGAGCCAACATCACTCCACTGCACTCCAGCCTGGGTGACAGAGCAAGACTCTGTCTCAAAAATTAATAAATAAATAATAAATTAATTAAATTAAAAAAGAGTTTTACGGCCATGCGTGGTGACTCACGCCTGTAATCCCAGCACTTTGGGAGGCCGAGGCGGGCATATTACCTGAGGTCAGGAGTTCGAGACCAGCCTGGCCAACATGGTGAAACCCCGTCTGTACTAAAAATACAAAAATTAGCTAGTCATGGTGGCACATGCCTGTAATATCAGCTACTCGGGAGGCTGAGGCAGGAGAATTGCTTGAGCCCAGGAGACAGAGGTTGCAGTGAGCTGAGATTGTGTCACTGCACCCCAGCCTGGCCAACAGAGCGAGACTCTGTCTAAAAAATAAATAAATAAATAAATAAATAAATAAAATAAATTCCCGACCTGACCAACATGGAGAAACTCCATCTCTACTAAAAATACAAAAAATTAGCCGGGCGTGGTGGCTCATGTCTGTAATCCCAGCTACTTGGGAGGCTGAGGCAGGAGAATCACTTGATCCCAGGAGGCAGAGGTTGCAGTGAGCCGAGATCGCACCATTACACTCCAGCCTGGGCAACAGGAGTGAAACTCCGTCTCAAAAAAATCAATCAATCAATCAATCAATTTACTTCTTTCTTTCTTATATGTATGATTTTTCTTTTTTTTTTTTCTTTTCTCATTGTATTGATGATGTTCAGTAGAAATAGTGAGTGGACTGCCTTGACTTCATCTTGATATAATGGAAAAAAGCGTTCAGTCTTTCATCATTAAGTATGGTGTTAGCTTTAAGTTTTTCATAGATGCCCTTTATTGGGTTGAATATTTTTTTCCTCTAAATTTGCTGAGGGTTTTTATCATGAATGGGTGTTGAGTTTTGTTAAATGCTTTTTCTGCATCTATTGAAATGGTCATCTAGCTTTACTCCTTTTTTTTCTGTTAATGTGGTAAATAGCATCAGTTGATTTTGGAGTATTAATCCAAACTTGCATGCCTCAGAAAAGGTCATTTATTTGTGATATGTAATCTTTTTAATATATAGGTTAATTCAATCTGTTATTATCTTGGTATAGATTTTGTACTTATTTTCATCAGGAATATATCCCTGCAATTTTCTTTTCTCATAATGCCTTTATCTAGTTTTGATATCAGAGTAATGTAAAATAGAGAAGTGTGTCTTTCTCTATTTTACAAAAAAGATTTATATGAAATTGGTATTATTTCTTCCCTAAATGTTTGATAGAATTCACTAGTGAAGTTATCTTAGTCTGGAGGGGTTTTTTTTGTTTTGTTTTGTTTTGTTTTTTTTCTGAGATGGAGTCTTGCTCTGTTGCCCAGGCTGGAGTGCCGTGGCGCAATCTCGGCTCACTGCAAACTCCGCCCCCCAGGCTCACGCCATTCTCCTGCCCCAGCCTCCCGAGAAGCTGGGACTACAGGCGCCCGCCACCACGCCCGGCTAATTTTTTGTATTTTAGTAGAGACGGGGTTTCACCGTGTTAGCCAGGATGGTCTCAATCTCCTGACCTTGTGATCCGCCCGCCTCGGCCTCCCAAAGTGCTGGGATTACAGGCGTGAGCCACCGCGCCCGGCTTTTGTTTTGCTTTTGGAGCTTTATTTTTAATGGAAAATTTTTATTTTATTTATTTATTTATTTTATTTTATTTTTTGTGTGACAGTCTCTCTCTGTCACCCAGGCTAGAGTGTAGTGGCGTGATCTTGGCTCACTGTAACCTCTGCCTCCTGGGTTTAAGTGATTCTAGTGCCTCAGCCTCCCGAGTAGCTGGGACTACAGGCGCATGCCACCATACCTGGCTAATTTTTGTATTTTTAGTAGAGACAGGGTTTCACCATGTTGGCCAGGCTTGTCTTGAACTCCTGACCTCAAGTGATCTGCCTGCCTCAGCCTCCCAAAATGCTGGGATTACAGGCATGAGCCACCACACCCAGCCAAATCGAAAAATTTTAAATTCCATTTTTAAAATAGTGTCTTTTAAGGAATTGGTCTATTTCATCTAGGTATTCAAATTTTTTGGCATACATTTCTTCCTTTTGAGACAGGATATTACTCTCTTGCCCAGGCTGAAGCCCAGTGGCATGATCTCAACTCACTGCAGCCTGACCACTTGGACTCAAGCAACCCTCCTACCTCAGCCTCCCAAATAGCTGTGACTACAGGCCCATGCCACCACTCCTGGCTAATTTTGCATTTTTTATAGAGAAGAGGTTTCACCATGTTGCCCAGGTAGGTCTCGAACTCCTGGGCTCAAGCAACCCTCCTGCCTCGGCCTCCCAAACTGCTGGGATTACAGGCATGAGCCACCACACCTGGCTGAATGTTTTCTTTATTCATCTGATTACTTAATAATTGTTTAAAAATTTCTACCTTCTTGGGATGAGTCTTTTGATTCTCCCTTTTGCCTTTCTCATTCTCTTGTTAACTAACCTAATGTTTTTATTAGCATCAGTAAGACCCGTGAAGGGAAGCTCCTCTCATTCATTTCTTTTCTTTCTTTCTTTCTTTTTTTGAGACGAGGTCTCACGTTGCCACTCAGACTGGAGTGCAGTGGTACGATCATGGCTCACTGCTGCCTCAACCTCCTGGCTTAAGTGATCGCACCTCAACCTCCCAGGTTGCTGGGACCACAGGCACACACCACCACGCCCAGCTAGTTTTTTTGAAAGTTTTTTGTAGATAAGCGATGTTGTTAAGTTGCCCAGACTGGCCTGGAACTCCTGGGTTCAAGTGATCCACCCGCCTAGGCCTCCCAAAGCACTTGGATTACAGGCATGAGCCACCACACCTGGAGACATTTTCTCTTGATATAGATTCTAGTTTGACAGGTTTTACTTTTCTTTCATCACTTTAAATTGTTGTTACATTGTGTTCTGAGCTGCATTATTTCTGATGAGACGTCAGAGGCTATTCTTATCACTGTTCCTCTATGTAATGCATATTTTTCCTCTGGTTGCTTTTTTTTTTTTTTTTTTCATCTTCTTCTTTTTTTTTTTTTTTGAGACAAGTTCTTGCTGTGTCACCCAGGCTGGAGTGCAGTGGCACTCACTGCAACCTCCACTTCCTGGGCTGAAGTAATCCTCCTACCCCAACCTCCCAAGTAGCTGAGACTACAGGCACAAGCTACCGCACCCAGCTAATTTTTTTTTCTTTTTGTATTTTTAGTAGACGTGGAGTTTTGCCACGTTGCCCAGGCTGGTCTCAAACTCCTGACCTCAAGTGATCTGTCTGCCTTGGCCTCCCGGAATGCCGCGATTACAGACGTCAACCACTGGACTTTTCTGGTTGGTTTTAAGTTTGTTTTTTTGTTTGTTTGTTTGTTTGTTTTTGGTTGGTTTGGTTTTGAGACATTTAATTCTGATGTTCCTTGGCATGTTTCTTTGATTTTTATCATTCCTGGGGTTCTCGGAGCTTCTTGGATCTGTGGGCTTATATTTTCAAAATTCTGAAACCATTTTGACAATTATTCACATGCTATATTTTAAATATTATTCAGATATTTTTTCTGCTTGAGTATCTCTCACCTCTCTTCCTGGTACTTAAACTTCACACCTAGTAGATGGCCTGATATCGTCCAATAGATTGCTGATAATTTGACAACAGTTTTCTGGACTTTTTTTTTCTTGATGTGATTCAGTTGGGATAGTTTCTATTGTCATGTGTTCAAATTCACTGATCTTTCTTCTGTGTGTCTAGTCTGCTGTTAAGCCTATCAAGGCCAGGCACAGTGGCTCACACCTGTCATCCCAGGACTTTGGGATGCTGAGGCATGAGAATCACTTGAGGCCAGAAGTTCAAGACCAGCCTAGACAACACAGCAAGACCCTATCCCTATAAAAAGTGAAACAACAACAACAAAACCATTAGCTGGGTGTGGTGGCATGTGCCTGTAGTCCTAACTGCTGGGGAGGCTGTGGTGGGAGGATCACTTGAGCCAAGGAGTTCAGGGCTACAGTAAGTCATGATCACGCCACTGCACTGCAGTCTGGGTGATAGAGTGAGATCTTGTCTCTAATTAAATAATAATAATTAAAAAAAACCTGTTCAGGTCGGGCATAGTGGCTCACACCTGTAATCCCAGCACTTTGGAAGGGCAAGCTGGGTGCATCACTTGAGGCCAGGAGTTTGAGACCAGCCTGGCCATCATGGCGAAACCCCGTCTTTACTAAAAATACTAAAAATTAGCTGGGCATGGTGATGCACACCTGTAGGCCCAGCTATTTGGGAGGCTGAGGCACGAGAATCGCTTGAACCCGGGAGGCAGAGGTTGCAGTGAGCCAAGATCATGCCACTACACTCCAGCCTGGGTGACAGAGCAGCAAGACTCCGTCTCAAACAAACAACAACAACAAACCTATCCACTTAAATTTTTCATTCGTATATTTTATTTTTAGATTCTAAAATTTTTGTTTGATTCTTTTCTGCATTTTCCGTCTTTCTATTGACATTTCCCAATTGTTCTCTCATTGTGTTCATCTTTTCCTTAAAATAGTTTAATGTGTTTATAATGCAGGTTTAAAGTCCTTGTTGATAATAACATCATTTCCATCATGTTGGGGTGTATTTCTATTTACTAACTTTCTTCCTCATTATAGATCATACTTTCCTGCTTCTTTCTGTATCTAGTAATTTTTAAATTATATGCTAGACATTATGGATGCTAAATTGTTGAGTGTCCAAATTTTTTTTAACTTCCTTGATAGATTTTTAGATTTTCTTTTTCAGGGACTTAATTTACTTGGGAATTAGCTTAATACTTTTGAAACTTATTTTTTAGCTTTGTTAGGGTGGGTCTAGAGAAACCTTTAACTCTAGGGCTAGATTAGTCTTTCTCCTAAGATGGGGTCTTTCTGAGATGTCTGCTGTGGTCTCATTTTTTATAAAGTATTTCCACTCTGGCTGGTTGAAACTTGAACATCTTTCAGACCTGTATGAGATTCGGTAGTTATTTAGCTCTCAGCTAAATGATAGTTGTTATTTCTCTGGTAATTGTTCATTGCCCAGCCTCTTGGAGACTTGTTCTGTGCATGCATAGTTTAGTATTTAGACGAAGACTCAACAGGGTCCCGACGCAGATTTTTGGAGGTCCTCCTTGGCATTGGTTCTTTCTCTTTGGTAATCTGCCCTACACATTCCAGACACAAGGTAGTCCTGAACTCTGATTTCCGTGTTCTTAAGTCAGGGAGACTTTTGTCCTCTGGTTGGGCTACCCCTCAGACACCACAGTCCAGAAATTGGCTCCAGAGAGAAAGCCATGGCATGCGGGCTCGTTTTGTTTGTTCCCTTTGCTGAAGAATCATGGTGCTGTGTTGCCTGAGGTACAACAGTTATTTCATGTATTTTGTCCAGCTTTATAGCTGTTTACTGAGGGAGAGCTGGTTGAGTATCAGTTTCTGTCATGGCTTGAAGTGTAAATACTTGCCTTTCAGCTTTCATATTTTTAATTTTGGAGAGTGATGAAAATATTCTAAATCATGAGTTTCAGAGGTAGTTATGTGACTATACACTTGTCAGAACTCATTGAATTGTGTAATAAGGGTACTTTTTTTGCATGTAGATGTTTATTTTATTTTATTTATTTATTTATTTATTTTTTGAGGTGAAATCTTGCTCTGTCACATAGGCTAGAGTGCAGTGGCGCAATCTCGGCTCATTGCAACCTCTGCCTCCCAGATTCAAGCGATTTTCATGCTCAGCCTCTTGAGTAGCTGGGATTACAGGTGCGCATCACCACATCTGGCTAATTTAACATCCGGCTAATTTTTGTATTTTTAGTAGAGACAGGGTTTCACCATGTTGGCCAGGCTGGTCTCAAACTCCTGACCTCATGTGATCCACCCGCCTTGGCCTCCCAAAGTGTTGGGATTACAGGTGTGAGCCACCACGCCCAGCCATGCATGTAAATTATACTCCAATAAAGCTCAGAAAAAGGTAAAATACTTTTTGAGACAAAAAAGTATTAAATGTTTAAATATTATTAAATATTAAATATAAGCACACACAAGAGTATACAGAATAATGGGAAACACCCTTATCATTATCACTCAGACTACAAAATAAAGCAATACAAATACAAGCAGAAGCTCCGTATATATGCCTCTCTTTGCATTTACTATCCTCATGCTTGTTTTTATCACCTTACTTCATATGTAGGTGTCTCCACAAATATGGTATTGTTTTCCCTGTCTTTAAACTTCACACATAAATGTTTCATTCATCTAGCTGTTTTCAATGATGTGATAATAAATAGGCAAACCCACACATGTGATTATATTTGCACAACTTCTAGACTTGGACCTGTACAGAAATGCAAAGTTTACCTGACTCTCTACATTTTGAACTCACTGTACTTCTCTCAGGAGAGAATGCCAAGAAAGTCACTGTCATTTATTCCTCTGCCTGGGGCAGAAAAATTAGTGAACACTCACTCTTGGTAAGTGGCATGAAAGGCCATTTGTAAGCCTGGCCCTGCTCCAATGGCTGCTGTGAAGATTCATGCACTGAGGGTGATGAGGGCTTGGAGCTCCCCTTGGCCTGAGTCAGCAACCTGCTGGTGCCTGGTGTCAGCAGTTTCCGGTCAGGGAGTGACTCACTGGACACCCTCCTACTTTCTGCTGGATGGAAGTGAGTGTCTCAGGGAAATTGATTCCAGCCCTCAGATCCAGACTGCACCATTAACTCTGTAAATCTGATTAATCCCTTAACAAGGGTCAGAAACATCTGTAATTCCTTTCCAGCGAGCCTCGTTTTTTATTTTATTATTATTATTATTTTGAGATGGAGTTTCACTCTTGTCGCCCAGGCTGGAGTGCAATGGCGTGATCCCGGCTCACTGCAACCTCCACCTCCCAGGTTCAAGCGAGTCTCCTGCTTCAGCCTCCCGAGTAGCTGGGATTACAGGTGCCCGCCACCACACTCAGCTAATTTTGTATTTTTAGTAGACGGGGTTTCTCCATGTTGGTCAGGCTGGTATCTAACTTCCGACCTCAGGTGATCTGCCCGCCTCGGCCTCCCAGGGTGCTGGGATTACAGGCGTGAGCCACTGCACCCGGCCTTACCAAATTTAAAACGATAGAAACACTGTTCAGACCAGGAACGGTGTCTCACACCTGTAATCCCAGCACTTTGGGAGGCCGAGGTGGCCGATCACTTGAAGTCAGGCGTTTGGGACCGGCCTGGCCAACATGGCAAAACCCCGACTCTACCAAAAATACAAAAATTAGCCAGGCGACATGGCGAATGCCTGTAATCCCAGCTACTCAGGAGGCTGAGGCAGGAGAATTGCTTGAACCCGGGAGGCGGAGGTTGCAGTGAGCCAATATTGTGCCACTGCACTCCAGCCTGGGAGACAGAGCGAGACTCCATCTCAAAAAGAAAACAAAAACAAAACAACAACAACAACAACAAACCCACTTTGTTCATAGAACTGCTGTGTATACAGCATGAAATTTGTATTTTCTTTTTAAATCTACAATCCTACACTTCAGGTTTGCAACTTTTGCTAATGTAAATCCTCCAGAACAAGCCTATCTCTTAAATCACTAGCAAGACTGCAGCTCATAAACACAGCCGGATCCTTCAGAATGAGTTTTATTTTCTCATATCCTTTGCTTATTCTAAGTAGAGCTTCATTTTCTTTTCCATGCTATTTTGAGCTATAACAAACCGCTCCTCTGTCCATTTCTTGATTTCCTGACAGGTCAGTTTTGATCTGTATAGTTTGATCAGTATAGTTAAATTTCCTGAAAGGCCACACAGCTGAGCCATGTAAAGTTCTCAGTAGAAATAAGAGGGACTGTGGCCAGGCATGGTGGCTCACGCCTGTAATCCCAGCACTTTGGGAGGCTGAAGTGAGTGGATCACCAGAGGTCAGGAGTTCAAGACCAGCCTGACCAACATATTGAAACCCTGTCTCTGCTAAAAATACAAAAAATTAGCTGGGCGTGGTGGCGGGCTCCTGTAATCCCAGCTACTCTGGAGGCTGAAGCAGGAGAATCGCTTGAACCCAGGAGGTGGAGATTGCAGTGAGCCGAGATGGCGCCATTGTACTCCAGCCTGGGCGACAAGAGCAAAATTCTGTCTCAAAAAATAAAAAAAATAAAAAAATTAAAAAAAGAAAGAAAGAAGAGGGACATCAAACAGAGGAGCCTGTTTTCAGAGTTCCCAGACCACATGAAATTCAGAAGCATTAACTAACCCCTTTGAAAGCAAAAATTTAATGCAGAAAAAGTACAAAAAGCATGCCAATATTAGGACACACGCACACACAACTGCATACACACTTTTTTTGCACATTTATTTTTTATTCTACTTCAAGTCAAGTATAATCAGTTTCTATATTTTTCAGTGAAATCAATTCCTTGAGGACTGAACATGCTTTTCTCATACACCCACAGTTTTCCTCCTCCCAGCTTCACCATTTAGGGATATGATACTTTTCAGAGTTGATAGGAAGTGTTTACCTTATTTTGACCATCTCAATATTGTTCACTTTTGAGACACGTACTATAATATAGCATGAATGACTTTCCTTTTTTCTTCTTTTTCTTTTTTTGAGAATGAGTCTCGCTTTATCACCCAGGCTGGAGTGCAATGGCATGATCTTGGCTCATTGCAACCTCCTTCTCCTGGGTTTAAGCGATTTTCCCCGCTCAGTCTCCCGAGTAGCTGGGATTACAGGTGCCCGCCACAACACCCGGCAAATTTTTGTGTTTTTAGTAGAGACGGGGTTTCACCATGTTGGCCGGGCTGGTCTCAATCTCCTGACTGCAAGTGATCTGCCTGCCTTGGCCTCCCAAAGTGCTGGGATTACAGGTGTGAGCTACGGCACCCAGCCATGAATGGCTTTCTTATTCCCTACAAATATTGTTTTATATCCTAGAATTCCAATTTTTTTTCATTTTTTAAATTTTTTATGTGCACGTATCTAATTTTCTTTGACTACTTCAAACCTGTGAAAGCCTCTCAGTAGTGTCTCTGAATACAAAAAGAGTTCCATTTTCCTTATTTGCCAAAGCACATCATCTAGGAGATTCCTCAAAAGTTGCATAGGGTATTCTTTTTTTTTTGAGATGGAGTCTCGCTTTGTCGCCAGGCTGGAGTGCAGTGGTGCAATCTCGGCTCGCTGCAACCTCTGCCTCCTGGGTTCAAGTGATTCTCCTGCCTCAGCCTCCCAAGTAGCTGGGACTGCAGGTGTGTGCCACCATGCCCAGCTAATTTTTATATTTTTAGTAGAGATGAGATTTCTCCATGTTGGCCAGGATGGTCTCAATCTCTTGACCTCATGTTTGGCCTACCCGGGCTTCCCAAAGTGCTGGGATTATAGGTGTGAGCCACCGCGCTTGGCCAGGTTATCTTTTTTTTTTTTTTGAGACGGAGGTTTTGCTCTTGTTGCCCAGGCTGAAGTGCAACGGCGTGATCTCGGCTCACCGCAACCTCTGCCCCCCAGGTTCAAGCAGTTCTCCTGCCTCAGCCTCCCAAGTAACTGGGATTACAGGCATGTACCACCACGCCTGGCTAATTTTGTATTTTTAATAGAGACGGGGTTTCTCCATGTTGAGGCTGGTCTCGAACTCCTGACCTCAGGTGATCCACCCACCTTGGCCTCCCAGAGTGTTGGGATTACAGGCGTGAGCCACTTCGCCCAGACTTTTTTTTTTTTTTTAAGAAGGGAAGTCTTTGTATGCCTTAAGATGTCCTTATTCAACTCTCAAATTTAGAATTTTAGGTTGAAAATAATTTTTCTTGGCCAGTCACAGTAGCTCATGCCTGTAACAATACCAGCACTTTGGGAGGCCGAAGCAGGTGGATCCCTTGAACTCAGGAGTCAGCAGTTTGAAACAGCCTAGGCTAATACAGCAAAATCCCGTCTCTACAAAAAATACAAAAAAATTAGCCGGGCGTGGTGGCACATCCCTGTGGTCCCAGCTACTCGGGAGGCTGAGGTGGGAGGATTCCTTGAGCCCAGGAGGTTGAGGCTGCAGTGAGTGAACCAAGATTGAGACACTGTACTCCATCTGGGTGACAAAGCAAGACCCTGTTTCAAATAATAATAATAATAATAATAATAATAATTTTTCTTCAGAATTTTGTAGTCATTTCTCCACTGTTTTTTAGCATCCTGTGTTGCTTTTGAAAAGTTTCAGTGCCACTCTGATTCTGTTTTCTATTTCTTTGAATGAGAACTGTGTTCTCTCTCTCTCTCTCTTTCCTTCCCTCTCTTCCTTCCCTACCTGTATTCTTAAATTTCACAACATGGCTTTGTGTGCTGGGTACACAGTAGGCCTTTTCAATATGGTGACTTCCAATGAGGTGACATTCATGATGCTGGGGGAAATCTACTTGTACCATATCTGAAATAATTTTCTCGCCTCCACGTTCTCTCTTTCTGCAACATCTGTTATTCCCAATCTCATGGAATAAATTTCTAATTTTTTATTACCCATATTTTCCATCTCTTTGGTTTTTGTGTTTTATTATACTTTCTGGGAGTTTCCTCAACTTTACATTTCAACCTTTGATTGAACTAAAATCCCATCTATAATGTTTTTAATTCTTCCTTTTTTTTTTTTTGAGACAGGGTCTTGCTCTGTTGCCCAGGCTGGAGTGCAGTGGCGCCATCTCAGCTTGCCACAGCCTCAACCTCCTGTGCTCAGGTGATCCTCCCACCTCAGCCTGTAAAGTAGCTGGGACTACAGGCATGTGCCACCACACCTGGCTAATTTTTGTGTTTTTTGCAGACCTGGGGTTTTGCCATGTTGCCCAAATCTCAAACTCCTGGACTGAAGTGATCCACCTGCCTTGGCCTCCCAAAGTGCTGGGATTACAGGCATGAGCCATCGTGCCTGGTCTATGGTGTTTTTATTTTATTTTTTTGAGACAAGGTCTCACTGTGTCACCCAGGCTGGAGTGCAATGGCATAATCACAGCTCACTGCAGCCTTGACCTCCCAGGCTCAAGCGGTCCTCTCACCTCAGCCTCCCGAGTGGCTGACATCACAGGTGAGCACCACCACCTGCAGCTAATTTTCATATTTTTTTGTGTAGACAGAGTTTCGCCATGCTGCCCAGGGTAGTCTCAAACTCCTGAGCTCAAGCGATCCAACTGCCTCAGCCTCTCAAAGTGCTGGGATTACAGGTACGAGCCACGCAGCCGGCCTGTTTTTAATTTTTAAGAGCTCTATCTTGTTCTCCTATTGTTCCTGGTTTTATTTTATTTTTTTTTTGTTTTTGAGACAGAGTCTTGCTCTGTTACCCAGGCTGGAGTGCAGTGGCGCCATCTCGGCTCACTGCAACCTCCGTCTCCTGGGCTCAAGCAACTCTCTTGCCTCAGCCTCCCAAGCACCTGGGATTACCTGTGTGCCACAACGCCTGGCTAATTTTTGTATTTTTAGTAGAGACGGTGGTTTCACCATGTTGACCAGGCTGGTCTTGAACTCTTGACCTCAAGTAATCTGCCCACCTTGGCCTCCCAAAGTGCTGGGATTACAGACCTGAGCCACCGTGCCCAGCCCTGTTTTTAATTTTTAAGAGCTCTATTTTGTTCTCTGATTGTTCCTGGTTTTGTTTTATTTTATTTTATTTTATTTTTTGTTTTTGAGATGGATTCTCACTCTGCCACCCAGGCTGGAGTGCAGTGGTGCAATCTCGGCTTGCTGCAACTTCAGCCTCCTGGGTTCAAGTGATTCTCCTGCCTCAGCATCCCGAGTAGCTGTGACTACAGGCATGCATCACCATGTCCAGCTAGTTTTTTATATTTTTAGTAAAGATGGGGTTTCACCATTTTGGCCAAGATGGTCTCGAATTCCTGACCTCGTGATCCGCCCGCCTCAGCCTCCCAAAGTGCTGGGATTACAGGCATGAGCCACCGCACCCGGCCTAGTTTAAAGTTTTTAATCGAGGTATAATTTATATACTGAAAAATATACAATTTTAAATGTATATATACAATTTTGATTATAGTGCTTGATGAATTTTACATATGATTACACCTGTATAGCCACACATAGATCAAGATATAGAATATTTCTGGTACCATGAAAGGCTTTCTCTTACACGCCTTCTCAGGCAATACAACCTCAAGAAGCAACCACTCTTCTGATTTCTTTCAACAACCGTTAGTTTTGCTTGTTCTTGAACTTCATATCAATGGAATCATATATTACGTACTCTTCTATGTCTGGTTTATTTCACTCAACAACATTATGTCTGTGAGATCCATCCCTGTAACCAATTGTAGCCGGTATTCCCTATTTGTATTGATGTATTCTATTTCATCATATAAATATACCACAATTTATTTCCCATTGAAGGACATTTGAGTTGTTTTCAGTTTGGATGTATTATGAATAAAGCTACTATGAACATTCCCATACTTTTTTTTTTTGAGACAGAATCTCATTCTGTCACCCAGGCTGGAATGCAGTGGCATGATTTCAGCTCACTGCAACCTCTGCCTCCCAGGTTCAAGATCTTCTTGTGCCTCAGCCTCCTGAATAGTCGGGACTACAGGTGTACACCACCACACCTGGCTATATTATTATTATTATTATTATTATTATTATTAGTAATAGTAGTAGTAGTAGTAGTAGTAGAGATGGGATTTCACTATGTTGGCCAGGCTGGTTTCAAACTCCTGGACTCAAGTGATCCACCTGCCTCAGCTTCCCAAAGTGCTGGGATTACAAGTGTGAGCCACCATGCCTGGCTTGTACATGTTTATTGCAGATGTAAGCACTCATTTCTATGGGGTGAAATTTCTGGGTCATAGGGTATATGAAGGTTTAGCTTTAATATATATTGTCAAATAGTTTTTCAAAGTGGTTGTACCAATTTATACTTCTGCCAGCAACGTATACAAGTTTTAGTTGCCCTACATTCTCGTCAACACTTGCTATTGTAAATTTTTAAATTTTAATCATTCTGGGCTGGGCTCGGTGGCCATGCCTGTATTGCTAGCACTTTGGGAGGCTGAGGAGTACAAATCGCTTGAGCCCAGGAGTTCAAGACCAGCCTGAGCAACATAGGGACACCCTGTCTCTACAAAATATTTAAAAATTAGCTGCGTGTGATGGCATGTGCCTGAGGTCCTAGCTACCCGGAAGACTGAGGTTGGAGGATTGCTTGAGCCTGGGAGGTCGAGGATACAGTGAGCCATAATCACACAATTGCACTCCAGCTTAAGCGACAGAGTAATACCCTGCCTCAAAAAAACCTCAAAATTTTGAGTCATTCTAGTGAGTATACAGCAGTTTTTCATTGGAGCTTTCATTTGCATTTCCTTGCTAAGCTTATTAGCTATTTGCATATCCTTTTTATTTACATGAAATGCCTGTTCAAGATGTTGTGCACTTTTAAAAATTGGGTTCTGTATTTAACTATTCTGTGTAAGAAATTCCTTTAAGACATACTGATTTAAAACATCAATAAACATTTATTCTCAGTTTCTGTGGGTTAGGAATTCTGGAGTGTCTTAGCTGGGTGGTTTAGCTCAGGGTCTTTAATGAAGTTGCAGTAAAGAGGTTACATGGGGCTGTGGCCACCTGCAGGCTTTAGTAGGCTGAACAATCCATTTCCAAGATAATATATGGCTTACTCACATGGCTGCAAGATGGGGCTGAGTGTTGGCAAGATGCCACAGTTCCTTACCACATGGATTCTCCACAGGATGACTGGCCTTTCCCAAAGCAAGTGACCGAAGAGAGAGGAGGGCAGAAGCTGCAGTGTCTTTTTTTTTTTTTTTTTTTTGAGATGGAGTCTCGCTCTGTTGCCAGGATGGAGTGCAGTGACGTGATCTCAGCTCACTGCAAACTCCGCTTGCTGGGTTCAAGTTATTCTGCTGCCTCAGCCTCCTGAGTAGCTGGGACTACAGGTGTATACCACCACACCCGGCTAATTTTTGTATTTTTAGTAGAGACAGGGTTTCACCATGTTGGCCAGGGTGGTCTTGAACTCCTGATCTCAAGTGATCCGCCCACCTCGGCCTCCCAAAGTGCTGGGATTGCAGGCATGAGCCACCACGCCCAGCCTATTTCTTTCTTTTAAAAGACAGAGTTTCCTTATATTGCCCAGGCTGGTCTCGAACTACTGGGCTCAAGGGATCCTCCTGCCTCAGCCTTCCAAAGTGCTAGGATTACAGGTGTCAGCCACCACTCCTGGCCCTACTCTCTTAATAGTGTTTTTAGGTGACTGGAAGTGCTTAACAGCTTTATTAAGATGAAATCCGTCTGCTTAAAGTGCAAAATTCCATCGCTTTTAGTATATTTACAAAGTTAAGTGACCATCACTACAATCAGTTTTAGAATATTTTTCCTCAGGCCCAAAGTGACTGCCATACCTATTAGCAGTCACTTCCCCTTCCTCCTGCAAATTGCCGTGCCTAGGAAACTACTAGTCTACTTTCTCTGCATAGAACTCTCTGTTCTGCATATTTCATATATATTAAATCATGTAATATATGGTCTTTTGTGACTGGTTCCTTTCACTTAAAATGTTTTGAAGGTTCATTCATGTCAGCATGTATCATTACTTCATTCCTTTTTATTGCCAAATAATATTCCATTGTATAGATATATCACTTTATTTATTTATTTATTTATTTATTTATTTATTTATTGAGACGGAGTCTCGCTCTGTCGCCCAGTCCGGAGTGCAGTGGCGCGATCTCGGCTCACTGCAAGCTCTGCCTCCCAGGTTCACGCCATTCTCCTGCCTCAGCCTTTGGAGTAGCTGGGACTACAGGCGCCCGCCACCGCACCCGGCTAATTTTCTGTATTTTTAGTAGAGACGGGGTTTCACCATGTTAGCCAGGATGGTCTCGATCTCCTGGCCTTGTGATCCGCCCGTCTCATCCTCCTAAAGTGCTGTGATTACGGGCGTGAGCCACCGCGCCCGGCCCGGATATATCACATTTTATTAATCAATTCATCAGCTGAAGGAACATTTGGGGTGTTTCTGTTTTTCGGCTATCACTAATAATGCTGCTATGAACATCCACGTACAAATTTTTGTGTGAACCTATGTTTACGATTTTTTGGGTATAAACCCAGGAGTAGAATTGCTGAGTTGTATGGTAATTCTATGTTTAACTTTTACTTATTTATTATTTTTTTGAGACAGAATCTTGCTCTGTCTCCCAGGCTGGGGTGCAGTGGCATGATCTGGCTCACTGCAAACCCCGCCTCCCAGGTTCAAGTGATTCTCCTGCCTCAGCCTCCCGAGTAGCTGGGACTACAGGCACGCACCACCACGCCCTGCTAGGTTTCTTTTTTGTACTTTAGTAGAGATGGGGTTTCACCATGTTGGCCAGGCTGGTCTCGAACTCCTGGCCTCAAGTGATCCGCCTGCCTCAGCCTTCCAAAGTACTGGGATTAGAGGCTTCAGCTATCACCAGTAACTTCTATAAAGCTCAACAAAGGTAAAGTCAAGGGCAAATCTTCTCCCTCAAACCAACTTCTTTCTTTCTTCTCATTTTTAACAGGGCCACTGCGAGCGGCCAGGAGCCCAGGCTCGCAGTCAGCAACTCTTCCTTTCCCATTAACTCCCATAGTCTTTCACAAATTCCTATTTGTCCTTTTTTCCAAATGCCTCTTGCATTTTTTTGAAATGTAACAATTTATTGATCAATATAAATGAAATAAAATTTAGAATTTATTTCCAACTTTGCTATATTGCATAGTAACGAGACTCCATCTCAATAATTATGAATTTCCATATCTAAATCCAAAGATTCTTAGATTTGTAAGAATTTGGAAGTTATTTTCTATCCTCCCATTTTATAGAAAAGCAAACCAATGCCTGGAAAATTAGGCATATTTTAAACGGTCTTACATTAATTAATTGTAAAGAGAGTAATATAATGAAGTCTCCTGTCTTCTAGACAAGTGTATTTTTTTTTTATTTATTTAAGTTCTAGGGTACATGTGCACAACGTGCAGGTTTGTTACATATGTATATATGTTCCATGTTGGTGTACTGCATCCATTAACTCATTTACATTACGTATATCTCCTAATGCTACCCCTCCACCCTCCCCCAACCCCATGACAGGCCCCGGTGTATGATGTTCCCCTTCCTGTGTCCAAGTGTTCTCATTGTTCAGTTCCCACCTATGAGTGAGAACGTGTGGTGGTTTTTTGTCCTTGCAATAGTTTGCTGAGAATGATGGTTTCTAGCTTCATGCATGTCCCTACAGAGAACATGAACTCATCCGTTTTTATGGCTGCATAGTATTCCATGGTGTATATGTGCCACATTTTCTTAATCCAGTCTATCATTGATGGACATTTGGGTTGGTTCCAAGTCTTTGCTGTTGTGAATAGTACTACAATAAACATACATGTACATGTGTCTTTATAGCAGCATGATTTATAATCCTTTGGGTATATACAGTAATGGGATGGCGGGGTCAAATGGTATTTCTAATTCTAGATCCTTGAGGAATTACCACACTCTTCCACAATGGTTGAACTAGTTTACAGTCCCACCAACAGTGTAAAAGTGTTCCTATTTCTCCACATCCTCTTCAGCACCTTTGTTTCCTGACTTTTTAAAGATCGCCATTCTAACTGGTGTGAGATGGTATCTCATTGTGGTTTTGATTTGCATTTCTCTGATGGCCAGTGCATTTCTTACTTTTCTCTCACTCCCTCTGCCTTCATCCTAGGCCAGAGCCTGCCCCTGGGCTGGGCTCCCTATAGACCCTTTTCTAAATTATCGTTCTACTCCATTCATCTATTCCTTCATTCATCAGAAGAGCATCTGTGGAGCACTTAGTGCCAGACACTGCGCTAGACACTAGATGCACCCGTAACACAGACATGGTCCAGCTGGGGAGGCAGGTAATTGACAGGCAACTACAGTGTCTTGGGGTGAGTGTGATGATGGAGGAAGCCCTTAGCTGGGACCATAATCCAGATGGAGAGGCGTGTTAGGGGGGGGCCTACACACTCCTACTGGTTTCATTGTCCTAAACACTTTTATCCTGTTTCAACTAAAATTGGCTTTCTCTTACTTTTGTTCCTTTGGGTTCAAACTTTGTAGCCTGAGATTCTAAGGCCTTTCTGGTCAACCCAGGCCCATTCCCAGGACTCTCTAGCAGAAGAGGTAGTAGTAACAATGATAGTAATAATAGCACATCTTCATTAAGCTTATTTATCTTAAATAACAGGCCCTCTTCTAAGTACTTTTCTTAATGTTAACTCTTCACAACATTCTCTATGAAGGAGGTACAGGTACTATAATTAGCACCACTGACAGAAGGGAGTCATGAGTGCTAAAAGGCAGAATCTGGGTTCAAATCCAGGTGGCATGGCTTCCAGGCTGGCATGTGATGATGACACCATTGTGTATCAGTGTAACCTGGCCGTGTGGACCTCAGACTCTAAATCATACATCCTAAGTTCTCCCCAAAGACCTTTTTACTCCTGGTCCCCTCTCCCCTGAGAATGCCCTTCTCTTTCTTATCAAACCCTATAGAAGGCTTTATTTTCACTTTCTTGATGTTATCGTTTGCAGCACAAAGCTTTTTAAATTTTAATTAAGTATAATTTAGCAATATTTTTTATTAGTGTTTTCTGGTTATTGTTTAACCTAATTCCCTTTTCCAATTGTTTGTTTAGATTCCCGTCTTTGTTCTTGAAGATTTTAAAACCTAGTGATCCTTGATTATCTGTTCATATTTAAGAAAGAAACAGATTGTGGCCGGGCGCAGTGGCTCACGCCTGTAATCCCAGCACGTTGGGAGGCTGAGGCAGGTGGATCGCGAGGTCAGATTGAGACCATCCTGGCTAACACGGTGAAAACCCGTCTCTACTAAAAATACAAAAAATTAGCCGGGCATGGTGGTGGGCGCCTGTAGTTCCAGCTACTTGGGAGGCTGAGGGTGAATAGCAGAAACTCGGGGGGCGCAGGTTGCAGTGAGCCGAGATCACGCCATTGCACTCCAGCCTGGGAGACAGAGCGAGACTCCGTCTCAAAAAAATAAAAAATAAAAAAAACAGATTGTGAATGGAAGCCCGACGTGCAAGGGAAAGCTCATCAGCTGATGGGCTTCACTGGAGGGCAGAGCTTCCCAACCTTTTGTGCATCAAGGCATACACAGAAAATGACAATAGCGGTGAGGTACACTGGGGGTAAACTGGTGGTGATTTGGGTACCCATAATGGACTTAGTAAAAAACTCCTGCAGGGCTGAGCCCGATGGCTCACGACTGTAACCCCAGCACTTTGGGAGGCTGAGGTGGCATCAGCTGAGGTCAGGAGTTCGAGACCAGCCTGGCCAACATGGAGAAACCCCCATCTCTACTAAAAATACAAAATTAGCCAGGCGTTGTGGCTCATGCCTGTAATCCCAGCTACCTGGGAAGCTAAGGCAGGAGAATTGCTTGAATCCGGGATGCAGAGGTTGCAGTGAGCTGAGATCATGCCACTCTCTCTAGCTGGGGAAACAGAGTGAGACTCCATCTCAAAAAAAAAGAACACAAAAAACACAAAAAACCCAAAACAACAAAACCCCTGCAGTTTCTTTACATAAAATAATTGAGGAAAATGTAATAAAATATAAGCTATTAGTAACAATATTAAAACATTTAATTAAAATAAATTCTTTGAAATCTTCCACAAACACTTTTCAAAAATTTTAGTGAGAAACTTGAGCTTGATTCCACTAATTTAACAGGTTTGATGGTTAAGCTAGTTACATGTAATTCCTAAGTATTTTTAAAAACAATCTCTTCGGCCGGGCCCAGTGGCTCACGGCTGTAATCCCAGCACTTTGGGAGGCTGAGGCAGGCAGATCCCGAGGTCAGGAGTTCAAGAACAGCCGGGCCAACATGGCGAAAACCTGCCTCTATTAAAAACACAAAATTTAGCTCAGCGTGGTGGCGGGCACCTGTAATCCCAGCTTCTCAGGAGGCTGAGGCAGGAGAATCACTTGAACCCGGGAGACAGGTTGCAGCGAGCTGAGATCATGTCACTGCACTCCAGCCAGGGTAACAGAGCAAGATTCCGTCTCAAAAAAAAAAAAAAAATAGCTGGACCTGTAGTTCCCTATTTTGGAGACTAAAATGGAAGGATCACTTGAGCCCACAAGTTTAAGCCTACAGTTTAGCTGTGATCACACCACCGTACTCCAGCCTGGGGGACAGAGTGAGATCCTGTCTCAAAACAAAATCAATAAAAGCAGTATGTATAGTTGCTATCAACTATATAGAAATGGTTTTCTCCAGGTGAACTCTGGTACAGAAGCCAAGTCACATGGTACAATACAGGTATGGATATAAGGTCCCATAAAGGAATGACTAGAAACCAAATCCACAGAATGTTATTTTCAGTGAGAACAAATTACTGTCCCCCCTCACAAGGAAACTTAGTATTGCAGTTATTCCCATCAAAGTATATTTCACATTGGAGCTCAGTTGTGGTAATGTTTAAACTTGAGTGGATACTCATGTTGAAGATATGTTCATTGCCTTTGCTGTTACCAATCTATCCTGCTGCTCCAACCCTTTAACCACGAAGATGATTAGATATTGATCTGTCCAGAAGATACCTGTAAACTCATGCCTATTTCTCCAGACGAAGACAATGAGCCAAGTTTTTCTTCTCGAGGTCTTACAGTCCTTGTTCTCCTGTAATCCTCTATACCCAGCTGAGCACATCTTTTGACTGGGAGCTGCCTTAACAGCCCGTTGGTAAGAAGCCTTCCCAATAACGGGTAACACAAAACTTTTATATTATGTGTATCCGTTAAAATAAAACCTATTTAATACATCAAAGTGGCTCACAATCTTCATCTCCATCATCTTCATGTTGAGTAGGCTGAGGGGGTGGGGGTGCTGGTCTTGCTGCCTCAGGGGTGGCAGAGGCAGAAAATTCCTGTAAGGAGACCCACACAGTTCAAACCCATGATGTTGGTCAACTGTTATTTTTGGTAAGTTTGGGTATTTATCTTTCTACAACAGTTCAATAGTTACAGGTGTCTTTGGCAAAAAGACTATTATTTCTGTGAACCTAGTATCTAGTTAACTACAGCTTGAAATTCCTGCCAGATCCCTTCACACACATTTTATCTTGCTCCTTTATTAACCCTGCCAACTTCACCTTCTAAGGGCTAACAGTGATTACCTGGTCTTGGCTGGGAATGGGTGGCTCACGCCTGTAACCTCAGCACTTTGGGAGGCCGAGGTGGGTGAATCACCCGAGGTCAGTAGTTCGAGACCAGCCTGACCAACACGGTCAAACCCTGTCTCTACTAAAAATACAAAAATTAGCCGGGCGTGGTGGTGCACGTCTGTAATCTCAGCTACTTGGGAGGCCGAGGCAGGAGAACCGCTTGAACCTGGGAAGTGGAGGATGCAGTGAGCTGAGATCGTGCCACTGTACTCCAACCTGGGCAACAGGAGTGAAACTGTCTCAAAAAACCACACACACACACACACACACACACACACCAACGAACCCCCCCCCCCACCAAAAAACAGTGATTAACTGGTCTCTTAGTACTAACGTGGGATCCCATTTCAATTCATCTCCTCTTGCCAGGCCAGTAAAGCTCTTGAAATAGTTTTAACTTCATCAACTGATTACTCATGGGGAGAAGGGATTATTTTGGGTCTTGTCTTGCTAGTAAGGGACAGAGTGAGTGGAATAGAACCAATCCAGTATTCTTGTCACTTTTAAGTCTTTACATTATATATTAAAGATTACACATAATAATCCTTTACACTATATACAATAATCCTTTACATTACTGTAGTAGCATTCTGGCTTTTTGATGACATTTGGCATAAGCTAGCATTAAGTCCAATCCTACAAGAGCCAATCAAAATCCACTGAGATGGCATGCTGAAGGAATATTGGAGGCGTGTCCACTGCTAATAAATCCAGCCTAATCCATCCTCAAAATTTCCATATAATTTACAGAAATTTTGATAATGCAAACCAAATCTTTTTATTTCTTCTCGGTGAAACTTCTAATTCTCAATTTCTCCTCCTGGGCCTTGCAGAATTGGAATCCTAGTCAATGGTGTAAGAGGGCTAAGAGCTATTAGTTTTATCTTAAGGCATATATTCCTTATGTAGGGGCAACAATGTAAACATTGCAGACCTTGAGCATTCTCTAACATGTAGTTAGATTTCCATAAGGAAATGTGCAAGCTAGATCCCTCTCAAGCGCACTTCACAATAGGATTCCTGCTATGAAAATCTGCTGTTGCTGATCTGACAGGCGGCGGAGCTCAGGCAATCCATGGCCAGGAGATCGGAAACCCCTGCTCCCAGGTCTACAAATCTTTTGACACAGCCTTATTTCCACTTGCTGGGACCCTGTTGATTTCCTGAGAAGTTTCACAAAAGCCTAGTATAAAACTATTTAACTTAGCAATCTTCCAAATGAACTTTACATTTGGTTTTAGTAGTCTCAGCCCTACAGCTATAAGAAATGGATTGTTTGTATTGGCATATAAAAGCCTCCAAGTCCCTTTGCCTTGAGGCAGTAACTTTAAGACTCAAATTTATCCTTTCCCATGGCTTTTGTCTGATTCAGCTGCCCATGGCAGCAGTTACCTAGGGGTTACCTACGGGTAACTGCTGCCTCCCTTTCATGAAACTGGCGACTAGCATTACAGCACATCAAAAGACTACCACTTTGTCTCACTACTTCTCAGTCTATCTCAACTTGGTAAAATTCCAAATTTTCCTCAGTCTTTTGCCTGTTAACACTCTTTGTAGCCATGTCAAATGGCTAAAATTCTTTCAAATCTAAAAGCCAGAAAACAACTCAAACTAGCCTAAAAAAGGAAACTTTCAATCAGCAGGATAAAGGATGGCTACACAACTAAAGGGCTAAAACTCAGGCTTTAGGATAGAAACCGAGGGTTATGTTCGAGATTATCAGGAGTGTGAACTCGCAAGCCATCAGTTAACTGATGGGGAGAGGTTTGGTTGGGGAGAAAATGGTGGAGAATGTAGTTACTTCAGGAAAGGATGCCTGTATATACTACCACGATAAAACCAGGTTTCTCAGCCTTTAATGTATCCATCCATAACACAACCCCCTCTGGGACCACACCCTAAAACTCAACTTTATATATAAATACTACAAATTCTTGTTTCAAAACTCATTGAGAACAATTTGAAATAACCCATCAGGCATATACTAAGTTGTTTCCACATGCTTATCAGAAACAAACCTAAGGGTAGTTCTCTAAGCATATTAATTTACCACAAGTTGGCAAACACTGAAAACACCCTGGACAGTAAGTTTTACAAATTAAGACCTGCCAATACTGCCTATGCTCCATTACTGGTATTTTCCATCACCCAGGTACCCAGATTTGAGACATCATGATCAAGAGAACTGTGGACTAAGATCACCTAGGTTCAATTCAGATCGTGGCATTGCCACTTAAACAGCTATTTGAACTAAGGTAAGTTACTCTACATCATTTCATTGCTAAAGATTATATGTAAAGTTCTTCCCAAAGTACCTGAAACATACTAATACCTAGATGCGATAAAGGTTAGCAAGGCAACAAAATAACCCACCTGTAGCAACATCCCTACAATTGGTCATGAAAATTACTTAAATGCAAAATAATAAGAACATGTATTAAAGTACCCGCAGTCTAGTTATTTACTGTAACTCCATCCCCAAATGGAGATCACTCTAATACCTAGTTATGCACTCTGAATTTTCCAGGAATACAGAAATTCATCCCCCCCTCAACCCAGCCCAAAATAGCAAAGATACACCTCAGCCCAAGGAACACACTGCCCTAACGATTAAACTACAGAAGAACTCTAATTATAATAGAACAAGAACACTTCTTTGTGAACAGCTGCACCAACATTTTTCTTTTCATTTGCGTTTATTTAAACACAGTTCTCAAAACATTTGAGTGAAATTGGGCCTCCTTTGGTAAGCAAAGGACCTGAAAATAATATTTAAAAAATGAACAGGCAAAGTCTTCAGTTCATCCATGACAGGTATAGTGTTCCCTTATCATGTACTTTGAAGCACCCGGTTTTTTCATATAGTCTAAAAGCTAGAAGAACAAGAGTGTATTTGTGGTGGAATGTATTGTCACTTGCTGATAACTAGTTGAAATACCATTATCCCCTTGTAACACCTTTAAGAAACAGCCTTTTAAGGCATACACTGTGTAACTCTTCGTATTTCCTGCTATACATATTACAGATTACATAAAAGCCGACAAATCCACATTGATATAAGCATTAAGCACTGGCTGTATTTTAAGATTTTTAGTTCTAATACTAGCAGTACAGAGTTACAGAGCATAATTTTAAACACTTAGTTGCAGGTATATAAGTATGGTATGTTTCATGGACTGGAGGAAAACGGGCATTTGTCTTTAAATTTACTACTGACAATCTGAATAGTTCTGCTAAGCATTGATATGTTAGAAAGAAAAGTAAAAATCAAACTGTTTATTGTTGCTTTTTGCCATTTGGTAGCATTTTACACAGGCTTCGATCTTCAGAATACCCTGGATTCAGTAGAAAAACCTTTTAAATGAAGTTTTGTACAATAGAAACTTCTCAGCAGTCAAAATTTAGACTGTAAAAAAATACATGCAAAACATACTTTTCTGAAAACACTTAACTTGGAACAAAGCACCAAACTACACAAATGCAGAATGAAAACAGCATTTCAACTCCACCAAAAGTAGTCATCGTAAAAGGTGTAAAAGTCACCTAACTTCACTAGGCACTGTTCACTTTTTAAACAAGAGACAATAAAAAATATTGCCCACAAACAATATCCCAGCTCTAGGGCAGGTTTCAGAAAGTCTTCATGCTTTAATAGCGACCTGGGAAGAAAAGAATGAACATGCTTTAATATTAAGTGAACTAATTATCAAGTATACTTTAATGCCGAGAATTTCAGAATATTCTGCCATTAAGAAATTCCTATGTGCCAGAACCCCACCACCCCCAAATAGAGAAAGACTTCCATGTAAGTATTACACCAGAAATGAGATAGCAATCTTAAATAACAGAAATTGCTGGGAAGTATATAACTCAATCTGAGAACTAAAGGGCTAAGTAATCCATGTTTCTGTGCTGTCCAAAAATTTTTAAGGACTCTTGAAAAGCTACTAAATGGTGGAAATACATTATTTACTGTTTCAATTAGAAACAACAGGAGTCTCTGAGCCTACTCTGGGTAAATGGTGGAAATACATTATTTACTATTTCAGTTAGAAACAACAGGAGTCTCCGAGCCTACTCTGGCTCAGGAGGCTGTCCAATTTTTCCTTCTTAAAAAATAATAGGATTCTAAGGGTTGTTTCCACAAACTTTCTTGAACCAAAAAATGTTCAGGATGTGTGGAGAATCATTAGGTATGAAACTACCTGAAACCAATCCATTATCTGATAAAGGGAATACACTGTCATCAGAGCAAGCCATACTACAATATAAACAATCATATTAAGATAAAAACTTACGAGGTGAGTATGATCGAGATCTGGAACGTGATCTGTATCCTCCACGACTATAGTAAGGAGAAGGTGACCGCCTTCTATAAACAAATGTCAAGATTGTCTAAGTCTCAATAGATCACAATTAGACCAAACATATAAATTTATGACTATATATACTGCCCTTTCATCAGTTCCCCAAAAAAGGAAAGCTGCATGAACCTTCAAGGTCTGTTTAAATCTTGAGAATGAAGCACATTATCAGGCCCAAGTGTCAAATAAGCACTCTTAATAACTTTAAGGTCAAATAATCCTTGCTATATTTTAATCTACTTACTTTTTAAATTTTGTGAACTATGTTAAGAGAGTTTTGTAAAAGAAAATTCCTGGCTGGGTGCGGTGGCTCAACGCCTATAATCCCAGCACTTTGGGAGGCCAAGGCAGGAGGATCACTTGAGGCCAGGAGTTTGACCAGCCTGACCAACATGGTGAAAACCTGTCTCTACTAAAAAAAAAAAATTAGCTCTGTGCGGTGGTGCATGCTTGTAATCCCAGCTACTCGGGATGCAGAGACTGCAGTGAGCTCAAATTGCTCCACTGTACTCCAGCCTAGGCAACAGAGCAACACTCTGTCTCCAAAAATTAAAAATAAAAATGAGAAAATTCCCATACCATTAAATAATCCCAACAGCACCCTCTTGAACACCCAAAACTAATTTCACAAGTGCTTCAGGATTTAGCTTTGTGTTAAAAAGGCTGGCTTGAATGTTCTTGTGCTATTTGAGATGCTTACTTTTAAAAAGCAAGGAAAATGTAATACAAGAACATAATGACAAAAAAAATGAGTTATCAGTGACTAACATCACTGTACCTCATCACGGTATAAAATGGTATCACTAAATAATCTATTGCAAAACCAATTAATTTTTATAAATATACAAAGACTTTATACATTTAGTTTCCGTTAGAATATTTTCATGAGCTTCAAACAGTCTGATTTTGGGTATTCCACTTATAATTTACCAAAACATTACTAGGCAAACATCTTTATGTGAAGCTTTATACTGTTGTACAGATGCTAAGTCCTCTCCTGGCATACCTATAAATCTGATCCCTGTCTTGGGCAGCTCTCCATCCTCCTCCTCCTCCACCTCCTCCTCTGTGAAGACAGAAAGGCAACACAACACGCATTCAGTTTGTAAGTTTTAAAAAATTATGTCATTCATTTAGTAAAATAAAAACTTTCATAGAGCATGAATGAGATGTTTCTTGCAGGTCAAGTGATTTGCCACCCTTTTTAGAAACTGGCATAGGGTTCTCTCTGGTGGCTGAAATAAGTAGTATTAGAACACAGAACATTCCTAAGTAAATGCTCTTAAAAAAAAAAATCAAACTAAGAAAAAAATCTCAGCCCCAACAAATTTGTACCTTTAGTACCATTCAATAGAGTGATGCTTTAAATAAAAAAAGGGTTTTCATGGGTGATAAAATGCTGAACAATACACTTACAGACTCACTTTCAGACAATGACTGACAACTGTTAACTTCTTAAACATTGCCAAATAATGCACAAAATAGACATCCATATACCTCAATACCATTATCAATGACAACTGTGGTCAATACTTACTAACTACATTATTTGACTTGTCAAATTACACATTTTGACAAGGGAGGACCAAAATGTCACAATTTTACTTCATTTTTATCTTTGGAAGTATTCTCAAAGATATCTTTATTTTTAAACTATGATTGACATTTCCCTACCCAAACCCCGAAATACCAAATTTTTGGCAAAAATAAAAAGCCACATACCCTTGTCATACTAAATTAACATCTTTAAAATTATTCTCTGGACTCTTTCAAGGCATCCATTTTACCTGCCCTCAGTGTACGATGCATGCATTAAGAGATTACAAGAAACTGCCTGAAAAGTGTTGGCTTTCCAAAATGGCTTATGAAATTTGCTTTTATAAGCCATTATAAATTTGCTTTTAAAAGGCTAAGACAGAGGCTATAATTTTTTCTTTTAAGGTGGGGTCTTGCTCTGGGGGAGGAGACTCAGGTGGGAGCGTACTTGGCTCACTGCAGCTTCAACCTCCCCGGCTTCCTGCCTCATTTTTTGTGGAGGTTCCCTATGCTGCTCAGGCTGGTCTCAAATTCCCGGGCTCAAGCAATTCCCCTGCCTCAGCCTATAATTTTGCTTTCACTATGTATTCATTTATTTATTTTTTTTTTTGAGTCTCTCGCTCTGTTGCCTACAGTGGAGTGCAGTGGTGCAATCTAAATTCACTGCAACCTCTGCCTGCCGGGTTCAAGCAATTCACCTGCCAGTAGCTGGGACTACAGGCGTGCACCACCACAACCGGCTAAATTTTTATTTCTGGTAGAGACGGGGTTCACCATGTTGGCCAGGCTGGATCTCAGGTGATCTGCCTGCCTTGGCCTCCTGAAGTGTTGGGATTACAGGCGTGAGCTACTGCGCCTGGCCTCATTCAATGTTTAAAAATAAAACACATTTTATTATTAATATTCCAAGTTATCATTTAAATCCCATTTATATTCTAGAATATTTGAACAGAAATCCAGTTACACATTAAATTGATTAAGACACAGAACCTTAGAATCTGATTTAACTTTCTACTCTGCATTTCTCGAGTAAAAGTACTAAAGCAAAGCTTTTAACAAAGGCTAAAACTTAAGCATAGTGCTGCTCTGTACACTGTACTGAGATTCAGACGTTGACCTTTCTACCTCATAACTTACCTGTATGATCTGCTATAGTAGTCCCGATCATCATAGCCCCGATCATATCCTCTGTCATAGTAATCCCGACGGCGAGAGCTGCCACTATGAAGAAAAAAATATTCAGGTGACCTCCCTTATCTTTCTGGACATGAGTTTTTATATCTACTAGTAGGCCTTTTCTGACACATTAACTGGAAAATGAAAATTATTCCTGTTAAAATTCTCACCTATATTGAGCAAACATTGCCCTTTCCCTTGTTTCAATATATATAAACCTATTTTTAAAAATCTTTGGTTAAGGAGGCACACAGATCCTGCCAGAGGTCAATCTGCATATCCCACATATTTCTAAGAGGAAACAAAAATAGTATCACTTTGCTCTATTTAAGAAAATTTAGGCCGGGTGCAGCAACTCACGCCTGTAATCCCAGCTCTTTGGGAGGCCGAGGCGGGCAGATCATGAGGTCAGGAGATCGAGAACATCCTGGCTAACATGGTGAAAACCTGCCTCTACTAAAAATGCAAAAAATTAGCCGGACGTTGCGACACGCGCCTGTAGTCCCAGCTACTCGGGAGGCTGAGGCAGGAGAACTGCTTGAACCCAGGAGGCGAAGGTTGCAGTGAACTGAGATTGCACCATCGCACTCCAGCCTGGGCGACAGAGCAAGACTCCGTCTCAAAACAAAACAAAAACAAAACCAAACAACAACAAACAAAAAATTTAAAAATGGACTTGACTAAGATTTAGTTTTACCTGTAATGGTTGAACTTCTACTATGAGAAAAATGCCCTAATGAGGAGCATTTAATCAATCAACAGTCAAGTTTATGGCACAAACCTAAGTGCTGAAGACTTTCCACTAATACAAGTGTTTCTTTGACAAGTGAAAAACTGCCAATTATATTTATTTTGAAAATAAACTTACTAGGTAGGTCTCCCCATGTAAATTCCTGGTGTTGGCGTATGTGGTCTTTTTGTTATAGAGAAATCAACTCTGATCCTACGCCCATCAAGCTCCATTCCATTGGCACGTTCTTTAGCCTTCAAAAGGTAAATAAATTGTTACATACATCCTGAACAAAGCCACTAATTATCCTGTGGCTATGAGTAAGATCCCACTGGACATTTCAGTTAGGTGCATTAAGTTATCTTAATGTTAGCCAGAACGTAAGGTCTACAACTTACAAATGTGTTGTTCCCTCTACTAAATGTTCATTTGTAAAAGCTACTCATAAAAACTTGAAACAATTATTTTACCTAACTATGATCCTGACAGTATTTCCAGCTCCAAAGCAGCACACAATTGGCAAACTATAGCCTGTAGGTCAAATCTGGCCAGCTGGCTGTTTCTGTATAACCCATAAGCTAAAAATTTAAATAACTAGGGGGAAAAACAGTATTTCATGACAAGTGAAGAAACACACAAAATCCAAATTCCAATGCCCCAAAATAATCTTTTATTGGAATAGGGCCCCAACTCATTCATCTGGCTGCTGTTGGGTTAAAACAACAGAGTTAAATAGTTGCGACTGAGATCCTATGACTGAAACCTGAACACATTATTTAACCCTTGGAAGTTTTCTTAGCCCTTCTCTGGAAGCCAAAAGCTAAGACTGAAGCACAGCCTTAAGTACATATAGTTCCTTTTCCCAAAGTATGTATTAACAGCATACATTTAAAAAATAAAAATACCCCGTTTCAAACACATTAAAGTTTGTTCATAATTTGAGGAAACATCCTTTCACCTAAATAGAATTTAAGTTTCTAATTCCAATACTATGCTATCTTCTAGTTCAGATGTTCAAGCTAGTGTTTACGCCCAGGCAGTTTCTGGCACTAGAGATTAAGATAAAATTTATGCTATTTTCCGAGAGCTATGATCCTACTGCAAAAATTTAATTAGGAAATGGGCGGCCGCGCATGGTGGCTCACACCTGTAATCCCCCAGCACTTTGGGAGGCCGAGGGGGGCAGATCACCTGAGGTTGGGAGTTCGAGACCACCCTGACCCAACATGGAGAAACCCCGTCTCTACTAAAAATACAAAATTAGCTGGGTGTGGTAGCCTGTAATCCCACCTGCTCAGGAGGCTGAGGCAGGAGAATTGCTTGAACCCAGGAGGCGGAGGTTGCGGTGAGCCGGAGATCGCGCCATTGCACTCCAGCCCAGGCAAGAAGAGTGAAACTCCGTTTGTCATTAAGTGTTTCTCAGTTCTTCCTCTTCTCTATACTTGGAGATGACTTTAGCTACCATCCTTAATGTACCTAAAATCTGAATTTCTTAAATGGGGTCTAGCCCCACATTTCAAATCTTGACTCTATATTCTGCCTCAAAACAAATCAAAATCCAAATATGACATCATTCACTAGCCAAAAAAGGAACAATGTTTTCCTTCTGCATCATAACTTTGCTTTTGGTTATTTTTGACTCTAGAATGTGAACCCAGTGTAAACACTGACTACATATCCTGGCGGAATTGGGGTATAGTTGACCCCAATAGGTGGCAACTAATAAAGCAGGTGGTAGGACCAACTTCCCCAAGTTATACAAAATTTTGTTATTCTGCATGTATCTTGAGTCTCCACAAGAGGTTGGAGAAAAAGTTCGAAGTATTACTGACTTGTCCTTGTCCTTATCCTAGCAATTGGTCACTGATAACTTGGCGTTAACAATAGAACTGATGGTTTACAAAGGAACGGGCTTTTACTTACTTCCTTGGCATCATCTACATTTTCAAAATATACAAAGGCAAATCCTCTTGAACGCCTAGACTGCTGGTCATATACAATAGACACATCGGCAATGGGACCATATTTAGAGAACACTTCTCTTAGATCTCTTTCTGTGGTGTACAAGCTCAGCCCAAATACTCCAAGACAACAGTTAGGATCAGGATTTGCCTAGGGAAAAAAAAAAGTTTTAAACTTTGGAAAAGTTGTCATAAAATCAAAGTTGTTTAAAAAGGGAGCTGTATACTAGCCAAAATGTCACTAACAAGAAAAGTACATAATGATTAGACCAAACACTGCTTAGAAATTACAAAATTACAGCAAGTACTACAAGTATTTTTGGGAATGGGTAGGAAAGAATGCAAAAGAAAAAATTTCAACCTTAGAATTAAGTAGGTAAACAAGCACTCGTGCTGGCGAAAAGCAACTTGGCATCTTTCCTTCTATGAATTTATTCTAAGAAAAATTCACATATTCATAACATGACATACAAGGATAACTGGAACCACACTGTGTCTATCAGCTAGAAAAAATTGTAATGTTGACACACCTTCCATTCAATAGAATGCTCTGAATTGCCAAAAAGATGAGCATGTATGGTTCGATTTTTTCAGAAACACAATACACAAGTAAGTACATAAACGAAGCCTGAGGGGATGCGTACCAAACCATTTTACAGGTCATAAACAGCTTGCAATCGTAAGAAACAAGAGTTGGCCAGGCGCAGTGGCTCATGCTTGTAATCCAAACACTCTGGGAGGCCAAGGCTGGTGGACTGCTTGAAGCTCAGGAGTTTTGAGACTAGCCTGGGCAACACAGTGAGACCCCATGTCTCTACAAAAATATAACAAATTACTGGGTGTGGTGGCATGCCTCTAGTCCTAGCTACTCAGGAGGCTGAGGTGGGCGGATCGCTTAAGCCTGCAAGGTAGAAGCTGCAGTAAGCTGAGATTGCACCACTGCACTCCAGACTGGGCGACAGAGTGAGGCCCTGTCTCAAAAAAAGATGACAAGAGGAAAGAATAAAGAGTGAGCCATATGTTGCTAACATTCCAGATGCTGTGATGAATTTACCTAAAGATTCCATTTATTTCATAAACTAACAATTTACTAGGGAAAAATTCTACTCTACTCTAAAAACATTAAGTCCCCCCCTGCACCCTCCTCCTAAACCACTTGGATTATACAGTGAAATCACAATAAATATCATCTCATTTGAAGCCTTTCATGAAATGTAAAAAATGCCTTAACAACACCCAAAAGAAATTAGCTTCAAATTAAATGGGAAAGTCAGGAGAGCATCTAACTAGGTTTATGCAGCCTGGAAAGAGTTAATGTTAGCATAGAACTATATTTTGAACTAATGTACTAATACTATACTACAGTATAGTAATGCAGTCGGAAGTTTTTTTTTTTGATGGGCTAAGGAGTTACACCATTGTGTCAGTATTATGCTTAATTGACAGGCAGCCCAAATGCAGACCCCGTCATGGAAGATTAACTTAAAAGACTCTCTCAAAACACTAAAAAAGCCTCTGAAGATTTCACTCACGCACCAACTGCTAAAGCTCTATTGTCAAAATCAGCTCTAACTTTAAGAAAAAGTAAATTTAGGCAGTTGACTGCTTCAAAACCAGTTTTTCATCTTACCCGATTCCCAACATGACGCCTGCGAGTAGACATGGGAGAATGGCTGTGGCTGTGCCGTCTACGATAATCTCGACTGTAAGACCTGCTACGTGATCGTCTATGGGAGCGGGAGCGAGACCGTGACCGGGTATAATGCCTTCGGGAGCTTCTTCTGGATCTAGACCTGCAAGACAAAGACCTCCTAAGGTTATGACTGAAAACAAATATTGTCTTCTTTATTACTCTGTTCTAAAGTTAAACTCCAAAAGAGGGAACAATCCAGGAATATGCTAACATGGTTACCAATTTAGTAGGATCAATACTTTTCTTCTCTAATTATTTAGTCATTTCAACTTTGCTAGGAAGCGTTCTAAAAACCACAAGCTCTCCTCCAGTATTTCTTCCAATTAAAGACATATTACTTATCTTTTACAAATCAAGGCACGCAGCATTTTACTAGCTTGGCTTGTGCCCATCTTTCCCCCTCAGAAGACCATTCTCTACTTTTCTGTCTCCCATTATGCCCACCATTAATTTAATACAGTAACAAAATCACAAGGAGTATTCCCCAGCAGTTAAAAAAACAAAAAATTGAGTGGCTCTTGACTAACTAGAGTGACTCTAAATTGTCATCGAAACGAGGACACACATTTAAGAAAAGGGGTGCTGTTAATTATGCCTGACCACAGGCATAAATGGTATCGCCCCAGGCAAACCAGGATGTATATATAGCCTACTTTTGACCAACATTAAAAAAAAAAAAGCGCACCATATATATACTTATTTATCAAGAATTCTAATTACTGAAAGCCAATGTTCTGCAGTATATTTGCCATACTAGTAAGCAGTTTACTTACATTTAGTAAATCCTCACAACAACCCTGAAGAACTGGTACTGTATTACTAATTTGCCTTTTATAAAGAAGCTAAAGCTGAAAGGTTAATCTGCCCAAACCAGCAAAAATAGAAAACCCTGACTCCAAAAGCCCAGGCTCTTAACCGCTTTTAGTCTTGCCTCCCAGAACTTAAGTTCACTTCTAGTACCAATATTTAATAGGCCAACAAATAATCTAACCCTCTCTACCTTCCTGGTTTACAAAACACGCACCAATTTCAGAGCTAAGAGTAACGAGGAAATCTCAAGACAGTCTTTCTTACCTAGATTCAGATCGGGACCTGGACTTTGATCTGGAACGCCTGGAATCTTCCTTGGAGCGAGACCTTGCAGGGGTATGCCTTGCAGATTTCCCCGATCCGTGAGCACTTCCACTTCTGGAAGCAGAACGGGATTCCTACACGTAGATGTTAAAAGTTTAATTTGCACACTTTCTGGGCAACTTTAAAAACAAATAAGCTGCTGTGAGATAAATGGTGAGGGACAGCAATCCCCTTCCAAGATAAGAAAATATAGGTAAGGGCAGGAACTGAATATACCTGGTGTTAATAGTTTCATTGCTCCAAATGACATAAGTCAATTAACTTGTCCTTTCTTCCACCTTTTTGGAGCAGGGATAAGAGTTATTTGACCCCACTTCCTTCAGAAAGGGGTGCCAAAGTCAAGCAGTTAAGGGAACTGTCCAAGGACTGTGTTTCAGAATGTTACTCCATAAAGACTAGGGTGAGGCGGAACCTTATTAACTATGACACCTATACTTTATACCTATTTCAATCAAGTTGCAATCAATAAAACAAAATCCTATATAATTTATATAATTTACTTAAAAAAATGCTTGATTTTTAAAAAGACCTTGACCTTTCAAGTTACTACTTATAATTCAGTGATAAGAGATAAAGATGATGATCTCAGTTTCAAATCCTAGAGAAAAGCAGAAACCTAGTGGAAAGCAAAGGCTAGCTTGAAGGACACTAAACCCTGTAAAACCCTATTGCATCTAACCATGGTGGGAGGCCCCCTAAAAAACTGAAAGCAACCAGATGGAGCTACAACAGAACAGCGAACTACACACAAATAAGAGTAGAGAGGGTGTCAGAGATCCTCCACAGCTTCTCCAGCTAAATGGAGATGAGCCAGGGCAAACTTATGGAAAACCAGGAATTAACCTAACTTACCTAGTTACTTAAGTACACATCAAAACCAGGCAGCTAAATCAGGAGCTCCTAACCTAGGGCCCAGGAAGCAAAAGAGTACAGAAACTACATACAAAAGCCAAAGTTTAGGTAAACATTGTGTACTCATAGCTTTCCCAACCAAAACTGGGATTGGCTGGCAGGTTAAGGGGGGATTTGTAATGAAAAATAGCAAAGGAATGGTAACCAGGATAACTAGGTCACCAACGAGCTAAAGACACATAATCAACAAAAGGGTATACTAAGTAATGAAACCAAGGAAAAGTTCTGCCAAGGCACCAAAACAGTAGATGAGGAAAGGACAGAACCTACTCCTAGTCAGTCTGATAGCTAGGTAAAATTATCAAGGCAACCTTTATTTTAGGTTATCAAACTTAGACAAAGTAAAGCCTGGTAAGCCTTTCTACTCCAGAGAGCAGAAATGGCAAGACTCAAAAGGAAGCAGTATTACAGTAAGTCACTATATGGCATGAATCAAAGGTGAAGCTTTCAGATAAAATCACAAGAGATTTCCTTGTGTGATACATCTTCAGAGTATTCTGGACATTCTTGAAAGGACAGTAGAGGATTATTCTAAATTACAGCTCAAAACACTTTAGAAGATAGTTTTGTGGTTTACAACATAATGGAGAAAATTTGGATGATCCTTTGATGCTCAGGGAAAACATTTATAATGTAACACAGAATAGACAAATTAAGGTTTGAGGTTTAACACAGAAGGAAAGGCTAACTCATCCAGTAAAATGAGTTCAGGTCTCTAGGCCCCAGACGACTCTAGAAACGTTCAAATGACTTCAAAGCCATTATAAAACATGGTGGGGTGACATGAAATGTGACAGCCTTTCCCCTCTACCTCCCTCCATGACTGACTGTAAAAAGATTAAAAGAAAAATATATGAACAGCTGCCTTTAACATCAAGAAATGGTTAAAGGATGTAGTGATGCTCTGGGGCTTCCAATTAACAACAATCCCTTGGAATTCCCTATCAAGTATTCTGAACGGACACTTCCCTTCTCTCCATGGACAAAGGAGGAAGTCTCAAAAATGAGGGTGTAGTTTTTGCTATTTTTACCACAGGCAAAAATTAACATAGGTGAGAATATAGAAATGGGGAACCCAAAAGTTGCTAAAAGCCTGTTTACTCCAACACTAGAAAGATTACCTCTATGGAAATGAAACAATTTTCTCCAGAAGTGAAAGCAGAATATGGGTGTTTCACAGTAACAGTTAAGACTACCAATAAAGTAACTGTAGTTAACAGAAATCAGTCAGCCCAGGAATCTGAGTATAAAGGAAGAATGGGTCAAGTCAAGATCCTCTTTAAGCTCCTGGCTTTAACAGAAAAACCTTTATTCTAAGCTAAGATGCTTCGGCAGCCTGTCCACTGAGGGAAGAGACAGTACTCCTAACCTAGAAAATAAGACTTAATGAAGTTTTCTCCTTAAAATCTAGCAGATCACAGATACAATATTTCTGAAATCACAGGAGTTTTCACTCAGCCTCCAAAACTAACGGACTATGCAGATATATTTTGTAAGCAATCATTTCTTGGGCCAGGAATAAGGGAAATACCAGAATGCAAAGGCTTCCTTTTCTATACTGACACTTGTTTGGGTAACACCTAAACGTCTCGATCCTTTATCAGGGATATTTTCTTAAAGAAGTTAAAGCTTTCTGAAGTTATTTTGGCCATTTAACTGGCTGGGAAATACATATGGCAAGGGAATAAAACTTGCCTACAAGAAATAAGACCTAAAATTAGCACCCAAATCAAAAGCATAATTAACTTTAAATCTCAATGCAGACAGGTAAAGCTATAAAAACCAGTTGGGGAAGTCCCTAAATCTAAGCATACTTCAAATTCCACTCTCAGGGCTGACATGGTCAACACATTAAAACCACACCAACAGACAGAACTGGACACCACTGCCTCAAAAAAAGGGACCATGAAACTAAAATTAGCATGAATAAAACCAAAATTTCCCTGAAAAAATGCTCAGGAAATCAATCAAGCTCTCACAGACTGGATCTCAGCCACATCCTAATACAAAACCTAAAGGGAATACATCAAGTAAAAATACAACACACTTAGCCTTCCAACAAAATAATCCACATCTCCCTATTCTGAGAACAGCAACCACCTTACAAAAACATATTTGAAAGGACTAACCATCCAATCCCTGTATTATTTTAAAAACTGAATGTGGTTTGTTAGATTTAAAATAGTGGCTCATAAACACTGCATCTCTTAAAACACTGTTTATCATACTAGTTAAGTCTGACTTACTTGACTTAGTCAACCTCAGAAGTTACATGCTTCCTACTCATTTTTTTCCCTTGGCAAAGGTTATCTTCCTGAAACACTGTCATCCCCTTCCTTGTTTTGACTCCCCTTAGCATTAATCAGACCTCTGATTAAGGCAGTCTTTCACACACTGCCTGTTCTCAGGAACAGAAGCCGGCCTCCTCCTCATCTTCCCTATGGCCCGAGGAGGAGACACATTAGGACCCACAGATGCTTTGGTCAAGGGGGAAAACAAAAACAAATGGACACAATGGTCCACTAGCAACGTTTTCTCACCTTAAGTCTATCCAGCTTGGGTCATAACCAGATTCCAAATTGCTTTCTTTCCTTTAGTGGGCTGGGGGTTAAGAGGTCTTTTCCTCTTTTGCACCCCAAGGACCTGTCAGGTTTCTTGATAAAAGAATCCATGGGCTTGGAATTAAAATGTAATATTCATTCACACATTTACCTCAGTTTCCTGCCTGCTCTTTGAGTAATTTGGAACATAAAATAACATTTATCATCATTAGTTTATCTATGGCAAGAAATTTGACAAAGGAATGCAAAACTTCTTAAGAGAAAATTTTCTTCTGCTTGCAAGATATAGAAATAAACAGGCCTGAAAGCATCAGAAAATGGATTCTCCAAGAAATGCCATTTAAGTCACTTTCTCCAAGAGCATGAAGACCTGACAACTCTCAGAGAAAGTTTATTTCAGGAAGACATGTGTGACATGATACCCTTGGCATTCTCAACTGGGTAGAAAACCGCTGGCTGACTACTACTGGGTATTATTTTTGATATGTGTACTTGTCTCATTCAACTGAAAGTAACATTACACCAATCACTTGACCCTTCTACTCAGCTAAAACAAAACACACAGAAAAGAAGGGACAGCTTTTGGGTTGAATTTCTCAATAAGTGCAAGGGATACCAGGTAACCAGAATAAAGCTACTTTGTAACCGTTACCTCTAACATTACAATAGCTAAATGTTGATAGCAAAAAAGGAGAAATAGGAATGAAAGCATCTGCCATTACTGCAATTTGTATTAGCTATCCTGTTCACTTGTGTGACCCACCTCTTCTAAGGGGAAGCTACGGTATTTTATCAGTAATCCTAGTCAATCAGCTGAAATAGGCATTAAACAGAAACAGAATTTGAAAAACCATCCCTGTGTATTTAGCAAATATGCATCTTAAATTTAGGGCCCAAATGCTCACAGATTTCCACTAGTGCCATATGGAAAAAACTAACACACTAATGCCAAAGGGAACTATTTTGTTCAATGCTTTGTTTGGATTTTGGGGGTTTGGTTCCATAACCATCCTGGTGACATTCCTTTGAAAATGGTTTAACAGAAAATATTCTACTATACATTGCTCAGTACTGAAGGAAAGGGGACAGTGCAATCTAAGAGTCCAGGGAGGTGGCAAAGACCACCAGTTCCAACCCTGGAGGTATTCGCTCATGCCCCAGGACCAGCAACATTAGACAGGTAAAGTTTATCTAGAGAGGACAACATGAAGCCCACTGTTACCCATGCTGGAGAGCTCACTGCTGCCTGGTGCTTGACTACTAAATATTTTTTAAAAATTGCATTTCAATCATTTAACTAAGCAGTTAAAATCAGAATTACCTAATTTAAACGTTTCCCCTGGAAGGCACTTCTTTACCCTGTATATATTTTCCTCTATTAAACAAATAATGCATGCATGTTTAGCAAAATATACAGGGACACATAAACAGACTAGTAATTACTTAGCGTAGTGCTTTCTGATTCCAGATTACTTCTTATCTTAACTTCATTTTTATTTCTTTTCTTCATTCTTCCGTTTCAAATTCTGACTTCTTTCATCTTCCCCACTTCACACAAATTGCTCAATATTCTACAAGTGGGACTTCTGGTCTGATAATTAGCATGCATTCTTTCTTTTATTTTTTCAAATTTCAGCTTCACTTATTCCTGAGCTTCAAATACTCATTTATAAAACTTGTCAAATGACGACTTCCGCATTTTCCTTCTTCAACATTAACCTTAATAGAAAAAGAACAGGATGAAGAATATTTTAAAACTCCAGGATAAAATCCAGTGCCAAAACTGAAACTAGAAAAAAAAAATCCCTTTGTTGATTTGGATTAAAAAAAAAAAAAAAGAAACTAGAATATGCAGCTCAAAAAACTGAAAACTACATAGTTTTCTGCTGGTTCTAGAATATATGGTAATCTCATTTCTCTACTCCAAATAGACTTATCATGCTTAAGTTGAATGTGAAGTGCGCCACTGAACATTTACTGTTCATTTAACATTTTAAGAACTATTAGTTACATTTCACACTTCTTATTATATTCAATAGAAAATAGGTTAAGTGTCAAAAGCACACCTCTAGTCAAAAAGTGACACATTAATACATAAGTGCATGAAAGGAAAGCACGGACAATTCATTTGTACAATGACAAACGCTCAGGGTTGAAGAGGTTTACAGTATTGTGACTTGTCTAGATAGGATAAAGAAACGTATTTAGCGTCACACATTTTTGTACTGTATTTAAAGAGCTCTGCAGAAAGACGGTGTCAGGGAACCTGACAATTTGGAGCTTAAGTGTAACCCACCCCCTGGAAAAGCTGCTCTAGTGAGATTTTATAGTATGAATCATAAAAAGACAAAATCAAGTCAACCACCTACAATATGCCAGTAGCTATGAAGGAAAGCAGAACAAACTTGAATCCAACACTGGTATTTTCAAAGAGTTTTGTTGTACATTTTCCCCCTCAATTTAGAAAATATTAAGTCTTCTGGATGTCCAAAGGAGAAATACTACTTTAAAAGGTGGCACTATTTAAATTACAGCTCACCTCCTCAAATAATTAAAAAGATTGAATTTAGTTGATCTGTAAATGTCTGTTGAACATACTAAACAAAATAAAATACTGCCTACATAAAACATGCTAGTTTTTCTTGTTATCCTACATTTCACTTTGATGATCTTTCATTTTATTGTCAATTACTTCCTCTCCTGGTTTTTCCTCCTGAAAAAAATGTAAGGCTTTGTTTAAAAAAATTGCAAGTCTTTATACCTATCTGGGCATAAAGACAACCATCGTTAATCTGGCAAGTGCTGTGATGTCTTTCCTAACAAAAGGATAATTTCCAGTCTAGTTTTAGAGTCAATTATTGTTTATTTAATCCGAAAATTTTTAAATATGTTTTTATTTAAGGGAGTTACAGTAATTGGCTTTCTTTAAATCTCCATCACTAAAATGCAATGGGAAATGTTTTCTGGCAGCACAAATGTAATCATGGAATCAGAATGCCCAAGCAGGTTTCCTTAGGGCCTCCTAAAACTTCGATACAGACAGGGCACTTAGATGCAGAAGATACAAGAATAGAGGCCATAGCTCTAGCTATCACAACTGTTTTCAATGTGGATACCTTCCTGCTGTTACTTCATTACCCCTTCCTAACCTGGTTCCTTCTCTTATAGTCTAAGAACAAAACCATTACTAAATTATTATAAATATTAGATTTAATTCAACTCAGCTAAGTTCAAGTGGCTACTTTATAAAACCAGAAGATCAACTCTTGGGCTAATGTTATGTACATTTAGTTAAGAGACCCTAGTTAGAAATAAACAGAAACTTGTCCTATCAACACAATTTTTGTTAAAATGTTTCTAGGGGATACAACTAGAATCCATTTAACATTAAACATGCACAAACTCATTAAGTTGACTGACAAGGCAATATTTTAAAAATTGGGAGGGACAGGGGCAAAGAAAACCTCATTAATCCTGTTATGGAAAGGTCAATGCTCATATCAATATAATAAGGACTATATTTTTTTCTGGCAGCCAAACTGTCTACCAGAAGAGTAAATGGATAAGTAAATCCTCAAAAACTGGAGAATAGTGTCTGGAAAAAAACATCATCTGAAATTAGTTGTAGGCCTGTGCTTATAAAAACTCTCTTGTAAATATAGCACAGACTGTTAAATTTACATTCATAAAACAGTCAGTACTCCCCAACAAAAGCAAATATAAATATCTTTTGACTTTTCAGAAGACTACCTTTTAACCTAATTTCTAACCACAAAAATTAGAGAAAAAGGGGCCCCTTATCCAAACTGTCAGGTAACAATCTATGTTGATAACATCAATCTCAATGTAACCTCCAAAACCCAATTCAAAGCAAAGATTTTGGGGGAATTTCAAGACTGTAATTTGCTACAGTGAAGAACTTCTTTTGGTTTGCAGTTTAAAAACAAGACTAAGTGATTTCAATATCTAATTCTACATAGCCCACACCCCCAATACTAACCTGGGTCAAAACACTTAAAATTCCTAAACATCAGTCACCATGCCTTGTTAAAAAAACAGTCGCATATGTAAAAACACTGATCAACATAAAATGCTAAGGCTCAAGAAATATACACAGCTGTAGCTCTGCCCTTGTCCTGGGCAAAATAGCTATGAAAGCATTAATATTTACCACCTACGTTCGGATTTTATTGTAGAGAAAGGAGGAAAAAACGCTATGTAAGGCAAATCCCATTAACACTTCCCCCACCACCTGAATTCCTTTTCAACCTTTTGGCAAAACCAGTAGTACTTACCTTATAAAATCACCTGTAATGTCAGCTTGAAAATGTCACGTTCTAGTTCCAGACAATATCCACAATATTAAAGCATTCTTGTTTAAAACCAAGAAAAAAATATTTCAACCGGGTTTCAAGAGACTGATAAACCTAACCAGACTCACAATACAAAACAATTTCCTCCTATTTGACAATTCAATCCTTTTTTAAAGGAAATTTGGTGAGATGGCTGCAATTCTTTAGAAAGAAGTAGATTCAGAGATGTTTCAGTTTTGAAAATTAGAATTTAGAGTTTAGGAGCTAAAACCAAGGAATATAAAAAGACATCCCAAGATTCAGCAGAAGATGAGAAAAACTGCAGAATTTGAAAAGCAGTTTGATGGGTTGGTGTCCAGATGCTGCTATTCATCTCTAATGATAAAGATTACGTGCCTATGTTGCAATCACATCGGCTTTACAAAAATAATAGCCAGTATTCTATCAGAGTATCTGCTGGGTCAAAACATTTTCTTTAACATCTGGTCCATACATCAGTGTCTCCTTAGTTTCTGGATTCCTTTAGTAAAGACTCACTCGTAGAAACTCATTACAATATTGAGAGGCTCAGAACATTACACTGCGTGCAAGACCAACATACAAATCTCACACAACCTATACGCTGTGACCATTATTGGGCTCTAAAGATTACCCTGCACTTCATCAACTTTTTATTCAACTTCTTGTAATTGTGACTTAAAGGCCAGGAGTGCCTCTTTTTACAAAGAAATGGTGCTAGTCAACCCCTTTACAAAATGCAAGCAATTTTGGGGGAAGAGTCTTGAATCCGGAGATGAAAACGAGATCTTACTTTTGAAAGTGGTTTGGCCAGATCAGGTTAAGCCTGCTAATTAGACCCCTATAGACAGATTTTAGTGTTAATCTATTACCTTTGAGAGGGGGGAAAAAATAAATCCCACAGACCAACGAGGGATGAGGGACACACCAGTTCTTTAAATGTCATTATATTCACCCAAATGTATTCTATTGAGTGATCAAACTGAGAATAATTTATCCCACACACCCAACCTTAAAGGGGAGGGACACAACAACAAACTCCTACAGTCACTGGAAAAGGTGGGGCACAGAGGGGTGGGGTTGTCTGGATTAGAGACAGATAAATAAGGGAGAATTCCACTGATTTGAAGAGATTAGTGATTTACATTAAGACCCAGTTCAGAAGCCTGGAGTTGAATAACACTCATTTTTCTGGCTCCAGAGAAGCATCATTTACACCACAGGCATGTCTAAGATCAAGCTGTTCCATTGAGCTTTATGGTTTTCCCAAGCTTGCTTTGGAAGCCTAGACACGTGTTTGATTCAGGTGTATTCCAACCCTTAAAGGTTCCAATTGGAACACAAACACGCAAACACCAAACACAACAATATGGAAGTATTTCACAACGTAAAAGTTTAGAGATCTCGGCCAGAAAGCGAAGACTCTTATGTAAGAAAAAAAACTCAATTTTTAACACATTAAGTTAACCTCCCTCTACAATTCAAAGATTGCGAAAAACACAGTGTACTTTTACTAGTAAAAAGATAACCCATCAGAAAATTTCAAATTTCTCTTGAGCCGAGTCTCAAACTGGAACCTAGTTTCAATTGTTTCCCTTCTCACGTAAAATATACTAATGAACTCTGGGCAATTTTCCATTCTCAAGCATTCTTCACGTGTATTCAATCGAGAGCTCTAGTCAGAAGCCAGTCATTTAGTATTTTTGAAGAGTAGAAAGGTACCCAATAATTGAATTTTTCTGTTTAATAACAAAAGACTTTAAAATCGCTTACTTTGCAGTCCAAACACCAATGACTGTTATAACAGATTCAACTGCCAATGATCAGAAGTCACGACTTTTTAACAACTTTTGAGCTCAATCCCAACTTTCTTACCCAAGAAAGCAAGAACTTAAAAAAAAATCTAAAACACTCGTGACATTGGAGTCAATCGGCTTCGGGAAAAACATCAAAAACTAAAAACTCTATGCTCATCCGAGTATGTAAACGCAAGGCTTGATTAGTTCAAACCAAATTAAGCAGTTTGGGCTCCAAAATTACGCAGGAAACTCACGCTTCATCACTGAAAATTTCTTCCTAAAATACTCTGAGGAATCATATAAAATCTTAATCAAAAGTTTGCTAAGACATTTAATAGTCTTATTTACCTGATAAATCATATTCAGATCTTAAGGTAGCTTTACCAACAAGGGGAAACTTAGGTAACAAATTGTTTTTTTTTTTTAAAAAAGCACAAATTATTCCCACAGCCTCAAAAATCAATTTCTATGGTGCTTTTCTATCACCCTTCTAACAGATTCCTCTTAATTCTAGCAAGCCTCGTATGTTCGCATCATTCAATGCTTTCCGAATCCAATACCCAGAGCCCCACAGACCAGCTACGTATGCTGTTTAAACCCTAGAACTGTCTTGTTCCCGCAATTCAATCAACCCTCACTGAACACCTTTAAGAGGTGGAAACTTAAGGGAAAGAAAACTGTAGCCAACACACGCTGTGGTTCTAAGTATTAGAACGCCTCAAAACAAAGGAAATAACGGCGCCGTAAATGGTTGCCCGCCAATTTCTCCTTCACAATCCCGTGGAAATGCGATGTCCACAAAATCATCTTAACGACTTTGTGGTCTGTCCTAATAGAATACTGATACAGATTTTTGCCTGGGAAGCCCTTTCGGCATCAGAGAAAAGCGCTTCATTTAGGCCAAACACAAAGCCCTCACGCAATCCCCTCCACCTAACGGGCCCAGAACTTAGTCGGCCTTGGATTAGTTTCCATCTTAAGAGGCCCCAAAGACATCCCAGACTCCGTCCTTTCCGTGGAGGCAAAGACGGTCCTTCGTTAACCTAAACACCGGCCCAAAGACCCAAAAGAACGTCGTCTGTCCCCTTGCACCCCACCACGCGGCCTTACGAAGCGCGGCCCGCTGCGGGTCGGGTCCGCGTTGCCGCGCGGCTTCTCCGCCATTTTGTGCCTCTGGCAGCTCGCCCAGCCCGCCAGCCCAAGATGGCTGCGGCGGACCTTCGCAGGAGAGCAACGCCGAAATAAGATATCGCTCCCCTCCCCCAACACCGCGGGGACGCAGCGGCCATTTTCATCTTCCCCCTCTTATAACGGGAAAAACGGCCGTCTCGGGCAGAAGCCACATAAACCCGCCGGGGGCCTCCCTCCTTCACGACCAAAGGCACTAAGGCACTATCCACAAAGGCTTTTTTTGGTTAAATGCTGTCTCCCTTGCCTGCCCTCCCGGCTTCAGACTTCGGAGCCTAAAACGCCCCTGCCTCCTGGCCCGAGGCCGACGGGCCTAGAAAAAGATGCAAGGAGCTAGGACCACACAGCCACCCCCTACCGCAGCTCTACGTACCCGCTCGCCGTAGTTCTGCTCGCCGCTGTCGCTCATGACTCCTGGCTGCTGTCGCCGGTCGATGTGCTTCAATCGAAGCTGCCAACCTCTTGCACCTTCCTTAAGGAGGCTCCGCCGCAGCCCCGCACGACGCGCCGGTCGCCCAGCCGCTCAGAGCCGAAATGCTCCGCACCGCCTCCGCACGGGCTCTAACTCTACCGGATGTGACGCGGCGCTCCTTAGCCAGGCTCCTCCCCTCCCAGAAACGCGCGCTTTCTTGGCCTCGCCCCTCCTCGCTCTGCCTTTCCTCTCCAGCTGCAGCGCGTCCCGCACAGGAAGTGACGTGACCCCGCCCCTCGCAGGGCCCCACCCCCATTCACGAGCCTCTATGAGGCGGGAAAGCTAGCGTGTCGTTTGGCTGCTGTAGTGGGCGCCACGGAGCCACAGTGATGTCACCAGCCACTTCTGAATCCCTTCTAGAACTTTCCAGGGAACCTGCCGAGTGTGCAGGGAGGAAGGAGATGCTGTTTCCCCCAATCTCAATTCCTTTCTCCGCCTTATTAGTTTCTTGTTTTGTGTCTTTCCTTTGTTAGAGAAGTGAATGTTCGTACATTGGGTTCTTACTTAATTTTGTCTTACTTGTAGATATTTCCTTCCTGAATACGTCTTCATTTAAAAAAGGTCAGATCGGGCTGGGCGCGCTGGCTCACGCTGTAATCCTAGCACTTTGGGAGGCCGAGACGGGTGGATCACGAGGTCAGGAGATCGAAACCATTCTGGCTAACCCAGTGAAACTCCGTCTCTACTAAAAATACAAAAAAATTAGCCAGGCGCGGTGGCGGGCGCCTGTAGTCCCAGCTACTTGGGAGGCTGAGGCAGGAGAATGGCGTGAACCCAGGAGGCGGAGCTTGCAGTGAGCCGAGATCGCGCCACTGCACTCCAGCCTGGGCAATAGAGCGAGATTCCGTCTCAAAAAAAAAAAAAAAAAAAAAAAAAGGTCAGATCGGCTGGGTGCGGTGGCTCACGCCTGTAATCCCAGCACTTTGAGAGGCCGAGGCAGGCGGATCACATGGTCAGGAGTTCGAGACCAGCCTGGCCAACATGGTGAAACCCAGTCTTTACTAAAAATACAAAAAAATTAGCCGGGAGTGGTGATGCATGCCTGTAATCCCAGCCACTCGGGAGGCTGAGGCAGGAGAATCGCTTGAACCCGGGAGGCGGAGGTTGCAGTGAGCCGAGATCGGACCGCTGCACTCCAGCCTGGGCGACAGAGCGAGACTCTGTCTAAAAAATAAATAAATAAAAATAAAAAAGGTCGGACCTTAATACACAGGAATCAGACACAATCTCTATTCTAAAGTTACAAAGTAATGTGCTAGAACCGTTAAACACAATTAGAAAAAATGATTGTAAGTGCCAGAGGCATGTATAACTACAGGGGTGTCACAAGGAGGGAAGATTAATTCTGCCATTTCGTAAGAGAATATAGTTGGATTATAGTGAGAAGAGCCCAAGACCAAGTCGGATACTTTCTTTCTTCTTTTTTTTGAGACGGAGTCTTGCTTTGTCGCTCAGACTGGAGTGCAACGGCGCGATCTCGGCTCACTGCAACGTCTGCCTCCCGGGTTCAAGTGATTCTCCGCCTCAGCCTCCGTAGCAGCTGGAATTACAGGCGCCTGCCAACACGCCAGGCTAATTTTTTGTATTTTTTATAGAGACGGAGTTTTGGCATATTGGCCAGGCTGGTCTCCTGGGCTCAAGCGATCCTCCCACCTCGGCCTCCCAAAGTGTTGGGATTACAGGCGTGAGCCACTTCCCCCAACCCCCAAGTCGGATACTTAATTCCTCTACACTTCAGTCTCCCCATCCATTGAAAAGGTGGTACCTGGCTGATGAGGCACTTTGATACTGGTAAAGGGTCATTTGATTTTTTTTTTTTTTTTTTGAGACAGGGTCTCTCTGGCTCTGTCGTGCAGGCTGGAGTGCGGTGGCTCATTGCACCTCCCAGTCTCAAGTGTTCCTCCTGCCTCAGCCCCATATCCCCAACTCCTGATTTTTTTTAACAGCTTTATTGAGATACGACTCACCTACTATGCAGTTCCCTTATTTAAAGTGTACAGTTCAAATGGCTTTTATTCACAGAATTGTGCAACCATCACCACAATTTTAGAGTAGTCTCATCACATTAAGAAAAGAAACACTCATTAATAGTCATTTTGCATCCCTCCTCCTCTCCACTCCTCACAACCCTCCCAGTCCTAGGCAATCACAAATCTTTCTTTCTCAATAGATTAACCTATTCAGGACATTTTATATGAATGGAATCATATGGTATGTATCTTTTGTAACTGGCTTCCTTGGCGTACGTTTTCACGGTTCATCCATGTTGTAGCATGTACTACTATTTCATTCTTTTTCATTGTCAAGTTATATTCAGTTGTATGGATATATGACATTTTATTTATCCATTCATCATTTAATAGACATTTGGATAGTTTCCATTTTTTAACTTATGAATAATCCTGCTGTGAACATTCATGTACAAATTTTTGTACGAGCACATGTTTTTATCTCTCTTAGGTATACACCTAGGAATGGAATTGCTGGATTGTATAGTAACCCTACGGTTAATTTGGGGGGAAACTGCCAAACAGTTTTCCACAGTGGCTGCATTCATTTTACATTTCACACTGCCACCAGCAGTGTATGTGGCTTCCAATTTCTCCACATCCTCACCAATACTTGTTATATTGTATTAAAAAAAATTGACCAGGCGTGGTGGCTTATGCCTGTAATCCCAGCACTTTGGGAGGCTGAGGTGGGCGGATCACCTGAGGTCAGGAGTTTGAGACCAGCCTCAACATGGCGAAACCCCGTCTCTACTAAAAATACAAAGTTAGCCGGGCGTGGTGGTACATGCCTGTAATCCCAGTTACTCGGGAGGCTGAGGCAGGAGAATTGCTTGAACCTGGTAGGCGGAGGTTGCGGTGAGCCAAGATCGTGCCATTGTACTCCAGCCTGGGCAACAAGAGCAAAAATCTGTCTCAAAAAAAATTATAACCACTCTAGTGGGTTTAAAGTGGTATCTCGATGTGGTTTTGGTTTGCATTTCCCTAGCGATAATGATAATGCTTTCATGCGTTTATTGGTGATTTGTAGATCTTTGGAGAAACGAATATTCTGATACTTTGCCCATTTTTAATTGGGTTATTTATCTTTTTATTATTGAGTTATAAGAGCTTGCAATTTGGCTCTTGTTTGGTAAAATAGTCATCCAGAACAGAATCAATATTTGAGGTACCTGAGATCCAGAGATTTGGTGATGACTCAAGTGTCAAGTGACTAAATAACTTCTGAATGAGCTGTCCCCTTTTTCTGAGAACACCTGTACTCCCAACACACACCTAAACCTGGACTCCTACTCAGATCTCTGGCCTTATCTTACTTTTTGGCTTAGATTAGATCTCTTGTTTATACATTCTTATGGCACCCCTTGACATTCATATTACTCACAACTATAATTAAAGAATAATAATTATATAATTATTTTATTTTCATTATTATTTCTTTGTGGGTTTTTTTTTTTTTTTTTGAGACAGAGTCTCGCTCTGGCGCCCAGGCTGGAGTGCAGTGGCGCGATCTTGGCTCACTGCAAACTCCGCCTCCTGGGTTCAAGCAATTCTCCTGCCTCAGCCTCTGGAGTAGCTGGGGCTACAGGCGCCCGCCACCACGCCCGGCTAATTTTTGTATTTTTAGTAGAGACGGGGTTTCACTGTGTTAGCCAGGATGGTCTCGATCTCCTGACCTTGGGATCTGCCCGCCTTGGCCTCCCAAAGTTCTGGGATTACAGGCATTAGCCACTGCGCTCAGCCCTATTTGCATTATTATTTCTGTGAATATAGTTTTTATGTCTGTCTTCCACACTAGATAATAAGTTCCTTAAGGGCAGGGCCAGTGCCTCTTTTGACCACTGCCTTATACGTAGTGCTTGGCACACAGTAAGCCTTTAGTAGTACTTGTTGAGTGATTAAAAGAAAGCAACGTATGAATTTAGAATTGATTGGGTAGGCATCAGGGTGCCTTTAGAGGTCCCTGAGCAGGAGACTAACTTGCTAAAAGTAGGCAAGATTGTCCTGGCAAAGATAGGAAGGTCAGGCTGCAGGTCTTGTGTCATTCATGTCTGTGTCTCCAGCATCTAGCGCAGGGCCATGCTGTTGAATGAGTGGCCATGTGGGATATGGATCCAGTACTGTAAATATGAGGCAGTGAGGATTAGATTCCCAAGGCAGCAAGAATGAGGACTAAGCAGGGAGTAGGGAGACTATGAAAGGGTGGGCTTGACTGGCCAATGTGATAGGAATATGGGGAAAGGGATAGTCAGAAATGACTGTAAAAACCTTGAGCCCTAGGCTGAGTGAGGTGGCTCACATCTATAATCCCAGCACTTTGGGAGGCTGAGGCAGGTGGATCATCTGAGGTCAGGAATTCGAGACCAGCCTGGCCAACATGGTGAAACCCCGTCTCTACTAAAAATACAAAAATTAGCTGGGCGTGGTGGCAGGCACCTGTAATCCCAGCTACTCAGGAGGCTGAGGTAGGAAAATCGCTTGAACCTGGGCAGTGGAGGTTTCAGTGAGCCGAGATTGCACCACTGCACTCCGGCCTGGATGACAGAGTGAGACTCCATCTCAAAAAACAAAAACAACAACAACAAAAATGTCTAGTCCTGGTAGGGGAGATATATACAGAGAAAATAATGCACCCAACAGGGAATGCTGTCTAACAGGCTTACTCCTGTAGCTTAGAGCCAAGCCAGAGGCTGCACTCAAATTTGTTTGTTGTTGTCTCCTTCCAGAGTCATAGACTCTCTCCTCCAGCATTTCTTGTTTAATTTTCAACTTCTGCCCTGGGATTCACTAGTGCATTCTGTCTTTAGTGGGGTTTTTGTTTTTTTTGTTGTTGTTTTGTTTTGCCTTCTCTCATTTAGTCATTCAACATACTGGATAACAGGCAAGGAGCAGATCACAGATGACCATGTATGCCTAGCTAAGGAGTTCAGATTTTATTTAATGGGCAGTAGAGAAGTATTGAGGGGTGCTGAAAAGGTGAATTATACTTTCAATTTTAAGTTTGAGAAAAGTGGTGGCAGTGTGGTGCATGGGTTTGAGGAGTGATATGAGCAGGGAAGATTGGAGACCGGGAGCAGGTGAGGAGCCAGGCTTCTGTTCTGAGCTGTGCCCGGTGTACCTAGCAAGGGTCAGTAAGAGCTGAGAGCCGGGCATTGTGCTCTGTACACCCGAAGGAAGGGCCTCCTTTTTCACATTCACATGTCATCCTTTGGGCCAGTGGCAGCCAGGCCAGGGGCCCAGTTCCTAGACTCTTTCAACAGTCCAGACAAGGAATAAAAAGAGCAAGCAAGTGAGTGAACCTGACCTAAGGCAGTGGCCAATGAGGTTAGAGAGGATGGAGATGACTTGCTGTGCTAGTTGCTCCCAATTCATACTTTTTGCCTGCTCTGTGAAAACAGATCTGGAACCTTTCAATATTTTTCTTTCCCAGATGGCACAGAAGCTTTGTCAGAATTGGACAGGCATTACAGGAGGAAAGCTTTTACTTCCTGATTCCTGTGTGTGTGCCACAGGCTCCTGCATCACATGAGGCTTCCCCAGGGACCAGCTCCTGCAGAGCATAGCTCTCTCCAACACTGAGCTTCTGTAGTATGCTGACAGTGTTTCTAGTTTCCCGGCTCCTGCAGTGCCTGGCAGTCAGCAGCACCTAGTAGCCAGCAGCTGCCTCTAGAGCACCGGTTCCCACCCCTGGCCAGGTTTCGTAACATTTGCAGCTTCTTCAGTGTCTGGCTCCTGCAGTGTGTAGTTCCCAGCAGCAACCAGCAGAGGGCAGCCTCTCCTGGAGCCACATCAGATAGCTTTGTAGGTGAGATGCACCCCATAAACAACTGTCCCTGACACCTTAAAGGTTTCTGGAAAATCCCAGGGGCAGGTTTTCATGAAGTTCTGCCAGTGTGGCATCACGGCAAGTTTTCTGTGTTCCAGAGATCCATGGCTGTGCCCGCTCCAAAGTCTGAATCTGAGCTCTTGAGGGAAAAGGAGGTTCTTCTTGGGCACTCTATCTCAGACCTAGAGCTAGGGCTCCTCCTTGTACCTGCTATTCCCATATTATTAAGAGTTCTCTTTACTTCTTACTAGTTAATCCGTCATTACCCCATCCTCACTTACCTCAGTACCCCTATTACTAACTTATAGTTAGTAATTACATATATGTAACTTCCCCTATTCAAATTACTGTGTATTTGATCTCTCCTGATTGGAGACATCAGAATTCAGAATGGACAGACTGATTCAGAATTTTTGCCAGGAGTGGTCTCTCAAAATACTACTGAGATGTGGAGGTGAAGGAGAAACGGAAGCTAGAGTAACTGCTCATCATTTTATCCCTCCTGACCTCATTTTTCTTCCTAGCTAATGGTATCAGTGGTACCATCTCCAAATGGAGACATCAAGTGAGTACTGGTTAGAGCAGTCTGGGGCTCAGGGGATAGCTGGGTGGAATATACGGAAATGAAATTACTAGTATAGAGATAGTCAAGGAAACCTTACTTTGTGTAAGTGAGATCTTCAAGGGAGTGGTGTAGGAGTGCTCTCAGAGAACTAATGCATCTCTGTATAAAAAGTGACTGAACACCCACTCACTACTTGGAAGTATGAATGTGGAAGTCAAAAACTTTGAGACTTCATTAAGGCAGGTCTTCACGAACCAGCTTAGGACTGAGTGGAAATTAAGAACAACATTGAGTTACTATGCTGACTATGGCTACGTATTGTAGATAATTGAGTTGAAACAACCAATCACTTTCAATGTTCTGAACCCTAAAAAAGGTGGATCACCTAAGGTCAGGAGTTCGAGACCAGTCTGGCTAACATTGTGAAACACTGTCTTTACTAAAAAATACAAAAATTAGCCGGGCGTGGTGGTGCATGCCTGTAATCCCAGCTACTCGGGAGGCCAAGGCATGAGAATCACTTGAACCTGGGAGGCAGAGGTTGCAGTGAGCAGACATCGTACCATTACACTCCGGCCTGGGTGACAAGAGTGAAACTCTGTCTCAAAAAAAAAAAAAAAAAAAAAAAAAAAGAGAGAGAGGCCGGGTGCGGTGGCTCACACCTGTAATCCCAGCACTTTGGGAGGCCGAGGTGGGCGGATCATGAGGTCAGGAGATCGAGACCATCTTGGCTAACTCGGTGAAACCCCGTCTCTACTAAAAATACAAAAAATTAGCCGGGCGCCGTGGCGGGCACCTGTAATCCCAGCTACTCAGGAGGCTGAGGCAGGAGAATGGCATGAACCCGGGAGGCGGAGCTTGCAGTGAGCCGAGATAGCGCCACTGCAGTCCGGCCTGGGCGACAAAGCAAGACTCCTTCTCAAAAAAATAAAAAAAAAAAGAGAGAGAGAGAAGAATGAAATAAAAGACTTTCTCCAGATACTTAAGATAAATCTGGGAAAGAGAGGAAGAGAATAAAAATTAGAATACCCAAATAACAAAATTTAGAGCTCAAACATTAAACATATGAAGAAAATGTTTTGTCTTAGAATTATTATTATGTTACTAATATAGGGTGGGGATAAAAATTCAAACAATAAGAAATGTGCAAAGTGAAAAATGCAAACCCTATTTTCTATCCTCTCTTTCCCAGTCTCGCTCCTCAGAGGTCACCCTAGTTAAAAAATGTAGTGCATAACCTTCTAGACCTTAGATAGATAAATTTAAATTTTTATTTTTATTTTTTTATTATTTATTTATTTATTTTGAGACGGAGTCTTGCTGTCTCCCAGGCTGGAGTGCAGTGGCAAGATCTCGGCTCACTGCAAGCTCCGCCTCCCGGGTTCATGCCATTCTCCTGCCTCAGCCTCCCAAGTAGCTGGGACTACAGGTGCCTGCCACCACACCCGGCTAATTTTTTGTATTTTTGGTAGAGATGGGGTTTCACCATGCTAGCCAGGATGGTCTCGATCTCCTGACCTCACGATCCACCCGCCTCGGCCTCCCAAAGTGCTGGGATTACAGGCATGAGCCACTGAGCCCAGCCTTAAAATTTTCTTTTCATAAACAAATGGAATCATGCTATACATATTTTTTATTTTTTAATTTTTATTTATTATTTTTTTGAGACAGAGTCTCACTCTGTTGCTCAGGCTGTTGTCTCGAACTCCTGACTTCAGGTGACCCACCCGCCTCAGCATCCCAAAGTGCTGGGATTGCAGGCATGAGCCACCATGCCCCGCTCATATTTTTAAATTTTAACATGGTATTCTGTAACTTGCCTTTTTCACTTAGCAATCTAAAATATGCTAAATATTGTTCCACGTCAGTACACATAGATTTATCTCATATTTTAAAACAGTTGTATGGTATTCCGTTGCAAATATGTGCCATAACCTATTATACCATTCCTATTTATGGAGACCTGGAGGGTGAGAAGCCAGCCATTTAAAAAGCAGAGAAAACTGTGTTCCTGGGAAGGGATTAGCAAGGTCACAAAGGCACTGGGGTGAGGATGTTTGTCGGGTTCCAGGAACAGAGAGACCCAACCATGGGATCCCAGTGGGTCCATCTGAGGACCAGAGACTGTGGTACAGAGAGCAGGGCTTGGACTTCCTGGGGTTGTTTCCTGCCTCCACAGTAGCTCTCTGAGAGACCCTGGGCAAGTGTAACCTCTGTGCCTCTGTGGCTTCATCTGTGAAATAGGAATGATAATAATACCTACTTCCTATGCTTGTTGTCAGGATCCAAAGAATTACTATTTTACATAAAAAGCCCTTAGAACAATGTCTAACTCATAATAAGTCAGCAGTGATTATGCAGGTCATGGAAAGGATGTCAGATGTTATTTAAGTGCAGTGGGGGCTGGGCACGGTGGTTCACACCTGTAATTCCAGCACTTTGGGAGGCCAAGGCAGGTGGATGGGTCACTTGAAGTCAGGAGTTCGAGACCAGCCTGGCCAACATGGCGAAACCCCGCCTCTATTAAAAAAATACAAAAATTAGCCAGGCGTGGTGGCAGGCACCTGTAACCCCAGCTACTCGGAAAGCTGAGGCAGGAGAATCTCTTGAACCCGGGAGGCAGAGGTTGCAGTTAGCCAAGATCGTGCCACTGCACTCCAGCCTGGGCAATAGAGTGAGACTTTGCCTCAAAAATAAATAAATAATTAAATAAATGCAATGGGAAGCTATCGAAATGTTTTAATTAGGGGGAATGTCTTGACTCAGTTTTTATTTTTATAAGATTACATTCCCCATTGGATGGAGAATGGGTTGGAAGGAGGTAAAAGCTAGGATACCAGTTAGGAAGCTATTGCATTTGTCCAGGTAAGAGACCATTGCAACACAGTAATAGCAAAGGAGATAGAGAAAAAAGGGCAGTGGTAGATCTATTTTGAGTCCAGAATTGAGTGGACTTGTAATAGGGTAAGGGGATGGAGATGTCAAGAACTCAAGAGGGTCTATGGTGCCCCATACTGAGATGGGGAAACTTGAGGAAGAAGGAGTTTGGGCAGGGCTAAAGGGACAAGAGTTTGATTTTGAATTAAGTTTGAGATGCTTTGAAACATCAAAGTAGAAGTTGTCAAGTAGGCAGTTGAATATACAAATATAAAACTGGATATTCTTTAAAATCTTATTATACATTTGGAAGTTATAAATCATATTTGCTTTCATCCATGAATTTTTATTTAACATGGAGTAATTAAGTGACTAATTATACACTGAGCACTGAATTTTTTTGTTGGCAATGGAATGTTGTAATTGGCTTTTTTGTCCTGATTATGAAAGTGATGTTATATCTTGCATGTATAATACTGGCTGCATAATATTCTACCATATGGCTGTACATAATTTATTTAATCATTTTCTTTGTTTTTTCTAGTTTTTCAACATTTTAAATAACAAAATTGAGTATTTTTGTATATAAATTTATATCTGAGTTTTAAACTTTTTTGCTTAAGATAGATTCCTAAAAGAAGAATACTTAGAGAAAATACTTTGTCAACAAGTATCATCTTTTTTAGGACTTTTGAAACATATTGTCAACTTACTTTCCAGAAAAGTTGCATTAATTTACACTCCTAGTAGCAATGACTGTTCACTACACCATTGCCATCATAACTAAAAAGTTTTTTAATAGGTGAAAAATAGCATTTTGTAGTTTTAATTTGCATTTCTTTTACAAGTGACATGGATCATCTCCGCTAATCCCTTACTGCTTTTACCATGAAATGATGATGGCTGTGGTTCTCCCTGCCTGCTGTGCTCTCTCCACCCACACTATCTCCTTCACCTGGTTGATTCCTACCCATTCTTCATCTTTCATCTCCAGTGACACCCCTCAGTATTGACTGCCTTCCTCTTGCCTCCAATAATATGTCTGATTTTTTTGATAGATGTTCTCATAGACTTGTGATCTTCTGAGCCACTTCTTTCTACTTGAAATTATATATTTACTAATGGAATTGTTCAATTAATGCTTATTCCCCCAAAACTCTAAGCTTCAGGAAGGTAGGAATCTTTTGCTTATTGCTGAATTTCCATTCAATAAACGGTTGTGGAATGAATGAATGCATGAAAAAAATGAATAGGAAGTAGGAAGGGAAAGGTACTATGATTGGCTAAGCGGGGTCATGTGTCTACCCCTCTTCCTTGGAGGCAGGTCTATTACTGGAATAAACAGTGACACAAATACAGTTAGTAAGAAATCATTGTGAGCTGAGCAGCTATTCCGATTTGTGTCAGCCACAAGAAGTTTAAAATTTTTCTGTACTCAGACCTACAAATATTCTTTGTTAAAATTTTATTACATTTAGGCTTAGAATGTCTTTTCTCACTCTGAGATGACATGTATCCTTACATTTTCCTCTAGGTTTTAAAAAGTGATTTCTTTTAAACATTTGACAGCAGTTGGGAAGTTCTCACTTCGAAAACACTGGAGAAACCACAGAAAACAAGGTTCAGTGCAGGAACGAATTTTCTGAACTGAACAGAAGAGAAAGAGGATGACAAATTTGATATAAGACATTGTCTTTTACTGATTTTCTATGGTCAAATGGAATGTCTTAATGTTAATATTGTCCTCGCCAGAACTTTTTTGCTTAAGATAGATTCCTTAAGCAACTTTTTTGCTTAAGATAGAATATTTATGGGGCCAACACCATTAAAAGAAAACCCAAAGAGTGGACTGAGTTTTTAAAAAAAATGTAACACAGGCCGGGCACAGTGGTTCATACCTGTAATCCCAGCACTTTGAACAATCAGGGATGGAGGATCACTTGAGCCCAAGAGTTCAAGACCAGCCTGGACAACAGTGGGAAACCCCATCTCTACACTGAAAAAAAAAAAAGGCCAGGTGCAGTGGCTCATGCCTGTAATCCCAGCACTTTGGGAGGTCAAGGCAGGCGGATTACCTGAGGTCAGGAGTTCGAGACCAGCCTGACCAACATAGTGAAACCCCATCTCTACTAAAAATACAAAAATTAGCCGGGTGTGGTGGCCCACGCCTGTAATCCCAGCTACTCGGGAGACTGAGGCAGGAGAATTGCTTGAGCCAAGGAGACGGAGGTTGCAGTGAGCTGAGATCGTGCCACTGCACTCCAGCCTGGCTGACAGAGCGAGACTCTGTCTCAAAAAAAAAAAAAAAAAAAGTAACACAGATATTCACAGACAACAGCAGTATGACAAGGTTAAAGGTCACATGACCAGTTATAAAAGAGTTTTCAATGCTGAACTAGTTAAAACCCTGCCTCCCATCCCCAGTCAGCCCAACCCTTCCTGATTAGTCTAGGGAGTCCTTAGAGAGATGCTTGCTTTCTCCTTTTGGCACTTCTCTACCACTGCCTGCCACTACCCTGGGAATTGGGGGCTCTAATTCAGACTGCGTGGCTTACTTCTAAGTGTCTTAACGGAGACTGTGCTGATATTGTTCTTCTATTTGATACCTGTCAGGCCTCTGAGCCCAAGCCAAGCCATCGCATCCCCCGTGACTTGCACGTATACGCCCAGATGGCCTGAAGTAACTGAAGAATCACAAAAGAAGTGAATATGCCCTGCCCCACCTTAACTGATGACATTCCACCACAAAAGAAGTGAAAATGGCCGGTCCTTGCCTTAAGTGATGACATTACCTTGTGAAAATCCTTTTCCTGGCTCATCCTGGCTCAAAAAGCTCCCCCACTGAGCACCTTGAGACCCCCACTCCTGCCCGCCAGAGAACAAACCTCCTTTGACTGTAATTTTCCTTTGCCTGCCCAAATATTATAAAACGGCCCCACCCCTATCTCCCTTCACTGACTCTCTTTTCGGACACAGCCCGCCTGCACCCAGGTGAAATAAACAGCCATGTTGCTCACACAAAGCCTGTTTGGTGGTCTCTTCACAGGGACGTGCATGAAAATACCCTCTCTATTAAGGATTTTTTTTTTTTAGGTACTTTTGTTGTAGCTCCTCTCAATTAAGTCTTTTTTTTTGAGACGGAGTCTCGCTCTGTCGCCCAGGCTGCGGTGCAGTGGCGCGATCTCGGCTCACTGCAAGCTCCGCCTCCTGGGTTCATGCCATTCTCCTGCCCCAGCCTCCCGAGTAGCTGGGACTACAGGCCCCCGGCACCACGCCCAGCTATTTATTTTTGTATTTTTTAGTAGAAACGGGGTTTCACAGTGTTAGCCAGGATGGTCTCGATCTCCTGAACTCCTGATCCGCCCGCCTCCGCCTCCCAAAGTGCTGAGATTACAGGCCTGAGCCACCGCGCCCGACCTTCTATTAAGTCTTAAACTGGCTACCAGTGTACTAGGAAATTTTGTTTGGTATAAGATATAGATCGTATTATTTTTCTCCATATAGATATCACCAGTTTTCCCAACATTGGGTATGAAATAACTTGTCCTTGGCTCCTCTGTGGTGCTACTTTTATTGTATATTTCCATATATGCACATGTCTATTTCTAAGCTCTCTACTCTTCCATTTGTCTACTTGACTGTGCCTGCAACAATATTGCTTAAAACATTTTATTACTAAGGCTTTATGGGCGTGTCATTAAAACTGGTAAGACGAGCCTCCCTTTGCAATTATCTTTTTGATGCGTCAGTTTGGTTAGTTGTTCAATGAAAATGAATCTAGGTGTTGCCAGGAAGGTATTTTGTAGATGTGATTAAAATCCATTACTCTGTTAAATTTAAGTGAGGGAACTTGTCCTAGATAAACTGGGTGTGCCTAATTCAATCAGTTTAAAGATCTAAAGAGCAGAGGTGGGGCTTCCCTAAGGAAGAAAAAATTAGTCCTGTGGACTGCAGAGTCCTGTCCCTGAGAATCCCAGCCTGCCTGTCCTGATACCCTGCTGTATGGATTTCAGACTTGTTGGGGGAAACCCACACAAATTCTGTGAGCCAATTTCTTGGAATAATTCTCTTAATATATATCTCCCATATAGGGAGGGTACTGTTTTTCTGTCTTAACGCCAATACACTTTCTTTATATTTTTTAAAAGATTGACTTAGTTATTTATGAAACTTTATTCTTTTAAATAAATTGTAGAGATGTTTATTGAGTTCCTCAAAAAATGTAAAATTTTGATTTTCTTTTTCTTTTTTTATTGATATATAATAGTTGTACATATTTTGGGGATCATATGGTATTTTGATAATTGCATACAATATGTAATGATCAAATTAGGGCAATTGGGATAGCCATCACCTCAATCATTTATCTTTCCTTTGTGCTGGGAACATTTCACATCTCTTCTAGTTATTTTGAAATATACAATAAATTATTATTAACTATAATTTTCCTACTGTACTGTATCGAATACTAGAACTTACTCCTTTTATCTAACTATATTTTGTTATCCCTTAACCAACTTGTCTTCAGCCCCCTCATCTCTTCCTCACCTCTGATAACCACTACTCTCTACCTTCATGAGAATGAGAATAACTTTTTTTTTTTAAACACGGTCTCACTCTTTCACCTAGACTGGAGTATAGTGGCGTGATCTCAGCTCACTCCAACCTCCGCCTCCCAGGCATGTCTTTCTATGCCTGCTTATTTCACTTAATATAAGGAACTGGATCTCCAGTTCCATTCATGTTGCTGCAAATGACATGATTTTATTATTTTTTATGGCTGATTAGTATTCCGTTGTGTATATATACCACATTAAAAAAAATCTATTCATCCACTGATGGATGCATAGGTTGTGGCCCTCTTGGAGCTTGTCTTTATTTAGAATTGTGATTTTTTTTTTTTTTTTGAGACAAGGTCTTGCACTGTTGCCCAGGCTGAGTACAGTGCATGATCACGGCTCACTGCAACCTCAGCCTCCCAGGCACAAGCATTCCTCCCACCTATCCTCCCAAGTAGCTGGTGATATGGGCAGGAGACAAGGAAATACTGGGTAGAAGAGGGCGGCTCCCTGGCAAAGGCCCTATCCTCAAGCCTGGATACCTGCAGCCCTAAATGAGAACAGGCATTTCTGTTTTTGTGTCCCAGAATTTGCCTTTTAGCCTGCCAGGTCCCCTATCCTGCCCCAATAGAAACCCCAAACCTCAGGCTCCAGAGGAGACCGGCAGAGCAGCAGAGCAGCAGACCAGCAGACCAGCAACAGCAGAACAACCAGGCAGAGAAAGGGAGAAGAGGCGGGACATCTGGATGCCGAGGGGAGTTTGGCCAGGGGCCGTTGGAGAAGAAGCCAGCTGCTGGAAGAGGCCAGCTGCTGGGAAGATCACTTTCCCACTCCATCCCCCCTTTCAGCTCCCCACTCATCTTGCTGAGAGCCACCTCCACCACTCAATTAAACCTTGCACGCAGCTGGGCACAGTGACACATGCCAGTAATCCCAGGACTTTGGGAGGCCGAGGTGGGCAGATCACCTGAGATCAGGAGTTTGAGACCAGCTTGGCCAATATGGTGAAACCCCGTCTCTACTAAAAATACAAAAATTAGCCTGGCTTGGTGGCAGGCACCTGTAATCTCAGCTACTTGGGAGGCTGAGGCAGGAGAATCACTTGAACCCGGGTGGCGGAGGTTGCGGTGAGCCGAGATTGCGCCACTGCACTCCAGCCTGGGTGACAGAGTGAGATTCCACCTCAAACAAACACACACACAAACAAACAAAACCTTGCACTCATCCTTGGAGCCTGTGTGTGATTCGATTTTTCTGGAACACTGGGCAAGAGCTCGGGATATGGAAGTCTGTTACACTGGCCCTCTGCCCTTGTGTTAAGAGCTGATTAACACTCAAGCCGTCTGCAGACAGCAAAGCTGAAAGAACTTGGTAACACTGGAGTTGCAGGCACCCACCCCTAGACACTACTGCAGGGCTGAGAGCCCAAAGCACTTGCCCTGGCCTCTGCACCTGCCTGTTTGCATGCTCCCCCTAGGGATTTGAGCTGCAAGGTGACGGAACAGGCAAGTTGCATCCCTGTCGCACATCCTGCAAGGGGAAATCAGGGAACTCTCCCACTTCCCTGGGACTATAGGTGCAAGCCACCATACCTGGCTAATTTTTCTGCATTTTTTTGTAGAGATAGGATTGCATCATATTGCCCAGGACGGTCTCGAACTCCTGGGCTCAAGCAATCTGCCCGCCTCAGCCTCCCAAAGTGCTGGGGTTACGGGTGACAGCCACCACGTCTGGCCTTATTTCTCTTTATAAATGAATTGTTGTTTTTTGAGCACTACCATTTTAGGCAGGAGGTGGGAGAAGATAAAGTGTGAGAGGCTGGTTGGGGTAGCAAACTAGGCTGATAGTGAAAAAAATGTGTTGAGAAATAACAGCAGTTAATTTCTTTTGAATGTGTCACATAGATTAAGTGGTTTAATTTTATTGAATCCTCACTACAACTATATGAGGTAAATACCATTATTACACCCATTTTACATAGATGAGGACATTGAAGCTGGGAGGAATAGTAAAACTTGCCCAAGGTCACAGCCTGTAGGTGGCAGAACTTGGTGTTAAACATTAAACCCAGGACTGTCATGCTCAGAAGCTTTAATCTTTATGATATACAGCCTTCCAGTTCAGAGTAAGCTGGGCTGAGCTAATTATACTTGGAAGTAAGAGATAAACGTAGGCAAACGATTATACAGCTGAATGTTAGGAGTCGAGAATCCTGCTCATTTTCTTCATTGGACAGACCCCAAAAGCAGACTTTTTTTTTTTTTTTTTTTTTGAGACGGAGTTTCGCTCTGTCGCCCAGGCTGGAGTACAGTGGCGCGATCTCGGCTCACTGCAAGCTCCGCCTCCCGGGTTCACGCCATTCTCCTGCCTCAGCCTCCCGAGTAGCTGGGACTACAGGCGCCCGCCACCACGCCCGGCTAATTTTTTGTATTTTTAGTAGAGATGGGGTTTCACTGTCTTAGCCAGGATGGTCTTGATCTCCTGACCTCGTGATCCGCCTGCCTCGGCCTCCCAAAGTGCTGGGATTACAGGCGTGAGCCACGGCGCCCGGCCCAAAAGCAGACTTCTTTCATCAAAGGGACCCTAAATAAACACCTTGACCTCAGCTCAACAAACTGTCAAACTTAAAAAAGGAAAAAAAAAAAAAAAGGGCATCATTGATGATGCTCTGCGAGCACAGTGCTTTTTTTTTTTAATGGTTTGTAAGTTTAGTGGGTTTGTCCTGGTAGAGATTAGCCTAGGTAAAAAGCCACAGCTTCTTGCTCGCAGTGTAAATGTTTATAGACTGGTGCTTGCTCATTTTAGCTTTTCTTGTTGAGTCACTTATACGTCTCATTTTTCCTTACAGATTATTTCAAAAATAAACTTTTTACTGAAGTTGAAGATACATATAGAAAATTACATACATCTTAACTGTAAAGCTGAATAAATTTTTACAAAATGAATGCACTCATGCAGTCAATACCCAGATTAAGAAATAGAACATTACTAGTCCTTCTGAAGTTCCCATTAAGCGTCTTTCAGTAACTTTCCATCAAAGTATCCATTATTCTGATGTCTACGCTGTGGATTAGTTTTTCCTGTGGTTGAGTTTTATAGAAATTGAATCATGTGCTATACACTCCTTTACTTTTTTTTGCTCAACATTATATTTGTGAGATTCTTCCAGGTTGTTGCGTGTTGCTAAAGTTAATTTATTCTTTTTGCTGTATGGTATGTCATTGTTTGACTATGCCACACTTTACCCTTCTAATCCTTAGAATTGGACGTTTGGGTTGCTTCCAACTTTTGGCTACCATAAGTAGTGTGGTCATGTCCTTGTAGACTTTTGATTTTTTTTTTTTTCAGTCAGCCTTTAAGATGTGCAGCTCATCATATCATGCTGTAATCAAGATGTGACAACAGTCATGTCATGTCATGCCACCCAGTCCTTTGGCTGTACCACCAATGTATTGCATAAAACCACTCGATTACTCTTAGGTAATATGTATGTGTGTACATGTTCATGTGTGTGTGTGTGCATGTACAGATTTTTTTTCCTTTACATCCTTGAATCACATTATATATGAAGTTCTCTATACTGCTGATGTAGCGGCTTCATTGTCTGGGGTAAATAGCTGGGATTTGTTGTCTCGCACCAAGATTAAAGACATGGACACACGCAAGGAGTCAGTTTAGGAGTAGAGGTTTAATAGGCAAAAAAAAGAGAAAGGAGAGCAGTTTCCTCTCTCTTACCAGACAGAGGGGCGTCTGAAAGGGAAAAGCTGGCCTGCGGTGGACCATAGCAGATTTTACAGGTAGGCTTGAGGAGGCAATGTATGATTTATGTAGGGCCCACAGATTGGTTTGACCAGGTGTGACATTTACCTAGCTTGTGGGGAAGGCTGGTCATCCCACCCTAATCTTATTATGCAAATGGGCTTTCCACTTGGCCAGTGCCATCTTGTCTGCTCCTTGCTGTATGCATGGCTGGCAAAGAGAAGGGAAGATGGATCTGCCATTTTGATCATGCGTAGTCCCAGGTAGCCTTTTCCTATTGGCACGACTGGCGACATTCACCTGTGCAAGTTTCCAGCTTGCTTGTCTATGTCTGCAGCTTGATTTTACAGGCTGCTCTTTGTTAGAGAAGAAAATGATGTTGGGGCTGCTTTTCATTAAAGGGAAAACATTACTAAGGACTTCCTTATCCTCACTATCTGCCTAAGTAATTTCTTTTTAACTCCTATGTCATTGATTCTGTATGACTTTGCATTGTGAGCATTTCTCACTTTATAAAAATTCCTGCAAAATGTAATTTTTAATGGAGATCTCTATCATTCTGTCTTATGGCTCTACCACAATTTATTTAACTAACCCCCTAATGGTTGATATTTAGCTTATCTGCAGTTCTTGTCAATACAAATAATGCTGTGGATAAACTACCTTGGATGTAAATCTTTGTCTCTTTTGCGCCTCTGCTTTGAATGGGACTGAAAATTCCCTGTATGGTTAGTGTGGGACTTGTAGTTTAGGGTAGCAGAGGCACTATATATCTTTCTTGTGACATATCTCGCTTTATTCCATTAGTATCTTCATCTTGGAAATGAGAACATACAGTTTCCCACTTACCTGGGCCCTCTGGATGTAGCTTGTCCAGGCCAGCCACTGCAACTTTGCCCTCAAGAAATGAACACTTGTGTATAACCAACTCTTTTAATCTTTACAACTCCAGAATTTACCTCTCAGTTTCATTGCGGTTTACAATTGTGGAGGAGGGAACTTAGAATTGCTTCCTCTTGGGAGAATAATCGGGCAGGAGCAGGAGATGTAAATGAAAGAGTAGAGGGACAGGTAAAGGGCAGAGGGGCTGTAGATCCATGATTTGCCCCTGTTTTGGGTCTGTATTCATTTCTGTTTGGCAACAAAGCTGAGGTATCATTTAGGTAACCGCTATTTTCAGTTTCCATCCATATGCTATTATAGTCCATTCATATGCCATTCTATTTCAACTGCTATTTTCTTTTTTTTTTTTTTGAGACGGAGTCTCGCTCTGTCACCCAGGCTGGAGTGCAGTGGCGCGATCTGGGCTCACTGCCAGCTCCACCTCCTGGGTTCATGTCATTCTCCTGCCTCAGCCTCCCGAGTAGCTGGGACTACAGGCGTCCGCCACCATGCACGGTTAATTTCTTTTTATTTTTGGTAGAGACAGGGTTTCACCGTGTTAGCCAGGATGGTCTCAATCTCCTGACCTTGTGATCCGCCCGCCTCGGACTCCCAAAGTGCTGGGATTAAAGGCGTGAACCACCGCGCCTGGCCTCAACTGCTATTTTCAATTCCATTCATATGCTATTATGAATATATGATTGGTGGAGTTAGGTTCCTGAGAAAGCTGAAGGGCGTGGAGGCAGAATTCAGAAACATGTTCATATCTTTCCTATTAAAATAATTACAGGGCCAGGCCTGGTGGCTCACATTTGTAATCCCAGCACTTCGGGAGGCTGAGGCAGGAGGATCACTTGATCTCAGAAGTTTGAGACCAGCCTGGGCAACGTGGCAAAACCCCGTCTCTACAAAAAATACAAAAATTAGCTGGGAATGGTGGTGCATGCCTGTAGTCCTAGCTACTCGGGAGGTTGAGGTGGGAGAATCACTTGAACCCAGGGGGCAGGGTTGCAGTGAGCTGAGATCATGCCACTGCACTCCAGCCCGGGCAACAGAGCAAGACTCCGTCTCAAAAAAAAATTCCACTTTATCTTGTAACCACAGTTCACTTGTCCTTCCTTCATGGCAGGGCTCTTCAAAGGAGGCATCTGCACTTGTATTCTTCACCTCCTCACCTCCCAAGATGTAGTTTCAATTCCAACCAGTCCAACTCTGAAGTCATTCCCCGTGACCCCTGCTCCTGCTCACCATTCCCCATCCAGTTGGCAGAGTCATTTTTTTAGCCCTTTTTCTTCCTTACTTTCCCTTTCTCCACATCCAATCAATCATGAAGACCTTCTCAGTTTACCTCTTAAATTTCTTTCACTTTACTCCCATTGTCACCACCTGTAATAATTTGCTATGGCTGCCATAACAAAGTACCGCCAAGTTAGTGGCGTAAGTAACAGAAACGTATTGTCCCATTGTCTCTTGTTGGTTGGAAGTCGAGGTGTTGGCGGGGTTGGTTCCTTCTGGGGGCTACGAAGGAAGGCTCTGCTTCAGCCCTTTCTCCTTGGCTGGTAGATAGCCAGCTTCATGATCATAGGTGTTCTCCCTGTATCTTCACATTGCCTTTCCCCAGTACCTATCTGTGTCTCAATTTCCCCTTTTACCAAGGATACCAGTCATATTGGATTGGGACCCACCCTAATTATTTCATTTTACCTTGATTAGCTTTGTAAAGATCCTATCTCCAGGCCAGGCATGGTGGCTCACGCCTGTAATCCCAGCAGTTTGGGAGGCCGAGGCGGGCGGATAACTTGAGGGCAGGAGTTCAAGACCAGCCTGGCCAACATGGTGAAACCCTGTCTCTATCAAAAATGCAAAAAATTAGCCAGGTGTGGTGGTGCACACCTGTATGCCCAGCTGCTTGGGAGGCTGAAGCAGGAGAATCACTTGAACCTGGGAGGCAGAGGTTGCAGTGAGCCAAAATTGCACCACTGCACTCCAGCCTGGGCAACAGAGCAAGACTCTGTCTCAAAAAAAAAAAAAAAAAAAGAACCCTATCTCCAAATGAGGTCACATTCTGAGGTACTGGGGATGAGGACTTCACCATGGATTTTGTTGGTGGAGGGAGGACACAATACAACTCCTGACGCTGCCTCTGTTCAAGCCTTTAGTGTTTCTCACCTATGTCATTTCTTCAGGATAAGCTTAGGACTGTCCCTGCTTCCAGCATTGTCTTATTTCAACCCAGCCACTACTCTGCTGCCAGAAGATCTCATAATACTGCTGTGGCTGTTGGGATAAGCCAAGCTCCTCACCATGCCTAGCATGCCCTTTGTGTTCTGGGCCTTTGCTCTCCTTCCGTCTTATTTCCTGCTGCTCACATAGCATTGCTGCAGCCATCATGACCCTGTGGGATCATTGCCCTGCCTTTGGGCTTGGCTGTGTGAAGTTTTTCCTGCCTGCGATGGTTTCTCTCCCTACACTCCCTGAATAAATGACTCATGTTGGGTCTTCAGGCCAACTGCAGCATTATCTCCTCTGAGAAAACCTTCCCTAATTCTGGGTTTTGTGCTTCTCCTCCATGACTTAGGTCCCTTGAGTTTCCTTTGCCATTGCCCTGTACTACAGTTTTATTTATTTATGAGCTTAGCCCCCTTACAAGAGCCACATCACCAGGACATCTAGTTCAATGCCTTGTATACCAAAGGCACTCAATGCACATTTGCTGAACAAATAAATATGTGAGTGAATCAGTCTTCATTTAGAAAATTGCAGTGTCAGCCCAGGTGCAGTGGTTCATGCCTGTAATCCCAGCACTTTGGGAGGCCGAGGTGGGTGGATCACCTGAGGTTGGGAGTTCGAGACCAGCCTGAACAACATGGTGAAACCCCACTTCTACTAAAAATACAAAATTAGCTGGGTGTGATAGTGCATGCCTGTAATCCCAGCTACTTGGGAGGCTGAGGCAGGAGAATTGCTTGAACCCGGGAGGCAGAGGTTGCGGTGAGTTGAGATTGCGCCACTGCACTCCAGTTTGGGCAACAAGAGTGAAACTCCATTAAAAAGAAAGAAAGAAAGAAAGAAAGAAAGAAAACAGCAGTGTTGGCTGAGTGCAGTGGCTCATGCCTGTAATCCCAGCATTTTGGGAGGCCAAGGTGGGCGGACCACCTGAGGTCAGGAGTTCGAGACCAGCCTGGCCAACATGGTGAAATCCCCTCGTCTCTACTAAAAATACAAAAAAAAAAAAAAAAAAAAAAAATTAGCCAGGCATAGTGGCACGTGCCTGTAATCCCAGCTACTTGGAAGGCTGAGGCAGGAGAATCCTTTGAACCCAGTGGGTGGAGATTGCAGTGAGCTGTGACTGTGACATTGCACTCAAGCCTGGGTAACAAGAACAAAACTCCATCTCAAAAAAAAAAAAAAAAAAAAAAAGAAGAAGAAAAGAAAAAGAAAAAAAGAAAATTGAAAATTGCAGTGTCACAGTGAGTAAGTGGACTAGTGGTAACAGGAACAAGGAGGGGCACAATAAAAGGCGTGGTAATTGGAATGGGTTTATAATTCTCACCAGAGAAGAAACACAGCATTTCGGCTGGTGTCGCTGCTCCAGGGAAAGTTCTGTTACTCCACTGACTCTCTCTTTTCCTGATAACATGGCCAGCAAGAAAGTAATTACAGTGTTTGGAGCAACAGGTAAAAAGTCTTTAATTTTTAGGGCATGCTGACTTTGCTCACTCTCCTGTCTTCCTGTTTGTAACTTTAGAGCCTGCAAGTGTGGGCTGAACAAAGAGCTCTTTGGAAGAAATTTTTTAAAGTATCCTATTGCTTTAGTTCTTGATGTGGTAAAGGGGTGGCATGATTTGATTTGTAACTTGATCTCAGCAGGACAAGGACACTGACGTAATCTCCCTTTCCCAGTCATGGGGCTAACTGGTTGGTATAAGTCTCATTTCAACATAAGCTATACTCTGAAGTCTTCTCTCCACTCACTTCCTAATAAGCAAAAGGTACAAGTGTGAGGGGCCTGGGGGTTTGTAGTGAATATCCAATGCCTGACCAATCTTCCAGGGAGTCTGCAAGGATGGAGTGTGTGGGAAGTTTGCATTCCTGGCTCCCTTACAGTTTGTTCCTCAACAGTCAGAGCCATCTTTGCACAATATAAATCAAATCAGGTTTTTCTCCTTCAATCTATTCTCATTTCAGCCTCCCAAGGATCCATTTGAAACTGTCAGATCATGTCAGGCCTCTGCTCAAAACCCTCTAAAAGATCCCAGCCCCATGGCACTCCCAGTAAAGTGCAAAGTCCTGCTAATGCCCTGCAACAGGGCCTTGGAAATGTTGTGTCAGAACTCTCTTCCTGCCACCCTCCTCTCACTCCGCTTCATTACCCTGGCTTTCTTGCTGTTCCTCCAAAACAATCCCACAAATACAAAGGCTCTGGCCTTTGTATTGGCTGCTTCTTCAACCTAGAATGATCTCCCTCTGTTACTGATATAATTTGACTGTGTCCCCACCCAAATCTCATCTTGAATTGTAGTTCCCACAATCCCTACATGTCATACGAGTGACCAGGTGGAGATAAATGAATGCTGGGGGCGGTTCCCCCAGCCTGTTCTCATGATAGTGAAAAGAGAGAGTTCCCTGGTCCTGGTCCCCCACCACAGGGTGTGCCACAGGGGTGTGGCTCTCTGTTCTGCCACTGCAAGCTCAAACTCTTTAAGAGATGGGGAGCATGCATACCGGTAGGTGCAGGAACTGGGGCAAGTGCTTTTGGGCTCCAGCCCTATGGCAGCATCTAGGGGTGGGTGTCTGTAACTTTCAAAGCCCAAGTGTGCATGTGTTACAGTGCACTCTTTTAGCCTTGCCATCCACAGATGGCTTAAGGGTTAACCAGCTCAGTGAACCCTCTGCCTTTTTGCAAAAGGAGGGGGCTAGTGTGACAACTTTCTGTATCCCAAGCCCTCATCCAGCATCCCAGAAGAATCAGGTCACACATGGACTTGAAGGATGAATGCAGGGGTTTTATTGAGTGGTGGAAGTGGCTCTCAGTGGGATGGTTGGGGAGCTAGACAGGGGATGGAGTAGAAATATGATCTTGCCCTGGAGTTTGGCTGTCCAGTGGCTGATTCTCCGAACATCCTCAGCCAAACTCCTCCTGACGTTCCTTCTCTTCTCTCCTCTGCTGCACCATTCTGCCATCTGTTTGTCTCCTTGTCTCCTAGTCTGCTTCTGGAGCCTGGGGTTTGGGGCTTATATGGATACAGGATAGGGGTGGTGGCAGGCCAGAAGGCAACTTTTGGGGTGCAAAAACAGGAATGCCTATTACTTAGGGCAGCAGGTATCCAGGCTTAAGGGTGGGGCCTTTGCCAGGAACCACCCTCTTCTACCCAGTATTTCCCTGTCTCCTGTTCGTATCAATAGTGAGTTCGTTCTCATGAGATCTGGTGGTTTTACAAGCGGCTTCCCCCTTCACTGGGCCCTCATTTTCTCTGCTGCCACCCTGTGAAGTGGTGTCTCCCGCCATGATTGTAAGTTTCCTGAGACCTCCCTAGCCATGTGAAACTGTGAGTCAATTAAACCTCTTTTCTTTATAAATTACCCAGTGTTGGGTATTTCTTCACAGCAGTGTGAGAAAGAACTAACACAGTTACCCACTGCTTTCCCCCTCATGCCATTCAGGTCTCTGCTTAGATGTTACCTTTTCCATGGGGACTTTCCAGACCTCTATATTTGAAATTGCAACTCTGCTTCCACCCTGCCCATGTCTGGCTCCCTTCCTTACTTCAATTCTTCTATTTCTGCCTGTCTTTCCACACTAGAATATAAGCTCTATGAGAACAGGAATTTGTCTGGAGGAAGTCAAGGGCTAAAGCAGGAAGCAGAGTGAAATAAATTCTCAAAAATCAACAGTCAAGTATGATATTAAAAGGAGAAGAAGAGGCAATGGAGCGGGGGATGACTCTATTAAGCGTTAGGGTGATGGTAAAGATGTTGGCTTTTCCTGAAAGAGAAAAGTGATCGAAGGGTTTGGTTTTTTCAGTGTGTTTGTGTTTAGCTACAGGGTCTCACTGTGTTGCCTGGGCTGGAGGGTAGTGACTCTCCATCCCAGGAGCCATCATAGTACACAGCCTCAAACTCCTGGGCTCAAGTGATCTTCCCACCTCAGCCTCCCAAGTAGCTGGGACTGCAGGATTGCAACAGCATACCAGACACTGAAGGATTTTGAGCAGAGGAATCACATGACTTTGGTGTTAAAAGGATCATTTTAGCTTATGCTTTGTGAAGGGACTATAGGGGATAAGGGCTGAAGCAGGAAGACCTGTTAGGAGGTGGTTGTCATAAAATAGGCGAGATGATAGTAGCTTAGACCAGGGTGGTAGCAATGAGATTGTGGAGAGTGGTCAGATTCTGTGGAGGTTTTAAAAGTTGTGTTGGCAGGATTTGTTGGTGGACCAGATATCAGGGGTAAGAAGGGAAGAGTTGAAAATGACTCTGAAGTTTTATGGCTTGAGTAACTGGAAGAATAAAGTTGAGATTCACTGAAATATGGGAGACAGTGGGGAGGAGGAGGTCAGGAACTCCTTAAACTTGAATTGGTCTCATTAAACTTGAGTTGCCAACTAGGCATCCAGAGACTGGGTAGGCAGTTGGATAAGATTTTTGGGAGTGGCCAGTCACTCTATTAATTCTGTCTTCTAAATCTCTCTGATTTTTTCCATTCTCCCTCTTAGAAGCTTTTTCCACACTCCATTTGCCTTCTCTCCATGTTCCACCTTTAAACAGAACCATCTTTCAAATCTGATTAATTTTTCAAACCTTGTAGACAGCTAATACCACCTTGTATCACATTCCCATTCTCCTTCATTACTGCTCAAGATGTAAGCCCCTCTGGTTATTAGTCTCAACCCTATATTTCGCCACGCATCCTTTCCTTGACCCCACATCTCAGACTCCCTTGCCTACAAAACCTTCTCACGGTACCCTTCTGTTCCAACATCAACATCTTGCTAAATGCCCCCTCAACCTCTTTGAATAAATGGTCACACTTGACTTTTCTCTCTCAATCCTCCCTGTTCATCATCACCACATCCAGTTAATCACCAAAATCCTGTTGATATCATCTTGTCAAGGAAAACTGTGAAGGCCCGGCGCAGTGGCTCACGCCTGTAATCCCAGCACTTTGGGAGGCCGAGGCCGGCGGATCATGAGGTCAGGAGATCGAGACCACCGTGAAACCCGGTCTCTACTAAAAATACAAAAAAAAAAAAAAAATTAGCCGGGCGTAGCGGCTGTCGCCTGTAGTGCCAGCTACTCGGGAGGCTGAGGCAGGAGAATGGCGTGAACCCGGGAGGTGGAGCTTGCAGTGAGCCGAGATCGCGCCACTGTACTCCAGCCTGGGTGACAGAGCGAGACTCCGTCTCAAAAAAAAAAAAAAAAAAAAGGAAAACTGTGAAAGACTTTGAAATGGGAAAAAAAGGTTGCTGGGTGTCCATGCCCAGGGCACCGTTCTCACTTTTGTGAGCCTTTCCTTGTTTTTAAGATATCTATAACTCTATAAGTTGTAGCAAATAGATAATAACGCAACCGATTCTTGTCCATAGAAATGCAAATGAAGGCCGGGTGTGGTGGCTCATGCCTGTAATCCCAGCACTTTGGGAGGCCGAGGTGGGCTGATCATGAGGTCAGGAGTTTGGGACCAGCCTGGCCAATATGGTAAAACCCCGTCTCTACTGAAAATACAAAAATTAGCCAGTCATGGTGGCAGGCACCTGTAGTCCCAGTTACTCAGGAGGCTGAGGCAGGAGAATCGCTTGAACCCAGGAGGCAGCAGTTGCAGTGAGCTGAGATCACGCCACTGCACTCCAGTCTGGGCAACAGAGCAAGACTCTGTCTCAAAAAAAAAAAAAAAAAAGAAATACAAATGAATTGTGTCTGGTGGACCACAATTGATTATTGCCTGGTGGATATTGACTGGTTTTGTCCCTAATTGTACATTCATTTTAGCATTTTGGCATTCTTGATTGCCTACATATATGTGTGTTCTTTGAATTTTTCTTATAACATTGTACTGGTTCCCTCATTAATTAATGAGTTAAATAAAATTTTGACACATTCATTTTATGTGTGTACAAATTATCATTTTACTCTTTAAAAATGTATCCTTTAATATTCTGAGTATCTCTTAAATTTGCATTATTCCCTCCACCTGAATAACCCCTTCTAGCACAGGTCATTATCAACCTTTACCTAGATTATTTTAAAGCCCACTAATTGTACCCTTGTCTGTGGTCTCTCTATCCTATTCCACACTCTCCATTAACCAGAGCACTTTCCCAGCATGTAAGTCTGAACATACTGCTCAATTTCATAAAATCTCCTGCTCCCAGAACAAAGTGCAGCCCTCTAGGCCTATTTTGCTTCTCCAGCCTCATGTGTGACATTGACCTGCAGTTCTCAGTCAGATTCATTTCAGTTCTCTGAATTCACTCCCTTCTCTGTCACCTCTAGAATAAAGCACTTGCAATTGCTTTGCATGCAACACACTCCACATGCCTCTCTTCTCCCAATTCTTGCCTGTTCTTTAGGGCTCATTTCTGTTACCACTTCCTTCAGGAAGCCTCTCTCTAGTCTGGGTTAGATGCTCCACTTATGTCCTCCTGTGTGCCCTCAGCCCTTTACCTCCTCCCCTAATAGCACATATCACGCTGTATTATAATTGCTCTTTAATGATCTCCTCTGCTAGTCTTTAAGCTCTGTGCTGGCAGGTGCCATGTTCAGGTTTGAATCCTGAAATCCTTACTTAAGCAGCTGTATAATCTGGGGTAAATCCTTGAACTCATTAGGCCATAATCCAATATATAATGTCTTTCATAAATTTTATCTTATATCCAACTTGTTCAAACCTGCTATTGTTTACCACTACATCCCCAGGGCATAGCACAGCATGTAAAAGTCATTCAAAAACATGGTCCCAGGACAATAACAGAAACCTCCCTATAAAAATCCTTTTCAAGGACCATGACCCACCCTACCTACTCCAGCACCCCCCAACCCCCTGCAAAAAGCACAAATTATACTCAAATAGAAAGTACTTCAGTTTGTTTAGATTTTTATTTTATAAAGTCAGAGTAAAATATTCAACCCACCTGCTTTTTAATTGTGAATGGTTCCATATAATGGCCATCCTAGGAGGGATGAAAAAGGGTTTTGTTTTACTTTCTCTAATTTATAAAGAAAAAAAGGTTTATTTGATTAATGATTCTCGTGGCTGGGAAGTTCAAGATTGTGCATCTGCATCTGATGAGGGCCTCAGGCTGCTTCCACTCACGGTGGAAGGTAAAGGGGAGCTGGCATGTGCAGAGATCACATGGAGAGAGAGGAAGCAAGAGGGAGGGTGGAGGTGCCAGGCTCATTTTAACAACCAGCTCTCACAGGAACTAATAGATGAGAACTCACCTCTGAGGGAGGGCATTAATCTATTCATGAGGGATCTGCTCCCATGACCCAAACACCTCCAATTAGGCTTCAATATTGGGAATCACATTTCAGCATGATGTTTGGAGGGGACAAATATCCACACCAGCAGTCAGTGTTCTGCAATTTCACAGTGATGCGCATAAAGTGGGAGTTCATTTATCATTGTATGGGGCACTCAGTGACCTCTCAATCTGGAAGCTCAGTTAATATCCTTGGACTCCAAGAAATTACTATTTTCTTAGATAATTTCAATACCTCCATCTATTTCTCATTCTATAATTCCCCTGGCTTGATCTTCTAATTATTTTTCTCTCTCTTATTTTACTTGCTTTATTTTTCCCCTTCTAATTCTGGGAGAGTTCTCCAACTTTTTCTACTGACATTTTATTTCTGCTATAATAAATTTTTGAGAGCAGCTGCTTATCTTTTGAATGCTTGCTCTCTTTCTCCTGTCTCTTCTTCTCCTCTTTTTGGGCTGATATAGTGTTTGGAATGCAAAACCTTTTCTAATCTCAGAGGATATTAATTTGGAGTCTTACTCTGTCACCCAGGCTGGAGCGCAGTGGCGAGATCTTGGCTCACTGCAACCTCTGTCTCCTGGGTTCAAATGCTTCTCCTGCCTCAGCCTCCCAAGTAGCTGGGATTATAGGCACCTGCCACCACACCCGGCTAATTTTTGTATTTTTAGTCGAGAAGGGGTTTTACCATGTTGGTAAGACTGATCTTGAACTCTGACCTCAAGTGATCTGCCCACCTCCACCTCCCAAAGTGCTGGGATTACAGGATTGAGCCACCGTGCCTGGCCCTAGAGGATATTAATTCTTTTTAATTTTTTTCTTCAGTTCTCTGGACTGTTTCTGTTTCCATCAGTTTGTTTATTTTGGTTTTGCCTTTCATGTTGGAGGCTTACCTCAAACATCTGGTGAACTTTGGCTGTGTGTTCATATTTACTAGTAGACAATTTACTATGAAACTCTGTGTGCAAAGACAGAGCTCACTGAATAACCCCTGACCTTCCTATAGGGTTATCAGTGGTGTATTAGCTGGAGTCCCACAAGAAACAGGTGCCACACTCCTTCAGAGAAGCTGAGAAAAATTTAATAACGGTGGACAAGGAAGAGACCAATAAGGAATAAGTAAGCAACAAGAGGAAGGAGAAAAGGGCAAGAGAGATGACCAGAGCTTGGGGACAGTAGCGATGTTAAGGGGATCATCTCTCTTGCCCTTGGGTCTCTCATTGCCCAGAACCAACTTGAGGGCACGAGAGCCCATTGATGGAATCCATAAGGATCAGCTGTTGAGTGCACTAAGTAGAAGAGAGAAAGTGAATATGGAGCTGGAAACACAAAAAAGTATCCAGGACAGGTATCCAGCCAATTTGATGGAGCAACACAAATGTTAGCAACCCAGCATAGCACCTGGCCTATATCACAGGATAGTCCATAAATATTTGCAGGGTGAATACATTAGGCAAGTAATGATCATATCGTAATTGGTCTTGAATGTGGTAAAAAATTTTTACAATTTTTTTTTTTTGCCTGGCGCGGTGGCTCACGCCTATAATCCCAGCACTTTGGGAGGCCGAGGCGGGTAGATCACGAGGTCAGGAGATCGAGACCATCCTGGCTAACACGGTGAAGCCCCGTCTCTACTAAAAATATAAAAAATTAGCCGGGCATGGTGGCGGGCGCCTGTAGTCCCAGCTACTCAGGAGGCTGAGGCAGGAGAATGGTGTAACTCGGGAGGCGGAGCTTGCAGTGAGCCAAGATCGCACCACTGCACTCCAGCCTGGGCAACAGAGCGAGACTCCGTCTCAAAAAAAAAAAACAAACTTTTTACAAGTTTTTAAATTTCTAAAAAAATATAGACCAGGGCCAGGTGCAGTGGCTCATGCCTGTAATCCCAGCACTTTGGGATGCCAAGGCAGGTGGATCACTTGAGGTCAGGAGTTCGAGACCAGCCTGACCAACATGGCGAAACTCTGTATCTACTAAAAATACAAAATCAGCTGGGTGCATGCCTGTAATCCCAGCTACTCACAGACTGAGGTGGAGAATTGCTTGAACCCAGGAGGCAGAGGTTGTAGTGAGCTGAGATTGCACCATTGCACTCCAGCCTAGGCCGCAAGAGCAAAACTCCATCTCAAACACACACACACACACACACACACACACACACACATATATAAATATATAAAAATAAATATAAATATGTATGTATATATGTACATAGAGAGACAGAGAGCACAGGAACCTCTTTTGAAGAATTGTCTTAATAACCCCAATATAAGATCTATAACCAGGTAAAAGAAGAATAATCGCCCTTATGGAATCTGGAGAACCTGTGGGCATCCCTCATTTTGACACCCTGCTCACTTGCCCTTCTTGTTGCCTCGAGCCTCTCCCACTCTTCTCTTCCCATGTCCTCTGCAAAAATGCCTCTGAAGAGGCCACAAAGAACTTAGTTTGAAAGCCATGGGGATATGTGAAGGGCCATGTAGCACCCCCTGCAGTAGGTACTGCAGCAGCTCTACTCTGAATTATGAGATTTCTGACCTTCTTTCAGTGAACATTCTTCCTGATCCTTCCTGTGTTTCTTCTTCTCTTGACCCTGCAGGAGCTCAAGGTGGCTCTGTGGCCAGGGCAATTTTGGAGAGCAAAAAATTTGCAGTGAGAGCAGTGACCAGGGATGTGACTTGACCAAATGCCCTGGAGCTCCAGCGCCTTGGAGCTGAGGTGGTCAAAGGTGACCTGAATGATAAAGCATCGGTGGACAGTGCCTTAAAAGGTGTCTATGGGGCCTTCTTGGTGACCAACTTCTGGGACCCTCTCAACCAAGATAAGGAAGTGTGTCGGGTAGAAACCAAATTGTTTCATTTTTCCTCTTGAGCCCTTTCCTCTTACCCTCCCTAGCAGCTTCTTTCCTTCCTATAAGGGGACAGGCCTTCAGTCTGGGCAAATGTATGTCTTACATCCCTTTTGGCATTTATAAAAAATATGTACTTTAAGTACTTGTTAAAGGTATCTTTGTAAAATTAATGTTATGTAGCATCTGTCTAGGTCTCGAGACCTTGAGTATTCAGAGTGAGCATTTAATGAAGCTAGTCATTGGATTCTCCACTTCTCACCATTTGTTTGTACATGGCATGGGGGGGGTGGTGGCAAGGGTACCCCCAAATTTGAGGCTAGTTTGAGAGTGAAATGGAGAGAATAAAGATGTAATTTACACTTCATTTATACTTCAGATAGATAATTTGGGGATGGGTACATAGAAAAAGAAATAAAAGAGCAAATAAACCCACAATGAATTAAATTCAGGGAAAATGAAAGTTTGTAGAAAAAGTAAATGTAGGCTGGGTGCAGTGGGTCATGCCTGTAATCCCAGCACTTTTGGAGGCCGAGGCAGGTGGATCACCTGAGGTCGGGAGTTCGAGACCAGCCTGACCAACATGGTGAAACCCCCATCTCTACTAAAAATACAAAATTGGCTGGGCATGGTGGTACATGCCTGTAATCCCAGCTACTTGGGAGGCTGAGGCAGGAGAATCGGTGGAACCTGGGAGGTGGAGGTTGCAGTGAGCCACGATCGTACCATTGCACTGCAGCCTGGGCAACAAGAGTGAAACTCCATCTCAAAAAAATAAAATAAAATAAAAAAGAAAAAGAAAAAATAAATGTAACCATTGAATATCACATAACTCAGCTTCAGCTGTGTGTAAGCACTGAATATTGATCTAGCCAAAAACAATGATTGGGAGAATGAAACAAGGGAATTGTGTATATGTGTGGTGGTGGTGGTGGACAACCTGAGTGAGTAAGAGAGGAGAGAGAGCGAGTGAGTGAGAGACAATCATTAAATCCTCATCTTTCATAGTAGGAATTTAGTAGATGATATTTCAAATTGAAAAAATCAACAATTAGTGGTATAAACGTTTACAAAAATAAACAGCTAAATGAAATTAGTGTTACTTCTGGAGAACAGTAATCAGCATGGGGCACAGGGAACTTATTTTATTTTATTTGTTTTCTTTTATGTTTTAGAGACAGGGTCTCACTGTGTTGCCCATGCTGGTCCTGATCCCCTAGCCTCAAGTAATCCTCCCACCTCAGCCTCTTGGGAATCTCTTTTTCTTTTTTTGAGACGGAGTCTCGCTCTGTCGCCCAGGCTGGAGTGCAGTGGCACAATCTCCGCTCACTGCAAGCTCCGCCTCCTGGGTTCACGCCATTCTCCTGCCTCAGCCTCTGGAGTAGCTGGGACTACAGGCGCCCGCCACCACGCCCGGAGAAATTTTTGTATTTTTAGTGGATACGGGGTTTCACTGTGTTAGCCAGGATGGTCTCCATCTCCTGACCTCGTGATCCGCCCGCCTCGGCCTCCCAAAGTGCTGGGATTACAGGCGTGAGCCACCTCGCCCGGCCGGGAATTTCTTTTTCATTATAAGATCCATTCCCTCCCAACCCATGACAGTACTATTTGAAAATTTAAACTATGTATATGTATACATTTGAGAAAAAATGAAGATTAGATTTAAAAAAATATAATGGATGGTATTAGCCACTTGAAGAAATGGCACAATTCAAAAAATCGAGAGCAGGATCAAACTGTTCCAGGAATGTCTCTTGAATTAATTATACCATTCACAGCCTCTGTTTTAGTGATAAACTCTGGAAGGGCTTATTTTAGGAGACTTGAATTCTACTTCTGATATTTACTTACTAGGAAATGTAGGGATACAAGTCACCTCTCTGCTTCACTTCCTGCCTCTGCTAACCCAGGTTAATTATGTCTTCTCTGCCTGCCGCATAAGGTTTTTTAAGGAAAAGTAAGAAGTTAACAGCAAAAAGAAAGGAAAAAAGAAGAGAGAGATGAAAGTGCTTTGGAAAATTTGGATCTAAAAACACACAAAAAAGAGAATATATATACCTGTGTGTTTGTGTGTGTGTGTATATATGCCTCCATTATGCCCTCAATATCCAAATGGTGTGTAGATATATTCCATTACTAGACACAATTATAGAAAATAAATAAATGCGATTGCAGTTGATCACAAAGACACTGAGAGCCCAGAGAAAAAGGCCATCTCTTCCTGGTCAGTTCCCACCAGGTTGCTTCTTGGCTTCAAACAGGTACCTGGGGTTCCTTTCTCCTCTGCCACCTCTCTAATTTCTTATTCTACTACTCCCCCACCTCCGGTGTTCTGCTGACAGCCCCTTTGGGAGCAGGCTGAGGAGTTGGGGGTTTTGGAGTGGAGCCTCTGCTCACCAATGCGGCTGTGGTGGCCTCTCGTAAGGTAAATTGAATATATTTTGAGGCTGGTAGAGCTTCCTCTCCATAGGGATGGGGGTAATAAGAAAAGGAGAGAGTGGGCCCGGCGCCGTGGCTCAGGCCTGTAATCCCAACAATTTTGGAGTCCGAAGTAGGCAGATGACTTGAGATCAGGAGTTTCAGAACAGCCTGGCCGTATGGTGAAACCCCATCTCTACTAAAAAATACAAAAAACTAGCTGGGCGTGGTGGTGCGCACTTGTAACCCCGGCTACTCGGGAGTCTGAGCCAGGAGAATCACTTGAATCCGGGAGGCGGAAGCTGCAATGAGCGGAAATCACCAGACTCTGTCTTAAAAAAAAAAAAAAAGCAGTGGGGAGAGGGGGTAGAGGGGAGGTGAGGAGATGGAAGAGATCCTGCTCTTAACATCTGTCCAAATGCAAATACAAATACAGCGGCCTATATGAGGATTTACTTTTGATCTTCAGGGGAAGCTGGTGGCAGACTCCGCCAAGCACCTGGGTCTGAAGCACGTGGTGTACAGCGGCCTGGAGAACGTCAAGCGACTGACGGATGGCAAGCTGGAGGTGCCGCACTTTGACAGCAAGGGCGAGGTGGAGGAGTACTTCTGGTCCATTGGCATCCCCATGACCAGTGTCCGCGTGGCGGCCTACTTTGAAAACTTTCTCGCGGCGTGGCGGCCCGTGAAAGCCTCTGATGGAGATTACTACACCTTGGGTAAAACGAAGTGAAAACTCACTAGGCACCTGGTTGCCCTCCTCTCCACTCACCTGCCTCCCTCTCTCCCTTCTTGCCCCTCTGCAGTGGACACCTGTCATCTGAGTGCCTTCTATGTGTTTAGCCCTATGTGAAGTGCTGAGAGGGATGCCAAATTGTCCTCAGCTTCTCTAGGGCACTACACTAAGTTGCTCTTCTAGGGCAGAGAACTAGATCTGGGATCAGAAGCACAAAGGGTTACATTTCCAATCTTAACATACTGACCGTCCTTAATGTAAGTACTGGAGTTAGCTATGTGACCTCTAGCCTCAGTTTCCTCAGGTTATTTTTATTTTATTTTTTGAGATGGAGTCTTGCTCTGTCGCCCAGGCTGTAGTGCAGCAGCGTAATCTTGGCCCACTGCAACCTCCACAGCCTGGGTTCAAGTGATTCTTGTGCCTCACCCTCCTGCGTGGCTGGCATTACACGCACCCGCCACCATGCCCGGCTAATTTTTGCATTTTTAAATAGATACGGGGTTTCACCATGTTGCCCAGGCTAGTCTCAAACTCCTGAACTCAAGGGATCCAGCCAACTCAACCTCCCAAAATGCTGGGATTACAGGTGTGAGCCACCACGCCTGGCAGATTCCTCAAGGTTTAACGGGAAAATTGGACAAGATGACTTTTTTTTTTTTTTTTTGAGTCTGAGTCTCTGTTGCCCAGGCTGGAATGCAGTGGGTCTTTTGCCCATACTGGGTTTCATTGCTCACTGTGCAGCCTCAAACTTTTGGGCTCAAGCATCCTCCTACCTCAGCCTCTTGAGTAGCTAGGACTATAGGTGTATACCATCACATCTGGCCAATTATTATTTTATTTTATTTTTGAAGAAATGGGGTCTCTCTTTGTTGCCCAGGCTGGTCTTGAACTCCTGGGCTCAAGCGATCCTCCCACCTCTGCCTCCCAAAGTGCTGTGATTACAGGTGTGAGCCACCATGCCCAGCCTCAGGATGACTTCTAAGACCCTTCTAGCTCATCCATCTGAACTTCTGTGGCAACAATGGAGGAAAAGTGTTCTTCTGATCTGGGTCCCATGGTCAGAATTAGAGCTGAGAGGGACCGTGACCTGCCTGGGAGACAGGTTCCCAGGCCCTACCTGCAGAGAGTCCAATTCCGGGTTGAGTCCAGGTCTGGGTTGAGGCCTAGTTTTAACAAGGACTCCTGGTAATTCCAAAGCTGCTGGTCCACTGGCCGGCATTCCCCTTCCCTTTGGGGACACTTTCTGTGGCCATGGTCAGAGTTGGCCTTTGTGCAGTGGGGGGAATGTGGGAATACCAATGACAATTCAGGCTTTCTTCCTAGATTCAGAATTAATACTCACCAGAAGCCGGGAGGGGTGGCCTATGGTCCCAGCTACTCAGGAGGCTTAGGTGACAGGATTGTTTGAAATAGAATGAGGGAGGGGAGGGTAGTAGGAGGTGAGGTCAGAACTAACAGAGGGTCTGGTTGTGTAAGCTTTGTAAACAACCGGCTTTTCCTCTGAGGGACACAGAGAACTATCAGAAGGTTCTGAGCAGACAGGGCTGGGTGCGATGGCTCATGCTTGTAATCCCAGCACTTTGGGAGGCCGTGGCAGGCGGATCTCTTGAGGCCAGGAGTTTGAGACTGGCCTGGCCAAGATGATGAAACCCCGTCTCTACTAAAAGTACAAAAATTAGCTGGGCGTGGTGGTGGGTGCCTGTAATCCCAGCTACTCGGGAGGCTGAGGCAGGAGAATTGCTTGAACCCAGGAGGCAGAGGTTGCAGTGAGCTGAGATCACGCCACAGCACACTCTAGCCTGGGTGACAAAGCAAGACTCCGTCTCAAAAAAAATTTTTTTTTTTTGTATTTTTAGTAGAGACGGGGTTTCACCGTGTTAGCCAGGATGGTCTCAATCGCCTGATCTCATGATCCGCCTGCCTCGGCCTCCCAAAGTGCTGGGATTACAGGCGTGAGCCACCGTGCCTCCACTGCTATAGCATTTCTGACGGGATGCCTGGCCAACGTGGTGAAACACTGTCTCTACTAAAAATACAAAAATCAGCCTGGTGTGGTAGTGGGTGCCTGTAATTCCAGCACTTTGGGAGGCCAAGGCAGGCGGATCACGAGGTCAGGAGATTGAGACCATCTTGGCTAACACGGTGAATCCTCGTCTCTACTAAAAATACAAAAAATTAGCTGGGCATGGTGGCGGGCACCTGTAGTCCCAGCTACTCAGGGGGCTGAGGCAGGAGAATGGTGTGAACCTAGGAGGCGGAGCTTGCAGTGAGCAGAAATCGCACCACTGCACTCCAGCCTGGGTGAAAGTGCAAGACTCCATCTGAAAAAAAAAAAAAAAAAAAGGGCAAGAGTGGAAACAAGGAGACAAATTTTGCAATAACTCAAGTCACGGATGATGGTGGCTTGGACCAGGGTGGTAGCATTGAAGATGATGAGAAGTGGCCAGATTTTGTACATATCATGCATATGATTTCCAAAAAAAAAAAAGAAAAGGATATGGGATGTGAGAGAAGTGTCAAGGCTGACTGCAAGATTTGTGACCTGAGAAATCAGAATGATAGGGTTGCCATTAGCTGAGGTGGGAGGCTGTAGGGAAGCAGGTTGTGGGGTGTAGGAGTTCAGTTTGGGGCCTGTTGAGTTTAAGATGTCTATTGAACAGTCAGGTAAGGATTTGAGTACGTAGTGGGACACATGAGTCTGGAATTCAGCAGAAGTTTTGGCTGGAGATACATTTAATCATACTTTACATAGAGAAGATATTTAGTAAATGGTTGCTCTTTTAAATCAATATCCAGGCACTGTAGTATTCTCTCTCTTTTTTTTTTTTTTTTTGAGATGAAGTCTTGTTCTGTTACCCAGGCTGGAGTGCAGTGGCACCATCTCGGCTCACTGCAACCTCTGCCTTCTGGGTTCAAGTGATTCTCCTGCGTCAGCCTCCGGAGTAGCTGGGATTACAGGCACGCACCATCACACCTGGCTAATTTTTGTATTTTTAGTAGAGACAGAGTTTCACCATGTTGGCCAGGCTGGTCTCGAACTCCTGACCTCAGGTGATCCACCTGCCTCGGCCTCCCAAAGTGTTGGGATTACAGGCGTGAGCCACCGTGCTCAACCTGTAATTTCTCAAACAAAACCTTGTAACTGTGTATAGATTGTGGTCACTGGGTTTTACATTGCCGTCCCACACCTTTTCTTTAAATGATTGATTAGTTTGGGTTGGTGGGACCTACCAAGGATGTGATGTAATTAACTATTTATCTTTTTCTATTTTTTTTTAAACTAGCTGTACCGATGGGAGATGTACCAATGGATGGTATCTCTGTTGCTGATATTGGAGCAGCCGTCTCTAGCATTTTTAATTCTCCAGAGGAATTTTTAGGCAAGGCCGTGGGGCTCAGTGCAGAAGCACTAACAATACAGCAATATGCTGATGTTTTGTCCAAGGTTTTGGGGAAAGAAGTCCGAGATGCAAAGGTGAGTTCTTAGGGGACATCCATGTGATCACAAGAGGCCACCTTGGTTAACATTCCACTGACTTACAAATTTTGGTAGACTCTCTGTGGATTTAGGCAGGATTGAACTTAAACTTTCAGAAGAAATTGAGAAGGATTGTGGTTCCATAAATCTATCTTCATCGATTGGTGCAGTGGAATCTCTCCCATATGGCTTTATTTCTTTGGCTTAGGGTTAATTGACTTGTAAAAGTAAAATTACTTTTGAGTGGAAAGAACGTAGAATGTGAAGATTGAGATACAGCCTTTTTACACACATGATCCCAACTCCTCTCATAAGTCCTTGCTGCTGACCACTTCGGTCGTCCAGAGCTAGCTGATGTGGAACAAGACACTTAGCTTCATTGAGCCTCAGCTTCCTCAGTTGCAAAGTGGGGAATGATAGTATCTACTTTGGATGTTCTTGTGAAAGTTACAGAGAATATATTTAAAGGGCTTATCATAGTGTTTGGCACATGGCAGAGATGTATTGAGTCTCTATTATGAACCCAATGCTACTTTAAGGAATTTGCAGCAAGGTTGGAGTAAAAATATTGATGCCCATCAAGTCGCCATGATCATTATAAGACATAACACTATAGGTGCTTAATTGTGTTGTTCAGACTATCTGTGCTATAGATGACCAGAAAACAGTGGAAGAAGGTTTCATGGAAGACGTGGGCTTGAGTTGGTCCTTGAGGGAACATGACCATGTATAGACAGAGGAGGCATCAAGAAGGCTGGCCTGGCTAATTCTGGAATAAACACGACAAACCAGAGGCAGTACGGGAAGGAGGCAAATTCTGGCTCTGCCTCTATCCTTGGTAATTTACTTAACCTCTCTCCATCTCAGTGTCTTCATATGTTCCAAAAAAAGTTGTTATACCTCCTTCATGGGATCATTGTGAGGATGAAATGAGATCTGTACAGCAGGTGCTTGGCACTGGGTCTGGCATTTAGTAAGCCCTCAGCAACTGATCATGCTATAAATCATGCAGGAATGGCCTCCTTGTGTGGGGGGCTGCCTTCTTGGGCTTGGGGGTAAGTTATTTTCTCCAAGAAATTGTGCCTGGCCAGGACAGACTTTTTACAGAAGAGTGAGAATTGGTGATATTGGGCATCACCAGCCATTTCCCCAAGCAGGTATTGACAAGAGGAAGGGAAAAGAAAACAGGTTGTTTTCAGGGTACAATGATAGAGTTGAGTAGTTCCAACAGAGAACTTATGGCCCACAAAGCCTACAATATTTATATCTAGGCCTTTAGAAAAAAGTTTGTTTCCCAGCACTTTGGGAGGCCAAGGAGGGTGGATCACGAGGTCAGGAGTTTGAGACCAGCCTGGCGAACATGGTGAAACCCCGCCTCTACTAAAAATACAAAAATTAGCTGGGCATGGTGGTGGGCACCTGTAATCCCAGCTACTGGGGAGGCTGAGGCAGGAAAATCATTTGAACCCAGGAGGTGGAGGTTGTAGTGAGCCAAGATCGCGCCATTGCACTCCAGCCTGGGCGAGAGGGCAAGACTCCGTCTCAAAAAAAAAAAAAATAGTTTGTTGACATATGTTCTAGAATATTTCCTAGAATTAGGGATAGAAAGTTGGTTCTTGTTTGGATCAACAGCTCTTGGTCCAATGATTCTAGAGGGGATATCTAGATTCCCAATTCAGCCTCGGGTACTGAAGTTGTGAGGAGGCAAAGAGATATTTTTTTTTTTCTGGAAAACCAGTGTGGGAGTCAATCCAGCCACAAAACCACATCTGGTTATCTCATTGAAGCCACACACACATTTCTCGGAGAGATTGTTACTCCTGAACCCAAGAAGGCAGCCACCCACTCAAAGATGGGCTCACAAGAAGATCTGCAAGGTTCCTTGCACCTGAGTACACATTCACTTCTCAGTGACCCTTCTCCCAGGCCATTTGCATTTGGGTCATATGTTCATTTTGTCTTGTGGTTTTGAACTCTGTAAGGAAGGAGAGAAAGAGAGAGCGTGAGTGTAGGGGATGAGTGTGTGTATTGATTCTTAGAGGATGCAGTAGACATTGTTCTGAATTGCTCAGAACCTTCCAAGCATCTATTAGTCATATACTTGGTCCCTGACACTTCTTGGTATACAAATTGTTTTATAATGCAGCTGAAGCTCCTCTGGCACCACAGACTGTAGGGCATCAGAGGCTGGAACTTCTGTAGAATGGTCTGACAATTCCGGGGAAGGGTGCATCTGGCCACAAGGTGGCGCTCCAGCCCTCACGGTCTGACTTCCTCCTACCTCCTCAAGTGGGTGTGAAATGTCTAGTTGAAACTGTCTAACCCCCAAAGGAAGATGGTTTTCTCAGAAAGTGAGACATAACAGAACAGACCTCTTTCCTTCAAAAATCTGCAGTAAAAGAATCCCTTATTTTACTGAAGTACATGTGGTATCAAAGTTATGGATGAAAGAGTGACTCAAGGAGACAGACATGAAAGAATCTTCCATGCTTCTCACATAGACTTCTATTTCCAAACTCACTTCAAATTTTCAACGTTTTTCTGATTTCAAAAATAGCAACTGCTTATTGAAGAAAACTCGGAAAATTATGAAAAAGAAAATACAAATCACACGTAGTTCAATCTCTCAGAGATAGCTACTGTTAAGATTTGACAGATTGTCTTGTCTTTTTCCAGTATATATAAGTATCTATATATGTATATACTGTATATACTTATATATATTTATTGTATTAAATATATACATATGTATATGTATATATAAGTATGTGTATATATGTATATATTTAATACAATTATTAAATTGTATTATTGTATTAAATGTATACATATATACACACATATATATACATATGCATATATTTAACACAGTTAAAATAACACTAAATGTACCATTTTGTTTCTGGCCTTTTCAGTTAATGTTATGAGAATTTTTCTATTTTGTTAAACTTCTCCAAAAACATTAAACTGCATTATGTTCTGAGAGTAGATGTACCACAATTAATTCTACCATTTCTGTATTGTTGGCCATGTAGGTTGTTCTTAATTTTCTCATTATTATGAATGCATGTGACAATCATTGTTTTGCCTAAGTTGTTTGTGTCTGTCACCTTTTTTAAAGGCCAAGTAAAATTGCAAAGTCAGAGTTTATCTCTGAGGGCTAAAGACAGATTATACTGGATCCAATAGAAATGATTTTTAGCTAATTCAGTAGGGGGAATTATGGATCTAGTTAGTGTTAGAAAGGATTCAAGGAGTGGATTTTATGGAAGGTGACAGAAGGCAGCTCAGTTGGCGTGGGATGGGCTCCATTTCTGCTTGGGCCTGGCCTTGGCAAAGGCTGGGGCAATTGGAGGTAAAATACAGACCTCTAACCAAGAAAGGGAGCGAGGATGGATGGGCCATCAGCCAGGTGAGAAGGAGAGCCTGGTGCCAGAGAGGGGGGATCTTGATGCCGCATGGAGGCCCAGGTGGGTGGACGGTTTCAGAGGGCTGGTGGGGGAATACGAAGAGGAAGTATAGGCAAGAGCACTGTGAGGTGCTATTCACATGAAGGCTGGTACAGATCTACAGTACCTTACCCAAAAGGCTTGGGGCCAGAAACAATTCAGCTTTAGGAATCTTTCGGCTTTTAGATAGGTTATTGTCTACATATATAACATCACCAGCACGGGCTGGAGCAGGAACCTGTAATCAAACACATCTATATCTCTGCAGGCAAATATTTGAATGTTTCCACTAAATGGTATGATTAAAGACCATAAATAGCTTCACATAGTTAGATCAGGTTTGCCACTAATTTAGTTCAAAAAGGTCAGTTTGCTGCCAAATGGCTTATGGGGGAAAAAAAACTTTAGAGTCTCTTGGATTTTGGAGTTAGGCTAAAGAATTGTGGACCTGGCTGGGTGCTGTGGCTCACACCTGTAACCCCAGCACTTTGGGAGGCAGAGGCGGGCAGATCACCTGAGGTCAGGAGTTTGAGACCAGGCTGGCCAACATGGCGAAACCCCATCTCTACCAAAAATACACAAAATTAGTCGGGCGTGGTGGCGGGTGCCTGTAATCCCAGCTACTCAGGAGGCTGAGGCAGGAGAATTACTTGAACTCGGAGGGCAGAGGTTGCAGTGAGCCGAGATCGCACCACTGCACTCCAGTCTGAGTGACAGAGTGAGACACTGTCTTAAAAAAAAAAAAAAAAGAATTATGGACCTGTGTCATCATTAAGGTGAATAATGTCATTTCAAACTATTTTAAGTATGGGCTATAACATTTTCTGTCTTCTTATTTGTTCTTAAAAGATTACCCCGGAAGCTTTCGAGAAGCTGGGATTCCCTGCAGCAAAGGAAATAGCCAATATGTGTCGTTTCTATGAAATGAAGCCAGACCGAGATGTCAATCTCACCCACCAACTAAATCCCAAAGTCAAAAGCTTCAGCCAGTTTATCTCAGAGAACCAGGGAGCCTTCAAGGGCATGTAGAAAATCAGCTGTTCAGATAGGCCTCTGCACCACACAGCCTCTTTCCTCTCTGATCCTTTTCCTCTTTACGGCACAACATTCATGTTGACAGAACATGCTGGAATGCAATTGTTTGCAACACCGAAGGATTTCCTGCGGTCGCCTCTTCAGTAGGAAGCACTGCATTGGTGATAGAACACGGTAATTTGATTCACATTTAACTTGCTAGTTAGTGATAAGGGTGGTACACCTGTTTGGTAAAATGAGAAGCCTCGGAACTTGGAGCTTCTCTCCTACCACTAATGGGAGGGCAGATTATACTGGGATTTCTCCTGGGTGAGTAATTTCAAGCCCTAATGCTGAAATTCCCCTAGGCAGCTCCAGTTTTCTCAACTGCATTGCAAAATTCCCAGTGAACTTTTAAGTACTTTTAACTTAAAAAAATGAACATCTTTGTAGAGAATTTTCTGGGGAACATGGTGTTCAATGAACAAGCACAAGCATTGGAAATGCTAAAATTCAGTTTTGCCTCAAGATTGGAAGTTTATTTTCTGACTCATTCATGAAGTCATCTATTGAGCCACCATTCAATTATTCATCTATTAATTCCTTGATCCTTCATTTATCCATTCTGCAAACTTTTCTTGAGCACCAGCACGGGTGGCCATTTGTGGACTTCTCTTCATTCCTATGTGTTTTCTTATCAAAGTGATCCACTCTCGAAAGGCTCCTTTCCAGTCTGTGGTTGGGTTCAAGTCATGCCAGGGCCAGGGGGCCCATCTCCTCGTTTAGCTCTAGGCAAAATCCAGGGGATCTGCAGTGGGGAGCGGGGGCAGGAAGCTGGAGGGAAGGCCTGTGAAGGGTAGGGATGTGGAAAGACAAGGTGACAGAAGGACCCAATAGGACCTTTCTATATCTCTGGCTTAGCATTTTCTACATCATATTGTAATCGTCTTATTTGCTAGTTTTCTTCCTTACTGTGAGTGACTAACAGTCATCTTTATCCCAGTGCCTGGTACATAATAAGTGATCAATAAATGTTGATTGACTAAATGAGTAAATAGTTAATTCTATCATTACAAGAAAAGAGTGGCCAGGCACAGTGGCTCATACCTGTCCTCCCAGGACTTTGGGGGAGGCTGAGGTGGGTGGATCGCCTGAGCCCAGGAGTTTAAGACTAGCCTAGGCAACATGGTGAGACCCTCTCTCTGGAAAAAAAAAAATTAGTCAGGCCATGGTGTTGTGCTCCTTTGGTCCCAGCTACTTGGAGGCTGAGGTTGCAGGATCACCTGAGCCTGGAGGTTGAGGCTGCAGTGAGCCGTGATCATGCCACTGCACTCCAGCCTGGGTGACAGAGTAAGAACCTGTCTCTAAATAAGTAAATAAATAAACAGGTGCATTGGTTGTGTGAATTGGGGGGTGTGGTTTTTATCCCCCCAAAAGAACTACCAACTGATACTTTTTAAGGGCGAGCGATTGTCCACTTCCGGGAAGGGGGCTTCCCCCACTATCCAGCATGTGATGATAGAAGTCCCTGAGCAAGGACAGAGATGGTGGTGCCTGTGTGAGAGCCCTTGGCCTGGAATCTCACTCAGGAGAGAGAGACTTGGTGGTGGCAAAAGCCAGCCTTTTTTCTTTTAGAACTCCCAGGGATAAGTATTGAATAAATGATGTTGAAGTTGTTGCAAGCAAATTTTTATCTCGGGGGGAAATCACAATTGAAGTGCATTTGAGGACCACTCTCCTTTTCAAAGTACCAAGTCCCCAGCAATAAATTTAGTGCAACTTAAGTGCTCAGCCCTGGGAAATGGGCCTGGATAAATTTCTAAAAAGGGAAAAGAAAAAGAAAAACAAAACCCTAAACTAAAAATAGATGACTTATTACTCATCTGGGTGGGCCAGACAGGAAGAACGACTGCTGTTCCCTAAATAACCTCAGGGTCCCCCATGTGGAGAGTGACTATAGGCCCAAGGGTCCCTGGACTTTTTGTGTGTTTGCTGGGATGGCAGGTTGGTTCTTTAAGACCGGGATGGCTGGGCATGGTGACTCACACCTGCAATCCCAGCGCTTTGGGAGGCCAAGGTGGGAGGATTGCTTGAGGCCAGGAATTTGAGACCAGACTGGGCAACATAGCAAGACCCAGTTTCTAAAAAAAATAACAAAACTTAACCAGGCATAGTAGTGTGTGCCTGTAGTCCCAGCTACTTGGGAAGTTGAGGCAGGAGGATCTCTTGAGCTCAGAAATTTGAGGCTTCAGTGACCTGTGATCATGCCACTGCATTCTAGACAGAGTGAGACCTTCCTTGTCTCTCTCTCTTTTTTTTTTTTTTTGAGACAGGGTCTCACACTGTCACCCAGGCTGGAGTGCAGTAGTGCAATCATGGCTCACTGCAGCCTAAAACTTCTGAGCTCAAGTGATCCTCCTGCCTCCACCTCCTGAGTAGCTGGGACTACAGGCACATAGTACCATGCCCGGCTAATTCTTTTTGTATTTTTGTAGAGACAGGGCTTAGCTGTCTGGTCTCAAACTTCTGGCCTCAAGTGATGGTCCCAAACTTCTGGCCTCAAGCTATCTGCCTGCCTCAGCCTCCCAAAGTGTTGGGATTACAGGCATGAGCCACGATGCCCGGACTTCCTCATCTCTTAAAAAAAAAAAAGGAAGAAAGAAAAGAAAAAAAAGAAGACTGAGACAGGCCAGGGCTGTCATGGATCAGTCCCAACAATTGTTCCTGGAAAGCATGAGAAGTCCTTCCAGGATTTAGAACCAAACTTTGCAGTGGCTGATCTGAAATGAGACTGTGCACTTTAGGGACCTCAATCTCACATAACAAAGAAGGGAAAATAACTTCCAACTAGTCTGAGACATTTTAATATTTGTTGACAGTGGACAAAAGATTCCACCCACTATCCTCTCCCAGTCCTGCCCAACAGTCTCCAGGCCAAAGGAGGGAAAGGATTCCCTTTGCAGTTGTTCAGGTAGAGACTTGGGGACCCAAGAGAGGCACAGAAGGTGGAAATAGGGCCGTGCATCTCAGTGAACAAGAGCACCCTTTGTTGTCCAGGAGTAGATTAGGGTTGGGGGTGTGGGCGATGGAATAGAAAGGATGCAGAAGATCTCTCTCCGTGATTCCAGAAATGACCCTAGAAATTCAAGCTACAAAGTCAGATAATCCTGGATTTGATTGCCTCTGCCACTGACAAGTTGTGTGAACTTGGTCAAGTTACTTGATTTCTAGGCTTGGTCTCCCCATCCTCACTGGGGACTGCTGGGGGGACTGAAAGATTGAAAGCATGAGAGGCACTTTGTATAGTCTTTGCCAGGTAGTAAGTGCTCAAGAAACAGCTGTAATTATTCTCTCTTCTCTCTCTCTCTCTCTCTCTTTTTTTTTTTTTTTTTTTTTTTTTTTTGAGACAGAGGCTCTTGTTGTCCAGGCTGGAGTGCAATGGTGCAATCTTGGCTCACTGCAACCTCCGCCTCCCGGGTTCAAGCGATTCTCTCTTGTCTCAGCCTCCCGAATAGCTGGGATTGCAGGCGCGCGCTGCCACGCCCAGCTAATTTTGTATTTTTGGTGGAGACAGGGTTTCTCCATGTTGGTCAGGCTGGTCTCGAACTACTGACCTTAGGTGATCTGCCCTCCTCGGCTTCCCAAAGTGTTGGAATTACAGGCATGAGCCACGGCGCCCGGCAAAAAAACAGCTATAATTATTGTTGAGCATAATTCCTCCCCTTGCCTCCTTCATATGCCTCCCAAAATTCTGAAGTGCCCCCTGGGCGGTTCCCAGTGTCGCCTGACCTTGGCCTCCTGGACTGCAGGTTCATCTTGCTCTAACCGCCCGCTGCCCGGTGTCCCGTCCCTTCCCAGCTTCCTTCTCCCACCACTAGATGGCAGTATGAGTCCAGCATAAGAAAGGATCGCTCCAGCCTCATCCCAGGTGATTTTTTCCCCGGGCTTTTTTGGGGAATAAAGCCAAAGGAGATAGTTATACGGCGCATCTTAAAGCCTTGTCGGTTACCCTCCGTGGCCATTTCGACAGACATGCGCTGGTCACCTTCTCTGGGGTGAAGTGCCTTCTCCGTGCCGGATTTGAGATTAAGGGAAGGAAAGGGAGGACCAAGGGATTATCCAAAGACTCCAGCACTGGCTCGCCCCATGCAGAGGAAGGCCCTCAGGCTAAGGGTGAGCCTTCTGCATAGAGGGGTCTCAGACCCTGCTCCAGGAGTGCAGAGCACAGGGCCTGCCCTTTCTCCGCCTGGCAGCCGGGGCCGAGCCTTGCTGGATGCTGGTGCTCCTGCTGCTGGCTTCTCCGCTGGCCACACTGCTTGTCATCCTCTCCCCAACCCAAGGGACCTTTGCAACTCTGAAATCCCATCAAGACTACACAAGGGGCAGAGACAATTCACTAAAAGGAAACTGGGGCACTGTTAGGAAGTGCGTATTGAACGGCCCTCAGGCACTGTCCATTCTCCCAAGTAACAGAGCAGAACACTCTGGCAATGTAGTCCTGACTTGGACTCCTCATAGGAGTGAGCAGGAAGGCAATAACATGAATTTTAAACCATCTCGAGTAGAAGTTGCTATAGCATTTCTTTCTCCTTCCTTCCTTCCTTCCTTCCTTCCTTCCTTCCTTCCTTCCTTCCTTCCTTCCTTCCTCCCTCCCTCTCTCTCTTTTTTTTCTTTCTTTCTTTCTTCTCTCTCTCTCTCTCTTTCTTTCTTCTCTTTCTCTCTCTTTCTTTTCTTTTTTTTTTGAGATAGAGTCTTGCTCTGTCACCCAGGCTGGAGTGCAGTGGCGCGATCTCGGCTCACTGCAACCTCCGCCTCCCGGTTCAAGTGATTCTCCTGCCTCAGCTTCCTGAGTAGCTGGGATTACAGGCGCCCCGCCACCACGTCTGGCTAATTTTTGTATTTTTAGTAGAGACGGGGTTTCACCATGGTGGCCAGGCTGGTCTTGAACTCCTGACTTCATGATCCGCCTGCCTCGTCCTCCCAAAGTGCTGGGACTACAGACGCGAGCCACTGCACCTTGGCTGCTATAGCATTTCTGACGGGCTGCCCCGCTGAGTGTTGCAAGAGGATTAAAAATGTACACACCCTTTACTTGGCAAAACTCCTAAGAAACCATCTTAAGTAAATAAACACAAATATAGATAAAAATATAATTTTGAGGATTTTATATGAAAGTATTTTTTCATGAGAGCAAAAATATAGAAGTAAGCAAAATGTTCAGCATTTAAGAAATGGATAATTAAATTATTGAAGTTTAAAAATTCCTTTAAACTGTAAATTCTTTAGAACTAGCATTTGTGACGAATTTTTACTGAGAAAAATTATGTTTTAAGTGAAAAATATTGGATTATATCCAGCATTATATCTAGCCTAATCCCAATTGTGTAAACTACATATACATAGTAAAACATTGGAAGGAAAAATATGCCAAAATGTTAATAAATGTTTTCATTGAAGTAAAATTTTGGTTGATTTCTATTTTCCTTATTTTAAGTTTCTTCTTTCCCCTAGTTTTCCATAATAAAAATTGTTAGTTTTGGCCGGGTGCAGTGGCTCATGCCTGTAATCACAGCACTTTGGGAGGCTGAGGCGGGCGGATCACTTGAGGTCAGGAGCTCGAGACCAGCCTTGCCAACATGGTGAAACCCCATCTCTACTAAAAATACAAAAATTAGCCGGGTGTGGCAATGCGTGCCTGTAGTCCCAGCTACTAGGGAGGCTGAGGCACGAGAATCGCTTGAGCCTGGATGGCATAGGTTGCAGTGAGCCGAGATTGCGCCACTGCACTCCAGCCTGGGCGATAGAACAAGATTCAGTCTCAAAAAAAAAAAAAAAAATTGTTACTTTTATGTTGAACTTTTACATAAGCAAGAGTTATTTTAAAAATTTAACAAATATTATTTATCGATTGTCCTGTCTTCCTTATAACAAATATAATAATTATTTATGAGTGTTTACTACGTCCTAGCCACTCTAAGAGATGAAGGTATACACTTTCATTGAATCTTATATCGACACTCTAAGAAAGATTATCTTCTCATTTTATAGATAAAGAAACATACTTCACAGAGTTTAGGTAACGTGCTCAAAGTCACAGTTATTAGGAGTCAGGATTTAAATCTAAGTCTGTATGTTTCCAAAGTCCATGAGCTTTTCACCACACACTAGAACTTCGATCCTCCCTCCCAACCAAGGGACGCTTGCAGCTCTGAAGTCCCATCAAGACCACACAAGGGCAGAGTTCTCAAGTTATAAAAGGATTCGGTCATCAGATTCATTCAGAATTCAGTTGTTTGGAATTTGGACATATTCTCCTTAGAAACAATGTATAAATGCTAATGTGCAACACTGTATAAAGATCAACTCTAAAAGTTGGTGAAACCCATCTACCCATATGCTGTGAAACCACAACTTTCCATAGGATATTGCTTGTTAATCCTGTCTCCCAGATGCACACACAAGAGAATAACGAAACTAACACTGGGGTGAGGACAAGGCAGTGCTTGGCGGAGGGCGGGCTCAACATTCGCGCATGTGCAGAAAGAGAATGCGGAGCCACGGTGTCCTCAGGCTACCGGCAAGGCCGTGGATCTGCGTGGCTAACGGGGGGCAAGACAGGGGTCACGGGGCTGAGTGTGGAAGCCCTGCGTGGAAATCGAGAGAGCCCTCAGGAGGTCTTGGGGGATCAAACCCAAAGGTTTCCAAGAGCCGGGCTGGTAGATGAAGGAAACAAGCCAGATGTAGCACAGAAGGGAGTGGTGGCGACTGTACCGACAGGAGACCGTGCGACCCACCTAAAGGCAATACAAATACATTTAAATAGAAACACATTGACAGTCAAATGTAACTTGTGGCTGGGCGCAGTGGCTCACGCCTGTAATCTCTGCACTTTGGGAGGCCGAGGGGGGCGGATCACTTGAGATCAGGAGTTCCAAACCAGCCTGGCCATCATGGTGAAACCCCGTCTCTGTTAAAAATACAAAAATTAGCCAGGCGTGGTGGCGGATGCCTGTAATTCCAGCTACTTGGAAGGCTGAGGCAGGAGAATCGCTTGAACCTGGGAGGCAGAGGTTGCAGTGAGCAGAGATCGCATTACTGTACTCCAGCCTGGGCGACAGAGCGAGACTGTGTCACAAAAATACAAACAAAAAAAACAACAAAAAAACCCCAGATGTAACTTGTGTCAGTTATTACTAAATGGTGGTTTTCTGACTTTAGGATTAATTCCTGAACCCTCTGATTTTGTGGAAGGGCTGGGACTTGGTGAAGCTGTAGGTATCGTGAGTGACTGGCCTGATCACGAGGGGAAGGAGCACCCACAGAATGCCAGGGTCCTCCTCTTTGGCAGTGGGGAACTATTGGGTGTTATTATAGCAGCTATCATCACCTTAATCAGTACAGTATTTTTATGCCCCTTTTATAGAGAAGTAGTGGGTGTTGGCTGTGGGGTGAAGGGGTTGAGGAGCTTGTCAGCAGGCCTCACTCCTATCTGTGTTATTACAAATAAAGCATTCCCTCATTGCTTCTGGCAAATGTTTGGCCATGGGGAAAAGAAAGAAGCAAGTAACCAACATTTGTTGAAAACTGTACTGTTTCATAGTCATCATTTTTATTTATTTATTTACTTATTTTGGAGACAGGGTCTTCTTTTGTCATCCACAATGGAGTGCAGTGGCATGATCACAGCTCACTGCAGTCTTGACCTCCCAGACTCAAGTGATCCTCTTGCCTCAGCCTCCCGAGTAGCTGGGACTACAGGCATGTACCACCATGCCCGGCTAATTTTTTTTATTATTTTTTAGCAGTGGCAGGGTTTTACCATGTTTCCCAGGCTGGTCTCGAACTCCTGGGCTCAAGGGATCCTCTCATGTCAGCCTCCCAAAGTGCTGGGATTACAGGCATGAGCCACTGCGCCTGGCCTCATAGTCACTCTTTTATTTAAGCTTAGTATCTCCCTGAAAAGTTGGTGTATGTGGCAAAGACTAGCTAGATGTTTACCAATCTTGGTTTCCTTGTCTTCTTTGGTACACAGCTGGACCTCATTTCTCAGCGTTTTTTGCAATTACAAAAACACTGTAATTAAAAAATTAATTACAGCTGTAGGACTGTTCTAGACACTAGCATGTGAGTGGAAGTGGTGTGTGACACTTCTAGGCCTGGCATAAATCTCTTCCACTTGCCACAGTCCTCCATCATCTTCCCCTCACCTTTGGACTGATGTCCATGCTGATGACTTTGGTGGAGCCCAGCCACCTAAATTCCCTCTTAGAGGAGAGCGGCTCACAGATTAGGAGCACCTGTTTTCAATTTTATGTGAACACAAAATAAACTTCCATAACATTAGAGGCAATTGACATTTTTGAGGGTGTGTGTTTATTATAGCAGCTATCATCACCTTAATCAGTACAGTATTTTTATGCCCATTTTATGGAGAAGTAAACTGAGGCCCAGAGAGTCGAGTGACTTGCCCAAGGTCACACAGCTGAAAAGTAATGAATTCGAACCCAGATTTATCTAGCTGTTGAACCCAGATTTATCTAGCTGTTAAACCCAGGATCTTTCTACAATGACACACTGCCTCTAAATTCAACAACACATTCTGTAGTGCCTAGTTTGTGCTTTCTTATCCTATTGGAAACCCCATCCCACCCACATCTGATGGAGCCTCCAAAATACAAGCAGACAGGAGAGAAGAGTTGGGGTAATGGGGGGCTGAATCATCAAGATTTCAATTTAGTATCAAGTTGCTTAGGGGGAAATCCATATGCAGCTCCCAAGTCCTTCTGAAAGCCAGGTGGGGGCAGCTGGCACAGAAAAATGGGGTCTGTAGTTCCCCTGCCTGCCATCAGGGACCTGAAAATCCTAGGGGAGTTTTTAATTCCCAGTGGCACTCTTGCTGGTCCTCTTGTTCATTAACATCTGTGTCCCTCCAATTTGGGCTCTGGCTTGAACTCTATGAACTGCTCAAAGAGGCTCTTGCTACCTCTTTGTTCAAACAGACAATGGCTGCAATAACAAAGAGGAAAATCAGATGCAGGTGAAAGTTTATTTTTAACATTTCCGAGGCCAAATGAGGATTTAACATGAAAATCAGAGCCCTCACTTCCGCCTGCTCTCTCCAAAAGTGGCTGGGGTGCTTTTGGCTGGCCCAGACTCCAACACTCTTGGATCCCTTCCAAATGAGTACACCACTGATGAGGTAGACAGTTTAGTCTTTCTGAGCCTTCTTTTGGCAAGAAATAGACATTTTGTTTGGAGATGAGGTTAAACTTGAACCCGTACATTGTGATTAGCTTAGGAAGCCAGGCTGCCCTGGCCACCCCAAATATGTGAGGTTGTCTTTACATGTTATTTTATTTTATTTTTTTGGGACAGAGTCTCGCTCTGTTGCTCAGGCAACAGAGTGCAGTGGCACAATCTCAGCTCACTGCAACCTCGCCTCCCAGGTTCAAGCAATTCTCCTCCCTCAGCCTCCTGAGTAGCTGGGATTACAGGCATGCACCACTACACCTGGTTAATTTTTGTACTTTCAGTAGAGACAGGGTTTTGCCATGTTGGCCAGGCTGGTCTTGAACTCCTGGACTCAAGTGATCTGCCCACCTTGGCCTCCCAAAGTGTTGGGATTACAGGCATGAGCCACTGTGCCCGGCCCTGTCTTTACATTTTAGTCAAATCAGACTGAAGCCTGAACAAATGTGTAATAAAGTGAAAATTCTTTGAAACCATGAGTCTGAAAGCTCCCTTGGGGATGAGCTCCTAGCTTGCCTCTCTTGTGTGGCTCGTCTGAAGCTTGCAGATGGCAGAGGCCTGTGAGGTTCCTGTGAGAAACAGCAAGAATTACCAGGAGCTGGTGTGCCTGGAGCATCTGCATTGTGCAAGGTACTTAACCCCTTTATCCAGTCATCATAACCATCTCCTGAGTTCAGAATCATTATCAGCAGTGTTTGAGGGAACCAGCCCAGAAAGGTGCGGAGTCAGCCCATTCCTTGCAGAGCATACCTAAGATTATTCGACTCCAAGGCCAATTTTCTTTCCATTGTACCATAGTGTGAATGAGCATTAGTTTTCTGTTCCCTGATTTCCCACCTACCAGCAGGAAGCAGAAAAGTGCAGAAATGGTCTTGTGCTTTTGTCCTCCTGAGAACCCAGCAGTGGTAGCTTTCCTGTAGAAACTCAGAAAGGAGAAGTTATGGGTTCATGATAGCCATGATTATAATAAAATGGTTCCAGGAAACTGAACAAACCAACAACAACAGCAACAAAACCCGAAATGGCTTGCTCTTCTTCTTATGCTTCACTTTAAGCTAAATCGGCTTTCTGATATAAAATGGCCTTCCTTTCTGTTTCAATTCTTCCATTGGCAAGTCTTGGGCAAAGGGTGGATTGACGAAGAAAGGAAAAGGGGAGCAAGTGGTCCTAAGAGCTAAGAGCTGCCCTTCTTCTTTTAAGACACCTGGTGAATATTCCCTCCTCTTGCTTGTGTTTTATTTCAGCCTGTCTTCCCCAGGGCTCCTCCAAGGTTCTGACTGGTCAGCCCACTACTACCTTGGTACTTACCCTTTTTCCAGAAAAAGAGGTATTCCTTGAGGTTACCAAATCGGTTCTCCTCAACTCTCCATCTCCAGCCAACACCTCTCACCCAACGCTGCCCTGTGTTACCCCATTTACCCCCACTACTTTTTTTTTTTGAGACAGAGTCTCACTCTGTTGCCTAGGCTGGAGTGCAATGGCGTGATCTCAGCTCACTGCAACCTCTGCCTCCGGGGTTCAAGTGATTCTCCTGTCTCAACCTCCCAAGTAGCTGGGATTGTAGGTGCCCACCACCACAGATGGCTAATTTTTGTATTTTCAGTAAAGACAGGATTTCACCATGTTGGTCAGGCTGATCTTGAACTCCTGACCTCAAGTGATCCACCCACCTCGGCCTCCCAAAGTGCTGGGATTACAGACGTGAGCTACCACCAGTAACTTCTATAAAGCTCAACAAGGGTAAAGTCAAGGGCAAATCTCCTCCCTCAAACCAACTTCTTTCTTTCTTCTCATCTTTAACAGGGCCACTGCCAGCATCCAGGAGCCCAGGCTTGCAGTCAACGACTCTTCCTTTCCCATTAACTCCCATAGTCTGTCATTCACAAATTCCTATTTGTCCTTTCTTCCAAATGCCTCTTGCATTTCTTACTTTTCTCTCACTCCCTCTATCTTCATCCTAGCCCAGAGCCTGCCCCTGGGCTGGTATCCCCATAGACTCTTCCTTTTCTAAACTATCATTCTACTCCATTCATCTATTCCTTCATTCATCAGAAGAGCATCTGTGGAGCACTTAGTGCCAGACACTGCGCTAGACACTAGATGCACCCGTAACACAGACATGGTCCAGCTGGGGAGGCAGGTAATTGACAGGCAACTACAGTGTCTTGGGGTGAGTGTGATGATGGAGGAAGCCCTTAGCTGGGACCGTAATCCAGATGGAGAGACGTGTTGGGGAGGCCTACACACTCCTACTGGTTTCATTGTCCTAAACACTTTTATCCTGTTTCAACTAAAATTGACCTTCTCTTACTTTTGTTCCTTTGGGTTCAAACTTTGTAACCTGAGATTCTAAGGCCTTCCTTGTCAACCAAGCCTCATTCCCAGGACCCTCTAGTGGAAGAGGTAGTAGTAACAATGATAGTAATAATAGCACATCTTCATTAAGCTTATTTATCTTAAATAACAGGCCCTCTTCTAAGTACTTTTCTTATGTTAACTCTTCACAACATTCTCTATGAAGGAGGTACAGGTACTATGATTAGCACCACTGACAGAAGGGGAAACCGAGGCATGAGTGCTAAAAGGCAGAATCTGGGTTCAAGTCCAGGTGGCATGGCTTCCAGGCTGGCATGTGATGATGACACCATTGTGTATCAGTGTAACCTGGCCGTGTGGACCTCAGACTCTAAATCATACATCCTAAGTTCTCCCCAAAGACCTTTTTACTCCTGATCCCCTCTCCCCTGAGAATGCCCTTCTCTTTCTTATCAAACGCTATAGAAGGTTTTATTTACATATAAAAACAGAGCCTTCTTCCATGGAAAAGGCACTGGGTCTGGACTCAGTTCGATGTTCAAATCTTGTTTCTGGCTGCCAAATCCTTTCTTCTCCCTGACTCTCAATTCTTCCATCTCTGCAATGGGAATATTACTATTCTCCTCACACAGCCATTCTGAGTATGATGTGAAAATAATGCATGTGAGTGTGCTTGGAAAACTGCAGTCCCATACAAATTTACAGGAATCAACATCATTTTTTTCCTCTGGCTTCTCAAAATAAGAATGTTGTTATACAGTCTGAACTTCACTACAGCAAAGTTTGCTTACACATTCCACTGGGCATGGGACTATCTTTCTATACCTCAACTTCATCATCTGGGCAATGGGCATAATACCAGCTGCTTTATAGAAACATTTTGGGAATTTAATGAATTTTTTTGTTTTTTGAGACAGAGTCTCACTCTGTTGCCCAGACTGGAGTGCAATGGTGCGATCTTGGCTCACTGCAGCCTCTGCCTCCTGGGTTCAAGTGATTCCCTTGCCTCAGCCTCCTGAGTAGCTGGGATTACAGATAGGAGCCACCATGCCTGACTAATTTTTGTATTTTTAGTAGACACGAGGCTTCACCATGTTAGCCAGGCTGGTCTCAAACTCCTGGCCTCAAGAGATCCGCCCGCCTCAGCTTCCCAAGTACTGGGATTACAGGCGTAAGCCACCGCGCCCCGCCAACAATAGTGTTTTAAAAGAATTAGATGCATAATAGACATTGAAGAATGTGTGTTGCCTGTCTTCCCCAAAGCTTGGTTTTTCTCTAGCTGCTGGGGATGAATCAGTTTTGGTTCTCATTAGAAGGAGCCAGTCCAGAATCATGCCTTCTCTCTTCTTCTATTCTGTTAATAAATGAATGACACCTGTATTCTTGGAGCTTCTGATTTAATTCAGCATCAACACTGAAATATTTGTTTACCAAAGAAAAATACTTTCCATGCTCCTCTGACTGTGTCATCCACATGAGCCACCACCAGCAGCCCAAAGCCAGTTCCGAAGCAGCAGAACATTTTTCGAGCAAAACAGCACTCTGTGACCCTCGGAGTGCTTGTTCAGCTGAAATTACTTGTGTCTGGCACAGACCTTCTCTTTTGATTTTGGCAGGATTTCAGGGAGTGAAAAAGCTAGGTTAGTGTTAGGGCTGGGATTAGAATTTGGTACTCAACAGATCATACTGTTAACACTTCTCCTCTTTGCTAACTTTATGAAGTTCAAGAAAAGCTTTCTGGGGAATGGCACCAATTTATTTGCCAAAAGCTGAGATGGGCCAAGGAAGATGTAGTCAGCATTTGGAATCTCCTTGCCTTAGGGTTTAACAGCCAAGGAGGGAAGAAGGATGTGCTGGGGAGCGGGGGAATAGGGGCCATGTGGGTAGTGCTGGAAGGATTCGGGATGCCGAACAGGCTTGGCTCCTTGCGGTTCCACCCCCACAACATCTCTCAAGCCATGCGCCGTCCTCTCCTCTAGCACAGCACTCTGTCCTAATCCTTATCATTCTCACCAACTATAGCAATACTCTCTGATACGCCTTCTTGCCCCTCTTGTCTGTCCTGAGCACTGCTGCCAGTTTTTATTCTTATGCTTAGAAGCATTCAAGCCTCCCCAGTGCTTGTCAAATAAGAGCCTCATCTTTAACACAATGCTCAAGGCTCCCCACAAGCAGGTCCCAAGCTCCACTTCTGCCCCCGTTTCTTCCTTCACCTTCCACGAAGACTCTGGCACCTACGAGCTAGACATGTGCCATCCCCCAGACGTGCCATGTCCATGCCAGCCTGTGAGCCTTTGCACGGACTGGTCCCTCAGCCTAGATTGTCCTCCCCTAGTTCCCATCTTTGCCTAGTAGATTCCTCCTCATCCTCGAGGACCCAGGTCAAATATCGCTTCTTCTGTGAGGCTTCTCTTAACTCTTCAAAGCAAAGCTGATGCCTCAAGCTCATCCATGGGACTTGTGTACTGCACTCTTTTGTGTCTGCCACGAGGGGACCTTGGGGACAGAACAATGCCTTATTTATAATTATGTGTCTTCTACACCACATCGAGTGCCTTGTTCAGTGTCTGTTACTTTATTTGAATTTTTGAAAGCAGATGGGACAATCTCCCTTGATACCAGGGAGAAACCACAGCAGTAAACTCAGTCTTTGGCTGTGTTAGGCTGACTGGTTCTGCTTTCTTTATTTTTATTTTTTATTTTTTTTTGAGACAGGGTCTCTCTCTGTTGCCCAGGCTGGAGTACATTGGTGCAATCTCAGCTTACTGCAACCTCCACCTCCCAGGCTCAAGCGATCCTCCCACCTCAGCCTCTGGAGTAGCTGGGACCGCAGGCGCACACCACCACACTTGGCTGGCTAATTTTATTTACTTTTAGTAAAGAAGGGGTTTCACCATGTTGCCCAGGCTCGCTTTCTTTTCTTTTCTTTTTCTTTTCTTTTTTTTTTTGAGAGAAAGTATGGCTCTGTCGCCTAGGCTGGAGTGCAGTGGCGCAATCTCGGCTCACTGTAACCTCCGCCTCCCTGGTTCAAGCAATTCTTCTGCCTCAGCCTCCTGAGTAGCTGGGATTACAGGCGCGCACCACCATACCTGGCTAATTTTTGTATTTTTAGTAGAGACGGGGTTTCACCATATTGGTCAGGCTGGTCTCGAACTCCTGACCTCAGGTGATCCACCCGCCTCGGCCTCCCAAAATGCTGGGATTACAAGCGTGAGCCACCATGCTCGGCCTCAGGCTTGCTTTCTTTAATCTCCAGAATAATGCAGTGCACTGGGTAATGGGTACTGGGTAAACATCTCCTTGTTGGCCACAGGTAACTGCTCCCTGCAAATGTCATCTCTGAGGAGATGTCCCAAGTGGCAAGGATTTTTGGCTCAATTAAGCTCCCAAGAGTTATCCCCATTATGTTAAGTTCTGGAGAGATATGCATAATTGTGACTCTGTCCCTGCCATGGAGGTCCTTACGGCTTAGTGAGGAAGATACACACACACACAGACACACACAAGGCATGAAGCTTGATGGGGTTCTCAGCTAAGCCTGGGAGCAACAGGGTAGGTTTCTTGGAGGAGGTGAAAACTGAACTGAATATTAAAGTTGTACAGGAGTTACGATGGACAAAGGCAGTGAGTATAACCAATATAGCCTCAAGCTACCATTAGCATTCAGAACTGAAAGATTATGGTGGTATAGGGAAGGGGATCAGTTGAAGAAAGATAGAGATATTGATAGAGAAGATGATATATGAGCTGGGCTTTGAAAGATGAGAGGGTTTTGGATAAATAGAGATAGGAATAGGATACAGGTTGAAAGACAATCTGGGCAAAGGAACAGTGTAAACAAAGGCATAGAGGAGGGATGTAGCTTGCTTTAAATGATCAGCTCCAAAAAGGTTATCACTGGAATATTATTTGAGAGATGAATCATGATGAGAGATGGGGCTGGAGAGAGGAAGGGTCTAGGTTATGAAGGGTCTAAATGTCTCCAGAGTAACTTAGGGTGATGTGATTAGCATACTTTTTAGCTAGATTCTGATGATCTCCTATTAACAGCGGCATCTGCAGAACTGGGAGACAGAGGGCCTCAGGAATTGGTCAGCTCTAATATTAACCAGCAAGACTGCTGTAGGTTAATCACTTCTTCTTTCGTCATCTCTGTTCTTACATTGATATCATTAAGCTGACTCACCTCTTGGTAGCGGAGTCAAAATTAAAGCAACTCAGGGCTCTGCAATGCTGCAATGCTGTCCAAGGACAAAGCATGAACCTCTCTCTCAAAAAACAATCAGTTAAACATCTCTCCCCTGAAAGAACAGCCCCAGCACTCCCTTCCAGGCTAGTTTGTTCTTAGAAAGTAAATTTCCCTATGTCAAGCATTTCTGATGGGTCAGAGACATGTTGGGAATCAAGAGGGCCCCTAGCCTCCTAAAATTGGGCTACAGGAGTCTTAGGCCAGAGCCCAAAGGGGAGGGATGTGATATTGTCCATTGGTCTTGGAGGGAACTCAAGTTGTTCCAGGAATTCTCTCTCTGCTCTAAGCCCCAGGCTCTGCCAGAAATGAAGATCTATTGGAATGTGGGAATCCTGACAGAGTCTGGCAAACAAGGTGCATGGCAGTCGTGGGGTCCTTGACTTTGGGTTTAATATTGAGCTCCTATGCAAAACATATAAGAAAGGCCTTCTGCTCAGCTGCAAAATAAATAGCTCTTGTGAGAACTGCTGCATTTCAAGGCCTATTTTCGGTGAGTGTGGGAATTTAGATGGGTGAACCTGGTCTCTATAGGTCCAACTGGAATCTTCAAGTGTAACACTCATTGATAACCCACACTGAACTTCCTTCATTACGAAAAACTATATGCATCTCTGATGATGACACAGAGGAAGGGTCCTGGCCTTGCATCGGTAACTGCCCAGGGAAGGGACAAAGGTTCTCCTAGCTACCCCAGCTCTGGGGCCTGATGAGCCTGCCTCAAGCTCATCCAAGAAATTCTGCTTCAGTACCTACTATGTGCTGAGCACCAATACGACTGTGGAGAAATGCAACTGCAGACAAGATCTAGTCTCTGCTTTCAAAAAGCATGCTATCTAATTGCCACAAGAGAGATGGGGAAAAGGACTTCTCAGTTGTAACTCCTGTCTTTGTACATGCTGAAAATTCTGCCTCCATATGACTTAAGCAAAGAAAGAGGCATCAAAAGGCACAACAGGGGCTAGGGGCTCAGGACCTAGGTCTTCTCTTTCTGGGTTGCTGCCGTTCTCAGACAGGATTTACCCTTGTGGTTGCAAGGTGATTCCTAGCAGCTACTGCGCTACCTCTCTGGCTCGTATCTAATGGGAAATAGAGAATTTTTGACTGGCTCTGATTGGTCTGGCAGAATAGCTTTCCCAGTTTCTTTCCTGGGATTATTGGCAAAAGCTTAATAATGCATCACTAGCTGTAACCAGGCCATATGCTCATTTCTCAACCAAACATTGCAGTGGTTGGGGAGAGAAGATGATGTGCTGATGAGCTTAGGTCTAGGTTACATGCTCCATCTTTGAACCAAGGATAGGACCCCAGCTGAAGCCATGGGCTGAAGATTGGGAAGGAGAATAGGGTTGTGGTTAACTAAAGGGTGAATGGAAACTGGTGGCAAAAAATGAGATACTCCAAGGTATACTATGATATTGGGACTCTGATGACAATGAACAGCAACCCAAAGCAAGTGGAGAGACAGAGAGAATAAAAGGAAAGATACTAGAGGAGTCATAGGATCAAGTGAAGAGGTGAACGACAGATTTTCCAGGACAGTCTCTGGATTCTATGGAGATCTTTGTGAATGATTCTGTAACACAGCTTGGGGCTGTGTTGGTTATACTCACTGTCTTTGCCTGTCTAACTCTCACATGTCCGTTAATGTTCTACCCCACTGATTAGACTAAACCAATCATAATGTCCAAATATAAGGGCAGAGTGATGGGAAAAAACCCAGGTCTTTGGTGACGTCCTTCAGTGGCTGTATTAGACAGCCCTGGAGCCCAGCTTATCTCAGGTTGTGTGAGGCATTTAATTTTCTTAGAATTTTATTTTCATTTTATTCATGGTTTGAGTTCAATATCTGCTACTTTCATCTCAAAGAATCCAAATTGGTACAGGCTCAAACAAACACCTTTGGGCTCTGTATTTTATCTGAGTTTCTTTCTACCTGCTGGCTTCATTCCACTACAGAAAGGCTCTTAAGTGGCCAGCTCCATGCATATATATATATATATATATTTTTTTTTTTTGAGACAGAGTCTTGCACTGTCACCCAGGCTGGAGGGCAGTGGCCTGATCTTGGTTCACTGCAACTTCTGCTTCCTGGGTTCAAGTGATTCTTGTGTCTCAGCCTTCCAAGTAGCTAGGATTACAGGGTAATTTTTGTATTTTTAGTAGAGATGGGGTTTCGCCATGTTGGCCAGGCTGGTCTCGAACTCCTGGCCTCAAGTGATCCACCTACCTTGGCCTCCCAAAGTGCTGGGATTATAGGCATGAGTCACTGTGCCCAGCCCCATGCATACATCTTAACGGCTCTTAAAGATCTTGGGAAAGGGCTCTGATTGGTCTGGGAGCTTTGGACCTTTGGACCAACTGTGTGCCCAGGGGCATGATATATTTGGAATGGTACATTTTAGCTTAATTATCTCTACTCTTGGACTAATTGACCATGGACAAGTGTTAAAGGAGGAAGATAATAGACATTAGTCCTGGGGTGAGTATCCTACTGCATAGTATGCTCCCCAGACTAGCAATGTCTGCATCACTAGGGAAATTGTTAGAAATGCAAATTATTGGACCCTACCCTGGATCTCCTGAATCCGAGACTCTGGAGGTGAGGCCCAGCAAACACCTCCATGTGTTTCAATGCACACTGAAGTTTGAGAACCATTGCATCATCATCATACAACAACTAAAACCAAATACCACGGTGGTTCAAAGAAGCAATAATGTCTGGTCAGAAGATGAGGAAAGTCTTAAAAAAAGAGGAAGTCTTTGAGACAGGTTTTCAAGATTGGGTAGATGACCTGAAACAAATATTATTTCACAAACAATATTGTAATTGCAATGAAGAATTTTCAAAAATCCTTCATGCAGACAAATCAACTGTTTCCTTTTACCTGTGGTCTTTTTCATTCTTGGTCAAATATATATATTTATTTGTAACTAACACAGATAACATTTTCTATCTTACTTCTTTTACTTAATATTTTTCTGCATAATACTCCATGGTTTCCATTACGTATGCATTTTAACTATTTATAATAAATTTGAGGAAACTAATTAAAGAAGATTTTAGAAGTTATCTGTGGACCCACCACCCTAGCCCAATAATTATTATCATTTCCTTCTTGTCTTTTTCTTATGGAGATTATTTGTATAATTAGGATAATAGCAGACATGTATTATACATATATACTTAACATTATAGTACAAGCAATCCTCTTCATTACTGAACAGTTTTCATGGCCATAAATTTCATTGTGTATAAGAAGTCAGCAAATAAACATCATGATTTATTTCAACAATCTCTTATTATTAATCATTTTGGTTGTTTCCAGTTTCGGCTGTGATAAACATCTTTGTGTATGAAGTGTTTTCTCCCACATTTTGAGTGATTTCTGTAGAATAGATTTCCAGAAGAGGAATTACAGGGTCACAAGATACACACTTTTTTATAATTCTTGATACATTCTGCCAGATTTCTTCCAAAAAGTTTGTACCAATTTACATCGCCACCAGCAATGTGTGAGAGTGCCAGGTTTCCCACAACCTTGGCAGTTTTGGGTCTTTTAATAAAAAAAAAATTTTTGGCCAATTTAACAGGAGAAGAACTTTCTTATAATTTGCATTTTTATTACTTTACCTAACATTACTTAATAAATTTTTTCCCCGCATTTCTTCAAAGTTCTTAATAAACCCTTTTATGATTGCCAAGCCTTTTTATGGTTGAGATTTGATGAGTGAACATTAAAGCAAGGGCAGTCCAGTAGGAGATCACCGGGCCGGGCACGGTGGCTCACGCCACTTCGGGAGGCTGAGGCTGGCGGATCACGAGGTCAGGAGGAGCTCAAGACCATCCTGACTAACATGGTGAAACCCTGTCTCTACTAAAAATACAAAAAATTAGCCGAGCGTGGCCGGGTGAGTGGTTCACGCCTGTAATCCCAGCACTTTGGGAGGCCAAGGCGGGAGGATTACCTGATGTCAGGAGTTCGAGATCAGCCTGGGCAACACGGTGAAACCCCGTCTCTACTAAAAATACAAAATTAGCCGGGCGTGGTGACACATGCCTGTAATCCCAGCTACTCGGGAGGCTGAGGCAGGAGAATCGCTTGAACCTGCGGGGGGCGGAGGATGCGGTGAGCCAAGATCGCGCCATTGCACTCCAGCCTGGGCAACAAGAGTAAATCTCCATCTCCCCCCACCCCCCCAGAAAAAAAGAAAAAGAAAAAGAAAAATTAGCCGAGCGTGGTGGCACGTGCCTGTAGTCCCAGATACTCAGGAGGCTGAGGCAGGAGAATCGCTTGAACCCAGGAGAAGGAGGTTGTAGTGAGCCGAGATCGCGCCACTGCACTCCAGCCTGGGCGACAGAGCAAGACTCCGTCTAAAAAAAAAAAAAAAAAGAGACCACCATGAGCAGCAGCACAGGGTCAGGAAAGTCCAAACACAGCCTATGAGGAGCTAAACTCATTGTTTCCAGCAGCCTCCTCCTCCTGGGCCTCCCATCCTAGGGAATAGCACCACTAGGCATCTAATAGTTCACCCCCAAACCTGGATGTCACTGTGGACCCCTCCCTGCTCTTCATCACCTACAGCCAATCAATAACCAAGCCTCCTAAGCTGCTCTTGAAGCTGTATCTCCGTCTTTACTGCTACTACCTTAGTTCAGGCCATATCAGCTTTTCCCTAAACAATTGCACGTGCCTCCTGCTGGGTCTTGTTTTCCTCCAAATCATGCTCCACATTGCAGGCAGACCCATCTTTAAAAAACCCAAATATGACTCAAGTTTTTTTTTTTAAACAACTTTCAACAGCTTTTAAGATGAAGTCCCCAAATTCCTTAATCCATTTTGCAAGCCCTCTATGATCTGAACCCTTCCCTACTCTTTTCTGAGTAGTGCAATCGGAAGGTTGTGTATTTCTGTTTTCCCATGAACCATACGGTGACCGTACCCCACACCTTTGGGGACTACAACCACATTTTCAAAATGGCCGTCTAGGTCTGGGGTTAAATGATGGGAAACATTACCCGGTTATATGAATGGCGGTACTAAACTTCCCTGTATCTAGACCAACCATCTGGGTGGTGCTTTGGTAGCTGGTTAGTCTGTGAAATGCTTGTTACTGGTACAAGATGGGGTGAATACAGGAATAGGAAGCAGGCATTTAGAAATGGTTATAGCAACTTGATAAAGTAATTTTGTGATTAATATCTAATAATAAAATGAATTTGTATTTTCTATCTTTTAAAATTTCATTTGTTGGCTGGGTGTGGTGGCTCATGCCTGTAATCTCAGCACTTTGGGAGGCCAAGGCAGGCAGATAACCTGAGGTCAGGAGTTCGAGACCAGCCTGGCCAACATGGTGAAACCTCATCTCTACTAAAAATACAAAAATTAGCCAGGTGTGGTGGCGGGTGCCTGTAATTCCAGCTACTCGGGAGGCTGAGGCAGGAGAATAACTTGAACCTGGGAGGTGGAGGTTGCAGTGAGTTGAGATTGTGCCACTGCACTCCAGCCTGGCTGACAGAGTGAGACTCCATCTCAAAACAAAATTAATTAATTAAAAAATAAAAATAAAAATAAAATTTTATTTGTCTAATAATTTAAAAAATTTTCTAATATTTAATTTTGTGGGTACATAGCAGGTATATATATTTATGGGGTATGTGAGATATTTTGATATAAGTGTACAATACATAATAATCACATCATGGAAAATGGGGTATTAATCCGCTCAAATATTTATCCTTGTATTACAAACAATCCAATTATGCTCTTCTAGTTATTTAAAAATGTACAATTAAATGAGTATTGATTATAGTCACCCTGATGTGCTATGAAATACTAGGTCTTATTCATTCTTTCTATTATTTGGTGCCCATTAACCATCCACCCCAACCCCCACTACCATTCCCAGCCTCTGGCAACCTTTGTTCTATTCTCTATCTCCATGAGTTCAATCGTTTTGATTTTTAGATCCCACACATTTGTGAGAACATGCCATGTTTGTCTTTCTGTACCTGTGTCTAATAATTTGATTCTAGTGCATTTTATCAAAGTATTGGTATACAATGCAATGAATTGGAAATTTTAACATAAAACTCTTTGACCACAGAAGTTTGACTTGAATTCTCTTGAAAAAGTTCAGTCTGGAATATCTTCCCATAAGTTTATAAATGCACTTTCTGGAGTAAAAAGATGTTTGAATCCCCAGCTGAGAGTGTGTGCTTCAAAAATGGAAGAGAATCATAAAAAGAAATCACAACTTTAATTTATATCTTAACGGTTCATGATTTTCATGGAGTAACTGGTTAAAATAGAAATTTCTGGCTTCTGACCACCAAGTCCAGATGTAATAGTGTGTACTTGATATACTGAACAGGACGATAACTTGGAACACTTAAGAGGGGGAATTGGTTTCAAGCACTTCCTCATTTTCTTGGTCTGTAAAATGAAGAGGTGAGACAAAAAAAAAAAACTTTCAATGTTCCTTTCAGATCAGTATAAAACTGAGTACTTTTATAATTCTATAATTGACTATTAAGTTTAAACTTTTCTAATAAAGATATCTGCTGGTATATGACAAGGAATAACAACAGGTCTTTGAAAAAAGTAGATGGATAGTAACTATTATTAGTCATTGTTATTATTTTTTACTTTCTACAAATGCAACAAATTTTTAGTGGATGGAATTGCCAAATACTGAGTTATTTATCAGAGACTACGTTTCTTTACCGTTAACTAGCTGTGTGACTGAGGATAGATAGCTTCACTTGTTTGTGCCCTCTTCTTTGGACGAGGGGATTAAATTCTGTTGCCAGCATCCCTAAAATGTCAAGCGGTGCTGGGGAGAAGGATGGAGGGCCAAGCGGGTTGGGTACTTCTTGGGAGTTACCCCATCCTCAGCCAAAAGAGCTTCTTTTTTGTGTTTAGAGATGGGTGATATGGTGTGGCTCTGTGTCCCCACCCAAATCTCATCTCAAATTGTAATCTCCATGTGTTGAGGGAGGAACCTGTAATCCCCATGTGTTGAAGGAGGAAGGTGATTGGATCATGGGGGTGGTTTCTCCCATGCTGTTCTCGTGATAGTGAGTGAGTTCTCACGAGATCTGATGGTTTAATAAATGTGCAAGTTCCTCCTTCATTCTCTCTCCTGCCGCCATGTGAAAAAGGTCTTTGCTTGCCCGTCACTTTCTGCCATGATTGTAAGTTTCCTGAGGTCTCCCCAGCTATGTGGAACTGTGAGTCAATTAAACCTCTTTCCTTTATAAATTACCCTGTCTCAGGTATTTCTTTACAGCAGTGTGAAAGTGGACTAATACAATGGACCTTTGAGTAACATTTTATTGGAAGAAATACTCGACTCCCATAAAAAGGCTGGGAAAACTGTTAGGCCATATGATTGCCAATGTCCCTGCTAGCCTTATGCCTGCCTATTGGCATTGTACCATTTAGTGGCAGATGCCTGAATTGCAGGTATATTGTCTAGGTTTGGGGGTGGAAAACTCAAACATATAGAAGATAGGCAAACTATGTAAGTGAATGAAGAGGGCTGGATATAAGCCCGACAGGGAGCTGTGGGGATGTGGTGAATTAGGAAGCACATGCCCTGTCTAAAGGGAACCTCAAAATTCAGCTCCTGCCTATTGTTGCCATGAGGGGGCGTGAGCACTGCTTTAGGGGCCATGCATCCAATATGTATTCTGGGAGCTAAATGTGACTCATCTGCCCCCAAACTGTGGTTGACCTGAAATTCTTAGATTTTTTTCTATTTTTTTTATGCTAAGTAACTAACACACATGATAGCAGGCTGGTAGACCTAATCATCTTCCCAATTGCTTAGCATGGTATTTGGTGCATGGTAAACAGACTATGGATGTTAGCTGTCATTATTATCATCATCATCATTATTACCTAATAATGATGTAGCAGACTTGGATCTGCTAATAATTGCAATGGAATTGTAAGATAATTATACAATTTTGTGCTATTCAAATTTAATTCCCTTAAAAGCCATATCATAAAACTGGAACATTTTGGAGAATTACTGACAACAGGAGAAAAGAAATAAATGAAGCCTCAGTGTGAACTTGAGTCCTAGCCAAGGTAGGTCCTCTGCTACTCTGCCAAGTGTGACCCTTCAGACTCACCGTGGCTCACAATGAAAAATGTGTGGGTGTCCAGCACTATCGCACACTTCGCGTGCTTGCTCTGTGTCTGACAGTCAGACCTACTCCAGCGATCATAAAACAACAGTCACACTGAATGTGAAGGTGTCTGAATGTTTGGCTTCTTTCTCACTCACATGATTATTGCAACTTTACAAGAAGTTAGAATATCTACAGAATAAGGTCTTTTTTCTTACTTTTTTCTAAAAATGTTTTTTCTTGTCTTAATGCCAGATAAACTTGCTTACTTATATGCAATGTAAATGCCCAGAGACTGATTTCAGATACCACTGTGAAATCCTGTCTGAGAATTGACTCTACCTTAAAAAAAGGCTGTAAAACAAAACATAAAAGGAAAATTTAAAAATGCTCTCTCAGTTCCACCAGCCTAACAAAAGCATGATCATTTCTCTGCATTCTCTCTCATACATGCTTTTACATTAAATAAACTAAATAAATCCTGACTTTATTGAACTTGTTAGAGGCTGGTTAAGGGGTGGGTGGTTACGAAAATGAGTTTTCTTATTTTCTCATAGTTTCATAGTTCTCACAGTTTCTACTCTCTGGGGGGTAGGGAGACACTGAGAGGTAAAGGAGAATCTTAAAATGGAATAAAGAGAGCACAGGATGACAAGTGGGGGTGTCTAGGAAGAAGGAAGCATGAAGGGGAAGGCCTGATTAATACCGACTGTGGAATTCTCCAGCCTCGAGGTTCCAAAGCCCCTTTGAAACCTGTTCTCACTGTGGGTTTCTTTTTTAAAGCAGATTTTCTTTCCTTCTTTTCTTTTCACTTTTATTTTAGGTTCAAGGGTACATGTGCAGGCGTGTTATGTAGGTAAATTTATGTCACGGGGGTTTGTTGTACAGATTATTTCACCACCCAGGAACTAAGTTTAGCACCCGATAGTTCTCTCCCTCCTCCCAACCTTCACCCTTGAGGAGGCTCTAGTGTCTGTTGTTCCCCTCTATGTGTCCATGTGTTCTCTCTATTTAGCTCCCACTTATAAGTGATAACATACGGTATTTGGTTTTCTGTTCCTGCGTTAGTTTGCTAAGGATAATGGCCTCCAGCTCCATACATGTAAGGACGTGATCTCATGCTTTTTATGGCTGCATAGTATTCCATGGTGTATAGGTACCACATTTTCTTTGCCTAATCTGTCACTGATGGGCATTTAGGCTGATTCCATGTCTTTGCTATTGTGAATAGTGCTGCGAACATTCATGTGCGTGTGTCTTTATGGCCGAATAATTTATATTCCTTTGGGTATATACCCAATAATGAGATTGCTGGGTCGAATAGTAGTTCTGTTTTTAGCTCTTTGAAGAATTGTCACACTGCTTTCCACAATGGTTGAACTAATTTACACTCCTATCAACAGTATATAAGTGTTCCCTTTTCTTCACAATCTTGCCAGCCTCTGTTATTTTCTTTTAAATAATTTGCTAAGGGCTTCTTTTTTTTATTTTATTATTATTATACTTTAAGTTTTAGGGTACATGTGCACAATGTGCAGGTTAGTTACATATGTATACATGTGCCATGCTGGTGTGCTGCACCCATTAACTCGTCATTTAGCATTAGGTATCTCTCCTAAAGCTATCCCTCCCCCCTCCCCCCACCCCACAACAGTCCCCAGAGTGTGATGTTCCCCTTCCTGTGTCCATGTGTTCTCATTGTTCAATGCCCACCTATGAGTGAGAATATGTGGTGTTTGGTTTTTTGTTCTTGCTATAGTTTACTGAGAATGATGATTTCCAATTTCATCCATGTCCCTACAAAGGAGGTGAACTCATCATTTTTTATGGCTGCATAGTATTCCATGGTGTATATGTGCCACATTTTCTTAATCCATTCTATCATTGTTGGACATTTGGGTTGGTTCCAAGTCTTTGCTATTGTGAATAGTGCCGCAATAAATATACGTGTGCATGTGTCTTTATAGCAGCATGATTTATAGTCCTTTGGGTATATACCCAGTAATGGGATGGCTGAGTCAAATGGTATTTCTAGTTCTAGATCCCTGAGGAATTGCCACACTGACTTCCACAATGGTTGAACTAGTTTACAGTCCCACCAACAGTGTAAAAGTGTTCCTATTTCTCCACATCCTCTCCAGCACCTGTTGTTTCCTGACTTTTTAATGATTGCCATTCTAACTGGTGTGAGATGGTATCTCATTGTGGTTTTGGTTTGCATTTCTCTGATAGCCAGTGATGGTGAGCATTTTTTCATGTGTTTTTTGGCTGCATAAATGTCTTCTTTTGAGAAGTGTCTGTTCATGTCCTTCGCCCACTTTTTGATGGGGTTGTTTGTTTTTTTCTTGTAAATTTGTTTGAGTTCATTGTAGATTCTGGATATTAGCCCTTTGTCAGATGAGTAGGTTGTGAAAATTTTCTCCCATTTTGTAGGTTGCCTGTTCACTCTGATGGTAGTTTCTTTTGCTGTGCAGAAGCTCTTTAGTTCAATTAGATCCCATTTGTCTATTTTGGCTTTTGTTGCCATTGCTTTTGGTGTTTTAGACATGAAGTCCTTGCCCATGCCTATGTCCTGAATGGTAATGCCTAGGTTTTCTTCTATGGTTTTTATGGTTTTAGGTCTAACATGTAAGTCTTTAATCCATCTTGAATTAATTTTTGTATAAGGTGTAAGGAAGGGATCCAGTTTCAGCTTTCTACATATGGCTAGCCAGTTTTCCCAGCACCATTTATTAAATAGGGAATGCTTTCCCCATTGCTTGTTTTTCTCAGGTTTGTCAAAGATCAGATAGTTGTAGATATGCGGTGTTATTTCTGAGGGCTCTGTTCTGTTCCATAGATCTATATCTCTGTTTTGGTACCAATACCATGCTGTTTTGGTTACTGTAGCCTTGTAGTATAGTTTGAAGTCAGGTAGCGTGATGCCTCCAGCTTTGTTCTTTTGGCTTAGGATTGACTTGGTGATGTGGGCTCTTTTTTGGTGCCATATGAACTTTAAAGTAGTTTTTTCCAATTCTGTGAAGAAACTCATTGGTAGCTTGATGGGGATGGCATTGAATCTATAAATTACCTTGGGCAGTATGGCCATTTTCACAATATTGATTCTTCCTACCCATGAGCATGGAATGTTCTTCCATTTGTTTGTATCCTCTTTTATTTCATTGAGCAGTGGTTTGTAGTTCTCCTTGCAGAGGTCCTTCACGTCCCTTGTAAGTTGGATTCCTAGGTATTTTATTCTCTTTGAAGCAATTGTGAATGGGAGTTCACTCATGATTTGGCTCTCTGTTTGTCTGTTATTGGTGTATAAGAATGCTTGTGATTTTTGTACTTCGCTAAGGGCTTCTAATGCTGGAGACCCTGCTAGATCTGAGGGCTTGAGTTATATGCATATACATTTCTGTGTTCCTTTGATGAAATGTTATATTAAGAAGTAGACCATTTATTGTGTTGCTACAGAGAGCCCTCATAATTATTTTTCATAATCTACTGAAATGTTTTCCTTGTATTAGGTATGTATGTTAGATCCAGTTTATCGCAAATATAAATAACACTGTGACCAATATCTTTATACATACAATTTGTTTTCTTCACTACAGTTATTTCTTTAGGATAAATTCTGTGAATTTGGGAATGTTGAGTTTAAAGAGATTATTATTGTGACTCGTGTCATATTGACCAATTGTCTTCCTACAGGTTGTACAAATTTATATTGCTACCAGATTAAGTGGAGTTTCAGTTTTCCTGCAGACTTCTGAGAACTGGATTTTATAGATTTTTGTTTTCATTGTTTTAATTTTTGTTTTAACCTTGGAAGGTTAATAGGGTAGAAGATCTTTAAAAACTGCTTGTGGGTTATTATTATTATTACTAGGTTTTTTTTTTTTGAGACAGAGTCTTGCTCTGTCGCCCAGGCTGTAGTTCAGTGGCGTGATCTTGCCTCACTGCAACCTCTGTCTCCTGGGTTCAAGTAATTCTCCTGCCTCAGCCTTCCGAGTAGCTGGGATTACAGGTGCCCACCACCATGCCTGGCTAATTTTTGTATTTTTAGTAGAGACAGGTTTCACCATGTTGTCCAGGCTGGTCTTGAACTCCTGACCTCAGGTGATCCGCCTGCCTCGGCCTCCCAAAGTGCTGGGATTATAGGCATGAGCCACCGTGCCCGGCCTGATTGTGATTATTTTTTAATAGAGACAGAGTCTCGCTTGCCCAGATTGCAGTGCACTTGTGCCATCATTGACTCACTTGCAGTCTCAACCTCCCAGGCTCAAGCAATCCTCCTGACTCAGCCTCCCGAGTAGCTGCGATCACAAGTGAATGCCACCACAAATAAAAGATAAATTTGATGTATATATAGAAATATATCAAACTAATTTTTTTATTATTATTTTTTATTTTTGTAGAGACAGGATCTTGTCATTTTGCCCAGCCTGGTCGGTCTCAAACTCCTAGGCTCAAGCAATCCTCCTGCCTTGGCCTCCCAAAATGTTGGAATTACAGACGTGAGCCATCGCACCCAGCTTAGTTTATTATTTTCATTTTTTCTTGTGTTAATTTCCTACTGACGTCTTTCACCATTTTGTCTCATGGGACTGAGGTGATGCTCTCATATATATATTTACCTACTTTTATATGGTATAAGTAGTAACTTTTTGACAATTAAAAAAATAGTCATACTGGTCAGGTGTTTCTCCTTTTAAATCTTGGTTTAGTTAGGTTTGTGCTAATCTGAATCGGGCTGCCATGTACTTTGTTCATATCTCACTATGCTACTCATAAGGTTGTGCTGTAATTACTGGTTTACTTGTCCTCTCCTATTGAGCTATGAGCTCCTTTCTTTATACCCAGCATCTTCCGTAGGGTCTGCTACATAATATTTGCTCAAAATTGCTTGTTGAGGTTTTAGAAAAAAAAAAACACATTTGAGCGAAAGAATGAAATGAAGGAGTGTACTGCAGTGATACCACCATTTTCGATTTCAAGAACTGGAGGGAGACCTGAACTTTCTTCCTTCAACCAGGAAGCCATAGGAAAAACCTCTGGCTGACCCTGTAGGGAAGTTGGAGAGCAGGACTTCCTCTCTCCCCTGGGGCCTCACCCAGGACTCCGAGGCCCTACTTAGAGAGCCCCTGGGGGTCTGGGTGGGTAGCTGCTTTCCTTTGGCGCCACTTTCTGGGCAAAAGATTCCAGTGTTTGGATTTTATTAGCCAATAAAATTAGGGGGAAAATGCTGGAAAAAAAATCACAGCACACTGTTGTTACTCTTGTGAATGAATAACATAACTGGCAACTACACTATTAATGTCTAAATGGATTTTCTGTGCTCCAAGCCAAAACACATTTCATAAAGTTACACAGAGATGGATAGTATCCCAGTTAATAAAAACAGTTGTGGGTGAAGGATGCATGGTCCAACAGAAGGGGCACTGATTGATGCTAGGTTGCTGGAATTTTTGCATTTAGCTGTGAATTTATTTTATTTTATTTTATTTATTTATTTTTTGAGATGGAGTCTCACTCTGTCACCAGACTGGAATGCAAATGGCATGATCTTGGCTCACTACAACCTCTGCCTCCCGGGTTCAAGCGATTCTCCTGCCTCAGCCTCCCCAGTAGCTGGGACTACAGGTGCGAGCCACCATGCCCAGCTCATTTTTGTATTTTTAGTAGAGACAGGGCTTCACCATGTTGGCCAGGATGGCCTTGATCTCTCGACCTCATGATCCGCCTGCCTCAGCCTCCCAAAGTGCTGGGATTACAGGCGTGAGCCACCATGCCCAGCCGATTTTATTTTTTAAAAGTAAACATTCTATTAAATGGTTGAACTTAAACATTATTACCAAATCCTAACTTTAAAAAGTATATGTATTGAGCAAGTGTTTGGAGATACAAACATGTAGATGGAACTTTATGAGTTATCTTGGATAATTTTCAACATTGTATTATCAACCAGTTTAATCCAATCCTAGTTTGCCCCAAGTCGTAAATAGGGATGTTTCATTTTAAATCACATTTAATTTATTTGTAGGAGTAATGTCCCTCCCAGATTGATGTACAGTTTTAGAATTTTAACTCAATACTTAAAGCAAAACAACTCTACAGATTCTGATTGCTGAGGATACTACCTTAGCTAAAAGAATTAGTTCTGTGATCACAATCTATTTTGATAATACATTCCAGAGTTTGCCTTCTTTTTTTTTGAAATGGAGTCTCGCTCTGTTGCCAGGCCGGAGTGCAGTGGTGCAATCTCGGCTCACTGCAACCTCTGCCTCCCGGGTTCGAGCGATTCTTCTCTTTCGGCCTCCCCAGTAGCTGGGATCACAGGTGTGTCCTACCAAGCCCAGCTAAGTTTTGTATTTTTAGTGGAGACGGGGGTTTCATCATGTTGGCAAGAATGGTCTCGATCTCTTGACCTTGTGATCCGCCTGCCTCGGCTTCCCAAAGTGCTGGGATTACAAGCGTGAGCCGCCGCGCCCGGCCAGAATTTGCCTTCTTTAGAGCTGCCATTATATTCATCCAAAGAAGAAAAGAAAGAATGCAAATCACTGTCCTGAAAGCCTGACAGACCCAGGACTTTCATCCGAAAAAGGTAACTTTTCATTTCATTCTTAGAAATCTTCCCAATCCCAATAGATCTGTTTAGTGGGGATCAGTGGCTGGTGGCTGGATATCGCTTGAAATTGCAGCCACCTCTTGCAACAGGGCTATTTGTAACAATGGCTAGGAAATATGTGGCACAGGACACAACCTGCTTGGACAAAGTAGGTAGCATCTTATATATATTTAATATATATAGGCCGGTCGCAGCGGCTCACACCTGTAATCCCAGCACTTTGGGAGGCCGAGGCAGGTGAATCTTGAGGTCAGGAGTTTGAGACCAGCCTGACCAACATAGCGAAACCCTGTCTCTACTAAAAACACAAAAAATTAGCTGGGTGTGGTGGCGCGTGCCTGTAATCCCAGCTACTCGGGAGACTGAGGCAAGAGAATCGCTTGAACCTGGGAGGCAGAGGTTGCAGTGAGTTGAGATCATGCCACTGCACTCCAGCCTGGGTGACAGAGCCAGACTTGGTCTCAAAAAAAAAAAAAATATATATATATATATATATTTATATATTTATATATAAAAAATATATATTTTAAATATACATTTATATATAATATAAATAAATAAATTTAATATATATTTATAAATAAATAAATATATATATATGTAAATAGTAGTCCCTTTTATCACACATTAGTACAGACTTGTGTACTGGGTTTCAGATTTGCTTGGGACACATGACACCTTTGTTTCCTTCTTCTTTCTTTCTTCTGGAATGGAAGTGTCTATTCTATGCCTGTCCATCATTGTATTTTGGAAGCAGATAATTTGTTTTTGATTTCACAGGTCCACAGATAGAATTTTTCCCAGGATGTACCATACCCCAACTCTCACTCATAACTGATTTAGATGATGAAATTTGGGACTTTTAAAGTCGATTTTTTTTTTTTTTTTGAGGCTGAATCTCACTCTCTATTGCCCAGGCTGGAGTGCAGTGGCACGATCTCGGCTCACTGCAACCTCCGCCTCCTGAGTTCAAGCGATTCTCATGCCTCAGCCTCCTGAGTACCTGGGGTTACAGACGCCTGCCACCACGACCGGATAATTTTTGTATTTATAGTAGAGACGGGGTTTCACCATGTTGGCCAGGTTGGTCTCGAACTCCTGACCTCAAGTGATCCTCTTGCCTTGGCTTCCAAAAGTGCTGGGATTACAGGCATGAGCCACCTCGCCTGGCCTGAAAGTGGATATTTAGATGAGATTTTGAACTTGGAGTTGATAGTGGAATGGCTTAAAATTTTGGGATCAGGCAAATGTATTTTTGCATGAGATGAACATGAATTTTGTGGTGCCCTGGGGCCGACTATACCGGGTTAGTGAGTGTTCCCCCCCCAGATGTGTGTCCTTTCTGGAACCTTAGAATGTGATTTACTTGGAAATAGGGTAGTTGTAGATACAGCTAAGATGTAAGTTAAGATGAGGTCATTTTGGAGTAGTGTGAGCCTTAATCCAGTATGATCAGTGTCCCTATAAGTAGAGGAGAATGACTGGGTGCAGTGGCTCATCCCTGTAATCCCAGCACTTTGGGAGCCTGAAGTGGGTGGATCATCTGAGGTCAGGAGTTTGAGACCAGCCTGGCCAACATGACAAAACCACATCTCTACTAAAAATACAAAAAAATTAGCCAGGCATGGTGACGCATGCCTGTAATTCCAGCTACTCAGGAGGCCGAGGCAGGAGAATTGCTCGAACCTGGGAGGCAGAGCGTGCAGCAAGCCGAGATCAAGCCACTGCACTCCAGCCTGGGCAACAGAGTGAGACTCCATCTCAAAAAAAAAAAAAAAAAAAAAAAAAAGGAAGAGGAGGAGAAGGCAAACAGAGAGGGATACCCAGGGAGAAGGCTGTGTGACAACAAAGCAGACTGGAGTGATGTGTCTACAAGCCAAGGAACACCAAGAATTGCTGGCAACACCAGGAGCCGAGAGAAAAGCATGAAACAGATCCTCCGCTAGAGGCTTCAAAGAGAGCATGGCCCTGCTGACACCTTGACTTTGGACTTCAAACTGTGAGACAGTAAATTTCTGTTGTTTCAAGCCATGCAGTTTGTGGTGCTTTGTTTTTCAGACTTAAGAGATGAATACAACCTGTATTTATGCTTTTATATTGATACGTATATTATAAAGCATACACCGAAATTGATATTGAAAAATGCATAAAGATCAATAAACCAATATTTGAAAATTTTTTACCTTGTTTATCCATAGTATATGAAAGAGTTTTGAGTGCAATCATCTTGAATATGTGCTATTTTAAAATAAACTTTTAATTTTGGAATAATTTTCTATTTCTAGAAAAGCTGTAAAGATAGTGCAGAGAGTTCTCCTGCGCCTTTCCTTGTGGCGTGTGCATGGCGGGGGTGCGGGAAGCAGATGGTGCCTCCCAGATCGATAGCATCCGTGATACCCAGGAGAAAGTATTGACCTACTCTCAACATCAAAGCCCAGCTTTGCTTCCACCATCTTCCTGCCTCAGTTTCCTCATCTGGAAACAGGGATGAAATTGTGACGATGAGTAGATCCTGCTCTGTCCTATGTTAACTAAATGACCCCGAAGAAGACATTTGACTGTTTAAGGTACAGTTTTCTCCTCTGTAAGGTGGAGAGAGTCATACCTTCCTCACAAGGGTGTAAGAAGAGGGGTAGTTGTTCAGCTCTAGGCCACTGGTCATCTGATCTTCCCTTTCTTTATCCCTCACCCATGTTTTCCAGGTTTCTCCTTAGCTCTGTTCTTGTTTGTGGCTGTAAAAATGCCAAAAGACAGATCAAATAGCCACATGGTATGTTCAGATGCACCATGAAAACTTGCTCTAAATACACAGCTCACAACGTGTGCATTTGTGTGACCTTGTCTCTGTGTGTGTGTGTGTGTGTGTGTGTGTGTGTGAGAGAGAGAGAGAGAGAGAGAAATAGAAAGAGAGAGACATTGGTGACCCCTTACAGACCTTCCAGTCTTGAGATTCTTTGTATCAAGATAGGCAGAATCTAGGCTGGATGCTTTTTATGCTGGAAGTTGTCTTCAGCTCCGTAGTCCTCTGGAAAATTCCAGGAGGAGGCTTCTTCAGTACATATGTCTGAGAAGCGCTGATTTGTTCTAAAACGAGCAAGTGTGTGGGTTGCTACGCACTGCTCCTCAGCACACTCCCCTCGCCCCCACTTCTGCCAGCACCAGCCTTGCCTTCAGCTCAGGAACCTCTGCTACCATAGCTCCTTTCTCTCCAGACTCCCTGGGGGGGGAGGGGACACGCCCCAGGGTCTGGTCCTCAGCCCTTTTCTCCTCTGGTTGCATGATGACAAAGATCACAGAACACCCGTTTTAGAGTCAGCTGTTCTTAGATCATTTTGTTAATGTGTCTCAGTCCTGGCTACATTCTGGAATCTCCTGGGGGAGCTTTTAACACATACAGATTTCTGGGTTCCACCCTCGGAGATTTTCAAGTAATTGGCCTGGGAAGAGGCCCAGGCATTGGTATGTTTTTAAAGCTCGCCTGAAGAGATCCTAAAGTTCCGCCACGATTGAGAACCATTGGCTCGGTCTAGGATTTTGCAGACCACCTCTTACAGAAAGCAGGGATGTCTCTCTTGTTCACCACTGTTCCCCCTAGCAATGCAAATATTTGTTGAATGAATGATCAGACTCACTCCTCAAAGCCTTGGGGAGTCCCTGCCTCTCGTGCAGGGCTCGGGAGAAGAGGGCCAATTTTCTGGTCTCTAGGCCCCCATTCCTACTTTTACAGGAGCACCTCAGTTTTATCTGTTAATTTTCAAGAATGCTTCCAGGTAAGATAGAGGAACCCCTCACTACTGATAGAGTGTGGTGGTTCTACACAGGAGAACAGGGGCCATGTCTCCTGATGGAGCAGAATGGCCTGAAGAACAAGCATTCCTGTGATAAAATTTCAACACACCATCATTCACAAGTGAAGTTATGTAGTTTAAGAATAATTTCATTATACAATTATAGAGTTCAATAGGTTACAGCCTTTTTTCATAATAGCCTTTATTTTTTAGAATGGTTTTAGATTCACAGAATAGTTGAGATGACAGTACAGAGTTTCCGTATACCCTGCACCCAGTTTTTCCCTACTACTAATGCCTTATATTAGTAAGGTACATTTGTTACAGTTAACAAACCAAGATGGATCCATTACCATTAACTAAAGTTCATACTCTGTTCAGATTTCCTTACTTTTTGCCTAATGTTCTTTTTCTGTTTCAGGCTCTCATCCAAAATATCACATTATGTTTGTAGTTGCCATGTATCCTTAAGCTCTTCTTGGTTATGGCAATCTCTCAGACCTTCATTTTTTTTTATGACGACCAGTTTTGAGGAGTACTGATCAAGTTTTGAAGAATGCCCCTGTATTGGAATTTGTTTTTCTCATTGTTTAACTGGGGTTATGGGTCTTTGGGAGGAAGTCTGCAGAGGTAAAGTGCCATTTTCTTAACATCGTGTCAATCTATTAATATAGTTTGTCACCGTTAATGTTGACCTTGATCTGCTGGTTGGGGTAACGTTTGTCAGGTTTCTCCACTGTAAAGCTACTTTTCCCATTTCCCCTTGACCTAACTGTGCTCTTTGGAATGAAGTTACTGTGCACAGCCCACGCTTAAGGAGTGGGGAGTTACATAACCCTCCTCAAGTGGGCAGCATCTATGTACTTTATTTGAAATTCTTCTCCATGGAAGATCCTTCTTTCCTTCCTTCCTTCCTTCCTTCCTTCCTTCCTTCCTTCCTCCCTCCCTCTTTCCTTCCTTCTTTCCTTCCTTCCTTCCTCCCTCCTTCCTTCCTTCCTTCCTTCCATCATTTATGTCAATGTGAACTCTGGATATTTAGTTTATATTTTGGTTTACAATCCAATACAGGAATACCTCGAAGATATTGTGAGTTCAGTTCCAGACCACTGCAATAAAATAAATATCACAATAAAGCAAGTCACATAATTTTTTTTGGTTTCCTGGAGTGTATAAAGTTATGTTTACACTATACATGTTTATAGTCTATTAGGTGTGCAATACCATTAGGCCTAAAAAATGTACATACTTTAATTAAAATGACTTTGTTGCTAAAAATGTCAATGATCACCCAAGTCTTCAGTAAGTCATAATATTTGTGCTGGTGAGAGTCTTACCTTGATATTGATGGCTGTGATTAGTCAAGGTGGTGGTTGCTGCAGGTTGAGGAAGCTGTGGCGATCTTGGGTCACTGCAGCTTCAACCTTCTGGGCTCAGGTGATCCTCCCACCTCAGCCTCCCGAGTAGCTGAGACTACAGGCATGTGCCACCATGCCTGGCTAATTTTTTGTATTTTTAATAGAGATAGGGTTTCATCATGTTGCCCAGGCTGGTCTTGAGCTCCTGGAATTAAGCAATCCACCCACTTCAGCCTCTCAAAGTGCTCAGATTACAGGCATGAACCACCGCTCCTGGCTGATAATTTCTTAAAATAAAACAACCGTGAAGTTTGCTGCATCGATGGACCCTTCCTTCCATGGAAGATTTCTCTACAGCACCCAATGCTGTTTGATAACATTTTACCCAGAGTAAAATGTTAAATGCCTTCAAAACTGGAGACAAATCCTCTCAAACCCTGCTGCTGCTTCACCAACTACGTTTATGTAATATTCTAAGGCCTTTGTTGTCATTTCAACAATGTTCATAACATCTTCATCGGGAGTAGTTTCCGTCTCAAGAAGCCACTTTCTTTGCTCATCCGTAAGAAGCAACTCCTCATCTGTTCAAGTTTGGTCATGCGATTGCAGCAATTCAGTCACATCTTCAGGCTCCTCTTCTAATTCTAGTTCTCTTGCTATTTCTACCAGTAACCGTAGATTACGTTCTCCACTGAAGTCTTGAACTCCTCAAAGTCATCCATGAGGGTTGGAATCAACTTCTTCCAAATACCTGTTAATGTAGATATTTTGAAATCCTTCCATGAATCATGAATGTTATTAATGGCATCTAAAATGGTGAAACCTTTCCAGAAGGTTTTCAATTTACTTTGCACAGATCCATCAGAGGAATCATTAGCTGTGGCAGCTATTGCATTCACAAGATTTATTTTTTTAAATAATAAGACTTAAAAGTTGAAATTACTCTTTGATCCATGGATGCAGAATGGATATTGTGTTAGCAGGCATGGATACAGCATTAATCTCCTTGTACATCTCCATCAGAGCTCTTGGGTTACCAGGTGCATTGTCAATGAGCAGTAATATTTTGAAAAGAAATCTTTTTTTTATGAGCAGTAGGTCTCAACAGTGGGCTGAAAATATTCCATAAACCATGCTGTAAACAGATGTGCTGTCATCCAGCCTTTGTTGTTCCATTTCTAGAGCACAGGCAGGGTAGATTTAGCATCATTCTAAAGGGCTCTAGGATTTTTGGAATTGTAAATGAGTATTGGCTTCAATTTAAAGTCACCAGCTGCATTAGCCCCTAACAAGAGAGTCTGTCTTTCCTTTGAAGCTTTGAAGCCAGGCATTGACTTCTCTCAGTTGTTAAAGTTCTAGGCCAGGCTTGGTGGCTCATGCCTGTAATCCCAGCACTTGGGGAGTCTGAGGCAGCAGGACTGCTTGAGCCCAGAAGTCAGAGACCAGCCTGAGCAACATAGTGAGACTTCATCTCTAAAAAAAAAATTAGCCAGGTGGTGGCTTGTGCCAGGAGTCCCTGCTGCTAGGGAGGCTCCTAGGTGACAGGATCGCTTGTGCCAGTAGACCCAGCTACTAGAGAGCTACTAGGTGAGAGAATGACTTGAGCCTTGGAGGTGGAAGTTGCTGAGAGCCAAAATCGCACCACTGCACTACAGCCCAGGTGACAGAGCAAGACTGTTAAAAAAAAAAAAACAAAAAGAAAAAAAAACAAAAGAAAAGATGGCATCTTCTTCCAACAGGAGGCCTGGGAGGCCGAGGCAGGTGAATCACCTGAGGTCAGGAGTTTGAGACCAGCCTAGCCAACATGGTGAAACCCCTGTCTGTACTAAAAATACAAAAATTAGCCGAGCATGGTGGCAGGCACTTATAGTCCCAGCTACTTGGGAGGCTAAGGCAGGAGAATCTCTTGAGCCCGGCATGGGGAGGTTGTAGTGAGCAGAGATCATGCCACTGCCTGGGCGATAGATGCCAGATCCAGCCTGGATAGATGCCAGATCCAGCCTGGGCAATAGAGCGAGACTCCATTTCGAAAAAAAAAAGAAATTCTGTTGTTTAGTGTAGCCACCTTCACCAACAATCTTAGCTAGATCTTCTGGATAACTTGCTGCAGCTTCTCCATCAGCACTTACTGCTTTGCCTTGCGCTTGTATGTTATAGAGATGGCTTCTTTCCTTAAACCTTATGAACCAACCTCTGCCGGCATCCAAATTTTCTTTTGCAGCTTCCTCACCTCTCTTAGCCTTCATAGAACTGAAGAGAGTTAATCCAGTTGCTCTGGATTAGACTTTGGCTTAAGGGAATGTTGTGACTGGTTTTGATCTTCTAACCAGACCATTCAAACTTTGTCCATATCAGCAAACAGGCTGTTTTGCTTTCTTACTATTCATGTGTTCTCTGGAGGAGCACTTTTAATTTCCTTCAAGAACTTTTCCTTTGCGTTTATGACTTGGCTAACTGTTTGGTGCAAGAGCTTTTGGCCTATCTTGCCTTTCAATATGCCTTCCTCTCTAAATTTACTTATTTCTAGCTTTCGATTTAAAGTGAGAGATGTGCGACTCTTCCTTTCATTTCAACACTCAGAGGCCATCGTAGGGTTTTTAATCAGCTTAATTTCAATATTGTGTCTTAGGGAATAAGGAGGAGAGAGAGAGAGAGAGAGACAGGGAACAACAAGCTGGTGGAGCAGTAAGAACGCACACATTTATTGATTAAATTTGCCCTATGATGCCCCAAAACAATTACAATAGTAGCATCAAAAATCACTGATCACATGGCCGGGCACGGTGGCTCAAGCCTGTAATCCCGGCACTTTGGGAGGCTGAGGCGGGTGGATCACCTGAGGTCAGGAGCTCAAGACCAGCCTGATCAACATGGTGAAACCCCGTCTCTACTAAAAATACAAAAATAGCCAGGTGTAGTGGTGGGCACCTGTAGTCTCAGCTACTGGGGGGGCTGAGGCAGGAGAATCGCTTGAACCTAGGAGGCAGATGTTGCAGTGAGCAGAGATTGTACCATTGCACTCCAGCCTGGGCAACAGAGTGAGACTCCATCTAAAAAAAATCACTGATCACAGAAGACTGTAATAGATATAAAAATAATGAAAAAGAATTGAGTATTAAAATATTGTGAGAATCACTGAAGTGCAACACAGAGACACAAAGTAAGCAAATGTTATTAGAAAAATGGCACCAATAGACTTGTTTGATGCAGGTTTGTCACAACCTTCAATTTGTAAAAAACAAAACAAAACAAAAAACAACACACACACACACACACAATGTCTGTGAAGCGCCATAAAGTGAAGCACATGGGATAACTAGCTACCCATATGCATAAAATTGAAACTGGATCCATTCCTTACACCATATACAAAAATCAATTCAAGATGATTTAAAGACTTAAATATAAAACCCAAAACTATAAAACCCTAGAAGAAAACCTAGGCAACACCATACCATTTAGGTGCTAGGCACCGGCGAAGATTTCATGAGAAAGGTGCCAAAAGCAACTGCAACAAAAGCAAAAATTGACAAATGGGATCTAAATAACTAAAGAGCTTCTGCGCAGCGCAAGAAACTAGCAACAGAGTAAACAGACAACCTACAGAATGGAAGAAAAGTTTTGCAAACTATGCATCTGACAAAGGTCTAAAATCCACCATCTATAAAGAAGTTAAACAAATTTGTAAGAAAAAAACAACCCCATTAAAAAGTGGGCAGAGAACATGAACAGACACTTCTCAGAAGAAGACATATGTGCGCCCAACAAACATCTGAGAAAAAACTCAACATCACTGATCATTAGAGAAATGCAAATTAAAACCACAATGAGATACTGTCTCATACCAGCCAGAATAGCTATTATTAAAAAGTAAAAAAAAAAAAAAGATGCTGGTGAGGTTGTGGAGAAAAAGAAACAGTTTTACACTGTTGGTAGGAGTGTAAATTAAACCACAGTGGAAGACAGTGTGGCAATTCCTCAAAGACTAGAGACAGAAGTACATTCCACCCAGCAATTTCATTACTGGGTAAATACCCAAAGGAATATAAATCGTTCTACCATAAAGACACATGCACACATATTTTCATTGCAGCACTATTCACAATAGCAAAGACACAGAATCAATCAAAATGCCCATCAACGATAGACTGGATAAAGAAAATGTGGTACATATACACCATGGAATACTACACATCCATAAAAAGAATGAGATCATGTCCTTTGTAGGCACATGGATGGAGCTGGAGGCCATTATCCTTAGCAAACTAATGTGGAACAGAAAAGCAAATACTGCATGTTCTCATTTATAGGTGGCAGCTAAATGATAAAACACAGGGACACATAGAGGGGAACAACACACACTGGGCCCACTGGTGTGCGAAAGGTGGGAGGAGGGAGAGGATCAGGAAAAATAACTAGTGGGTACTAGGCTTATTACCTGGATGATGAAGTAATAGGTACTACAAACCCCCGTGACACACATTTAACTATGTAACAAACCTGCACATCCTGCACATGTACCCCTGAACTTAAAAGTTAAAAAAAATAAAGTGAGGCACAATACGATGAGATATTCCTGTACTTGTTAATTTTGCTGCTTAAGTTGTTCCAGCTTTGGCCATTGGGAGTTCTTTCACCTAGTTCTTATTCCTTTGAAATATGACCACCAATTTTTAAAAATTTATTTATTTTTTAGCATTTCCTTACTTTCTGGCACTACAAGATGCTACAGTCTCGTGTTTATTTCCTGCCCCAGATTGTAGCCATTTATTTGTGTTGTTCTTTTGTACTCCTTAATTTCAGATTAATGTTGTATTTTTTCCCTCAGAATAGCTGAAAAATTAAAAAAATATTAGAATGGTGTGTCAGATAGGGTCTTGTGATATGGTCCAGCTTTAAAGATTTGTAAGTTGTTTTGATTTCTTGGTTGAAGTAAATTTTTTTTTTTTTTTGAGATGGTGTCTCTCTCTGTTGCCAGGATGGAGTGCAGTGGCATGATCTCAGCTCACTGCAACCTCCGCCTCCTGGTTCAAGCGATTCTTCTGCCTCAGCCTCCTGAGTAGCTAGGATTACAGGCACGTGCCACCATGCCCAGCTAATTTCTGTATTTTTAGTAGATATTGGATTTCACCATGCTGGCCAGGCTGGTCTCGAACTCCTGACCTCGTGATCTGCCTGCCTCAGCCTCCCAAAGTGTTGGGATTACAGGCATGAGCCACTGCACCCGGCCGAAATAAACATTTTAATACCAAATTTGGTATTCATGATTTTATATATATTTTCATTTGTTTATTTTTGAGATAGAGTCTCGCTCTTGTTGCCCAGGCTGGAGTGCAGTGGCGCAATCTCTGCTTATCGCAACCTCCGTCTCCAGGGTTCAAGTGATTCTCCTGCCTCAGCCTCTCGAGTAGCTGGGATTACAGTTGCCCGCCACCACGCCTGGCTAATTTTTTGTATTTTTAGTAGAGATGGGGTTTCACCATGTTGGCCAGGCTGGTCTCGAACTCTTGACCTCAGGTGATCTGCTTGCCTTGGCCTCTCAAAGTGCTGGGATTACAGGCATGAGACACCGCACCCGGCCATATATATGTTCCTTTAAAAGAGACCTTTCTGGCCAGGCTCAGTGGTTCATGCCTGTAATCCCAGCATTTTGGGAGGTCAAGGCAGGTGGCTCACCTGAGGTCAGGAGTTCGAGACCAGCCTGGCCAATATGGTGAAACCCCATCTCTACTAAACATATAAAAAATTAGTTGGACATTGTGGCAAGCACCTGTAATCCCAGCTACTCAGGAGGCTGAGGCAGGAGAATCGCTTGAACTTGGGAGGCGGAGGTTGCGGTGAGCCGAGATCGCACCACTGCACTGCCTGGGCAATAGAGTGACTCCATCACATACAAACACAAAAATAATAAATAAATAAATAAATAAATAAATAAATAAATAAAAGAGACCTTTCCTTTGTACTTATGACTTGGATGTTTGTTGCAAGAGGCCTAAAACTTTTATACAGTTATAACTGTATAACTGTATAAACTGTATAACTTTTATAACTGTATAAAAGTTTTAGGCCGTAGATATTTCCCTGCTGAGCCTCTGCTGCCCCTTGGCTGCCTAAAAGTGAACCAAGGCACCAAGGAATGAAGGCCTTCAACAGTCGCCAGCCTTCAACAGTCATGGTCAAGAGAGAGAGTGACAAAATTGGGACATGGAAAAAAAGCTGACCCAGCCCATAGGCCAGGACAGCTGAGCCATCCCTTAAGCTGGCTGCTGACCACAGGTCTTTGTTAACAGCCCTTCTTTGCCAATAATGTAACTTCAGTTGTTGTATTTATTATTTTACTAACCATGTGGTACTGGTGATTCACTCAATAAGTGTTCAGCGAGAACATCTGCTATGTGTTAGGCATCTCGCTGGGCACGGCTGGAGATAATAAGCAAGACAGGAAACTAGGAAGCTAGGAACCAACTCCTAGAAACTTAAAGTGCAGGGGAAGAGATAAGATAGGAAAGTATATGGATAATTACAAATGGAATGTAACAGGTACTCTGGGGCCGTATAATTCTCTAGGAGAGTCTTATTCTCTTTTGGGGTATCAGGGAAAGTGCCATAGAGCAGGAGATATTTGCATTGGGTCTTGACAAATGAGTAGAAGTTTGCCAGGCAGAGAAAGGGTCACTTCAAGTTGGGAAATGAAGTCAGGCTCTATGAATACAGCTTAGGGTTGTGAAAAGTCCCGCCAGGCACATCAGGAACCCTAGAGAGGTCAGCGAACCCAAAATGTAATAACGATTTGGTATTCTTTCCTAGATTAACAGTTCCTGTACCAGACTCATCTTCGTAACTCTAGCACCCAGACAGCTCATGGAGAATAGTAGGTGCTCCACAGCGTTTGTTGAGTGAAAAAAAGAAAACATGCAACATGCATTCTAAATTGACTTCTTCAATGTATGCGAATATTTGACTATAAAGACGTGCAGCATAACATTATACACAATAAAAACCTCAAAAGAACTTACATTTTCAGGTTGGTTAGAAAAAGCATGGTATGTTCACGAATACAACAGAATTTGATGTAGCCAATAACAATAAATATTATATTTATGAATATGGAAGAGTATTTAAATATATTGTTGAGTGGGAGTAAAAGGTTACAAAACCAAAAGGTACAATATGAACAAGTTTTGTAAATTATATATTGTGTATGTAGATATATACACACACACAGATATATATATATATATATATATACACACATGTATATGTATATATATGAACTATCTGAAAGGATTTTTTGCAAATTTATGGATTATTTTGATTTTCTATTTTTGGTTTACTACTTTTTCTAATTTTTCTATAATGCATATACATTAAATGTGTAATAAGAAAAATGCTTTTAGAAAACTAAAAGTTTTGAGAAAAAGTGTTTACTGAAAGTGTTTGGTTCCTAAGTGATGGTTTCCTGACCATTGTCTCGTTTAATTCTCACTACTGCCCTGGGTTAGAGGCAAATCTGGCATTACTATGAGTGAGAAGTGTTAGTATTGGGAACTGAGGCTCAGAGCCTAAATTCGGCCTTGCCTAAATTCTCACATCTGGTAACTGGCTGAGCTGGAAGTCATCCACAGACCTCTCAACTCCAAGTGAGATTATCCTGGGGGAGGCAGAAAACAGCCACAGCGATATTCCAGGGCTTTTTCCAGACATTGCAGCTTTTGAAGATGATACTGTGGAAGAATATTTGAAAATATGCAAAGAGGTCCACAAACAATTTTTAAGTAAAAAAAAAAGCAAGTTACAGAAGTATCATCCCATTTCAGTAAAAACTAATGTTTGCATAAACATGGAAAATAAAAAGCAATAGAATATATTGTCAAGTCAAAAAGCTGAATGCAATGTATGTGATATGCTACCTTTTGTAGTAAGACAGGGGTAAAATAAGAATTTATGTTTGTACTTGTATTTGCATTAGACAACATTAGAAGGATGTAAAAACAATCAGAGTTTACCTGAGAAGGTGGAAGTGGGTGGGAAACATGATGGAGGGGGAAGGGGAGGGGCAATACTTCTCAAGGAATATCTTTTTAATGCCACTTTGATTTTGAACCATGCCAAAACCAAAAATTAAAACAATTTTAAATGTGGTAGACATAGCAAAATGCTTATTTTTGGGTAGTAGAGAAACAGAATATGTATTCCCTTCTCTTGGTGCATCTATATTTTCTCAATGTTTTACATGTGTAAGAAAGGAGTTATTTTGAAACATTTTTTTCGAAACTTATTAAAGTCTTTGTACCCCATGGTTGAAAAGAGGAGTTGAAGGAGATTTCAAAAGGATTTCAGGAAAAAAAGGCATCCCGTAGGATACTGTAAAAAGGAATCCTTTTTTTTTCACCTGAATCTGTTTATCCCTTCAGCCTGCCAGGCTGCAAAGATGCATTCTGGACCTGGTTTCCATTTTAGGAATAGTCCCTAGAGTTCCCTCTGGAATTGCATTCAGGATACTCCTTGGCTAAAAGGTGATTTCTCACTACAAGGCTAGTCCTCCCCAGCCCCAATGTTGATTCAGATAATGCTCAAAAAAGAATCCCACACCACCTACTTTCAGGGAAATGGAAGACGTCCAGTCCAAATATATTCTCTGGGCCTTTAGCATTTTTGATTGATTGTGAATTTAAGGTATTTTTAACTCAATTCAAGTGCTTCTGTCTCCAGAGACTGCTCCTCCTCTGCTCCTCGGCTGTGTTGCCTGAGTTGTATTCGGTGAAGTTTGGCTGGGTGTTTGTTGACACATTTTCTGGGCAAGGCTATTTGAGAAACATTGACATTTCCCCTAACTTCCTCTCCAGGCATCAACCCAGTTTGTCTCCTTATCCCTGTTGGTGCTCCAAGTCTCTTTCTTGGAAGCGAAGAATCTGCTTTCGTCTTCACAATCACTTTCAGATTTTTTCTTCTCTCTTTCTTTATTTCCTTCTCCAGACTTGTCTCTATTCCCTCAGCTTGGGCCTCTGCCCAGTCAGCTTCCGAAACATGCTGTCTCCCTAAGCACACAGTCCTCTGCTCTCAAATTTGGAAAGGTCCTCGGAAATCTTTTTACTTTTGCAAAATAATCAGGAATCTCCTCTACCACATCTTGGCCAGATGGTCATCCAATGTCTTCTTGAACGCCCCTAATGACAGAGAGCTCACTCTCTTTCAAACCGTTGTTAGTGTTTCCTAAGGAAGCCGAGAGCAAGCTGGAGGTCCCCTTGCTTGCTCTTTAGTTAGTTTTCATCCGAGTGAAAAGAATGGCCCGAGGGAAGGAGGATGGAAAAGAGAAGAGATCATTGCCCAGTCTGGACTAAAGGGAGCAGGTCTGAGACTGGCATTTCCCCCAAAGGCAATGAGGTAGCCTAGAAAGAGCTCTGCATTTGGCCTCAGAAGACAGGACCTCATCCCGGCTCCATCTTTCACTTACTGACCCAGTAATCTGGGTCATTCGTACTGAGTCTAGCTTCTCTTATTTATAAAATTGGAGGTGTAATTACTTCATAGGACTAATGGGAGTGTTGAATGAAATAATGCAGGTGGAAATGCTTTGTAACTAGAAAGAGTCTTGCAAACAAGAGCATAGTTATCATCTAAGATGCTAGATGCTTAGCTTGGTAAATCTGTGAACTAGCTTAGCCCAAGGAGGTTACAAAGTGGAGAGTTTGTGGATTTACTCTGCCTGTACCTATGTGTCATTGGCAGAGTCAGCTTGTGGCCACCGTGGCCTCCTCTGAGGGGAAAACTGCAATGTGATGACAGAATCTGGGCAAGTCGGAGGCTGAGGATGTGAGTTCTCATCTGGAATAAAATGCTCATTTTCAAGATGAATAAGATGGGTTGGCGACTTGCCCAGTCCTATGGCTCACTACGGTGGGCTGGACTGTGACCCTAGAAGCCTGATTTCTAGGCACAGCTGCTGTGAGGTTTCTGACACAGGTGCAGTTGTTATGTCGGATAGTATAATCTTCATTGTGCAGGACTTCCTGGATCACTGTTGCAAGTTTAACATCTCTGGTCCTCATCCACTAAATGGCAGTTGCAGCCCCTTGTCTTAAGGCTATTAAAAAGGCCCCCACACATCTGCCATTTCTTTTGGGGGCAGTACTTCCCCTGGTTGACAACCACTGGGAACTTCAGTGATACATCCTGTAAAGTGGAAAGAATATTGGATCATGAGTTAGAAAATAATGTCTGCCCTTAACCAGCTCTGTGATCTAAAGAAAATGATTTCATGTCTCTAAGCATTAGCTTCCTCATCTATGGAAAGAGGGAGCACATCCAGAGGCTCTCTGAGGTCTCTTCCACGCCTCTGTGCCCCAGGCCTCCCTCTCTGGCCTGCCTGCACCCAAAATGCCTCTATCAGTGAGCTTTCATGTTAGGTCTTGATATGATAGGTGATTTGGGTTCTTTTATATACACCTTTCTATATTTTCTAAATGTTATACATTGAATATATATTGTTTTTCGTAGTCACAAATTGATATGGCTTGATAGTGTCCCCACCCAAATTTAATCTTGAACTGTAGCTCCCATAATTCCCATGTGTTGTGGGAGGGACCTGGTGGGAGGTAATTGAATCATGGGGGCAGGTTTTTATTGTGCTGTTCTCGTCATGGTGAATCAGTCTCACGAGATCTGATGGTTTTATAAAGGGCAATTCCCCTGCACATGCTCTCTTTGCCTGCTGCCATGTAAGACACGCCTTTGCTCCTCCTTCGCCTCTTGCCATGATTGTGAGGCTTCCCCAGCCATGTGGAACTGTGAGTCCATTAAACCTTTTTCCTTTATGAATTACCCAGTCTCTGGTATGTCTTATTAGCAGTGTGAAAAGGGACTGATACACAAATACTTCCTCATCTATCTATTCTCTCACTCTAGTTCTCATTCTCACTCTTGAGGACTAGCCTCCCCCCAGCCCCCTGTCATTCCTCACCCTCTCCCCTCTACCCGTGGGGATTGTTCCATTGGTATTCAAGCTTCTTTCACTAAAGAAACAAAACCAAAAACCTTTGACCAATATATCTCTCTTTTCCTCATTACAATTGCAGATGTTTTAAAAATTATGTGCTACTTTTTCTTTTTAATTTTTTATTTTTCCATAATTTCATACTTACAGAAATTTGAAAGACTAGTACAAAGAATTCCCACATAACTTTCACCCAGATTTCCCCAACATTTACATTCTACCATATTTGCTTTAACTATCTCCCTATCTCTCTCCCCATTTTTTTTTTTTTTTTTGTGGAGATAGAGTCTCGCTCTGTCACCCAGGCTGGAGTGCAGTGGCACAATGTTGGCTCACTGCAACCTCCACCTCCTGGATTCAAGTGATTCTCCTGCCTCAGCCTCCCGAGTAGCTGGGATTACAGGCACCTGCCACCATTGCCCAGCTAATTTTTATATTTTTAGTAGAGACGGGGTTTCACCATGTTGGCCAGGCTGGTCTCGAACTCCTGGCCTCAGGTGATTTGCCCGTCTTGGCCTCCCAAAGTGCTGGGATTACAGGTGTGAGCCACTGTGCCTGGCCCCTATCTATATCTATATAGTTTAATATAAATATATGTATATTAAATATATTAAATATAATTATAATATAAATTAATATAATATAAATATAATTAAATTATATTTAATATAAATATATACATATATATATTTTCCTGGACTGTTGCAAAAAGGTTTTACCTTTATCCCTAAGTACTTCAGTATGTGTTTCCTATAAACATAAGTACAATGATTAGAATCAGGAAGCTAACATTAATATAATATCCGGTCTACAGACCTTCTTTATGACTTGTCATTTGTTCCAATAATGTTCTTTATAGCAAAGAAGCATTCGGGATCATGCTTTATTTTCAGTTGTCACATTTCCTTAGCTATTTTTGATCTGGAACAGTTCCTCAGTTTTTTTCTTTGTGTTTCATGACATTGACTTATTATTATTATTTTTTTTTGGGATGGAGTCTCGCTCTGTCGCCCAGGCTGGAGTGCAGTGGCGCAATCTTGGCTCACTGCAAGCTCCGCCTCCCGGGTTCACGCCATTCTCCTGCCTCAGCCTCCCGAGTAGCTGGGACTACAGGCACTCGCCACCGCGCCAGGCTAATTTTTTGTACTTTTAGTAGAGATGGGTTTCACCGTGTTAACCACGATGGTCTCGATCTCCTGACCTTGTGATCTGCCTGCCTCGGCCTCCCAAAGTGCTGGGACTACAGGCGTGAGCCACTGCGCCCGGCCGACATTGACACTTTTTAAAGAGTAGAGGCTGTTTTTTCTTTTTTTTTTTTTTTGTAGAAAATTCCTCAATTTTAATTTTCTTATGTTTCCTCATGATTAGAATAAAGTTATGCTTCTTCGGCAGGAACACCACAGAAGCAATGCTGTTTCTGTCAATGTCACATCAGGAGCACGTAATGTTGATCTGTTCTGCCACTAGTGTTATAGACTGAAAGTTTTTGTCCCCCCCCAATTCACATCTTGAAACCCTAACCCCCAGTGCGTGGGGCCTTCAGGAGGTGATTAGGTTCATAAGAGTAGAGCCCTCATGCATGGGATTAGTGCCCTTATTAAAGAGACCCCAGGGAGCTCTCTCATCTTCTTTCCATCACATGAGAATACAAGGAGAAGATGGCAATCTCAACCCAGCAGATAGTCCTCACCAGAACCTGATCATGCTGGCATTCTGATCTCAGACTTCCTGCCTCCAGAACTGTAAGATATCAATTTCTGTTGTTTGTAAGCTACCCAGTCAATGGCATTTTTTTTTGTAGCAGCCTGAACTAAGACAACCAGTCATGTTAATTGTGATCACCTTGTGGTGTTAGCCAGGTGTTTCCACTGTGAAGTTACTATTGCTTCCATTGCAGTTAATAAGTATCTGTAAGGAGGTACCCTGAGATTATGCAAATATCCTGTTAGTCCTCAAATTTTTCACCTACTAATTTCCATTAATAATGCTTAGCTTGAATGAATTATATTATTGTGATGGTTGAATTATAAATTAGTTATATTATTATTTTATTATGACTTACTAATTCCTTCTACATTTATTGATGACTTACATACATGCCCTTTTTATTTTGTCAACTGCTTTTTCAGTATTATAAAAATGGTCATTTTTTTCTTTTAGATCTATTAATATGGATTATACTGATAGAATTGCTAATATTGGACCATCCCTGCATTCTTAAACTTCAAAGTCATTACTTTTTTTTTCTTGTTTCTTTTTGTGAAATTTTTACTTTTTGTAGGGATGGGGTCTGGCTATGTTGTCCTGGGCTCAAGCAATCCTCCTGCCTCAGCCTCCCAAAGTGCTAGGATTACTGGTGTGAACCACCATGCCTGGCCTCTTTTTTTTTTTTTTTTTTTTAAGATGAAGTCTCTCTATGTTGGAGTACAGTGGCTATTCACAGGTGGAATTATAGTGCGCTGCAGGCTTGAACTCCTGGCCTCAAGCAATACTTCAGCCTTAGTCTCCTGAGTGGCTGAGACTACAGTCATGTACTGCCATGCCTGGTTTATTATTATTATTACTATCTTTTAATGCAGCTGAGGTCTATTTTTATTAGGATTAAAAAAATAGGATTTATTAGAATTTTTTGAATCCATGTTTATAAATTAGATTGATTTATAGTTTTTGTATGTGAAATCTTTGTTATTTATCAGTATCAATGCTATATTCTCTTTATAAAAAGATATTTGCGGGGTTACCTTTTTTCTTTTATTCTTTCTTTCTTTTCTTTTTTTTACTGAGATGGAGTCTCACTCTGTCACCCAGGCTGGAGTGCAGTGGCGCGGTCTTGGCTCACTACAAGCTCCACAACCCGGGTTCACACCATCCTCCTGCCTCAGCCTACCGAGTAGCTGGGACTACAGGTGCCTGCCACCGCGCCCAGCTAATTTTTTGTATTTTTAGTAGAGACGGGGTTTCACCGTGTTAGCCAGGATGGTCTTGATCTCCTGACCTCAGGTGATCCGCCCACCTCGGCCTCCCATAGTGCTGGGATTACAGGCGTGAGCCACCACGCCTGGCCAGGGTTACCTTTTTTTCTAAGCTGTGGAACAATTTAAATGGCATTGGCATTATCACATCTCGAAATTATGGTTAAAAAAAAATCCCTGTGACATTGTCTGAGCCTGCTGCTTTTGGGGGGCCTCTGATAAATTTTTTAACTTTCTTTTTTAAATAGAAATTGGTCTATTTTTATTTTCTACCTATTTTGGGATTGGTTTGGGGGAATTATATTTTCCTAGAAACTCACCCATTTCATTCAGGTTTTCTTTTTTGTTTGTATTCTGGTAACTGGTATGCAGCTAGCATTCAGGTTTTCAAAGTTACTTGCATAGAGTTAGTAAAGTAACAATGATTTTTTATTTTCTCTAATTCTAGGTTTGTTTCTTCCTTGTCATTTCTTATTTTGTAAGGTTAATCCTTGTATTAATTTTCTATTGCTGTGGCTTATTCTTAGTAGCTTAAACAATACGCATTTATTATCTCACATTTCCTTAGGTCAGAAGTCTAACCAGGTGTCCCCAGGGTAAAGTCAAAGCGTTGGCGGTGCTGTGTTCCTTTCTGGAGGCTCTAGGACAGTATCTTTCCTTGCCTTTTCTAGTTTCTAAAGGCCGTCTGTGTTCCCTGGCTTATGGCCTTCTGTTTTTCATCTTCAAGCCAGCCATGTCAAGTCAGATTCTCACATCACATCTCTCTAACCTCAGCCAGGAAAGATCCCCTAATTTTAAGGGCTCACGTGATTAGATTGAGCCCACGTGGATAATCCAGGATACACTCCCCATCTCAAGATCTTGTACCTTAATCACATCTGCAGAGTCCTTTGGCCACATAAGGTAGTGTACTCACAGATTCCAGGGATGAGAGTGTGGACATCTTTGCAGGGGCCACTGTTCTGCCCTTTTTTTCTTGATAAAGTTAGCTAATTTTTTTTTGTTGTTGTTGAGATGGAGTTTCACTCTTCCTGCCCAGGCTGGAGTGCAATGGTTTGGTCTCAGCTCACTGCAACCTCCGCCTCCCAGGTTCAAGCAATTCTCCTGTCTCAGCCTCCTAAGTAGCTTAGATTACAGGCGTGTGCCACCACGCCTGGCTAATTTTTGTATTTTTGGTAGAGACAGGGTTTCACCATGTTGGCCAGGCTGGTCTCAAACTCCTGACCTCAGGTGATCCACCCACCTCGGCTTCCCAAAGTGCTGGGATTACAGGCATGAACCACTGTGCCCGGCCTTAAGTTTAGCTAAATTTTTATCTGAAATAATAAAATTTCATTTTTTTACTTTAATTTATTCATTGTCTTGGTTTATTCTTATTTCTACTATTTTTCTGCTTTCTAATGCATTAATTTATGCTTTTCTTTCTACTTTAGTTAATTTTGTTGTTCTTTTTCTGAGTCTGGAGTTAGACAATTTGTTTTTCTTCCTTCTTCTTTATTAGTATAAAGATAACATTTTCTCTGTACACTGCTTTAGTTCCTTGTTGTCGTTGTCTTTATTATGATTGTTTTGAGATAGACTACAATTTGTTTTATTTCCTAAACCCAAGAAGAGTTTAAGACAGAATTTTAATATTCTTTTTATTTTCTGAAGGTAGAAGCGTCTCTTTATTTTCTAATTTTCTTATTATTACTGGTTTAATTGTATGTTGGTCTGAGAATGCTTTTCTGTGACCTAATATTTGGTTAAGTTTCATGAAAGTTTTATGAGCCCTTGGGGTGTGGGGAATGTAGTCTATATTTTCACAGTACAGGATTGAAATTTCATCCATCAGAACTTCCTTGCTAATAATTTACCTAGCCTTGCTTATTTGTCCACTTCACCTGTCATAGACTGAAGGAGGTGAATTAGTCTCTTACTAATGTGTTTCTATTTCTTGTTGTATTTTGTATAACTTATAGCATATAATGGTTATTGTTATATTACTTGGTGTATAGATTTCTATAATTACTGTATCTTTATAATAGATCTTTCTTATCTCATTTGGTATGGTTTTTTTTTTTTTAGAACGGAGTCTTGCTCTGTCGCCCAGGCTGGAGTGCAGTGGCGCGATCTCAGCTCACTGCAAGCTCTGCCTCCCAGGTTCATGCCATTCTCCTGCCTCAGCCTCCCGAGTAGCTGGAACTACAGGCACCCGCCACCACGCCCGGCTAATTTTTTGAGTTTTTTTTTTTAGTAGAGATTGGGTTTCACTGTGGTCTCAATCTCCTGACCTTGTGATCCACCCACCTCGGCCTCCCAAAGTTGGTATGGTATTTTTTAATGTACAAAAGCTTTTAGGCCAGGAGTGGTGGCTCACGCCTGTAATCCTAGCACTCTGAGGTGGGCAGGTCACCTGAGGTCAGGAGTTCAAGACCAGACTGACCAACATGGCGAAACCCCATCTCTACTAAGGCTACAAAAATTAGCTGAGCGTGGTGGCAGGCACCTGTAATCCTAGCTACTCGGAAGGCTGAGGCAGGAGAATCTTTTGAACCTGGGCGGCAGAGGTTGCAGTGAGCTAAGATGGCGCCATTGCACTCCAGCCTGGGCAACAGTGCTAGACTCCGTCTCAAAAAAAAAAAAAAACTTTTAAAGTTTTATGTGGTCAAATTTTATCAATATTATCCTTTATGGTTTCTGCGTTTTGCTTAAAGAGACTTTCTCTACTCTCAGCTTTTTAAAATTATTCAGTCATGCTTCCTTCCAGTACTTTCGTGGTTTTGTTTTTTACATTAAAAACTTTTAAATCATCTGGAATTAATTTTGATGTAAAGCATGAGTAGGTGCCCACCTTCATTACCCATTCCCCAACCTCAGTCTTTTCAAATGGCTTATCAGGTGTCTAAACATCTTTACCGAGTAATTAGTTACAGGAGACATCTGTTGTTTTTGCCTCCTGCCCAGCATCCCTTGCCTCTTCTTTTAATAGTAGCTACTTTATTTCCCTTGGGGAACCACCTCTCATTATATGTGGTTTGTTTGGAACTAACAATAGTTCCTGCTCCAGGCTTGGGTATGTAAATCAACCTTGGTATCATCTCCCTGGCCACAGGGATAGGGCATGGCCCAAGCTAAACCAATCAGAGTCAAGGAGACTAAGTTCTAAGACCTTTATTGGGATTATTTCAGAAGAGATAGTCTTTTCCTGTTGGACTTGAAGCTGTAAAAATACAAGTGTGGGCTTCCAGAGGCCACTACCATGTGTATCCCAAGAATAAAGCCAACACAGTGAAAAGCAGAGCCTTGTGTGATAAAACGAGACCAGGTGCTGGTAAAATTATTTGAGCCTCTGGATCCAACTATGTCCTGCCCCTGGATGTATTGGTAATGTGTGCCAATTTATCTATCAATCATCTATCTACGTAATGTCAGGGGTCCCCAACCCTCGGGCTGCAGACTGGTACTGGTCACTGGCCTGTTAGGAACTGGGCCGCACAGCAGGAGGTGAGCCTCAGGCAAGTGAGCTAATTCCTGCCTGAGCTCCACCTCCTGTCACATCAGCGGTGGCATTCGATTCTCATAGAAGCTCTAACCCTATTGTGAACTGTGCATGTGAGGGATCTAGGTTGCACACTCCTTATGAGAATCTAATGCCTGATGATCTGAGGTGGAACAGTTTCATCCTGAAATCATCCATGGCCCCACAATTTCACGTCTGTGGAAAAATTGTCTTCCACAATACCAGCCCCTGATGCCAAAAAGGTTGGGAACTGTTGATAGAGTTTTTTTCTTGCAAGCAAAACACCCTTGACTTAAAATAATCCATTGATTTGAAATAATGCTTTTATCATATATAAAATTCTGATATGAATTTGTCCCTCTAATCTGTCCCATTGATCCATTTATCTATTACAAGGGTCATAAACTAGAGGAATTTGTTTTTCAGATGTCTTTTGTTTGGTTAGCTCACTTAAAAACATTCTGAATTTGAATGTTGCTGTGAGTAATGGTGGGTAACGGTTCCCAGTTATCCCCCTTCTTCAGGGAATTGCTCTTGGTGAAGCAGGAGCCCTCCCACCGGGGAGGCTGTGCCCTCCAGCCACCCCCAAACTCTGCTAGCGACTGAATTCCATGGGGTCCAAAAAGGCCAATCCTCTTGTCTTCAAGGGAGACTAACTGTGTTCCAGAGCATTCTTGCTTCACTTTTCCTCCTAGCTGGAGTACCGCCTTTACTCCCTGTCTCCTAAGAGCACTTCCCAATAAGCCATTTGAGTAAGAATCCCAGCCTCAGGTTCTGCTTCTCAGGAACCTAAACGAGAAAGGAACTCTTTTCAGGTGGTCGTAACACTCATCCCTAAGAACTGTCCCTAACTGGAAGACGTAGCCCCTCTAACAATAGAAGCAATGTAGATTAAGGATGTTGATTCTTTTAAATGTATCTACTTAGTTTCCTGGATCCAAGATATATCAGATAATCAACACTGGGCAACCATCCATGTGTAGCTTTCTTTGGGTAAGAAGATCATCAGTGGGTGCTAAGACCATTGGGTGAAATTTAGTTGGGAAATAGGTTATTATTAATCACATAGGGAAAAATACGCTTTTATAATTAAAAGAATTGGCATTACCACCTTAACAAAGTGATCAAACTCAGCATCAGTGATATTGGAGCAAGCCAACATTACATGCCTCTCAGAGGGATGATAGGAAATAAACAATAACACTTAAGTAGCATTCTTGCCAGAAATATTTAACCTGAATCCAATCATTAGAAAATATCAAACAAATTCAGCTTGTGAGACATTCTACTAGACAATGGGCCTAGAGAATGTCCTTGTGTTTGGCAGCTGAAGTTCATTAAAAAGTGTATAAATAAGGCCGGGTGTGATGGCTCACGCCTGTAATCCCAGCACTTTGGGAGGCCGAGGCGTATGGATCACAAGGTCAGGAGCTCAAGACCAGTCTAGCCAAGATGGTGAAACACCCTCTCTACTAAAAATACAAAAAAAAAAATTAGCCGGGCATGGTGGCGCGTGCCTGTAATCCCAGCTACTCAGGAGGCTGAGGCAGAGAATTGCTTGAACCTCGGAGGTGGAGGTTGCAGTGAGCCAAGATGGCGCCACTGCACTCCAGCCCGGGTGACAGAGCGAGACTGTGTCTCAAAACAAAACAAAAAAAAAAGTGCATAAATAGACAGGATAGATGAGTTTAAGTAAAGTGTTTACATGTGTTCATCATACTATTCTTTCTACTTTTCATAATTTTGAAATTTTTCAAAAACAAATTTACAAACAAAATATTCTTTATAAAGGCACACAAAATATATGCTATATAAAACTCTCATGTGCTTTCAGATTTGGTGTGTGTCATTCAGTTAAAACCTATTTTATCAAATCATATTATGAAATGTGCATTACAATTATAGTCAATACTCCTCTTATTTCAGCTTATAATAAGGTTTCATACCTCCTATTAACAAAAAATAAAATTATATGCTAGCTGCTGGACCAATTGGTTTCTTTTTCATTAAATACATGGAAAATTTAATTTTAAGGTCTAATGAAATTAATGGAGCTGTTTTGGCCTTTTCAATGCATTACTTAATTACATTATCCCCAAAAGCTGTCTACCAGAATTCAATACCTACATGAATACACATTTACTAAAGGAGTACCTTGCCTTCTGTAATACTCATCACATTAATAATAATTAATAATTTTAGCCACACATCACACTAGATAATTATAAAATAATCAGAACTTATGTTATCTTCTTGTTTAAGTAACTTGGATATGACTACTTACATTAGATCTGCATCAATTTAATCTTGACCTGGCTGCTTTAGTAATATTTCTTACAATATACACTCCAAAATGCATCTTTTCAAGTTTTAAAAATATTATTCCTTAAAATTTGTGTTTAACACATTTTTTTTTTGAGACACGTCTTACTCTGTCTCCCAGGCTGGAGTGCAGTGGCGCAATCATGACTCACTGCAGCCTACACCTCCTAGGCTCAAGCGATCCTCCCACCTCAGCCCTCAAAGTAGCTGGGACTATGGGTGCCTCCCACCACACCCGGATAATTTGCATTTTTTGTAGAAGAGGGTTTTGCCATGTTGCCCAGGCTGGTCTTGAACTCCTGGGCTCAAGAGATCCCTCTGCCTTGGCCTCCCAAAGTGTTAGAATTACAGGCATGAGCCCCCGCACCCAGCCAACACATTTATTTGAATTGAAAAATGACATCAGACTCTTTCTGACAGAAATTAAGTCAGAGTCCGATTTGGCTGATTGGTTTGATAATGAGGCCCAGCTTTGCCAAAAATGTTCTAGTAAACATGTTTCAGAATGCTTATTACTGAACGATCTAAATGGAATCTCTGAAGTTTTGATAAAATAAAGGATGCAATAAAACAAAAGCATTTAAATAAAAAATATTGGGTGATATGGCAGAAGGATTCTAAACTGGCTCCCATAATCCTTGCTTCCTGGTATCCTTGCCTTTGTGTAATCCCCTCCCTTTGAGTGTGGATGGGACCCTGGACTTGCTTCTAACCAAGGGAACACAGCAAGAATGATGGAATGAATGTGATAATGTGATATAAGATTGCAATGCCAGTTTTGTTAGGAGAGACTCCCTTGCTGGCCTCGAAAAAGCGTGGCCATGCTGTGAAGACCCACGTGGCAAGGAGCCGAGGATGCCCTTCAGCTGACAGCCAGCAAAGAACTGAATACTGCCAACAGCCATGTGAACTTAGATGAATCCACTCCCAGCCATGCCTCAGAGGAGACTGCTGTCCCAGCCAACACCTTGACTGCAGCCTCGTGAGACCCTGAAGGAGAGGACTCAGCCAAGTCATGCCTGGACTCCTGACCTACAGAAATGTATGCTGTTTTAAGCCACTAGTAATATTAGCACTAATGGATACTAATTAATAATATTGTGAACTAATGGATGACTAATACAAAATGGCAAAGGTAGGCTGAAATTAATATTTCAATATTTGAACCTCTTTGGAACCTAGCCCTGTTAAACGGGAGTCCAGGTGGAAGAATTGCAGGTGTAACATACAGCAGTGGTTCACAGACGAGCAGGCACCGGAATCACCTACAAGGCGTGCTGGCAAAACACCGATTGCCGGGTCCCACCCCCAGAGTTTCTGATTCAGTAGGTCTGGGGTGGGTTCTGAGAATCTGCATTTTTTTTTTTTTTTTTTGAGACGGGAGTCTCGCTCCGTTGCCCAGGCTGGAGTGCAATGGCGTGATCTCGGCTTACTACAACCTCCTCCTCCCGGGCTCAAGAGATTTTCCTGCGTCAGCCTTCTGAGTAGCTGGGATTACAGGCACACGCCACCACACCCAGCTAATTTTTGCATTTTTAGTAGAGGCGGGTGAAACCCCGTCTCCACTAAAAGAGATCACGGGGTCTCGATCTCCTGAACTCGTGATCCACCTGCCTTGGCCTCCCAAAGTGTTGGGATTACATGCATAAGCCACCATGCCAAGCCAAGAATTTGCATTTCTAACAATCTGCCAGGGGATGCCGATGCTGCTTGTCTGGAATTCACACTTTGAGAGCCACTGTGTGGAGTCATCTGGTAGCTAAGTTTTAGTAAAGGCTTTCTGGTGTACTAAGTCATTGAGAAAATGATTAGATTGTAATAACTGGTAACAAATCCTTTTACAAGTTAAATTGTTTTCAATCTTTTATTTTCAATAAAAGTAAAGGGGGACCTAACAGAGTTGTCAATTGATAAATCATTACAAATAATTTTTGATGAAAGAATATGTGAATTTTAACAAGTAAACTTCTTGAAAGTTGGAAAGACTTTCAAGAATGGAGTGGCATTTCCATTCAAAACTCTCACACACAACTCCTTTTATTCCTAAGTGCTTATTTAAGTGAACAAGGTGTATTAGAGTAGGTTAAATTGCTGTTACAAATAGACCCAAACATGGTTCAAACGTGAAGTTTATTTCCTAATTGGTAAGTGTTCTCCTGCATGTGGTGAATAAGACACCCAGGTTTCTTCCATGTGTGGCTCCACCATCCCCCAAGGGTCTTGCCATCATCTACACCCAACTAGAAGAATGCACAGAGGAGCACTTGCTCTCTTAATAGTCCTAGCCCAGAAAGAGCATGTTTTATTTCTGCTTACCTTTAATTAGATTATATCCATCTGGGTCCAATCAGCAGAGAGAAACCATATAGTAATTTAAATAGGGGAAGTTTAATAGGAAGAATTATTAACTGTAAGAGGGGATTGGAGTCACAAGGGATTGGCAGTTCAGAAGCAAAGGGATAACATTTATAAAAAGTGGATACTATCCCTAAAGCTGAGAAAGAGCACTCCCACCTCCTTCTCTTTCATCAGGGCTGAGATTCATATTTCATTGAAGAGGTGTATTTGAGGGCCCCAATATTATCCTTAGGTTCAGTGATAAGTGAGGACTCAGAATTCAAAAAAGCTTTTATACTTAGGGTTATGGTTTGTCATAATGAAAAGAGAGTTAAAATCAGCAAAAAGAAAAGGCACATAGGGCAGAGGCTGGGACAGACCAGATGCAAGCTTCCAGTTGTCTTTTCTCAGTGGAGTCACATGGACAGTACTTAATTCTTTCAGCAATGATGTGTGAAAACACTCATAAAGTATTGCCAGCTAGGGAAGCTCACCCAAGCCTTGGTGTCCGGGGTTTGTACTGGGGGTTGATCACATAGGCATGGCTGATTGTGCTCACAGCTGACCTTAGTTATTCAAGTCTTCAGCTCCTCCAGAGGCCAGTTGATACCAAGACCCCCACTATAAATCACACCGTTAGCATAGACTACCTGGCGTGGCCTAAGGTCCTAGATAAACAAAGACACTCTTATCAGGCAGGATGTTCCAATACGTTTCTTTTTTCCTTTTTTTTTTGAAGGTATGGGGCTTGGACAATGTGAACTGAGTTAATCCTTTACTGCACAGCAGGGCATGGCTGTTGTTCGCTGAAGGGCAGAGAAGTGCCTTGCTGGTTGCACTTGCTGGAAATCTACCCTATTGGCTGCCAGGGAAAGTTGCTCAACCCACCCTGCTACAAAACTGACTGGAAGGGTGGGGGCCAAGGGAAGCTGCCGGCTGCTGGGTGCTGCTGACTACTGTGCACTGCAGTAGCTGGGCACTGGAGAAGCTGTGATCCTTGGAGGAGGCTGCACATGGGAACTAGGAAGTAAAATGCTTTTCTCTTTCAGTATCACTCTAGCACCCCAAAGCTTCAGCGCCAGCCACCAAAGGAAAAATGTTTAAAGGGCCCAGATCAACTTTACAGAGGAAACAGACAAGGGTGAATTTGAGCTGAGAGGCAATATATAGATAATGGGCACAGCCACACTGCAAGGAATGCTGGGAAATATAGCCCACCCGCATATTTACCTAACAATCTTATTACTGAAAGAGAAGAAAAATGATTTTGGTGGACAGGTAGCACTCTCTGCCACATGATATTTCTTAGACTTAAAATGGAAAAATAGGAATAGAATTGATGCTAAACCCATCTCATTCTTGCAGTGAACTAGTGGACAAAACCAATAACACTCCCATCTAGCTCATTCAGAGATTCAATTCAGACAGATTTTTACTTTTTATGTTTAATAAGTGTATATCAGATTTGGTGATATATTTATGTTTTTTGATCAATTGTGAACTAATACTTGTAATCACTAAATACAGAATAATTTTTAAGATATATAGCTTTATTGTCAAAGGAAATTATCTAAAATAATTTGTTGTATACAGGTATAATAGAGTAAAAAAAAAATTTTTCTTTTGGGATGGAGTTTCTTTCTTGTCGCCCAGGCTGGAATGCAATGGCACAATCTCAGCTCACTGCAACCTCCACATCCCAGGTTTAAGCAATTCTCCAGCCTTGCCTCCTGAGTAGCTGGGATTACAGGTGCCTGCCACCATGCCCAGCTAATTTTGCATTTTTAATAACTAAATTGTGATAATATTTTTAAATGTCAGAATTTATAATAAATGGGAAATTATTTTTACAATACGGTGGAAATTATTAAGGGTCGACTTAAAACAGTGCTAAAGGATACCTAGATTTTCAAAATTCTTTTAGAGAGAAGGTAAGGAAAAAATGTGAAAACTACTGATCGAATTCATCATTTCATCCTCAACATCTGGCTCAGAACGCAGTACATAATAAGTGCTCAATAAATATTATTTGAATAAAGATAAGAAAGAATGAATGGTAAACAGAGGGGTACATACAAATAATGCCCAATGTAGACAAAGGTTGTAAGAACCTAGGCGAAAGAAGTTGCAGGATACTAGTAAAGGTACAAATCCTCACAATCTTTCTGGAAGGCTTTTTGCAGTCTATATAAATGGCTTTAAAATTTGCCCCCCTTTTGACCAAATCATATATCTTCTAGGAATTTATCCTGGAAGTCGTAAGTGAACAAAGATGCTCATAACTGCACTCAGTCAGTCAATACATATTTCTTAATCACCTACTCTTTATCGTAGATAAAGCAGTTAGGTACGGTCCTGCCTTCATAAAATGTACCGTTTATTGGGGGAGGCCAAGTAACTAATGTTGCAAATGAAAGGTTAAAAATTGTGAGAAGTTCTATAAAAAATAGATAGCAAGCACTGAAAGAGTATTAAAATGGTGTTGGAGGGGAATGAGAGCAAATCTTGGAAGGCTTGGAAAATGCAATTATTCATTTATTTGAAAGATAAACTGATTGTTTTCCCTGGGGTGCTCTTAGAAATGAGAGTAAAGAATGGGTGGAGGGTAAGCTGCTTGGAGGCCAGAGATGGATTCAGGGGCGGGATAACATTTCAGCTCCAGGGAATAGCTCGTGTCAAGGATGGAACAGGAGGGATCAAGGTATGGTTGAGACACTGGAAGAAGGCGAGGGGCTGTGGAACATATATTACAGGGGAGAGGATGGTGCATGGTGAGGCTGAAGAGGTATTGCCAAAGGCCAAGTTCAGGATTTTGGTTTTATCTCAAACAATGACTATATTTTCAGAGGAATAATTAACATAAAATAAAATGCACAGACTTCAGGTGTTCAGTTCAATGAATGTTAACAAACATATACATATAACAGTCACCCAAACCAAGATATAGACAATTTCTGTCAATCACCCCAGCATGTTCCCTCTACCCCTTTCCCGCCAATACCTGTCCACCCATCCCTTGCTACCGCTTTCTATCACCATAGGTTAGTTTTGGCTATTCTAGAATTTCATATATTATAGAATAACACAGTATGTATTCTTTTGTGTTATTATTTAGTTTAACATAATGTTTTTGAGATTCATCCATACTGCTATGTGTATCTGTAGTTCATTTTCTTTTATTGCTGAGTAGTATTCTGTTGTATGGATACCATGACTTGTTTATTTGTTCTCTGGTTGACGGGCATTTGGGTTGTTTTGAGTGGCTGTTGTAAATAAAGCTTCTATAAATGTTCTTGCATACGTCTTTTTGTAATACATGTTTATATCTCTTTTTGGCAAATACTTAGAATTGGAATTGCTGGATCATAGAGTAGATGTATGTTTACCTTTGTAATAAACTGCCAAATAGTTTTCCAAAGTTGGTTGTACCATTTAACACTCCTGCCTGCATTGTATACTTGCCAACATGTGGTGTTGCTGGTCTTTTTTACTTTAGCCACTCCAGTGGGTATCACTGAAAAGTCTCAAGTAGGGGAGTAACTCGCGCTTAAAAACAAATCACTCTGATTACATCATGCAGAAGGGGCGGGGGTGGGGCAAGATGTGGTGAGACCTGTTAGGTGGTGACTGCAACAGTCCAGGTGAGAGATATTGGGAGGTTTACGGTACTGATGATGGAGATGGATTTTAGAGATATTTAGAAGGTAGAATTAATAGGAGTTGGTTACTAATTAAAACAATAGAAAAGACCCAAATTATTATTTGTCATTTGTTTGATTTTGGGCTGGGGGGAGTGTAGATTACTTGGTTTGGTGGGCATGGGTATATCATATTTGTGGTCCCTTTATCTCCAGCAAAGGGGACTGCTTAAATATATGATGTTACATACGTACTATGGAATGGCATCCTGTCATTAAAAATGGTGTAAAAGAGTTTTTCTTGATATGGAAAGATGTTCAAAATACAATGCTTAAAACAAGTTTAAAGACTTTGTAAAGTGTATAGCATGACCATTTTTAATATTTAAAATACAGTATAGAGAAAAGCCATCTGGGAAGATGTAAAGTGTTAACTGTGATCTCTAGGTTGAGTTTTCAGAATAGTTTTTAATTTGGGCTATGATTTTTTTCTGGTTTTCTACAAAGAACATATGCTAATTGTGTAATATGAAAAAAGTTATTTAAAAACACTTAACATTTCAAAAATAGAAATTTATTTTAAGAGCACAACATGAGAATAAATAGAACCCCAAGGGGATGGGAAAGGTAGTGATAACAGGATCTTGATCCTTCTTCCTTTATCCTCAGATACTCTTTCCCACCTTGTATCTTCCAGTCCAGCTACCTGGCAGGGTTCCTAGGCCTTTTTCAGCCTTTGAAGGTCTGAGAGTAGAAGGGCTAGTGAGAGAGGCTGAGCTGAACTCAAATCCAGGATTTTGAAATCCATGGAAACTTCTCTGATCCCTGTCCCCAACTGAGGGTACATTCAAACCTCCTTTGGATTCTAGTAGTATTGATCAGTTCTATTGCCTCTGCCACTCTGGAAATGGCATCTGCAAGTCATACATGGCCTCCACATTGCTAATCCAGCCACAGTCCTCACCGTACTGGACACATCAGAAGCATCGGCCATTGTCCCTCTCTCCTTCCTCCTGGAGACACCCTCCCGGTTTTCCCCTATTTCACTGGCCACTCTTTTTCAACCTCCTTTTCAGGTTCTTCTTTGTCTCTCCAGCCTCTTAATCTTGGAGTGTCCAAGGGCTCAGTCCTTGGAAATTTTCTTCTATTTATACTTACTCCCTTAGTGATTTCATCCAGTTTTAGCTTTAGATACTCTCTTGCATGCCGACAACTCCTAATTGCTATCTCCAGCCTGGATCTCTCCCCTGAACTCCAGACTTGTATAACCCAATGTGTTCCCAACTGGATTTCTCAAAGGCATCTGAAAGTTAATATGCCCCCTAAAGAATGCCTGTTCTTCCCCCACCTGTCCCCACGTTGTTCCTCCTCAGTCTTCTCCCTCTTGGTAAATGGCAACATCAACCTTCCTTGGGCTCAGGCCACAAACCTTGGAGACATAATTGACTTCTCTTTCATTTCTCACCTTGCAAGTCCAAAGCCTGTTGGCTCTATCTTACAAATATATTCATATATGCTTTCCTTATGCCCTGGCTCATGCCACCATCTCACCCCGCCTGGACTACCGCAGCCTCCTACAACTTGATCTTCTTCCTTCCTTCCCTGTTCCCTACAGTCTATATTCAACTTAGCAGTCAGAGTGATCTTTCAAAATACACATCAGATGATGTCACTTCTTAGCTCAAAAAACTCTAACAGCTAAACATAAACAGAGTAAACGCCAGAGTCCTTAAAAAGCCTACACGGCCCCAGATGATACAACCCGTTACTTTAACAATGTTCCATCTGACTCCTGGATCCAGTTTCACAGTCCTTGTTGTTCCATAAATATTCCAAGCATGTTCAAAGCTTCAGGGTCTTACACTTGCTCTTCCCCCTGCAGGGAAGGCTTTTCCTTCCGATATCCATCTGGCAGCTACTTTTTTGGGTCTTTGCTCAACTGAGACCTTCCCTGACCTCCCTACTTAAAATTGCAACCCTCCACTCCCACTACTCACCATTTCCCTTCCCTGATCCCATAGTACTTAACACCTAACAAATTCTATCATTTGTTTTTTTCCTCCCTTGCCCAGATGTAAGATCCTTGAGAGCAGAGATTTATTTCCCTCCACGAATCCTACAGCAGTACCTGGCATAGACTAGGCACTATTTATTGGATGAGTAATACTCAGTATATTATACCTTGCATTCTAGTTTCACCTGGAGAAATGTTTCCCCCACTAGATTGTTGGGTGCTGAAGGAGAGGGTGGGCTTGTGACTCCCTTATCTTCACCTGCAAAGTGTCTATTATAGTGTCTTACACATCATCGATGATTGGTACATGATAACTCAATGATGAAAGCACAGACTCACCCTTGTTTCACTCTAGGAAACAGGTCATCCAGGAGAGTCCGGCTAATTGTTAAAGGTAGGTGTCACAGACATCACTGATGCCAGCTCCATGTGCCCTCAACCCCCTAAGCTAACTGCATCTGAAAACAGTTCCTAGCACACTGATTATCTGCATCTACACTCTTCTCTTCCTGATAGGATATATATTGAAGAGTTAACATCTCTGGGGATAACCTTCAACCAATAAGGGCAGGAGTTGGAGGATAAATGCCCCAGCCTCCCCAGCTTCTGGTCAACATAGTCTGGATAAGATGGTGTCAGTGGTGTTTAAGTATTACCTGGAAAGTATAGCACTTAAACATGTAAGAGGTTGTCACACAATTACTATACCACAAACAGGGCTTTAGCTTGAAAATGCCACCTAAATCATTTATGTTTAGCATCCAGCAGTGCCTGGCACCTAGCAGGTGCTCAGTGGATGATTGAAAAAGAAGAAATGTGCCATTAATGGTGGAACTGAGCCATCTTCAGAGCTTGCTTAAAAATGGTGACTTGAGAATGATGTTCTTAACTGTTAACTCTCCTACACACGCACACACATTCCTTGACTCCCCTAGGAAACTCCTTTCTTTCTCCCTTACTGCCTATGAGATCGGGGAGTAGTACTTCATCAGTGCCCTCAATGAACCTAGGAGGTTAGGCCAGATGGTCCCCTGAGACCATTTAGTTAAACCCAATCAACCACTGACCTGGGGCCAGAACCCAAATGTCTAGGCTCCAAGGGACTAGTCCTCTTTCCACAGTAGCCACTGTGAAAATTCCAAAAAAGAAATTAATTTTGGAGGCTAACAGCCATGGTATTTTCAGACTCAATTTCAACAGTATTACCATTTCAGAAAGCCTGCCAAAAAGATAATGGAGATGAAAAAGTGCTGTGTAAAGTGCTACCCAAAGGTTACCTGAGGTTCACTGCCAAGGTCAACAAACCCAGGCTTGGGTGTAGAGCCAGCTCTTAAAGTTGGAGGAGCTAAGGCTGGTCATTCAAAGGGCCCCTTCTGAATGGGACACCAGTGTACTTGCCGGGATCAAAAGGACATAGCCGCTCGCCTGGTACCACCCTCACACCCTCCCCCTATTTTAAGTACAATACACTTATGTTGAATAGAATACTTACACTATGTATTTGTACTAAACAATACTTACACTATGCATTTGTATTAAACTGATGATCTTCTGGACTTTTTTCCTTTCTCTTGTATTTCAGAGGCCACACATTGAGTAGCAGCCACCTGCACCGCTGGGCAATGAACGGTCTCTCCAAAGTTTCCAACCGTCTGGGTACATTAGTGTTTTTCTTCCACATTAGTTTACATTTGTCCCAGCTGCATTAGAATTTAGATTCTGCACATACTCTGGCTCTCAAAACCACATTCTTCTGCGCTCACACTACCTCTTTGTCATCTAACAACTGAATACGCATTGTTTCCCTGGCTTGGCTCATGAAAGGGGACCCTGATGCAGAGTAAACTTCCCATTCTCTGAGCTTCCTTATCCTAGCGCCCAACACTAGAAGGGCGGCAGTGTTTGGTGACCTCCTGCGTTAGGTTAACGATCTGGGTCCGGGCCCAGGCTGGATAACGAGCCCGTGAATAATGGGGAGCGGATTGTTAAAGCCTTATCATGGTGAAGCTGAGAGGCAGAGACGGCTTTTTCCTGCGCACCCTTGCCCCTTCTCCCCAAGCATCTTTTCTTAATCTGTCGAAGCTAATGGGGTTTATGTGGCAGACATTCATTCCTCACAAGCTCCAATTCAAGAGGCGGTGCACTCATTCAGTCTCGATGTTTCTACACTTAGAGGCTTGTAAAACAGTAAAGAAAGATAGCAGATAAACTGACAGAAAGCCTTCTGTTCTAGGCTTGAAAAAAGGCTCTACTTTATTTCTCCACTGTAATAGGAGTCTTGAGAAGGCCAAATTAGAGGTGCAGAAAAAGGGTGAAATAAGAGCACTAGAAACCGTAATAACCGTAATAACACCGCAATACAACCCGGCGAACTTTATTTCCTTCCACGTATTTCCCGAGTGATACATATTCACGAGAAAGAGACAAACTTGGAGGAGGAGGTTTTTACTGCTGCACGGCCAGAAAAAAACATAGTGGGCAAAACCTTCCTGAGCTTTTTTCGTTATTTATCAACCATTAATTGATTTTTCACTTGTCAAGAGCAAAACTTATTGGGGAAAAATTAGAAAATGAATGGTCTTAAGTTCTTACTGGTTTTCAAAGTATCCACATAAGGGGCTGAGGATAATTCTGGGACTCGAAAGTCCTAGACTGCTTTGTAATCTTTTCACACAACCCAAAGCGAAACATGGGCTACACTTAAAAAAAGAGTTACTAAGAATTGGTGGCTTGGTGGGCTCAAGGGGATGAGGTGATCTCAGCTCACCATTGGCTGGGAAGAGGATCTCTCGACTTTCCACCTCTTTGGATTAAATTTTTAGCTGGAGTTTAAGAGGAGCTGTGCACATCTATTTCCAGGTAACAGAGTTCCCTAACTACCCTCGATGCCACTGTCCATTGGTAAGGCTAAATTGTTGAGAGGGCTAGGGCGGGGGCGGAGAGAAAGCCAGGGGGCTTTTGCCTGCTTTAAAATTAGACCAATGAGGGCAAGAAAGAGGCAGGTTCGGGTGCTTGGTAAACGAAAAGCAAACTTCTTTATTGTACACAGTACAGAATATAACGCAGCTTGGCAGGATGCATACGGCCCTGCGCAGGGGAAAGTATTTCAAATCAGCTGGCAGGTTCAAGCCTTTCTGCACTGTAGACTTTCCACACTCTGGAAAAGAAGCAAACAAACAAACCCCAAAGAACCCCCGAAAAAAACAAAAACCATCCGGGAGGTGCATGAGTCCAATGGGAATGCAACCGTGATGCCGCTGTCCTATGCCCAGTGACAGCACAGGTCACGTAAGTTACAGCAGGGGAGGGGTAGCTCAAGCTACAGAGGATTATTGTCATATTGCTAAGACAGCATAAATCCATTCAAAAGAAAAAAAAAAAAAATCCAAACCAGGGTAAGTAAAGAAAGGAAAACCAAATCTATACAGCATTTACAACAAATAAATCTCTAGCCAGCTGGGGGTAAAATATGCATCTATGTATAGACTATGTGTAGGTTAAGAAAGCTATAAATATGGTTTAGAAAGAGTCCTTTGATTAGAGTACAATGCTAATTAAGGCCCAATCTACAGGTTTACCACCTTTGTGGGCTAATTAGCTTCCAATAGAGGAGAATCTCATGTTTCCATAGCTATAAAGTGCACCCCTTATCCCTGCGAACCTCTTCACAAATGTGCTGTTGGTCATAAGGGGGACAGTTTGAGACTATGGAGTGCTCCATGAATAGAAAAGCAGTTCAAAGCACGTGTCTCACACTCACGGAGTCAGCACTGCCTCCTTCACATACGAGGAACAGTGTAGTCATTCTTAATGTACTAAGTGTCACGGGGAGCACAGAATTCTACCAGCAGAGCAGGCAGCAAGGTACCACCAGTAACTTTTCCTCTACTTTGAGCTCAACTTTCACATAGCTTTAGCTTGGTTGTTTAAAACTTTTCCAATATAATACAGCAATGAGAATAATTTCTTTTTAAAAAAAGGCAGGAATCTAGAATGCTAGCACTGTTGCTTACCTGTCAGTATCACACGTAAGTCTCAAACCCTACTGAATCACACAGGTAGGGTTTAAAGTCCAAGATTTAAAGAAAAAGGAAAACAAAACAAACTGATGAAATGGAAATTGTCATCAGTCATGCCCAGGGAAGAATCCCAAGGGTTTTCACCAGGTGACCAGGTTTCCAAAGGACATGACACATGTTATATACATATGCTTTCCAGAGAGGGCATGTTAGTGAACACGGGGAACTATACATAGAGAATCTAAGCTTGTGTCCAGGCTGCCCTGCACACTTCAAAAATGTACAACTCAGGTGCAAATGTTCCATCAGGTTGTCTGGTGCAGAAAGCACAAAGCAGGCAACAAGGCGGGCTTTCACATGGCCAAGGGGAAGCCTCAGCAAAGCCCCTCTCAAGCTGCAGTGTCTTCATAAGTTGGCACGGCCCTGGCTAAAGGACACAGTGCACAGTTACCAAAAGGTTTGTTTTTGTTTTTTGTTTTTCGTTTTTTTGCTTTAAATACCAAAACTACAAAAATCAGTTTATAAACTGTTTTTCCAAAACAACCACCAAAACAAAACAATCCCCCAAATCAGGGCAAAACAAAATACTGTCAAAAGTGTTAATCGCCCTTCTCCTAAAATAAAAGTCATCCACACTCAGCCACGTGATTGGGAAGAGAAAGGGGGCTTGCTCTACTTGGCGACCACATGGCCGGGTGGTTCCCAAGAGTAGCCATGGTTTATGATTTTGAGAACCACGGAGTGGGGAACAGCTGTTCTGACTGCCCCCCTTTTTCTAGACAAGGGGTAATATTTCAGATTCAGCTAGAAGAGCTTTCCAATGTTTAAGATGTATTTTTAACCCTTAATGGTTTGAGCCTCCCCAACTTAGCCTACTTACTTTTCTATGGGTTTGTGATTTTTCAACAAATTGTGCAAATCAGAGCCCTTCTATGTAAAGGCATTTAGTAGTCCATGATCGATGCAGATTGTCACATACTATGTCCCGTTTTGCGGGTACTAACCTGAACAAGATATTGCTTTGCATGTATTGTCCATGGTAAGGAGACTCCATTTTGATCTCTTCCCAGAAACCTCATCAGAATCAAGAGTTGAGGCACTGGCCTTTTGGTGGTTTTCTGCCCCTCCCTGTTCCCACTCCCCAGCCAATGTATCTGTCTTTAAGGGTGCCAATCCAGAGACAGCTTGGGTTCTCCAGATAATACTCAAAGGGCAAGCTTTAGGAACAACCAAAAACACAAACAAAACCACTGCCCTTGTTTGCCTGAATGGGAACTGCTAGCTCTAGGGTTTGGCCACTCCGCCACTCAGAAACTTAGTAAGCAAAGCCTTCGGCATAGGGGAGGCTGCTGCAGCGGTCCATGTCCAGGAGGTAAGCGGGGCTGTCTTCAAAGTGGGTCAGCGGCAGGGTGTCCTCCTCGCTGAGGTGGCACTCGGACTCTGCCTTCAGGAACGGACGCTGGTTATCCGGGAAAGCCATGGAGAAGAGGGCATCTGGGTCACAGACAAATTTGTAGACGTATCGCTCTCCAGCCACCTGCGGGAGAACACACACCTTACAGGGCCCAGTTGGAACAGGGCATGGGATCAGGGGAAGAGAACGAGGTATTCCTAAGTCACAAAGCCAGGGACCAAAGGAGCAGCCGATTACCCCAATCACTCAGACTTATTTTGAGAACTCCTGGGAACCTATTATCTGCCAAGTGTTTTACTGACACTACAGCAGTTAAAAAAGAAGATATCTGAATTTCGAATTCACACTAGATGGACTCTTAAAAGAAAATCTTCACTTTCTGTCTTCCAGTGACAGCTTTGAAAGCATGGTTATGCTGAGCCTGGAGTCTGGTGTTCCAAAAAGGTTTAAGGACTGACAGGTGCAAGGCAGAAGCCTGACCACATTTTTAGTCACTTCCAGAGTTTACAGTCTTCACAGTATGGCCTTGTTATTTAGAAAGGTTAGAAATCTGATGAGAGCGAGCCTGCGCAGAAGCCTTAAGTATGTTCCAAAGCTGAAAAGAATTGCTTTTGGCTTACCTGCAGCTTTAAATGACTCACCGCATGGCTCTGCTACACTGAGGGAACCGCTAACTACCTTTCTATGGGTTTTCTGCATTATAATATTAGAACCAGAAGGTCTTGGTTGTTCAAGGACCTCATGGTATGTGGCTGATGAGACATCTGCGTCAATGGGATCACCTTCTCTCTGCTGGTTGTTCAGCAATAGTACAAGAGGCACCTAATACCGAAAATCAAACCCAATAATCGGCTTCTGTCTGGAGACGCAGAGGGGGAAGGGAAGGCAGCCAAATTTACTGATAAGATAAACATTTTAGATTTAAAAATGCAAACTGTTGAGTTTAATCCTGCCCTTCAGTCATTCTGCTGTGATTCTAAAATCTTTTTTTAATTGAACAAGTATGGCTCTGCTTCCACATCTCTACCAATCAACCACCTCTAGTTAGTGTTGTACGCTGGTTTTACCTTAAAGCCCAACCCCAAAAATTAGTTTGTGTGGGAGAGTGAGGCAGGAGAGCACAGTGGAAATAATCCTAGATCAGAAGCTGGGAGTTGCACGGCTTCCAGTCCTGGTTTAGTCACTAATGAGTCTTAACCTCTGTGAACCTCAATTTTCCCTTCAAAAATGGAGGGCATGGGACTACAGCTTTTCTAAGTCTCTCTACACACCGACGGGCTATCATTCACCTTTTAATGAGCTCTCATGTACTCGTGAGTCATGTAACAAATAAAATAATAACCCCTTCCTTACACTGGATGGCACATTATTATTTCTGAAATATTTTCAAATATATTACCCTGTGGGATTAAAGCAAGAATTATTATCTATATTTTTATTAGAAATAGAGGCTTTGGGAGATTAGGTGACTTTCCTCAAATCATACAGCTAACAAATTGAAGTGTTAGGATCTGAGCCCACGAAGCCTCATTCCTGGGCCTTCCTGTACTCTTTGCCTACTTATTCTCAGAAATAAAGTTCTCTTCTACTCCCTTAGAAAACACAGAAGCTAGTCATAAGGACAGCTCATTTCCATTGGTTCAAGTTACTGTGTCCTGGGTTGCATCTCCCCATGCTGGATGTGGAGTTGGGAACAGCAAAGGAATAATGGCTCTCCCACCTGAACTTAGGATTTGGCCTGATGATATCAACTCTAAGGAGGATAGAGGACAATGGGGAGTGGCTGCTGATGGGTATGGCGTTTCTTTTTGGGGTGATAAAATGTTCTGAAATTAATTGTGGTAATGGTTGTACAGCTCTGTGAAACCACTGGACCGTATACTTTAAAAAAAGGAGAGGTAAGGTAGGGGACCACCTATCCTACAGCATTTAACTCTGTATCAAGCACTGAAGTTAAACCTCAATTCCTAACCCAAAGGAGCTTACACTCCAGTGGGGGGTAGTAACAAGAAAGGAGTTAAGACACAGCGAGAAGAGCAGTGGTAGGAACAAGTACTGGTGCCATCAGAAGCAGCAAAGGGGACCACCTAACCCAATCTGAAATGGAAAGGTGACAGAAAACAAGGAGGGGCTGGCCAGGTACTGAGAGCATTAGGAATGTTCTAGGTCTTAAGTAGGATGACAGTTTAATAGGTGTCTTCCATTTTATGGTATGCTTGATAATGTACATGCATGTAACATGTATTCTTTGGCAAACAAATACTACATTACATTAAAAGGTGGCTATGCTAGTGAAAGCCGTCAAGTTTGAGTGAAGAAACGAGAGTTAGGTGGTGACCAGACTGGGAACAGCCTCAGAGCCTGTATGACGCACTAGCAAGTCTAGAGTTTATCCAGAAAATCACAATGAGCTGTTGAGTATTTTTTAAGGTGGCGAGGAGAATATGGGGTCACATTACCACCCGCCTATGAGAAAGATGAATCTGGCTTCTTGTAGACAAGTTCTCAGCAGTTTTGCCCATATGCTTCTGCCACGTTCATCTTATTGGCTACTGCCAGGTAGACTGGCTCAATGTGTAAATGCTAGTATCTGGGCAACAGTACATTACGAATTTGGTAGCTAAGAAAGACTTGCCATTCCCATCTTCTACTTATCCATGGGATGTTAAGACTGTGGCCCCTTGCTACCTATCCCACGAAGAATTTTGTACTGATTTCTTCAAAATATGCTTCATCCTCTATTCCACAAAGAGCAACCTGCTACCAGGTGACTCTGCTGCCATTCTACAAACGTTGGGTTTTTAACTTGAGTTCCAGTTTCTGTAAGTCTGAAAGAAAAATCAGATGCTCTTATTCCTCTAACACTTCTGAGCATATCAAACTAACAGATTTGGAGGTCTAGGTGTTTTAATAACTAAAGACTTCAATCAAGCTGTTGAAGTAGAGACCTTCAAGTTGATTCCCTGTAGTCCTTTTTGGATACAACAGTTGGCCTAAGTTTCTGGAAATTTCTATATATAGAAGCAGTTTTGGGAAAGCAGAGAAGCCTAATTTTCTATTGTGTGTTCTGCATGCAACTTCTAGTTTCCACATAACCAACAGCATCAAATGTACTCTATATCTCATTTGATTCTTGTCTCAAGTTTGTCTTCTCAAGATTGTTTCCTACCACAGAATCACTTAGGGGGCTAAAATTTCCTCGTAGCGACGATCACCAGTCTCACTACAGAAGCCCTGGACTTTTTCCTTAAAAGAGACCAGAGTGGGCTAAGGGTCTTGTATAATGGCTCACCTTCTGCATGATGCCCTTTTCATAGTAATAGCGGAGAGAGCGGCTCAGCTTGTCATAGTTCATGGCTGGCCGGTTCTTCTGGATGCCCCAGCGCCGAGCAACCTGAAGAGACAGGAAAGTGAAGAGCAATGGAAACGCATTCCCTGGGCCCCATGTTCTCTCCCAATCCCAGCAGAGCCAGTTCTGTAACCTGACTGCTTTGGTCAATGATCTGCTACTCTGACCTGGAAGGGAAGGCATTTAACTCCCTCAAGACCAAACATTCAACAAAGGCGATGATTCAGTGACAACTACTAGGAGGTGAGACCTAGAGATGGAAGAATCCTAGCACTTTAAGATTGCAGAGGGCTTGGCTAACATCCCAGAGGATGCAGGCCCTCTACTATTTCTCCACGTATGAATTATTGACCAATACCCATAGACCATTAACGTGTTGCCATTAAGTGCTATGGTTTCTGTAGCAGTCAATAAGGAATAATTAGAATGGTCATTCCTGAAACATTAGAAACACACTAGTGAGTTGCTAATGGGCCAGCAGAGCAAAAGTTCAATTCTAATAAGATTGGAGGGGGGCTGGGAGATGTTTACTTATTGCAGCTCATGGACTAAGGGGGAATCAGATCATTTCAGCCTGCTGCCATCCAATCCCATGCTCCCAGCAGACTTGCAGAATGGACATGAAAGCATGTAGCACCATTATCCACTTAATGAAAAATTAACAGGGCTTTCCAAACAGTTCTGAAATGCATTATATCCAACCCAGTCCACCTGAGGCACACTGATAGGGCAATATAATTGGAGCTCTGGGCAAAGCAGCCTTCTAGCAGGAAAACTTCCTAGTAGAGTTTACCCAATTATCACGGCAGCCAAGCAATTTCTGTTCTCAAGTATATCAGCTTCCAAAATCCTACTTATGAGAATGACTGTCAAGGTAGTAGAATAACCCTGGAAATGTGAGTTTTACTCAGAGGTTTTCAAATGTATGCAAACCAGGGGTCAGGGGTCACGTTTGGAGCATTTTAGGTCAGTTTTGGAAACTTAAAAAAAAAAAACAAACTATATTCCTTCGATTATTTTATTTTTATTTTCTGAGATGGAGTCTCACTCTGTTGCCCAGGCTGGAGTGCAGTGGCACGATCATGGCTCACTGCAACCTCTGCCTCCCAGGCTCAAGCGATTCTCCTGCCTCAGTCTCCTGAGCAGCTGGGATTACAGGTGTCCATTGTCATGCCCAACTAATTTTTGTATTTTTAGTAGAGATAGGGTTTCACCATGTTGGCCAGGCTGGTCACAAACTCCTGACCTCAAGTGACCCACCTGCCTCAGCCTCCCGAAGTGCTGGGATTATAGGCATGAGCCACTGCACCCGGCCCCTTCGATATTTTAAAAGCCAAATGTTAAACATGGAGTAGGAATCAGAGAGAAAACAGCATTTCACATAAACCTTTTCCTTAAAATATCTAGGCAGAATGAAAGCAACATCTTCTAAATTCAGGATTCTAAAATGACCTTTCATAAAAGCCAAAAATGATCTGATAAGAATGCATCTCTCTTAATTACAATAATAGCAATGATTCTGCTCTGCCTTGCAAGAAACCCTGTGAAAGTCCAATTTCCGTTCAGTTGCTTCATGTCCCCACAGCAGACACGATGTCCTGGGTCTCCTCTTTTCTCCATATGGTACCCACTCTACTCTACCTTTGAAACAGCCCAAAAGGCAAAATTAACCAAAAATTACATCCTGGTTAGAGAAGATAAACATTTAAAACCAATAGAAATAATGGTAAGAAGAGACATCTGCTAACCTAATAATATACATCATTGTACCCTGTTCAAAGCAATGATGCCTTATAAAACTAATCTTTAATTGCTGTCTGCCACAAGTGACACAGGGAAATTTCAGAGAAGCCCAGCCTCATCATTTTACTATGTTAAGGGGTGGAAAACAATCCTTGAATATTCTTCAACTTCAGCGGCCACCTCTCAGCTGTCACTTGCATATGCAATTGCTTACTGGAGAAAGGTTTGGTATACGCACAGATTTCAAAGCAGCTCTGGTAGCCATAGTTACTGACTCATCCTCCCGGGCCAGAGCCCTGTGATTCTGTAGCCCTCACCACGGCTGTTCCTTCTACAGTAATGCATGAGGCGGCTCAGCTCCAGAGCAGCTGGGAATTAGGGCTGCCCCTCTTCTGGGACTGGGGAGGCAGGCAATAGCTTGTCATCAGATCTTTCTTCTCTCTCATTAGTTACTTTGGTAGCACGTATCTTGAGGACTGAGGCTGAAGGAGTTAACGGATCTACCTATTCCTTCTCCCCTTTAAAGAGAGAGCAGCCACAGCCCAGGGAGTGGCTCTTTCTAGCAGCCCATCCCTTCAAACCTCCCAGCAGCAGTTATCTGCCACATGTTCAACAAACAACCCTACCCCCCAAAATATTCATTAATGCAGATTCACAGTTAAAATGGCTCCAGATTAAAGCCGAGTCAGTCATAATTGAGAGGGTGCTAAGCTGGATGACTATCAAAAGACATTTGATTAGGGGGCCTGCCAAAACGCAGTTCTAAAACCACAATTTCCATGCACAGTGTAATGGATATTATGGATAATTACCCAGAGTGCACTACTCAGCCACACAGCTGCCTACAATTACGTCCCAACAGCTTCCTCCTCCGCTTCACCCTTCAAGCTCCCCCATGACGACTTCTTACAGCTTTTTCCAGAAGCTGGTATCTTCCTGACATTAACAAGAACAGGGCCCTCACAGGTATACAAGGAGGGGTGGGGGGAGCTCAGCAAATGTCACCTGTCCTGAGGCTAACGTGCACATGTGGCACCCAACTGATCCTGGGTGAAGAGAAAGGAACATTTGGAGCTTAGGGAAAGCTTGGGGACTTCAAGGTGGGGTGGAAAGCACCATTTCCTGAAGAAACAAAGCTGCCCGGTCAACCGAGGGAGGCTCAAGGACACCACAGGCTTCTCATATGACTTGGCTGCCTGGCATTTACGAGCATTCTGTATTAATATTAGTTTCTTTATTAAGTAAGAAAGCAGGGGCCCTTTGCCATCTGTTCATCATTCTCTATGCCACTGGTAGGAGTGCAGAAGATTCAATAACAGCTTTACGAAGGATCATAACCAGGTTTACCTGCAGCTGGACGGCCTGTGCTTAGGCCCGAGGCAGTGGCAATAAAATAATAAAAGCTCCTGTTTGTGAAACAAGATAAATCAATAAGGGCTGCCCACATGACAGAACTACTTTCAGAAAGCCTCAGTGAACCTAGGTGACATGCTTTTCTCAAACTTCACATAAACCAGGCCACGTTATTCAGAAAGCAGTGAGGAGAGGCATGGGTCGGCGTGGGGTGGATGGCTCTGCAGGGATGCTAGAAGCCTAAAACATGGCTCTATTTCTACATGGCCAGAAAAAAACACGTAGGCACTAAACTAACACAGTGGCACTCAACTCCAGCTCTGAAGGTAGACTGAACCGAATAGAAGCTGTTTAATTAGTCCATCTAGAGATGCTGACACATTTCCATTCTCGTGAGTGAATATAAAACAGGGAACACATAGGCACATCTTGTTTTCTAATTGCCTTGAATGAAGTCTGCCTTCTTCTCCTATCAATCAGGATTCTTCATAAATTTCTAATCCACACATTCTCCTCCTTTTCCCATTTGAATCTTTAGACCACTTTCTTGTTCCAAACCAAGTCCCCGGTTGCTACCTCCTCCTGTTAACCCCATGCCAGCGTATTTCTCTGGTGTGCTAAAGCGAGCCCTAGAGTTAACTGAACACTGAAAACAGCAATTCTCGTTCAAATGCTTTCTAAGAGTGTCTAAGAGTGTTGTTCCCAATTTAATTATACCCAACCCAAAGATGCCTTTTGATCTGCTGGTTTAATTTATATGCCTAAGAACATGCTACTAAAAGAAGCGTATGTCAGTTTTTTTGGGCAGTTATTTCTGTTCCATTTATAATCTCTCTAGATTCTAAATCAAACAGAAATTAAAAATCAACCCCTTTAGAATATGCTATACTGAGAGCCTGATTTAATTTACTTTGTTATGTGATATTCAGGAAAGGGATTCTAGGGTGTGTCTTCTCCACTGAAGAAACGGCACTGGTTCTGTCAACAGTGTATTTCTGTTCTGGGCACAAAAACAGTAACAGTGTTTTTTTCCTATTAAAATAACTGAGGTTTGTATCATCTCTCAACTACTCTATTGTGATGTCACATAACACACTTTCATTTTATTTTTTTGGACACAGGGTCTCGCTCTGTCACCCAGGCTCAATCGATCCTCCCTGCCTCAGTCTCCCAAGTATTTGGGACTATAGACACACACCACCATGCCTAGCTAATTTTTTATTATTTTTATTTTCTTTTATTTTTTGTAGAGATAAGGTTTTGCCATGTTACCCAGGCTGGTCTCAAAATCCTGGGGTCAAGCAATACACCTGCTTCAGCCTCCCAAAATGTTGGGATTACAGGTGTGAGCCACTGCACCCGGCCATAACACACCTTTGAAAAAAAAAATCTAAGCTCATTAAGATTGAGCCACCTCTGATAATTTTATTTCTCCAGGCTACAGCCATTTGAAATACACAGTGGGTAGTTGTATCCTGTAATATATTGTCAAAATGTCATACAGTATGTTCACGTAGACTCAGAGATAGACTATGGCCCACAGGGGCTAAGACCAAAACAAGTCTGTATCATTGAAACAGCACCTGAAAAAGACTTTCCAAGAGGGAGAGCATATCCTATTTGAATATAAGTCTTCATGATCTTGCCCCCTAAATTTTGCAGAAGTGTTACAAATACTTTTCATGTATTCTACACTGGAGAACTCTGCCTGTCCATGTATTAGAAACTGTCCCATTAATAGGAGGGATACAGCCAAGCCCACTGGCCAGGCCAGAATATGAATGAGAAGCAAGAGCAGACTTGACACAAAAAGCCTCAATGGAAATCTAAACAAAAAACATCATCAACAACAACAAATCAAAACCCGTCTGAGTCCAGCATCCAGTGCATACCTCTTCCGGTTCTATCAGCTTGAACTCCATGCCTCGACCTGTCCAGGCAATGAAGTGGGCATTGGCTGGGTCATCAAGAAGGGTGACCAGGAACTGCCACAGCTGAAGGGAACCTCGCCTCTGGTAAGGGGGCCCCTCTCGATACATGGTAGGCTCCTGTTTGACTTTGCCTGTTTGGGACAAGGACACATCACACAATAGCTTAGTCCTAAGTTTCTCAGGTGGTTGGGACAAAAAGGAGTTGTTCATGCTGATTTAATCACTGGACTTGGGAAGAGAGTCATGGCTGAGGTGTTCTGACACCTCCAAACCTCTACCTGGCAACAAACCTTGGATGGGGCTACTTACCTTCCAGTCTCTCAGGCACAACACAAGTGTCGTCAAAGTATAATCGGGGATCTTTTTCATATGAAAAACCTGAAAGAGAATTTAAAAGAAAGACTACGTTGCTTAACAAATTCTGTGTTGTACTAAAACTATGGATTTAAGGACTAGAGTGCAATCCTATCATTTCAGATCCTAAGTCCTACTGCTGTATCTATGGCAGACTGAATTTTCAGGGACTTCAAGAGGGCTTAGGCATTCCAATTCTGATGTAATCACCTGCGCCTCAGTCAGAGCAGCATCAATTCCTGCTTTTACAGCTAAGACTGCAGGGAAGTGCTGAGTCACCAGTACGTTCCTTTGCATTTTGCTTCTGAGGTCTGCATGGATCAATGTTGCTCTGACTAAGCCTTTACAGCTGGAAACACATCTCTATTTCAGTTGGCCTAGCTGGATGGATTTGGTTGATCTGTACACAGACCTGCCATTTTCCTTTTAGCTAAAATTAATTTCAACCTTTCCTACTAACTCATCCAAGCTACTCACATACCTCGTTCAATTACGAAAGAGCTTGAAGGGTAAAGAATGTTGCCAAAATGAATAAAGACTTGGGCCTGTAGAGGATTTCGAAAGCAGTATTGGGGGTATTATTACCAAACAGTGGAGAGGATCTGAAAAGACTTTCTAGCAATGAAACAAATTCACTGTATAGATGACAAAACAGAGGTCAAGGAGGAACTGGCCCAACAACACATGCAAACGAAATAAAAGAAGGCAAGGCAAAAAGTTAAAGGGCTCAAGAAGGAAGGATGGCCTGACAGTCTTCATCCACAAACCCCTAATATACACTCAGTGCTAACCACCATGTCGCTAGGCACCTTGTCAAGATTGGTGGTTCAAATCAAAGCCAGGTAACAGATAACTTGGATGGGGTCACATCCCTCCTTGTAGTTCAGCCTGTCTCAAGGTGTAAGGTCTCCAGTGCATACTCCTTTACCAGCACACGTCTTAGGAGAATGCCCCAGGGCTCCTGTCTGATAAGCAGTGCTTCCCTGTGCTCCGTTTTCCTGTTAGTTCACCTGGCTCATACTACAGGTCTGTGTGTGTTGGATAATGCAGTGGGGGCAGGCAGGTGAAAAGGCTCTGCAATGAAGGACTTCCATTAGATCTGAGAAGGATTCACTGCGACTTAAAAAATCCACGAGGCTGGGCACGGTGGTGAGCAATTATAATTCCATGAGCAATTATAAGGTTTAAGGGTTCTGAATGAGGATAGCCATAATAACAAGTGCTATGTGGCTTATGGAGGAGTAGGAAATAAGTGATTTTAGATTGGTTTGTTGAAGACAAATAGCCTGTAATCTCAGCGCTTTGGGAGGCCAAGATGGGTGGATCATCTGAGGTCAGGAGTTCGAGACCAGCCTGGCCAACATGGTGAAACCATCTCTACTAAAAATACAAAAAATTAGCCGGGCATAGTGGTGGGCGCCTGTAATCCCAGCTACCTGGGAGGCTGAGGCAGGAGAATTGCTTGAATCCAGGAGGCGGAGGTTACAGTGGGTGGAGATCACGCTATTGTACTCCTGCCTGTGCAACAGAGAGAGGCTCTGTCTCAAAAAAAAAAAAATAAAATAAAAATAAAAAATAAAAAAAAAGAAAGGAAAAATCCGTGAGTAAAGGTGCCAAGGTATAATTTCACCATTCTTTGTTTCTTCAGTCAACCCAGATCAAGTAGCTTCTTGGCAGGAGCAGCACCATTTTTAAGAGGCCTGGGACTGAAGAAACTCTGCACAACTGAGACTGCTTTGAGGTTTATATTATTCATTTTTGTTTTCTCAGCCCTAAGCATTAGTTCTCTGTTGCTTAACGACATCAAAGTCTATTTTATTGTCATTTATATATTATTTAATCCACTAAGTATTTATGCCAGGCGTTGTGCTAGAAGGGAGTAGGTAGCCAGGCGAATGTAGACTTGGTCCTTGTTCTCATGGAGCCTGCATCTCAACTGGGGGCGACAGACAATAAAGGAGAAAAAGAAACGAGAGGTGGCATAGTACTGATGGACTCCAGTCAGCTGTGCGATCTTGAATAAATTAATCTCTGTGCTCCAGTGTCCTCATTGCAGCAGATAAAAATTCCTACCTTATGGTGTTGTTATAAGAGTTTAATTTAGTATCATTCAACTGATCTATTTCTCTATCTTCATACCAGAGTGCCAAGAGTAGCTCCTGGTACATAAGTGTGTAATAAATGGTAGTTAAAAAAATAAACATAGTCATTGTACAACATTGTGGTAAGTGCTATTAAGAAATTAACTGAATAATGTCAGAGCTTGATCTTATATCCTCCACCAAAGATTCTAAATTCCTTGAGGATAAGGATCGTATCTTGGTATCTTAGTGTCCTCATGGCACCTTACACATAAGTACTAAATAAATATTTGAATAAATGAGAAGTTTTATAGTCTTCATTAAAAAATATTTAAGAATATAATGCTAACTTTTAAGTCAGGGATTCAATGACTCCTGATAAATTTATTTTCCAATTTGGCACTAAACTGACTTTTATGACCAACTGGTATACTCTGTATTACCAACAAGACTTTCATAATCCACTATGCTTCAAACATTTTGCCTTGCCTGCCAGGAAGCTACATATTTCCCGATCTTCCATATGTATTTTGATATTCCGGTGATGTTTTAATGGTCTTATTATAAAGTCATTACAAGCGAACTACTTCAAGTTTACGTATCTGTCAAACTTGCCATGTTATTTTCAGAGTTCTTCTCCTCTAAGGTAAGAAAAATACATTCACAGTATGTAGAAAAAAACACAACCACCTACATCTAGAAGAAATTCTCAGTTTGGTTTTCAAAGCTAATCAGATGAAGGTCTGCCTATAAGAAGTATCACTGCGGTGTATCTTGTGGTTTCTAGTCATCGCCACATGTGGTCCTCTACACCATCTGGAAGATACTATTGGTTTAAGTGAAATTTAAGTCAGTTGAATTTGAGCCAGCAGTTATATCAGTTGTGGCCACAATCATCTAATCACTCAAATGAAGGTGGCAGGAAGGAAGACCTGTTTGAGGGGCAAACTAGAAACGAAAGACTCAAAACATTATGCAAGGACTCCAGGTGAACACTTAAGGCAGGATGGCTATCTTAGCAATCACAGATGCCAATCAGAAACACTTGTTTCCTTAACTGTTTCACAGGCATCTGTGGTCAAGCCTGTATAAGGATAGGAAAAGCATGTCAGGGTAATTTAGAACAATTAAAAATGCTGGATTCTTTGAAACTAACTTCTTTGATGTGTGTGAAGTCAGGGAAAGGAATGGGAAAGGGTGGAGGGAAAACACACACAAATGCACCAGATAGTCTGTGTGTAGTAAGCAACCCAATGCCTTGCTAAAAATATTTCCCTTAAGAGCATGCTCTTTCCTAAATGTTGTAATTATGCAAAATGTTTTCCTCCCTCTCTTCCCCCACTCCCTCCTAGTTTGCCTGCTGCAGACATCAACTGCTTCTGTAGAAACATTCAGGAACCTCAAAGAGCCCCATGCAGCTGTGCCCATCACAGCCAGTGTCCGGGAGACAGCCCTGCCTTTCCAGGGCTGGACACTTACTCAGAACATCACAGGGTACCCAGTGAAACAACACTCGGTCTCCCATCTAACCAAGTGAGTGCGAAGCAGCTACCCATAAACACGGCTCTTATGAACTAATCACTTATAAAAGCCACCCAATGCTTCATGAGTATCAGCTCTTTTGACTTTCATTTAAAATGACAGAGACCAGTGGTTCTCAACCTTGGATGCACACTGGAATCACCTGGGGAGCTTTAGAAACTACTAAAGCCTGGGTCCCACCCCAGAATTTCTGATTTAATTGCTCTGGAGGAAACCTGGAAATCTACATTTTTAGAAGCTCCTCAGGTAATTCCAATGTTTGACCAAACTTGAGAACCGTTACTACTCAGTAGATTTCAAACTTGAAGGTGCATCAGAATCTCCTGCAGGACTTGTTAAAACACAGACTGCTGGGCCCCACCGCTGGGGGTTCTGATTCAGTAGGCCTGGGATGGGTCCTGAGAATGTGCATTTCTAAAAAGTCCCAGGTGAAGCTGTTGCCACAGATTTTGGGAATCACACTGCTTTAAATCTTCAGGGAGAAATACACTTGAGAAAAAGAAGACATACATCTGGGGAAGGTGTTCTAAAAAAACTTCCCTATTTCAATGTTTAGAAGGGAACTCCTCAATCCACCATACCAAGTTAGCCTTTGCCCAGAAGGGTAACTTTAAGCTCTGAGCCCACCTCTCCAGGCCTTTCATATCCCTCAAGCATGATCTCAGTCCCTACCAGGGCTCCTTTCCATCAAATGAGCCCACTGATTTGCTACTGTCATTCATTTATGCAGGAGCTTAAAAGCCCGATTATCCTCCCCCAACAAAAGGATCCCTTCTTCCTTTTGATTCACATCTAATTACTTCTTTAGATAAATCGTAAAATTTAAAAATCTGTGACAATGTACTAAAAACAACAACAAAACAGACCCTCACAAAAACCGGCAGCAGATGCCTTAAAAAATGTCATACCCTCCTTTACCCAGAAATTTCAGAAACTTAGCTTCAAGAATCAAGAGAACAAGAAAACACTTAGCTAGATGAATGTTCATGGAATTTGAGAATAACCTGGAAGTACCCACTTTTCAGCAATAGGTGATTAGCTAAAAGCATCCCCATGCAATGAGTACTGTGCAGCCATTAATGAGGAAATCATAGTGTAATGTTGGGTGCTATAGAGATGACATTGGCTGTGAAATATGGAAGGAGATGAAGAGTATGGGCTCTGGAGCCACAGGGCTTGGCTTAGAGTTCTGGCTCTACTCTTACAGCCACGTGCCCTTGGGCACATCTTTTCTCCTTTCTGAGTCTCGGTTTCATTACCCTATGGGGCAAATAGAAACATCTATCCCTTGGGAGGCCGAGGCGGGCAGATCACGAGGTCAAGAGACTGAGACCAACCTGGCCAACATGGTGAAACCCCGTCTCTACTAAAAATACAAAAAATTAGCTGGGCGTGGTGGCGCGCGCCTGTAATTCCATCTACTTGGGAGGCTGAGGCAGGAGAATCACTTGAACCCGGGAGGCAGACGTTGCAATGAGCTGAGATCCGCCACTGCACTCCAGCCTGGCGACAGAGCAAGACTCCGTCTCAAAAAGACAAAACAAAACCAAACCCAGAAATATCTATCCTATAGGGCTGCTATGAGAATTAAACAACTGAATTTATGCATCTAAAGAACACATAACAGTGTCTGAAACATAGTAAATGTTCAATTTGAGTTAATGACTATTGTTTAAAAAAAGACTATAAAACAATGAGTCCTATACGATCTGTATAATCCTATATTTACATATGCACAGCAAAGATTGAAAGACTATGTAGCAAGTTAATGGTTATCTCTGGGCAGTGAGATTTAATTTTCATCTTTTTGTCTGTTTGTATTTTCTGAATTTTATGTAATCAGTATTTATTGCTTGTGCTAAAAATAAGCTACAAAAGTTTATATTTGAAAGAAAACTAGGCTGGGCGCGGTAGTTCACGCCTGTAATCCCAGCACTTTGGGAGGCCGAGGCAGGTGGATCACGAGGTCAGGAGATTGAGACCATCCTGGCTAACACAGTGAAACCCGTCTCTACTAAAAATACAAAAAATTAGCCGGGCGTGGTGGCGGGCGCCTGTAGTCCCAGCTACTTGGGAGGCTGAGGCAGGAGAATGGCGTGAACCTGGGAGGCAGAGCTTGCAGTGAGCGGAGATCATGCCACTGCACTCCAGCCTGGGCAACAGAGCGAGACTCCGTCTCAACAACAACAACAACAAAAAAAGATGAAAAAAAGCAAGCTCCTCCAAGAAACTGACATTCTAGCTCCATTCTGACCACTTCCTTGAAGCCATATGCTATGGAACACTTATGCATCTTATTTGTTCCCAATTACTTTCACCCTAATTAGTAGGTCAGCACTAATGAAGGCAAAGTCACAGGCTCAACCTTGCCTACTGCTCCTGCTCCTAATTAGAGTGAGATGATCTCAGAGACTTACTGAATTAAGTTGGTCCCAAAGGGATAGGGCACAAGAACTTGAGCAGACAGCATACACCCTTGATATAAAACGATCATCTTCACATAAAAATAAATGTTAGGATATGTGATAATCCAGGCTTGTGGGTAAACTGCTTTATATCTGTTCTCATGTTTCTCCTTTGAGGTATTTTTTAAAAATCCAATGAGAAAACATTTGTGTCCTTCAATAATGCATTTTGTACATAACATACCTCTCCACTCCCATCCCCAGTACTCCCTACCCCCTGCTAGCTCACTTCCCCACCAGCCCCCTCAAGGTTGGTGAAGAATACCTTCAATTTCCCTCCCATGTTAAAAATGGCAACCATTTATCATATAATAATAATTACAATGAAGAGTTACCCACCCAAGCACTCAAACTAAGTAAAAAACCTAGAGACACATTTTTAAAACTCTAAGACATCCTTGGACCCTCACTGACATAACTGTAAAACATATAAAAACCACCCTCACTGACATAACTCCTAAATTCCAGTTTCAGCTGATAGTGTTATATAAACATAACCTCCATTTCTGGAAATGTGGAAATAAGGTGGGTTTGTTTTTTCTCCAAATTGTCCTATACTGTTAAAAAGTTGGGGTCATTGCTAATGAAAATGGCAGCCCTCACAGGGCTTAGGGGCATGCTTGAAACCCTGCGTGCAAAATAATTGAAGATTACAATCAATCAGCTCTCATATTCATGAGCTAAGCAAGGTTTAAACTATGATCTCAAATCTTAGCCTGGAAACTGAGCAATTTTAAGCTTGGGTATTAGTCAAGCAAAGAAAGAGGAAGGAAGGAAGGTAGGAGAAAGAAAAGCCGAGAGAAAGAAAGGAAGAAAGGAGAGGAGAGAGGAGAGAAGAGGAAAGAAAAGCAGGTTCCTTACCTTCATGGCTGCTGGAGAAATAACCCCCTCTCATGTAGGATGACTGGCAGTTAGGCACTTCTGAAAGGAAAGCAAAGGTGGACACAATCCTGTCAATAGTTTCTGCAGCAGAAACAGCACATCGGTCAACTGCAGCTCTGTGGTAAAGCCCCTAAACTTCCTGCTCTGGGGTCATGTCTTTCTGGCTTTGTCCTGGGAAAGAGGTGCCACACCAATAAGCAAGATGGCAAACACCATAACCCACCAGCTGAAAGGCAGGCTCTCCTAATCAAGAGTCACGGGAGGAAAAAAAAGATGTTTCACTCTCATTGTTCACTTATTTTAGAAATGTGTTAACACTAAATCTGGTGAAAGAGCCAATGGCAGGGGAAAAAATACTGGCTTTCAAAAGGCCAAGCCTGGCCTCTTGCCCATGCTGACTCCTGGGTGTTAGGGTGGGAACGGGAAGAGGACTGCTTTAGATCTTTTCTAATTTGCTCCCCTTTACTGCTGGTGGTCACATCTAATTTTGCTCCAACAGGTGGGAGTATTTTTAGGCCAAAGGGATTAGGGGACCTGAAGTTAGGAAGCCAGGACCAGCATTGGAAGGGGTAGAGGATTGCAGTTTGGTCCATTTTTGCCATGCTGGGGCTGTCATACTGAAACCAAACCACACTCAAGTGATCTCTTCTTCAGCCATCATGTTATCAGTGTCCATCGAGACGAAAGACAGTAATTTGAGTTGTGTCCATGTGGGATGAGCCATCACCCTGGCAATACAACTCAGATCAAAGAATTACAGATATGGTAACCTCTGTTGAGTGTCTTGCTTTAAGGGAGTGGAGTGGGGTGCAAAACCCATCAGGACAGATCAAAATGTCAGTCTTAAAGGAAAAAATGTTGCTGTTCATGCTACTCCTGAGAAAAATACATCAAAGCTTTCCAGAGGAATGCTGATGGAAATGTTTACACACGATCACTACCTCACACTTGGTAATTTTTCTGTCATAAAGCAACAGGTCTCTCCCTTCTGCCTATTTCCTCAGCATTTCCCATAACCAACTGGTGCCTGAATAGATCAATCTATGTATTATCTCAGAGAAGGTCGAGCAAATTCCATCCAAAACTGAACCCCAACACTCTCCAGGCTTGGACTCAGAGATGTACTTCATACCACTTCTGAATGCCTACCGCACTTCCTACCACTTACATAGCTTTTCTGTTTTGTTTTGTATTCCATTGCGCATAAACATGTCAGCTCTACTAGCTCCTAAGTTATTTGAGGGCAATTCTTATAAAAATTATAAAAAATTCTTATAAAAATTCCTGTCCCCAAGGCCCTGCATGTATAAGACACTGAATAACGAGACAGAAGAATGCAAGAATGAAGCAAAGAATAGCACAATTTGATGCTGACCTGAATCGACGCAGTAATCCCGAGGCTCCTGCTTGATTCCCATTGGTGACTGGAACCCGTGTGCTGGGGGCCCTGGCATGCCCGGGACCCCATGTTCATAGAGTGGGTCATGGTATTCTTGTTTGAATCCCTGAGGGGGCGGGGGAGCTGCAGGGACAATAGGTTCTGACATTTGCCGATGGTAACTGGGGCGATTATCTCCAGGAACTCCTGGCTGAGGAGGGAAGGGGTGGCAGGGTTCAGACAGTTGTCTCTGAAATCTGTAAGAAGAAAGAGGTTTTCATGTTGAACAAAGACTTGATGAATTCCTACTATGATTGAGCACTGGGGACTAGAAGTTCCAATTAATGAAATTATTTGCAAAGTACTTAATAATGCTTATTTCTGGGCATTTTACCCTCTTCCCAAAATTACATTGTGTATTTCGAAGCTCTTGAGTCAGGAAGTGGCAAAAAAAAAAAAAAAAAATCAAAGCAATGATGTGGTAGCCTCTTATCTTCCATGTATGTATATTTTATGCACAGTCTATCTGTATAGATGGGCCAGATTATGTATCTGAATATATGAGACCAATTATCTGCAAATAGCACTAACATATACATAAATGTTTGTTCACTAGTTCATCCATTCTCTCACCTATAGATAGAAGGAATTTTTAAAGACTGAATACAAATTAACCAGTTAGAAAATGTAGTTAAAAAGAAAAAAGAGAGAGAATCCCATTCATAGTAGCAATAAAAAACATAACATTCCTAGGAATAATCAGGAAACCTATAGGCCATATAAGAATAAAATCTCAAAATTGTTTTCAGAGGAAAAGAAAGAAAAAAGATTTAAGAGAATATATTTAGGACTTTGAAGCTATTGATTCACTGAAAATTAATCTATAAAAGCAAATGCCTTCCCAACTAACTTGACAAAATGATTCTAAACTTTATTTTGAAAAGGCATAAGGACCCACTAGCTACTGACATATGTCATAAAACTTCAATAATTAAAACAATAATACAACAAATTGAGAGATTGGCAGGTCAAAGGAATTTAATGGCAAGCCAAAAACTGTCAAGTATATTCCAAAATTTACTACTTGTTAAGGTTAGCATTTCAAATTAGTTGGGGAAAAAAGTTAGACCCCATTTTATACAGATACCAAAATAAATTTCATATGGATTAAAGGTTCCAATATAAAAAGTGAAACCAGGCCAGGCATTGTGGCTCATGCCAGTAATCCCAGCACTTTGGGAGGCTGAGGCGGGCAGATCGCTTGAGGTCAGGAGTTCAAGACCAACCTGGCCAACGTGCCAAAACCCCATCTCTACTAAAAATACAAAAAAATTGGCCCAGCACGGTGGTGGCTCATGCCTGTAATCCCAGCACTTTGGGAGGCCAATGCGGGGGGATCACGAGGTCAAGAGATTGAGACCATCCTGGCCAACATGGTGAAACCCGTCTCTACTAAAAATACAAAAATTAGCTGGATGTGGTTGTGCGCGCCTGTAGTCCCAGCTACTCTGGAGGCTGAGGCAGAAGAATCGCTTGAACCTGGGAGGCGGAGTTTGCTGTAAGCTGAGATAGCGCCACTGCACACCAGCCTTGTGACAGAGCGAGACTCCGTCTCAAAATAAACAACAACAAAAAAACCTAAAAAAATTAGCCAGGCGTGGTTTTGTGCACCTGTAATCCCAGCTACTCAGGAGGCTGCGGCATCAGAATCACTTGAACCCAGGAGGTGAAGGTTGCAGTGAGCCGAGATTGCGCCACTGTACTCTAGCCTGGGCAACAGAGCAAGACTGTCTCAAAAAAAAAAAAAAGTGAAACCATCATATGAAAGTAAATATATATGAAAACTTACAAAACTTGGGAGTGAGGGAAAACCTAAGTATCATACCAACAGCAGAAATCATCAAGATAAACCTGGATATACCTCACTGTATAAATTTCTATAACTTAAAAAGACATCGGAAACAAAACCAAAAGAAACACATCAAACCAGGGGGAAAGAATCTGCAGTAGTCAGAAAACACCAGAAACAAAACCAAAAGTAAAACTGAGGAAAAATCTCCACAGATACAGGAATCTCACTGTTGGCAAAAAGAGCTTTTAGAAATTAACAAAAGATGAATATCTCAAGAGGAAAAAAATGGGCAAAGGACATAAACAGGAATATCCTTACAGAATAGGAATGGTCATAAACAAAAAGTTTAACTCATTAGTAATTAAAAAAGTAACAAAGTCAGAAGAGAAGTGTTTTTCCTTTTAGCTTGGAAGATGAGCAGGCAGTTACTAATTCTGTGCCAGGTACCTGAACAGCAATTCAGTCACAGATGATCAGGTATAACTACAAAGATGGTCACCAATGCAGCTGTCTAACAAGGAAACTGGCTATATATATTATGATACAGTCATTTGGTTGAAAGCAACCATTAGAAATTACATAATATGTAAATATATAAGGTCTTGGAAAGGTATTTTTGACATATTAAGGAAGGTTGCTAAACAGTACGTAGAGTATCAAAGCTTAGCAAAAATAAAAGTAGTAGTATGGTGTCATATAAAACCACAGAAAGACTGACATTTAGATATTAACACTGCCTATCTGTGGGGTGGTTATAATTTTAGGTGATTTTCTTTTTTTGCTCATCTATAGTTTGATAATAAATATGCACTGTTTTTTAACAAGATAGAATAAAAACCTGTTGCTACTAGTCGAGTTTCCTTAACACTCTTCAGCTGTCAGATAAATCCAGATGTGTGCCAGCTGCCCTTTCCCTGTTGGGTGTGCAGTGTAGAAGGGAAAGCCTGCCGTGCCTTAGTAGGGAAGTGACCAAAGGCAAAGTTTCTTGGCTTTGTTTGCTTATCTGTGACATGGGGATGTATTATCCTCCAAATGCTCCTGAAATGGTGAAATACAATCATGTCTGTAAAGTATGGTTTCTGCCACAGCCATAATTGACAGACTATAGAGTTTAGGAAGGTGGTTGTGGAAGGCTGGAGATGTGTGAACTCTCAGTCCATGAAACAGACAGGAAGCACTAATCTATGTGTATAAAGAAAAGCATTTGTGAATATATACCCTCAGTTAGAAAGTAGGAGCCAAGCTTCAAGGAAAAATAATACAATCCTGTAATATTAAGGTCTTATTCTCTACTTTTAGCTTGAATTCTATTAATTCAAAGAATTCTTGAATAGCTTTAATAAAATAGTTTGAATTTGATTTGAATCAATGTGTGGGAACAGGTGGTCAGCAGATTTCTAGAACATCAAGATTTACAATCTTAAACTGAAGAGATCTGTGTACAGATAGAACACTGTTTACATCAGGGTATAGCACAGCACAATATACTGCCTTTACTACTCTACCTAAAGCAGCACGGTAAGATCATTTTATAATATGAAAACTACTGGGCAATTTACATGTACTTATCCTTTTATCCCAGACATCAAAAGCCTCAGAATCCACCTGGCCAATGTCTTAAACAAGTTTTACCAACTACTGAAGGTTCAGTGGGCTGATAGCCTTTCATGGGGCGCTGAATGCCTTACGGCACAACTTCTTCAAGAAACCTTTCAATGGTCTTTGAAGAAGTGTAAATTCCCGTCTCAGGTTTACACTTGACGTTTAGAACATGGGCACCGGCAGCATGCCGCAAACCTAAAGGGAATTCTTTCAGAAAAGAGAGACGAAGTTGTTTTTTTTTTTTTTTTTTTAAAAAAAGTCTAAAAAAAGACTTAAAAAAAAGTCTTGCTCTGTCACCCAGGCTGGAGTGCAGTGACTCGAGTGACTCGATCTCAGCTCACCGCAACCTCCGCCTCCCGGGATCAAGTGGTTCTCCTGCCGCAGCCTCCCAAGTAGCTGCGATTTTTAGTAGAAACGGGGTTTCACCATGTTGGCCAGGCTGGTCTTGAACTCCAGGACTCAGTGATCTGCCTGTTTCAGCCTCTCAAAAGTTTGCTGGGATTACAGGCAAAAGCCACGGTACCCAGCTGATGAAGGTATTCTTTTTATTTTTTGTTGAGACGGCGTCTCGCTCTTGTCCAGATTGGAGTGCAGTGGCACAATCTCGGCTCACTGCAACCTCCATCTCTTGGGTTCAAGCAATTCTCCTGTTTCAGCCTCTCAAGTAGCTAGGATTACAGGTGCCTGCCATCATGCCTGGCTAATTTTTTTTTTGTATTTTTAGTAGAGATAGGGTTTCACCACATTGGCCAGGCTGGTTTCGAACTCCTGACCTCAAGTGATCTGCTCGCCTCGGCCTCCCAAAGTGCTAGGATTACAGGTGTGAGCCACGGCGCCCGGCCGAAGATATTCTTAAGGCCTTATTTTTGTAAAGTGCCCACATCTTGTGCTACTTGAAAGGAATGGTAGTAACGCCTTCCATTTTCTCTCCCTTTCCCCTCTGCCACCATCCCAGCACCTTCGAAGGTGACCTCCAGAAATCAGTTCCTTTGATAGCTCCGAGATGGCATGTGCCGCTCAGTTCTGTAACCAGAGCCTCTGCAGCTGGCAGGCTGGTGGCCTCACTTCCGCTTAGTGCTCATCTTTTCTCACCTTCCAGAATGAAACTCTAGAGTTGGCCTGGTATGGCCTCCTCAGGAAAAGGTACTTCCACATGGGCACTAGCCAGCAACCTCATCCCCTCCCCGCGGCATAACTTTAAGGATGCGCAAAGCTTAGAGGCCTGTGATCTGCAGAACAGATTCTATAATTGGGATTGTTCCGTACTGGTTTGTCTTGAGACAGCAGGAGTGGCCAAGGGGGATCTCAGGGGTAGGTCACAAAGCCAACATATTTGGAAGAAAGATTCTCAGAGCTTGCTGCTGATAATGTCTTTTATGTGCAGAGATTAGTGAAGTCATTCAGTCCTTGTCCTCAAAATACATCCTGTGAACTTTACTCACTGACCTTCACTTGAACCACCCTCCCTTCTCCAGTCCTTTTGAAGTATCTAAGAATGTGTTGTATACATAATACAGCTACAACAAAGATGCCTCTAATTTACCAAGGCAGGCAATCACTTTCAGTGAAGGCACAGCCTGGTTCCTACCAAACCTCCTCTTCCTCCCCTTAACCTCCTCCCTTCCATCCACTCCCACCATTAGCCCAACAGAGTGCACGTGTAAGGAACTCACATTTGGTGAGCAAAGGGACTTCTGACTCCGAATAAGCCTAAATTCAATAGGTCACAGTTTAAGGCTTTTTCGGTGCCAGTTTATTTAAAGAACTAGTTATTTATTTATTTGTCAGATTTATATAGCGCCTTTCCTCCCACGAGCTCACCCACACTCCCAACATTTGGTTTACGTTATGAAAACCGTTAGATGCTTTTTCTGCATTTCCTTTCTGGTTTCTGCTGCCAGCACACAGAGTAAACACAATGCTCACAGGAAAAAAAAAAAGGAGAAAAGGATCTGACAGAGGTTATATAGTGATTATGGGTGCCAGGTGAAGCAGTGGCCGTTTAAAGGCCAGCTGAGAGATGATACATAAAATCTGCCAAGAAATCAACATCATGCACTTAGTACTTCCGTTAAGGCTCAGGGAAGAAGACGGAAAATCGAGAAGCAGCACAGCTGGGTAAGAGGCTGTGGCTGTGAAGTCAGAACATCCTAGGCTGAAGTCCAACCTTTACCACTCAGTAGCTGTGTGACCTTGGATGAGTTATCTAACCGCTCTGAAGCCTCAGTTTCCTCTCCAAAAAAATAAGGACAGCCAGGATACCTTGTAAAGATGATGTAAGATAATGTATGTTATAAGGCCCGGCCCTGTTATAACACTGGTAAGTTCTCAATAAACATTATCTTCAACTGCCCCACCTTCTCCCCACAACTCCCAAGCTAAAATCAGAAGATATGCAAATATGGCCAGGCATGGTGGCTCAGGCCTGTAATCCCCACACTTTGGGAGCTCGAGGCGGGCAGATCACCTTGTGAGTTCCTTACATGAGGTCGGGAGTTTGAGACCAGCCTGACCAACACGGTGAAACCTGTAACCGTTTCACCGTTGACATGGAGTGTCGCTCTGTCGTCCAGGCTGGAGTTCAGTGGCGCGATCTCGGCTCACCGCAACCTCCGCCTCTCGGGTTCAAGCAATTCTACTGACTCAGCCTCCCAAGTAGCTGGGATTACAGGTGCCTGCCACCACACATGGCTAATTTTTTTGTATTGTTAGTAGAGACAGGGTTTCACCACGTTGGCCAGGCTGGTTTCAAACTCCTGACCTCAAGTGATCCACACACCTCAGCCTCCCAAAGTGCTAGGATTACAGGCGTCAGCCTGTAGCAGTGGCTCAGGCCTGTAATCCCAGCACTTTGGGAGGCCAAGGTGGGCAGATCACCATGTGAGTTCCCTAAATGAGGTCAGGAGTTTGAGACCAGCCTGGCCAACACGGTGAAACCTGTCTCTATTAAAAACACAAAAAAATTAGCCAGGTGCAGTGTCGAATGCCTGTAAACCCAGGTACTCGGGAGGCTGAGGCAGGAGAACTGCTTGAACCCGAGAGGTGGAGGCCAAGATCACACCACTGCACTCCAGCCTGGGTGACAGAGTGAGACTCTATCTCAAAAAAAAAAAGAAAAAAAAGATATGCAAATAAAAGAGAAGATCTTAAGGAACTGGAAGACTATGACACACACAAACCATGCACAAATCAAAGGAGCCCACTGGTTGCCTTTTCAATATCCATTCTCCTTTTTCAGAAAGAGAATGCTGATTTTTATTGGAGGTGGCAATGTGCCAACTTCACAATGATGTTTATTTTCCTGCGATATAACGAAGAGCCAGACACTGTCCCTAAACGTACACCAAAGAACTCTGAAACAACTCCATAAGGCCTGCCAACATTGCTGAGACTCAAATGGGCCCATTTAAACTGTGAGAAGACATTGAGAGATAAGGAACAAAAAGCATGTCCTTTGTAGGCCTACCTGTTTGTCTGACTTCTCAAGATCAAATATGGGAGAGGGATGGTGATGAAACTAAGACATGTCCCCAGGATATCAGATGGTGAAAGTATTAGTTGTAGATATAACATTAATAACTTTGGCTGGGCGTGGTGGTGCACACCTGTAATCCCAGCACTTTGGGAGGCCAAGGCAGGCAGATAACCTGTCAGGAGTTCAAGACCAGCCTGGCCAACATGGTAATATCCCACCTCTACTGAAAATACAAAAATTAGCCGGGTGTGGTGGTGTACTCCTGTAATCTTAGCTACTAGGGAGGCTAAGGCAGGAGAATCGTTTGAACTCGGGAGGGGGAGGTTTTAGTAAGCCGAGACTGCACCACTGCACTCCAGCCTGTGCGATGGAGTGAGACTCCGTCTCAAAACAAAACAAAACAAAACAAAAAATATTAGTGTGATGATGAAAAGATCAGGGAGAAAGGCAGCATTACATTTTAAAAACTTAACATTAAACAATGAAGTTTCTCAGTTTGCGATACCTACATCATTTAAGGAAGTGTCCTTTAGTATAGTTTATGTAAAATAAAAGTGATTTTCAAAAAGTAAAATTGTCATAGAAGCTAACATTTACTGAACACCTCTGTCCAAGCGTGATTTTATTTAATCTACCCAACGCTTCTGTGTGGTATCTATTATCCTATTTTCAGACGAAGAAACGAAAGTTTGGAGAAGTTGAGTGCCTGCCTGAGGTCACACAGCAGCAGAGCGGCGATTCAACCCCAGATCTGTCAGTCTGTCCAACTCCAGAGCCACTGGCCTATACTGTTTCTACAATCATTTAAAAATACTCTCTGGATGAGAGATAATAAAAATCATATAGTCCAGGCAACCAGAAAAATCTCATACGTTTAGAAATTAAGAAACATATCTATAAAGAACTCCAAGGTTGAAAGAAATAATAGAAAATACTTGGAGCTGAATTTTTAAAGTACTGCAAATCAGAACCTGTGCAATGTATCTAAAGCAGAACTTGGGTAGGGAGATCAAATAACTGATTGTCCAAACCAGGATCCTTTGGAGAGTGCAAGAAGCTATTAGCAATCACTTCTAAACAAGGCATAGACAGACCATAAGTGACCTGGCAAACTTCCATGTACAGTCACCCCAGCCTTAAGAGAAATTTTATATGGTTTTGTGCTTACATATTATAAAGAAAAAGGGCTAAAAATTAGTGAGCTAATCATACAACAAATAAGTTGGAAAAACAGAATAAACCCAAAGAAAACAAAGAATAAAGTATTTTAGTGAGAGCAGAAATCAATGAAACAGAAAACACCCGAGAGAGAATAAGTAAGGCCAAAAGTAGATTTGTTGAAGACAATATTGTCTGCCAAGACTAAGGAAAAAAAAAGGTCTATATAAATAATATCAAAAATGAAAAAGACAACTACAGATGCTATAGAGATTTTAGAAAGGGCACCATGAATAACTTTATGTCAATTAATTTTAAAACTCACACAAAATGGACAACTTCTTAGAAAAATTTATTTATTAAATTTATTCAACTAAATAGAAATCCAGGGCAAAACTGTAAAATGTGAAGACACTGAGCCAGTAATTAAAAATCTTCCTACAAAGAAAATGCCAGGCCCAAATGGTTGTTAGCAGTAAATTCTTCAAAAAGTTCAAGGAATAAAGACTTCCAATTTCACATGAGATGTTCTAAAATATAGAAAACGGAAGACACCCTCTACTCATTTGATGAGTATAACCTTAATGCTAAAACCTAGCAAGGACAATATAAGAAAGAAAAATTATGTACTTTCTCAATCATGAAGACAGATGTGGAAGTCTTATATATTTATATTAGAAAACCCAAACTCACCAATGTACAAAATATAATACAGAATAAACAAGTTAGGGCTGGGCATGGTGGCTCATGCCTGTAATCCCAGCACTTTGGGAGGACGAGATGGGTGGATCACCTGAGGTCAGGAGTTTGACAGCAGCCTGGCCAACATGGTGAAACCTTGTCTCTACTAAAAATATAAAAATTAGCTGGGCGTGGTGGTGCCCGCCTATAATTCCAGCTATGCACCCAGATGGCGCCACTGCACTCCAGCCTGGGCGACAGTTAGACTCTGTCTCCAAAAAAAAAAAAAAAAAAAAAAAGAATAAACAAGTTAGGTTTGTCACAAGAATGCAAGGTTGGTTTCATATAAATCAGTGTAACTCACCATATTAAGAAATTAAAGGAGAAAATTATTTGATCACCCCAAAAGAGGCAGTATAAATGTTTAATGAATTTCAACCTCTGTTCATGTTAAAAAACTTTCAGTAAACTGGGGATAAAAGGAAATGTCCTTTAGCTTGTTAAAAGGTAACAAGAAGCCTACAGTAAACATGATGAAATGCTAAAAACAAACCCTCTTAAGACTCAGAACTAAAAAAACCTACGCACTCTAACCATTACAAGAACATCATTCAGTCTGTCAAAGAAGGATCCATTAAGCATCCATGAAACTCAGTTTCAGATCCCAAAGTGAATCTGTGCTGCCATACACAACATGTTATTAACAGGCACTTGGAGAAGAGATGCATCAGGCACATTCACTTTATTCCAGGCCAGGCTACAAATGTGACTTACAGTCAAGTTCATTCCTCTCTAAAAATTATTGTACTACAAAATCTGAAGGACAAAAAATGAATAGCAATTTACTTTAAGGGTAATGAACTTTAAGAGAGGAAGAAAAAACAAGAGGAAAAACGAGTATATAAAATCTCTTAATTTATCTAGCATCCTTAAGGAATTGGTAGTTTTTGTTAAATCAAAATTCCAGAAAACTTAGCCCATCCCTTTAAGCTCTGAATCCTCAATAATAACCACCGAAGCAGACGTTCTTGACATTCTCAAACAGCTTAGGCTGTTTCCTCCTTCAGAAGACACTACCCAGTTGACCTTTTCCTGATGACTCCAGCACTACACATTTTGTTCTGTCAATTACAGCATGCTAGCCTACCACAATACTGATGCCCTTAGGGGCTATCCAGAAGCAGAGGATTCTTCAGGTACAGGAGCATTTTCTTAAATGTTGCTGCTTCTTGGGTTTTAACCTCTTTGGTTGATGTCAAGTAAGTGAGAAAGCAGTGTATTCCAAAATTCTTAGAGATACATTTTTCTTAGTGGAGCTTCTTCAGTTGAATTGCAGGGCTTTCCTCAACTCAAGATATAATGAGATACGGTTTAATAAAAGCCAAAAATATATACGGCCAGTACTATAGGAATATTTTTCTAAGTTCCTCCACCCAGCACATGTAAACATCATAAATAACACAATGAGAAAACTCACAAGATTGGGAAGGCTGAAGGAAAAAACATTTTTTCAGCTGGTCTTTCAGGATAAGTGGCACATGTCTGAACATGTCAAATTACATGTCTTTTCCCCTCTCCTTGTGGGGAGGAAATCACTGGTATAAATCATGGCTTTCAAACACAGTATTTATCTTCTAAAAATAAATTGAGTTGTGAAGAATTACATGCTAAGACTATATAAAACATTAAGAATGTACTTTTTTCTTTCTTCATTATTTTCTTAGAGATGGGGGTCTCACTGTGTTGTCCAGGCTGGAGAGCAGTGGCACAATGAGATCATGGGAGTTTTGACCTGCTCTGTTTCTGACCCCTGGGCCAGCTCACCTCTGCTTAGACAATTTGGTGGTCCCCACTCCCAGGAGGTCACCATATTGATGCTAAACTTAGTGTGGACACCTGATAGATCGGCATAGTGTACTACAGAGCCCAGGACTCCCGAGGGCAAGTGATCCTCCCACCTCAGCCTCTCAAGTAACTGGGACTACAGGTGTGTGCCGCCATGTGTGGCAAGGGTGTACTTTTGACTAGATTACATTTTAGCTATTTACGGTATAATTTTAGCAAACTTTTATCACTATCAATAAACATATACTGAGGACAAATAAGGTACAAGGCTAAATGTGGCCTAAAGAAAGGAGTCTAAATCACAGGTTTTTATCCTCAAAGAGCTTACTCTATTCAACTGAACAGATACGGCACACCCAGCAAAACAAAAAAGACACATGTTAAGCACATGGGTTTGGATTAAATGATGTAGGAATTTATTAAGATTTTGTAGTTGAAGAGATAGATAGAACTTAAAAGTATAATAAAAAAACAGATAATGTTCAAGGTCAAAACAAATTTATCAAGGTCAATTACTCAGTTTTTATAGTAGACATTAGTGGATGTTAGCAGCCCAAATAAAATCATAACTGAAACAAATGGCGTAATTACACGTCATGGAAGTTTTTGGTTGCTGAATGTAGGACCCTGTATTTGGCTATGTGAGCTTTAGAAAGTCCTTTAACTGTGCTGAGGCTTGATTTCTAACCTATAAAATGGGTTTTTTCACTCTGCCTATGTCACAGGGCGGTTAAAAGTTTCAAATGAGACTCTCTTTACTTCTATCATGCAAAATACCATATATTTGTATTAGGGATTTCGTTTTGAAGTAATAGTCCCTCTAATCTTAATAAAAAGTTCTAAGCCAAGAGACAACCTATAGTCACCAATAAAAGTAATCTGCCCCACTTTTGGGCAGGCATAAAAGTTATTAAATATGTGATTATGAAGCTTGATATTATCCATGACTGTAATTTCTATTACTTTTACAAATATCAAACCAGGGATTTTGGTCTGTCTCATTTTCTGTGTACTATCCAGTATCTAGAAGAAAAATCACTGTCACGTTTTTGATGCGTTTTATGTCACATAGATATCACGTGGATGACCATATTAATAGACAAAGGCAGTAGGAATAGAATTTGGTAATACATGCTTTAAATAAAGGTAGGGTGGAATAAGGATGAGGGTAGAGAGAGCTGGATCACAATTTCTCAAAGTGTGACAAGACTATATCCAGGCCCCGCCCCAGGCCCACACACTCTATCTCTGAATGTTAACAAGGACTCTGCATTGAAAATCCCCGCTCCACACTCCCATGGGGACTCCTGTGCACTTTCAACTTTGAGAGGACAGCACTCTTGAGTGGAAATCCAAGTGCCCAGTGTTGTTTGTAATCGATTTGGTCACCTACAGAATTCCTCCCCCTTCACCTCAATTACCTCAAGGATCTCTGTATCACCCCAGTGTGTGTGTGAGAGCTTTGAATTTTAGACCCATCAGTCTCAAAGGCAGAGTATAACAAGAAGTAAGTCCAAAATGCACAGGCAGACTTCAAGGAGGAATCACCCAAGAAAAGAAATACCTGCATTCTGGTTCCCTCCTCTCTTCCTTTCAACACCCACGGGCAAATAACTCATCAATCCCAGGAATCCAAAACTCCTTCCTTCTCAGGGGGCTGGGTGGACTGGAGACAGGCTTATTTCACAGCTGAGACTGGGGCTACCCATCTCCCAATTCTCCAGGAGAACTAGGATATTTGTCTCCCAACTCAGTTAACTGTTAATACAGTATGTTACATAAGCCCCTTGGATAAAAAACAAGGATTGAGGGGGAAATATTAGATAAAGGAATTTTCTTTTACAGTTCATGGTATAACAAATAGAAGTTTGCTAAGAGTTTCAAATACTGAATATATACTCGACCCCACACTTCCTCCCCAATTTCCCCATAACCCTTGCAGAAAATCAGCAAGATGCTGTTTAAAAACACCAAAAAACCATTGAAATAAAAATGATATCTAGGCCAGAGTTCACAAATTGGCAGGCCTGCAGGGTGATTTTGCCCAGAGAAGTTTTGTTTAGTCTGCAGAGGTGTTGTTTTTAATTTGAATTAGTTGCCAACTTAAAAAAAAAAGTCTACAATTTTTACATAAAAAACCAAGTAACCAAATTCTTCTGCACAAGTACAGGTTGTTAGTACAAGGTAACAATTGCCAAAAGCTCAGCGGCAGCTGTGTCCTCCAGATGAGTCCCCGGTGGCAATAGAGGCCCACTCCAGAGCCAGCCCCCCACAACCCCGTCAGTGCTCACCCCTTGAGCCCTGTGTAACACAGGCGTTCGTGTTCCTTGGCCTAACCAAGGAATAAACAGCAACCAGCCATATTTTGCCGTTCTTAATGGTGACTTTCAGAGCAAAACGGGAAGGGGATCAGAACCAGACAAAGGGACCTTATTTTTTCCCCTGCATTTCATCTAGAAATAAAATGACCTCCAAGTAAATACTGGTAGGCATCTGGAATGGACCAGGCCTGGGAAAGGTATACTCATATATTCTTCCCACTCCCGCCCCATTGTGGCCCCCACACCGATCCACCTAACACAAGATAGATAGATATGAAATACCATGGCCACCATCTTGCATCCTTTGGTAATATTGTTGACAACTACCCCCCTATCCCAGAGAAACTTGAAATAAAGACAGGCCCCCAGCACATCTTCTATAAAAGAAGGCCACAAGCATCCGAGATTCTAGAATACCACAGATAAAGAGGTCAGGTTTGGAGTGTGCAGAGAAGGTTCCCTTCACACACTTTTTTGACAAATGAATGACTCTGGACAAGTTACTCCTGATGCCTCAATGCCTGTAGAAATGTAAAAACCACCTGCAGTGTAACCAGGAGATTTCTATTTCAAAAGCAGATGTACAAATAAGGTCCTTAGCTAATCTCCTACTGTTAAAACATGTTAAAATCAGATAAGTAATATTACCTTGTATAAATCAGCAATTGTCCCTTATATGTAAGTGAAATGGTAATAACTGAAGTTCAATTCTATTAATAGTAGGCAGCATCCAATGAGGAGTCAGGAACCTGCCCTCAGTGAGGGACAAGACTATCCTGGCAAGTCATTCTTCCTCTAGTTCTGTGAGACGGGAGAATACCAGTTACCTCTCCCTTACCTACTTTATAAGGATGTCGTAGTCCATCAACCATCTGGAGTACCTTGGGAACAGGGTGGTATATAAACAGTCATATTCGTATTATCATTAGTCTTGCCTCACAAGCTGCCTCAATGTAATGATAACTTTTTAGGAACCTGGTAAATAAGACAAACTGCTTCCCCTCTCCCAGTGAGAAAGGATAGGAGTGAGGGAGACAATTAAGGAAGAAGCCCAGATCAACACCCACCTCTGTTCTGATGGATACTGGTTTTCAGGCATCATCTTTGGCATCTGCAGGGGCTGATGTGGTGGTCGGGGGACCGCAAATGTTTGCTGCTGTGGTCCAGGCTCTGGAAGCGAATGGGGGGCGGGGGCGGGGCCCACACCTTGAACTGGGCCAGCTGCAGGGGCATGCCCTGAGGTGGGCAGAGTTGCCTGAGGTGGGGGAAATAGGGGATTCTGATGGGTGGGTGAGAGGGGGGTTGTAGGAGGGGTTAATGGCTTGAACCCAGAGGGAGGCTTCCTATCATAGGCACTGTAAACAGAAAAAGAGAAGGAACCATTAAGCTGAAATGAAGCCATTAGCATGGTTACCAGGTCCAGCAGAAAGCTAGTTTGCAGCCCATTGTTGCCAGGAAATAACAGCATTAACATAGTTAAATCGCTCGTAGCCCCGAGGGGATATTTGTACCTCTGAAAAGTGACAAACACACTGCGTCACAGGGACTTGTTTAACACTTCTAGTGATTTTTCTCAAGGATAATTTTAGCCTCTGCTTCCGGTTTCCTTTTTCCCTCCTTCTAAAAGAATTCTCCGTGTATGCCTGTGTAGGGTGGGTGGGTGAGGGGAGAATGTATGTTTGCCAGGTGTTCTCTGGTCCCCTCTCCCAACTATTTCCAGGGTTCCCAGGAATTAGTCAGAATATGTGTTGAAGGTCTGTTTGTGCTGTGACATCATTTGAATTAACAACTCTTCTCCTCCCCCTTTCAGGCAAATCTATGTTTATCTTCTAGAGCAAAGAATGATTTAAAATTAAAGCTTCATTCCTGGGGCCTGGATATTCTTAAGTAAAGGGCACAAGCTTCAAGACTTTTTCATATATTCTGATTTGGAGATTACTTCTCTGGTGCTTAAAGTTCACATTAACATATGATAGACATGAAGAAGTATATATTACCTGCCTCAAAGCCACAGATCAAGTATCCCAGGATTGAGACTCTTTCCCTAGAAGGACTGGGTACCCTATGAACTTAGTGCTCTGTAGAGCCACAAGGTTTTTAATGGTTTTCTTTTGTGTGCAGTACAATGATCCCAAGGGGACTGGACTACACCCGGAGGATGACACTGCCATGAAAGAAGGATATGTTTTACCACAGGGTCTGCTGGGTAAGTAACACTGGGAAGGAACATTCAGCTTGATGGCTACTTCCAGAGCCTTTCTGGGCAGCCTTTCTTCGACTCCTCTTGCCCACTCACCAATAGTTGTAGAGGCACTTTTCTCCATAGTTAGCACCAAGAGCCTGCTCATGGCTACAAGACGACAGCTCAGAGGAGGGGCTGTGCAGCTCCCGTTTGATCTTGGTTGGAGGTGGGGCATGAAGCACCACTGAAATCAGAAGAGGGATGAGAGGGGAATAGAGAGAGAACAGCTGATTAACAGGGAGCACAATGCTTCCTTCTGCAAACCTTCTAACTAGCTGATTGTTCTTGGAACTCATGTCAAGTCACATGTCAGAAAAAGCAAAACGCTTAAACACACAACCTCCCATCCAAAGCCAATTAAATTCTTCAAAGTCAGAAAAAGTATCATCATCTGATACTTTTAATTAGCCAAGTCTTTTTTCCCAAATTTCTTTGGTCATGGGTCTTGCTTTCCAGAAGCTGCAAAATCCTTAAAAACCTTGCAGGTAATGGGTCTCCACCAAAAATGCAAGTGGCTGCAGACATGAAGAATTTTGTTTCCAAAAAGGACAAAACGACCAAAAATGTGTTGGTAGACATTACCAACACATTTAAGCTTATCAAAGGCTTAAAATTGCTGTGGCAAATATATTTCTTATTCAGATGCATATTTACAAATTAAATATAGAATTTTTAAAAAGTCCTTTCTCAAGTAACTTTAAATATCAGCTCTCAGCAAGAAATACTCAACTTTAGAGGCATTCCAAAAATTTTAAAAGCAAAGGAATAAAACAACAGACCAATCCACCACCTAGGAAAGGCTAATGAATACAGAAAGCAGAAAGCCTGGCTACCTTTGTGCTTACAACATCTGCTCCAGGCCTGTCTCAGTGACCGACCAGCAAGGGTAGGTTTGCGTAACCAGTCCTTTCATAGATGGTGCAGTGAATTTTGCTGAATTCATGGAATAAATACATGGAGCTACTGCTTTTGGCTTGGAAGCCAACTACATATACCACATAGGATTCTGAGAGGGCAGAGTAACAAGAATTTTTCAAATCAAGGTGATTTACATGTAGTGGCCAAAATAAACCCAAAGAACAAAAAACCGAGTTTGCCTTTTCTGTCTTCTCTAGGAGCTAAATTGTTGCAGAGACAGCATTTTATCCAAAGTGGAAAGATGCATTTTGCGCTATAAGGGCTGCCTTCTAGTTGAGTTAGAATGGTTACTCCTTGTCTAGCTACCTTGGAAGGTGGGGAAGGAGAGCAAGTTAAGCTTCTATGCTGGCCACTGGCCACTGTATCAAAGGTCTCATTAAATAGCTAACTACAGTCAGTGGTCTGGTGACCCAGTAACATTTTCATTTTGACTCAATGTTTACTCCTAAAACATCTTTAGGAGTTACTTCTTAGTAATTATACGAGGTAGAACTAGCTAAACAAATCATCACTTTTCTCTTTTTTTTTTTTTTTTTGAGACGGAGTCTTACTCTGTCGCCCAGGCTGGCGTGCAATGGCGTGATCACTGCAACCTCTGCCTCCTGGGTTCAAACGATTCTCCTGCCTCAGCCTGCCGAGTAGCTGGGATTACAGGTGCCCGCCACCATGCCCAGCTAATTTTTGTATTTTTAGTAAAGACAGGGTTTCACCATGTTGGCCAGGCTGGTCTCGAACTAATGACTTTGTGATCCACCCACCTTGGCCTCCCAAAGTGCTGGGATTACAGGCGTGAGCCACCGCACTCGGCCTAAACAATCATCTCTTTTCTATTAATATCTGATAAGGCTGAACTATCTTCCAGCCAACTGGCCTCTCAGGTGCCTCTATAATCCCAAATTCTGAATTCAGGATTGAATACGAGACAGATGACTCTATCACAGATGACAAGGTTATAAAGCAATGTTGCTGCAAAGTCTTGCCAGTGACTGACTGGAAAGGACAGGTTTTCATAATTCTTTTCTTATATAATGCCAACTGCTTTTCCTGAATACATAAAATAAGTTGAGAACTAGCAGATTATATTTAGAAGTCATTAGAGTTTCTCTCGTGATTTTTTGATGGTGACATCATGGCAGCCAACACTCAATTGTTATCAACTGTTTCAGATATTCAGACACAGAAAATAGCGAAGCTTGTTTGAATGTTGCTAGTAAATGAGAATTTGACACAGAAATCCCTTCCTCCAACACAGTAGATAGTCTGGCAGTTCTCAGCACTGCCCCGTGGTCACTGCCCTTCCTCTCACCAGTCTTCTGCTATAAAAGTTTTGGCAAAATAATGAGGAAAGGTAATGATGACCCAATTTAAACAAAAGCTACATGTCCTTGAAACGTCTACTTTTCTTGCTTTATCTAAAGATAATCATTTGCAATCACCACTTTACCTAAGTTTGGAAAGAAAACAATTAGGGTATTATTGAATGGTCTGATTTCAGGTTTTAGAAGTGTCTTGACATTGTCACAATATTATTATAACAGTTACCAATTTTGCTGACAAGTCTAACACCAGAGGGTATGCCAAAGTTGCCCAGAAACACTTTGTATTTGTTTCAGGAACTGCACGTATCTAAAAGGATCTAAGCTGCCAGCGAATTCTGATGTCTTGATTTCTTCAAATCCAGACAGTACTTAGTGTGTACCACATCATTTTGGCTCTAAATTATATAGTACCTTCTACCCCAAAACGTCTTATATGTGGAATAGTATATTCTTTATACAAAGGGGGAGTTCAAAAAGTATTTTTGTGAACAAATGGATTATATTTCCAATTTGTTCTTAACCGTGAAGGCAGGGACCACATCTACCCTACAAGGCTGGGTACAATGTTAGTTACATATACTTTCCCCGCAGGACAAAACATGGCAGGAACAAGAATGGAAAGTTTCACAGATCTACACTGACAGGAAAGCCATGAGGGGCCCTGTGAGTGGTGAGGAACAAGGCTCAGCTCCTCAAAGGTCTGTGGGACTAGAGGATGTGTGAAGGAGCCTAATTCTGGCATGTGTTAGTCAGAGATAGTGGTGTATTTAAAGCAGGAACTCAGAAGCCAAGGAATGCTCCTTGCTTTCAGTCTGTTTCTTCATTTGTAAAATGAGGTATGTGATGCAGCCTTGAGAAATAAAGAAAAGGGCACAGCACCTTGCAGATGGTGCTATGATGTTGTGTAATTATACCCTGTGCTTTCAAAAATAGTATTTACCTTTGCACAGCTGACTTGCTAAATGATGACAGAGACCCAGGACTATAAAGGATGGCAACAAATTGGAATTGAAAAGGGATCATGAACTCTTGAGGAAGTTTGAAAAGAAATGCTAAAAAAAAAAAAAAAAAAAAAAAGTTGACATTTGAGCTAATAAACATCTTCTGCAATTAGAAACTTTGAGTTTAAACTCAGAATTGTAGAAGAGGGGCCCACAAAGTCAGTGGTGCCCTGAAAATAATTCCTGCTGAATGTGGACTACCTTCTTTGTCATGAAGATCTTTCTTTCTGTCTTCATTCATTCATTCATTCATTCATTCATTCATTCACAGAGTATCTTCGATGGGCCAGGTATTCTGGATGTCGGGGGCCTATGATGCTAAGCAAAACAGACATGGCTGGCCCGCATAACTTAGTGAGGCATCTGACTTTTAGCATCTTCTCAACGATGCAATCAGAGATAGATTAGGGCCTCAGTATGCTGAATTCAAGCCCTCACATTTATAGATAAGGATCCTGAGGCCCAATGGAACTAAAGGGCTTAGGGGTGCTGCTATTCGAGGGGAGAAGAGGCAAGGGCCTCCGCACTGTCATTTTAGTCATCTTCTACCACACTGACAGAAATGGGAGATACTCTACTCGCTCACTTTGTACATTAAAAATAGAAGGCATAAACCTTTTTTTCAACTAAACAAAAATACCACTTACACCTGTTTAACAGAATATGCTCTAGAACAAAGGAAAAATGGATGAGAAGAACTAATACCTCTGGAAAAGAACAAAGAAGGCAGACCAAGAAAGAGGCAGCCAGCCAGACCCCTTACCATTTCCTTTATGCCCAGTTGCTCTTACATACATCATTTCACTCAATCTTCCCAATTCAATGAGAAAGCTATTAATGCTTCCATTGTCTTCATTTTACGAACACGAAAACAAGGCTCAAAGTCACTTGCCACGTAAAGGCTCAAAGTCACTTGCCACGTCTCACAGCTGGTCAGTGGCCAGGATTCCTACCTATGCAGTTCTTAGTCTTTTCATTATATTGGCTCCCAGAAGGAATCTGAGAGAAAAAAGACCAATCAAAGAGAGAATAAAAGATAAAGGGAAAGAGAGAAGGAAGACAATACGGGAGAAGACAACAGAAGGATACTTTTTTCCAGCTCTCAGGGCTGTATCCTCATGTTTACCCTACACTCCCCAGTGCGAGCCACACGTCATACCCCTAAATCCACTCAAGGACTTACACCTTTGTCTGGCTCTGGGATACCAAAATTAACCAGGATCTCTATTTCACCTCCATTGTCACAAGCAATGCCATCTCTGACTCCAGTAGCCTTCGTTTTTTTTTTTTTTTTTTGAGATAGAGTTTCGCCCTTGTTGCCCAGGCTGGAGTGCAATGGTGCAATCTCGGCTCACTGCAACCTCTGCCTCCCGGGTTCAAGTGATTCTCCTATCTCAGCCTCCCAAGCAGCTGGGATTACAGGCATGCACCACCACTCCCGGCTAATTTTTTGTATTTTTAGTAGAGATGGGGTTTCACCATGTTGGTCAGGCTGGTCTCAAACTCCTGACCTCAGGTGATCCGCCTGCCTCGGCCTCCCAAAGTGCTGGGATTACAGGCGTGAGCCACCGTACCCGGCAGCCTTCACTTTTTGTAATCCTTGCCTCCCATTCTAGCATTCCATCTAAAAGATCTCACTCTCCCTTCTATAGTCGAGCTGATCAAAACATTCTGCTCATTCAGACAGCTACCAGCACTTCAGAAGACCTGGCATCTTCTATAGCCAGTCACTACCACCCAGACTCCGCACTGCAGCCATGGATGCCATCTCTCTCCCCAGAAGCCCTGCCCTGCCCTGCAATTGCTTCTGGACAATTGTCTTACTACCACCACTGAGGCAGGAAGATCTTGCGTGAGCTGTCTGGACCCCTATTTGACTATAAGAACTCTGCTAAGGATCTATGCACAAATATATATGACAGTCTTAGCTCGTCAGGGGTAGAAAAAAGAAGGGCAGTTAGCTGATAAGATGTAATTAAGTCCATATCTGTGGGTATGCACAATCAAGTACATGTATTGCCTTGCAGACAACCATAACACCATTTTAAATTTAGATGTGATGCTCACAAGTCAACCAATTTCATAGTTGCTTTTCTTATTAGACTACGGAACTCCTTAGATTTTTCTATCTGACACAGGGATCAAAATCCAAGCCTGGTCCTAGCCAATGCAATAAGGCAAGAATAAACATAAGGCAAATTAGAAAGAAGGAAAGAAAGCTGTCATTATTAACAGATGGCCTGGTTAGGTACATAGAAAATATAAAAATATCCACAAAGTATAAGAATCAGTAAGCAAGGTCATTGGCTATGAGGTCAACATGTAAAAAAACTTTTAGTATACAGTAACTAAAACAATGTGAAATTAAAAGCATACACAATATCAACAAAATCATCAAATAGCTAGGAAAGTGTCAATAAAAGACATATAAGATGTCTACACTGGGCCAGGCATGGTGGCTCATGCCTGTAATCCCAGCACTTTGGGAGGCTAAGGTAGGGCAGATCGCTTGAGCCCAGGAGTTTGAGCCCAGCCTGGGCAACATAACAAATTCCTGTCTCTACAAAAAGATACGAAAAAAAAAAAAAAAAATTCAGCCAGGACTGTGGTGTGCACCTGGGGTCCCAGCTATGAGGTAGGGTGAGGTGGGCGGGTCACTTGAGCCCGGGAGGCTGAGGCTACTGTGAGCTGTGATCATGCCACTGCACTCCAGACTGGGCAACAGAGTGAGACCCTGTCTCAAGAAAAAACAAAGAAAAAAGATGCCTACACTGAAAACCACAAAACACTAAGAAAAATTAAAGAACTCTCAATAAATGGAAGGATAGATCATGCTCGTGGATTGGAAAGCTTAACATTATAAAGATATCGATTCTTCCCAAATTTATCTATAGGTTCAGTGTAACCCCCAACAAAATCTTAGCATTACACAGAAGGGAGAATGAAGAAATTGCAATTATGCTTAACAACATGGATGAATCTCACAAATATGCTGAGCTAAAAGAAGCCAGACACAAAAGGGTACATGCCATGTAAGTCCATTTATATAAAGTTCAAAAAAAGACAAAACTAATCTATGGTGTTTGAAAGTCAGGAGGGAGGTTACTCTCGACGGGGTGGTGCCTGTTAAGGGGGCACAGGAGTCTTCTTATAGTCTGATAAGTTCCGTTTTCTGATCTAAATGCTTATACCGTTTGTAAGAATTCATCATGCAGCTGTACTCTTGTGATTTCTGTATGTTACTTCAATTAAATTTCTACTTTTTAAAAAAGCAGCCTGGTCCTCATCAAATAGCACCACAGAGTTAATACTAAAATATATCAAATTTTAGAAAATCTTTCTTCTGTGATGGTCTAGAAACAGTCTTCCAAAGAAACAACTCAGTTGTTTTAAAATAGAAAAAATAAACTGGTCCATTCAAGAGAAATAATAATTCCCTCTGCTGACAAAAGCTGTTTACTGCCCACAAGTACAGGCCTGTGGACTGTTCAAGGCGGCCACCCCATGCCCGTGCTAATGGTAAACTTCACTATTACAGCCCCAAGGATCAAGACGTAGGAAAACACTTTTGTTGAATGTTATGATGAGCAACAGTTCCATTCAAAAGCATTTTTTTTTTTTTTAAGAAAGACGAAACCCATCTTGTCTAATAAGGCTTTCTTTGGTGTTTCATAATCATCAAAGTTTCAATTTGCCACAGACTTTGTTGTGAATACATAAAACATTTATGTAGCTGCTGAGTGTTAAAGAAATTGCCAATTAGTTACCCTGCGGTCTGAAGGGAAGAAGGACTAAGCCCATCCAGATTTCTCCTACTTCACACACAGGCTTTGACCGCCTTCCAGCAGTTGCCATCCTTCACGTTCTGTTTTGGGGTTTTCCTTGTCCCTTCTTCAGTTTCATTTACCTTCATCTGGCCCAGACTCATCTTTCCCAAATCAGCTGTGCAGGCCTGACCTCCAGGTCACACTCAACTGTCATTATCCTCTTAGTTCACATGGAAAGTTGTGTCTCATGACAGAAGCTGACCAGAGCACTGACACGTGCTTCTGAATGGCGTGTCCATGAGGCTGCAGCTCAGGGGGCTGGCCTAGGTCTCCAGAGCCTCCCATTACACTTGAACAAATATGATGTGGAATGTACACAAATAGTAATGGCCATACACTGCTCAGGGTTCCAGAGCCATCATCCTGAAATGAAGGCCTTCTCCTAAGTCTCCTGGCCACCAGCTTTGGGTCACTGCTCCTCTCTGTGACCACTGCCATCTCACTTCCTTTCCCTCTAGAGGAAGAATTACATACTGCATAGTCCAAGAATGGGGGTGGGAGGGGAGAGAAGTCCGAGACACCTGCCCATACTATTAATATTCTGTGGTTGTGGGAGTGAGTAGAACACAGGGAAAGAAGGTAGAGGAAAAGATGATCAAGAAGAGGGACATGGAAAAATAACAAGGACACTGGCAAAACAGAACCGAAAAATCCACCAGGGAAGAGCAGGTATGACCTCTTTTTCCCTGATTTGCCCTTAACTTGTCTGAGTACTCCACTGGCAAAGACCAGAGGGCTTTAAGTCACAGGAGGGAGTGTACCTTGTGCTTCCAACATAGTGCTGCCTACTCTTAGCTCTTGCCTTTTTTGACGAATTTTGAGACAAAGCTCAAATACCTAGTTAGCAGGAAAAAAGATGTAGATAGGGTAAGACTTATTTTTTAAGTTCTACAGTATTACCAGAGAGGGTCAGAAATATTTATTTTAGGACTGAGCAGATTAAAAACTCATTTTACACATAAAATCTATTATACCTCAATATTCTTTGTAACTGCTCTAACAGCACTAGTGAATGACTCTAATAGTAGATAATACTCTGTTCTGGGAAACAAGAAGGTTCACAAGGAGATAAGGTTAAGTGGACAGGTTCTGGCACTTAAAAAAGAATATCTGGAAAAGGAGATGTCTGGATTTCCAAACCAAATAAGAGGCATGCTCAAACTTGTTTAACATTGATCCTGCCTGGCAACAGTTTCCAAAAACAAAAATTGACAATGTTATCAAATTTAGTTAGGGGACACAAGTTCTAAAAGCAGAATTGGTGTAGGTATGGAAGAATGTGCCGTTTTTCTTTAATATCTCACACAGCTAACCTGTGTAAGGATAAATTCTCAAATTTAATAGGTGAAAAATCATCCACAAATGGTAAAATCAACTATTGAGCAAGCTGTGCTAAAAACCGTTTAATGAGCCCCCCAAAAGCCCTCTCCTCAAACATGCACAAATGATCTCTGACCCAATTATCTCCATCTGTGTCACTCTGTTCTTTCACCACTGTTTTAAGGTCAACACAAATACATAAATGTGAGAAGTGAGAGAATCAACAATATTAGAGATTTCTAAGCCTAAGGGCAGCATTTCTGGATGCTGTTTGCATTTCTATATATTCTTTAAAAATGGACCCTAAAAAAGTCAGCGACTGGCCAAGACTTCAAAAAAGTCACTGTTACAGGGAAAATAAAAAAGCTAGGGAGACTGTTGCATATTAAAGAAGACAAATGAAGCATAAACATAAATGCAATGTGTGATTTTAAATTGAATCCTAGATCAAAACCATTATCAACATTGCTAAAGAGATATCTGGAGACAACTGGGGAATTCCAAACATTACTGAATAAAAGTTAATTTTCTCAGGCTATGTAGGAGAATGTCAATCTGTGGAGACGCACACCAGGGTATTTGGGGTGAAATGTTATAATGCCTGAAACTTGCTTTCAAATGGTTAAGAAAAAACCATATATACACAGAGATGAAGCAAATGTAGCAATACGTTTTAAAAATAAATCAATAAAACAGCTATTATGTCCCATTTCCTCTGAGATATTTGGAGGAAAAAAAATCCTTTATCTTATAGTTGACTAACATGTCAAAAGTAGAAATGCTTAGAACCTCAAAACCATACGTCGACAAATGAAGAAAGCCACCCTTGGCCTGTTACTGAATTGGAAGGATAATACAGCCCTGGGAATCTAGCCTTACACAAGGATATATGCTGGTCATACCTAATGTCTACGCCAGTGGTTCTCAAACACATTTTGTTGGCTTTGGCCCACTTAGAAAGGACAAGGGAACACTCCAGAGATGGCAAAATAAAAACAGCCACTGCTGTCACTGTGACTACTGCCTGCTAATACTTCCATCAACCTGCCTGGGTAAAAAGATAGCAGTTACACAAATGCAAAATGATCAACAAAAATAACACCTATCAGTAACTATATTCATATTAATGCATCTATAACAGGAACTAAAATATATGCCCAAGTCAACCACAAACGATTCTTGAGAAAAAATGGAGAATTTCCACTCCTTGTGAATTTATATGTAAAACACGTTTAGGACAAATAGGTTGTCCAGAACAGCTGGACAACTCATTCGATTTCATCCCCAGGGTCCTCCAGAGAGTGCAAGGCAGCTATCACCAACCTGGGAAGGTTGGCAGAATTGAAGTTCTCTTTCTTATGGTTCTCCTTCATTTTCTTCCCTCATAAGCAGCTTGGGTTAGCCCTTTTTACCCCTAAATGCTGAGCAGGGCTGGGATCAGGACGAGAGGAAGCTGGAAATAGGTGGCCTATGCTTTCGCTGCTCTGAGCCTGGGGGCTCCAACTGTTCAGCCTAGTTTACCAGGCTAATAAAAAGGAACACGGGGCTGAAGACCTAAACTGTGTTGAAGTAAGTACACTGGCTTGGAAAATCCCCTGTGCCTTTATGTCTTAGGAACCAAGAATGGCAGCTGGACCTTAGTGTGGAATCAAGGCCCTCCATACGACTCATAGGGGACATGACAAACACCTGGTAAGCCAACAACTGGCTGGCCATACCACATGCAGGGGCTGAGATTTCAGGGCAGGCTCATTCTGCAAGAACAGCTGCATTTGTCCTGGGCAAAGTCCCACATGAAGAAAGTAAGGCTTGTGCTTTGTGCTTGTGCTTTGGGATAGGGTTTGCTATTAGCAGGTACAGGGAAAGAAGCTTCAGAACTGGCACAGCTGTATAGTATTCAGGACTTTAGATTAGCAATTAATCATGGTGGTGGAAGGGAGTTATGATGTTGATGACTCTGGGGTATTTTTGCTATTTGTCATATGTCTCGGCAAGAACCAAAGGACTGACTGTCACCTTGGTGGTATATTTCAGGGCTCCAGGGTCTCAGATCAACCATGAGATAGCAGAATTCATCAGTGAACAGTTACAGAATAGAATCCCTTCCTATAAGGCCAATTATCATCTTCTGTACAATAAATAACGCAAGAGCCAAATTAGGGAGTGGTAAAGCTAGTTCCTGGAACACTTGGCTTCAGGAATCAGATTTCTCCCATGCAGTGGGAAAAAAAACTACAGTCAGCAGAAGAGAGGCTTCAGGAACTGGTGTGTGGACAAAACAAACAAACAAAACACTCAATTCTTGCTGATTTAGACCTAGAAACTTGGGGTAATACAATCAGCTCAAAATAAAAGGCTTTGAATGTATTATCATGACATGGACTATGGGAAAGACATATCCAAAAAATAGGGTTAGGGTTACATTGGTATAGGAATAAGACCAACCTAAGATCCAGATTCAAGTTTTTGAAGTTTTGATGGCCTTGCATGAAAATGGCTAGAAATACCAGGATGTAATAGCAGCCAATGAAATTAGAGCCAAGTCTTGCCACAGTGGGAAAGGAAGTGAGGGAAGGAGACACCTTTCTTGCTCATGAGAGTAGATGAGGTTGTATCAAGTGTCTGGAAATTCAAGAGCCAAGACCTTTTGGGGAAGATTTTTGAAATGCAAGCTGAGGAATTTTGTTGGTGAGTGCCATGTTAAAAAATGCTAGGCACCTTGCTTGAAAGGCAGCATAGAGACTATCTCCAGAAAGCCCACTCTCAGTTCCTAAGTGTGGTGGCAGAAACACAATTATTAAGGACACTGGAAGATTACTCTAGAATTCTGAAAATGGAAATCCAAAGGCCTTGAATATAAAAGTTAGAAACTAAAGGGAAGAAAAGGAGCTTAGAAAAGAACTGAACCAACTTTGAAAATGTATAAATAGCATTAGTAGACAATGGTATCTGAAACATCTCTAAGAGGTTGCCTGCAAAGACAGTGGAATTTCTCCCAGAATACAGGAATTAAGAGTTATTGATAAAATTTTCCCCACCTGGGTTTCATTTTACCTCTTTTTGTTTGTTTTTTTAGAGATAGGGTCTTGCTCTGTGACCCAGGCTAGAGAGCAATGGCGCAATCATAGCTCACTGTAGTCTCAACTTCTGGACTCAAGCGAGCTTCTTGCCTCAGCCTCCAGAGTAGGTGGGACCACCGGTGCCTGCCACCACACGCAGCTACATTTTTTTTTTTTTTAAAGAGACGGGGTCTCACTATGTTGCCCAGGCTGGTCTCAATCTCCTGGCATCATATGATCCTCTAGTCTCAGCCCCCCAAAGTGTTGGGATTACAGGCTTGAGCCGCTGCACCCAGCCTCAAACCTGGGTTTTAAAATAGATGACGGAACTGGTACCGAGAAGCAGTTAAGACCATGAGGCCATTCTCTGTAAGTCTCTCCTCCATTGCTTGTTTACCTCAGATAACCCTAAGTCTCTGCTATGCACTCGAGCTGACGATAGCAACATGGGTCTAGGTTGTGACACATATCATGTACTGGGCTTGTAGAACATTGCTTTCTCTGGGGGAAATGCTGGCTGTATATAGAACTGGTGCTTTGAAGACAAGACCTTGCAGAGTTCTGGAGAGTCAAGTGTTTGTATAAGACCAGTGTTATGATATTTTATGCCCTTACTGCTCCCTGGAATGTGGGCTATATGAGATACAGGATAGATTCAACAATGGAGAAATCCAGCATATCAGCAATTCCAGCTTAGGGGACCCCCAGGTTGTAGCTTCTAGCAGACCCCAGAACAAAGCCCGTCTGGCTAGGGGTAAAAGCAGGGAAAGATGAAAATGGTGATTTTATACTTACAAAGGAATTTTAATTTCTTTGTGGGAAGGGGGAATGACTAGACAAGGAGGTTACACTTTACAGAAAAGGGCCTTAGTTGGGAGCATTCTCACACTGTTAAAAATCTCATTATTTGAACTATAAGGTTTATATTATCTAGTGGCTTCATATAACCTGGGGAAGGGGAGGTGGTTTAAAGGTTTCCTTCTGCTAAGCATGGCTCAAGGATTGCAACATTCAGCAAACAATTGCCTCCTTCCCATCCCCCATTTCACATGGCCGCTTACAGCAATGGTAGCAGCCAGAGAGCAGAACCAGCACAGGGTATCTGGCAATCAAATACCCAGATGAAATACAATTGGTTAGAAGACAAAAACTAAATTCTGCCCATGGAAGTCGGCTTGGGAGGTTACTGTCTAACATGTAATTGTAACCCACAGGTTGGACAGTACAACTCAGGTTGACCGGCCCAAGTGTGGGGGGCACTCCAAACTCCGGGGGGAGCTCAAGACTTGCCCTACCTCTTTACTCCTTCCAGAGAGAAGAAATGTGATCAAGTCTAAGATGATACCCAGGTCCTCAAGGACAGACAGGGGGAAAGATGGGGTGGGGCAATAGCTTTGGCTAGGAAGAGCAAATGTGGTCCTGAACACTGTCTACCTTTTCTGCTGCATGAGGCTGAAAGCTGCTCCCACTCTCCAAAGGCTGAGAAGGCCCAGGGAAGAGCTCAAGGCAATGGACCTGTTGCGGGCCTTTGGAGTAAAAGAGTCATCAAAGGTGACCTATGGGGCACTAGCAAGTTTGCAAGGGTAGAGAAGTTGGCAAGGCATGCCTTTGGTCATCAACTAGGAGGGCTGGCTTTTGGGATACTGGTCTTGTCCTTTCTTCACTTCTATCAGCGAATGATATGGGTGATTTGTAAAGATTTCTATTCTAACTCTGGCTAAAATACAAGGAAAGAAATTCTTTGTATTAATGCTTCGTCACTGCTCCTCCTCCCAAAAGAAGTGGTCACGGATGGGAGGAGAGCCTTCCGTCCACGGGTGTAAAGTACTAAATCAGCAATGTCCTGATTCATAGATGGTGACCTGTGGGTAAGAACGATTATCTATCACTGAATAGCTGCATCTTATTCTCGGGACAAAATTGCCTCTTGCAGACAGTAATTTCCAAACAGAAAACCTCTGTTATCAAATAAGGAAGAAAACTGAATGCCAATGGTAGTAGAGTGATTTTTTTTGACCCAGATGAACTAGTTTCAGATTTACTTCCTTTAAGTTCATATTCTTTCTACACTTCAGCATTTTTCTTGAAACAGCTTGGATTTGTACAGTTCCCTTTCTTCAAAGGACTCATTTAGCCTAACAATTTAGGATTGTTACTTTAGAACGCCAAAAATGGAAACCTAGATGCCTTGAATTTCAGCGTTAGAAATTAAAGGTCAGGAGACGAGAAAAGAATTAGACCAACTTCGATTGAAGTAGGGCTCAAGTATTAGCACATACGGGGCTCTTCCATTAAAAATATTTTATACAGGATGAATATTTCTAATTGCATAAGAGTGTCGCATCTCAGAACTTGTGGGATGTGGAGAAACCAAAGCATTTAACAGTCAAGTAACATGCTTGTGAGTACGGAACTGACTCCAGGAGAGTCAAGATAAAAACAAGAGGTTCTTCTGACTTCTAATGCACCGCCCCCTTTCGACTACCATAGGCTTCTTTTAGACCTACAGCCACAGAGCTGGCATGTTGGTTACTTTCATGCTTAAGAGACCAGCAGCATACAAATGTGAGGGACTGGCAGGATTACACCAAAGGAGGATTCTGAGCATTATTTGAATCAGTGTTTTACTACTTTCCTTGGGCAGCTTAGCTCTTCAAAGAATTTTAATACTCAACCTGTAGAAATATGATAGACAACTATTGGTTTTATTTTCAAGATTGAGAAAGAGGTCTAAGGAAACCCTTGTTCTCCCAACTCATTAGAGATGACAGGGCGGCTTCCTCTACTGTGACCTTACATCAACCACAGTGGATTTTATCATGAAGGGCTGCTCACACTGGATCACGCAATCAGGATAAGGGGAAACAGGACATTTTTCCTGAAAGGAAAAAAAATTGCAAAACTAAACCTTAAGCTTTAACAACCCTTCTATAATTTACTCCCAACTTACATAATTCTCATCCACACTGGCACTAAAGTGAAATGTTAACAGTACTTGAAATAGGATTTAAGCACTGTGGAAAATCTTATCTTTAATTTCAGATTGAAAATTCATCCTTAAAATCTGACAGGAGAAAATCCAAACCCTAGGGAAATGAGTTTCTTCCCCCAGAACCATTCCCTTCTATCTATAGCCCCACTTCTCCTAAAAGCAGAAACTCAGCAAGTACGTCAAGGGTGCCTAAACTGTGACTTGCTCTCTAGCACATGCAGTCTTACTGGGAAACATAGCATTAGCTGCTCAAAGTCTAAATGCAGCCTAGCAACACTTGGCTAGTGTATGTGTTTAAAAGAGGAAACAGAAAATGAGAAATAGCCCTAACTAGCTTTTGTTCTCTTTATCTAGAAGGTCATCCCAAGGACTCAGAACTCTGGGTTTGAGACCCTTTACAGTGTTACTTCCCCACCAGCTGGAGGCTGGGGCAGCTGGGATGGGAAGGGCATGTGGTAGGGAATGCGGTGGTGTGCGGGCTGTATGCACCAGGTGTCCACAGTGCGCAGAGCAGGCGCTGTGGCCGAGGCGGGACATAAACACGTGACAGGGCTCCTCTGCTTCTGCAGACACTTGGAGCCTAAGAAATGTGATTTGTTTCCTGTTTCAATAGGCATAAAAATGGGGAAGCAGGGACTATGATTATTAGTTGTCAAAATACTAAATACCTCCCAAAACCCTATGCTGTTTCCACCTTCTTCCGCAAGAAATAAAATTCCATGGCTGCTGGGGAAGAAAAAAAATGAAGAGGGAGTTGAGGAGAAGCAGAAATTTTCTGAGTCGAGATATCCCTCAGCACAGCAAAGTTATCCCCCCTCAATTATTCTCTATTAAAATTCAGATGAGGAAACTAGGGGTAGGCTCCAGGATCCGGCCTTTACTGTGGGTGACCATGTGAAAGAGACATCCCCCCCTCTTCTATTCTACCTTTTCTATGGGAAAAGTATAAAAGACCCTCATTAAGTGCTCTTGCAGGCCATTACAAAGCATTTCCAGGCACTCAGCTGAAAGTGTTTATGTAAGCGAAGTCCTTTTCAGCCCCTCTGGAGAAACACAGATATCAGCAACCTCCTACACAGCTGATATCTAGGGTTACCTCCTGAGAGGTTTCAAACTCTCTCACAAAAGGACAATCTGCCCAGGCCTGTTCTTTTTTTAATAGGGAAGGGAAGGCATGCTTGCAAGGCCAACTTACAGCAAGGGAAAAAAAAATCCTTGAGGCAAAACACAAGTGCAAACTGCCTTATTAAGTTTGTGAGGATGAAGAGTAGGAACTAAGAAGAGCTCTTTAAAATCCTGAGGAAGTTGCTCTGGATCATTACTATTAAGTTTTGTTTTGCCTTTTAACTGATTGTCCTTTTTATGCTCATCATACATCCCTGGGCTATCCCACAGAGAACACTGGACGTGTGTCTGTGAGCTGCCGGTGAGCTACCAGGTAAGATGTTGGAGGATGTTTAAGTGTGGAAGCAGCTAGGTGTGGTGGCTCGAACCTGTAATGCCAGCTATGTGGGAGGACTGCTTGAGGCCATGAGTTTCAGACCAGCCTGGGCAACACAGCAAGACCACCCCCAGCACACCCGCTTGGCCAATTAATCAATCAATCAATCAAGGCTGGATGCTATTTTGAGGCACGTGCACCCTTAAAACCTGGCCTAGTTTTGGCATGATGAGGCTACTTTGGTTTGGGGGTTGCTCAGAGGCTGGGTTTTTCTGGTACTTCCAAGGATGTTCATTTTGGGAGGCAATGCATTTGATTAGTGTCCAGTGGAAGGGTTTACAGCCATAGTGAGGTTCCCCCATTGCTCAGTACCAGAAGTTTGAGTACGGTCGTTTAAAAAATACTTATCTGACCACAGTGGAAAATTAAACAGGAGTGAAGGCAAAGGAGTAGAAAAACTACAACTTTGTCTCCCCCTGTGTTAAAATTGTAAGCCTAAGCAAGAAGTGTCTGTGTCGTGGCAGGTAAACACCTGGGCTATTCAGGCCTGGAGTAGAGGGGAGGTCAGAGAAGAGCAGGCAGGAATCCTCAATGGGGAGCTAAAGCCACAACCCCACGGGAAGGAGATAAAAGGGTTTAACAGCCTCAGATCAAGTCTCAACACCTCCCTCTCCAGGGGAAGCTAAACCACCCTCTCCTCTTATTATCACGCCCTTTAGACAGCTACAGTCTAAAATGAGAGACAAAGAAAGGGGAATGGGCTTCACTGGCTTTGTGGGTCAGCGGCAGCTCTTCCCCAGAATCCCAGGCCATCAGCCCGGCAGTTTAAGGGTTAAAGTGAGCACTTAAAAGAAAACTCAAACCCCATTAAGCCCAGGCTTGGAGAACAGGGAGCAGCAGGGAAGCCAAAGGAAACTAATTTTGGAGGCTCTCCAAGCTGCCAATCACAAGCATATTTCTAACAGTCCCAGTGTTGTTTGAGTTGGTTGTTTTTCCACGGGCTGCACAATGGGGTCTGGTTATTCATTGAAAAAGTCTGCAAGTGAGCCCCGCCCTCCATTCACAACCAATTTGGAATGCTCCATTCAGGCAAGAGGGGGAATCTGCAGCTCTGCTAGCTGGGGCAGACCTAATAGTGCTCAGCGCCCAGCTGTCGCCGCAGGGACGCTTGCTCGCTCAGTACGCTGTGTTTACGTAAGAAATTCAGACACGGCAGGGGATCTTGCCTGCTGTGCACCCTTCCTAGGATTCAAATGGCCAAGACCCTTGTGGAAATCTGCAAGGCTGTGCAAAAGTCCGCTAGAAGTAAGGTCAGAAAGTGCCCTCTGGCAAAACGGGAAAGGCAAAAGAAAAACTATCATGTGCCCCTCGGTTCAGAATCTGGCTGTAGCTACCAGCGGAGAGAAACAGACTTCAGTGGTATTTCTCCTGCCCCAGGGTGAGCTGGTTTGCATTAGGGCACAACTCTCTCTGGAAGCCTGCCTCTCCAGACCTTCCTTCCCATTCACTGCTGGTAGCTACATCGGGAGCCACCTGGCTTCCTCCCCAGGGGAGGAGGGCTCTGGAGACACTACCAGATTTTCTGGCTGCAGAGGAGGGGACAAGCTACCTATTAAGACAATTTCACAGTTCCTTTTTTGGCTTTGGATCCAGCCTGAAGAGTTCAGAATACCCTCCTGAATGCTCATGAGACATCAAAAGGGAAGAATGTGGAGATCTAAGGTTGGAGGGTGAAATCTACGCCGAGACTTTGCAAAGTACAAGGCAAAAAAAACTGGCTTTGCTTCTTAGATATTTTTTCCAAACCTTCAATAATCACCCTGAGGGAAAGCGGATGGAGCCCGTCTGACAACCAGACTTTATTTCAAGGAAAAGCATACTTCTTTATGAAAAGCAAATCCAGGAGATAAATTTTAGCTCATGGTTGTTTCCTTTTTTTCATCACATATTTGGCTATTTTCAAATGTCTTATGTATGCTTCTTCTCACTGCCTGCCCTCATGTCCCCTCCAGCGAACTCAGTGCCACTGGAAGCATTTCTCTGAAGTCCTTCTGACCACAGAATCCCCATTCCATGCCTCGGCTGTTCAGATCAGCCTCAAACTCCTGGCCTTTTAATAACTAGATCTTATCCTGCTCCCTGGAATCTTGCACTCTCTGCTTCAATTTTCCCCTAGATGCTTCTTTCTTTTTAAACAAGGGAGCCCCCTTTATTTTCTATGCAGAGTCCTCTTACGGGGAATTCTTTTCCCTTTAACATCTGAGTTGCTAACCCACTGTCATTTGCCTGCCAGGCCCAAAGGTGTACTTACATTATGGTTATAATTTATACATACACACTCTAACTAGTGCCGGCACATACTAGGGGCCTGGTATCTTGCCACTCCTTTAAGCCAAGCCTAGAGGGATAGGACAATGATAGAAACTGACGACCAAAGCCTCTGTTAAATGAGCTTGATGAGTTCACAAAATGAATTTTTAAAAAAGCAACCTAATCCGGTAATGGCATCAGCATGCCTGGCACTTGTCCAAGAGCTGGGAGCTGCAACATGACAAGCCTCTGAGCTCCTTGGATTCCAAGTGGAGAAGCACTGTGTGCCAGGGCACAGATGGGGCCCAAGCTGCCTCAAGGGCAGCCGTATGCCCGAGAGGGGGCTGTCAGCCTCTGAGGCTGGATGTACTTTACCACCACTAAAACCCAAGAAATGTGTGGAGGGAACAGTTTCTCGGCAGAGAATCACACACCCCACCCCACCACCAAGAAACATTTTTTTCTAGGGCTGAAATTAAAACAATGATACTACTAGATGGTAGAAATGGGAGACAGTACACATTTTCGGCTTCATTATGCTACCCATGCCTTACTCCTGTAAAACTGAAGAATGCTGAAAGAGGAGGGGATAAATGGTAATTTCTTCATGGATGCCAGGATTTTGTTACTTCTGGCACCTACACAAGTGATCTTGACACAGATGTAACTCCCCGTCCCAAATCTTTCTCACCAAATACAAAGGACTGGTAAGCCTACTGGGTTTTGTTAGATGACTAACAGCGCAGAGACACAGAAGGGTAAGAGAAAAATTCAGTTTTAAATAAGCCTAACTGAATTAAAGGTAGACGAAAGCAGATTTTGTAAAACAGATGGCTCCTTTAAGTAAATGCGTACTGTAGGTCTTGGGTCCTTCAGAATACTGAGTCTAAGAATCTTTGAGGCTATCAAAACAGGAAGGATTTCAAATCATTTAGCACCCTCCCAGCAGTAAGGTACTGGGCTAACTAACAAACACTTTGAAAGTAACACTGTAAAACCTGGAGTCAAAGAATCTCTCCTCCATGTTTTCCTCACGCTTTCATCAGCATTCTTTTCTACCTTCAGAACTACTGATTCCTGAAAAGTATAAACCAATGGCCTTGTTTTCCCTCAAACCTCTTATTTTTAAAGTGCCCACTGTTTTCTTTCTTACCTTGCCAAACAAAAAGACTTTAGGATGATCCTTTTGAATAGAGGTGGCCCAAGCAAGAAAACGTGGTGTTTTGCTACACCACACCTAGGACCAAAGACCAAAATGATGTACCCTCTCCAAAGGAAAGGCACTGCCTCTACTGTACTAAACTCACACATTAATAAAGAAATCCAGCTGAATAATCTCATCGTGAAACAGGATTAAGATCAATGTGTTTTAGGCTCAAGGGCTGTCATAACAGTTAATCCTATTTCCCCAGCCGTCTATTGCAATGTATTTATGAAAAGTCGATTTTATCAGTTAATTAGCTGGTCCTTAGGAAATTACTTGTACTTCCTCCAGTTGTTCCATTCTCTTTGAAACACAGATCTAAAAAGAACACTTCAAGGGGAAAATGGGGTCATTTGGATCTTAAAACAATTCTCTAGGCTGTATTTGGTATGGAGGCCATGACTTTGAAATAAGATTTTTATCATGCTCTCTACTCAGCATAAAATATCTTAGTTATTCAAGATGCTAACAGGTATATATTTATAATATCATAACTGAAATTAATAAGTGAGATTAAAAATCAGACCCAAAATGTATATTTAAAAAACTGCTATTTATATATGCTAAAATCTAGTAACACACTCTTTAAGTACCCAGTCAGTTCAGAAAAATGAATGGAACACATCACCTTACCCCGACTTTGAAACACTCTTGAGTTCCAATCTTATCCATGGCATAGTTAGTTCTATGAAAATGTGTAGTAAATATGTACATACATCTATGCACTGACCCAGATTCCCTGGTTTAGCCGCTCTATGTGTTAAGGTACACATTTAGCTACATACACAGTTACATAGATATATACACATGCACAAACACTTTTTCATATATAGGAAATATGTACACAGTTTTATCTGTATACACACGAAAGGTGTCTTCTAGGAAACATGGCAGTTTTCTTTTGTTTTCGTTTTTTAGAGATAGGGTCTTGCTCTGGTACCTAGGCTGGGGTACAGTGGTGTGATCACTACTCGCTTCAACTGTAACCTCGAACTCCTAGGCTCAAGAGATCCTCCCGACTTGGCCTCCTAAAGCACTGAGGTTACAGGTGTGAGCCTAAATATGTCAGTTTTTTATAATTTTTTTCTTTTATAATTACTCTCTGTCTTCCAAATCCTAGATGGAAAAACTCAAAGCATGAAGGTATTGAGTAACTTTCTCAGGATCATAGAAGGAAGAGAAGTGAGTGCTGAATTGGACAGCCAGAGGCCTCCCAGATGCTTTCCTGAACACCATCTCCAGGTATCTGAAATAATGGAGACCCTGAATACACTTGAATATGCCACTACTCCCTGGCTCTGCAGCTTTGTGAGAGCTTCTTTAAGAATATTATTTTATACATCTTCCTCTTACTTCACCTAAACCTTCCCATCTGCCCCCACTACTGGTCAGTCTCTTCAGCTATTTGGGAATAGCTGTGAAAGGAGGGGGCTGGGCAAGCTTGTCTCTACAAAGGACATCCAACTCAAGCAATCTGAGATCTTCAGAGTTACTTCTTAGGACCAAGGGACAATGAGGTCCACTGGTAGAATCCCTATGATCTATAGATTTCTATTCCCTTGAATTTGACCTTTCAGAGTCTCCATGCTTTACTGATATCTATATGTGTGAGGTAGAGGTGAAATCTGTACAGCTAGAAGTAAGCTGGGCATTTCTATAAGATATAAAAGCAATGGTTTCATTCACTCAAATCAGACTTAAGGATGTATCCCTATGGGCAGGAAACCCAATTCTAAGAAACTTACAAAATATAATCTCTTTAGAAGTTGAACTTTTAGTGTTTAGAGAAAAAAAAAAGCCATAATCTTTAAAACTGACATTCCAAAATAAAAATATTACCTACATTTCTTAGTATTTCTCTTTCTTTCATGTATACAATAAATTTACACATATACAATGGAAAATTATCAAATCATTATTAATAGGAAAGTGTATTACCAGTGGCCACTGGTAAGAATATTTGTTACAGGCCGGGCACAGTGGCTCACGCCTGTAATTCCAGCACTCTGGGAGGCTAAGGTGGGCGGATCACCTGAGGTCAGGAGTTCAAGACCAGCCTGGCAAACATGGTGAAGCCCCGTCTCTACTAAAAATACAAAAATTAGCCAGGCATGGTGGCAGGTGCCTGTAATCCCAGCTACTCGGGAGGCTTAGGCAGGAGAATTGCTCGAACCTGGGACGTGGACATCCCAGTAAGTGGGCCGAGATTGCGCCATTGCACTCTGGCCTGGGTGACGAGCAAAACTCTCTCTCCAAAAAAAAAAAAAAAAAAAAAGGTTTGCTTTCCCCTGGCAAATCTAAGTTTGGCTTATATTCATTGGTTAAGTGAGTCAAACCAACTCATAAGGTTTCATTAAATTTGAATGAGTTTTCTTCCCTCCCCTGAAAAAAATCACGAGCTCTTCCAGAAAATGACTGGAGTGAAGCTGGTCCTGAACTCGAGGCTGTGGAAAGCGCTCATGGAAAAGTAAGTGCATGCAGCCGGCTGTGGGCTCTGCCAGCTCCTCCTCATGCTTCTGGCTGTTGGTCTGAACTGCAGGCAAACAAACTTGCTTTTGCAAGAATGAATGGCTCAAAGATGCACCACCCACATTTGTGTTCTTGCCTTGCTTCTTAAGCAAGTTATTCTATTTGAATCTATCCCTTCTTGAAGCTCTACCTCAAGAAATAAAGTCAGAGGGAAAGAATCATTAGAAGACCTTTTCTAGGCTAGTCAACCATCTCTTTTATCCTTAAAAGACAGAAAGGCTCAACCTTAGGCAGTTAAAACAAAAAGTAAGCAAAGTAAAAAAAACATCATACTTGGTAAGCAGAAACATCTCCCAAATTACCTCCACTTGAGGTATGGAATTTTAATTAAAGAACTTAGCACATTCTATTTGCTGAGCAGAAATTATTTCTAAAGAGCCAAAACACATTTATTGATTTCTTCACTTTAGCCTATTCCCACAGATAAATATCTCTCCAAATATAAATCCTGCTTGCTGACAAAGAACATACCCTTGCTTCAGCACATGCAATCAATTTGAATGCAGCCATCTCATCTCCCTTTTAACTCTTTTGGGTTACAGAGAAACAAACAAAAGTGTCATAAAAGCATTTCAAAGAACCTCTGCCAAGAAAGCCACCTCCCAAACAGACTGCAGTTTATGCTGCTCTGAGCAAGAACTGGAAAGGCTGGGCCAAATTGTCAACACAGAACAAAGTTGGATTACAAACCCTGTCTTTCATCTTGCAAACACACACACACACACACACACACACACACACACACACACACACACACACTTGGATTATCTTTATTTAGTCTTTCAGTGGCAAGCTTCCCAATCACTCGAAAGCAATCAAAGGGCAATAATTAACATGCATTTACTCTCCCATAGAACACATCCACAGCAAGCTGTGACAAAGCTAAGGTAACCATGCATGTGTGTGTTCCAGTTTATTCCCTTTTACAGTTTCATGGCATTGTGCCTTGGACATGAGGCCTATCATTAAGGAATGTTTAGCTGTTACCTCTGCTCTTACATTTAAAAGATTTGGAATACCCAACTTTTTACTTAGAGAGAGACCTAAGATACTCTCTCTCCAGTGGCATTTTTACACACATACACCCACCTACCCAGAGATAAAACAAAGCTGGGAAGAATCTGTTGGTCCAAAATGAGAAATTGAGTCCTTGCATGGCTCAGGTGCTTGCTATTATAAACTATGACTAAGAGACATGAATTTCTCTATGATGCAACTCTCAAGAGAGGCAGCATTTTCTCCAGGCCTCTCTTAAACCTGCTCATTCGCCAGTGACTAATGCTCTCTAGAGCAGCCCTGTGCTGCTCAAATTTCATCAGCCGGCTTTGTCCTTCATAACTCTGCCTAGACCATAAAAGCTCCCAAACCTGTTGAGGACAGCCCCAAAAGATCAGTGCAAAGTAACCATGCCCCTGCCAGTGTTGAAAGCCATCTTTTGAGCTTCCCACTGCATTTTCTCTCTAGTAATGAGCACTTAGTGGCCATTTTAAGAAAAAGTTTCTCTTCTCTGAAGAGAAAAGCCACAGCAACTACACGAAAAGTAAGAGTAAATCAGGCCACTCTGTGACCACCCCTTGTCAGCTTAGGGGTAGAGACAAAATTGACAACATGTTGGATGAAGCCAAAGTTAACTGGAGTTTTCCATTAACTATTTTCTGCACCTTTAAGAAAAAGAGAAATATCAGGTTCATGATTCACATCAAGGACTTAATTTATAAAACAAACCCCAAAAAAGCCATAAAACAATGTGTGATTAATAGATGCTTGGCCTAACACCAAATATATTTTGTCAGTTAATTTATAATTTTGAGCTTAAAGCTTTGCAATATTCTTTTTTTTTTTTTTTTTGAGATGGAGTCTTGCTCTGTTGCCCAGGCTGGAGTGCAGTGATGCGATCTCAGCTCACTGCAACCTCCGCCTTCTGGATTTAAGTGATTCTCCTGCCTCAGCCTCCTGAGTAGCTTGGATTACAGGCGCCCACCACCACACCTGGCTAATTTTTGTATTTTTAGTAGAGACGGGGTTTCACCATATTGGCCAGGCTGGTCTTGAATGCCTGACCTCAAGTGATCCACCTGCCTCAGCCTCCCAAAGCCCTGGGATTATAGGTGTGAGCCACTGTGCCCAGTCAGCTTTACAATATTCTTAAGGTAAAAAGAAATTTAGGATAAAATTATGTTCAGTAAATCTTACCTGCAATACAGTAGAAATACTTTAGAAATAATTTTATTATGAAATAAAAGTTTTCAGGGTTAATTCTGAATTATTAGAAGAAACTAAATGCATACTACTGTCTAAATCTGGCCATAGCTGAAAAAAGCATATTCTAGACATGGATGATCTAAGACCAAACAATTTCAGAACAAATGTGCCATCACCAGAAAGGTACTTACGGTTATCAGACTGAAAATCTGGGACAAACTGTTCATCATCAGGAACTTGTGCTGGAAAATAGATTTTTATTTTAGACCTTTAAGTTTTATTAAAAAGCACAGTAAAATGTTTTATATGGAAAATAGGACATCCATGAAACTTGCCTTCAGCTAACCAAGCCTCTTGAAGTTGACTGAGATCCTGAAATAGCTCTGAAATTGAAAAAGAAGACCCCAGAATGAGGATATTTCTTTCGCTAGGGAGAAGACAGGGAAGAATCTACACGCTACTGTCACTGGGAGCAGGGAAGCCACAACATAATCAGGGAAAGCTTTACTACCTTCAGAATCGTGAGCCAGATCTGTGTCCAAAAACTTCCTCTTTCTGTCAATCACAGGCCGCCCTCTGCATTCCTCAGATCGAGATTTCTGAAAGAGGCCAACAGAAAGTGAAGGCTCAAGTGTAGTAAAGAGGTCCACAGGGGGAAGACTCATATTGGAGAGGGAGGACAAAACAAACCAAAAGCCACATAAACTTACCCCTGGGACCATAAAAGGGACTTGCTGATCATAAAACCCGTCCATGGTGCTTTCAGCGTCTCTAATACCACTTTGAGAGGTTTCAGCATTGAGTAATTTCTGGGGGAAAAGGGATCCTCCTGTAATATGAATTTGGGAGATTTTAACTAAGAGGGGGGAAAAAAAGAAATGAAACAATTTTAGACTGCCTTTTTTTTAGGGCCTGTGCAAAATTATTACCCTTCTGTGAAGTACTTAAAACCTACTCAAGGTGCAAGCTTTACACACCAATGCCGGGCTTGATTAATGGTATCAGAGGTACAGGATGTACTCCGTGCCAAATCCATTTACCCAGTCATCATTTTTTCTTTCTTATTTAAATCATTAAAATTACAGATTTGCTACTGTCTGTTCTCTACCAAAACAAAAATAAATAAATAAAATAAAATAAAAGGGTGATTTCAAGATTCTCTCATATACTCCAGGGCATTTGTAGTAGGGTTTTTAAAAAAGAGATAATTTAATTTTTGACAGTACAGTGTCAGGAAGCAGAGAAACTGGGTTTAAGTATTCCAAATTATTGGCAATTAAAGATCTGACATACATGGTGTTTCCAAAAGCATTTTGTAGGTCACTGTTAAAACACTATATATAGTTCCTGGAATAAATTGATCAGAGGTATACTTATCTTCACACACAACTCTTTATTTAAAAGAGGACTAAACAGATATAGCATCTGTAATGTCACAAATATCTCCCTGGTTACTTACAGAGATATTTGTGACATCTCCAACTTCTAAAAGAGTAAAATGTCTATGAAAAGTAATGGATTAAAAAAACTAATTCCATTGCATGTGGTACAATGCATCTCTACCAAAGGTCTTTTAAAACTTAGGCTGTTTCATATAGCGGAATCATTTTTTTCTAGACATACCCCCCCACCCCCAAATGAAACTCATTTCAGGACGGGTAAGTGTGTGAGTCTGGGGAAAAAGGGTGGGGTTAGAAGGGAGAAAACTTCTCCTAACGTGAGTGGAATAAAGTAACAATTTCAGGGAGGTACCATCTTCCTAAACACTTTTATTCTTCAAATAAAAACACCGTTAAGTCAACAAAAGGTGGAAAAACATTAATTTCACTCACTCCAGCTCTAAGCAATTCAAAATGCTTAAAGGTCAACTTCTTTTGTTTGACATATACACAATTTTAAACAGGAAACTTTTCCCCCGGTGAGCAATTCCATCCAATTTGTTTTTCACACTGTGTGTAGCATATCAAATTTTTCATAAGTGGGCAGGATACAAGGACACCCTTCACAGCCAGCATCCTCCGCAGCACTTTGGCCCAAGGAATCAGATATTTTCAAAGTCAAAGGAAAGAGAGGAGCAAAATAGCACACAGTTCATAACTTCCTAGAAAAACACTCGCGCCAGCCTGCCTGCGTGCCCCGTCCAAACACCACAAGAAATGTTCAGAATAACGCCTCTCTCAAATGCCACCAAACCGTATACAAAATCTGAGAAACCTCAGCAGTGAGTTGAGGGGCATGAAAGAGAGAGTGCTCTGTCGCTTAGGAAAATCTGTCAGATTAAATCATGGCCTAAGACATTTTGTGAATGTGTTAGGAGGAAGGGGACAACCAGTAGAAGACGGGAGGGGGAGATATTTTTCAGTCTCATGATGAAATACTTCACCCGGAAGAGCAAAAAAAATTCTAAAAAATTAAAAGAAATAAACTGCCATAAACGAACGGAAAAGAGGCATTCCAGGGTTAGAAAAATTGTATTCCAAGTATAATTTTTTTAAAAGCCTGAAGGAAAGGCTCGAGTTCATCCAGGAGTTTAAACCACTTCCTTTGCCCCCCCACCACCCGCGCCCCGGGCGCCCCCAGGAAAACTTTAGCACAGCGCAGCGGCGCGATCCAGGCCCCTCCCCTGTGGCGCGCAGCGGGCCCGGTTTTATGAATGGGAGAGCGAGCCGCGGCCGCCACATCAGGTAGAGGCTGTAACTGGATCTCTAGCGCTGGGCCCCATTCACAAAACAAGACACACTTCCACCCAATTCTCAGCCTTCCCCATTCATGAAAACTCCTTCAGCTGCGCCCCCGCCCCCATTTCCAACGCACGCCCAGCCTCCGACGCAGGCCCCTCACCCCAGCGTTTTAGGAAGAAAGCTCAATGCTTCATTCACAAAAAGGGAAGAAAAAAAAAAAAGCCGCAGGGAGCAGCGAGCCAACGAAAGAAACCCGCTTCATTCATAAAGTCACCCACATTCATAAAAACGAGGTGCGGCGCCCGGCGCTACCAACCGCTTCCAATCCCCCCACCCCCAACATCTCTCCCTGGCACCCCCTCGTCGACCAGGAGTTCGGTTCCCCCCCGAGTTTTCTCCACCCTCTGAAAATGCGGCCGGAACCCTAATCCGCTGCGAGGCTGCAGCATCTTTCGGTGCTGTCCCCTCCACACCCGTGTTATCCCCACCATCCCCAGGCCGCTGTTCCGGTGCGCCCCGATTTTCTCGAGTCGCCGCACAGCCGGACGCCCTCAGCCTGCTGGGTGGGAGCAGGGCGACTGGATGTCCACTTTCCACCACCTGAAACTTGCAAGGCCTGCGTAAGTTCCTGGTCGACCCCCGCCCCCGCAGGCTGCACTTGCCTGTGTCATTTACCCCCTCCCGGTGCTCTGGGGGGCAGCGCCTCTCAGACATTCCCCTCAAACTGCTTCCCGCCCCCTCCTCCCAACTGCGGAGCTCCGCCAAGCGTCTCTTCTCGCGAGCCTCCAAGTCCCCTCGGGGCTCTCGAATCTCCAGAGACTGTGAAAGCCTCGCAACTCCGCGATCCCCCATCCACTCGGGAGCCCCCGCACTCGCGCTCCGGGGCGCCTCCCCCACGACGTGTGGAAAGCCGCTCTCCCCGCGCTCCGGAACCGTTAGCCGCACCCGCCCGACGCCTCCCAGGAACCAAACCGGACCGGGCCGCGGGGGGAGGGGGCGGTCAACCCGGGGGGGGTCACCCCAGCTACTGCACCCCGACTTTGAAGATTCTGAATCAGCCCGTGAACTCTAGCCGGCTGGGCCTGTCGGACCAGTGGCCGGACGCCCCTTCCGATCTCCCCCCTGCCCCCGCAAAGCCCCCTCACCTGAGGCGGCCTCTCTCCTCCCCTTGCAGCGGCCCCGGCGGCGCAGGCGCGCTCACGCACGCGCGCAGCGGGCCTGGGCGCCTGGGCGAAAGGCTGGGCCGAACCGCTCCGAAGACGGTGAACCGCTCCGCGCACCAGCGGCTGGACTCTGCGCCGCAGCTGCCAACCAGGCTGGAGCGCTGGCCCGGCCCCCCGCGGCTCGCTGCTCCGCCCGCCGCCATTGGCCCGCGGCCCTAGCCCAGCCTTGTTCCCATTGGCCAGAGGCCGTTCCCGCGGCTGTCCATCACCTCTTGTTTACCCTGTCTGCGGGCAAATCCAACCAAGCCGCCCCATCAACTCCGGCCCCCATTGGCCAGCGGTGCATCTCTCTCCACCCCCTCAGGGGTCTGTTTTACATAATTTATGCACCGGGGGCCATTGGCCAATCAGCACAGGCTTGTTTATATAATGAATGTAAGGACGTTTTTCATTCATAAAAAACGCGACCTGAGGGGGAAGCTTAGCTGAGTCAGTGAAGCACTTAAAGGGGCCGAGGCCAGGAGGAGCCGCCGTTACTTCCCTTCTCGCCGCTCTCCCGACTTTTCACCGAGGCACGACTCTTCCCCCTTACCCACTCACCCCCACTTCTCCATCCAGCAAAGCCCCGACCAGAATTGGGTCTCTTGGCGCCAGACGTTCGCAGCTGCAGCACCAAGCAAAGTTATCATTTTAGAATTCAGGGGAGAGGAATTCGTCATTCCACACAAACTCGCTGACCGACCTGGGCGTTTAGCCCACAGAAACACAGAAAACGGAAACCGAGCCCTCTAATCTTAGTTACCTTTAAGAGAGGCCTTAATTTCTTTTAACCAGGTTTCCAGTGGGAAGAATAAGCAGCATCTCCTTTTAAAATCTCAGCTCTCAAACAGATTTTTGTTACTATTTTGTACTGGCAAGGCCTAAGACCCAACCAAATCCCGTTTTCTCTTTAACTGCGGCTCGTAACCTCCGCCAGAGTGGGTTCTGTAGTCGAGGTGAGACAGGGTTCGGGCTCAAAGAAATCCTCTCCGGGGACAGCAGCAGCCAGTCCACCGACCTGGAAACCTAAATCCCTCCGAAACGGGCATGCAGACTCAGACTTTTTGCCTCCCTCCCCGGGCTGCTTGTTTTCCATTTAAGTATTGAATGCAAGATGGTGTATTTGCGAATTAGATCCCGTGCAGCTGGGAACGACGAGAAGCGGCTCTGCTTGCCAAACGATAGGGCACTAACTGCAATTGCTGAGATTCTTAACAGGGTGTTCCAGGAAACAAATAAACAAACAATCCTCTCCCCTCTCCGCCCCCTTACCCCCTCCTGTGAAGGCCGTGGGGCGGCTCTATCTTCTCTCCGGGGATGCTGGGGGCCTGTGACGGAGCTCTGTTCTCGTCCTGCTGGAGTGCCCTGCCATTCACGCCGCGTGCCAGCGGTGGGGAGGAAAGATGCTAAGTGACAGGAGAGAGCCCCTAGCAATGGGGGTCCCACGGTGGCCAACTCTGGGGCAGTTCCTGCCCCTGCCACCCCCACACTTAAGTCAAAGGTTCTTTCCTATCTCCACTTGTGTCTCTTAAACAGAGCGGACACTTGGTCTGTCGTTTATAGCCCTTGAAATGTTGGCGTGCCCCTAAGCAACCTGCAGCACCCGTGTTGAGTCCTGGGCTCAGCACTGACCAGGCACGCTGGAGCTGTTGACTTTGGAAGACTGAAATGGGCATGAGTTGATGGATGGAAAGTACTCTGAACATGTAACAAGCAGTTCCTTGAGATCTAGTTTCCTGGTAGAACATTTTGCTTCCGACTCCAGTTTTCCCTTAGTGCCCTTTTTCTTTCTCCAGGTGGTACCGTTTCTGTTTGGTGGCTGGAGATCTTACACTAGTACAGTTGTGCTCTGAGCTTATTGCTGACATTCCTGAGAGCTCTATCTCCCTAGCTAGATGAAGGGCCCAGGTAAGCTCCCAGATCCTCCTCCTCCCCAATTTTGTCTACCCCCACTCCCGCTCCTCCCCATCCCATCCCATGACATCCTGCTCTCTAAACTCATTTTTCCAAAGGAGCTTTCTTACTCCTCTTCCCTTAAGTCTCTCAGGCCCCAGCCCTCCGGAAGGCTTACAGCCCACAGAGCCACATATCCTCACCATCTAAACCGTAACACATCAATCACACTTTATAACTTTGGCTACAGGAAAACAGTGCCGCACGCTTCACAGCAACTTCCTCACAGGGTTGGACCTGATGCCTGGAGTTTGGCTCTTGTGACCTTTGCCTCAAGCCAAGTCTCTCCATTCCACTTTGAAAAGAGAAGTAGGATAGTTCTGGGTTGAGTAGTAACAAATAGTGGCTCAGGTGGGGGCAGGGGAGGATTGGGCGATAGATTTTTTTTCAAAAATGCTTGTCTTGAACACGCGATCATGTGCAGGGGATTACACCAGAATAATTGCCAATTAATTATTGCGATTATTTAGTTATCCAGTAAACATGTATTTTGTACCAAATATTCAGCCAGACTTCGTGCTAGGCAAAAAAGTTGCAGAGATGAATAAGACCCAGTCTTTGCGTTGGAGGAGCCCACAGTCTGCTGTGTAACTTCAGTATCTGAAGTTTACTCAGCACTTTATATATGACTTGTTCATGCCATATATAATTCTTCACAGATTATCTCATTTAATCCTCATAATAATAGTACCAAAGTGGTCAGGCTATTAATGTCTCCATTCTATAATATATAGTTGAGAAACTGAGACACAGAGATTAAGTAGTTTGCCAATGGTCACAGAGCTTGAAAGTCAGTTGCTGAACTTGGATAGGAGCCAAGGTGGTCACATCCCAGAGCCCATATATGGGAGACCTAGCATCTGCCTCTCTTGTTCAGCGACTACCGGGAAACATCATTTCAACCCAGAGTGGTAAAGGACAGAGCTGGCCAAAGTCAAAGGAGGCAGATTTTAGCTCCAAATAGGGTTAGGAAGGACTCTGGGATGTTTGGAGTGGTCCAGCAAAGGAAGATTGTATCTGGCCCTGAGTCTTCCATCACAGGAGGCATTTATGCAGAAAGATTTAGGGATAGGGTAGAGGGACTAATGCATTTTCCAGGATAGAAGAACTCTGAGGATTGTTCCATCTCTCAGAGTCTCTGATTCTGGGAATTTGGAGGTTTGTGCTGGACAAGGGGTACAGCTCTTGGCACAGCCATCTTGGCTGCAGCATTAAAAGTCAGAGTACAGCCTGCGATGACCTGAGCCAGCTCCTGGGCCCAGGGTGGGCTCCTCATTTTTAAATATTTACTGATATCTTCTCTCCACTCTTCTTCCTTCTTCTCTTTATGATTTACCTCCCCGGCTCCTCTTCTTTTGTTATCTTTGCCTTTATAAGAGTTAAAGGTAGTATTTAGAAGTTCTTTGTCTATTACGTTGAGGCTTCCCTCCTAGGAACATTACTTACATGGGAGGTTTTGTCGAACAAGCATGTGTTCTAATTATCATTCCCTCTCCTCCAGGAGAGAAACAGGATTGGAAAAGAAAACAAAAAGAGAGACCAGTCCTCTGGCACATTCATCTAATGTCAATCTAGCCTTTGTCCTCTGGCAGTAGCAAAACTCAATCACAGCACGATAACTAGACCCTTGTTCTTTAAACTCAATTTGCAGTGTGTCTAGAGGGGAACAGTGTAGAAGAATAGAAAAGAAAGTACCTTGCCCCAAGCCTGAGAACTGTTACCCTTTAGAGAACTGCTTTTAGAATTTTCCCCTAAAATGCCAAAAGCAAGTTACCGTATAAGGCAGGCAACCCTGTCTTGAGCTGATCACCAAAATGATCGTGGGAAATATGGAAGCATCATGATCCTGGTTTCTCATACTGGGAAAATCCCTCCTCTTTCTCTGTTAGAAATGCCGGGGTGAGTGTAGACCTGCCTAGGGTTTGGGATGTGGGCTACAGTGCTCCTGGAGTCCTTTCCTATTCTTGTATGGGGGGAAGGAAGGGATTTGAGGAAAGGGTAAAAAAGGTACTGAAATGTTGGCCACGCGTGGTGACTCACACCTGTAATCCCAGCACTTTGGGAGGCCCAAGTAGGTGGATCACCTGAGGTCAGGATTTCAAGACCAGCCTGGCCAACATGGTGAAACCCCCGTCTCTACTAAAAATACAAAAATTGGCTGGGCGTGGTGGTGCATATCTGTAATCCCAGCTACTTGGAAGACTGAGGCAGAAGAATCGCTTGAACTTGGGAGATGGAGGTCGCAGTGAGCTGAGGTCATGCCACTGCACTCCAGCCTGGGAGACAGAGTGAGATTTCGTTTCAAAAAAAAAAAAAAAAGGTACTGAAATGTGTTTTTATTTAAGGGAGAGATAAAGAATCCTATCTTCCTTTCTAAAATTCAGAAATAAAGGCCCTAAAAACTTAAGGGAGAAAAGAACATCTGTTAGCTTCAATGTCTCTTTAAAAAATAGGGGGCATATTGTTTTTAGGGTTCCTTCCAGCCGGGGAATAGTAAAAGCTGACATTTACTGAGTACTTAATATGAGCCAGACACTTTGCTAAACACTCCACATGACTTGGCACAGTTAGTCCCAACAACAGCCCTCTGAGGGAGGTACTATTATCATTATCTCCACTTTTCATAGATGAGAAAGCTTAGGTACAGAAAGGTTCAATCTATTGCTCCAGGCCACATAGCTAGCACATAGTAAAAAAGGGAGTGTGCCCAAGCAACAGAGCCTGCTCCCCTAGGATCTGCCCAGGAGCCACTCTGCTGCCCTGTGGAAGCTGTGTGTGCTTAATGACAGCGGCCAGCACTGCAAGAACACTTCCCTGTGCTAGACTCTGTTTAGGGGCTTTGCTTATATTAACCCACTTGATCATCCTAATAACCCTGTGATACAGATATCATTATTCTCCCCGTTTTATAGATGAGGAAAGTGAGACAGAGAGGTTAGGTAACTTGCCCAAGGTCACACAGCTAGTAAGAGTTGGAGTCAGGCACCTAATGTAGATCTTGAACAGAGTCCTTGCTCTTATTCACTCTGCTCTGTCGTCTTAGTTCCTGCAGTCTCTCACTTTGTCATCTTGCCCCTCACCTTGTTCTCAGGGCTTTGGCTGCTTGCTTGCCATGCCAGTGAGAGCTGCTGTGCTTCCTTAGGAACCTGCTTCAGCAACTCCAGCCAGACTTCTGAATTATTGTCCTGGGCTGGCAAGGATTTGTCTTCATGAAAGCCACTTTAGAAAAAGAAGGGAAATGATGTTTACTGAGCATCTCCAATATGCCAGGCTCTGTGCTAGACACTTTACATACTACAGTGTTTCATTTAATACGCCCAATCTCTCTTTAGAAGTGGTAATAATACCCAATTTGCTGATATGAAAACTGAGTTTCAAAGTGAGAGGTTTAAAACCATGTCTGAGTTTCCTCAGTTAGAAAGGAGCAAGTCAGATCTCTGACAGAACACAGAATGCATGTTCTTGAGCCTCTGATCCAGCCAGTCTGGGGGACCTTATTCCTCTCCTGGTTCTTGACTGAGCTCGAAGACATCCTTTCTCCTGTCTCCTGCTGACTTTCAATTCTTATGAAACAGCCACTATCAAGAAAACCTGGAAGAGCATGTCCTATTTAGATTTCTGATGGCTGACAGGTTTATTTCTTAAGCCCACAACTTTAAAAAGAAACAACTAGCCCGGCGTGTTGGCTCACGCCTGTAATCCCAGCACTTTGGAAGGCTGAGGCAGGCCGATCACTTGAGGTCAGGAGTTTGAGACCAGCCTGGCCAACATGGTGAAACCCCATCTCTACTAAAAATACAAAAATTGGCCAGACATGATGGCGTGTGCCTGTAATCCCAGCTACTCAGGAGGCTGAGGCAGGAGAATCACTTGAACCTGGGAGGCGGAGGTTGCAGTGAGCCGAGATCACACCACTGCACTCCAGCCTGGGAGACAGATCGAGACTCCATCTCAAAAAAAAAAAAAAAAAAGAAAGAAGATGGAAATCTTAGGAAACTTCCCATGGCTTCTCCTTGACTTCAAAACTGAGTCCAGCTCTGCAGCAGAATCTGCACAGCAGCCATGCGACCCTGCAATCTCTCCCAAGCCTCCTGAGTCCTTTCATCTCACCATGCAGGGAAGAGCTCCTAGAGCCAGACACACGCCTGCATCCTTCCCTACCCCTGAGAAATCTGGGGGACTGCCTGTCTCCCATGAAAGAGCCTCGGGCTACTGGACTTTTGGTGGATCCTGTGTTGGATCTTCCGAGTTTTCCTGCCCCCTTTTCAATGTCAGGTTGTTAATCAGAACATCACGATGCATTCAGCACATGCTTCTCTAGCCCCTCACATCTGTTGTAATTTTCTGACTCTGATCTGCCATAGGCGTGGAAACCAGCAAACCAAGTGTGTTTGCAATGGGCATAGAGAAAGAGCCCAGAGGTTCTGAGTAGCAGCAAAAGCATCCCCTCCAATGAGGAAGTGGACAAACTTGGATGTGTAGACTTGGCAAAATCTATTTTGACCGCTCAGAGTCCTCTTTTTGCTTCCTTTTATGCCCATGGTGGTGAGTTTTATGTGACCAGGGGTTAACCCCTTCTGTGCCCTCCTTGGACTTCAGCTCCTACAGCAGGAGCAGGCTGACTCAGAACTTGCCCGTCTCGAGCTACGAAAGGCCTTGCTTCAGCCTCTCCCGCAGCTCCACTGGAAGAGACTAAGGGGCTGGCAGGGCTGGAGCGGGGCTTCTTCATAGGCCTGCTTCAATGTGGCAGCTGGAGAGCGGGTGGTAAGGCGGGCGGTTCTTTCAGCTCTTGGCTTGGTCTGTAGACGCCCACCTCCGCTGAGGCTCTGCTGGGCCTGTGGAGTGGGCTGTATTTATTTTGAGTTGGACAAAGGGAAGATCAACCATGGCCAACTGACAATTGAGCCCCCAGAACAAATGTCCTGTCAGTGGATTTGATCGCTTGGCTTCAAATGCGGGGTCCAGTCTGCCCTTTTAGCCTGAGGCATCTTCCCACTCATGGCCATGTCAAACCAAATAACCACAGTGAGTGTTTAAAAAGAAGTACACATCCTCTTCCCTCCTCTCCCCATCATGTTTCTTGCTAATAGTCTATCTTGCCTGCCTGTTGGCTCTGGGGCAGGAGGCAGCCTCAATTTAAACCAGACCCATCTGAAAACCTCTTCTCATCCCCGCTCCTCTCCCTTCTCTGCCTTCTCTCCTATCAAGAGGCCAAGCTATATGCCTAAAGATTTAAAATATGAGAACAGCATCCCATCCCAGGAGAGCCCTGAAGGCATCCAGGTTCTCTGTCTGTTCCTTCCTGCCCTAAGGCTCTACTTGGGTACAAGACACTAGCGCTCATGAAATGATCAGGGGGCACAGTTTCACTCCCATCTCCACGTTGACCTGTATTTATTTCTAGGAGGCTGGAAGTTCGGCATCCAACTCTCAAGAGGGATTATCAGCTTGATGTAAGGGAATGTTCAGGCGCCTCAATTTGGGCCTGTTTTGCATGTTTGTTTACTTTTTAATTGAAGTATAACATACATACAAGAAAATACACAAATCATAAATATATAACTCTATGAGTTTTCACAAAGTAAGCACCTCTGTGCATTCAATACCAATATTAAGAAACAGAACACTCCCGGCTCCCTTCCTCATCCCACCAAAAGCCGCCTTCATAGCCCTTACCAGTTGTTAAATCCCCTTCCCCACGAGGGTAGCCACCATCTTGGCTTCTGACATCACTGTTCAGTTTTGCCTGTTTTTGTACTTAATATACATGGAATCATACCATGTATAATGTGGTATCTGGCTTCTTTTCTTCAACATTTGTTTGGGATATTCATTCATTTGTAGTATGTAGTTATATTTCATTCATTCTCATTGCTGTATAGTATTCCACTGTATGAGTATATTACAACTCATTTACCCATGTTACTGTTAGTGAACATTTGGGCAGTTTCCAGTTTTAGCTATTTTTAATGATGCTGCTATGAACATTGTAGTGAGACTCTAGCACATCTTTTGGTAAACATCAACCTAATTTTAGTTGGTTCACTTAAGATGCAGTCATAGGAATTGTTTTAATCTCTTATTTCTTCGAAAAGTGACAGAGATCTATGACAAAAATTTCAACAGCACAGAAAGGTGTAGAATGAAAAATCAAAGCCTGTATATAACCTCCTAGCCTGTATCCATTTTCATGCATGATTAACAGTTTCTTGCGTATCATTCTGTTTTCTATTGCCCAAACAACTATATCTATGTGTTACAGCCTTTTAAAAATATAAATTTTATTATACTGTATTTCTAACCTTAGGTCCCCTCCACCCCAGCCCGTAACACTATAGAGTCCCAGCAATAAGTGGGTGAGCGTATCTGACCATGGAAAGTGACTGGTCCTTCCTTCTATCAGATAAGGCTGGGCAATCACTTTTTTTTTTTTTTGAGATGGAGTCTCACATTGTCATCTGGGCTGGGGTGCAATGGTGCGATCATGGCTCACTGCAACCTCTGTCTCCGGGATTCAAGCAATTCTCCTGCCTCAGCCTCCCGAGTAGCTGGGATTACAGGTGCCCGCCACCACACCGTGCTCGTTTTTGTATCTTTAGTGGAGACAGGGTTTCACAATGTTGGCCAGGCTGGTCTTGAACTCCTGACCTAAGGTGATCCACCTGCCTTGGCCTCCCAAAGTGCTAGGATTACAGGCATGAGCCACCGTGCCTGGCCTGGGCAATCACCTTTAATGGGTTCTTAAGGTAAGACACATAGGAGTTTGCACAGCAGTAAATTTCATTTTCACTTCTAGAAGCATTTGTTGAGTTGCTGGTGTCCTCAGCTTAGGACTTGTCTGAGAAAAGGTCACAGTCTAGTGGGAGGTGGAAGAAGGGCACAGGAACAAATAGCTATTGTACAATATTTACAGGTGTCTTAATAGAGCCCTGTAAATGGGTTCTGAGAGTACAAATGAAGGAGCAGTGAGTACTTCCTGTGAGGGTCAAGGAAGGCTTTAGAGAGGGTTGACATTTGGGACAGCCCTTGAATGATTAATTACTCAACTTTGCTTTGCAGAGCAAGTAGCTTTCCAGGCAGAGGGAACAGCACACACAAACATATGGGGGCTTGGCAATAGCTGGCACATCTAGGGACTGTTGATTCCTCATGTGTGTCTAAACTGTAGAATGTTAGGTCTGGGGGAGATATGACTGGGAAAGGGCTAGAATGGGTATTTTAGGGACAGGACATCAAGGGTCTTAGAAAATCATTAGAGGGGTGACACTTCACATTTTGGAATCATTGAATACATCTCTTAGGTACTTAAAAACAATCAACCAGGCTGAGCGTGGTGGCTCACACCTGTAATCCCAGCACTCTGGAAGACCTTGAGCCCAGGAGTTCAAGACCAGCCTGAGCAACATGGCGACACCTCATCTCTACAAAAAAAGAATGCAAAAATTAGCTAGGTATGGTGGTGCGTGCCTGTAGTCCCAGCTACTTAGCGGGGCTGAGGTGGGAGGATCACTTGATCTAAGGAAGTGGTGGCTGCAGTGAGCTGAGATTGTGCACCACTGCACTCCACCCTGGACGACAGAGCAAGACCCTGACTCAAAAAACAAACAAACAAATACCCAACCAACCAAACAAACAAAAACTCAATCAACCAAAAGATAAAAACCTCTTCAAACGTCACAGCGTTTGTGATGTCTTCAATTAAAGCACAGATCACATTATTTATGCATCTGTATTTCCTGTGACACAAATTCCTCTTACAGGGAACCTCTCAGACTCTTGTCTGAATCCTTCAGCCCCAACCACAGCACCTGGCACTTAGGAGGTGGTCACTAAAGGATGACTGAAAATGTGAATGAACATGTGATTTCTACCGCACAGCAAAACACTGTGCCTGAGAAAGGGGCGGCTGGGTTACCTTCTCTTTGTGGACTTAAGTTTTACAGGTGCGCAGCTTCTGCCTTGCTCACATGGTGGGAGAAGAATGAGGAACTGGTAACCTGGCCTCTGCAATAGCTCAGTGTGTGTGGAGGGAAGCACCGCATTTCCTTAGCAGCAGTACCTGGACCCTGGGACACCGAATTTCATTTTGGTCAGATTAGGAATGGCATGAAGCTCAGTGGGACCCTAGGGCCTCATCTTAGCATTTAGCAACCCAGAAGGAGTTCATATTGCACCCAAATTCCCAAGTCTCCCATTTGCATGTCCTTATTTAAGTCTTGTTCAGAAGGAGGACTTCTACCTCCTCATTGACTCATTCCACCTAGGTCCCTTTCCCTTCCCGACAGGTGTCCCTGGGGCTGGGCAATAGTGATCAGGTTGGAAGAACCACTTTCCACTTCTCCTCTGGTCTGGGAAGATTGGGAGGCTTCAGGGTCCCCCCTAAAAAACAGTGTCTCACTTACCCCTGGTGTTCCTGGTCCTCACCATTGTTGCCAGTTTCCCTGGGATACAATCCCATGCATCTGGAGGGTCTTTAGGCAGCCAAGAAAAATCAACATTCCAAGGCTTTCCTTTCTGCCTGACCATCAAGGAATTTTCTTCATCAAGTAGCATCCTGGTTGGGAGAATTTTGTATACCTTTGACTTGAACTGCCTTTGAAATCTTTCCTCACTCTTCTTGCCCCTTGCTCCATAACCTAATTGCTTTGTATATTTATCTGGGTTTCATCTAGATCTTCCCACCTAGGAATGTTCGTCTCGAACCTGTGAGCTGACCTTAGGGCCTGCTCCAACAGGGTCTGTCTCCATCACAGGGGAATGTACCAGCTAAATATGGACTTCCCCTTCCTCCCTATTAGTTAAACTGCTTTCGATGACAAGATGCAATTTTTCATTACAGGATCCATGTTTTACCCATTCCAGCCCACACATTCCTGACTGGAATGCGAGTAGCATTCATTTACAACTATGTGTACACCTTGTAAATGTAAATGGTAACTAGGTAATCCATATGGTAATATGGTAATGGCTCTATAGACTCTTGTCTGAAAGAGGCTCTTTATTTATCCAAAGATCTTCAGTGGCTTAAACCACCTCCCCCTGCTTCCCAGATGTAATGTTTTCTCTCAAAGCTACTAAATTATACCTGTGCTTCCTTGTGGCAGCTGGGATATGGTGAAAAGAGCATGAACTTGGAGCCAAAGCCCCACATCCTATCTCAACTCTGTCATCACTGACTAGGGGACTGTTGGCTCAGGCTGTTTCATTTCTCCGCATATCAGTCTCCTATCTGAAAAATGGGAATAATAACTCCTGTCTTATAGGGCTGTTTGACTGTTCAATGAGATAAAGTATGTGAGGATGTCCAGTGCCAGGTAGATGTGGGCAGTGGAAATGGGTTTCCATCTTGCAAAGTGGATGAATTTGAGCCAATAATTTCATCTCTCTGAGCCTCAGTTTTATCATTTGTAAAACAGGGATAATAATGCAAACCTTAAAGTTTCCAAAAGGAATAAATAGAATATTTTGAAAAGCATCTAGCAGAGTATCTGGAATAGAGTAGAAATGTAATACATTGTGCTCTCTCCCAATTTTTCTGTATGAATCTTGTCGCTAGGAGCTCACCTTTCATGACCATCAGTGACCTTTTCAGTAAGATCCACAAAGCTGTTCTCTGGGGTAAATGCAATAGTTCCCACATCTTCCTTCTCAATGTGATATTTCCTCCTTTGTAGATTTCACTTAGTGTTTTCTTCTTTACTACTTTTCTCTGATGTCTAGTGTTTCTCTCTTCCTCACTGATTTCCAAAGAAACGAAAGGGATTCTGTTGGATCTCAGGACAGAGTTCAGAAAGCCTTCATGGAGGATGGGACCTTGCAGAATGCCCAAGTATTCTTTGGCAGAAAAGGGGTCATGGAGATCATAAGAAGAACGGTATGATGAAGGCATAAGTGTGTATGAGTCTGATATGTTGGAAGAAGAAGAGTGTGTCTGAGGCAATACTTTGTAAAGTCACTGAGATGTCCCGGCTCTTAGCAACCACAATTTTCTTAGTAGAACATTATGACTTTTTTTTTTTTTTTTTTTTTTGAGCCTCAGTCTCGCACTGTTGCCCAGGCTGGAGTGCAGTGGCGCAATCTTGGCTCACTGCAAGCTCCGCCTCCCAGGTTCACGCCATTCTCCTGCCTCAGCCTCTCGAGTAGCTGGGACTACAGGTGCCTGCCACCACGCCCGGCTAATTTTTTTGTATTTTTTTTTTTTTAAGTAGAGACGGGGTTTCACCGTGTTAGCCAGGATGGTCTCGATCTCCTGACCTCGTGATCCACCCGCCTTGGCCTCCCAAAGTGCTGGGATTACATGTGTGAGCCACCTCGCCCAGCCTGAGTTTTTTTTTCTAAAAAAAAATAAAAAAGACTACCAGAAAAGCATGTGGTATATACTTCTATCGTATGAACCAAAACAATTTTATTAGTAGAAAATGGGAATTTATTTTATGTGTGCATATAAAATCACAACCATGAGCACGTGTCTGTGAAATAAACAAGCTGTTGAAGGACACGTGATGGGCTGCTCCTGAGGCTTTTCCATGATTATTCACACGGGACTTGTTCCTTCGCCTTGCCATCTGTGGGCTCTCACTAGAGATAGGCAGAGCTGTGAGTGCCAAAGGTTTAACAAAAATTGATGGGAAAAACTTAACATTGAGAAAATTGTATCTTTGAGCATAATTTGGACAAGCTTCCACTATTCTATTTTAGTGAAGGAACATTTCTTTCCAACTTCGGAGTGCCACTGAAGTTCAGTCTGCAGGGAGAGCTGGGTTGGGTGCTGGGGTTAGGGTGGGAGTAGGTGGGATGGGGTGGGGGTGAGGGAGGTGAGTTTGGAGGAAGTTGGGTAGGGGCTGTGTATTGGGGATCTGAGGAATTTGGGTCTGATTCTTCAAGCCATGGTAAGTTGTAGAGTAAAGGAGTGACAAATGGAAGGGGGAAATTTGGGAACGACAAACCTGATGAGGGTGAAGGGTAGGTTGAAGTGCATCATAGCAGAGAGGTGAGAGAAAGAGAGCACAGACCTGGCTGAAGAGATGGGGGATCAGAAAAAGCATTCTTCAGATGCCTTCTTGTCCCGGCTCAGAACACCCCAAAGCTCAGAGGAACAGGACTGGGTTCACAAGGAAGAACAGGGAAGCTGTCTGGGCTATCAACACTCTTCAGTGTCTTGGAATCAACCCAGCATGTCCTGCTGCTGCTGCTTTCTGCCTCTGCTAGCTTGGATCCGGTAGGAAGAACAGAGTTTTACATTCCTTCAGTGAGTAATTGACAAAGCTCCACACCAGGTGTGAGTGGGGGGGTGGGGAGGCTCATATTTGCTCCTCCCCTGACTTCTTCCCCACCCTCCCTCCTTCTAGGCACACCAGGGATTTGTTCATCAGGGCTGATCTTGAATGGTGGAGATAGATTCAAGCCATTTTGAGCCCAGGTCCAGGGTAAACAAGTAACAGAATCCTGTAGGCTGTTACATTTGTTGTTTTAAAAAGACTTGGTACATTATTTGTAAGGGAGTGCCGTGGGAAGTAAAATAGTTCTTTCAGCTGGCAGGCATGCCTATCTGTCATGATACTTAAAAAAAATTAAACTTATGGCCTAATTCCAATCAGAGAGGTTTCAGATATTTAATAATCTCATTTGTTACAGTTTCTCCAAAAGCATTTGTTTTTGTTAAGTTTTAAAATCAATCTTCTCCATTCACCCTAATTGGGAGTTACAAAGACATTTTAAATTGTAAAATCATTCTATATCCATTGTATACAGTTAGGGAAATATAAAAAATAATTACAAATAAACTAAACATCCATCATTCTAGAAATGAATACTGTTAACATTTAAGCATATTTCCTCCCTGTCTTTTTTTCTTGCTGTTTTACATAATGGAGATTTTAAAAGATAAAAAGCTTTGTATTTTTTCCTAGTATTATGTCATAGGAGTGGCTCTAGGTTATTAAACATTCTTCAAAAACTCAATTTTTAAAGTTTGCTTAGTATGTCTTCTTATAGCTATAATATGATTTGCTTGTTTCCCTAATGTTGATTGAGTATTAGGCTGTTTCCAATTTTTTGAGGTTAAAAAAAACACTACCGTGAATATCTTTGTGTGTGTGTGTGTGTGTGTGTGTGTGTGTTTGTGTGTGTTTTAGTATAGGTATGACAGTAGGCGATCTGGCTACATTCTGTTGCCTATTTTAGATGGGGATAGGACTGCCCCCTTGCCATTATGAATGACAGCTGTCAGCCAAAGAGAGGGCTGCGCTAGAGACTGTCAATCTGGCTCCTGGGAGAAGGGATAACACTCAGCACAGGAATGTTGTAAACACGTTAGGGAGGTCTTGCAATTCCACTTTGAAATGGAGGAACCTAAACTACAATCCATTTTCACATGAGGTCGGGTTTGTTCAGGGTGGTATGGCCATAGATAACAATCCATTTTCAAAGGAAACAGAGGTTTTCAAAAAGCCTTTTGAATGGACTGGGCTAGTATTGTGTGATTTTTAAATTAAATTACACATGTTAAAAATGGGCGATCTAATGAAATAGAGAATAGAGGTTACTTTGAATGATAAACTAGTAGGAATAGTATTCGTGAAGTTCCAGGCAGGCTGACTTCCTTGGTGAGTTCACCGGGGTGACAGGACGAGTGTTGGAGTTGGCAAAGCAGAATTCTAATACCAGCTGGGCCATATTGGGCAGGTTGCTTGATGTCTCTGAGCCTCAGATTCCCCACTAACAAAATGAGGCTGATAATGACACTAATATTTCTCACCTGCAGTTTGTTGTTGAGAGGATTTAAACACCAAGGGAGGATCAGTAAATGGCAGCTAAGGCTGTGCCCTAAGGGATGGCTGAGGCTTGTTCTTAACCCAGAATTCAAAATAGGCCTGCCTGACCTCAGGACAGCGCAACACAAGAGACTTGCACGTACAGAACATGGATGTAAAGAGGGAATCCTGGGTTATAGTTTCAGAATCCACTGTGGGGATCTTAAACCCTCTCTCTTCAGCCTTTAATAAATGATTTAATTTGCACACTGGACAGTTCAACACTATTTTTTTTTTTTTTTTTTTTTTGCCCCAGCCTGTGAAAAGGGACGGGGTTGGGCTAAGGCAACGTTGAAACATTGCATTCCTCTGCCAGAAGCTTAAAAACCCTGCAATCAAACCCGAGGCCCTATGCGGAAACAAGTGTATCCGATGACAGCTTATTATGGAAGGTTCTGAACTTCTAAGAATTCCTTAGTAGGAGACAAACAAAATACAAAGATATCCTCCTAATTTTCTGCGACTGGGAATTTTTGTTTTTCTCTTCCTCACTTCTCCCATCCATTCTGCATGTTTGTTAAAATGTAGGCACACAGGGTCCACGGTGTGTGGTACTTGAGTGGGCAAAAGGCTAGTTCAGCTGGCCAGCGAGGCAGACAAGACGTGGTTCAACACACGCATTGCTGGGAGCTGGGACTTCTCCTTCATTAGTTAAACATGGGCATGAAGTAAAGATTTCTGGTGTGTGTGTCTGTGTGTTTTCAAACGGCAGGTTCAGCACTTCTAAGTACATAGCATGATAGGAAGAGAAGTCTGTAATCACCTCTCATGTCTGGGGTCCTGATGGGCCCAGAGCAGATTTGATTTACGTTATCTTCAAGCGGGAAACTTGTCATCCAGTCTTCATTTGCCCTTCTCTCTGGGCAGGAAAGAGCTCCATTTTTCCCGCTCCACAGAGGACATTTTATTTTTGCAGTTCTTTGAAGTGCCCTCAGAGATCTAAGCACCAGGCTGAAGGCAGCTCTGTGTATCCTTGCAACAGATTAGAACATATTCACATTTTATTTGCTCACAGAACAAATATTTCCCTTGGAATGAGACCGAGGCAGTGGAGCAGGACCAGGCAGGACCAGCCACCAAAGACGGCCCCCCAGGCCCCATGCTGGGCCTGCTCAGCGCCTGCACAATTGGTTCCACATAATTGCTTCTCCACACTCACCTCATTTAGGCCCTATAGACACATATGGGCTGATTAGTTGAGTCATTTATTGATTCAGGAATATTTGTCGAGCCTCAACAATGTACCAAACACTATGCTGGTTACAGAAATAAAGAGAGAAACACATTCTGTCCTCAAGGGGCTCCTAATCAAGTAGGGGAGAGAAGCAATGTCTGTATATTAATGAATCAAATCAAGGTGACAAAGATAAGGCTTCAGAACCCAGGAGACAAAGTGTTTGAGGTAGGTCATTATTCTGTCTGTGTGTTGCGGGGTGTGTGGGCAAGGGTGAGGCGTGTGGGGTGGTGTGGATATGGTGTGCATGGGCCTCTGTGTGTGTAGGTTATGTGTATGTGGTGTGTGTGGTGTGGGGAGTGTGTTTGTGTATGGGAGTGTGTATGTGTCTGTGGTGACAGTGGTGAATATGTGTGTGGGTATGGTAGTGATGGTACTAGGTGGTGTTTAGTGCATGTCCTGTGAGAATTGTGTGTAGGTATAGGGATGTGTGTGTATAGTGGTGATGGTGGTGTGTGGTGTGGGGGGGTGTGTGTGGTGGAGAGAGTGTGTGTATGAGAGTGTGTATGTAGTGAGTGATGGTGGTGAATGTGTGTAGTGGTGATGGTGGTGTTTGTGTGGTGTGGGGTGTGTGTGTGTAGTGGTGATGGTGGTGTTTGTGTGGTGTGGGGGGTGTGTGTGTGTGGTGAGTGGTGGTGAATGTGTGTGTAGTGGTGATGGTATGTGTGGTGTGGGGGGTGTGTGTGGGGGGTGAGTGGTGGTGGTGTATGTTTGGTGTGTGTGGTGTGTGTGTGTGGTGAGTGGTGGTGAATGTGTGTGTGTAGTGGTGACGGTATGTGTGGTGTGGGGTGAGTGGTGATGGTGGTTGTGTGGTGTGTGTGTGTGTGTGTGGTGAGTGGTGGTGAATGTGTGTGTGTAGTGGTGACGGTATGTGTGGTGTGGGGTGAGTGGTGATGGTTGTGTGGTGTGTGTGTGTGTGTGTGTGGTGAGGTGGTGGTAAATGTGTGTGTAGTGGTGATGGTATGTTTGTGTGGTGTGGTGTGTGTGTGTGTGGAGTGGTGGTGAATGTGTGTGTGTAGTGGTGATGGTATGTGTGGTGTGGGGGTGTGTGTGTGTGTGGTGAGTGGTGGTGGTGAATATGTGTGTGTAGTGGTGATGGTGGTATGTTTGTGTGGTGTGTGTGTGGTGTGGGGTGTGTGTGTGTGGTGAGTGGTGGGGTGGTGGTGAATGTGTGTGTAGTGGTGATGGTATGTTTGTGTGGTGTGGTGTGTGTGTGTGTGGAGTGGTGGTGAATGTGTGTGTGTAGTGGTGATGGTATGTGTGGTGTGGGGGGTGTGTGTGTGGTGAGTGGTGGTGGTGAATATGTGTGTGTAGTGGTGATGGTGGTATGTTTGTGTGGTGTGTGTGTGGTGTGGGGTGTGTGTGTGTGGTGAGTGGTGGGGTGGTGGTGAATGTGTGTAGTGGTGATGGTGGTGTTTGTGTGGTGTGGGGGGTGTTTGTGTGGTGTGGGGTGTGTGTGTGTAGTGGTGATGGTGGTGTTTGTGTGGTGTGGGGGGTGTTTGTGTGGTGTGGGGTGTGTGTGCGTGGTGAGTGGTGGTGGTGAATGTGTGTATAGTGGTGATGGTGTTTGTGTGGTGCGGGGTGTGTGTGTGTAGTGGTGATGGTGGTGTTTGTGTGGTGTGGGGGGTGTGTGTGTGTGTGTGGTGTGGGGTGTGTGTGTGTGGTGAGTGGTGGTGGTGAATGTGTGTGTGGTAGTGATGGGGCAGGCTGAGGGCTGAGCCAGAGAAGGCATGGAGATGAGACAACTCCAGAGGGTATGTAAGGGGAGGTGAGTGGTGGGAGGTGAGCTAGGAAGGCATTTTTAATGTTGACCCATACTCTCTAATCAAGACAATGACAGTTTTGCAGCTGTTCCTCTTCCTAAGCTCATGTGAGGATTTTGGGTTAGAATCACTGTGTTCTTCTCCGCAGGCCGAAGCTCCCTAGCGCTGGGGCCTCCACTCTGGGAAGGGCCCTGTGGGTGAATCTCTGAGCGTTTACTGGGCTCCTTCTCTACCTGGGCTGCCGCACCCAGAACAGTTCTTAGAGTTTCCAGCCTCCTGAGCTCGCGGAATAGCAAAGGTGGGTTCTACTGGACTTGGGGCAGAGGAGGTCTAAATGTGAGAATCCCTGAGGCAAATGTTAGAAGAAAGGGCAGTGCGGCCGGGCAGGGGATCTCCAGCTCTCTCACAATGCATGGCTGCCCTGGCTAGATCTGGGCTGTGTGGAGCTGTTTAAACAACGAACAAGGGGCCAGGCACGGTGGCTCACGCCTGTAATCCCAGCACTTTGGGAGGCCAAGGCGGGATGGATCACCCGAGTTCAGGAGTTTGAGACCAGTCTGGCCTATGTGGTAAAACCCCGTCTCTACTAAAAATACAAAAATTAGCTGGGCGTGGTGGCGCATACCTGTAATCCCAGCTACTCGGAAGGCGGAGGCAGGGGAATTGCTTGAACCCGGGAGGCGGAGGTTGCAGTGAGCCAAGATCATGCCACTGCACCCCAGCCTGGGCGATAACAGCGAGACTCCGTCTCAAAAAAGAAAACAACAACAGCAACAAACGAATAAGGAGGCAGATGTCAGGGGTTGGCTTTCTTCCCCAAATTTTGGTTTGCTTTTTGTTACTCTCCCCTTACTGGATAGGGTCAAAGCTGCCTCATGATTAAGTGTTGGCCAGATAAGAATGATTTATTTCCATTTTACTAGACAGGGACTGGAAACACAGAAAGTCTAAAGATTGCAAGATACTAGTCATGTTGTCTCAGGTCATTTTCGTGGTTACCTGTGAGGTAAAGGTTTTCTGGTATCGTCCCCATTTGACAAATGGGGAAATTAGGGCTGAGAGAGGTAAAGTCACTAGCACAAAACCACTCAAGCTTTTCCGTGAGTTCCTCATCACTGATTGTCTAACTGAAATTTGAACCCAAGTCTTTTTGGCACCAAAGACCATGTTTTTTTCATAATGCTTCCTGAAGTTTATGAGGCAGCATGGTTTGGCTAAATGATGGTGGTTTTCTTCTTTTTTCTTTTTTTTTTTTTTTTTTGAGACGGAGTTTTGCTCTTGTTGCCCAGGCTGGAGTGCAATGGCACCATCTCAGCTCACTGCAATCTCCGCCTCCCAGGTTCAAGCAATTCTCGTGCCTCAGCCTCCTGAATAGCTATAATTAACAGGCATGGGCCACCACACCCAGCTAATTTTGTATTTTTAGTAGACACAGGGTTTCTCCCTGTTGGTCAGGCTGGTCTCAAACTCTCGCCCTCAGGCAGTCCACCCGCCTTGTCCTCCCAAAGTGCTGGGATTACAGGTGTGAGCCACTGTGCCCGGCTGATGGTGGGTTTTATCGTTGCATAGGAATAGGTTTAAACCCAAGTTCTCCTCCGTGCTGGTTAGGTGCGTGACCTTGCATTCTTTCCTTCCTTGCTCCCTTGTGAAGTGTTAATTGAGGCCTATTATATCCGTGTCAAGCACTCTGCTGGGGTCTGGGAACATACCAGGTAACTTCACAGTCCTTGCCCATCCAAGGCTTCCAGCCGGATGAATAATTCAGACAATGAAATAGGCAAGTACAATGTAGTTTGAGAAGTGCTATGATGGGAAGCCTCAGGTGCTCTCTGTCCAATAAAATGCTACTAACCACAGCCCAGTGCTATCAGTGTAAAATGCCTGCAGGATTTTGAAGACTTAGTGCAAAAAAATAATGTTAAGCTCTTCATTAATAATGTCTTATATTGATTACATGTTGAAATGATTATTTATGGGATATGTTGAGTTTAAAACTACTTCATTCAAATTAATTTCACCTGTTCCTTTTTATTCCTTGTATGTGGTTATTAGAAAATTTAAACTTAGGCCAGGCACGGTGGCTCATGCCTATAATCTCAGCACTTTGGGAGGCTAAGGCGGGTGGATCATTTGAGGTCTGGAGTTTGAGACCAGCCTGACCAACATGGAAAAACTCTGTCTCTACTAAAAATACAAACAAATTAGCCAGGCGTGGTAGCGCATGCCTGTAGTCCCAGATACTGAGGAGGCTGAGGCAGGAGAATCGCTTGAACATGGGAGGTGGAGGTTGCAATGAGCCGAGATCACACCACTGCCCTCCAGCCTGAGCAACAGAGCGAGACACCATCTCAAAAAAAAAAAAAAAACAAAAAAAAAACAAAAAAAAAAACACAACAAAAAAACAAATTTAAACTTACATATGTGGCTCACATTGTATTTCTAAGGGACAGCGCTGCTGTGGAAGAATAAAAGCATGCAGACATTTCCTATCTTAATGCAACAACCAAAGAACATTTATCCTGTGACCTCCCCAGGAAGGCACACAAGAGATGCTTAGCAAGTAGGAGCTTCTTTCCCTCCACACATGGTTTAAGAGGCTGTTGTTTATTGTGGAACCCTCAGTCCTCTGGTACTGTGGAGAAGGTATCAGGTGACATGGCTGCAGAGCTTGTTCAGCCCCCTCGAGGATTCCTTTGGGTCCTATATCTTGAGAAGTAGCTGTCGTAACCCATCTCCCCATGCCCCCCGAAAAACCCATGGCTGACAGATGAAATAAATGTTGCTTGTTGCCATGGCCCCTAGGTATCTTTGCTTTTCTTTATTTTAGCAAAAGGAAGTCATGTTAAATATTTCAGGAGAGTCTGATTTTCAGTATCTTCATTGGATTGAAAAAGACAAGGCACATTGGGTTAATGATAAGGCCTTATCTGCCCATTAGATTCATAGAACTGGGAAGGGTCTTGGGAATTGACTAGTCCCACTTCTGACCCTCCTTCTCAGAAAGTGAAGCTCACAGAGGCTAAGGGGCTTGCCTAGGGTAACAGAGCCAACCAAGGTTCTCAGCGACTGGAACCCAGTCTTTCCATCCCCCACTTCCACATGCAGCCGTCATTCCGCCCTGCCCATTCTTTTCTAAGATGCTCCCTTTTCTGCTCCTCTCGCCCAAAGTCTCCTCCTGTTTTGTGCCCCATCCTCTTCTGCTGCCTTCTCTCTCTCTGACCCGGTGTCTTTTCTTTAATACAACAGACAACAGAAACAGGTGTCAAAAAGAGATAGGCGCCGGGCACAGTGGCTCACGACTGTAATCCAGCACTTTGGGAGGCCGAGGCAGGCGAATCATGAGGTCAGGAGATCAAGACCATCCTGGCCATGGTGAAACCCGTCTCTACTAAAAAAACAAAAATTAGCTGGGCATGGTGGCATGTGCCTGTAGTCCCAGCTACTTGGGAGGCTAAGGCAAGAGAATAGCTTGAACCAGGGAGTTGGAGGTTGCAGTGAGCCAAAATCGCACCACTGCACTCCAGCCTGGCGACAGAGCAAGACTCCATCTCAAAAAAAAAAAAAAAAGACATAGGCAAGTTAAAGGATAGGCAGAAGTTAACATGACAAAATGGAACAGAAAAAAGACTCTGATTTTGAATAGACATGAACAAATGAAGCCAGGGAGATTTTCGTGGGCCTTAATAATGGTTCAGGGCTGGGCGTGGTGGCTCACGCCTGTAATCCCAGCACTTTGGGAGGCTGAGGTGGGTGGATAACCTGGAGTCAGGAGTTCGAGACCAGCCTGGCCAACACGGAGAAACCCCATCTCTACTAAAAATACAAAAAATTAGCCGGGCGTGGAGGCCTGTGCCTGTAATACAAGCTACTAGGGAGGCTGAAGCAGGAGAATCGCTTGAACCCGCGAGGTGGACGTTTCAGTGAGCTGAGAGCATGTCATTGCACTCCAGCCTGGGCAACAAGAGCAAAAGTCTCAATAAATACATAAATGACCATGGTTCAGGTGAAAAGGCAGCCTGGGTGTGTTTGGAGGAGCATGGATTTGGAATCACAGGCTCAGGGCTTGAGGGCTGGCCATGAGGCCTTGGAAAACCATAGTTTCCTCCTCTTCAGTCAACTTCACCGGGTTGTTGCGAGCGGCAAATAGGAGCATGTTTCTGAAATGGTTTTGTCATCTCTGAGACGTCATACCAGTGGTGGTTATTATCATTCCTACGAGGCTTGGAGATGTTGTTGGCTATGAGAGCAGGATGAAATAGCAGAGTGATATGGTTGCCAAAGAAAGCTAATGTGGTATCGACAGCAAGGGATGCGACTCTCCACTTGACCATCCATTTCTGGGGCATTATGCTGTGTTCAGTTCCGGGAATTGCCTTTTAAAAGGAACTTTGGCAAACTGTTGTTGTTCCAGAGAAAATCGCAAGAATAGCTTAGGGTTTGAGAGTTATGACATATAAGGGATGATTTAAGGATTTGGAGGATGTTTAGTCTGGAGGAAAAAAAAAATAAAGACTTAGCTAGAATGAGGTAGCTCTTTCCAAATATCTGCAAGTTGTCCTGCAGAAGAGAGGAAAGATTCATTCTGTGTTGCTAGTGGCCAAGCCAGGGCCCAATGATGGGAGTTAATAGGAGGCAGATTTGGATGCCATTGGAGCCTATCTAAAACTCAGACAGTTGTTCCCAGATGGACTTCCTGGGAAAGTGGTGAACTGTCCATAAGTGGAAGTCTTCAAGCAAAGGGGGCTGTTTCTGGGGACAGGGTGCTGTGAAGAGAAGTCCTGCTCTGGCTGAGAGGTTGAACCAAGTGTTCTCTGTAATCCCGCCAATTCTGAGACCACGATTGTCTGCTTCTGCTCTCTCTGATCTTTCTTGCTGATCTGCTTCCTTCACCGTTTTTGATGCCTTTGTTGACTGTCTGCTCCTTCTGAGAATGCTTTAAGGTTTTAGATTCAGAAATATTTCTGTAATCATTGATAGTCCAGTGTAACGGAAAGTAGGAAGGAGGAACATTTAAGAACAAAGGCAGTGTTGTTACTTTGATGGACACACAGTAACCTGTTAAGTGGGGGTAGAAGCAGAAACATGGTGGTGTGTGTTAGGGAGTCTTGTAAATACTACAGCAAACGAATAGGCATCTCTTATTCTTAGCTATTGTTTAAAATGCAAACACAACTGCTAAAGACCTTTGTTCTTGAATGGACCAGCATTTTCCTTGTTTATACAATTCTTTTGTTAGCTACAGAGATTCAAGAAAATTCTCACTATAAGAATTCTAGATCATAAACTGCTTTCCAGACTCATAATGTAAGTGCTTTGCTGATTTGGTTATATCAAATTCTGTACAGGAGGTGTTTTCATGATTTCTCGACTTCAGAAAAGCCATTTTCTTGAGGAAAATATTTTTCACGCATAGTTAGTGTTGCAGCTGGGAGAGTAAGAGGCTAGCTGAATCTCTGCAGTTGAGTGGGCAGCTGAGCTATTTCCAGGATTTTGTTCTGCCCCCAAGTAGCAATTATGCATCTGTCTCACAGTGCTCCACCTCAGACATCCCAACCATTATTTCAGAAACCTCCACCTAGACTCGAAGGCACAAAATAGAACTCAGCAGATCCAGGTGGAAGGAGGAGGGAATGGGTAGGAATGAGTAACATTTTGGTCAGATTCCCTGAGGTCAGAGTCCTCGCCCAGTCCCGAGGATGACAGCAGAGACATGGAGAAAACTGTGGATCAGGGCGTGAGTTCCAATGCTTTGGGAGCCTTGTTGGTCCACTGTGGCAGGAAGAGCCTAGAGAGACAACAGTAATGGTTCTTCAGATCTGGGGGACTGGCCAGTTGGGCCAGGCTGGGCAGGGTGGTGGGGTGCTGAAGAGGCAGCAGCAATCTGTAGGAGCTGCAGCGTCCATAGTCATCCTGTGAGACTGCTGCCCTATTGCAGACCCAGTCTCTGAGGCTGCTGTGTTGAACCCACATCCTGTTGCCTTAGCTCCACCTTGGTGTGCCCTTGAACCCTGGGCTCAGGACAGCTTCAGCCTGGAGACCAGCAGGTGGATTTGCTCTTGGATCTACATTCTGGAGAGAGGGACCAGCCAACTCTGATTGAAGCCCAGCCCACAGCCTTACTCCCCACTCATTCTTTTTTTTTTTGAGACAGAGTCTTGCTCTGTTGCCCAGGCTGGAGTGCAGTGGCACGATCTCGGCTCACTGCAACCTCCGCCTCCAGGGTTCAAGTGATTCTCTTGCCTCAGCCTCCTGAGTAGCTGGGATTACAGGCACCCACCACCATGCCTGGCTATTTTTTGTGTTTTTAGTAGAGATAGAGTTTCATCACGTTTGCCAGGCTGGTGTCAAGCTCCTGACCTCAGGCGATCCACCCGCCTCGGCCTCCCAAAATGCTGGGATTATAGGCGCGAGCCACCTTGCCCAGCCCCCACTCATTCTTTTATTCCAGACCTGCTTCCTCACCAGTCTCTTATGTCTAGGGGTTCTCTTCTATAAGCTCTGGTTTCTGAGCTTATAGAAGTCTGGGAAAATGGAGTCTGGGAATGGAAGGGACTTCTTACCGAGTCATTTTAAAATGCTGACTTGTCTCTGTCCTTCCAAAGTAGTCCTGCTGTCCCTGCATGGAGTGATGCAATGGTTCTCAAACTTCTGTGGGCATGAGACAGCCCCAGCTTTTAAAATACCAGATGTCAGAGGCCCATTCTCAGACATCATGATGAGGGAGAGCTGGGTGGGCCCTGGAAATCTGGAGCCCAGGTGTTTCTGATGCAAGCAGTCCCACACTTAGAGAAACATTAGAGGAAAGAACATGAATTTTGGGGTCTGAGAGAGACAGAACTGGGTTACTTATTGTGTTATGTGTTGAGCAAGTTAATCACCATTTTTGAGCCTCCTGTTTCATTATCTATAAAATGCTGACCACGTCTCAGGGGAGACGTCGGTGTGAAGATGTATATAAAGTGTTTAGCTGGGGCTTTTAAAAAATTTTATTTTACTTTAAGTTCTGGGATACATGTGCAGAATGTGCGGGTTTGTTACATAGGTATACATGTGTCATGATGGTTAGCTGCACCTATCAACCCGTCATCTAGGTTTTAAGCCCCACAGGCAGGGGTATTTTTCCTAATGCTCTCCCTCTCCTTGCCCCCCACCACTCAACAGGCCCCAATGTGTGATATTCCCCTCCCTGTGTCCACGTGTTCTCATTGTTCAACTCTCTGGAGCTTATTAAATAGGGCTTTTGGCTCTCTCTCCCCCTCCTTCAACACCAGGAAATTGGCAACAGAGAATTTCAACCCCTCCTAAACCTGACACATCAGTGGTGCCTCTCTAGCAGCGTGCACCTGTGGAATGGTCACAGAAGTGTCTGGAGGAGCACGTACATCCCCAGAGCATGAATGGCCAATCCTGATTTCACAAGCAATGGCATGAAATGACCAGGAGGTCAGAGGTCAGCCACCTGCTGTCATTTTTATTTGCAGTAAACCACAGAGTCAGGACATACACATATACAGTGCATTACAGAGCAAGTCCACGGCACTCTATGCAGGCAGATGAGCAGTCTCGAGCAGGCGACCACTGTTACAGAATAACACATCTAGGGTGGGGGAGGCAGTGGAAGTGGAAGAGCAAGAAAGGAAGGATCTGGATCCTGGTCCTGTGCTTTTAGTTAGCTACTGCCCCAATCATGGCTGGTAAAGTCTGCATTTCTGCACTGCAATGGAGGTGTGTTAGGACCTTTAGCTTCAACCTGTGCCCAGGGTCATCCCTAAACACTGAGGTTTAGCTGAGTTCCGTAAGTGGAAGCAGTGCTTCTCCACTGTGGGACTGAATTCTCTCCCAGCACACTGGCAATTCAAGAGGGCAAAAGAGGTTTGATACATGGAAGGGAAAATACTTATATTTCAGGGTTCCTGTATGTGTCTGTGTCAGTGTATGTGTATGGGTGTGTGTAGAGGTAGAGAGCTTACCTAAGAGTTTCTTTGTAGTGTTTCTTTCATGTTGGATGCCCCCCACCCCCAAATTAGCTGATTTCTGAGCATGATCAGTCAATGAGGGAAGGAAAGTAGATTCTTGGCAGAGGGGCTAGGAGTGGCCCTCCTGGGTCAGCAGGGCTTGGAGAAACCTTGGGCCTGGTGGGAGACCCATGAGGACAAAGACCCTACCTCCTCTCCTATGGCTGTGGCATTTACCCAAAGTGAAGCAAGATCGCTACAGCAGGAAGGTCGTTAGAGCACCCCCTTGTTTGACAGATACAGAAAAACAGGTCCCAGAAGCCTATAGGGCGTGTTCAAGACCCTGTAAATGAGACAGGACTGAAGCCCACTCCGTGTGCTGCTCTTGTTTTCCCAGGCAGGGTTTCGGGCCTTATCCTAACATGGGATGTGGAATGATTCCCTTCCACAGCAGCCTCTATGGAGCATTTGCCAGACTTCCCCAAGATAGAAGGTTCTTACTTGTTTTCTACAGAGAGAGAAAATCATCCATCAGGAACCCCTTAGCAAGTGGTTTCTTGGAATTATGACTGTTTGCTAATAATAACACTTTCTCTGAGATACCCACCGAACTTTGAGGTTGATGGTACAGAGAAGCATAAAGGCATAAAACTTCTTCCCATTCTATGGAAGAGGACAGCTGTGCTGTAAGCTGGGTCAGCAACTTGCTGTAAATCCTCTTCTCTTTAGTTGAGTTGTCTGCCTCTTGCCATCTGAAGAAGGCAGAAAGAAAATGTGGCACGTTTTGAAATCTGCCTCCTTGTCAAGCGACCCACACACTAGACCACACTGTCTCTATTAAGACCGTAGACTACCTCAGCAGGTTAGCACAGACCAAAAAGGGCATCAGGCCCTGTCCAGGTGAACACCTGCCTTGCCTCCTATCCAGGGTCCTGGGAGAGTTGCTTTGAAGGAATTTTTTATATGCTGATGGAAGAACCAGTACTGAATGACCGCCATCTGTTATTCAGCTGTAATCAGCAGAGACAGACTTTGTGCTATGCTGGCTGCCAACTCTGCATAAAAGGTTGGACTTGATAACATCTAAGGAAGGGCCTTTCCAACCTAAGGGGGCTATGATTTTAGAACTCCTTGCTCGTGGACTGTTCATGTTAATTGAGATAGTTTGTTAGAAACTGTGAGTCCAGTAGGGTCGTGCTTGTTGGTTTTTTGCTATTTGTTCTGTCTTTGTTAATTTTACAGAAGCCCAATCCAGCTAACTGCCATAGCCTCTAGTCCATTCTGTGTTCCTGGATCTGGTTTTACATTGAAACTGTGGTTGTTATGGCCTGGGATGTTCCACTATGTCACTATGGGTTAAACTTCCCCACAGTTCTCTCTCACAAAGGTGCTTTATGTCTGTGATGTGACTCAAGAGGTAAAGAGAAAAAGGAGAGTAGTATTGAACAGAGGGGTTTAAGTTAGACGTTGAGGCCATTTTTTAATGGAAGAAGTTGTGAGATGCTGGAGTGCATCCTGAAATTGGGCTTGGAGTATGCCCTCTGATCTTTCCTGGGCCTTTTAAGCACAGGTTTGCCTGGAGGTAACAAAGTGGGCAGATGGCCCCTTAAAACCCTTTTCTAATCCTCTGATTTTATGTATGAACATTCTAAAAATAGAACCATGCTGGGGTGGGGGAGGGTGCAGAGAGTGAAGAAAAATATGAAAATAAAAGAAAAAAGCTGAAGAAGCAGACTCTGGGTGTGGGTAGAGGTTGAGAAAAGCAGAATGTGATGGGAAAAGATGGAGAAAAAGTAATAGAACTGCATTGCGACATATTAAGAGATTAGGGTGCAGTGCCTGACAGATTGACATTCTTTTTTTTTTTTTTTTTTTTTGAGACAGAGTCTCTTTCTGTTGCCCAGGCTTGAGTGTAGTGGCGAGATCTCAGCTCACTGCAACCTCTGCCTCTTGGGCTCAGACGATTCTCCTGCCTCAGCCTCCTGAGTAGCTGGGATTACAGGTGTGAGTCACTACGCCCAGCTAATTTTTTTATTTTTAGTAGAGATGGTGTTTCACTATGTTGGCCAGGCTGGTCTTGAACTCCTGACCTCAGGTAATCCTCCCGCCTCGGCCTCCCAAAGTGCTAGGATTACAGGTGTGAGCCACTGTGCCCAGCCCAGATAGACATTCTTTTTTTTTTTTTTTTTTTTTTTTTCTTGAGACGGAGTCTCGCTTTGTTGCCCAGGCTGGAGTGCAGCGGTGCAATCTCGGCTCACTGCAAGCTCCACCTCCCAGGTTCACGCCATTCTCCTTGCCTCAGCCTCCCCAGTAGCTGAGATTACAGGCTACAGGCGCGCGTCACCACACCCACCTAATTTTTGCATTTTTAGTAGAGATAGGGTTTCACCACATTGGCCAGGCTGGTCTTGAACACTTGACCTCAGGTGATCCTCTCGCCTCGGCCTCCCAAAGTGCTAAGATTACAGGCATGAGCCACCATGCCCAGCCCAGACAGACATTCTTTAAAAACAAAATATTCACTGATGAATCCATTAGTAAGTGTGTGAATCACCCTATCCAGCCCCATTTTACATGTAGGGAAAGTGAGCCGTAATATGACTTGCCCACATCCCTATTGCCAGTTGGTATGAAGGGAGCACCAGAATTGGCCTTGCGAGAGAAGTCCAGTGCTGAGTGGAGGGAGATGAGCACATTTCCCTGGACGAGGATGTGTGGGTAGGAAGTGCCCTCAGGATGTGGCTTCGAAGCTCAGGAAAGAGAATGAGAATGGCCACAGCTAAGGCCTGCGTCTTCCTTCCCTGGCCCTGCCTCAGAGCCCCAGGCCTGGAGTGACTGACGCGGCAGAAGGGAGCCGGGCACGGCAAAGGGCCTCATGCGTTTCCTTTCCTTTCGTCAGTGGCAGTAGGAGAAACAAATCCTGTCATACAACCGTCCCTTCTCCTCTTGGGAGCCATGCAAAATATCCACTGAATTTGAAAGTTGGGTTCATGAATGGCTTTTCCTTGCTTTTTCTCTTTCCTCGTTTCTCTGAGTTCCTGAGTGTGGTTTCCAAAAGTTTCTCTTCTCCTTTAAGAAAATGGAGTCTGGGAATGGATGGGACTTCTCACCAAGTCAGTCGGAGGCAGGATGGATTTCTTGCAGATGACCTACCTTTGAGACTATCTGACAGATTTCCCTAAATGTCCTTTTATTTCCCCTTTGGGGGAAGATGGGAATTCTCATCGATTAGGTTGGTGCAAAGGTAATTACAGTTTTTGCCATTAAGAGTATAAGCAAAACAGCAATTACTTTTGCTCCAACCTAATATTTTGTCTTTCCCTCTGCCCTAGTCCCTGCTCACAAACATCTCAGAAAGGACCTTCGAGCTGGAGTCCTCCGAAATGTCACACAGGCGTGGCCCCCAGCTCCCACTCTGTTTCTATCCTTGCTCCCCTGTGGTAACCCACAGCGGTGTGGCCCCATCACAGAAAACAGCCGAGTGAAGGGGGCTCAGCACATTCAAGTGAGCTTTGTCTTTGGAATTCTTATTTTCCCCCTTAGGAAGTTGGGCCACTTTTAATCACTGGGAAATAGGAAGAAACTTTGTGCTTCCTCTTTCCTACTACAAAACGACTGATGAACAGTAGTACAAATAGGCCTCTCTGTTCTGAGGAGATAGAGAAACAAAAAGTCATGTTGCCTAGGCGAGGCAAGCACAAGTGTGCAGAGACCTAGCCCAGCATCCATCTCTGGGAAGGCCTGCCAAGAGCTCTTATATAAGCTGCAGTGAGCTCATGTGTTTGATCAGCAGATCCTGGGCTTCAGGGCCAGGGGTTAGGCTGGAGGAGGGAGCTTAGAAGAGATTGTGTTCTTCCAAAGAGGGGGCGATCTGGGAAGAAAACATGTTCCTACACTCAGAATGATGGAGGCAATTTTCATCTCTGTGCCGTCAACATAGACTTCCTTTTCTTCTGGTGTCAGTGTCAGGAGAAGAGAAGGTGATGCTTGGTGTTATGAACTCCATGGTGTGAGGAAAGGGGTGGCGAAGGGAGGGGTGGTGTTTAATGATTCAAAGGCGGGCAGATGCGCACTTGGGGTATGGATAAGAAAGCTTTCCTCTCGATGTGTAGGAAGTCAGGTAGGTGCCCGTGTAGCTCCACCGTGCACAGGCTGGGAATCTATCAGGCCTTGGTTTCTAGTTGTTACTTCTCCCTTAGGCTGTGCTTAAAATGGGAAACACGTTTCGTTCATTGACTGAGACAGGCTGAATATTCTGGCACCTGCTATCACTCATTTTTGCCTGCTTTTCTTTGGTTTGGCGGAATCACTGAGCTGGTAGACCTTTGCACCACCCACCTTGCCCACCATCTTGTCCGGAACATGTGCAGTCAGCCCATCCTGATCCCAGCAGCTACGCACAGAGCAAGTGGAATGATACCTGCTTTCCATACATTTTGCCTATTGAAAAATTCTCTCTTACCCTGCATAAATGAGCCAAAGCTTTTCAACCAGGCTTCCCAGATGTTCTCTCGGGGGTTGACACACTTCCAGATCAGTCCTGCCCTAGTGGAGGGGAGTATCTGTACATCACAGCAGCCTATCCACTCCCTGAGTCTAGCTTCCTATTCTTCACGTGATGGCACAATAACTAAAACTGTTTTTTAGCTGAATAAATAAATCTGCAGACATGGTGTTCTATTGTTTTACCTGTTCAAAATAATATTGTGCCCAACCACTCTGTAACTACTAATGCTTTAAACAGCTTTTTATTTCAGAATTAAGAACTTGCATTTTTCAGGTGAATTTCTTCTTCTTTCTTTCTTTTTTTTTTTTGAGACGGAGTTTTACTCTCAGGCTGGAGTGCAGTGGCACGATCTCGGCTCACTGCAACCTCCGCCTCCCGGGTTCAAGGGATTCTCCGGCCTCAGCCTCCTGAGTAGCTGGGATTACAGGCACGCACCACCACGCCCGGCTAATTTTTTTGTGTTTTTTCAGTAGAGATGGGGTTTCACCATATTGGGCCAGGTTGGTCTCGAACTCCTGACCTCAAGTGATCTGCCTGCCTTGGCCTCCCAAAGTGCTGGGATTACAGGCGTGAGCCACCGCTCCCGGACTTTCAGGTGAATTTCTGACTCCTCCAACTGTTTTGCATTTTTCTGTCTGGCATCATTAGTGCTTATAACACTTTCCGATTTAGTGTCTTTTGAGAATTTAGTTCATGGGCTGTTTGCTTTCCTGTTTCCAGAAGAATCAGAAATGTTTCAAATACAGCTAAGACCGTCTTTGGTTCCACCCAACACTTTCTCCTCATGAGTGATGGTAATGTCCTGATGAATTTCTGCTTGGAAACAACTGGACTCAGTCAGTTGAGAAATGACAGAGCTCATATGCACAACACCTTGAAGCCTTCCTTCAGCAATGCGGACGATACACACAACCTTCAACACTTCAGAGAGAATCCTCCGTGATGATGTATGCTCAAGTATTTTGGTGTGAGATGTCATGATACCTATAACTTACTTATTAAAAATTCAGGCCAGGCACAGTGGCTCATGCCTGTAATCCCAGCACTTTGGGAGGCTGAGGCGGGCAGATCACGAGGTCAGGAGATCGAGATCATCCTGGCTTACACGGTGAAACCCCGTCTCTACTAAAAATACAAAAAATTAGCTGGGCGTGGTGGTGGGTGCCTGTAGTCCCAGCTACTCGGGAGGCTGAGGCAGGAGAATGGCGTAAACCTGGGAGGCGGAGCTTGCAGTGATTCCCAGATCGCTCTACTGCACTCCAGCCTGGGCGACAGAGCAACACTCCATCTCAAAAAAAAAAAAAAAAAAAGAAAAAAAATTCAGTCAGAAAAAGATGAAACAGGGCAAAATGTTAACAACTGTTAAATCGAAGTGATGGGTACACGGTTGCTCACTATACTCATGGCTGCACTTTTTTGTATGTTTGAGCATTTTCATCCTAAAAAGAATTTATTCCCAGATGTTCTAATTTCAGGAGGCATATTTAACCTGTGGGGGCTTCAGGAGGCTGACAGGGAGCAGACGGGAGGCAGGAATTGCTTAGTTCTCCTAGGTCTATTATCATTACCTTAATGTCTGGTAGTAGCAGAGTACAACAATAGCAAACCCCAAACAGCGATTCCGTGACACCCTCTGTTATTAACACCTTCCATGCAAGTATGGTTCTCTGAGTTAAAAGATCTAGTTCTCAATCCCTTTACCTCAAGGATGTTGGGGAGAGAGGAAATGTTCACCAGGAAAACTTTTTTTTCTTGAAGATCATGCCATTTTCTGGTAACCAATTGGTACCAGTTTTCTTAAAAAAATAAAAAAGACAAAAGAAGTTCATTAATTACTTTGAAAGTACTGTTGTTTAGTCCCTCAACAGAAAATGCAAACTTTCTGGAATCTTCTTCCGGATTGCCAGGTATATTGTGGGGTTTTAAAATTCATTTCATTTTCTATATTCTAGGGTACAAATACATTATTATTATTATTATTATTATTATTATTATTATTTTGAGACAGAGTCTTGCCGTGTTGCCCAGGCTGGAGTGCAGTGGCACAATCTTGGCTCACTGCAAGCTCTGCCTCCTGGATTCACGCCATTCTCTGGCCTCAGCCTCCCAAGTAGCTGGGACTACAGGCGCCCACCACCACACCCGGCTAATTTTTTGTATTTTTAGTGGAAATGGGGTTTCACCATGTTAGCCAGGATGGTCTCGATCTCCTGACCTCATGATCCGCCCATCTCGGCCTCCCAAAGTGCTGGGATTACAGGCATGAGCCACCGCGCCCGGCCTATTATTTTTATTATTCCTCACCTTGTAATTCCTCTTAAGATTTCATTTTTAAAAGAATTTTGCTTTTTGAGTCTTAAAATGCTCAATTTTTTTGCATTACTCTAGGCAGTAATTTTTATCCCAAATTATGATTCACCCGAAATGTTTTTAAAAGGCCACTCCAAATCTCCACTCCACCTTTAGAGATGTTACTAAATTCTGATATTTGACTACCTGACCTTATTTCTTTTGCCCCTGATCTTTACTATGGTCTCTGCATATCTTTTAGTATGATCTTTAATACTATGTGAATACTGTGATCTGGCTGAGTTCTTCACTAGGTATCCACCGTTGTCCATCCTGCTCAAGTAGTGCCTTAGGATATATCCCAGCTGGTGCCTGGGAACAAGGACCTGGGAAGGTAGGAGGAGGTTGACATGGACCTCCTGCTGCTCAGGGCTGCTGCCCCACCTCAGTGTGCCCCCACTTCTAGACATGTGAATGCTATTTCCACTCCAGCTCTGTTGAAAAGGGAGGAGAGGGACTTGGGTTTCCAGTTTGAGAAGGGAGTAAGTCCCACATAGGGGATTAGTTTCGGGGTAGTAAATCCCTGTCCATTCCTGAGGCTCAGAGGAATTGTTAATGGCCCTGCAGGCAGAAACTTGGACTTTGAAGGCAGATACTGACAGATCTGAATCCTGGATCTGTCACTGTGAGATTTGCTCTGTTTCTCAGTTTTCCTCACTTGTCAAAGAGAGAACCATACAGGTTTTTGTGAAGTTCAAAAGTGGTCATAAAAATAGTAAGCTTTGGACTAGATAATAAATGATAGCTTTTATTTAATAACAACGTCATTAATACCTGGGGATTTCTATTTTATCATTTACTCGACTTTAGGCTTAAAAAATATTTTTTGAGGATTTCTCAGTTCTTCCTTCTATTTTTGGACTGTAGTGTTCATGCCCACCTCCCTTGCCCAAATCAATCTGCCAAAAAATCCAGTTCTCTATCTCTTTTCATCTTGTGAATCTGTATCTTATTATGCTGATCTCTTACTGTGTTGTAACTCTACTTCTGTGCTGCCCTTTTATTCTTTGTCAATTCTGACCTTATCTCTAAGAAGTGAATTGCAAATATTTCTGTCTTTCTGTCCAAGTTGAATTTCATATTTTCTGAATCATGTAGCTGCCCTCCATGTGACCTAGAAAGCCCTTTGATGATCCATATTTAGCTGTATCCATCACTCAACAGATGTCTGGGTAGTTAAAGGCCCCCATGAGCTCCCTCTACATCCTGTGGTTTCAAGTTCCTGAGTTGTTAGTTAAAAAGCTTTCATCCCCCTGCCCCCCACCCATTCCAGAGTAGAAGTACAGATACCCACTTTAGCTATTCATTCATTTATTCACTTGACAAATGTTTACTCATTACCTACTGCATGCTTGATACTGGGTTAGATGTTACCCTCTTTGTTCCAAATTGCATTTTCTTAATCTGACCCATTTAGAGTAGTCCTCCAGGTTTTCTGATGATTTCTCTGGAATCAGCATTGAGCATCCAATTAAACCGTCTCTTCTACCTGCAGGGTTTCCTGACCCCTGGGAGACTTGGAGGCTTAATCGTAAACTCTGATGTCTTGCTATAATGTACCTGCTATTCCATGCACAGATTTCAGACTTACAAAGGTTCACCACAGCTCTATCTAGGGGAGTTTAGTTCGCAGATGAGGTTGCAAGGCTCTGCTTGTCGTCCTGCACCTTGGACATGAAGAATGAAGTGGCAGCAAGGGTAGAACACCTAGCAAGTTAAGTAGCTAATTTCCAAAACCCCTTGGTTTTCTGTGTCCCTGGTTTCCCACAGAGATGCCTATGAGGAAAGATGCTTCTCTGCTTTTTGAGCTCTCTGGATCTTCCCATTAGATAGCATCTCTTGGCATCTGAAAGGCAGCTTGCCATTCTGTTCTCCTGTGGAACACAGATGGCCCAGCCCACGCCTATCACTAATGAGGATTGCATACAGAGCCTCCTTGCTGGAGGCTCCCTTCAGCAACCCCAGTGCTCCTTCCCTTTGCTGGCCAGTCACTGTTGACCATGGCATTTAAATCTGAGAAGGCTGTTTGCTGCTCTCCCACTCACAGAGCTGAACAAAAAAACCTATTAGGTGTAGGTCCTGGGAAATGAGTTGCATTCAGCTAGAACATGAAGACATTGAGGATTAAGGAAGGGATGGCTACTGATTCGATTGCCAGGGTTTTGGGATCCAGCTGTCCGTGGAGGCTGTTGAGTTTAAATATGAACAAGCACTGGAAGTTCTTCAGTAGGAACATGATTAGATGGCTATACAGAGGTTGAACAGATGGGATATCAATTTGTCAATGCCATATTATTTCAAGTAGCATACTAGTATGGTTGGAAACTATTAGAATAGAATGTTAAAGGCACTAAAATGTAGTGGAAAAAGCATAGATTTTCTTTCTCTTTTCTTTTTTTTTTTTGAGATGAGAGTTTCATTCTGTCACCCAGGCTGGAGTGTAGTGGCATGATCTTGGCTCACTGCAAACCTCTGCCTCCCAGGTTCAAGTGATTTTCCTGCCTCAGCCTCCCAAGTAGCTGGGATTACAGGCGTGCACCACCACACCTGGCAAATTTTGTATTTTTGGTAGAGACGGGGTTTCACCATGTTGGCCAGGCTGGTCTTGAACTCCTGAACTGAGGTGATCCACCCACCTCGACCTCCCAAAGTGCTGGGATTGAAGGCGTGAACCACCGCGCCTGGCTGAGCATAGATTTTCATATGAGACAGACCCGTGTCAAGTCCTAGTTCTATCACTTGCTGTCTGTTGGACAAAGTACTTCACCTTTCTATGTATGAATTTCTATATCTGTAAAAAGTACAATGCCAATATCTTAGGCTGTTCTGAAGATCAAAAGGGAAAGCACATGAAAAGACCTTGACACTGTGCCTGGCACTAGTAAGCAATGAATGGGAATTTCCTTTCTTTTTTTTTTTTTTGAGACAGAGTCTCGCTCTGACACCCAGGTTGGAGTGCAGTGGCATGATCTCGGCTCACTGCAATCTCTCACTCCCGAGTCCAGGCGATTCTCCTGCCTCAGCCTCCTGAGTAGCTGAGATTACAGGCATGCACCACCAAGCCCAGCTAATTTTTGTATTTTTAGTAGAGACGGGGTTTCACCATGTTGGTCAGGCTGGTCTCGAACTCCTGACCTCGTGACCTGCCTGCCTCGGCCTCCCAAAGTGCTGGGATTACAAGCGTGAGCCACCGTGCCCAGCTGGGAGTTTCCTTTCTTATCTCCCTTTCCTGTTCTCTCTTTATAGCAGAAAGTTGAAACATGCACTCTAATATGGTAGAACATCAAGTTGAGCTAAAATCAATGGCTCCATATGAAAGTTTGTACAATTCTGCTCTCCTGTTATATTTAAAACTTGTTGGAATTTGAGATGTAGGATAGTTTCTTTTTCCTTGCTATTGCAAGTCTGATACAGGTCTGATATTTATGATTAGAAGTTCCAAACTGTTAATATGGATCTCGGTAGAAAGGCAAAATCTGTTTGACTTTAATACTACAATCCATTTTTTAAGTTCTCAGGGCTACCAAGGAGCAATCACAACCACCATCAGCGACCCTTGAGGGTGCCAGTGAGTCAGGTCAATCCTGCCATGTCCAAGACTGGTCTAAATGGTCAGTACTCCCAATCCAGAAATTGCTCTTGGAGTCATTTTTCATTCTTTCAGAAAATAAGGGACACACCAAGAAATGCTGTTCAAAGGGAATTAATAGATTTACTGATTTAACGTTAATGCCTATGAAAACAGTTTAAATAGCTTTTGGGGCAAGGTAGATTAGTTACTGTTTGTTTCCCATCCAACCAGGTCAAAGCTTTTTCCTATAAGAGCAGGTGCATGTTCATTCCCATACATGGCAGCCCTTTCCATATTAGAGCAGCTCCAGGAGTAGTTATTAAATTGAATAGAAGTTAACCTGTCTACAACTGTGTTTTTCAGACCTGATTCTGGTCTCTGGAGTTACACAGATGAAGTCTGATCTCTACCTGCTATCATGCCTACCCTTTCATTTTTTCTTCTCTTTAATCCCCTTTCCAGTCCCTTCCCAACTCAGGAAACAAAGGGCCTAGATCATTGATTCTTGCTTGAAGATGTGTAGAGGGGAACAATAAAAATAGGCAAACAATCTCATAAAGAAACAAGAAAAAGGGTCTTAAGAATGGAGACTTGGCCGGGCGTGGTGGCTCATGCCTGTAATCCCAGCACTTTGGGAAGCTGAGGCAGGTGGGTCACCTGAGGTCAGGAATTCGAGACCAGCCTGGCCAAGGTGGTGAAACCCCGTCTCTACTAAAAATACAAAAATTAGCTGGGCACAGTGGCGCATGCCTGTAATCCAAGCTACTCAGGAGAGGCAGGAGAATCGCTTGAACCTAGGAGGCAGAGCTTGCAGTTAACCGAGACTGTGCCATTGCACTCCAGCCTGGACAACAACAGCAAAACTCTGTCCCCAGCCCCTGGCCAAAAAAAAAAAAAAAAAAAAAAAAAAAAAAAAGAATGGAGACTTCTTGTCTTAGAAAAAGCACTTTTTGAGATATTATTGTGGAGGATGGTCACTTGTGTGTTTCCACCTCCACTGAGAACAACAAAATAAATGGTGGTCTTAAGGCAGTGTTTTCTAATCTATAGATGTTGACAAATAAAGGACTCTATGGTTCTTTACTAGGAGTTCTCAGAGACTCTCTATGTACTTCCCAGAAGAGATTTAGCACTTGACCACAGAACTCTTTTTTCACGGAACATTTGATGGATGCTAGTGTTTTGGGAGACACATTTTAGGAAATTATGGTTTCAGATATGCTGTGGGGACTCAGACTGGACATTTGAAATAATTTCCTGATTGATTACTGTTAGAGCCCGGAGCTGGCGGCCAAGGAAGACTGTGAAGTTTCCTTCCTTGGAAGGTTGGTAGACTCTTCCTCCTTCCCCCAACTCCCGCTCTTTTAATATTAGCATTAGACATGCACCTGCCTGGGAGTGTTGAGGTGTAGGCCTGACATATAGGGGATCTGAGCATCTAGATCCTTCCCATCCCCATGATTCTATTTTTATGGATCCCAATTGTGGTAGTGTTGCACGGAAGGCACAGACTAGCTGGGACAGGAGGTAACTGAGAGTTTTGGCCAAGAGAAGAGGGGGCTAGAGATGGGAAAAGTTGATGCAATTATTTTTGGCAGGAGTTGGAACCAAAGCAGCAGAAGAGAGTAAGTTTTAAGACTCTCTGGCAAAGTAACTTCCTAATCTGTCACTGAGTATGTGTAAAAAAGTGATTAGTGGGTCTCTATATTTATCATGATTACTCACAAATATGTAATTTACATAATATATACAGCACATTAAGTACTATGTCACCTTATATAATGTGCATATGTATAATGTATATGCATGTTATGTAACGCCAGTCTGGAGGCTCTTCCAGGTTCTGCCAAGTATTTCCTAATTTATTTGGCAATTTTAACGTATCTTTTCCATCTGTGGAAAGAACTCTCTTGAGAGGAGCTGGTCTCTGACCTGAATATAATCATCCTACTAGGTCTATCTCCACTCTCAACTCACTGGGGAAAACCCACAAAGACTAAGCCATAATGAGACACAATTCCTAGCCCATCAGTTTAGGGACAACACAATGTACTAGAGAGTTCCTGCTTTACAGTTTTTATTGCTGTTGGGGTAGAAGCATGGGGGGCAGGTGAGAACATGTTTGTAGCATGGCCAGAATCAGAATAAGATAAGAAATAAGGGATTAGGTTCTCCCCTGACTAACCATGTGGCTTTGAGAAGTCACTAAACCTCATTAAGCCTTGTTCTCCTCATTGAGATCGAGATAATAATACCTTCTCTGCTAACCTCAGAGGTTGCTATGAGGGTCACTATGATGAGGGACTCCACCACAAGAAACCACAGTCATAGTGTTTAAAGGATGATTTGCAAGGCACGATTAAACAACAACACAAGATTTACTAAGGTTACCAAACTGGAAGTGCAATTCCACTGAAGTTGTTATACTCCATGCCTCTAAGAAGGACTTGGGATATGTCTCTCAAGCAACATTGCAAGTCCTGTGCACTAGGGTGCAGCAGGTAAGGGCCATTTTCTGCACTGCCCCTTCATGAGACCTGTGAGTCTCTGAGAATCAATTTCACCTGTTGATAGTGCCATGTCTCAATAGCCTCAATCTTGGGGATCATGGCTGAAACACATGCACGAACTTCTGTAAATGTCTTAGAATCAGTGACCCCAAACCTGAACCTGCCTCAGTTTCAGAAACAAGTGGCTTCCAAGATAGTACCTGTAGTAATTCTGGAGCTTGTTGGTCCCATCACCAAGAATACCATCATTAAAGATATTCTTCAGGTGGCCTGGTTTTCCCCTTACTTAGCATTCTGCACTGTTAGGTTGAGCAGAATGGTCCAAGATCTTGCTCCTAGGTGGTCCTTCACAGTTAAGTGCCATTTGTACACACAATCTTAATATTCCCTTCTTTGTCCAAAGCTCCTGTCCAATGCAAGATTAGAGGCAGCTCAGTGGAACGATATCAAGTGGGTCCAAGTTTCCACTGATAAATCTCAGAGAGGGATGGAGGCCCAATGAAGCTCTGCATGGCCTTGCCCTTGGGAAAGGATGGTAATGCTGGCACTTGCTGAATGAAGCCCACTGAGCTCTGCTGAGACCCCTCTGTCCTGGCTGGCAGTATCTTGCAGAAGACGCCTCAGTCCTTCTTGTGACTCTCCACTGAGGTCATCCCTGCAGCCAAGGTTGTTTCCAAACTAAGAGACTATGATGACCATGATGAGGTGACATGTGGAGAGTTCAGTCTGATGATCTGTTTAGTACCTTCGATCTCAGACCAACTTCTTTTCCATTCAGGTCAGAGAGAACCTCTGGGAAGCAGCATGAGGCGCTCGTTTTCTTGTGTGGGGATATCCCATCCACGCATGTGCTGTACGTTTGTTCCTCCCTGGCAACCTGGATCCAAGTGGACTCACTTTTCAGTGACCAGAAATGACCCTACTCTGAGATGTGTGGGTTCTTTTCTCCATTAAATATCTTTGTAACGGCACCTACTCTCAAGCTGCATTAGCCAAGACACCATGGAAAAGTCTCTGAACTTTTCTGAGACTCAATTTTCTTATCTGACAAATGGGAGAGTAAATCCAGCCCAGCAGGTCTTTCATGCTTGTTTTGAGGATCCAGAATAGGAGTTCTCGGTCTCTTCGTTCATAATAGGGAGCTACTTTCATTCCCCTTAACCCTTGTGATCACCACAGGGAGATGCGTCCTGACAATGAAACGGTGGAGTGGGGGAGTGAGAACCTTCTTTTTCCTTACCACTTTCTGTCTCATACTACCTATGTTTTTTTTTTCCAATGAGGAAAAGTCCATCAGTAAATAAATATTTATATATATATATATATAAATATATAGGCTAAATATATATATATACACGCACACACACACACACACGCGCGCACACACGTTAAGACCATCAGAAGGTCCTTCAGGTCATACTCTGGGAGTGGTGAGTGCAAAGAAGCAGGAGGGAACCGTCTCCTGGTTTCCCCAGCAAAGTTCCTTCCTTCCCATCTTTTCTGCCTTCAGGAATAGTCTGCCACCAGGGCTTGGAACTCAAACAGGAAACACGCTTTGGCTTGAAAAAGAAAGAAGCTGGGGGTGGTTTTTTTTTTCCTTCCCTTTTTACACAATATTATGACACCAATTTGAAAAATAAATCCCAGTTTCTCCGCTCTCCCTCCCAGGTGTTCACAGAACTAAGAAAATAAATACCACATCTAAGGTGTGCTATGCAGGCAGCTCTGGGGGCTCTTGGAGCCGCCTCTAAGCAAACATGTAGACACCAGGAGAAGGTTCCTGGAAAATAACAAGTGCCCACCGACGGCGCAGAAACCCAAGAATGGAAATACAGCTTTCCACAGCCTTTCTGCCTCTTCAGCAGGTTCACGGAGAAGTTGTCACTCAAAGGACGACCAAGAAACCAACGTGCGCCTGCTGAGCCCTGCCAAGGATTATGCTCTGAGAGCCGGAGGCCGTTTTGTCTCTGTACAGAGGGAACTTTGTGCAAATTCTCTGGAACCAGAGCTCCTTCCCTTGGCCACATCTGATCTCACCATAGGCAGGAAACCTGCAGCCTGCTCCTCGCGAGCGTCCATGAGGAAACTTGCAGGGCTGGTAGAAAGAAAGGGGGATTTCCCTTCAGTCTCAGAAAATTCTGCTCAAGGCCTGTGGGAATGTGGAGGTTGCTGCCTAAGCCAGCCACAACCTCATGGGCCCTAAGTCCATTCAAAATGTTTTGTTGGCACTGGCTCTGTTAGGGGTGTACCCACTGTTGAAACAGAATGTATGGCAAGGTGACGTTTTCTTCCCGAAGGGTGGCTTTGCTTCCACTGGTTAGAGAAGAGTGTGTATGTGTGTGTGTGTGTGCATGTGTGAGTGTGCACATAAATTGTGTGTGAGTGTGCATTATAGTTTCTTGCTTTCTCTCTTGGTTTAGCTGGTGTTTGGCACACTGTTTAGTCTTTTGAACGGCTCTTCCTTCTCAACGAGAAGAAGCTGCTCTTCTGGGGAGGCCCCATCATCATGGGCGCTTGGTTCTTGTGAGTAATTTTAATCTAAAAGCAAAGAGGCAGAAATGAATTAGTGGCATGCAAATCTCAGTAGCCTAAGGGAGAGTGAGTCGCAGAGAAAGGAAAGGCCAGCTTCAGGATGGAAGGAGCCCCATGCAGAAGGACAACTGTCCTTGAACGGCTTCAAAATTGGCAACTTGACCCTGACTGGGCCTGGAGTTTGGCACGGCTGGAAGTGAGGGGCGGAAGCACTGGGGAGAGACAGGTGTGAGCTTCCCACGTGGTGATCAGCTCACACCTGTCTTGTGTTCTTGGTATTCACAGACTCTCAGAATGTCACAGCCAGAGGAGACCTCAGGGACTCAATCGACCCCTCTGCAGGAGCCCATTAGAGTAGCCTAAGTTCACAAACAGAGCAGCAGCACAATTAGAGCCCAGTTCTTCAGATTCCCAGCCTCCATTGCTCCTGGTCATTCCTGCCAAGGCAGTGCTGAGATGTCAATCAAGTGACCGAGGCTTTGGTCTGACCTCTGACCAAGCACCATTATGTGGAGAGTTCCCAATTGAGTGCCTTATGTATTTCCTCTTTTCTTGGCCTTCGAGGGAAGACCCCAAATTCTTTTTAAAACTTTTTTTTCTTTAAATTTTAGGGTTTATAAGTGTTTCCTCCTGTAAACTTTAAGTCAATCAGAAGTGAAAGACACTGATGTATTCTCATTTTTGCCTTTATTCCCAACCTTATCCTCAGGTCATGGCTTTGAAATAGTTAATTCCTACCTGAGTGTGGCCTTGCCACCTTAATAATCTACATTATCCATCCACAATATTTATTAAGTATGATAATGCTCAGAGTAGGACGATGAAGTGGGAACAGGAAGCAATTAGAATTCAAAGACCTGGGTTTGAGTCCAGACACTTCCACTTCTTTGCTGTGAACATTTAGATGAATCATTGACTCTTCAGAGCCAGTGCTTACTGAACTGTAAATGAGGAGGATAACATTTGTCTTATTTTCCTCACAAAGATCAAAGAATAGATTGTCAATGAAAGCCCACTGTAAACTGTAAAATGGAAAGTAACAGTTAGTAAAATCCTTGTCTTATGGAGAAAGAGAAGGAGAAAGATGGATGTCAAAAGAAACAGAACCTATGAACTCATTCTTGTGGTTTTTACCACATTATAGGAAATGACAGTGTGACCGCAGGGAACAACAGAACTCTTGAACACAGAACCATCAACGAGTTTAAATCAATGTCGGCTAAACCAAGTGGTGTCCAAAACAAGGTGGGCATGGAATGAGAAAAGTCTGATGGGAACAAGGAGGAAAGAATTTTAAAATCTGAAGGAAGGAAAGGAAATGTGTTGATGAAAAGGGAGTGGGTAGAGAAGTCACAGATGAGCAGGTTGAGTTCAGGGCAAACTATGAGAAATGTGGTCATGGACACAGGTGGGGCAGCTGGTGTGGGGTTTTAAAGGGAGGCAGAAAGACTGGGTTCACATGAAGAAATGAGGAAGCATGAGAGATGGCATTCTGTGCTGGAGAATAACATGACACAAAAGAAAAGAGTTTGAGGGAAATTATTTAACAGCTGTTGTCAAGGTGAGCTGGGGTAGTGAGTGCCTGGCTAAGAGGGCACTACTGTAAGCCAGGTTTACATTGAAAGGGCTCCAGGAACTGTAATCCCAGCACTTCGGGAGGCTGAGATGGGCGGATCACTTGAGCCCAGGAGTTTGAGACCAGCCTGGCCAACATGGTGAAACCCCGTTTGTACTAAAAATACAGAAATTAGTTGGAGGTGGTGGCAGGCACCTGTAATCCCAGCTACGTGGGAGGCTGAGGTAGGAGAATCACTTGAACCCGGGAGGCGGAGGTTGTGGTGAGCCAAGATTGCACCACTGCACTCCAGCCTGTGCGACAGAGAGAGACTCCATCTCAAAAAAATAAAATAAAAATAAAGGGCTCCAGGAAATGGAAGGGAAGGATAGAACCAGAAGACACTGTGGACAATTAGCATAACCTGGTGCTAAAAGCTGAAAATGATCCTTATGTTGGCTTCCACCAGCCCAGAGACCTAAAAGGGGAGAGAGTCTCTGTTTTTTGATAGTCACCAGAGGAGAAAACCGAGAATGCATCAACATCATTTTGTGCTGTGTGTCTTATTGTGGGCATTATGTTTATCCCAGGACGCACGGAAGCGAGGCATAGGCTGGAGACTGGAGACTCGGACAGCACTTATCTGTGGCATGCAATGTAGCATTCTTTGTTCCCCTGTGGAACACGTTTGTGGCATGTTCCCCTGTGGTCAGCCTTCTCTCACTCCTGATCTCCCATGCCCATGAGGGGAAGGACTTCAGCTTATTCACCACGGCACTCTCTGAGCCAGTGCAGTGCCTGTTCAGGGTACAACACACTGTGGAAGTACTGACTGATAAGCCCTACGTGCTGGCAGTGGAGATGGCTCTGTTGGAAGCAGAGGATGGTAGCTGGTGCCTACATTTCCCGCTGGTAGAGCCCCTCCCCCACATTTTTTTATTTTTGAGACAGAGTCTCGCTCTATCACCCAGGCTGGAGTGCAGTGATGCAATCTCGGCTCACTGCAACCTCCACCTCCCAGGTTCAAGCGATTCTTCTGCCTCAGCCTCCTGAGTAGCTGGGACTACAGGTGCTTATCACCATGCCTGGCTAATTTTTTTATTTTTAGTAGAGACGGGGTTTCACCATGTTGGCCAGGATGGTCTCGATCTCCTGACCTCATGATCCGCCCGTGTCGGCCTCCCAAAGTGCTGGGATTACAGGCACCAGCTGCCGCGCCCGGCCTTTTTTTTTTTTTTTTTTTTATTTAGATGACACAAGACCCTTGCTTCTCTTTTTTATCCCTTTAGCTGAGCTATTTATTTGCTAGTTAGTACCTCCAGGGCACGGAAGAGGAAGTAAAACTCAAATCTCTCCTGCTTGTTTTTCAGCGGTTCTGACAAAGGTCTTGACAGGGTAGGAGTCTGGGGCTCCTGGGTAACATAATATTTTGGTCAGCTTTGTGGATTCTATTACTATAGAACCGAAAGAAGTATGAAATCATATCCTCATTTCCAGTCAAAGAGATATCAGTCCCTTACCCTCAAATTAGGGGCTAGCAGGTAAAATAGTTATGATCCTATTTTAGGAGGTAGTTGGATGTGGCTAAGCCTGCCTTTTCAAACCCTGATAGAAAGAGGTCATCCCACGTTTCTGTAGTTAGCACCCAAGCTTCTTTGGTAATTGGGCGAGTCAGGCCATTAACTAAAGTCTCCATGATTTTCTTAAAAACTATTCACATCACTGACAGCACCTGGCCAAGTGCTAAGATCAGCAGCTTAGTGCATAGTTTTCTGTTTGATCACAGAGAGAATTGATACACTAGACTCTTGCATGATAGTTCGAAGTTCACAAAACTATTACAGCATGTAATTTCCCCTTTAAAATAGAATAAAAATGTGAACTTCACTAGTGCTGGGGATTGACTTTGTTGGGGGCTGTTTTCTGCAAACCAACACATTCTTATTACTTCAAGAGAAGCAAGAGATTGAGGGACTTCTTCCTGAATGTTGCCTTCTCAGGGTGTGTAATTCAGATAATGCCTAGTAAAATGGCCAATAACCTGAAGTGTGAACCCTTCCCAAACCATTTGAAAGGTGTCTGAGGGGCCAGGCGCGGTGGCTCACGCCTGTAATCCCAGCACTTTGAGAAGCCCAGAGGGGCAGATCGCATGAGCGCAGGAGTTCAAGACCAGCCTGGGGAACATGGTGAAACTTCGTCTCTACAAAAAATACAAAAATTAGCTAGACGTGGAGGCGCGCCCTTAGCTACTTGGAAGGCTGAGGTGAGAGGATCGCTTGAGCCTGGGAGGTCGAGGCGGCAGTGAGCCGTGTTCTCGCCACTGTACTCCAGCCTGGGTGACAAAGTGAGACCTTGTCTCAACAACAACAAAACAACAAAAAAGAAAAGTGTCTGAGGTCTGCTGTAATTTGAACTGGAGATGCATAGAAAGGCACAAATCTGGAAGGTCTCAAATAGTCTCTGCGATATTTTAAAAGTTAAAGAAATATGGTGAGCCTAAGGGAGGAGGAAGGTTTGCATGGCTTTCCGGTCTTAGTTGTTTCCGGGCTCTCCAAGATCCTAGAATGTGCTGCTTCCTGACAGTGTTTCCTGCCATCAGAGGCCTTCGAATGTAAATGGACAAGGCCAGGCGCAGTGGCTCACACCTGTAATCCTGGCACTTTGGGAGGCCGAGGTGGGGCAGATCACCTGAGGTCAGGAGTTTGAGACCAGCCTCGCCAACATGGTGAAATCCCGTCTCTACTAAAAAATACAAAAATTAGCCAGGTGTGGTAGTGGGCGCCTGGAATTCCAGCTACTTGGGAGGCCAAGGCAGGAGAATCACTTGAACCTGGGAGGCACAGGTTGCAGTGAGCCGAGATCGTGCCATTGCACTCCAGCCTAGACAACAGAGCGAGACTCTGTCTCAAAAAAAAAAAAAAAAAAAGAAAAGAAAAAGAAAAAAAAAAGAATGTAACTGGACAATCAGGTTTTGCAGAGGGTGGGGAAGAAGTGTGGGATTTATTGATGAGTTGGGAAGTTCAACTACGTCATTAGTTCTCAAAGTGTGGCTCATAGGCCAGCAGCATCAGCATCACCTTGGAACTTGTTAGAAATGAAAACTCTCTGGCATCCAGACTTACTGAACCAGAAAATCTGGGATGTGGCCCAGCAATCTGTGTTTCAGAACCCCTGTAGGTTATGTAGATGCATACTCAAGTCTGAGAATCACCAGACTAGATAAGTAGGATCATCTTTGACTTTGAGATTCTGCTATCGTCTAACTCTGGGAGAAGATTCTGAATTTTGAGGCTCAGATTATGCCACCTAACTGTGATGGTGAAGCACGAGAGATCATCTTACAGTGTAATAATAATGAGACAAGTTTCCCGAATAAATATATATATATGTTTGTATATACATATATAAACAAATATGGGCTTCTGTTTTTGTTTTATTTTGGTTTTGTTTTGTTTTTGTTTTTGTTTGGTTTTGAGATGGAGTCTCGCACTGTCGCCTGGGCTGGAGTGCAACGGCGTGATCTCGGCTCACTGCAACCTCCGCCTCCCGGGTTCAAGTGATTCTCCCGCCTCAGTCTCCTGAATAGCTGGGATTACAGGCACCCACCACCATGCTCGGCTAATTTTTTATATTTTCAGTACAGACGAGGTTTCACTATGTTGGCCAGGCTGGTCTTGAACTCCTGACCTCGTGATCTGCCTGCCTCAGCCTCCCAAAGTGCTGGGATTACAGGCATGAGCCACTGTGCCCAGCTGAAACCTTTCCCTAAATGTTGGGCATTTTAAGGAAATTTTTAGGAAATTTCCAACTTTTTGCAATGATAAGTAATGTAGACGTGACATTCTTATATATCAATCTCTCTGTATTTCTGGTAATCTGTATTTTACTTAGAATAAATTCCTAGAAGTATATGAACAATTTTTAAAAGTGAAAGTAAATGAACTAGATCAACGTATATTAATATTTATAACAGTTCTTGACACATGGGTCTACATGCTTTTCAGAATGGCTGTAACTGTTGATACTCTTGCCTCACTGTATGAGTGTCCTGGTCTCCCCATACCCTTGACAGCAATGAATATAAAGACAAAACAGCTGTGCTAATTGGTCAGTGAAACATGGCATGCCTTTCTCACTGTTTTAATTTGAAAATCTTTTCTTCCTTTTTTAAAAACTTGTGATATTAAATATTATTTCATAGATTTATTAGCCCATGACACTTCTTCTATGAATTCTCTGTTCACTATTGCATTGTTAGTATTTTTTTTTTCCGCTGGATTCTAATAGCTGGTTTCTTTATACCTTGTGAGAATTAACCTGATCTTTGGGATAGCGATTGCAAACATCTTGTCCTTAGTCTTTCGAAGATTCTATATTGATTTTTGACTTGTAGAAATTAAAATTGGTTAACAGTCAAATATGTCCCTTTTTCCTTAGAAAATCCCTGCCCCCAGTGTAATTATGATCATCTATTTTTTTTCTGGTAGCTAAGAACATTTAATACTGTAATTGAACTGGGGGGCTTTTTTTTGCTTTGGTTTTGTTTTTGGAATATAGTTTGAGGTGAGAGGTTCTATATAAAGACATTTTCTGAAACGCAATTTCTTGGATATCATATGCTAAACAGTTCATGCCTACCTAATTAGTTTATAATCTTTCTCTTTCCTTCATTAGTTTTTATGTATACTAGGGTTTCTCAAGGCTTGCTTCTGTACTATTGATTTATCTATCCATTATCATGCCAATAGCATGTTATTCAAATTATTGTGGCTTTATAATTATTTTAATATCTTGCGAGAAGTTATTTCTCAGCGTTCTTTTATAAAACATCCTAGAAATTGCATTGTTTGTAGAGTTAAAGAAACAATTGCATTGGGATTTTGGGATCCCTGTTCAGGAACATGGGATGTTCTGTGTTCAAATCCTTTTTTTTTTTCTTTATTGGTTAAATCTTATAGTCATCTTCATGCATTTTACACAGTTCAGTTTAGTATTTTATGTCTTTTATTGCTTATATAATGATATTTTAAGCTTTAATTATATCCTTTGAATTGATTATTGCTGGTATACTATTAATATTAATGCCGGAAAACTTAATATTTGTCCATTTTTTCTATAGGGTTTTATTGAAGTAATTTATCCTTTGAGGTTTTCAGTTTATTCTATTAGCTTTTTATGTTCATAATCATACCACCTACAAATAATGACAGTTTTGACTCTTTTCCAAATAATTATATTTCTTTTTCTAATTATATTTTCTAATTACATTTCTTTTCTGCTTCAAGTATATATTGCATTGGCTAAAATTTCCAATGTTAAAAATACATGTCTTGTTCATGATTTTAGTGAGAATTCCTCTAGTGTTTTACTATTAAGTAAAATATTGGTTATGGTTTAACATATATTTAACAAAGGTATTCATTAGTAGGGGAGAAGCTTTCTGATCTTAGTTTTCAGGAGTTTTTATCTTTAAAAATCAGAAATGTTGAATGTAATTGAATACTTTTGGGTCATCTATTTTATCATGTAGTTTTTCTATTTAAACTAATAGTAGAAGACTTTCCTTTGTTCCTTTAATATGCTCATAGGGGTGAATGATTCTTTTAATACATTGTTCAATTCTACCTACCAATACTTTTAACTAGAATTCTTATGTCATATTTATATATAGTCTATAGTCTATAGTCTTCTATTTTTAAATGTAATTTTTGTTAGGTTATTGCATGTCTTCATTTCATAAAATGGATTGAGTAGCCTTCCATCTTTGTCTGTACTATGAAACAGTTCACCTAAATACGTATTTCCTAGTAGTATGGAAGATCTCACCAATAAGGCCATCTGTTTTAAGATCATTTAGTATGTAATTCTTTGAAATAATTTAGTTTCATTAATGGTTACCAGGATTTTCATTCATCTTCTTAAGATGTTCAAGTTCATTAGAATCAAGATGATTGTATATTTTGTTTTACAATTTTTTTTCTTTTGAGACAGAGTCTCACTCCATCGCCCAGGCTGGAGTGCAGTAGTGTGATCTTGGCTCACTGCAACCTCTGCCTCTGAGTTCAAGCGATTCTCATGCCTCAGCCTCCCGAGGAGCTGGAATTACAGGCATGGGCCACCATGCCTGGCTAATTTTTGTATTTTTGGTACAGATGGGGTTTAGCCATGCTGGTCAGGCTGGTCTCAAACTCCTGACCTCAAGTAATCCTCGTGCCTCAGCCTCCCAAAGTGCTGGGATTATAAGCATGAGCCACCACGCCCGGCCTTGTTTTATATTTAAATAAAGCCACGGACACAGTTATATTTATATTTTTATATTACATTTATATTTTTTACCTTTTAATATGTTTGATTCCTTTCTCTTTTAAAAATTAGGTTTTCAAACATTTGACATATTTTAAGAACTAGTTCTAGAGTTTCCTGTTTTTAGTTATTTTCTTCTTTTATCTTTATTATTTTCTTCCTTCTGCTTCTCCTAAGATTGTTTTATTATTGCTCTTCTAATTTTAGTATTATTCATTACATTTTACTTCTTTTTTATATGATGGAAGATTATGAGGCTTTTAATTTACTTCCAAATATAGTTTAGGCTATATTCTATAATTTTTAAACTGGAGCCTTCTTATTTTTGTAATTTTTTGAGTAATCTACCATGGTGGCTTTGATCTCCTCATAAATCTCTTGTTGTTTAGGAGAATTTTTAAGTCTCCAAGTGACTAAATTTTGTTTATTCACTTAATCTTCTATTAGTAATTTCTAGCTTTATTACTTTGTGGTCAAAGAAAATGACCTTTATAATTTCTGCAACTGGATTTTATGGAGCTTTTTGCCTTGTAAACTAGTTTATGATCTAGTTTAATAAATATGAATGCCTGAACAAATATGATATTTAATTTCTTTATGAGTTATAGAGTTATTTCATCCAAGCATTTATTTTTTTGCTACTTAACCTCAAAGATGGAAACAAATATTTTCAAGCTTCTCAATATCTGTCTGTCAATTCTATATCAACCTTTTCTCAGAATATGTATTGATAGTTTTTTATATATTTTGATTCTGTTATTAAATATCTAACATTTTATGACCACTATATCTCATAATTGAATGTACTTTTTATCAAATAAAAAATGTGTTTACTTATTCTGCTTTATGCTTTAGGCACATGGAAAGGTTAGTTTGCCTAAAATTAGCATAATTAACATTACTATGTCTTCCTTTTAATTTCTTTATACCTGATAAAGGATAAAATAAGATATATATTATATATACGTATGTATAACCTTTCATTTTAGATGTATCTTTTGTAAGAAGCATATATTTGGATTTTCATTTTTAACTCAATATGAGAGTATTGATCTTTTAATAGGGAATTTTAACTCATCTATTTTTCTTTTATATATATATTATATATATACAGTCTTAACATCATTCAACTTGCTTCAAAAAATTTTTAAATGTTGGCTTATTTTTTGCTTTCTATCCTGTGCTACATTAATAGGGTTTATATATTTTAAATTCTTCCAGATTTGAAAGGTGTGCACCCTATTTTTAGTTTCGCTAGTGATTGTCTACCTATTAAAATTATCTTCTGATTTATACGTTTTGTCATCAAAGTGAAGAGAGACAATGAGAAACTTCACATATCTTTACTATTCCTTCAGCAGTGTCTCCTGCATGTTTTTGGCCTTTGTTAATATAATCTCAGGTTTGGGATACAGGTTATTAATATTTACATGATATGTCTTCTCTTTCAAAGAATGATTTTTTGCCATTTGCATTTATTGCATAAACATATTTAGCAGGTTTTTGGAAACTTCATTCTAATTTCACTGGTTTCCATTTTTACCAAAAGTTCTTTTGGGCTGTGATAGTCCATTCTTAAGGCTTTAATTTTGAATCACTTCTTAGTTGGTGTATACCTTCAAGAAGATGTTTCAACAAGGGGTACATGGGTTTTAACCCTTGCAAGTTTAAGAATGATTTTCTGTTACCTTCTGTTATGGAATAAATTGTGTCCCCCCCAAATTCATATGTTGAATTCCTAACCCCCAGTGTGACTATATTTGTAGGTAGGGCCTTTAAGGAGGTAATAACGGATAAATGAGGTCACAAGGGGCGGGGGGGCCATAATCCCTTAGAACTGGTGTCCTTATAAGAAGAGAAAAGAGTGTACAAACACAGAGGAAAAGCCATGTGAGGATACAACAAGAAGGCAGCCGTTGGAAGTTAGGAAGAGAGGCCTCCCCAGAAACCAGCCCTTCCGGCACCTTGGTCTTGTGTTGTCAGCCTCCAGAACTGTGAGAAAATAAATTTCTGTTGTTTAAGCTGTCAGTCTGTGGTATTCTATTATGGCACTCAAAGCAGACGAATATACCTTTACATACGGATTTCTGGGCCTCACACTATGAAATCATTGGTTCACAAATTTTTTCATAGTGAGTTGTAATCTCTAAAGGGTGGTATGGAGGAAGGGTGGGTGTGGGCATAGGGAGAAGCATTTGGCTATTTCAAAATCCAGTGCTTGAATTTATAGGAATAGCAATCCAGTTTTCAGCTAGGACTGAACCAGGTAGGAGAGGGTTTGATTTCTTCCACCTTTTTTTTTGTAGGGGGGTTGGAGATAAAAGGAACTTGGATAGATTCTTCTCAACTCAGTTCCATCAAATGATAAATAGTAGAAATTCCCTCTATGCGTCCTAACTCCAGCAAGGTGGAAAGCTATTATTTGATATAGTGTGTTTTCATTTTTTTCTTGGTCTTCATAAGATTGAGGTAAGATTTTTGCAGAGAAATTTCTGTTTTTGATAACCTTTATAGAAGATGCTACCTTTTCTCAGCAGGTTCATGGAAACCTTCCTTTAGTAGAAGACAATTTGATGTTCTGGAGGGCTCAAAATAGCAGGTGATCAAAGTATCTGAATACTCCACTAGAGTGAGGAAGCTTAGAAACTCCACTTTTGTCTTTTGAAATTTGCATAGCTGCAATCTTATTGAGGGTATTACGCATGTAGTATCCCAGCAGAGGCCCTGAAAACCAGGACGACGATTGCTCTTCACCACGAGATTCTAGCTGCATTTCTAACTGAGGACAAACTAAGAAGGAAGGATGCATGGCTCCTGTCCTAGTGCTAAAGGGAGAGCTAACGGATATGGTAAGTCTGGGAATGGAGATAGTCTATTTTTGTTAGTTCATTTGTTCAGTCTTTTATTCATCATTTGACATGTATTATTGTGCAACTATTACAAACCAGGCACTGTTCTACGTTCTGGGTGACAGTGCCATAAACAAAATAGATAACCTGCGTGGTGACTCATTCAGTGGAATTTTCAAGTAGGTTATCAGGGCTTTGGGTGCACCGACTGGGAGGCATGTCTGTGCTCTGCGAGGAATTTTCTCCCGGGAGCTCCAGCAGTCAAAGGCGCTACCCTACCAAATTCTAGGTAAGGTAAGTGTGTAGATTTGGCTTCCACGTAAGGAAGCAATTTGACTTGTTCATCAGCAGAACAGTCTTCCTTTTGAGGTAGTAAATTCCTTGCCATTGACATGATTCAAGCTGAGGCTGTCCAGGATACAGTAGATGAAGTCTCAGAATTCACTGACTAGAACTGTGAACTCCTCGAAGTTGGTTCTATGTCTCATTCAATTTTGTGACCGGCGCTTCACAGTGTCTGGCATATAGCAGGTTTTCATTAAGAGTTGCCAGGTAAATGAGTGGATGGATAATAAAGTGGAAGAGGGGTTGCACTAGATAATCTTCCACAGTCCCTGTGACTCTGAGATTCAGTGATTTCATATTAAGTCAGTGCCCAAAAGGGCTCAAAAATAAGGCTTCTCATCCCCATCTCAAAGATTGGCAAGACTCACCGTGCAACATGGCTGCATCCAGGGTTCTCCATCCACTTGCATTGGCAGCAGCTTGTTTGTCCTGGAACCCAGAACACCAAGAGAACACAGTGAGCTTTTTCAAGTGGGAGAATCAAGGTTATTCCCACCAGGAAAACAGAAGTAGGAAAACCTTATCTGCCTACCTAAGTGTGGTTCTCTAAGACTCTTTTGGAGAACTTGTTAAAAATAGATTTCTGAGACCACCTCAGGGAGTCTAACTTGGCAGGTCTGGGGGCCAGGCCCAGTGGTCTGTGTTTCTGTGTCTGTGTGTGTGTGTGTGTGTGTTTTGAGATGGAGTTCCGCTCTTGTTGCCCAGGCTGGAGTGCAATGGCATGATCTTGGCTCACTGCAACCTCTGCCTCCCGGATTCAAGCAATTCTCCTTCCTCAGCCTCCCGAGTAGATGGGATTACAGGCATGTGCCACCACACCCAGTTAATTTTTTGTATTTTTAGTAGAGACGGGGTTTCTCCATGTTGGTCAAGCTGGTCTCAAACTCCCGACCTCAGGTGATCCGCCTGCCTTGGCCTCCCAAAGTGCTGGGATTACAGGCATGAGCCACTGCGCTCGGCCGGGTCTGTGTTTTAATAAGCACTACAGGGGATTCTACTGCCTCGGTCCTCAGACCCCACTTTGAGAAATACTGCTGTGGATGAGCAGTGAAGTCCACAGAAGTCTGGGATACAGTGGCCAGTGAGCGTGGCAGCGCCACCACTGAGCAGGTGCTCCTCAAACAGTCAGCTAGAAGGCCCAGAGTACGTGCCAAAAACTCCACTCTGAAAGGGGAATTGGCCTGGTCTCTATGTTGAGTGAGAGGTTGCATCATGTCAATGAGGTAATGTCTCCAATTTATACAACATACAGCTCAGGTCTGAGTGTGTCTTGCCTTGCAATCTATTCTAACCTCAGTCCTGGTTTTTGTTTTGTTTTGTTTTTGAGACAGAGTCTTGCTCTGCGCCCAGGCTGGAGTGCAGTGGCACCATCTCGGCTCACTGCAAGCTCTGCCTCCTAGGTTCACACCATTCTCCTGCCTCAGCCTCCCGAGTAACTGGGACTATAGGTGCCTGCCACCATGTCCAGCTAATTTTTTTTTGTATTTTTAGTAGAGACAGGGTTTCACCATGTTGGCCAGGATGGTCTCGATCTCCTGACCTCGTGATCTGCCTGCCTTGGCCTCCCAAAGTGCTGGGATTACAGGCGTGAGCCACCGCGCCTGGCCCAACCTCAATCCTTTTTAAAAATCTCCTGAATAAGCACACTCTGGGGTTGCATGGACTGTGGGCCTGGCTTACCTGGGAAAGGGGGTCATCTAGGAATACTCTCCCCAGAGGAGAGGTGAAAGTGTTGCCTTCTTGCTTGAGGCAAGGCTTTTCTGACCTTGGCATATGAATTTTTTAAAAAGAGACAGGGTGTCACTCTGTTTCGCAGGCTGGAGTACAGTCACATGATTATAGCTCACTGCAGCCTCGACCTCCTGGGCTCAAGCGATCCTCCTACCTCAACCTCCTGAGTAGCTAGGACTACAGGTGCACATCACCACACCTGGCTAATTTTAAAATCTTTTGTAGAAGGGGGTCTTGCTATGTTGCCCCTACTGGTCTTGAACTCCTGGCCTCAAGCAATTTTCCCTCCTCAAGCTTCCCAAAGTGTTGGGATTACAGACGTGAGCCACCACAGCCCGCCATAGGTTTTAAAAGGAGAGAGATGAAGTCTTCTGACTTCCCTCTGCAGAAGAGTTATGAATTCATAATACATTGCTTTTGGAAGAAAAGGCAGGCTCTTTTGGAGGCCTCTGGTCTGGGTGAGCAGGGAACAGTTATCACCCATTGACATAGAAGCCCTCACCTGGGTATGGCAACTGTTCTGTTCTTGAAATTATAAAATGGGAGGGAAAAGCTATCTTCTGATGTGATGATTCTCTGATTGACCCTGAGGGTATTTAATAATAAAAACAATAAATCTACTAACAAAAACAAGAGTAAAGAGTGGCATTTTGGCTCTTGAGGCTGGGGATAGTATTCAGGAAATGGCCAGGAGGATGGGGCTCCTGGCTCACCCCCTCTGTTTCTATCTGGAAATAGAGCTACTGAATGTGAAGAAAAAGTCCTCCTCCTTATACATGGCTTTCAGATTCCTCAAGGATCAGGATGTTCTGTTCTCTGTGGTCTTCATAAGTTATGGCTTAGATGTGTTAACAGACTGGACCTCCTCAGTATTAGAGTCCTGGAGAATAGACAGGCCTCAAGAATTAATCTGGAAAACAGGGACCCCATCATGACAACAGCTCAGAAAGAAAGGAGAGCAAAGCTTTGGGGAATAGAAAAGACAGAAAACAAAGAGGGGAAATGAAGAAAAGGGGTCAGTGGAGCAGACCTTCAGCTAAGAGACCTCAGGGAATCCGCTCTGGGGACCTTTCTGAGGAATGCAGTGTGGTGCCAAGGGCAGAGTTTCTTCCAATGTGCTCTGATGACACTTGCCCAGGAGGTTCTGGGAGAAAAGAGTTCTGTGGTCAAATACCTTTGGGAAACCCAGTATCCTGTGGACTCCTCTCGGAGATCCCCAAGGCATGTTAATAGATTTGGTCCATAGTAATTCAGTGAAAAAGGAAAGGAATAAAGACTTCTGAAATAATCAGGTGGGAGAAGAATCTCAGACAAAATGTGATGAGCTGCATTGATTAATCAGAGGCAACTGAAATCAGAGGATCCTCTCGATTAGACTTCATCTCTTCCAGGAGCCTACAGTGGCTAACCTGTGTGGTCCATCCCCTAGAGTTGTCATCCTGTCTGTCAATTATGCCAGTTTTGCTGATGTTGATGGCTTAGCATACAAAGGTGTATAGGAAATAGTGTTTCTCAGGTCACTGTCTGAGAAGGAGTAGAGCAGAGAAGAGACATCTTTTTTTTATCAGAGTGTGCCCTCTGGCATCCCTCTGCCATCTATCTAACATTTTAATTTGCAAATATAAAAACACCAAGGAGTTGGACCTTTGGTTCTCTGGACCATTTAATCTTATACTCCTGTTTAGAGAACTTCACCAGCTCAGTTTAACAGAACAGCAAACTGGTTGTGGTGTGTCCTCCAGTTGATGTTTTAGATGGGCGCATTATATCCTGTTTGGGAAATGGTCTACAAAGACGTTCTTTACAAACATTATCAAGCTTTTGTGCTGCACTCTCCCTGCCCTAAAATCCAAAGATGGCTTCTCAGTTGTCTGCATGAATGTGTACGCAGGCGGGGAGATGCAGAGGCTGTTGGGTGACAAAGAGGCATACCTGATGGTGACAGAGGCGCACTGGGCCAGCCTCCTGCCTGCACTCTTCAGGCCGGTGTAGATCTGCCCCATCTCCATGGCTCCTTCTAGCCCCACCACTTCAAGGAGCTGGTCACTGAGGTCTGCAGAGCGAGACAGCAAAAGTAGTGCATACACATCTCTGTGTTCCTCAGACAAGTTCTGGCCAGAAAGTCTGGTCCCCAGATGGCCAATGTCTGTATCCCTTCATCTCCCACCAAACACCTTTTTCATATTCACTCTGAATAGGGTGTTTCCCCAAAGATCAATAAATGTACCTTTTCATGAGGAGATGGTCAGTTTTAGTGAAAAAAGATTTTGATTCAGACATCATATATATCCAATAAATAGGTTACCATATCAAGAAGTCTCTTCAAATGTAGAGTGACATAAATGATGAACCAGCTATTTCTGATTATTTTCAACCCCTATGCAGCTAAAGACATATTGGTTTGGAACTAGGATAGGAAGGAATGTTAATGAGGGCCATTACCCAAAGCTGGACCAAGTCTCTCTTCTCTGAATGTCTGAATAACATTTGGCCCCACTGACAATGACTGATGGTTAATTAACCTCAAATTTGGCCTGTGGTAAGCCACTGGTGAGCCAGCCTCCTTGGACGTCCTCAGGAAAACCAATGACCTCTTTCAGGACACCAGGTGCCTAATCCAAGCCAAGGAAAAGAACATTTCACCAACATCAGAGTCTGTGAGCCCACAGTAGAAAAGGAGGGGCAGGAAGTAGGAGGCTCAGGCTCAGAGTCACTCAGGACCAGTGGTCTCCCACAGTGGGATTTGCTTCTCATTCACAACCTAGATGAGGTCCTTTTCTTCAGCATTGCTGAGGCTTGGATGGTGCTTCCCCAGTTTCTTGTGAAAGCAGTAGCAGGATTAATGTTTGATGTTGGGCTCAAAACTCACTTTTCCAGCACAACTTTCATTTATTTAAAACAGAAGCAAAATAAAACGGCAGATTTTAAAAAAGCTTTCCATTCCTTTGCCTACCAAGGCAAGAGTAGCTTTCTCATAAGTTGTGGCTAATCACTAACATCCTCTTAATATCCACAAACTAGAAAACTGTGTCTATGTTAATGCTATTGCTTATATAACAGGTGGCTTCTGTCTTCTAAAGTGCCTCCTGGTATAGTATAACAGTGTTAAGATTGGCAAGGAGATATTTGAGTTTGTCTTTACTCTTGTTTAGAAGGCTAACTATTGTTTAAAAAACAATCTCTTGACGGATGTATTCCTAGTGAAGACAGTTAAACAAACCATTGGGCTGACCACAAATGTGTCAACATTGCTAGTCTAAATTACTGACGATCACTAATGGACATCACTAATGGACATCAGCTGCCAACAGATACACGGCTTGCATCAGTCTTTCTGTGACAGGCACATAGCTTTCCCCCTCTACATCTACTGACAATCACATTCTGCCCTAGTACTCCTTTCTTCATGTTTGTGAAAAGATACTGTCTCCTTAAACACTCCATCTCATTTGGACTTGGAAAAAGAAGCCAGGAAAGGGTAATGTTTGTTTAGGAGAATGCTCCAGGCTCTCTGAAGGAGTTTGGACCTAATAAACAATGAATGTCTAAACCTCTAGTCACTTAATTAGCCTCCTTCTTACCAAAGAGGGTTGAATAACGTTGGATGGTCTAGCTCACTGTGTCATTCCAATAGTGTCTGTGAAAACAACATGGGCTATAAATGTGTGTGTGTGTGTGTGTGTGTGTAAGATAAAGACAGAGAGAAGGAGGAGGGAGAGGAAAAGGGTGAGGAGGAGGAGAGAAAGGTATAGAGTATGTCTAGGGGTGAGGGGGTTTGAGGGTTGATGTTGGGATAGGAGAGAGGGGGAGAAAAGAGAAGCAGAACTTTGCAGAAGTCTCTTGAGTGGCAGAGACAGATGTCTTGGAAACTGTTGTTCTTTGTACCAGGCTTTGGTGTCTGATGGTGCTGTGATAGTCCAATGTTTTCCCTCCTTAAAACATTCCCTGGTAACAAAATGTTCTAAGAAGCAGGGGACTTAATAGACTCAAGTGTTTCAGCTTTACAATGTCTTGGTCTTTTAACAAATTTTCCCGTTGAATGGCTTTAACTCCGAAGTTGTTATCACTTCCCACACATTACCTTGCAGCTATCACTTCCCACACATTACCTTGCTTCCTGGCTCTAGAAGAGAAGTAATGAAGGCTGATCTCATCAGCATGGTGGGTGGGTGGGGGCAGGGGCTTACACAGATGTGGGACTGAGGAGATTTGTAGGGAAAGGGGCTAGGATCTTGGCATACTGTTTGCCATCCTGCCTTTGAGTTTTCCCTGGTGTAGAGAGGCTGAGATGACTACCACTGAGGCAGGACCTGGTTGCTCTTTTACTTCTCTACCATTGCCGAACTCATCTTTCCTTCTACTTCCTAGAATGCCTACAGAGGTCTTGAGGTAAAGAAATCTATGTAACATTGTTTCCCAAAGTTATAAGACCACAAGACCCTTTTCTTGTGTGTGATGCCTATAAACAACCCACCGCTTCCATTTTTTAGGAACGCATTTTGGGAAATTCTGGCATCACTTAATCCCCTTTACTTCCTCTATCACAGAGATACTCAGGTACAACTTAAATTTGGAGTTAAAATGAAAAAGAACAGAATGCAAGTCAGTGTCTAGGCACACAGAGGAATTAATGTTTAGATTGAGACATCTGGTATACCAGGTGTCTGTTTTACCTTAAGCATCAATGATTCAGGGTGTGATTTTGGCAATTCATGTCATCTCCATATTGTCTTTACACTCTTCAACTGACTAGTATTTAAGATGGAATGTGTATGCACCTTAGTAAAACAGGAATTCACTCACTCACTCACTCACTCACTCACTCACTCACTCACTCATTCAACAGTTACTGAGTAACAACTCAGTGCCAGACACTGTCTTGTAAGAGTTGGGATGCAAAATGTTCTATTCTTGAAGGGCTCTTAGCCAAGAGGGAGAAACCAAGTTAGGTGTAGAAAATGCTGCAATTGAACTGCAGGATCAAGGAAGCCTGAGTGACTGATTCTGCTGGGGCAAAGTACAGAAGGCAGGTGTCCCAGACCTCTAAAAGAGGTCTTCAAGGATGAATGAGCGCCAAGGTAATTTTTGGGTTGAAAAGAGGAAGGAAGAAGGACATTCCAGGCACAGGGATGATCATGTGTGGGGCTGGAAAGTCACAGGATGAAGAAAAAAATAATTAAGCAATAAACCTACTTGGCAATTTCATTGGAAAATATAAAAAGTATTTTTTCCTAAGGAGAATTACTGTCCAGAGACTCTTTTTGGCCAGAGCTAGAGGAAGAGGGTCTCTGGGCCAGCATGAGCTTGTCACATCCATAGAGCTAGGACTTTCAATACTGCTCTTATTTATTCCTTGGTAGCAAAGCCTTGTACAGTGTTTTGTGTGTAGTGAACATATAATATAAGCACTCCAAGAAAAGAGGATGATAACAAATGGGAAAATAGAAAAAGGAGAATGTGGAGGCAAGGGAGGAAAAGCAAGGACAACAGTGGGGGTTCCAATCTGGCCCATCCAGTTCAGCCTCCAGGAAATGCAAATCTGATTATGTCATCCCCATATGAAAAATCCTCAGTGGCACTCATCATAATACCAAGTGCTGGCCAGGCATGGTGGCTCACGCCTGTAATCCCAGCACTTTGGGAGGCTGAGGCAGGCGGATCATCTGAGATCAGGAGTTCAAGACCAGCCTGGCCAACACGGTGAAACCCCCTCTCTACCAAAAATACAAAAAACATTAGCCAGGTGTGGTGGTGGGTGCCTGTAATCCCAGCTATTTGGGAGGCTGAGACAGGACAATTGCTTGAACCCGGGAGGCAGAAATTGCAGTGAGCCAAGATTGTGCCACTGCACTCCAGCCTGGGTGACAGAGTGAGACTCTGTCTTAAAACAAACAAACAAACAAAACACCAAGTGCTGGGGAACGGAATATGCAGTGTGCATACTTTCACACTGAAAACGTAAACTGATAGGAAGGAAACAATTTGGCCAATTTTACTAAGTATAAAACTTCCTTGCTGCTTGATCCATTAATTTCTTTCTTGGTATTGATCATGAAAATCACTGATAGAAACTAAGTTCATACAAATATGTACATTGTGGCATCATTTGCAACAGGAAATCTCCCTACCCCCATTTCTTCCTGTATGGGAATAGTTAAATAAGTGAAATAAGTGATATGGTATCTATATGATGAAATTTTTTTGCTGACATTAAAATATTTACAAAGTTTCAATAACATTAAATATTGTTTATGTTAAAATGTTAAGTGTGAAGGCAGGATATAAACTTACTTGTATAGCATTCTCTCAACTAGGTAAGAATATGCATAAAAGAAAAGGACAAATCCCAACAAAATCTTAACAGTGGTGAGTTCTAGGTAATTAAATTAAAGGTAATTGTTATTTTCTTCTTTACGCTTTTTGGTATTTCTTATTTTTTATAAGTGTGCATTAATGTTATAACAAAAGTCATGTATAAAAACATATCAACTGCTCTTCACAGTTATAAAAATAATGCTCACATTCCCTGGTTTGATGCCCAAGGTCCAATTCCCATCTGGCAAGGGGCTGCCTCTGCAGTTTTACTTCCTGTCTTTGTGGGGCTAGATGCCTGCCGCAGACATACACAACATGTCATTCCCCAGGCAAACCCTACTGTTTCCTCCTCTGTGCTTTTACATGTACTCTACATATACTTTCTCCCACTTTCACTTGTCTATCAAAACTCAGGTCAAGTGTCATCAACTTCCACAAGTTCAAAATGAACTTCAAACTTCTGTGCCTGCAGTTTGACTTAGATGCTCCTCCTCAAACCCTCCCAGGTAGATATAGTCAAAGAAAGAACAAGGAAGATAAGGGCATTGATGATATTGGCTGTGGGCAGGAGATGGCTGCAGTAATTACTGTGCCACAGGGTCTGGGTTGAATAGGAAAGGAGATGGACTGAATGAAAAGGGAGAAGGTGAGTAAGAGACTTAAGGAGTTCTAGAAAAAGCTGTTCTGAGACAGTGAAAGAGAGGGTTGGGGAGAGGTGCTGTGAAAAGCACTAGCCGATGCACAAATTCCACCTGTAGTCCCAGTGGTGGGCAGCTGAAGTGGATGTTGGAGGGTGGGATTAGAGTCTAGGAGAAATGAGGCTAGGCCAGTGGTTCCTAAACTTTGCTGAGCGTTAGAATGACCTGGGGAGCTTTTAAAAACAACAATGCCAGGTTGCACCCTATACCAATTAAATCAGAATGTGTGAGCATAGGAGCTAGGCATCGGTCTTTGTTTTTAAAGATTTCCAGATGATGAAAAAATGAGCACAGTTTGGGAACCACTGGGCTAAGTTATTGGGTGGATCATTCCCATTGGTCAGTGGTTCTCAAAGTCTGGTCCTGGACCGGCAGCCTCAGCATCACCTGGGAACTTGTTAGAAATGCAAATTCTTAGGCCACACCCCAGACCTACCCAATCAGACAGTCTGGAGTTTGGGCCCAGCAGTCTGTGTTCTGACAAGCCCTCTGGAAGATTCTGAGGCGTACTTAAGTTTGAGAACTTGGGCCTTAGGCAAGAAAACTGCCCAAAATATATACAGAAGTTGGAGTGAAGAAGAATGTCAACAAGTTATTTCATGACTGCTTTGATCTATTGCTATTTCAATGGAAAATTTGAAATAATAATATTGACCTCAAAGTGGGGTTATGAGATTTAAATGGCAGACCTGAATGTGAAAGTGGCTGGCACAGAGTGGGCACCCAAAATACATTAGTTTCACTTTCCTTTTTCTCCACATTCACCCGGACAACTCCCAATGGTCAGTCTATCTACCTTCTTAGAGCTGTGTACAAGAGTCCCTAGGCCGTAATATTAAGGCTAAAACCATTTTCTTAAATCTTCAATATTCCTCATAGTTTTACACTTCCTGTAAAAGTCAGAACTCCAGATGAGCTTGACACTGATGAGTAAATGCTAGCAGAACACTCTGGGAAACATCTGACATGTCCAGTCTTTCTTTGGGAACATCTGGAAGCCAAAACAAACAAACAATAAAAACAAAAAACAAAAACAATGTTCAAGTTCCTTAGCTAGGTGTGCAAACATCCCTCTGCTTGGACAACTCCTGTTTAGCCTCCTGGGATGCCCCAAGCACCATGCTAGTTCCTTCTTCTGTGCTTAGATAGTGGATCTCACCCAACAACTGTCTCTGTACATATCACTCTCTCAACTCCATTGCGAGTTGAAGGCAGGACTGTGTTCTTGTTTTGTTTATCTTTGTATCTCTAGCAACTAGACCAGCCTTTGGCATATAAAAGGTTCTTGATATATGTTTGTTGAATAAACTGAATAATATAGATGCTTTAGAGCCAAAGACTTTGACAGGTTTGGCCAGAAGAAGGAAAGAGATAATAATCAATAATAATAATAATAACTATAGTTGTCTGCAGTTATCAATGGGGGATTGGTTTTAGGACCCCTGCAAATACCAAAACAGATGCTCAAGTCCCTGATATAAAATAGTGTGGAATTTGCATATAACCAGTGCACATGCTCCTGTTACTTTAAATCATCTCTAGCTTACTTATAATACCTAACACAATGCAAATGCTCTGTAAACAGCTGTTATGCTGTATTGTTTAAAGAATAGAGACAAGAAAAAATGTCTACATGTGTTCAGTACAGGCATAACCATCCATTTAGAAAAAAATCTTTGATCTGCTCTTGGTTGAAGCTACAAATGCAGAACCCATGAATATAGAAACCTGACTGTACTTGCCCAGATTGTACTGGGTAACAGGCTTTCCATGAATTCACTCATGTAATCTGCATATGACAGTCAATTTCTACCCAGCCTGGTTTTTGCCTCTCTCCTTTATTGCATAATTTTTCTGTCCATTCTCATCCCAGTTGCTTTTTTTTTTTCCCCCGATATTTGGAGTCTTGCTTTGTCTCCCAGGCTGGAGTGCAATCGCATGATCTTGGCTCACTGCAACCTCTGCCTCCCAGGTTCAAGAGATTCTCCCACCTCAGCCTCCCAATTTTCTGGGATTACAGGCACCCACCATCATGCCCAGTTAATTTTTGTAGAGATGGGGTTTCACCATGTTGGCCAGGCTGGTCTTGAACTCCTGATCTCAGGTGATCTGCCAGCCTTGGCTTCCCAAAGTGCTGGGATTACAGGTGTGAGCCACCGCGCCCAGTGCCCGCTTGCTTTTTTGCATTAGTGAAAATTCAATCAATCATTTAAGAGGCAGGGGAATCTCTGGGTGTCCTGATTTGGACTCGCCTTTTGCAATGCCTTTGGGAAGTGTGGGATATCCTTAGCTTAAGAGGATGCTTTGCTACCCTCAATCCCACCCCCACTCCACTTCCCCTTCCATCAGCACACCAGGGTTCAGGTCTTGGGGCTGCCATGGAGCAGCCCAGGGAATCAAACAACCCTGAATGGAGGGGCAGGGCCCCTGACTATGTATGGAGCCAACAGAATTTCTAAACCACACCACCATGGTGGCAAGGAAGCCTGCCCCATACCTTAGAGCATCTGTGTCATGTGATAAAACCTGTGGGCCCTGTCTGTTTACCTGGGTTACAGCAGCACTGGCGTGCTGAGATGTTAGGTGCTATTGTTTGGGCTGGAATCCTGTCAGTTCAGTGGGTAATGCTAGTTAGCCAATGCTCATGTTGAGCTCTTACCGGGAGGGGTATGCATCTGATTCATTAGAAATGCAAACAGGAATTTGTCACTACTTAATAAATAGCCACTGATAGAAAAACTGTAGTCACAGAGGTAAAGAAAAAAGCTGGGAAACTCTACACTAAGTTCTTGAGGATGGGACTAATATCTTAATTGCTGTGTCATTTAGGGTAGGTCATTTGTTCTCTCTGAGCCTGTTTTCACATCTTGAAAATAGGGGCTGTATTAGTCAGACCAGGCTTCCACAAACAAGCAGCCACAGGCTGGGGGCCTTAAACAACAGAAATGTATTTTCTCACGGTTCTGGAGGCTGGAAGTCCAAGGTCAAAGTGCCAGCAGGGTGGGTTTCCTCTGAGACCCCTCCCTTTGGCTGGCAGCTGGCTGCCCTCTGGCTGCCTCTTCACAGGGCCATTCCTCCATGCATATGGACCTTGGTGTTTCTCTGTGTTTCCAAATCTCTTCTTATAAGGACACCAGTTGGACTGGATTAGGGCCCACCCAAATAACCTCATTTTAACTTGATCACCTCATTAAGGCTCTGTCTCCAAATACAGTCACAGTCTGAGGTGCTGGGGGTTAGGGCTTCTTTGACGCACGAATTTTTGGGGGACACAATTCGGCCCATACAGGGATAATCATAAACCCTACTTCACTGTGTTATTTTGAGAACAAAAGAGATAAAGAATATGAAAGTGATCTGTAAAAAGCCATGTCCCTTATCATTGTGCTACTGAGAAGCTGACAAGCGCTGGGTGTGTGTGGGAACCTCTTAACCTCCTCAGAAAGAAAAGACACAAGCCCAGCTCTGCTTACAGTGGGGCCAGATTCAGTCCCCACAGTCTAGACAGGTGAGTGGGAGCTGTCAGGCCTCTTTGCAGACTTAGCCCACTAAGGCGCCGGCAGGCATGTCCTCGGGCTCCTCTCCTGCCTCCAAATTTCCATGGAGATGGGCATGTGTCCTTGGTGGCTTGGGCACTCAAAGCCCAACAAGGCTGGGCACTGCTCAGCTCCTCTGAGCCTCCCAGTTGGACTGGTCTGCACAGATGAAACACTGCTCCTGGCGAAAGAGCTTCAAAGTGCAGCTCAAAGGCAATGTAGCCTGAAAAAAGCCTAGGGGTGGGGAAACGGAAAGAATCCCTAAAGACTGTTTCCTGATCTTCCACAGGGCAAGGGGACTGGGGTTCCCCAGGAACAAACGAGTAAAGAAGGAAAGCTCTAACTGGTCCATCTTCATCCCCCATGTTCCTGCCTGGCCTCTCAAAGCACCAGGCCTTCAGGCATCCCAACCATAACTAAGCTGAAGAATACTCTGTGATTAATGCTTTCCCCAGAGAAACTGACCCTGTCATGAGGAGAGAGGCAGAGGGCTTATTCCTTGGTCTTCCATGAACCCAGCACAGAGAATGTACCCCTGTGACAGGTTGTGAAACAGCACGAGCTTCGGACAGAGTTGGGTCTGATCCTGTCACTTGGGAGAAGACTCTTAACTTTTCCGAGTCTGCCTTTTATCTGGAAAATGTATTAATAGATACAATAAGTCACTGGCAGGGTTGTCTCGAAGTTTAGAAGGGATGCCCTCAAGTACCTTGTATGAATAGGATGGGATCAGAGCAGCACACAGAGGGCCCTCAAGAAACACTTGCTCTTACTGCGATTTTATGTTTCTTTAAAAAGGGATGTACTCAAGAAGTTCCGACTTTGCTACACAGTAAGTGCATGGCCTTCTGTAGATGGTAATTAATGTAACTTAGAGAAGGTTATGGAGGAAGAGGAAGGCAATGAAAGGGAGGGAGGGGAAGGATAAGTGAAAAAAAGGAGAAGGTTGGGGGAGGATTCTGAAAAAGAGAAAGGCAGAGAGACGGTAAAGAGCAGAGAGATTATGACCTTGAGAATTTAGGGTGACTTGCCCCTCTGGCAAGTGAAGCATCTTTATTCCTTTTTTTTCTTTTTACTCCAAAACAGGGAGGAGCTCACCCTTTTATCTGAAAATGAACTCCCCTCCTTTCCCTGCGGCTGTGTGTGTGTGTGTGTGTGTGTGTGTGTGTGTGTGTGTGTGTGTGTTGCAATCCCACAACCATCCAGGTTGCCTTCTCTTGTTCCTGGGCTGAGCAAGGTGGGAGCAGAGCAGGTTCTAGACATCTTTAAGGCATGGGTTGGATACTCTTAGGCCAGTTGGGTACCCCGCTCCTTTGTGCCATGCCCTTGCCACACTGGCTTGTGGGTTTCTGCTACTCTCAGGGCTCTGTAAAGCCCCATCAAAGCATGTAAGTGGCCAGAGGGCATTGAGTGGCCTTTGAGTCTGGATAATCCCATTGGGAAGAGTTAGGAAGGAGAAGCAGGGAGAACCACTGCTTTTGGAGGAGGAGAGGCCTGCAGAGCCTGAGGGAGAAGCGACATGTGGGCCCAGCGGGCAGGACTGGAATTGTGGTGTCTGTTCTGGCTCTGTCTAATTGTGTGACCTGGAAAAATCATTTCCCTCCTCAGGGCCTCAGTTTCCTCCAGTTGAGGATGGAGGCATCCTATCCCTAAGGTCTATTTATGCTTTTCCAGCCAAGATGGAGGCTGGATTTCCTAATGGGCTGAGTCAAGGGCAGATGGGTAGGAGACCTCACCTGTTCTCACACTGTGCAGAAGACAGAACATTCAGTACAGCCCTACACTGAGGCAAGAGAAAGTGTGAGGCCCTGCACACAATGGCCATTGTTGTTGGTTCCTGAAAACCTGCTCGTGTGGTGGGTGGGACGGGAAAAATGTGTCCTCCATTCTGTGTGGCTTTATCTTCTGGGATTCTCCAGGGCTCCGATGAAGGCGCTGTATGTTGTGGGAGGTGGACTTTGAAAGCTCTGTGCATGAGGGTCAGGTGCTTCAGAGGGGGAGGCAGTGCCCCGGCAGAGCTGTGTGGTGGGGAATGTCCCAGTGGCTCTGAAGCAAGGGTCTGACAGGAGCCTGCCTCTAAGAGAAGCCAAGGGTGGGGATGTCCTTTAAGGCCTGGGAGCCAGCAGAGCTATGGAATCTTGATCTGGTGGTCCCGGTGAGGTCCAGTGCTGGGCACAGACTCCGCAGCCTAGAGCTTTACAAAGGACAGAAGCAAGAATCGACACATGGGATCTAATTAAACTAAAGAGCTTCTGCACAGCAAAAGAAATGATCAAGAGAGTTAACCGACAGCTTACAGAATGGGAGAAAAATGTTGGAAACTATGCATCCAACAAAGGTTTTTCTTTCAATCCTTGTGGCAACTCCATTAAAAACTACTATCCCAACTTAACAACAACAACAAACCCTTCAGGCTCAGAGGCTAAGAAACTTGCCTAATATCAGATAGCTGGCATACCCTAAAGCTGGAATTCAAACCAAGGCCCGATTCAAAAAATAAGCTCATTTGAAAGGACGCAAGGCAGAGACAAAGTACCTTGCAGTGACAGGGTACCCGAAGGCAGGGAGGTGAGCTTGGGTGGGGGTGAGCCTCTTCTCATCTCCTCTCAGGGAAGCCTTGGCTACATGATCTTATTAAATGGAATGCTGAATTCTTTGGCTCGAAGGTAAAATACTAGTTGGTATATTATCTGGCATTACTTTACCCACTGAGCTCAGGAATCTTATTCTGGGTACACTGTATGTAATAAAATAAATCAATTAGTGGTAAGATTTTCCACCTTAACTCAATCCTGATTCTCAGGCGTGGCATATACAAGGTACATTCCAGAGATCTGCACTGGCCAAACTTATCACAGCTCAACAGGCTGCCTACAGCACCTACTATTGAGAGATCATCTCAGAAAGATCTTATAAGGGAACTAATCACATTCACTAATATCATCTCAGATTCTCCAGAAAGACAAAGTTGGAGGAGAGTCACGACAGGGAGGGCCTTATTCTGGTGGTTGGGTCAGGGTTGGCCAGAATGGGGGAGGTGTGGGAGGGTGTTGGGTGTGTGTGGAAAGAATCCTATGTTTGGAATACTAGGATTTGGGCTCTAGTCCCAGATCCACCAGCTAACGCAGTCTTGGATAGGTCAATTAACCCTCCCTGGGCCTTGTTTTTCTAATCTATAAAATATTCCTCGGGGGTGCTGTAGAGGATTAAAATGAGACGATGAATGTAAAATATTTCTGGCATCTAGTGCTAGATCCAAGTAAGTGATTAACACATGCTGGATAAATAGACCTGAGGATGAAAAGAGATGGGCGCTGGCCTCATGCTGGAGGTGCAAAGGGGCAAAGGTCCCTGCTGATGCCTCTGCTCTGCTAACAGAAGCCCCTGGTGATGGGGAGAGGTTTGGGCGTGGAGGCAGGCAGGAAGAGGCTGAGCTTGTTGGGAGAAGGAGCAGGGGTCCTGCTGGGTGGTTTTTGGGGAGGGAGGAATCACCTGTGTGGCAGTGTCCTCTGTCCATCCCTTGCTTACTGTTGGCTTTGTCCATTCTTCCCCTTTGGGTTGTTGACTCTCAATTTGAGGCCTTGGAGCCATAAGCCCGCATTCTGCATTAGTCTCCTCACTGGCCTTGTTACTGCCAGGTTCTTCCCCTTCCTTCTCATCCAAACTGCACATGACTCTCAGATCCTATTGCTCCCGGCTGAAAAAGCTTCATCTCTTCTTATTATTCAAAGGATCATGTTCAAACTCCATGAACAGTCTCCATCTTCCGGTCTTTGCTTTGCTACTTCTGGGTTTCAGTGCCCAGCCCATGTTGCCTTTCTTTTACTCCCTGTCTTTTCAAATCTTTTTGAGCTCCCAGGACTAACACACATGCATTTCATCTTGTTCATTCATTTGTTCGTCAAACATTTGTTGATCACCTACTAGCTGCATTGCATGGTGCTGGGCAGCTGGGGCACATGTGCTGAAGGGAAGACCTCCTTGCCTCCCACACTCTTATAAACTCATCTCTTCCACTCCATGGTGCTTGCTCATTATGCCAATATTAACACGATTGTTCTAAAGATATTTCTTACATGTAGATAGTAGATTGCCAACTACTTGAGGCCTGGACCATATTGTTTTCTTGTCTCCTCCTCTGCAGACTTGGAGCACCTTAGATACTTGAAGACAGGTTTGAGTCCAGGCTCTATCGTGTGTTATCTGTGTGATTTTGGCCCAGTCACTTAATCCTACTGAGCTTCAGTGTCCTGAGACATAAAGTGGATTAAATAATTATGCAATGGTTTTGTCCCATAAGTAGGTATTCAATAAATAATAGCCCAACACATATTTGCTGATTAAGAAGATTAAACCCTGCTATGGACTGAATGTTTGTGTTCCCCTCCCCCCATATTCATATGTTGAAGCCCTAATTTCCAATATGATGGTATTTGGAGGTAGGCCCTTAGGAACATAATCATATTATGAGGGTGGAGTCCTTGTGAATGTGATTAGTTCCTTTATAAGAAGAGACCAAGAGAGATGATCTCTCCACATGAGGATACAGCAAGAAGCATCCATCCGCAAACCAGGAAGAAGACTCTCACCAGGAACCAAGAGTGCTTGTGGCTTGATCTTGGACTTCCCAGCCTCCAGAACTGTGAGAGATCGATTTCTGTTGTTTACGCCACACAGTCCATGGTATTCTGTTACGGAAGCCCAACTCACTAAGAAAAACACTTCTTGCACCAAATAGAAACAGATCACAGAGAATACCAACATTCAGGCTGTGCAGAGCATGTGGCCAGGACGGAGTTTTGCTGTGGGATGGAGCTTAGGTGGTGCCCAATATGAAATGGTCTATGAATTCTGCAGGGGAACAGAGACTAGTTTGGGGGTCAAGATGGGCAAGTGCAAGAGGGAAAAACTAAGGTGTCTAGTCCTGCCAAAGAGCCTAGCCTAGAATTTTCTTCTGTATGTGAAAAGTGAAAGGTTCCTTGGCTCTGTGGTTCTATTTTGAGCAGCAAACCTCCTGAGGCAGGAATTAAGTTGGAGTTCAACTCCAGCTCAAACCTGTGTGAGCAAGTTTTTCCTCTGCAGATGCTGAGCAGCCTCCTGAGGCACATTTCCACCTCGCCAGGCCCTCCCAGGTCTTGCAGAAGGGAGTGGGAGAGGGGAGGAGACACAGCTGGAGTCAGAGTCTTCTTCATTCAGACGTCAGCTGAGAAAGAGTGAATGATTGCTTCACTTGAATTTCCAGTGAATTTGAGTTGGGTCAGGACCAGCCAGAAACTGCGAAGCTGGGGTCGGGTTGGGGTGGTTACTCTGGGGTTTGTAGAAAGAATTGTACGTTTGGAATACTAGGACTTGGGTCCAGTACCAGATGCACCAATTAGTGTGACCTTTGATAGGTCAATTAACCTCCCTTGGCTTCCTTTTTCTAATTTATAAAATTTATTCTTGATATTCTTTGGAGGAGAAACCAGACCTACCAGTGCAGTTCTTCTCAAAAACTTCAGCGTATGTGCGATCACCAGCAGATCTTGTTGAAATACAGACTCTGCTTCAGTAGGCCTGCAGTGGGACTTGAGAGTCTGCACTTCTGACACACACCCATGCAAGGCCAAGGCTCCTGGTTCATGGACCACACGGCGTTCTAGTGCAGGGATTGACTAACCATGGTTTGAGGATCAAATCCAGCCTGCTGTTTGCTTTTGTAAATAAAGTTTTATCAGAACACAGCCGTGCCCGTTCATTTAAATATTGCCTATGGTGGTTTTCATGCTAAGTGGACAGAGCTGAGTCGTTGCATCAGAGACTGTATAATGCACCTAGCCTAATTATTTTAATAGTTACTACATGGCCCTTTGCAGAGAAGGTTTGCCAGCCCCTACTGTAAAGGACTGAGGATTGGTCTGTGTGAGCCAAAAGATCTGCATTTCTATCTGGGTTTGGCTAAGGGCAAGCCACTTCACCTTGCTGGTACTCACTTTCCTTATCCAGGGAACAAAATAATATCTACATTTCCTTATCCAGGGAACAAAATCATATCTACATTCCTAGGCAGCCTGTGATTCTGGGATTTCAGTATTATGTAGAAAACATCACAGTTTCTATAGAAATAGGCATCTGAGAACCACGTTGAATGGCCTGCATTTGGAAGCTGCAAAAACATACCTGCCCTAACCTGGCAGAGTCTAGCAAGTCAGATCCCGCCAGATGCCATGAGAGGTCTGCGGAAACAGACCACAGCTACTTTCTGATGTAGAGTCAGTTGGGAATAGAAAAGGGCTTGAGAGGAGAGAAGAGTGAGAATTGGAGGCCGACCTCCTGAGCTCCAGTACAGGTGGATGCTGGCAGAGGGGCCCTGGCACAGCGCACGCCAGCATCACTCACACAAATTCACTCTTGCTGAGAGACCAATTCAAAAACAATCCCCTAACTCACTGCTCCATGTGCCCCTGACTGGGTGCATTTGGTCAACCAATATTGACAAGCCCTTTTGAGGCCTCTGAGACTCTGCCAGGCACAGGGATACAGAAGGGATTATGACATCTGGGGCCTCCTGAGGGCCTCACAGTCTGATGGGAGAAACACCATGTAAATAAATAATTATATGAGAGTTCCTCAAGCCAGTCGTGAAGGGAAACATGTGACTCTGGGTCTCCAGCTTGGGCAACAGGTGAGACATCAATAAGGCAGGGAACATGGGTACGGGGAGGAGGCAGTGTTTTTAGGAGGGGGAAGGATGTGTAAAGATGGGGAAGATAATGACTAGTTTGGGGCATGTTGATTTCAACGTGGGCTGCTTGAAGGACTAAATGACAAAGCTGTGATTTCCTGTGAAAAGCAAAACAGCGTCTCCGTAGGCCTGCAAATGTTGAACGGGAATGACATGTATGTTGCCATGGTTACTCCCCAGAGCTAAGAAGAGTCCCAGTGCACACACCCATAGTACTTCTGGGGCTCCCTAGGGGTCACCTGTCTTGCTCTGTCTCAGCCCACAGGAGAGACCTGGGCCAGAGAGGATCTCTGTTAAATGCAAACTTTTTAGGAACATTTTTATTTTCTCTCAACTCGGAAGAGTGGTGGCTGATCATTTCTCACTATGACTGTCAAATCTCCACTGAATGGGAAAATTGGGAATCTACAGACCTGGACAGCTCCTGAACCCCTGAGGCCACATTCTGGTATGGCTTCATAAAGGTGAAAAGAAAGCCATGAGAAACAGTGAACTCGTGCTCACAATTATTTTGGCGTCTCAGCTGATCTCTAGTTCCTCACCTGGGAGTATGAATCTGAGATGGCTGAATGGCATCCCATTCCCTTGCTTTGGGATTCAGGGCATAGTCCATACAATTAGTGAGAATCCACATGGGCACAGTGCACAGACAGATTGAACCATACGTGCTTGCAAAGTAGCAGAGCCAAGGTATTGCCCTTCCCAGGTAAAGTGTTCACATCTAGGAGGGCAGATCTGATGACTACACGTATTTGCCTGAAGAGTGCTTGTGCCTGCTCTGCTCAGTTGGTTTGAGTGCTAGGCTAGTGAGGCCACGGGCATGCCTATGAGCTACACACTGGCTTGCTGGCCTTGCCTGGGCTCTGGGTAGCTAAGCAATTCTTAGTACTTAGCATAGTTCCTAATTATATGCCTGTCTGTGGGGTTATTTTATTGAGGCCTGGCTCCCCCACACCCAGTGGCTATAAAGACTATGTTTGTTTTTGGTTTTGTTCACCGTTGTACCATGGTGCCTGGCACGTGGTGGGGGCTTTGTAAGTATGTGTTAAATAAACTGACAGGAAGCCTGTCCCCACTGCTGGGAAAATGACTCAGAGTGAACACTACCGAGGGTATCTGTCTCCCTGTCTTTGTTTACCAAGAATTGCAAAAAGTATTATCTAGTGAGATCCTGGGGAGATTTTGTGCTACCCATTTATAACCTTCTCTAGTGGCTGGGTGTGGTGGCTCACACCTGTAATCCCAGCACTTTTGGAGGCCGAGGTGGGCGAATCACCTGAGGTCAGGAGTTCGAAGCTAGTCTGGCCAGCATGGCGAAACCTAGTCTTTACTAAAAATACAAAAATTAGCCAGGCACAGTGGCAGGCACCTGTAATCCCAGCTACCTCGGAGGCTGAGGCAGGAGAATCACTTGAACCTTGGAGGCAGAGGTTGCAGTGAGCCGAGACTGCACCATTGCACTCCAGCCTGGGCAAAAAGAGAGAAACTACATCTCAAAAAAATAAAATAAAACATTTTCTAGGACACACCATTTGCAGTTCAAATAGGATTGACCAAGAAATCACTGAGAGGAAAGTTGCTTTAATATCAGACAGCCAGAGGGGCCAGGTGTGGATAACACAGGCTCGAGACCACTGCTGGCTTGAGACTGAAGGCTGGATAGGAGCAGGCATGAGGATCAGTGAAGAGTCTGAGGAAATATGCAGGAAGCCTCTGCATTTATATTTTAGGCTGGGGCCAGAGAGAAACAATGGCATAGCTCCCCAGGACTTTGCTCCTCAACCCCAGGGGGACCGACCCAGCCTTGTGCCATGCCCTTGGTGCTTCCTCAGGATCCAAGACTGGGCACCCTCCCCCTCCCCTTGCTTCACTGGACAGCCAGCTCAGGTGGAACTCCACATGGGCAGCAATAGCCAAACATGTGTAGGCACAGAGCCAATACATAACCCTAGAATTACAGGTTGTTAGAGCCACAGGCAATTTAAAGATAATAGATGAAATCCTGAAGCCGTAGTCAAGAGAGTGAAATTCTAAATTTGGCCCCTTTCTTATATTATAAATACCTTCCCCCACACCTAACAATAATTCTGATTACTGCTGACCAAGGGCTCACCAGGTTCCAGGCACTCTGCTCAGTCCCTACATGGATGATCTCATTTAACCCTCAAAACAAGGCTGAGGGAGGGAGACCATACTTGTTTCCATCTTGTAAGTGTTGAAATGGAGGCTGGAGATGTCCAGGGACTCATCTAATCCATGACTGGTGCTGAGAAGCTCTGGGTCTTCTGAATTCTAGTTCAATGGTGAGTCCCTACTCTACCCTCTCTCAATTGCAAGTCCTCTAAGCTATATTTGAATTACCTATTTGAAAATGGCCAGCACATCTTACTTATCAAATGAGTTTATAATAGCTCCATGAAATTAAATTCTCAGCCTCACAAATACTCACATGTAACTCTAAGATTTTTTTTTTTCTAAAGATTTTTCACTAAGTACCTGTTCCTGTCCTACTCCAGAATCTACTGCCCACTGGCAAACTGGAGGCAAGATTCTTTCCCCTCTCTCCCCTCTTCCAACAAACGTTTCTGTAGAACACATGTGAGCCAGGCAGGGTGGGAGGCTTTGAAGGGGACACAAAGATAAAGAACATGTGATCCTCATTTTCCAGGTAATGGCAGGGAAAACATATGATGAGAACACACATGCCCGTGACACAGGCAGACTTCTGATCAGTGTACTGATGAGATAGAAGGCAAAATTAAGTGCTCAGGGAATTCACAGGCTGGGCTCGCTTCCAGCAGCCATTAGGTAGGCCTTGCAGAGGGAGCAGAATTTCAACAAGGAGTTGTGGAGCCTTTCCTCGGACTGGGTCTAAATACTTCCTATTTCCTGAGTGCGTGGCTGATGCAAGACACACAGTAGACTCCCTAACGCATTTTCTAAACACTAGCCACTTGGGCTAGGCTAGGAGTCATGGGCTTGAATCTTGGTTCTGATGCCACCACTGGACGTAAATTATATAAATCCTACCCTTTCTCTGGGCCTTGATTTTCCTCAACTATGAAATAGGGATATGGAGGAGGCTGGGTATAACCTTGCTCATGGGTTTCGGGTTAGGATTACACTAAGTTAATACATGCAAAATTATTTGCAAGCCAAAATGAAATAGAAATACAAGAGACTGTTTCTCACTATTCTTATTGTTGTTACAAAAACTAAAAAATAGCAAATTCCATATGCTTCTCATGTAGCTAAGAACCTTTCTTGGGGGGGGGCGGGGTAACTACTTGAGGCCAGGCACTGGGGATACAAAGATTAATAACAACCAGCCTCCATCCTTGGAATCTGAAAGGTCTAGGAAAGGAGATAGTAGGTACAATTGGTAATATAAGTTTAATGTGCTACGACAAAGGCTGGGCTAGAGTTTGGCAGGAGCTCTAGTCTTTCTTTTTTTTTCTTTCTTTCTTTCTTTTTTTTTTTCTTGAGATGAAGTTTCGCTCTTGTTGCCCAGGCTGGAGTGCAGTGGTGCAATCTCAGCTCACTGCAACCTCCGCCTTCCAGGTTCAAGCGATTGTCCTGCCTCAGCCTCCTGAGTAGCTGGGATTACTGGCATGCGCCACCACACCCGGCTAATTTTGTATTTTTAGTAGAGATGGGGTTTCTCCATGTTGGTCAGGCTGGTCTCGAACTCCCAACTTCAGGTGATCCACCTGCCTCGGCTTCCCAAAGTGCTGGGATTACAGGCGTGAGCCACCATGCCCGGCTGAGCTCTGCTCTTTCTTAGTGGTAGTGCAGGTGGATAGTAATGCTTAGGACAAGAACTTCAAATGTGAATCAACTGGCATTCTCCAACACAAAATAGAATTATAGGCGTAGGGACTTTTTTTTTTTTTAGGTTTGAGCTTATTATACTATGTTCCAGGCACTTTCACATCCATCATCTTCCTAATAAGCCATGTATTATTATGCCAGTTTTACAGATGAGGAAGCTGAGACTTAGGGTGGTTGGGTAATTTCCCAAGATCTATAAAACTAGAAGCATAAAGGCAAAATTTAAACCCAGATTATCTAACTGTAAGCATGGGGCTTTTCCCAATACCCCTTATTGCTTTCTTATCAGCCAATGTTTCTATAGAACCCATTCCATGCTAATCTTGAATGACCTTCTTACTCGGATTGTTTTTCCCAGGAGAAAGACTAATCTTTGATGGAGTGCAGTGGTGTGATCTCAGCTCACTGCAACCTCCGCCCCTTGGGTTCAAGCAATTCTCCTGCCTCAGCCTCCCTTGTAGCTGGGATTACAGGCATGTGCTACCATGCCTGGCTAATTTTTGTATTTTTAGTAGAGATGGGGTTTCATCATTTTGGCCAGGCTGGTCTCAAACTCCTGACCTCAAGTGATTCGCCTGCCTCGGCCTCCCAAAGTGCTGGGATTACAGGTGTGAGCCACTGCGCCCGGCCTGATGAGAGATTTGAGAGCAACCCCTCCCATCATCATTTCCTCTTCCATTTCCTATGATAAGCTCATTCCCTCCTACTGTGTCCTGATTTCTCCCTCTCCTCCAACTCCAATGAAACTGCCAAGGAGTTAAGAATCGCAACACATGAAGAGGCTGCAGAGAGAGCTCTCTGCCTCCTCAGCCAGTAGCCTATAAATCCCGGGACAAAATACACTGAGAGAAGGTAGAAATTTGAATATAATTCTGTCCAAGAAAGAGTCCACATAGACCAAAATCTGACTATGCCTTAATTTTGCGGAACTGTAAGGAATCTTAAAATATAATTGTCAGACTTGCTTATTTTACAGATACAGAAAACTGAGACCCAAGAAGGGGAAAGGACTTGCCTCAAGTCACACACTAGCGACAGGCAGAGTCTGGACTGGAACTCCAGTCTTCTGACTCCCAGGCGAATGCTTTTTCACTAAAATACGTTGCCTCTTTAGCTTTTCCCATTAACAACTCAACTTACATGAGATCATAGCCCTTTCAAGAAGAAAGCTCAGTGCTGGCATCTCTGCAAAGCCCAGAAGTCAGTGCCCCACTCTGATCAGCTGATGTCCTCATCTAAAGAACAGGAAGTGGTTTCACTTCTAGCTCTGAAAGCACATTGTAGGGGTGAGAAAGGGGGATTTGGGGAAGAGAGTTCCTGTACATGATAGTCAAAAGCAATCAGCAGACACTTTGGTCTTGCTTGAAGAAGGGGAAGATGTAAGGTCAGACATGTAAGAGGAAGATGAAGGTTGTCCTTGATCAGCACATGATCTCATCAAGAGCTTCCCCCAGCCCTAGGGTGGTGGAGAGTCGAAGTGGGGAGCAGGGAGGGTGGTGGTGGGGATTCAGCTCTGCTCATTCCCTTCTCTGCTCTGAGGGAGCTAGATACCAGAGCGGGGGTTGAGATAGGAGCACCAGGGTAGGAAAATTTGCAGGAACTTGATACAACCTTCAATGCTTCCCCTACCCTCTGTTAGCACCCACAACTTCCCCTGCCAAGGGAGGAAGGAGGAACACATTATTCAGCTTTATACACTGAAAAGTTTACTGTGTGAAATAAAGGGGACTTAAGGGGTCAACAGAGGCCGGGCATGGTTCTTCACACCTGTAATCCCAGCACTTTGGGAGGCTGAGGCGGGTGGATCACCTGAGGGCAGGAGTTTGAGACCAGCCTGGTCAACATGGAGAAACCCCATCTCTATTAAAAATAGAAAAAAGTAGCCGGGCGTGATGGTGCACGCCTGTAATCCCAGCTACTCGGGAGGCTGAGGCATGAGAATCACTTGAACCTGGGAGGAGGAGGTTGCAGTGAGCCAACATGTGCCACTGCACTCTAGCCTGGGTGACAGAGTGAGACTCTGCCTCAAAAAAAAAAAAAAAAAAAAAGAGGTCAACAATTCCTGAATCCTCTCTTAAAGGACAGAGGTGTGGAGATGATGTTTCCTGATGACCTGGCCTGGAATATAACAATCTGATTGTCAAATAGACGGGTGTGAAACAAGAGAATAACTTCCCCAACCCCCGCCTTGATGTCAGCGGAGTTTTGTTTTCTTCTAGTGGTGGGATCACATCCCACCTTAGCACTAACAGCCTGGAACATCAAAGCACACAGACGCAGAGCCATGGAATGCCAGGCATGGGAGAGACTGAGGGCATTTGCCTGTAGCAATGGTGTTCAAACCTGGCAGCCCATCAGAGTCATCTGGGGAGCTCATTAAAATTGAGATTCCCAGGAACCAGCACAGAGATTGATTAGGTAGATCTAGGCTGGGGTCCACAAATCTTCATTTTCAACAAGCAGCTGGTTTAAGAACCAAGGTTCTGGTTCAACCCCATCCATCCACCTATCAAAACTTTGATACAAGATATTGTTTTTACAGTAAAGAAAACTGGGGTGCCAAAAATAGGTTAGTAGCAGGTCTTGGACTAGAATTTTGTCTCCTGCCTGCTGGTATGGTGTTTCTGCCAGCGCTTTTACACCTGGCTTTCTCCTCCAGCTCACCTGTCCATTGAGGACCTGTGAGGACCCGTGAGCCCACAGGGGAATCAGCTGCCAGGAGCTTTGATTGAATCTCTCCATTTGGATCACTGGTGGAAAATGGCTACTTTTGGGGCTGGGGTAGAGGTGGTTTTAAGGACATTCTCAGAAAGCTGTGTTTGTATTCTGGTGAGTTAAAAGTGGAAGGCCCAGCTGGTGGCCTCTAAAGCATACTACCCAGTTGTTCCAGACAGAAAGAATAGTTGGTTCATGGGAGCAGCCTGCTGTGTTGGAGGAACCAGAGTGGAGGAGGCAGAGTGAGCGATGGAGAGAGTGGCAGAAGAGGAGGTCTGGGAGGTAATGAGAGGCCAAAACATACGGGGCCCTCTAGGCCACGTGATCTTTGGCTTTTTCTCCAAGCCACTGCAGGATTTTGAGAAGAGGAGTGTCATAACCTGACTGCTCTGATGTGGTGGTGAGAACAGGCTACCTAGGGCAGTGAGATAGAAGCAAGGAACCCAGTGAGGAAGCTTTGCAGTAATCCAGGGGACAGAGGATGGTGGCTCAGATCAAGATGGCAGGAATGCAGGTGGTGAGACGTGGTTGAATCCTGGATGTTTTTTAAAAGTAGCTAACAGATTTTCTGATGGACTGGCTGTGAGCCGTGAGATAAAAAGGGGAGTCAAGGATGATGCCAAGCGTTTTGGCTCTTGTGATGGGAAGGCTGGAGTTACCAATGGAGAGAAATAAGGCTGTGAGTGGAGAAGGTTTGGGGGAGGGACAGCAGAGCTCTGCATTGGACATACCAAGTTTGAGGTGTCTGCTAAACACATAAGGGAAGTATGACACAGGCTGCTGGACATAGGAGCCTGGAGCTCAGGGAAAGCTGGAGACAGGCTGGAGGCATCATGAGTAAGCACATGGTATTTAAATAAAGTCTTATGACTGGATGGGGTGATCAAGGGCTTAAGTACAGACAGTGAAGAGAAGAGGGTCAAGGACCCTGCCTGGGGATCCTCCAGCATCAAGAGGTCAGAGAGAAATGAGACCGAGAAGGAGTGACAAGTGAGCGGGGAGGAAAACCATGAGCAAATCAAGTCCTAGAAGCCAAGTGGACCAAGCGTTTCCAGGAAGAGGGAGTGATCAGCTGGGTCACATGCCACTGACAGCTGTGGCAAGATGAGGGTTAGGAACTGACTATTGGATTTAGCTATTGGAGAACCCTGGTAACCTTGACATTGGCAGCATTTGACTCTGAACCTCATGGAGCCCCACAGCTTGACAACTGACTGTCATTGAGGACACCCTTATTGTGAATTTTTGTCTTCTGGATTAAGTTGTAAACTTTGCAACATCGGATGACGAGTCAGCATATCCGCAGAGCATGGAGTCCTTGCTGGGCTGTGGGGCCTTACGAGGCCTGCTGACATCCACCTGAGGGCACCTACTACTGGGCATTGACCTAAAACAATTATCCTCATTCCTGGCTTACCTTGAACGCAGAATTTCAGTTCTTTGGGGTCAGTGACACCCTTCCTGCTTTCCCGGATCACAGCCCGGTTCTTCTTGTTTTCTCCCCAGAGATTGGTGCCTCCGTACATGCTGGGAATGTTGAGAATGGCAATGCCTTCCAGGAAGATGTTGCTCAGGTCCACCCCAACCCCATCACACTGGAGGACGGAGAGAAAAGGCCATCTGTTAGTGTCCTCAGTGTGTCACAACCCAAGGTGCTCTGTGTGTGTGCGTGCGTGTGTGTGTGTGTACTCTCTTAAAGGATGTGACAGGTCCTCAGCCACCACCCTGCCACTGTCAGAAGAGAAATCATGGGCAAAGTCGCTCAGACTTAATGCTTTGACTGCTGTGGTGAGATGACAGATCCAGTCCTGGTCAGCTCCGGGGAATACAGTACAGGCTCCAGGGTCATCTTTAGGTCTAGAAGTGCTTTAGGGCTGGTTCTTAAGTCAATTGTCAAACTGTTCTCCAGTCTAATCTCATTATCATCAATCTTGCCCCTTCCTAACCATTAGAAGATTTAGTGGAACTGAATTCAGAACCTAACAAATGACAGAAAATTCAGAACATAACAAATGACAGAAAATTTTCATATATATATATATTTTTTTGAGATGGAGTCTTGCTCTGTCACCCAGGCTGGAGTGCAGTGGCACAATCTCGGCTCACTGCAACCTCCACTTTCCGGTTTCAAGCGATTCTCCTGCCTCAGCCTCCCGAGTAGCTGGGATTACAGGCACCTGCCACCATGCCTGGCTAGTTTTTGTATTTTTAGTAGAGACGGGGTTTCACTACGTTGGCCAGGATGGTCTCGATCTCCTGACCTGTTGATCCGCCCGCCTCAGCCTCCCAAAGTGCTGGGATTACAGGAGTGAGCCACCACGCCTGGCCAGAAAATTTTCATTTTGCCCCCTCCTATTTTATCTCTCTGTGAGAAGCACAAGACTTTAAGCTTTGGAAGGCTTTCAGAATCTGCCTGTCTCCTGTATCTGTATCATAAATGCAATTTTGGCATATGTGTTTGCTGAAGGAGCAGAGTTTCTTTATCCAATCTCCACAACTTGCAGTCCCCACCAGGTACAAAAAGCCAGAAGGCTTGAATTTTCATCTCACATGTCTATAAAGTCAGCCCACTTTGGCATCGTGCTTACCAACACAGCAAGAAATATCAGCTCTGATCCTTGTTCCTCAGGATAGTAGGTAGTTTATTTCACTTACAGAAGCAAACACTGGACCCAGAGACTTGAGCTAAGTTATCCAAGCTTGCACAGCTAATAAATAACAGAGCAGGGATTCAAAGTTGGGGGATTTGAGTACAAAGTACATGGTCTTTATGTTGTTTATTGGGAGAAAGAAAAAATCAAAGGCATACAATAAAAACCCACTATCTCTGAGGTTACGTACAAACCCAAACTTCCAGAGACTTATCAACAGAGCAGGACTAGAAGACTTGTTGCCATTCATAGTGACTCACCTCCTGATTTCTTTGCAGTTCTTACATTATGTTATCTTGTTTCCCCAACTACAAGATGGCATACAGTGAGCAACTCTGGTAACTGCGAACTCATTTTTTCACTGGGAAGTTCTGATAATTTGAGAGGTCTCTTTATGTTGATCTGGATTCTCTCTCACTCTTGTTTCCACCAGTTGGTCCTGTTCTCCCTTCTGAACCCATACAGAATGACCCTCCTTCCTCCTCCATAGGCCACCCCCTAGATAGATGATGATGATGATGAAGATCACCATTGTGCACATGTATTCAGCACTGCCATCTACCACACACAATTTTATACACATCTCATTTATTATCTTCCTAATAATCCTATAAGTTAGTTACTATGACTATCCTCTTTTTACACTGGGGAAACTGAGGCACAGAGGAGGTTAAGTAACTTGCCCAAAGTTCACAACTTACAAGTGGAAGTACACAGATTTAAGGGCAGGTAGTCAGAGCCCAAGTTTTTTATTTCTCCTCCCTCTCACACTACTACCAGGTTGTGCCACCTCTGGACTGTCAACTCTCTTCATCTTCTCCCATGAGACTTGGTTTTCAGATCTTTTCCCATCCCGGCTTCCCTGTTTTGCACACACTCTAGTTTGTTACCCTGCTATTTGGCAAGACCCCCAACATTGAAAACTACATCAACGACGGGATCTAATGGGGGCAGGTGGCTACCACACCAGTACTTCTTGTGGCTGAAATTTTATGATACTATCATGCCCCAGAAATGAGATGACGTGCAAAGCTCATGTAAGAGTTCAGCACGTTATCCATTATCATTATCCTTATCCTTATTATCCAATTGATAAAGATTGCACTGGCCATTTTGTTAGTGGCTAGATGACAACATCACTTCAGCTTAAATGGGTGGTCATCTTCATTGCCCAGATCATCTCATGATCTATTTTTCATCCAGTTCTTCGCCATTCTGAACCTGTGTAGATTTTAAAAAATAACATAGACATAAAACTTTACATTTATGTTAATTAATTTCATCTGGCTCTCAGCCCGTGTTTCCTCTAGTCTACCCAGCTTACTTCCAATCTTCATTCTGTGACCTTTTGTCATCGCGTTCCCATCATTTGGGGATTAAGTCATTAATATGTGCGCATAAAAGGAAAAAACAGTGACCGAGCACTCTCCTTGGTCAGTTTAACACCAAACATTATGCGTTAACATCCTTTGGGGTATGGCTGCTCTATCGGAGCTGCATCTTCTGGACTGGACTGTCACCCAGCCTACTTTTTGTTATTAGACAGATGATGGAATTTAGAGATGAGAGGCACATAAGGGAAGATGCCTCTCATCTTTCATGCCTCATCTTTCATAAATGAGCCCCAGTGAGGTTAAGAAACTTCTCTGTGGTCATCTGACTTATTAGTGGTGGAGCTAGATATGTATCCAGGTCTCCAGACCTCAATCCTGCGTTCTTTCCATGAAAACATAAAACATTGTGCCGAGATCAAACAGCATTTCCTAAGTGACCACCCTACAACCTCTATTAGAAAAGCAATAAGATAACTCAACTAAGTCACCAATATCTGTGTGCAAAGCCTAAATACTTTGTTAATAATCTATTCTAGAATCTTGCCAGGGATCAGAATAAAGTGTATCAGTCTGTGGTTTCCAAAATGTACCCTATTCTTATTTTTTGAACACTGGAGCCATATTTGTCTGCCTCTTATTGGCTAGAACCTACTCTGTTTTCTGGATTTGTCAAAGTGGCCCCTGAATGACACCTACAGGCTTGTCCAGCAACTTGGATTCAAATGTGTGTGTGTGTTTCAAAGCCAGTTAGTTCTCCATTGATTTACCTTGGGTTCTAGTATCCACCTTTGGCATCTTTTCTTCCATTTTTAGTTTAAGGCCACTCTCTTTGGAAAAGATGAAAACTCTTCCAGAATGGCACAGTCCTGTTGAGCTATGCTTTCTATGTTCTTTTTCACTTCAAACGTTGTCTAGCATTCAGCTGGGCCTTCAGTTAGCCTGAAGCCAGGCTCACAGGTCTGAATTGCTTTTGTGTATTCCTACCTGGTTGCATGCCCAGGCTCTGCCTTTGCGTGTATGTGTACAGTTTCCTGAAAGCATAGGCTCAACCAACACTCTCTGTTGCTGTCACATTGATTGAAAAACAAAAACTGACTCCTTTTTCTTTTCTTTTCAGTGTGATTCATGACTTCTTAGAAACTTATTTTGGAATGTCTTCTACCCTCCTATCCTTCATACACATATTCCTAATTAGAGATTTAGGCTAGAGTCCCATTGGATCACACTTTCTTTTTTCTTCCTTTATTTATTTTTTGAGACAGAGTTTCGCTCTTGTCGCCCAGGCTGGAGTGCGGTAGTGTGATCTTGGCTCACTGCAACCTCTGCCTCCCGGGTTCAAGTCATTCTCCTGCCTTGGACTCCTGAAGTAGCTGGGATTACAGGTGCCTGTCACCACGCCCAGCTAATTTTTTTTCTATTTTTAGTTGAGATGGGGTTTTACCATGTTGGCCAGCCGGGTCTTGAACTGACCTCAGGTGATCCACCTGCCTTGACCTCCGGAAGTGCTGGGATCACAGGGGTGAGCCACCGGGCCTGGCCCACATTTTCTTTTATCCTTATCACCCTCTAGATGAAGCAGCCACTTCCCCATCTTGGCTGTAGTTGCTTCTACATCATCTCAATTTATTCACTGTTGGTCAAAACATCCCTTTCCCTTCTGAGCAGTAATAAGAATAATATTAGCAACTCATGCTTGGTGAGAGCTTTCTAGGGCACTGTGCTGGGATTCACCCATAGTATCTCTTGCGATCTTCACATGAACATGATGAGGGAGGCAGCATTGCTACCCCCAACTGACAGGGCCTCTTAGGGGTTAAGATGCTTGCTCAAGGCTCCACAGCTTCCTACTCTACAAGATGGCAGAGCCAGGATGCAAACCTAGGAAGGCAGATGCCAGATCCTACGCTGGAGATGAGTCAGTGAGGCAAATCGGGATTTTTGCTGATGCTAGGCTTATAGCAAAATTAAACTTCCAGCTGTTTGAATAATTGAGATCTCCCACTACTGCTCTATCTTATAGAGTGCTTAGAGCAATGCCTGGCACATCAATGTTGGATATTAATATTATTATATCTTGCCTCCGCACCAGGTTTGTTTTTTAAAAAAGTACATCACCAGCACAGTCCTTGACAAATAGTATTCCACAAAGTCACCTTTCTTCCGTACTACAGTTTTAACTGTACCCTGTCCCCTCCATCTCTATCCATAGCCAGCTAAGTGTGTTTGCTATTAACTTGGTAAACGTTTACCTCTTCCTGGAAGAGCAGGCAATCCTCACTCTGCTTTCTAGGTTGTCCCCTTCCCCTATTACCGCAGTGGGTCCCATGTAGATAGGGCAAGTAGAGGAGATGGGAGAAGCCTGGGGTCTGCTGGACGCTGATGTCCTCCCTCCCTCTTGGAATGCACCTACTTGGAAAGTGAGAGCCAATGTAGTGTCTTGGAAAGAACGTGCCTGCCTGGGCTTGAAGGCAGAGAGACATGGGTTTAAATCTTGGCTCTGTCACTTGCCAGCGGTGTGATTCCAGGTTGTTTCCTTACCCCTCTGAGGTTTAATTTGTCATCTGTAAAATGGAGGATAGGGGAATAACATCTGCCTTAAGGGGTGGGTTGATGGGTGTCTGGAATGCAGTAGCACTGTGTAACTGTCTGCGTTATCATCACAGGTTCCCCAACCTCTGTGCCATGAGGCATTTATCTTCCTGAATTCACTCCCCCTACCTGAGGCTTTGCTGGAGGCATCTTAACGGCCTCTTGGCCCGACCCAGGCTGGTAAGAGCCTTGGCAAGCGCACGCCTGCGTGCCCATTCTCCAGAGTTCCTGGCCTCGCGATCGTGCACTGATTTCCTTCAGAACCCCAGGCCCGCTCTGGACGTGGAAGGCAGCCGTGCCGTCTGGGAAAGTGGAGCCGAGCCCGGGACGCTGTCGGCCTAAATGGAACGCCGGCCCCGGGGCCCGCTCCCCGGCGGGTTCCCGAGCTAAATCCTCCAACTGTTCCATGACGTCATCGGGCCCCCTCCCCCTGCTCCGGCCCGCGCGGCCCCAGCGTGGCGCTAAGGAGTGTGGCGGTCCCCGCGCGCACCGTGGGCCATCCCTAACCCAGGACCTGGCTAGCAGGCTGCCCTCCGAGCCGAGGCTGCGCTGGGCGGAACCAGGGATTTATAGCCCGGAGTGGGGCTGAAACAGAGCTCCTGGCCCGAGCAGAGAGCGTGCACACGCATGAAATCGTGCTCCTGGGTGCGCCGGCGGCCAGGTGCCCGATGTCGGTCTTGGAAGCAGCGCCGGAGTCCGTCTGAACCCAGGCCCGGGAGGCCAGAGGCTGCCGGCCACGTTCAACTGTGTCCCCCTTGGGAAGACAATCCCCCCAGTTCTGGTTTCTTCCTGAGCCACGGGTGGTTGGTTGGTTTGGTGGAAGGCAGGTGCACAGGTAACAGAGACAAGGTTAGGAGGCAAAGCACATTTATGTGCAAATGAGACGCGCTAGGGAACTTGTAATCCTCTGCACCCCCGCCCTTGATGTCTCGATCCCTACAATCACAGAATTCTAGGCAGAGGCCGCCGACTTCTCCGCCCTCGCCAAGAGGGACCCGGAGCACCGAAGCTTCCCAGCCGGTGCCGGCGTTTCCGCGCCCTCCTTCTCTCCTGCGCCGTGACCTCAAAAGGGCGGCGGGCGGGGGCCCCTCCACTCCAGCCCTGTCGATCCTATTTCTGAAGGGCCTTAGGGAAGGAGATTCCACAATTTATTTGATGACCTGTTTCAGTTTTTAGCAACTAGGAAATTCCCCCTTCTTCTAACCTCGATTCACCGTGCCACAGATTTGGTTTGGACGCAGACGGTTCTGTTTATAGGCCTGCCACTCGGCTTTGTCTGCTCTCAGGAATGACCTCCACCAGGCCAGATCGGAGGTGGAAGCCAGGACTCGGTAGCTCCGGGAGGCATGTGTCCCCTTTCTGCTGGGAATTTTCTCTTTCTTGGGTACCCTGTCACTGAGTTATTGTCCCTCCCATCTTCCACGACTCTTTCTTGGTCTTTCTTTAAAAAAAAAAAAAAAAAAAGCCGGGCAAGGTGGCTCATGCCTGTAATCGCAGCATTTTGGGAGGCCGAGGCAGTTGGATTACCTGAGGTCAGGAGTTCGAAACCAGCCTGGCCAACATGGCGAAACCCTGTCTCTACTAAAAATACAAAAAATTAGCCGGGCGTGGTGGGGGACGCCTGTAATCTCAGCTACTCTGGAGGCTGAGGCAGGAGAATCGCTTGAACCCGGGAGGCGGAGGTTGCAGTGAGCTGAGATCGCGCCACTGGACTCCAGCCTGGGCGATAGAGCGAGACTCTGTATAAAAAAAAAATTATGGGTATTTTCAAACATATAGGGAAAGCAGAGAGTATAATAAACCCCCGTGTACCCCAAAACCCAGTCTGGGTAATTAGCACCTCTAGCAACAGGCAGCTAATCTTGTTTTAACTCTACCCCAGTTCACTTTATCACCACCAGACTGAACTAGTTTATAGCAAAACAAAAAAAAACAAAACAAAAAAACAAACAAAAAAAAGAATTACCTTAATACTATTGTTACTCTTTAAAAAATTCTTTAATAAGTATCCAGTAGTTGTTCAAATTTCCTTGATAGTATCATTTTTTTAAATTGTTAGCTTGCCTGAAAAGTCTTTACATTGCATTTGTTGATATATATCTGTTAGGTCTCTTTTGATCTATAGACTCCTGTTCTTTTTTCTCCTTGTCTTTTATTTATTGAAGAAATGGGTCATTTGTCCTTAGAGCAGTGCTTCTCAAACTTGAATGTGCATGCAGATCACTCCAGGGTCTTATTAAAATGCAGATTCTGATTCAAGAGGTCTGGGTGCGGCCCGAGACTGCATTTCTGACCCCCTTCTTGGTGATGCTGATGTTGCAGGTCCGTGGACCACACTTTGAGTAGTAAGGCTGTAGTGTTGCGCAGATTCTGGATTTTGCCAACTGCATCTCTGGGGTGTCTTTTAAACATAGTCTATCCCTTGTATTTTCACTAAATTGGTATTTTTAGATCTACAGGCTTGACTAGATTTAGGGTTGGCTTTTTGGCAAGATTACTTTATTAGTGGGGCTGTATATTTCCTATTGCATCTCATTAGGAAGCACATAATTTGGTTGTCTCTTTTTTGTGATTTTTAGACTGATCAGTGGATTCAGGTGTTATCAGCCTATACCTTCTATTATACAGTTCTTGTCTTGACCCATTAATATAGTCCCCTAATGGTAGGATACCCTAGCACCTTCCCTGTACCTTTCTTCTAAATCTCTACAGATGCTATTTTCTCCATAAATTATTTCTCGTATAGTCTCTTAAAAGGATCTCTCTCTCTTTTTCTTTCTTTTTTTTTTTTTTTTTTAAGACTGAGTCTCACTCTGTTGCCCAGGCTAGAGTGCAGTGGCGTGATCTTGGCTCACTGCAACCTCCACCTCCCAGGTTCAAGTGATTCTCCTGCCTCAGCCTCCCAAGTAGCTGGGACTACAGGTGCCCACCACCACGCCCAGCTAATTTTTTGTATTTTTAGTACAGACAGGGTTTCACCATGTTGGTCAGGCTGGTCTCGAACTCCTGACTGCAGGTGTTCCACCTGCCTTGGCCTCCCAAAGTTCTGGGATTACAGGCATGAGCCACTGCGCCCAGCCTTTTTCTCTTCTCTGCATCTGTAATCTCATGGAATCAAAGACCTGAAGGGCTTGAAAGGTGAACCAGTCCAAATATCTCATTTTATAGAAGAGAAAACTGAGGCTAAAGATGTTAAGGGAATGGCCCAATGTTACTTAGCTAATTAGAGTGAGCTGATCCAGAATTAGACCTGTGATTGTTTGGACCGACAACCAAGAAGCCATGAGTAACTTTATAAAGAGGAATTTTGGCTATTGGATAAGGGCTGAAGCACAGAATCTTAGAATGGGAAAGCAACATGGGACATTAGAGATCATTCCTAATTACCAAAATGAGAACAGTGAGGTCTAAAGTTGGTAAGTTGACCTTCCTAGATGACACAGCTCTCTCCTGGGAGAGATAGGGCTTAACCAGGGACTCTGGGGTGAGTCGGGTGGTGGTAGTGAGGGAACAGAGTCAGAGTCACCGTGTGGTTTGGTGGCACACAGGCTGGAGAGGGAAGATGGGATCTAAAAGGATAATGTGATTGAGGAAAAGGTTTTTTTGTGGATGTTTGAGGCAGAGAAGATACTCAATACATCTTGTTGGATGAATGGATGAGAAGAGGAAGTTGGGATGCCTAGGATGGGAAGTAGATAGAGGGAAAGAGAAGATGCTGAACAGAGTGCTGGGACATTGATCTGGGGACGATACCAGGGTCCTTCCTTTCTCAGCGAGTGAGAGAGTTGGCCGGGGGGTAGCTCTTTTGAAGATGGAAGTAGTAAATGCTGGGCCATGTCTGGGGAAAATAGCACTTCAGTTACAGTGAGAAGGAAGAGAGAGGGCTGAGGAAGAGGCGGACAATATCCTGACACACTTGAATAGGGGTTCTGATGGGCTGAGAGGGGCATGGGCAGGAGATGACGGTGGCCTCCTTTGATGCCTGGGCTCCAGATCAGAGCCGCAGATAGACCCTAAAAGGCAGAGGGGTGGCTGACCTAGACCTGAGTGAAATCCCCCACCACCCCGCACACTGCCTCTTTTTTGAGGGAACAGGACACTGGCAGGAAATAGGGAAAGAGAAAGCACCAATAAGCCACCCTGTGCAGCCCCCGGGGCCTGTGGGACTTAGGTAAGAACGAGGCAGTGGTGCTCATTTACAGCGAGAGCATTTCTGATACCGTGGGCGGGGAGCAGCCTCTCTCTGTGAATTAGCTTGGCAGGTTGGAATGTAAGTCAGACTACGGTGAAGGCTGGATGCCGTAGGGTCTCATTTGGTTTGGACATAGGAGAGTAGCTGAGGGAGAGGGTTAGCTGAGCCTTAGTAAATGTCAGTTATAGTAGCCTGAATTCTGCATAGAGGCCACAGAGTTGCGGACTACTTACATTGTTTTCTGCTGTACACGCTGCCTAAACTGCCCATCAACTCTTTTATGCCCGTTAACATACCCTTCCAGCTCAAAAGCTTTCTCCTCTATGAGGCTTTCCTCAATGCTCTTGCTAGAAATGAATCTTCCCCTTCTCTGAATTTTCACTGCCTTGTTTTCTCCTCTTAAAGGGAATGTATATTCTGCCATGCATTTTGCATAGTTGTCTGTCCCCTAGGAGACTTTAAACTCATAGAAGGCGGGGACCATATCTGACAGCTCTGTGTTCTTCACAGTTCCTGGCATGTCTTACCCATATCAGGTGTCCAATATAACTATTTGTGAGTTGAAAGAAATAATGTGTGCAAAAATCCTAAAATGGAAACCCAGGTGTTCTTTGAAGAAACGTGATAAGGTTTCTTTGCTTCCGTATGAGTTCCCCCAACCTCTCTGGATGAATATAGTGAACAAATAAAGTGGACCAAATTTCCAGGATAGGGAGAGACATGGAAGGTTAATCCAAGTCTCCATCAAGTGGTCCTCTGATCACAGCTGAAGGAAATCCATACCTGAACACCTGAATAGGTAACAAGAGTAGGGCACATGGGGCATGTTTTATATGAGAGAGACATTAAGAGGCAGAAGACAGGAGTACTCACTGATCTATCAAGAATGATGAGAACCTACTTATTCTGTGCTAGACTCTAGGGATGGAGCAGAAATGGGACACAGTCCCTGTCCTCAAGGTACTTCCAGTGGGTCAATACTAGAGGCAGTGGTGTGCTGTCAGTGCTTAACAGCAGACTCCCTTGGAGGAAAAAAAGCCTTTGTTATTGTGTTCCATGGTGGTGTCAATATTCCTACTATGGCCAATTTCAAGTGACCATGATGACATCACCAAAAGGCAAGTTGGGAAGAGATACACCAGCAAGCAAGCTTGCTCTAGCACACTGCTGGCTGGAGGCAACGGGGAAGAAAAGGAAGTAGTTACCTGCATGTCTGCAGGGCCTATGGCCATAATAGAGAAAGTACTGGGAGTCAAAGAAAAACAGGGCAAACAACAATATCTGTTTTCCGCAGAGAAAAACTAGAGAGAATGTTTCTAGTGTCAATAACCTGATGTGGCTCAGAAAGGAAGAAAAGGTGATGTATTGAGTGGCGACAACATTATTGGAAAGACAGTCCAGTATTTTTTTTTTTAAGACGGAGTTTTGCTCTTGTTACCCAGGCTGGAGTGCAATGGTGCGATCTTGGCTCACTACAACCTCTGCCTCCTGGGTTCAAGGGATTCTCCTGCCTCAGCCTCCCGAGTAGCTGGGACTACAGGCGCATGCCACCAAGCCCAGCTAATTTATGTATTTTTTTTAGTAGAGACAGGGTTTCACCATGTTGGCCAGGATTATCTGGATCTCTTGACCTCGTGATCTGCCCACCTCAGCCTCCCAAAGTGCTGGGATTACAGGCATGAGCCACCACGCCTGGCTTTCAGGACAGTCCAGTATTATCCACATACACAAACTGGCCTGGCCTGTAGCAACTCTTACAGAACAGTGGCTTCTCCTGCATTCAGAGGTGCTGGTTTATATCATTTTAGGAGCTGATGTCTATTGTGGGCAGTTAGATAATGATATTAATCCACACGTATGTTATATATTATTAATATATATCATTTATTGAGTAACTATTGTGAACCAGCACTTTATATATTTTATGTCTAATCTTCACAACCCTACAATGTCAGTATTTGTATTCCCATTTATTTTTTTGAGACAGAGTCTTGCTCTGTAGCCCAGGCTGGAGTGCAGTGGCATGATCTCGCCTCACTGCAACCTCCGCCTCCTGGGTTCAAGAGATTCTCCCGCCTCAGCCTCCTGAGTAGCTGTGATTACAGGTGCACACCACCACATCCGGCTAATTTTTGTATTCTTAGTAGGGATGGGGTTTCACCATTTTGGCCAGGCTGGTCTTGAACACCTGACCTCAGACAATCGGCCTGCCTCAGCCTCCCACAGTGCTGGAATTACAGGGTGTGAGCCACTGCGCCCGGCCTTGTATTTCCATTTTTACAGATGAGGAAACATTGACTCGGTGACACTAAGGAAGGAATGTCTTTCCAAATTTGTCAAGGTTCATGATAGTCCTCATGAACCTGCGGGTTTCATGCATGAGATGCAAGTGACGAGATCAAGAAGTCAGCCCAACTTACAGAGTGCATGCTCCCGATGCCTCTTACTCTTGTGCTTTGTTACCTATGAGATCGCATTTAGAGTATTATAGAACAGGAATTTGATTTTTCATTTTAAGGCGGACCATGAAAAAAATGGAGTGTATCAAGAGAAGAGTGGTCCAGGATATTTGTGGGTCTATAAATCAAGTCCTCTAAGGAACTGAGGCTGTTTAGCTCAGTGAAGATGAAAAGGAGACACCATGAAGATACATCTCCAGCCCTATGAAAGGCAGCCATGTGGAGGAGTGTGGAGGATGCTCTGTGTGCCCCTAGAGGGTGAAAATGGGCCCAGTGGATGAAGACTTCAGTCATGCACCCCGTAAACACTTATTGTGCACTGATTTTGTTCCAAGTATTGTTCTAAGTGCTGTCTAGGGAAGAAGATGACAAGGAATGGGACACACAATCCTTGTTCAACATCAGGAAGAACTTTCTGAAGATCAGAGCTGTCCAGTAACGCAGCAGGCTTCTTGAAAAGTAGTGAGCTTCCTATCTTTGGAGTATTCAGGAGGAGGCTGGGTGCCCACTTATCAGAATGTGCTAGGATGAGTCTTTTGTGGAGTGGTAAGTGGAACTAAATCCCCTTCCAGTTCCAAAATTCCACATCTACATTCAGCTTTGTTTTGGCAGGCTAGTGTGCGCTGTGCTGAAAGAGTGCCATCCTGACCCCCCACTTCCACCTAGCCTTGTCCGCCCTGGTGTGTGCTCCGAGTTCTCTGACAGTGAGCTGAGGTGGGCCAGTTAGACTGGAAAGTGGCTGCATCTGTGACAGGGATGATGGAGTTCTGGCGGGTTTGTGTGGGCTCAAGGAATGCGGCATTGAAGCCATGTACACACAACCTGCTTAAGAACATCCCATGGGCAGAAAATGTTTTCTTCCTCTTTAGCCCTCCTCTGTTGCTGTGCCAGGCGGGCACAATGGTGCCTTTGAGAGGGGCAGCTGGAAGGGGGTGTTGGCAGGCAGACTGGAAGTAGAATATTGCAGCTGGGGGTGGGGGTGCCCAAATTCATTTCCAGGAGTGAGCCGGCACTGGGTGCCAGTTTCCAAAACAAAACTGCTGTTTCTCAGAGTTCACAGTGATGGGTTGCTTCAGAGTTGGACAGAAGGCAAAGCTGTTTCCTATCCACTGCTCCACCCTCCCCAGGTGTTTTTTTCTCTTTCTTTCTTTTTTTTTTTTTAAACTAGTGTGTTAAGGGATTCTTGCTCTGGATGCAGATTAATAGGCTTTGCTGTCTGTCTGGGAAGCTGAGGCCAACCTGGAGTGGATGGGGCTTTTTGAGGGATCACACTTTCCTGCAGACAAAGCAGGGCCTGATGGCCTGGGGGCCAGCAGGGATCATGGGCAGGTAGGCTTCTGAGCCATGAGAGAGGGCTCAGAATGGAGACCCTTTCTGCCCTGCAGGGTGACTTCCACCCTACAGCCACCTGGCACCCTCACTGCCACATGAGCTCTGCCCACTCACTGTCTTAATTCTGTTGGGTGGGAAAGAGGTGGGAGAATGTTGGCATTTCCTGTCCTGGTTCACAGTTGTCCCGGACCCTCTGCTACTATCAAAGATACCACCAATAGCTTCCTAGAGATGGGCGTGGGAGGCCTTCTCACTCACTGCGCAGTTAGGAGAAGGCATGAGTGCCAGCCATCTTCCCCTTTGTGTTACAAATGCAGCAAGGTGGGCCCCTTTTTCTGGTAGCTTCCAAGAAAAAGGCGGGACTTGAGGCTGGCCAAGTGATCATTGCTAATGTTCACACCAATTGTGGAATTCCCTATACTTGGTTCAATTTTATAATCAACAAACAACTATTGAGGAATTAGTTCATTTTAGGCATTGTGCTAAGTCCAGGGGTATAGAATGAATAAGATAAAGTCCTTGCTTCAGAAAGCTGACTGCCTGATAGATATGCCAAGTCCTGAATGGGAGCCCCTTTATCAACTAAATGGACACATGACTTTTCTAAAAGCAGGAAGGTAATGCAGAGGTCATCTCCTACTGCAGGTCCCGTGGCATTGTGAAGGGCATATGGGCTGGGGATCACAGATTGAGGCTTGAAACTCATCTGATCTTGGGAGTACTTACTTGTTTTATGAGATGCAGTTTCCTTGGGTAAATAATGGGAATAATACACAACCATGCAGAGCTGTTATAAAGATGAAATAAGACAGAGCTTGCCACGTGGTAAGTACTCAGTAAGTTGCTGCTATTGTTATTCATTTGTTGAGCCTAATGGGCTTGAGATATAACACGTGTGTGTGCACAGTGGTATTTATCCAACCCCTTGTAGATTCTATGACCTTCTTTAAAGATTCAGTTCTTCTACCTTCTTAATTCCTCTTCTAGTGAAGACTAAGATTAGTAAGTTTATGACTTCACAGGATAAGTTAGAAAAACAAAGACATATCCACTATAGCCAACAAGACATATTTGTATATAATATTCTCTGTTTAATAACCTGTGATTGTAGAGGAAGAAAAGGATTGTAATGTTTCTCTTCCCTGAGGTTCCCAAATCTCCCATGTGTGGTGATGAAGATCATGAATTCCTCTGAATATTCTAAAAAGTCTAGGTCATTTCCCACTGATGGGGCCTCGCAGTTTATTATTACTTAAAAGATGCATTTGTTTGGTAGACATTGCTTGGGGAAAGTTATTCTTTTAGTAAGGGACCTTGGTGGTAGAAGACATATGCTTCCTGGGGCTGGGACAGAAGTTGGCTGAGAGGATCTTCCAGAAAGAAATGTATTGTGGGAGAGCATTCTGACCCAACATGCTGAATCACTTGACCCCCAACTTTGGTCTTCTGAGACTTTCTTGGGCCCCATCTATTAAACATGCTGCATATCCCTCAACAACTACTTTGTGAAAATGTAGGCATAAAACATAATCTTTAAAAGTTACTTCTAAGTCCACGGAAGACACAAAGTAGATAGAGCCAGGAGTCTGAAGACAAAAGAAAATCAAAGTAATTCACAAAGAACAAAAGAAATGGAAAAGAACCGGAAAATAAAAGCATATGAATGAATAGAGGCTTGAAGTGAACTACAGGGTGCACATTAGTAAGAAATAAAAAAGAGGGTCATTTAAGAAAAAGAAAAAGTTTTATGTGCCAGAAACTGCAAGCAAACAATGGAATTTTGTAAGGGAAAGTTGACAGAAACAGTTTTTCTTTAGTAAGCTGAACGATTCTAAGCATTAGTGAAGGAAACTCGTAGTCAGTGCACGACTGAAAGAGACAGAGATGGGGATGATGGAGCTGCATTTAAAAATGAATAAAGATTTAATAAGCCAAAGAATCACAGAGGTCCTCAGGAGGCCTGATGATAAAGAAACAAGGGCTAACATTACCCTAAGATTGAAACGAGGCCAATGTTGTAGCAGTGCTGATTCCTGGTTGGTGGGATTGGGGGTTATTTTCTTTTTTGCCCCTCTGTATTTTAAAATGTTCTGCCATGAATTTGGATTACCTTTGTAATCGGGAAAAGAGGTTAGCCCACATATTAGGAGTAGCGGAAAGAAACCGATTAGGAGGAAGCAGAAAGAAACCAAGTGGTGAGAACCGGTGAATGGGCAAGAAGAAGCAACCAGAAGTGGCAGGAGCTGCCTTGGATGGTCTCACAGTGAAGGTGATGCTGGAATGAGGGAGCTGCTGGACTGGATTGAGGAAGGGGAATAAACTAGAAGGAGGAGCTCTCTCAGGACCATTCTAGCCTTACTTTTGACTCCATGGTTTGATATGTAATCAGGTTGGCCCTCTTATTTTCCACGAACTCAAAATCCCTTCTAATGCTCTTCTCAACTTTCCCTTCCCCATGCGTGTTTCCATTTCTTCCACTGTGGCGGCATGGACAGGCTGTACGTCAGCCAATTCCTACTTTCCTTACTCCAGGGAAAGGCTCTACCTGTGGTAGCTGAGAAGAAGGTTCAGATCATATCAGGAGAGACCAAGACTTGAAGACCTCTTTCCCTCTAGTTTAAGAGTGTGCAGCACTGCAGGTGGATGCTAAGACAGAGTAGAGAATGCCCACAGCTGGAGCTTAAGAGCCGTGAGTTCTCTTCTGCACATACTGGTTTGGGTGAAGTTAGTCAAGGTACTTAACCTGTGAAGTCCTTGATGTCTCTTTTTTAAAAATAATAGCACTGGCCAGGTGTGGTGGCTGATGCCTGTAATCCCAGCACTTTGGGAGGCCAAGGCAGGTAGATCTATTGAGGTCAGGAGTTTGAGATCAGCCTGGCCAACATGGTGAAACCCCATCTCTACAAATACAAACATTAGCCAGGCATTGTGGTGTGTGCCTGTAATCCCAGCTACTTGGGAGGCTGAAGTAGGAGAGTCACTTGAACTTGGGAGGCAGAGGTTGCAGTAAGCTGAGATCGCGCCACTGCACTCCATCCTGGGTGACAGAGCGAGGCCCTGCTTCAAAATAATAATAATAATAATGGCGCTGGTTTAGATTGGAATAGCTAAAGGTATCTGCCCAATCTTAAAGGACAGTAATCTGACTCATTATTTGTGCTAAATGTTAGTTTTAGAATATGGATTCTCATAGGTGAGACCCATATCCTGATATGGTGATATGGATTAAATATCACCAGCATAGTACCCAGCACGTCCTTTTTTTTAAATTAAATTTTTTAAAATTTAACCATTTTAAAGTGTCAGTGGCATTTAGTCACACTGTCTTTTTAAAGTGTTAGAATAACATAGTCATTTGGGTTGGTTCCATTTTGTTGCAATAAAAAAATGTTGCATTGCACCTCTATGCTCATGTGCGAGAAACTCTCTAGATCGATGTTGAGAAGAACTTGCTGGGTCATATAGGCTATAAATGCATTTTCGGATTGGCGTGTATTGCTGAACCGCTCTCCAAAGTGGCTTACCACTGATGTTCCCACCAGCAGTGTCTGAGAGTTCCCATTTCTGCTCCTCGTCACGGATAGTGGCTGGGTTTTCATGGAACTCCATAGGGCAGTTAAAAGTGACGAACCAGGCCAGGTGCAGTGGCTCATGCATGTAATCCCAGCACTTTGGGAGGCCAAAGTGGGCTGATCACTTGAGGTCAGGAGTTCAAGACCAGCCTGGCCAACATGGCGAAACCCCGTCTCTACTAAAAATATAAAAATTAACTGGACATGGTGGTGGGTGCCTGTAATCGCAGCTACTTGGGAGACTGAGGCGGGAGAATCACTTGAACCTGGAAGGCAGAGGTTGCAGTGAGCCGAGATTGTGCCATTGCACTCCAGCCTGGGCGACAAGAGCAAAACTCCTTCTCAAAAAAAAAAAAAAAAAAAAAAAAGTGACCAACCTGCTCTATCAGCACTAACATGGAGTGATCTCAAGAACATAAAGGTGAGTGAAAAGGTAAGTTTGGAGCATAAAGAGGCTGGGGCCTTCAGCTTTATCTGTAATATTTTATTTCTTCTGTTGAAAAATAGTTGAAGGCGCCAGGCGCGGTGGCTCACGCCTGTAATCTCAGCACTTTGGGAGGCCAAGGTGGGTGGGTCACCTGAGGTTAGGAGTTCAATACCAGCCTGGCAAACATGGCAAAGCCCTGTGTCTACTAAAAATACAAAAATTAACTAGGTGTGG